>NC_000005.10:3760000-5010000 GCF_000001405.40 Homo sapiens
TGAGCATGGCTGAGTTGGCAGCTGGGGTATGGATATAACAATATGGAGATGCTTTCTCATCGTTTAAAAGTTATTGGAGCTGGGCACAGTGGCTCATGCCTGTAATCCCAGCACTTTGGGAAGCTGAGGGGGGTGGATCACCTGAGATCGGGAGTTCGAGACCAGCCTGACCAACATAGAGAAACCCCATCTCTACTACAAATACAAAATTAGCCGGGCGTGGTGGCCCATGCCTGTAATCCCAGCTACTCTGGAGGCTGAGGCAGGAGACTCGCTTGAACCCGGGAGGCGGAGGCTGTGGTGAGCCAAGATCATGTCACTGCACTCCAGCCTGGGCAACAAGAGTGAAACTCTGTCTCAAAAAAAAATTTATTGGAGAGTGTCAATTAATAAAAATAAATAAATATGAAGCTCTAAGAGAAGAAAATTATTGTGAGAGTGCACAAACATGTTGAATTTTTTTCATTCTTTTTTTTCTGTGCAACCTCTTTCCTTTTGGGATTTATGTACCCATGTTTATCTTCTTAATTTTCCTGTCTGCCTTTTATGGAACCTTGAGATGAAAATCTGACTGTGAAACTGTGCTTCCATGACACTAATCAACCAAGTGAATTATTTAAAGTTTGGCCTCATGGCTAGTTCTTATCCCCATGACATGAAACCACCAGCTTCCCTGATTTCTCACCAGTTGTTTTTGGCTTCAAAGTCAACCTGTGGTCTTTGTGTCTTCACACACTGAGGTGTGTGCCTTTGCTACAACAAGGTCTCCTTAATTCCAATATTCCAATAGACCCTTGATCCTGCAATAGAATCCAGAGGGAAGACTCCAGGCGTGGGGAGCCGTGGAATCTGGTTTCAATATTTAGCTTCGTCCTTTTACTCAGGTTTCTTCAACTGTCCAAGCCTCATTTCTCTCATCTCCAAAACGAGACGGTAGTGCTGTCTACCACACAAAGCTGCTGTAGAGACGCAGTGGATAGGAGTATCAGACACTCAGCCACACCTGAGCCAGAACATGCCCGCTGAATGCGGCTCTAGCAGCTGTCGTGGGCCTTCAGAGAGGAAGAATCTTAAGGCGCGTCCAAGACAAGCGGAGTCGAGGACTCCGTTTCGGGGAGGTTTACCTGAAAAGCTGTGTGGAAAAACCCGACTGCGACTTTCAAGCTTGTGCTTCACAACCCAGGAGCCGTGCATTATGTCCATGTGTTCAGATGCAAGATGCTCAGACCCCAGGAAAAAGGGAATTCGGTGTAAAGAAAAAAGGACTCTTAGCATGGTCCAGTATTAGGACAGTAACACCCTGTGTGTGTGCACGTGCCCTCCCTCCATCTCCCTGGCCTTTGCGTCTCTGTGTGGGTGCACATGCCCTCCCTCCTCCCTCCATCTCCCTGGCCTTTGCGTCTCTGAGTGGGTGCACATGCGCTCCCTCCATCTCCGTGGCCTTTGCGCCTCTGTGTGGGTGCACATGCGCTCCCTCCATCTCCGTGGGCTTTGCGTCTCTGTGTGGGTGCACATGCCCTCCCTCCTCCCTCCATCTCCGTGGCCTTTGCGTCTCTGTGTGGGTGCACATGCGCTCCCTCCATCTCCGTGGCCTTTGCGTCTCTGTGTGGGTGCACATGCGCTCCCTCCATCTCCGTGGCCTTTGCGTCTCTGTGTGGGTGCACATGCGCTCCCTCCATCTCTGTGGCCTTTGCGTCTCTGAGCGGGTGCACATGCCCTCCCTCCATCTCTGTGGCCTTTGCGTCTCTGAGTGGGTGCACATGCGCTCCCTCCATCTCTGTGGCCTTTGCGTCTCTGAGTGGGTGCACACGTTCTTTTTCTATCTTGATGGGCTCTGCACTCTGTCTGTGCACACGCTCTTGCTCCGTCTTTGGTCCAGAAAACTGTCCCTGTGGAGGTAGTTGAGGCTCAGAAGTGGAATAACGTGCCTGATATTGGACAGCACATGGCAGATTTGGGGAACGTGTGTGGATTTGGGGCACCAAGGGCTGGAGCAGCGCACCACCTCCTCTTTTCTGGGGTCAACAGGGCCAATACTGGTTCTGTGCCTGCAGGATCATCCTCATTCCTCCACACATATTCGCAAAGACTTCCCAGACCTGAACACACTACAAATGCTTCAGAGACTCTTCTATAAGTCATATACTTTTAACTTAAGTGCTTTAAGCCTGCCTAAATCATGTTGTCATAAAACTGGAGTAAGTCTATGAGCCTGGATTTGTAGAGCGTACATTTCTAAAACTGTAAGAGACTCTACTACTTTCCCAGGTGGTGATAGTCTCTAATATCATACTAATCATCATTTTTTAACATTCTAGCTCCTGTATGAAAAAAAAAAAGAAGAAAAAACCCTCAACTATTTAAATGGCACATGGAATTTTGATTTATCATAAATCAGTAAATAAATGTTTCTCAGTTGAAGAAAAGCAGGTTGTCATGATTTCAGGTTCCAACTGGAAAACAACTCTCTGCCTGAGCATTGAGTAGTTTTTTTATTTTTTATTTTATTTTTTATCAATTCCTTGCTAACAGAGCTTTTCTGCAGAGCAACACACCTTCACGGAATCTCACATAGCAAGTTCCATTTCCAGACTGGGCCCGAAAACCAGAAGTCTGAGCCCTTCCCATCAGTGACTCTTCCCAGGGTGGAACATCATCCCTTGCAGGGCTGCCCCAGCTCTGTGTTGGCTTCTTCCTTCACTGGTGCTGTTACAGCATCCCTGCACCTCCATCATGGGTTGTGGATGCAATCTGCATGGTGCAGTGCACATCACGGCCAGCTTGCAAGGGCTGAGGACATTTTTGCTTCTTTGCATGTTGTCCAGATTCCAGTGTATTGCAATGAGAGGAAGTGATTCTCATAGAATTACAGCCTGGGCAAGCGTCCTTCCTACCGGCCTGTGAGGCTGCCCTGCAAGCTGTGCCTTTTCATAGTCTTTCTGCCATCATCAGCGATGGCCTGCCTGGCTGCCTTTTGCTTGGGAGGAGAAAACATACGCAAGCATCATTATTTGATGTCTTCTTTTATTTTTACCTTTTTCAGTTCCAGTTTAAAGCAATAGCACACAACATCAGAGATTTATTTTTATTGGACAAGATAAAAACTTTGGAAAATTCCCAATAAAACATGACCTACTTATGTACACATACAAGAATACAAACAGAAAATGTGAGAAATAACCCTGTTCTTTAAGAATTTAAAAAATAGTAGGAATTCCACTGCAGCATACCAAATATGATAAAAACTGCACACGTTTGCTTTGAAGCCTGACAAAGCCTGAGCTCTTCCCACCACATTACTAAGTCGCTGTGTGCTCTTGTTAAAGTGAATTGACTTCTCTGAGTCCCAGGCTCCATATCCTGCCTGTAAGACTTGAAATGGATTTATGAGCAGTTTCTCAGAAAAACATCTGGCACAAACTAGATGTGTAACACATGAAAGCTGTTATGGTTATTCTCCTGCCATTGGTTAGTCTTTTTTTCTAAAAAGAGTATATAGCGGATACCTAGCCTTAATTTGGGTTTTAGGTTAGCCACTCACATCTTTTCTAATCATAATCTGTTCTCAACCATTGAAAGGAGGAAGTAGAGGAGAAAATAAAGAATAACAATTGGAATATAAAAGAAAGGCCAGGACGGGTGTGGTGGCTCACTCCTGTGATCCCAGCAATCTGGGGGGCCAAAGTGGGCAGATCACCTGAGGTCAGGAGTTCGAGACCAGCCTGGCCAACATGGCAAAACCCCATCTCTACTAAAACTACAAAAATTAGCTGGGCATGGTGGTACACCTGTAATCCCAGCTACTTGGTAGGCTGAGGCAGGAGAATCTCCTGAACCCGGGAGGCGGAGGTTGCTGTGAGTGGAGATTGTGCCACTGCACTCCAGCCTGGGCAACAGAGTGAGACTTGGTCTCTGGGGTGGGAAAAAAAAAAGAAAAGAAAAGAAGAAAAGAAGGAAAGGCCGGTACGTGCAAAGTGGGGAGGGGAGACGTGTGGGAGCGTGAGGGTTTGGGAAGGAGCCGACGGGGCAGCTGTAGAGGAGTCAGGAGAAGGCGGGAGGTGACACTGACAGGGAAGACAGACGTGAGACACCTTCCTCCCTTACGGTTGGGCCCGGCCACCTGTCCTGCGACTGCATCGGCTCCTTGTCTGCATCCCACAGAAGAACCCACAGGTGAAAAAGGTCCCAGGCGAAGGGGATTTCATTCCCAAGTCGGTGCTTCCCAGGAACTGGGTTAAATGCTGCTCAGGGCCACCTCCCGGGAAGATGAGACTGGGAAGCTTCATTTAGGTACATTCAAAATCTTTCCCGCCAAGGGGTAGAAAAGCCTGCTGAGTTACAGCTTCCCAGAGATGGTCTCCTGCTCTCTCAGATGGGTAATGTTTCCCATCGGAAAGAAGAAAGCAGCCAGCAGGAGAGGGAGAAACGAGCCAGTCCAGCCATGGCGCCATTCCAGGGACGTCTTTTTGCTTTTGTGGTGTTAAAACATCAGCCTTCCTCATTTAAGTTTTAAAATGAATTAAAAATGTATTAAAATGCTAGGTAAATAGCACAAAAATGTCCAATAGTGCTCTGTTTTCCTTTCGAAAATTGGTCGTCTGTGTCGTATTTATTCCAGCAGCTTCCAGTTCATACGCAGAAACTCACTCTTAACAGCAGATATCTCAGACCTGGCAAGAACATGAGCATTTTCCTCCAGGCAAAAGATTTTAAAGACTGAAATGTCTTCTTAATAGACACACAGCATCAGTGCTCTCGAGACTCTTTCCCCTCATCGTTAGATAAATAAATATGCATCGCCAATTTTTGTTTTTAAATTAAAATCTCTTGTTTCTAGTGGTTTATAATTTGTATATTGCCAGACACTCCTGTTTAGGATCAAAACTGAAGGTCTGGAACTGGAAGCATTAAGACACTAAATGTCACAAGCGCTCCTTCAAATGAGGACTTGTTAAAATTAGCCCTTCTCCGGGTGCACAGGTGACTTGCTGAATTTACCTCAGCAAGCGGCCCCGCATTTGTAAAATCCCACTCCCAGCCTTGGCTACAAAACATCCACTAAAAATGATAATTAAAATAATTATAGAAGCAATAGGAAAGCATAATAAGAGAAAAAACATTTTAAAGAAATTATTCAGAAAATATTACAAGCTGATGCTCTGGAAATATTCCAGCCCTACTAATGGCATCTTAATATGTGAAAGTATTTGTGTAATTGTTCAGAGATGAAAGTCTCCTCTGTTTAAATTCAATCACAGTATGATATTTTTCTTTATTTAAATGAAGTAAGCGTGGCAATTTTCACAACATAAAAAAGATGCTTAGTTTTAATTTAAGGAAGATGTGTTGCCACGTGCTTTCAGCAAAGTTCTCCTGCATAGAGTGTCTTCCAGAAACAGCAATTCCTCCCCTATTTCCCCAAATTAAACAACTTATTGGGCGTATTTAAAGTAAGCTTTCATAAATTGAGAGAAATTTTTTTTTAACTTTCAAAGACGCTTTACAAAGTGCAACTTAATCCCCCCATCTTTCTCGTAATTTTATCATTTTTACTGAAATGTTGTGGATGTTTCTTGGCCACGGTTTGTTGAGCTGTGCTCAGAGCAGAGTGGAGGGTGGAAAGCCACGGGCCCTGCAGCAGCCCAGCGAGGGAGGGCAGACAGAGGGGCTGGTTTCGCATCCTGAGAGGGATCCAGCAGCACCTCCGTGCCATGGCCCCTTTGGGCAATTATCCCCAGCTCTAACTATGGAGCCTGCGGTCCTGGGCTCTGAAATCAGAGTCTATGAACAGAAGAGCTCTAGGCAAAAACATACCATTCAATATAATGACTAATGACTCTGTGGCCCCAGCATGGGAAAGCAGACCCTCCATCCTGGGCTGGCTGCCTGGGTCCTGGCGATGCTGGAGTCCAATGTCACTCTGGGAAAAGCTAAACATGTCCCATTGTGTTTAGAAATGTTATAGCAGAGACTATTTATGAATGACTAAACACAAAAGCACTTAAGCCTTCAGCTCCCCTGATGGAAAGGGGGACAGGCGAGGGCCCAAGCCACAGGACGTCGGCCCATAACCTTGGGAAGTCAAGGCTGGTGTCTGCAAGCCCTGACCTGGAATTCCCTGAAGAGGCTCCTCACTGGGATGATGGCAGCCAAAGGCACAATATGCGAGGTACACTTGCCGCTGTGCCAATGCTCCGCACCCCACCTCTTTCATGCTGTTACCCAGCTGGGATGGAGAGGCTGCCTTTTCCCAGTTGTCAGACCAGACAAATGGTGGCTAGAAAAGCTAACCACTGACTTCTCCCTGGTCTCCCCGTTACACAGTGGGGAAGCCAAGGCTCCCAAAACTCCTCCCTGGTATTTCTGATGGAGACAGCATGGCAGGGAAAAGCTGTTTTTTTCCTCTAAAACCTTCAACCAGGCCCCACAGAACCAATGGAATTACTTGAGCCCTGGGTTCCTGTCCTGGAGGCCCTGAGTCTGCAGGTGAAGTGAAGACATATCAGTAACATGGGAGTGCTCTCAGGGAGGCTTCAAAAAGGAAGTAACTGGACAGAAACCATTAGCTCTAACATCCCAGGGGCTTCGTGAGCTCTTACAGATCTTTAATTTTGGCTTCTATGTCATTGAATTAACACCTATCAATAATTTGCTCTAATTTTACCCAAAAGTCTAAAATCTCTTACTCATTTCAATGCAATATCCATTCACAATTGTATTTCATAATGAATGTAATTTATGATTTAATTCATATGTGTATATTTTCATTTTGAAGATGCACCATTTTGCAGAAGAATTTTTTGTATAAATGGCTATATTACCTGAAACACTACAGTATTTATCATTTAGAAATTTCAACAAATATTAGATAACATGGGTGTATTCTGTTTTCATTTGTTTGGCTCTCATGTAGCAATGGCCTATGTGCAGGCCACCCAGGACACGACCTGCTCTGTGTTCTGGTCGTGCTGAGCAGGCTCGGCCAGGACAGGTTGGTGGCTGTGGACAGGGCCCTGGTCATCTGTGAGTGGCCCCAGTGCAGCCTGAAGACTCTGCAGATGCCGACAGGCGCCTGCCTCTGGGGCCTTGGGAAGCTGCAGTGATCTGGGCCTCTCGGCTTATATTTTGTATTGTTGTTCTTCTCTGCTTCATCTTTCTTTAAACAGTTTGGGCCACCAGATAGAAAGACAGGACCTGAGTCTCTTTCTTGTCTGTTTTAGAAACAGTTCTAAAATTCAAAGGGAAGGTGAGGGTCCTTAGGAGGTACGGTCAGCTCTTTCCACGATCTTGGCCTCCAGGCATCCAGAGCACCAGGTGGAGGATGAGAAGGAAAACCCTGGACTCTGCATTCCAGAAGAAAAACAACTTAGATGTCCTAGAGCAATTGCCTCATTCTTTGATGACACCATGAAAGTTCAGAGGCGAAGGGGCACCCACAAGGTCTCACAGTTACACATCTCAGGAAAATCCAAGCTCTTCATGAGCTTGGGAAACCTCCCTGGAAAAGGGAACTAATTGTCTGAGTAGGGAGTGAGGAATTTGGAGGGCAGATGCCTACTGGGGTGTCAATTGCAACCTCAGCTTTCTGTGTGAATGTTGCAGGGAAACCAGGAGATGGCAATGAGGAGGAGCAAGCCTGGGGGAGAGGCACTCTGCCACCACACCCATAAAAAATGCATACCATACTGGATTTCCAAGACTATGATAAAGGACAAGTAGCATTAGGGAGAGTAAAGTTCAGTCCTCGCGTCCCTAAAATATTGCCGACATTTAAAACAAAGAAAAGCAACACTTACGTGAGTCCTGAATTAAACCTAGTTTTAGGAACATGTTTAAAAATAAATAGTGTAGTGTCCATTTGTAATCCCTCAGAGCAAATGGCGCTTTTGTGATGGCTGCGACTTAGCCTACACTCTCGACTCTTACATATGCTGCTAGGTATGCTCATATTCATAAGAGATCAACTATTTCGTGTGAGGCAGGCAACCCGTTTCCCCAGAAAGGTCAGTTTTCATTGCTGTAAGTCTCCCGGCTGCGGGGTGCCGATGGAGGACCGCCTTGAAACCCGGCTCCCCAGGCAGTTTCCTCCTCTGGCCCTTGTCAGGCCTGAGATAACCTTTGGTGGTTCCTTTCAGTGGTAGTGCCGTATAATTCAGGTAAATTGATGCTGTGTGGGAGAAGTTTTCACAGACTCCTCATCCATTATTGAATAATTTTTCATAATAAGAGCACTTCCTAAGTCAAACAAAGCCCAAGTATGGCTCAGGGAACTGCTGTGTTGAGTGCATCAGGGTTTATTTTTCTGCTGAAGAAAATAAACTATTACTTTGACTAATAACCTCGCTGGAATGTGGGTGTAGAGTGCCGCTCAGCGCGCTGCCGAAAGAAATGGATGCCCCCATCCTTTCCAGACACATGCTCCATCTGAGGGTCCAACAAATAGGTTCTGAGGCCTGGCCTGTGTCAGAAGGGAAACTTCTAAATACTCAAAGCTGGAGAAAACCACTTTTTTTTTTTTGGACTAGAAAACACACAAACAACCACAAAGGTGTGTTACTAAAATACCCTTAAGAGCAATTGTTTATATTTGTGCTTAAACTTTAGCTCCTTAATATTTTAAATTGGTAAAAGAAACGCATACAGCGATAAAGGCATGGCAGCTAAGAGTACTGCGATGGGAGAAGGTGGCCAAGAAAGCGGAGCTGGCTCTGAGGGATGCTCTTCTGGTGAAGAAAACGGCATTTAGCAAAGCCTCTTGCTGAAAGTTCTCCATTCGTCTTTCTTTCCAAAGGGACCCAGGTGGCACATACCCCTCCTCGGAAAGTGTACATTTACTATATTTTCTATATGTTTTTCCTTTTCATTTCTAGACAAATCCTTTTGAGCGACTTAAAATAGGAGAGATTGCAAAGAGCTCTAAAGGCATGTCCTGGTCGTAGGTCTAATTTCTCTGTCTCGAGTGAGACGCCCAGCTGCCTGTTCTGTGTATTCTTATACCACCCAATCATACCACTTTTCTTTAATTCTTGTTTTATTCAGAAGCATCACATTTTTTGTTCAAAGGGCATTTATTTAGCAATTTTAAAATGCATAAAACTTGTTAGATTCATCTTCCATTTAATAGCTTCTGATAAATGTTTTATTAACAATGAACATCGAGGTACCAACACATTTACAATGCCCCTAATCATTCAGCAGAATCTATTTTTGTTTGTATTAGTATATGTATATCTATGGAGTCTTCGTATAAAGTTTTTGCAACAACATTGACTTTTAAGGTGACCTGTGATTACTGGGTGAATTGCATGAGATATCAGAGTAGGGCTATCTGAATATTCTTTAAAATACCTTTTTCTTATCCAAATTCTTAGAATGAAAGGAATTCATATCATATCTGGTGTGGAATATAGACCAATTACTCACCGTTATCATTCCTGACCTTTGTTTTCCTCTTTCATTTTTTGGGGAATTAACAAACCAGGAGTGAGTCATAAAATGATAAAGTGTATTTGATGTGTACCCCGGTTCCCTCAATTTCGGACTTTGCAGCATGTCTCCAGAACCTTCCATAACCAGTAGCTTAACCTGATGCATGCCACACGTTCTGCACGGGCACATTCGTGAAAACTTTAGAACGAAGCCGAGATGCCTGTGGGATTATTACCCTTATGTGCAGATGAGGAAGCCCCTGTGTTGGACAGGTGATGGCTTGCATAGAATTCAGAGGCTCCAGGAGGGCAGGGCACATGACCTTTTCACTCTGCAGGACCAGTGGACCCACTTATGTGGGTGCATCCTCGTCACCCTTTCTTGTTAATTTTAGGGCAAAACTGACAATCTGAGGCATCTTGTGGAACCACTGGACTCCTGAGACTTCCAGAGGCCACTCGGCTTCCTAGTTACTGTTCTTGTCTTCCTATTGGCCGGCCAGATGCAGGGAGCGAGCTGTTTTCTTTTCTTTTCTTTTCTTTTCTTTTCTTTCCTTTTCTTTTCTTTTCTTTTCTTTCTTTTCTTTTCTTTCTTCTTTCTTTCTTTCTTTCTTTCTTTCTTTCTTTCTCTCTTTCTTTCTCTCTTTCTTTCCTTTTCTTCTTTCTCTCTCTCTCTTCCTTCCTTCATTCCTTCCTTCCTCCCTTCCTTCCTTCTTTCTGTCCTTCCTTTTTTCCTTCCTTCCTTCCATCTTTCCTTCCTTTCCTTTCTTTCCTTCTTTCTTTCTTTCCTTTCTTTTTTGTGTTTTGTTCCCTATGCAAGGAGGCCAGAGTGATGCTTACGGATGGGATCTTCATGTTCTCTGAAAACATGGCAGTAAGGGGTTAATACCCTAAAATATGAGGTGCTATAAAAACCCGAAAGTGAAAACTCATCTCTAGTAAGGCGACGATGGCAGATGCGATCAGCTGCAGAATACGGGTGGTGCAAGTCCAGGGCCATGCCTAGGCCCTGTGTTTTTGCATCTAGGGAAACAGGCAAATGCCAGGAATGATGTTCGTGTAACACCCACATAGCTTCTCTCTTAGAATAAACAGAAGCCTTTATTCTAACAACACCGTAATACTCACAAATATTTCTGAAAGAGACAGACCAACGCATACTTAATTGCAAAAAATATCATTTTTTCTACAGTTTATAAGTATAGATGGAAAGGTTGGAATGTGCCATGCAGCCTTGACGATCTCTGTGGTGAATGCAGAGCCTTGTCCATAACAGATTATAAACAGCAGCCACTGGTCTTGCAGGATGAAGGGAAAAAGAGGAGGGTTGGAAGAACACAAAGGAACAACTTTTTGCAGAGAGTTAAACATCACCAAAGCGGAGAGGGGCTGAGTGTTTCCGGAGGGTGCTTTGCCTGCACCACTCACCACTCCCCGACCCCAGCTTCCCAGAAGCAGTGCACGGTTTAGGAGGTCGTAGGGCTGGGCCCACTTCCAGCTGCTTCTGTTTTCTTGTGCTTCTAGGATGGTCCCTGGGCTACCTTAAATCAACACGTTTGAAAGCTGTAGAAAGTAAGGGAAGACTCACGACACAGATACCACAAAACACAGGACAACATGTTTTAACCTTTGAGAAATAATTAGAGCCAGAGCTGTGCTTATATCTGGGTAATTGATGTTCTCTCCAAACCAGGCCTATGGAATATCAGGCATCCCACCCCATGCATAAGTACTGCAACCAGGAACATGAGCATCTCCATGCTGCTTGCACAAATGTGGGGCCCTGAGCACACCGACAGACTCCCATATGGCAGCCAGGAAAACCTGCCCAAGCCCAGCCTTCCCTTACATCCACATCCCCACACAAGGACTAGGTCACCGCTGTGGCCCGACATTCCTGCACAGCCACAGCAAATATATGTTGCACAGAGGTCAAAGCTTCCTCCATAGTAGTCGCTGAGGACTTACCATGGACACAGCTAAGCCTACTACTGTTTTAGTCTCTGTTGTTACAGACAAGACATTGCTGCCTTTAAGTGAACAAAAATAAAATCATTCCTGTTGAAGAACTGGCAGCAGAACTTTCTAAAGATTGCCCTTGACACATAGTTT
Source organism: Homo sapiens (assembly GCF_000001405.40). Lineage (NCBI taxonomy): Eukaryota > Metazoa > Chordata > Mammalia > Primates > Hominidae > Homo > Homo sapiens. Next base: position 3,771,541 of record NC_000005.10, read on the forward strand.
CACTTAAAAACCAACCCTGAAAGTCTCAGTGCAAACACCCCGATTGCGTGTGCAGGAGTAGCGCTGTCATCACAGCAGGATCACACCCACATGGCAGGCAGCGGCACCATACGGATGAGACGGGGTGTCCATGATGAAGCCGCCCAGCTTCGTGGAGCCTCCAGGCTGTGAATTCCAAAGACTGTTTCTGACAGAATTCATGTTCCCTGTTTCTAAAAGACTGAGTGATGAATACGTCTGTAAAGTAATTTGAAAAGTCATGGGATTAGAGGAACCTATGTACAAGGGACTTTGGTGACAAGATTTCAGGCAGCTTCCGAAGCAGGAGTAAGGAGGCAGCTTTGATGAGATGGGGAGCAACCACTCAGTTCAGCGATACTCAATGCAGGCCAGAATTTTTTAGTCCTTTTTTGAAATTGTGTTGGATTTGTGATTTTTATTTCATACACACAAAAATTATGTATTTTCCCTGTTCATCATGATATTGATACTTTAGTTCTTTGTGCCCTGTTTTTTTTTTTCCCATTCCATGGGTTCAGTCAAAACCACTTTATCTGTAAACAGAATGATTAATTGATTATAAGTATGTGTTATTAAGACAATTGCTACTAGTAGTAGAAAGATTAAATTAAAGAGTATTCTACATTGGTGGTTGCACAGTGTTATAGAAATAACCCCAGCTTTCTGAAATAGACGCTGTCTGAATTCCCAGGATATAGATGAACCAAGTGACATTGTCCAGATTGTTTAAGTAGCACAACAGACCCCTGGTTAGTGGTGGGTCCAGGAGGATGCCACATTGTCCTGGAGGTGGGGAAAAAGTGTGGCCCACTCATGCGGGAACACATTATCATCAATACTAATGGATGGTGACAAGTGGGATGGAAGCAAAGTATTGGGTGATACAACAGCTTCAGGCCACAACTGCGGTGCAGTGGTCAGGAGGGGTCATTTGAGGAAGTGGCCACTGAGCTGGGCCAATTTGGAGCAGTGAGTTCAACCGACACTTCTGGTAGATATGAAGAATGTGGGAGAATAAAAAGGAGCAGAAGGTCAGCTTGGAGACCAATCACAGTGCTAGGAGTTTAGTTGGGACCTTGGTCTCATCATTCCGTAGCTCATGAATTCTGCCTCACCCATCTTTCCTATCCTGCAACATCAAGACTGGGCTGGTACCTTAGATGCTAAGTCTGGGGCATTCGTAATTGATGATTGAATACTAATAGTTAATAATCAGGTTGCAGATATTAGCTGCAAAGAGTTGAGGATTTGGGGAGATGACTGAAATTACTGAGGAATTCTTACATGTGGTTGAATGTGAGGAGTGTTTTGAAGGACCAAAATGTGCCAAATGTCTTAGAAAAGCCTGCCGTAATGATATCAAACAGTATCGCCACAGTTGAGAATTTTAATTTTTCAAAATTATTGACTGATGTTAGTTTGCAATATTGAAAGACTAGGACATTCAGGGGTGTGGTTAAAAAAAAGTAAAATAGAATTCTTGAGAAGCTGCATTCTGACTTGGACACTGTGTCAGTATTGCCTTCCGCTCTGTTTGATAAAATCATCTCGTGTTCCCGGGTACCCCAACTGTTCACACTTGTATTGTTTCATGTTTTTGATGCACACTCATTAACTCTCCATTTTAATATCTTCTTACAACTACCAAAAACATGTATTTGTTCTAGAATATTGTTCTTCTGTAAAATGGCACTCTCTAAAGTCATTCCTCGCAATTCTATTGTTCTCCCCCGATGTCAGGCTGACAAACAGTGAAAGTAAACTCAGAGTAGAATCAAAATCCCCCATCCATTCATGCTTAGGCACGTTCTTTATTACCACATATTTAATATACAGCAAAGAGAGAAAAATTAGCACAATTAAGACCTGTTTTCATCCTTGACCGTGTCTCCTCCAGCAGAAACAGATTCTTGTATTTTAAAATTGTTTTGTTTTCTTTTTTAAGCAAACTATTCCCCAGAAAGACTTTTCTTGGCGCAATTGACTTGATTTCCAGTCAGCACCTATTCAAATAACAGTAACTTGTTTTTTTTTTTTGACCCTTTAAATAAACATCATTTACATGTTGTATCAGAAAGTGCACAAAGCTGTAAACTGATAAAGTTATAGATTTTCACGGAAATTAAGAACCAGAAAGGGTCTATGCGGTTCTTTAGCTTAGCCTTTATTTGAGGAATGTTACTAAAAAATGGTATGTCCGTGAAGATTTTGTAGGTCACTCATGGCTAGGTGAGGGGTTCAACAGGGGGAAACAGGCGTTTTGTGACAGGAGTTCCCATCGCCCAGACAATATCCTATGCTGCATCGGGGGGCTTTTCTCCTGGGGGGTTTCCCAGTGGAATGCCCCTGAGTGATCTCCCCAGCCAAGAGGGAAGCTGACACTCCCAGGGTGTTTGTGTCCTGCCTACCCCAAAAGCTAATCCTAGGATCCGGATCTCCTTAATCTGTATAAAGCCCTCTCGTATTCACACTGAGAAAATGCACTTTGTTCTCCTCTGAAGTGGCTCACAACCAGTCAAACAGCTTCTCAACTGGGAGTTGATCTTCTTATGAATGATCAGAATTTACCTGCTCTAAGCAGCTGTGTTCTTCAGCATTTATAAAGCAGAGTTCTATGGGGCTGCCATGATGGATTAGAAAGGACTGATCCTAATGCTTCCTGTCCATTGCATGAAGCCAGAGGTGGTTTGTTTAAGAACACTTTGGAGAAAGTGTTCCATTTGAACAAATGGTCTGAGGTGTCCTAAAAAGCCCCAAATTTAGCTGAATGCATTCTCTGCTTTTCCTCTTAGGTTTCAATTGGACTGATTTACATCATGGGTTTTTCTACCCTCTGTCTCTTTGCTTTTCTTAGGTATAAACTTGTCCCAACGTGGTGAAAACGCCAGCTCTTCTGGAGTTAGGGCATCTCACCCTTCCTATTGCCTCGTGAAGCTCTCGAGGTCTTACCTTTGCAACACACCCTTCTGACGGGACTCACCACTGTGTTTAAGAGCTGGGACTGGTGCTCTTGTTCACAGCTTCTCCTTGAGAGTAAATGCTGCTCTTGTTTCTTGTCTCATGGTGGCCCCACGCCCATGCTGCTGGTTTTCCAGAGTCCCTGGTTGGAGATAAGATCCAGAAACCTTCCTCAGTGCCTGGCGCTGAACCATGATCTGCATAAATGGATGGAGAATCATACGTTCCTGGGTGTTCTCCATGTTCCCCCATTTATGGTGTGCACATCTCCCCAGGACTCGCTGGCTGAGGGTACATGTGTGGTCACTGCTCTAGAACTAAGGCATTGCTCAGGCCTCCTTGCCCTCATCTGCCAAAGCGGGGACCACAGCTCCGCTTCGTCATCTTCCTTGCAGCTCCTACAGCATCCTCCCCACCAGGCCCCAACTGCTGAGCTCTGCCCATGACAGCAGTGGAGGACTCCGCCCTGCCATCTACCCAACACACCCATCCTGACTCCACTGATCCTGCCCCATGGCAGGCCCTCTGCATGCCCCAAAGCCACAGTCTTCATGCATCCAAGTGGCCTTTTGGGCCCCATAGAGGCCAGTATCAGGGCCTCCTCCCTTCTTTATGACAACCGTCATCACCAGGATGGGCGCGGGCCAGGCTGCTGTTCTCTGCTCCCTTCAGAAGGGAGTGCCCTGTCCACCATTATCCTGAAGCTCTCCTCGTCAGGAGGCTCACACAGGAGTGAGGGGCCGGAAGGTGGCCAGCTCGCCATCCCCTCAGGCTGACCTGCCGACCTCTCCCGTGGCGGTTGCCTGTTCTTAAAAGATGCTCCTCTGGGCCTCATGCAATGGGAATTCTGATGGGACTCTGGCCATGATGTGCCCGGTCTTCTGGGCTACCTGACCTGCATCCCAGGGCTCAGCTGAGGCCTACAGGATGCTTCACATCATAGAGGGCTGTGGGCTCTAGGACAGAGTGTGTGGAGGATGCTAAGGAAGAAAAGAAGCATGTGGGGGATGCCTGGGGGCTGTGGAACTAGTGGGTCCCGAAGACCAAATTTCTCATGCATCCAACAGGGCAGCTTAGCATGAACAGGGGTAGAGCCCAAATGGTGGGATAGACTGACACATACCCTACGATCAAAACTGTGAATGGTTTTACCTCAACATGGAGCCAGAATCAGGGAGAAGCTTCTAGTAAGAAGAGATGAAGGTGCATTTGGGGGGCAGCAGAAATAGAGGCATATAGTTGTGAAGAAGACAACATTTTGAACCTGATATACCTCAGACATTCAGGAAGTTTTTCATTCACAGAAGACATTTGACTTTAAAACATATTGATATTGTATGTAATAACTCAGATGAAATAGCCTTCTGCTCCTGATGTGATGTTGCATAAAGACACTAAAAAATGTGTTGTCTTTGCCTTGGAATCCTTTAGATATGTCTTTGGGTGGCTTATGGGAGAGACTTGAAACCGTGGCCTCAGCGCTGACCCCCAGTTTCCCCGTGCAGCCAGGCCTGGCTGCTCATGAATGATGCCATCTCAGCCTCTGCTTCATGCTGTCAGTCTTTACAGAAAATTCCCACTCCCTTAAAATGACACTTAACTTCTGACCCTCATAGAATCAATGTCTTTGACAAAGATAAAGATTTTTATTAGGACATGGGTTCTTCTGTGGAGATCAGCATCAGAGTAGATGGTGAGCGGTTCACACTCTTCATGCTTGGTCCTGCTCAGAGAGACTCGGATCCACCCTCTGTGCAAGGAATGCTCTCCTCATGGGGACCCCTAGACACAGACAGGATAAGTGAGCCCCTGGATCCCACAGCAGGTGCAACTTGTGTTTACTTATTTATGTTTACTTTATTTTATTTTTCCATAAGTTATTGGGGTACAGGTGGTATTTGGTTACATGAGTAAGTTCTTTAGTGGTGATTTGTGAGATTTTGGTGTACCCATCACCCGAGCAGTATACACTGAGCCGTATTTGTAGCCTTTTATCTCTCGGCCCCCTCCCACTCTTCCTCCCAAGTCTCCAAAGTCCATTGTATCATTCTTATGACTTTGTGTCCTCATAGCTTAGTTCTCACACATCAGTGAGAACATACAATGTTTGGTTTTCCATTCCTGAGTTACATCACTTAGAATAATAGTCTCCAGTCTCATTCAGGTCAGTGAAATTGCTGTTAATTCATTCCTTTTATGGCTACGCAGGATTCCATCATATATATATGTGTATATATATATATGTATGTGTGTGTATATATATATGTGTGTGTATATATATATACACGTGTGTGTGTGTGTGTGTGTGTGTGTGTGTGTGTATATATATGCCACCATTTCTTTATCCACTCATTGATTGAGGGGCATTTGGTTTGGTTTCACAATTTTGCAATTTTAAATTGTGCTGCCATAAACATGGATGTGCAAGTATCTTTTTCAAATAATGACTTCTTTTCTGCTGGGTAGATAACCAGTAGTGGGATTGCTGGATCAAATGGTAGTTCTACTTTTAGATATTCTTTAATGTTTAAGCCTCCTACCTGTAGGACTCTCCAAGCACTTCAGACATTAGTGGCTTGACAGTGGGACCCTTGTATCTCTGGAAATGTCTAGAAGCAACACCAGCAAAACATGATGCCTGGATGCAGATCCCTGTATGGGAGACTTACGCAGTAGCTTTCAGAGTTTGAATCGTGAACCACAGCAAACTATGGATTCTGCACCGTGGCCTGGTTCTCATCAACAAACAGAGAGCTGGAGAAACACTCACTCTGTGAGGGATACCTACACTCGCTGTGTAGCATGCACACTGTAGATTTTATTCTGATTCTTCAAATAAAAGGCTACCAGTCTAAAAAATGTCTTGACAAGTGATGCTTCACAGCTGGAAAACCCAAGTTCATTGCTCAAATGAGCAGAAATTTTAGATTAAACCAGTGGAATATTTAAGAAACAAAACCCTGTATAAGGAAGTGTGGCTTAAAGTCCCACATGAAATAGCTAGTAGATTTAAATGGTGGGCATGCTGGTCTCAAGGGTTAATTTTATTTTCATTGGGATATAATTCAGATACCGTAAAACTCACCGTGCTTAGGTGTGCAATCCAGTGGATTTTAGCACATTCGCAAACTTGTACAAGCAACACAACTGCCTAATTCCAGAACCCTTTAGTCATCCCCCTAAAACACTCTGCACCTGTTTAATTTTACAGAGTGTCTAGAGTGTCTGAGATCATTTATGTGACCACAATATTTATTGAGAAGTTTTGAGAATGTTTTGTGGGCTCTGAAGTAGCTAACGTGTAATAGGGACATTTCTATTGAAAATTGCCTTTCAAAATGGACAGGTTTAGGGTGTAAATATCTAACATTGTTAAAGAAGAGCCAATTGTTTTCATTTCCGATATCTATATTCACACAAATGGCCAGCTAGCACTTAGAGCATGAGGTATGCTGCTGGCGAAGTCTCCTGGAGGCCACTAGATTCAAATGTCGGCAGAAATATTATCTTGGCAAATACTAAGTGTGTAAGAAATGCCATTAAAGCTAGGAAAGCAAGACATTCATTGAGCAACAACAATTATGGATTATCTATTTGTGCAGCTCAGAGAGTGTGTCTTCTCTGCCTTTTTTCCTGAGCTACCAAGAGAATTAATTCAAGTTTTGTCTCATAATTTCAGGTCAGCCCACCCTCTGGGCATTCATCCCAGGCCGGCTTTATCAACAGCAACAAAACTATGACAGTTTGAAGCTTGCATCTAAAAACACAGAGTGAAGCTTTCAAAAAGAGCGAGACATTGACTTTCAAAATAGCTCTGTCTACTGCATGCCATCTTGATAAGGGAGTTTCGCAATAAAGCATTTGCCGGGTGGGTGACTGATAGCAAAGCTGTGTTTCCTGGGGAAAAGTGTGGCATCTTCAGTTTACATCAACTTGCTCTCATCTGAGACAAAACTGTAAGTAAAAGGCAAAAGTTTACCCTCTACTGCGTTGTTATGGTCCAGGCTGTTTCTTCTCATGCTCTTTAAATGAAAGAAAGTGGCTGGGTTCACTATTGGAATGTCAGGGAGCTCAGGTGCTATTGTTAGAATGACTTCCTGGTGGCACAGCCATGGCCAAGTGACCTTGTTTCCACGAGAATCCGTGGTTTTATGCTTAGGTCTAGATCATTCTCTCGTCAAACGATGAGGTTCGGGTCAGCTCCTCGGGGCCAGCAGTGACCTTTCTGGGGAAGGCAGTAGCTGCCTGCTATCCCGTTACTTCTGAAGACTTCGTGGTAAAGTTTCCTAATTGAGAAATTTCCCTCCATTTGGAGAGAATTTACACACATACCAGGAATGGCTTTGGGGAGCTATTTCCCTGCCAGGGAGTCGATTTAAACAACAAAAAGTCAAATCATCCTGCCCTTTTCTGCCTGTTCGCTGCCTGCTTGTGGGGCCGCAGGAAGGCTCAGAGCTATCAAATGAAGAAAAATGGGCCTTTGGCTTACAACTATATTGGCACCCCCATTCCCCCTGCATGGAAGTTTTCATAAGAGGCCTGGCAAATGGTTTTAAAATAGCTGTGGTATCTGGCAGGTTGGAGTGTGCACAGCCTAGAAGTGTTGTTTCCATTTCATTCTTCAGCTGTGTGTCCCTGCTGCGATGGATGCCAGATAGAGCCTGCTTGCCTAGGATGGGGACAGATGCCATTGGAAACAGGTCAGGTAAACTTGAGCTGCTAGATTCACCCTGATGAAACTCATTAGCTCCTGGCTCTCTGAGCACTTCTTTTCAAAGCTAACACTCTGGGCTTTCAAAGAACAGATTCCTGTTGCAAACTCACCCAAAGCTGGCTACCAAAAGCCATCACATTTACCCCTCTTTGCTCCTGGTGGTTCACAGAGAAGGTACTGGACACACATTTTAAATATAAGCTTTTACTACGTCTCTCTTGTCTGCTTATGAAGACACCAGCCATGGTTCGTTAGATGCGTGGGAGCCACCATTTCTGTAGTGGAGTTCCACCGCGCCTTTTCAGGAGGAGGGCTGGCCCGGAGTGGGGAGCCACAGCAGCCCCCTCTGCTGTCTCTTAGTCTTGCCGTGGTAGCCCCTTTTCCTAGGTGTCCGCTACTCAGTACTGTCATCAATTACTGAAGCTTTAAATGCAGTGTACCAATTTGAGTTTCGGCCAAAGTTATGGCAGGGACTTTAAGGCAAGTTTGTAGAGAAGTCTTGACTCCTGAGATGAACCATTTTTTCAATAGGCGAATATGTTCTAAGAACAAAAAGTTGAGAATGTTGAAAATGTGATCTGTTGGTGTTTACTAATACAAATTTAGGCATTTTAGAAAAAGCGCAGAGCTCTTTGTTTTAAAGTCATCACAAACACAATAAGAAAAGGAGAATGGAAACCAAGGTTTGGTATCCATACTTGGTGCCCATGTAGGCTGGGGCTAATCCAAACCAATTAATGTCTAACTAAAAGAATTATTTTGTTTGATGTATAAAAATAAGATTATGTAATTAGAATTGGATAGGCCACAGCTTGAATCTTTTCTCTGCCATTGTTTATCTGGGGGCTGAGTTTCACTTTTATTATTGGTCAAATGTGGGATCATGTTATTTATTTTGTAATGTTATTGTAGAAACAAATAAGAAAGCTCCTCACATGATACTTAAACCACCCAGCAAATAAGATGCAATTATACTTTTGTATTTTTGTTTCTTTTTTTTTTTAGAGACAGGGTCTCACTCTGTCACTTAGGCTGGAGTGCAGTGATGAGATAATAGCTCACTGCCGTCTCAAACTCCTGTGCTCAAACAATCCTCCCACCTCAGCTTTCTGAGTAGCTGGGACTACAGGTGCATGCCACCATGCATGGCTAATTTTCTAAAAAATGTTTTAGGGATGAAGTTTTGCTATGTTGCCCAGGCCGGTCTCAAATTCCTGGGCTCAAGCAATCCTTCCACCTGAGTCTCCCAAAGTTCTGGGGTTACAGGCATGGGCGCCTGCACGAGGTCCCAAGTACACCCTTGGAACTCACATCAATTCACTGGAATATCACCACGATTGTCCTTAGTTGAAAGGCCAGTAAAGACATATTTATCACAAGCCGTAGACTCCAATTAAACGTATATTTGAAGCCAAGATCCATCATTACTTCCTTTGGAGATGCTGTCACCTGTCTAAGAGTCTAGGAAGTTTTAATGAATATGGAATCTCAGGAACTGTCACCTTTGAGAATTACAAAAATGTACCTATTTGCTTTTGCACTCTCTCTTGCCCTGATCTGCCACATCACATATGGCCAGGGGGTCTGTGGGCTCCTGACAATAGTTCTAGGTAGCCCAGATGGGAGGGCCCAGGATGGGCAGCTGCTGCTGTGGGATCTGAGACTGGTCATAGGAAAAATGGGGCTTAACGATGGGCAATGTGCTGGGCTCCTGGATGGAAAGAACAGCTACGAAGAGACAGCAAACCCTGGTGTGAAAATGTCCACTTGGCAAGGGGAGTGCGACTCACTGACAGTCACAAGGTCATCTGGAGGCCGTTCCCCAGCCTCTGTTGGATGTGCCACCTGCCCCGGGCCTGTCTGGCATTGCTTTCTGTTTGTGTTGCTTTTCTGGACGGTCAGGGCTGTGGCTGTTTCTGGAGAGCAGTTGTGGAGGGAGCTGCGGGCCACTCCCCACTGCGCTCTGTAGGGCTTTGCCTGGACCTCTAGGGAAAGTCTGGCCACCTGGCCCAGCCTTGTCTACGCTTTGGTGAAATAGTCGCGCCTAGAGTGAGATGCATGATGCACACATAGGCCAACCCACCCTGGCAGGGCGATGATGTCGTGCTCCGTGGCGTGATTGCCATGGCTTTCAGCTGCAGGCAGAGCCCAGGCCAGGAGGAAAGGAGCGGCAGCCCAGGCAATGCAGATGTCTCTCTTTTTCCTACCGCAGAAAGGGAAGACTCCCAGTGAATGGACCCTATCTGCACTTGGCTGTGACTTTCCACCAAAGTTGGGATTCTCCTCTTCTCTAGAAACCCATCCTTTAGGTGGGCTGAGAAGTTTGGAGATGTATAGCAAACCTCTTGAATGATTTTATATTTCTGAGATTTGAAAAAAAAAAAAAAGGCCAGGCATGATGGCTCACACCTGTAATCCTAGCATTTTGGGAGGCCGAGGTGGGCGGATTGTCTGAGCTCGGGAGTTCAAGACCAGCCTGGGCATCATGGTGAAATCCCGTCTCGAGTAAAATACAAAAAATTAGCCCTGCGTGGTGACTTTGCCTGTAGTCCCAGATACTCAGGAGCCTGAGGCAGGAGAATCGCTTGAATCGAGAGGCGGAAGTTGCCGTGAGCCGAGATCTCGCTACTGCACTCCAGTCTGGGCGACAGAGTGAGATTCTGTCTCAAAAACAAAAACAAAAACAAAAAACATAACGTCCATAGAGTTGTGACAGTCTTCCCTCAAATGGCCATGGGAAGCTCAGTTCACCTGCTGTTTGCGTTAGACGAAAATAAGGGTGCTCTGTGAGCTTTGTTAGTTCTGGGGTTCCTATGGCTAGCTCCTAAAATATGCATGAGGCCTGTATACACATTTGCAACTTGGAATTACCATTTTTATTAAGTCTCAGGGTTAAAAAAATAAGTAATCATTACATGAAATGGGTGTTTCTTTTGGCAAAATAAAAATCTGAAAGATACTAAAATTACACAGTTCATTTCAACCAGATGCTGGTGAGTCCTTCCTCAGAAATCCGGTCCTTGCACTGCCTGGGAATACAAACAGATGCTCTGTGGCACTTCATTATTGGATTGCGAGCACATTGATGTTTCATAAAGGGCATTGTAGAGTAATGTTTGCCATGCTCCATGCCAATTGCGGGCTGAGATTGCTACAGCATCATGGAACAGATGGAAGTTAAAGTCGTAGCTAAGCTCCAGTCTCCATTTCTTTTGATGAAGAGCTCCAAAGATAGCTTTAAGTGAACTTTCAAAGGTAACTTTCTGGGCTTCTAAAATGCATAAAATTTATGGAGGGTATTGCACTAAAGCATGAGAAATACTTAGGTACGCCTCTTATTTGTCATCTTTTGGGGACTAGACTATGTGCAGGCTTATTGGTAAAGCTCTTTTCTAAATAATGTGTTTGTGCACCCTTGGTTTAGCTATCATTTCTGAGACTATCCCCATTTTCCTCACCTCCATGAAAGGGAAAGTTTACTGGAAGGTTGCAGCAGGTGGAGGTGGCTGTGTGCAAGCCTGTGGCATTCTGCTAGCAGGGTGCTGCTTGCAGTCTCACTTAGCAACTAGAGTAATGGGTAGATATGGCATTAGGGGAGATAAAAAGAGAATAATTTATTTTCATGAAACTCTCAACCTCATTGAACTGAAGAGCCCACACAGCAGTGCTTAAGAACCTGTGGGTTAGAACTTGTCAAAATCGGATTTAAAGTCCTGATTCGGATACTCACACCCTCGGCGACCCCTGCAAGTTGCTGGCTATTAATATTTCTGAGCTTCAGGTTCCGTGTCTACCATTTAATAATAATCCTGACTTGACAGGGTGGTTGAGTGGTTACATGGAAAAACACTTCGAAAACATTGCATGGGATGGCTGGAGACTGTACCTATGGGCTGTCACTGCCGTGCACACACACACGTGTGTGTGTTTTCACAAGCATGCCCAAATATGCATAAAATACCAAATATGACCAAGAAGATAAATATCTAGTTCTTTACCACAGCTCGCATTTCCTATTTCATACAACTTTTCCTCACAGACAGACAATTTCTTTTGTGAATAGAGTTCTCCTTATTGGATAAAGAAGCACTATTAGCATACACCAAACACTTCTAATCCACTCATGTTTTAGCCACGCCATGCTTTTGATCCACTTCTATAAAGACCAATGGAAAGGAATACCTTGGCCCTTATTCCAGTGGGGTTTTTCCCTCTGGCTTAACTGTCAGTGAAAATATCACTTTCAATCTTGCCTGGGATCAGAACCTGGAGCTGTGATGTCCACAGCATCCTCCCCTGTGACAGGACGGATATCCATCCCTTTCTCTTAAGTGGAACACTAGTATGTTCAAAAATCAAAAGCATAAGGCACAGAAAGACAAATATCATGTGTTCTCACTTACGTGTGCAAGCCCAAAATTGTAATCTCATGGACGCAGAGAGTAGAATGACAGGCCCCAGTGGGTCTGCTGAGAAGCAGGTGTGTGGGGAGGGTTGGTGAATGAGAGCAAACCTGCAGTCAGAGAGAAGGAATGAGGTCTGTTCCGCAGTACAGGAGGTGACTCTACAGTTAACGACAATGTATTGTATATTCCAGAATAGCTAGAAGAAAATATTTGAAATGTTCCTAACACAAATAAATGATAAATGCTGGAGGTGATGGAGACTCTAAATACTCTGTCATCATCACTACACATTCCACACATGCATCAAAACAGCCTGTCCCTCCCCCCCGCGAATCTGTGCAAACACTATGCTTCAATACAAACTACAAAACAATCCCATCTGGGAACAGGTGAGTGATGTCTGTCTTGGCATTGGAATGTCTGGTTCGGGAGGACAGTGGCTGGGGAAGGAGACCTGTGATTGAGCTTCTGGCCCAAAGAAAGGGACCACAGTGTCTGGGGAAGAGACGGAGGGGCTCCTGTCCAATGGTGTCCTCCATCCTAACCTGTCCCTTTTGTTTCCATGTCAAGGAACTGAGATGGAATGACCCCACCTGTCAGTTCACTGGAACTGCCATGCCCTGATATTGACGTGAAAGGGGTATGCTAATGTCCCAATGAGAAATACTTCGACATTCTGACTGAAGCTCCCCTGTGGCAGGACAGATAGCCAAGACTATGCTGAGATTGCTTAGAAATGTGCTTTTCTAGAACATAGATTTTGTCATCAAGTTGCATGATTATCCAGTAATCATATGTATTATTTTAATAACTAAAATGGTTTCTCCCTGCTCCTGCCAAGTTTACTTCATGAGTGTAAACAGCATGAGCCGGAGGGTTAAACTGGGATTTTCCGTCAACTATGGTCTTTAGTATTGTGCACTAAATATAGAAGTTCAATGAAAGTTTTGTTGAATTGAATTACTAACTCAATTTATATCAGTATACATATATCAGTATGTTTATGCCAATACCCATGTCTGTATCTATATCTATAGTTCTGTATGTATCAATATCTATACCTATCTATATCAATATCTTTATAATATAATTATCTACGTCAAATCAATACCTGTATATCTATATCTATACATAAATGTATCTCTGTCTACACGTATCCTTATCAGTACATCAGCACCAATATCTATGCCAATATACTATACTTGCCTGTATCTGCATCGGTATATTTATCAATATCTGTACCAGTGTAAATATCTACATGATCTATACCTCCACCCACGTCCACACTCACATCCACATCCACATACACTTCCACATTCACATTCACACTCACACCCACACTCACATCCACATCAACATCCACATCCACACCCACATCCACATCCATATCCACATCCACACCCACATCCACATCCATACCCACATCCACACCCACACACTCACATCCACACTGACATCCAGACTCACATCCACACCCACACTCACATCCACACCCACACTCACATCCACACTCACATCCACATCTACATCCACACCCACACTCACATCCACACTCACATCCACACCCACATCCACACTCACATCCACATCCACACCCACATCCACACTCACATCCCCACTCACACTCACATCCACACTCACATCCAGACTCACATTCACACCCACACTCACATCCACATCCACACTTACTTCCACACTCACATCCACATCCACATCCACACTCACATCCAAATCCACACTCCCATTCACATCCACACTCATATCCACACACACTCACACTCACATCCAGGCTCACATCCACACCCACACTCACATCCACATCCACGTCCACACTTACATCCACATCCAACTCACATCCACATTCACATCCATATGCATATCCACACTCACATCCGTATTCCACACTCATATTCACACTCACATCCATAGCCACACCCACACTCACATCTACACACTTCACACCCACAGTCACATCCACATCCACACTCACATCCAAATCCACAATCCCATTCACATCCACACTCACTCACATCCACACTCACACTCACACTCACATCCGGGCTCACATCCACACCCACACTCACATCCACATCCACACTTACTTCCACACTCACATCCACATCCACACTCACATCCAAATCCACACTCCCATTCACATCCACACTCATATCCACACACTCACACTCACACTCACATCCAGGCTCACATCCACACCCACACTCACATCCACATCCACGTCCACACTTACATCCACATCCAACTCACATCCACATTCACATCCATATGCATATCCACACTCACATCCGTATTCCACACTCACATTCACACTCACATCCATAGCCACACCCACACTCACATCTACATCCACACTTCACACCCACAGTCACATCCACATCCACACTCACATCCAAATCCACAATCCCATTCACATCCACACTCACATCCACACTCACACTCACATCCGGGCTCACATCCACACCCACACTCACATCCACATCCACACTCACATCCACATCCACACTCACATCCACTCCCACATTCACATCCACATCCACATCCACATCCACACTCACGCTCACATCCACATCTACACTCACATCCACACTCACATCCACATCCACACTCACATCTACTCCCACATTCACATCCACATCCACACTCACACTCACATCCACGTCCACAGTCACATCCACACTCACATCCACATCCACACTGTCATCCATATCTACACCCACATCCACATCCACCCTCAAATCCACATCCACACTCACATCCACATTCACATTCACATCCACATTCACACTCACATCCCCAACCACATCCACACTGACAATCACATCCACATCCTCACTCACATCCACATCTCTACCTCTCTATGCAGTGGCTTCATGAACTTGATGTTTGTAAAAGTCATACCCAAGGAAAGGGCTACTAATTCCTGTTTAACAATTGGCCTTTTAAGAGATAATTTTCTTCTTCACATTGGTTTCGAGAAAAATAGTCTGCATTAGAGGCACAGGATTTTAGAGACAAGAAAATAGTCATTCCAGTGACTACGTCCACAAACTATTGGAGAAATGTGTTTTATCCATGTACATGTATTTGGAATGAGGACCTAAGGGTATGTTGTTATCTCAGCCATCGAGCCATGCCTGGCCTTGTCCCTAGCTTGCAGCGCTATCCATGGTCAGTAGGTCACTGCTGCTCACTCCTTGTGCCCAGCCGCCCAGCTCTGGTATTAACAACACCTCCGTGTGTATCAGGGGCTGGGAGCTCTGCATCTTCGCTATGCTACAGAGCTTCAAAATGCAATCAAAAGGAAAAGCAAACTCCAGGAAACACTGAGACACTTTTAGAGTTTCTCTGGGAATTTTACTTGGTGAAATCACTTGCAACCGTCTACTAGAAACCTCCCCTGGGAGTGTTAATGCCATTTTTTCCTCTCTTCCCCTCAATGGAAATCAGGGATCAATCCTCGGAGCCCTTCATTACTTGACGTGGGAACCCAGGTGTGAGCATGATTAGCGGCGTTTAGGTGGAGCGCTTTCT
This sequence comes from Homo sapiens, assembly GCF_000001405.40. Classification (NCBI taxonomy): domain Eukaryota; kingdom Metazoa; phylum Chordata; class Mammalia; order Primates; family Hominidae; genus Homo; species Homo sapiens. The sequence continues at coordinate 3,787,189 of NC_000005.10, forward strand.
GGGACAAGGTTGCATTAGTCCGCCAGGCCGTCAAACCGGGTGCTCCTCCCATGCTTTTTCAGGCAGAAAATCTCTTAAATTGAATAATTGTCATTTTCCAGCCCTCAGTGAGGCCAGAAATCACTAGAAATCTCATTTAAACTTTCCCTCCTCGTTCTCAAGCAAATTTACAACAGCGGCCAGTACTTTTGCAAGATCGCTGGAGAGAATTCATCATCAGAATAGAGGTATTTTTCTCCATTGTTGAGCCAACTACCTTCCATAAATTTTTTCATCATTTCACCCATCTTATTATGACCTTCCTTGGATAAAAAAGCCCAGCTCTAACTCTTTCTTTCTGCCGGCAGTGCCTCCCTGTGTATGATATGGTTAATATTGATTATAAATCACAATCAACTCTGCAAGTCCCGCCCATCTCCCTGGACTCCCCTTGCCCACCCCCTACAGAAACTATTCTCTGCCCTTCACCTGCTGTGAAATGCTGTTTTGAATATTTCTCCTTTAAAATGGAATCGCCACTTCCAACTGTATTTATCTAGATTGCAAGACCATCACGATGACTTCACGTCAGTGCCAGCATATGCAGCCGTGGAATACAGTGAGCGCTCTCTGCGGCTGACAGCAATAGCGGTGATCTAATTTACCCGGCGACTGGAAGAAACTCTTTGTACAGGCTCTGGGTCCCTTTGGATTAGTGACTTCAAGGTCAACTGGAGGAGAAAGGAAGCAGGGCTGAGGGTCACCCTCTCCTGTCTCATTTGCATGCTCTTGAATATATGATTTTAAGAAACATGCGTTTTTGATCTGCAATGTAAAAATTCCTCAATGATTTTTTGTACAGATGTGCAGAATACAGGAATGAAATAAAATATTGAGAATTTGTGGCCTCACTTTTTTTTTTTCAAGCTTTCTACAGTGATGCTAAATTCAACTTTGACCACTTGGGTTTTTAACGTTACTTTAAAAATCCCAGTCTCAATTAGCTCCTCCAAGGCTGATGTGACTGTAGGCACATTATTCCCGAGGCTAAAGATATAGTCATTTTCCCATCTAGTTGACTTTAGCGTAAAAATACAATTGAATCATAAGCAACGGAATTGTATCTATTCAACTCTTTTCTTTCTCAACTAGAGTTAATAATGCTAGGTTTTACTCCTTCCTCCTAAATAACATAAAATATACGTTTCATGCGCGTCCGTGTGAAGAGACCACCAAACGGGCTTTGTGTGAGCAATAAAAGCTTTTAATCACCTGGGTGCAGGCGGGCTGAGTCCAAAAAGAGAGTCAGTGAAAAGAGATAGGGGTGGGGCCATTTTATAGGATTTGGGTAGGTAAAGGAAAATTACAGTCAAAGGGGATTTGTTCTCTGGCGGGCAGGAATGGGGGTCGCAAGGTGCTCAGTGGGGGAGCTTTTTGAGCCAGGATGAGCCAGGAAAAGGACTTTCACAAGGTAATGTCATCAGTTAAGGCAAGGACCAGCCATTTACACTTCTTTTGTGGTGGAATGTCATCAGTTAAGGCGGGGCAGGGCATTTTCACTTCTTTTGTGATTCTTCAGTTACTTCAGGCCATCTGGGCATATACGTGCAAGTCACAGGGGATGCGATGGCTTGGCTTGGGCTCAGAGGCCTGACAATATGAAATTGAAATTAGCACATCTCCAGGATGATTAGGTCTTGAGTGGATTTTATTAAATTTACTCACATGCTGTTCACTTTTTCTTAACCAGAGAGTGTGTGTGGAACTAGGCTTCTTTTCTTTCCTATTTCTTATAGTAATAGAGAGAAGCTTTTTTGTTGTTGTTATTCAGTAACAAACCAAAAACAACAAATAAAGCCATGGAAAGCAATGTGAAATAAAAAGAAAGCAATGATTATAGCATTATTAAAATTGAGAAGAATGATAAAGAGCTTTAACTGACACTTTATATCATGCTGTGCTCTCTGCTAAGAGCTCCTTACACAGGCTGGGCCCAGTGGCCTATAATCCCAGCATTTTGAGAGGCCAAGACAGGAGGATAGCTTGAGCTCTGGGTTCGAGTCCAGCGTGGGGAAGACAGTGAGACCCTGTCTCTACTAAAAATACAAAAATTAACGGGGCGAGGTGGTGCATGCCCTTAGTCCCAGCTACTCTGGAGGCTGAGACATGGGAATCGCTTGAGTCCGGGAGGCAGAGGTTGCAGTGAGCTGAGATTGCACCACTGCACTTCAGCCTGGGAAACTGAGCCAGACCCTGTCTCAAAAAATATACATGTATATGTATATATAAAAATATATAAAATATATTTTAAAATATAAATAATATAAATATATAATTTATATATTTTATATTATATATTTAATATTATATTATATATTATATTATTTATATAATACATATTTATATAATATGTTATATAATATAATATATAACATTATATATTATTTTATTATATTTATATTATTTATATTATATTCTTTATATTATAAAAATATGTAAATATATAATATAAATAAAATATGTATAAAAATATAAAAATATATATGTATATATATTCCTTTTTTAAGAACTCCTCTCACAGACCTGGTCATGGCTGGTAATCCCTCTGCAATGCGGAGGAAGGGAGGGTCTTTTTGTTTCAAATGTAGATGAAGCTCTGCCAATGTCTGTGGAAGAAGAAAAGCATCCTACAAGACGATGGGGGCGCCCACCAGAGGAGGAAAAGCAAACATCGGGTCCGGCACAAGACAAACGGGCATTTTCTGGGACGGTGACGGGACTGGGAAGTGCAGTTGGGGGTTGGGGGCAGGACACAGGAGAGGATGTTTGGGAAGATGGACAGGTCCGTTCAGCCTCCAGGTGTGGAGCCTGGAGCATCAATGGGCACCAATGGGGACGGGACGCTCAGCGTGGGTTCCTGCAACCGTGCATGTCCTAGTCCTGGCACATGCCCCAGTACTGGGACCCTTACCAGGCATGGGGAGCCCAACAAAGTGCGCTGGAGAAGCCTCACTCAGGAGCTTCAGTCATGGAGCAGCCAATACCAGTACTTCAGGCAGCCGCCATGGGTTTAAAGAAATAAAAATAGGAGACATCAGGCATTTGGAAGAGAGAATTGGGAAGATGTGTTTGCCAAGCAACCGTGAGCATGAGGAAAGCATGGCACAAGGGGCCACGGCTGCAGTTCTCATCAGGGCCTGTGCAGACACTTCTAGTTCAGGGGACAGAGGTGGTGGTAGTGGAGGGACGACCAGGAACCACAACAGAGGCTTCCTTATGCCCTTTTGCCTCAAAACAAAAACAAAGCAAAATAAGCAAGCAAAATGCTTTCTCAAGGCAAAAACTGCCTCTAATCAATAAGCACCTCCCTTTTTCTGGATTTCCAGGGAACAAATCTGAAAGTCCCGAGGCCTGTTAGGAAAGGCGGCAATGCCACCTGGGCTTGCTTGTTTCTCTGGCTAAGATTTATGACTGCCTAGCGGATGGGCTATGAGATCCACGTAAATGTCCTCTTCTGGCAGTTTTGATGAGGGAAAGCATTCTTTGAGCTTTGGGTAAAATTGTGCAGATCATAGTATTTTAGAATGGGGTAGTCACCTTGTGGGTCATCCAGGCCAACTGTGCTAGGTGCAGTCACAGAGAAGGTAAGTGTCCATGTGGCAGTGGGACTCAGAGCTGGCTCTGCAGCTGAAGCCTCAAGCCCCTTCAAGAGCTGACCATGATGCTGGGGTTGGTTCATTCCCACCAGTTCTAAGGGTAAATGCTGCATTTTCCTGCAATGAATGTGACTTTAATCCAGGCATCTGTGCTGCAGTCTATCGAGATAATTACTTTCAGGTCAATTGCGGCAGACCTAAGCTTCTGAGAAGGTTCTGGAACTTACAACAAAGGAAAGATTGTCTGAGCCTCCCAGGCTTGGGCCCGGGGTGACAGGCAACCATCTCCTGCCTCTGGAGTGGATGTGTTGGGTGGAAGGTTGGCAGATGAGACCTGCTTCCTCAACCGATATGCTCGTACCCCTGGTTGGAAGGACCTTCAGCAAAGTGGCTAGCTCTGGCCAGCCCATCCTGCTGTTTAAACTCTTCTTAAGGCCATCAAGTCTCAGGGAAAGGCTGAAGACCTTTATTGGCTACAGAACCTTTGAGGATCTGATGAAACATTTACACACGTTCCAGGGCTCACAGGTGGCTTGAAGTCCACTAGTCTCCTCTTCTAGCTCCTTGACAGAGAGTGCAAAGGCCACTTGTCTTTTCAGGCATGCAATTTCCCCCTATATAAAATAAAGCTTTTGCTTCAAGTGACTGTGAAGGACTGTCCCACTCACCATAACATGGTTCTAAGGGGAAGTCTCAGCTCGGCTTTCCACATCTCTCTGAGAACTGACACTCAGAATGTATTTTGGAGCTCAGTTCTCCTATGGAGAGCCTAATAAGCAAACAACTGTGTAATGAAAAAGGTGACTATTTTTGTAAGTACAGATCTATGCTGCGACATCTCACCCACATAAATTGCAGGCAACCATGGGAGATTTAGTACCTCCAAGTAGGAAGGTAGGCCGTGTGGTAGAGTGAGTCTGGTTCAAAAAGGCTGGCTCTGAATTTACCAGCTTTGTGAACTTAGACAAGTTACTCACCCTCTCTGAGCCTTGTTTCCTCCTTTATAAACTAGAGAATAGAATCTTCCAGGGTCATTGTGAGGAATAACAGAGAAACTGCATGGGAAATACATAGTGCCTTGCATGGCACTTACTAACCCCCCAATAAATACTAGATGTGATGATGATGATGATGATGAAGCTGCTACAATCATGATTTTTCATAGAAGAAACAACTGTACTCAATATACTTTTTAGGAAGAAAATGAGAGTCTGCAAACGTTAACATAGTGTAGTGAAAGGGGTTTCAGATTTCAGAGAGACTTGAGAGGGGTGGGAATGGCTATGGGCTGAAAACAGCAGGGCTTGCACCTCACTTTATTTTCTGTGAGTGACAGACTGGACGCAACCAGAGAGTGTGACCTCAAAGGTCGGCCTGGAGACAACAGCATTGTTGGAAGAGAATGTGAAAAATAGCTTAAGAAGAGAATCAGAAAGGCACACATGGGGCTCTTACATTTGGGTCAGCAAATGTTTTAAAATTGTGGGTATGTTAAACATGAGGCTAAAGGTAATTTTAATTTTGCTATTATTTCAGGTAAAAAAAATGATAAAAGTGGAACAACACCATCTTGTTAAAAGTAAAAAATAAGCTTAATGTTTTCTCTAAAAGTGAGGTGCCAAAATGTCATTGAACATGAACAGTTAATCTGCTCTCTTAACCAGAATGCTTTGCCTGTTGTCACTACAACACCAAGAGCTCATGTGTCCTTCAATGATTCAATGAAGACCTTACATTCTATCTTAATGAGTACATTAAAATTCTTAAAATCGGAACATGAACCAATGATATATAAAATAGATTAAATCATATGCATTTATTGTTTAGCATTCTTTCCATTAATTGTAAGCTTTAAGATCATGTCCAGATTCCAAAGGAAAAAAAAATTGTCAATGTTATTGTCCTGATGGATTCTTTCAAATGCAAATTTTCCAGGTCGTGTGGCCGTATGTGTGTTAATGTTCACCTGTGAAAATAAACAGATCTAAAGTGGTGTAGGTGTTGGCAGTAGCCATCACCTCTATTGTACATGCAAAGCACCAGCGTCTTGCAGTTCTTCATATGAGCAATTTCCTGCTGCATTTCTTGATATTTTGCAGAAGTTTTCAATAAACAACATAAATGAAAGATAAATGGTGCAAATGAAGAAAATTTCTGGCTATTCAGTAGCACTAAACATGTCATCCTTTTTATAATGCCATGGTTTGGGGATTTCATTGTAAATACACAATTATATTGAAATGAGGAGTGAAGTTTCTTCTTCTTCTGTTTAAAGTGGAAAATCAATGCGATCAGTATTTTAAATTACACATTGTTTAAGAAACAAGTAAATTACTGACTGTTTCATTGGGTTTCTAAATGGCCCTGAATGTGCCGGGTGAGCAAAAGTGGCTTAGGCAAGATTAGAGGGGATTTCTGTGACAGGGAAAGATGCTATTTGTAATTATGTATTTTAACTTGCCTGGGTATAAAAACATCTGATTACCTCATACTTAGCAAGGAAGCATTTCCTTGGCTGTTTTGTTCAAAGTAAACATACTTAAAATACATTGCATGGCTGAAAATGAAACTCTACAACTGAATCTTGAAGACTGAGTGGGACTGAGTAAGCTGAGTAAAAAATTGGGAGAAAATTCCCTGGAAGTAAAACATATACTTGTAACAAAGCATATAAAGTATACAATTTCTCATCTATAAAGCTACATACACTCTTTTATACTAAGTGAAAAAGAATATGTATTTTTTTCCTAATAGGATTTGGTAATTCTGTTAATATGTTTTTGTTCTTAACATGACATGGGGGAAAGTAATTCTGATTACATTTTTTAATAAGGAAATTTGGGCTGACTATTTTAAGATAAAAGTTTACAATTAGGAGACATTCCATCCATGAAAAAAATATAGACTATTCAAATTATTGAGAATACAAGGAAAATACAGCCCAGTTTTTGGGAGTTCTGCTCCCAAAGAGTGAGGTATTCTCCTTCCACTCTGGGGAACCCCAGCTGGGGCCTAACTCCAGCCACAGTGAGCCTCTCAGTGTGAGCATTGATTCACATGGGTAAAACAGAGATGCAAAAGTAAAAATTGTTGTTCTTTCATGGAGATTATTATGTCAGAATCTGCAATTTCTTCTCATGTTTTCTTCAGTTTCTTTCAGCATGTATATTCTCTTTAACAATGCTGAAACCCTGCATGTTCTCCCTGAACTACGCGTAAATCAACAATGACCTCATTCTTGTTGGCTTCAGTGTCCGTGTGCATAATCCACCGCCTTTGTTTCTCCTTTATTTTCCAGCCTCTGATAATCTGATTCTCTGTTCACCTCAGCATTCCCGATAAAGACATTATCCATCCACTTTTCTAGAAGATCCTCAGGTGGCCACATGCCAACATGTCTCTAACACCACTCCAGCCTTCTGGCTGCTAGAGCCTTCCCTGGCTTTGCTCCTAGAGCCCCCCAGGACTCTGTCCACTTGTGCCTTCTGTAGAGAGGGTTGCCCTGACCATCATGTCTAGCCACCACCGTGCGATTTTCTACCTGTAACTCTGCTTTATTTTCGTTCATAGAACATATGAGGAAGCACTCGACCTCCAATCCCACGTCTGTTGCTCTCTGTATTAGTCTGTTATCATGCTGCTAATAAAGACATACCTGAGACTGGGTAATTTTTAAAGAAAAAGAAGTTGAATGGACTCACAGTTTCACATGGCTGGGGAGGCCTCACAATCATGGTGGAAGGCAAAGGAAGAGCAAAGGCATGTCTTACATGGCAGCAGGCAAAAGAGCGTGTGCAGGGGAACTGCCCTTTATAAAACCATCAGATCTTCTGAGACTTATTCACTACCACAAGAACAGTAAGGGAAACCACCTCCATTATTCAATGATCTCCACTTGGCCCCACCCTTGACATGTGGGGATTATTACAATTCAAGGGGAGACTTGGGTTGGGTTACAGCCAAACCATATCACTCTCCCAGTGTCTTCCTCTAGCAGAAATCCCTGGGGCAGCACCCTTGTCTGCTTGCTCACCACCCATTCCCATTGCATGTCAGCTCCCAGGAAAGGAATGACTGATGCCAGGGCCTGGCATTGAGCCAGTGATTAACAATGTTCCTTCTCCATCCCACCTTTCTTTAATAAAAAGTTGTTCATCAAGGGAAAAAAAAAAAACCTGTTACAGAAATATAAGAAATAAAAAAACAAACTTCCTATAGAAAACCCATGCCATGATTTGTGGAATCACTTTGGCTCTGCTGGCTTCAGGGCCTCCACATCAGTGGATAGTGGATGGGTGGATAAGTGAATGGCTGGATAGGTAGATGGGTGGGTGGCTGAGTGGCTGGCTGCCTGGCTGAATGGGTGGGTGAATGGGTGGATGGGTGGATGGATGTTTGGCTGGTTGCCTGGGTGGATGAAAACTAAGGACAAGTAGAGAAAATAAATATTTAAGATCACCCAAGGGAAATCAACTCATGTTAAATAAACTCAGATCTCTAAGCTATGTGCCAAGTGAACAATATAGACTAGTAACTTACCAACTCACTTTTCAAATGGGAAATTTCACATAAAAATGGACATTTCCATGTTTTCCACTTATAGATTATTAGTTAACTAAATACAAAAAAATTAGCTATGTCTGTGAGGATGCAGATAATCCTATGCGAATAGTAGCTGGATGCCTGTTGTGAGGCCTATGCATGTTCAGAACTCAGAGCTGACTGCAGGTGTCCACGGGGGTTGGGGGGTAGCAGGTCTCTGCAGTCCTCTCAAGACCTTCCTGAGGTCCTCCCATCCTTAAAGACTGATTTTAGTTTAAGCTTTGGAAAAAAATTTATCCTAATTGATTTTTCCAGGAAACAATAAAAGTCCATATATCTGATATTTTTTTCTTACCTCTTAGCGAATGAGGTAAAGTAATAGAATCATTATTTATTATGATTTAAGACACTCAAGCATATTTAATAAATGATGTCACTTACACTACATGTGCCCTCCAGCCAGACCTTTTATTTTATTTTAACTATGGGATTATTGTCTATGTTGCATGTGCACTTGGACTTGGATTTTTTCCCAGCATTTCAAACATCATGTGCTCAGAACTGAACTCTTTGCCTGCCCCCAGCTTTCCCTGTCCCTCTGAATGGCCTTCTCCAGACCCAATTGCATGGGTCAGGCCTAGGAAGCCATCTTCGAAAGCTCCCTTTCTCTCCACCCTGACATTCCTGGATCCCTGTGACAAGGGACCCAACCCTCAGACTCCAGGGAGTCTGTTCTGTGTCAGCATCTTCCCGCCTTCCTCAACCTCTCTATTTTAGCTCATCTTCTTACATTGAGTTCTGGCAGTGCTTGCTTTCCAGAACCAGCAGCTATAACCTTGTCTCCCTCCAGGATATTTTTTGAGGGAGCAGAATTAATTTTTAGATATTGTAGAAATCAAAATTTGAAGGCATTGCTCCAGTACATTGCACTCTTCGGTTGCTTTTCACTTCACTTTCAGTAAAGTGAAGAACTTTCCACAGTGGACCAGACACAAGGGATCCAGCCTGATTCCCCTGCACCCACAGTCCTCTTCCACTGCATTGGTACTCACTGGGCCCTGAACTTCAGCAGAGCTGCCTTCCTTCAGTTCCTTAAAAGTGTTAACCTTCTCTGCCATAAGGCATCCCTCATGCTGTTTCTTCTGTCTGGGATACTCCGCCTCTTGCACTCCAGGGCTCAGCTGTGATGTCACTTTCCTGTCCACCCCAGAGCAACCTTGACCCGGTCTCTGACTGTCTCTAGATTTTATATGTCTTTTATGTGATGACTTTGTAAGGCCCCACAGTTGCTTTCATAATGTTTATAACCATTGTGATCTCTAACTATGTGTGAACTTATATGTCTAATGTCTGCACCTCCACAAACCTCAAAACCCATGAGTTTACTACTGTGTGCATGCCCAGCTTAACACCCGATAATAGAGGGTGCTCGATTGATGGATGAATTGAGAGTGGGTGGATGGGTGATTTGGTGAAAGGGTGGCTGGCTGGCTGGCTGGATGGATGATTGGGTGGATAGTGGATGAGTGGATGGGTGAATGGCTGGATGGGGTGGATGGGTGGGTGGTTGGCTGGCTGGCTGAATGGTGAATTACTGGATGGGTGGCTGGCTGGCTGAATGGGTGGGTGGATGAGTGGATGGATGTTTGGGTGCATGGGTGCATGGCTGGCTGGATGGCTGGATGGTTGGGTGGATAGTGGATTCGTGGATGAGTGAATGGCTGGATGGGTAGATGGGTGGGTAGCTGGGTGGATGGCTGGCTGAATAGCTGGGTGAATGGGTGGATGGGTGGATGGTTGGATGGATGGATGGATGGGTGGATAAAAACTGAGGAGACTTTAGAAGAAGCAGAGAAAATAAATATTTAAGATCACCCAAGGAAATCAAACTTAACCAAGTGGAAACTTAGAGAAAGACAATTCACATTTGCTCAGTTAATCTAGATGTAATCTATGTTCTTCTTTTATTCTCTCTTTTCTTTTCTTTTTTTTTTTCACAAATTGAAACAATTGCTTTTTGGAAGCTTGACAATATTTTTTGGGGGAATAGTGTAAGAAAACGCAAGAGCTTAATTATTTAGAAAACACAATTTCTATTTAATAAATAAATATCTGCAGGTACTGATCTGGGCGTGTAATCCAAGCATTCAGAACCTTCATTTCCTTGCTGATGCTGGAGGAAACAGTGAGTGTGGAAAGCCAGTTTCCATCCATCCCTGCGCCTGCATGAGCAGCGCAAATGCAGGGCACCCTGCTCTTCTCCCAGAGCTGTCACTCCTGCATTATCACGCCAGCCACAGTTCAGATCCTTATCACCTACTTAGGCTTGCCATGTTTTCATCTCTTACTTAGACATATTTTTTCCCCTTGGGGGATAGCAAAGGGCATCTTCAGGCACCCTTACCTCTCATATTGAATTGTGAATTTGTCGTGGTGGATTAAATTAATCAAAATGGCCTTAGAAGAAAAATCCCCATGTGTGCGTACCGAACTCAAATAATTTCTGTCAATTTTAAAATATAGACACTTCTTTCTGTAGACCATTCTCACCTGCTGTTTTCGTATATCATGCAGTGGAATGTGCATTTATCCCAATCCTTGGTGGCCTGAACTTAAGCTACTGTTTAAATTTATACCTAGGCAGTAAAGCAAGGATTAGAAAAATACCATCAGGAGTGGAAATGGGTCAGATTTAAGTGACTTGTTTTCAGTAGGACAAAACATTTAGAGAACTGTAAAACTAAAAAAAAATTTTATCATCAAGCTTTAAAAGATTTTACATTTGGCAAATTTAATAAAAGCTTAGCTGAATAACAAGTGATATTACAAACCTAAAACACGAATATAAAAATAATTTGCCAAATTAAAAAATGAATTAATTTGTTCATTTATTATTGAAATAGCTCAATGAACACTTGCATTAGTACTTTGATCCACAGCCACTTCCTTTAGCAGCAAAAGAAGAATTAACCAATAGAATAACATATGGAAGAAAGGTTTAAAAGATATTTGCTATCAAACAGAAAGATATTTTTAATTTTCTCCATCAAAATTTGTAGAATTTTATACTTATATTTTATTTTAGAATTTGAAAGTTTCTAAAGATAAAAATGACCTTCTCTTTACTAATTTGAAATCAATTAATATTTATTATGGTAGTAATGGAGGCACACACAAAAATAAGGTAAAATCACCCACTGTCTTTTCATACATATTTCCCCCATCCCAAGACTAGGATTATAATTTATAGATTTTCACTTAACAAATGGACATTTTCCTATGTTTAAATAATTTTTAATGACCTTAAGATGTACACTGTATCATCTAATAAATCACTAGCTAGTGTTCACGTTCTTTTCTATATAAACAACAGTGAGATGAACATCTTTAGAGCTCTGGTCTTGAACCCATGATTAACAAGCTCTTTATGAAAATTCCTAAAAACTGAATTGCTTGTACAACAGTATTTACATTTTTCAAAAATTTGATACATTTTGTCTAATAGTCCTCCAAAAAGGTTGCCCTAATTTCTACATTTAAGCACTGTAAATGGGTATTCCCACTAATCCCTCAACCTCATCATCAATGGAATTTGTAATCTCTGTAAACTCTGAAAGTTGATTGGAAAATAATGAAAACAAAATGTATTTGTTCTTTCCTGACATCATTGACCATTTGAATATCTTTTATTAATTTCTATTGTTTATCATTTTTTAAATATTATGGGTGCTGACCGAAAGTAAACACATACACACACACACACCCCATTTGACTATTGCAGTTATTAGCACCTTACTTCTCTTCTGCATCTCTAACATATTCCTAATATCTAAATAAGTGCATGGACCTTCAGCTACATCTAAGACAGAAAAATTAATATTAGACTTATTCTCTGGCAATAAACAGAAAATAAAATGAAATTAGAGGAACTTTGTAAGACAAATGTCAGCAGATATCAGACTTTAACCAGTGTAGGTATGTAAGGATTTGAGAGGAGCAGAGCACAGGTGGGACCTCACATTGATGCCAGCATTCCCCCTGAGGGCACCTTCCAAACTCTTGGTGCAGAGGACAGAGCCCCAGCAGAGAGCAGTGGTCTTGCAGGGTGACATCCATAGGGAATAAAGATGGGGAATGCTAAGGCAGCTGTGACCTCTCAGGGCAGCCTACTAGAAGAGATGGTACTACAGAGAAGCATTCTCCAACAGAATTTGGGGGACTTTGACCAACTCCAACTGCAGGCAAGACTCCAGAGGAACTGGCAGGGAACCACAAATGGGAGGCTGAGAGCTGAGCAAGCATCTCCATCCTGGAGAAACATTATGATGTGCCTGGCCAGAGTGGAAGGGTTACGGAGTTGAGACTTTAGGAAGCCTGTGACCCGGTGGTGCAGCCCTGCACCATGCGCAACACTGAGTACTGTATCTTCAGAGGAAAGACAACCATGACCCAGCAGTGCATTCCTGCACTGCACACAGCTCTGAGTGCTGTGTCTTGGAAGGACAGGCAAAATGGAAATAGACCTATTGTCACTAAGCTGAAACTAAGTTTCAAAGGTGACCTGCTGGTAATGTAACAACAAAATCAAAATCTAAAGCTCCCTTCAGGAAACCAAAATCCAAACCAAAAAAAGCACAAACTAAATTTTAGCATCTACAATGGCTCATACACAGATTCTTACACATAGTCAGAAATCATTACACAGAGAAGCAGAAAAAAATGTTTGACCATGAAGGGACAAAATAATCAACAGAAGCAGACTCAGCATAATCCAGATACTAGATTAGTCAGAAAAAGTCTTCAAAATAAATATGCTAAGTTAAAGATGTTGGAGAAAAGAACAAAAATGAATGAAAATATGGAGAATGTTAAAAAATAAAGTACATAAAAAGAGTCAGATGGACATTTTTGAACTTCCCAATACTGTCTTAGTCCTTTCAAGTTGCAATCACAAAATTGAGTGTCTTGTAAACAACAAGCATTTGTTTTCATAATTCTGGAGGCTGCGAAGTCCAAGATCAAGGCATCATCAGATTCAGTGTCTGGCAAGGGGTCATTCCTCTTAGATGACACCTTGTAACTGTGTCTTCATGCAGTAGAGGGTGAACAAGCTCCTTTGGGCCTAATTTATAGGGATACTAACCCTTTATGAGGCTGGATCCCTCATAACCTTCACAAAAGCCCCACCTCCTAATACCTTCATTTAGGAGTTAGGATTTCAACATAGGAATTTTGAGGATACACAGCATTCAGATCACATAAAATACAATAACTAAAATATGAAAAAGAACTCAATGGCTAGGTTTAGTAGAAGATTGAACACAAGGGAAAATAGAATTAATGAACTAAAAAACAGATCAACATAAATATCTATATTCAAACACTGAGAGATAAAAGAAACAAAAACAAAGCAAGCATAGCATGTGAGTTATATGAGACATTGGAAAAGGGTCTAGCACACATACCAACAGACTATGTGCATATATTTTGCATTTGTGTGTGTTTATCTGGGAGTATGATTTAACAAGCTCATTCTTAAACTTACATGAAAATGAAGAAAGATGAGGAATAGTCAAGGCATTCTTGAAAATAAAGTAGGAGAACTTGTTCTACTTGATACTAGGAATTATTCTGAGGCCAGAATAGTTCAAATGATTTAATATTAGTACAAGTACAAATAGATCAATGGACCAGAATAAGGAGATTAAAAACAAATCTACACATGCACCGACAGTTGATTTACAACAAAGATGGCACCACAGAACTATAGAGGAATGTTCATGTTTTACTCAGTTACACTTCAAGGCATTGGGGTTGGGGAGATCAAAACTTGTGCAATGGGGTCTTCTCTTTTCCATTAACAATAATTCCAGTTATCTCCACCAACCGTCTGTTTCTTTCTTTTCTTTTCTTTTCTTTTTCTTTTTTTTGTCATTCTTTCTGCCAGGTGTCTATGTCTGGGAGTATGATATTTCCCTTGAAGGATCTCCTAAAATATGGCATTTGGAATATCTAGTGCCCATGTGGTTGTGGAATGACTGCTTCTTGTGATTGTAGAAATAGATGCTTCTTGTAGTCCAAGCTCAGCTGCGTGGCTCTCCGGAGAAACTTTCTTGCCCATGCACACAGACCTTTTCCACTCATCTGCAGGAAGGTGCCCCTCACAGACATCACTCACTAGCACACTGGTCACAGAACACTCCCCAAATTGTTCCACATTGAATATCAGACATAATTCTGATTAGTGAAGATTATCTCTTTAGAGATCAGATTTGATTTTCACGTTTCCAGTGTCTCCCACTGCTTCACTCGTATTTTCCTTCCATTGCTGCATTCAATGCTTTCTCCCTAAGGTCTTGAATCCCATGCAATACTTTTGCCCTGTTGCCCTGTAAATAAAATCCATCTTCTTCATGTGCTACCTCAGAGCCCATTTCCCTGGAACACACAACTGATTCATGTGTGCTATATCACTTTGCTCAACTGAAGGTATTAAATGATCATGGCGTGACAAATACCATGTTATAGTAAAGAAAATGCTACAGGAACATTCCACATTAACTGTTTGTCTACAAAGCCTTCTTCAAACAGTGTCTGGGATAGGCCACTTGCAGTGAACACTTGCTAGTTTGGTACAAACATCCAACCCCCTTCTCAGAATCAGCATAATGTCTTGTGGGAAATTATCTCTGTCTTCCAAGATGAGTAGCCCCTGTAGGGGAATGACAAATACAAAAGGGGCCAGCTGTGTCCTCTTACTGTCTTGAGATGGCCACATGATCATGGCGATAGTCACGTGATCTGAGCTCAGCCAATGAGATCCTTCTGGGACTTTGCATCATGAACTGGTGACATCAGGTATGAAGGAAGAGCTGGAGGTGATTCTTTTCAATGGACACATGCAGCTGAGCCATTTCCAGCTACAAGGCCATGGCTGTGCTTCTACTTTCCAGTCCTGTGGAATAGCTATGAATTTTTTGTGTGTGGTGGGGTGGGGACAGTCTCACTATGTCACCCAGGCTGGAGTGCAATGGCATGATCTCAGCTCACTGCAACTACTGCCTCCCAGGTTCAAGCGATTCTCTTGCCTCAACCTCCTTAATAGCTGAGATTACAGGTGCCCACCACCATGCTTGGCTAATTTTTCTATTTTTAGTAGAGACAGAGTTTCACCATATTGGTCAGGCTAGTCTCGAACTCCTGACCTCATGATCCATCCACCTCGGCCTCCCAAAGTGCTGGGATTACAAGTGTGAGCCACCGCACCAGGCCTGCTGTGAAACTTTTGAGTCAACTTCCCAACACCTTTACTATAAAGTCCCTTTGTACAGTCTCTGTTTTCTGCAAAAAAGGAATCCTGTGATCAATCCCATGTGACCCTCCTTGAGGCAGTTGGAAACCTAAGAACCACCACTTAAAAGTTCACCCATTTATCATGAACATCATATATGAACAAGTATGCCCTCTGAGCACTTTTCAGTAGTTTTTGAAATCACTATTTGTGTGGTTTTTCTGTGATCTGTCACATTGGAAATAAGACTTCAAATTAGGTTTGTTTCAACTGATTTCTTATTTACTAACCCATATGGTATAAACAACATGTATTTGAAGAAACGTAGACTAACTGATATTTCACATTTTATAATTCTGTCCCATTTATAATGAACACACCACTATGTAAATTTTAGTGTGCCCTCTTTTTCTCCTTTTTGAAACTGGGCCAATATTTTATGTCTCTGTTGATGTGGCTGTTTTACTTTCTCCATGACTTCTCAAATATTTTAGAAAATCTGTGACTGCAATTATGTCTTTGAAAAAAACAAGAAAACAAAACAAAATTTAAACACTGCTTACAACTCATTTTCCTGGAAATCATCTTAGATTGGCTAACACATTTAATTTTTCCTCAAACACTTTTCTTTATACTGCTATTCCTACATTGAACACTATAACTTTTCTTAGAAAAAATGGATTTCTAGGGGAAGCTGGTTGTGTAGGAGTTTGCAGTCACCATTCTGTTTCCCAAGGAGTGGCCCTATCTGTCCTTTCTTTGTTGTTCTAACCACAGTTGAGTCGTATAGACATTTTGGAGGTTAGCTTTCACATTTTGTGATGAATAGATCTAATCTTTTTGCTTTTAAAGCCCCTTAGAATCAAGAAAACCTTAAAAATAACAAATAATTGCTAACAACCTAGCAATAAGTTCCAAACTGAGGTTTGCTGTCACATTCATCATGCATGCCAAGGGAATCCTTTAGGAATGAAACTTGAATTACTTCAGTTAAGGAGAGGAAATAGAAATATGAAACTGTATCACTGGACAATCATGCCAGTACTTAATCTTCTCAATGTTAGAATGGAAACATGGCTGGAAATTAGTTGTTTTATTTTATTTTTCTACTAAATCCAATGTTATCAATAAGTGGTTTTCTTGTTCTGAATTTCATGGTTTAGCAATCTTTAGTGCCAGAATTATTTTTCCTTAGGAGTGTGGACATAGGTGCTATTATTAATTTGTTAAATATTAAAGGTAATTTTAGCCCATTTAAAAAAGATAACGTTTGGAAAACCACAGCATTTCAATCTGTTAGTAAATTTTTGTCCTGTGAAACTATAACTGAATAAATGGGCATAGCAATCCTAAAAGTGTTGATTATGTTCTACAAAAGGCTTTCCTTTGTGGAAATAATGAAAACAAACCTGGACCTAACTAGAATCTGAGAACTCTATCACTTATATGTCTTTCCTGAGTAATCAAGTGAACGATTCCTTTATGCCCTTGGATGAAGCATCTAGTATATTCCTCAAAGCAGTTGAAAAAATTTGCATCCTTATGAGATTTTTATGAGGCTCTGGCCTATGACATGGCCAGCTCCGGCAGTTGAATAGTGAGAAAATGGACTTAACTAACATCACAGCGATTATTGAAATACAGATAGCCACATAACCTTGACACTTGGAACATTTCTGCCCAACTAAACTTCAGCAGCAATTTATTCAGAGAACAATTTAAAGTAAATACATATAAAAGAGAGATAATTCTATACGTAAGCTAATATTTTCATTTGGTCTTCATAGTAGCTGTTGTCTTAAATACATACACAAGGAGGAAAAGTCAAATCAGAAAGTCTTTCTTAAGAAGCAATTAAATTGCACTTTGGGAGGCCGAGGTGGGCAGATCACAAGGTCAGGAGATCGAGACCATCCTGGCTAACACAGTGAAACCACGTCTCTACTAAAAGTACAAAAAATTAGCTGGGCATGGTGGCGGGCGCCTGTAGTCCCAGCTACTCGGGAGGCTGAGGCAGGAGGACGGCAGGAACCCGGGAGTCGGAGCTTGCAGTGAGCCGAGATCAAGCCACTGCACTCCAGCCTGGGCGACAAAGCAAGACTCTGTCTCAAAAAAAAAAAAAAAAAAGAAGCAATTAAATTAGATATATGAAATGGAAGAACCCTAGTTATAAGGGAAAAGCCCTATCTCTATTCCAAAAACAAATTTGCAGTTTCTCCCATGAGCCTGCACACCTATCTGATTCTGTGAAGGTCACCTGCTTCTGAAACCCTGTCACATTTTGGTGACTTCTTTAGTTTTCTTTTTGACAAATATTACATTAGTAAAGTTTCAACTTGGATCATATGATAATTGAGCAATGCAAGAACTTGTATTTTTAAGGGAAACTAACACATAAAACATCCATAATAAAAAACAAACTCTACATTTGGTTGCTGATGTGATTACAGAATTTAGTTCTGCATCTTGATGAAATAATTTTGACAATCCAATTTGTAATCCTAAAATGTCATTGTGGAGGTACAGACGTTTGGAATTGCATGTGTGTGCATATGTGTGTGTTTGTGAGCTTTTGTCTACAGTGTCAAAAAAAAGAAAGAAAATAAAATTCATCTCTGATTTTCAAAAGTCATTTTGCCTGTCAAATTTTATTTGGCCTGCCTGAGTCTTAATGGTGCCACATTCACTCTCTGGTTATTGATATGAAGCATAAATCAATATTCTCAGGAAACTGCCAACAGTATTTCCATAAGCACTATTTTCACAGACATAGTAAGTAAAGCAAGCAGCAAACTTAGGGAAATTATATTCCTTTGCATAATCTTTCTTAAGGCCTAACAAGAATATTATCCCAACATTTCCAGTAAGGTTCATTGTTGCCTGTTGCAATTTTGTATTTTTTTCTATTACCAGGTGATTGTTTCTTATTAGCCTATTTTACAGTCTCTCTATTTAGAGAAAGAAGATCTCATCCTGATTTTTACAACTGGCAGAGTTGTGCAGCTCGTCTTCATCAGCTTGGCGCCTGCCGTCGACGAGTGTGGCAAACTGAGCTGAAATGTATAGTGTAGAACGACCATGGAGTGGCACACGGACAGAATTCGCTTAAACGTTACTTTGCTTAAATTCCTCAGACTAGTGTTCTCACTCTATTGCAGAGGAGTTCTATTATTCCTAAATGAGGTTTTAATCATAATTTCTATTTTTGAAAAAATTCAAAGTTTGCTTTAAAATAAAAGTAACAGGCCGGGCACGGTGGCTCATGCTTGTAATCCCAGCACTTTGGGAGGCTGAGGAGGGCAGATCATGAGGTCAGGAGATCGAGACCATCTTGGCTAACACGGTGAAAACCCATCTCTACTAAAAATACAAAAAAATTAGCCAGGCATGGTGGCACACACTTGTAGTCCCAGCTACTCAGAAGGCTGAGGCAGGAGAATCGCTTGAACCTGGGAAGTGGAGGTTGCAGTGAACTGAGATCGCGCCACTGCACTCTAGGGTGAGCGACAGAGCAAGACTCCATCTCAAAAAAAAAAAAATGAATAAATAATAATAATAAGATAAAAGTAACAGCAGAACATGTCATGAGTACCAGATCATTTAACCAAGTAAAATGGAAATAAATCTTTAGGACAAAACAGACAAAGCATAGAGGGTAACATTCAGGTACCCCCGAATCCTGCAACGATGGGTGCTTAGGATGAGTTGTTCCATTTCTCAAGCAAGGTTCACTGTCGTGTTCGCACATGGCATTTTATCAAAGGTTTCCACCTACCAACGCAGAAATTCAAATCATGCTTTTGCGCAACGAGAGCTCAGTTCTTACCATCACCCCCTCTTCTAGCTGTTGGAGGTGGGAACCCGGGAGACCAGTGCCTTTCTGAGGCTGCCCTGATAGCCCAGATAGTGGCTGAGGCCAGCAGCATCTGCAGGCTGGCTTCTAGTGTTCATGGTTTCCTTGTGGCTTGGTCCCCAGCAAACTTTTCTGACCATTTCACCCATTAACTTTGGTAGCGGATCGATGCATGAGCTAAAGGTGGATTCTTAATTCACTTCATTTTCTGAAACATGGGAAGTTCAGTATAGAGTTAAAGGGAGATTTTACCTGTGATTGAACATCGGTTTATGTTAGCACTTTACAGAGTTCATAAATTTACAAAAGGAATTAAATAACATCACTATAATTAACATTCAAGCACTACTTATCTTTGGACTTACATTTCTGGATTCACAGTGTTCCCAGGGATTTGAAGTCCTAGAAAAAAGTTGAGCTCTGACACTCTGGCTTGTCATTGAATGGTAGGTGTCACCCTAGCAAAGTCTGATGCTGACATTTTAACAGACAACTGTGGATTTGACTTAATGGTGAGTCTGTCTTTGTTTTATCACAGATTCTACATCTCCTGCAAGACTAAGTTGAAAATATTGCCTGTTTATATTGTTCATGCTTATCTTTTAGAATCCATGTAATAAGTGAGTTTGGATCTAAAACAACCACTGATCACAGTCATGGTTCTTAGAACAGTTATGTGGATTCCGATCTATTTTCATCTTTGTTTTAACTCATTGTGCATACGTTTTTATGTAGATGGTTTCAGTTCCTTACTGGGGAGAATGTTTGTGATACACGTTATAAATAAATATTCCGAAATTTAATTTCTAAAAAACTAGAATTAAAAATTAAGATAGCTAAGATTCTTTTATTATAGATAGGGACCCCAAACCCCCAGATCATGGACTGGTACTAGTTCCTGGCCTGTCAGGAACTGGTCTGCATAGCAGGAGGTGAACTGTGGGTGAGTGACAGAAACTTCATCTGTATTTACAGCTGCTCCCCATCACCCGCATTACTGCCTGAGCTCCACCTCCTGTTAGAACAGTGGCAGCATTAGATTCTCATAGAAGAGTAAACCCTATTATGAACTGTGCATGTGGGGGATCTAGGTTGCCCACTCCTTAGGAGAATCTAATGACTGATGATCTGTCACTGCCTCCCATCACTCCTAGTTGGGACTATCTAGTTGCAGGAAAATGAGCTCTGGGCTCCCACTGAGTCTACATGATGGTGAGTTGTATAATTATTTCATTATATATTATAATGCAAGAATAATAGAAATAAAGTGCACGATAAATATAATGCACTTGAATCATCCTGAAACTATTCCCCACCCACTACCCCCAACCCCTGGTTCATGGAAAAATTGTCTTCCACAAAACCAGTCTCTGGTGTCCACAAGGTTGAGGGCTGCTGTTACAAAGAGACAACCAATGCTGTACTAATAGTTACATAAATTTGTCTTAGATCCATAATATGGAATGTTATGAAGCCTTTTAAAGGAGAGCTTTCAATAATTTTAATATTATGGTAATAGGACCACAATACAATATCTAATTAAAAAATAATACCCATGCAGAGTATGACTTGAAATCTATTTTGAAAATATATTTTACATAAATGGAAAGATAAGAAAATACCTCTTGAAATGTTAATAATAACTTCTGGGTAGCGAGGCTATAGATTAATATTTATCTTAAAATGTTCTATATTTCTAAACATTAAACAATGTTTATAGTCATAAAAAATTAATAATCTGAGAGCACTTTATGTCAGGAGTTTGATTTCCATTCATAGTCAGAAAAAATTAATAATCTGAGAACACTTTATGTCAGGAGTTTGATTTCCATTCATAGTCAGAAAAAATTAATAATCTGAGAACACTTTATGGCAGGAGTTTGATTTCCGTTCACCAATTGCTAATGAAATAGTATGTGAAGGTTTTCTAAGCTTCATCCTGGTTATAAGGCCTCCTTGTAACCTCAGGATTTTGTTTCTAGGAATATTTTGAAATGAAAGGAAATTTTAATCTCTTCAATGGGTAGTCAAATGGTATACATGGATTGGAATGAATGTTGTTTAAACTTAAAATAGTACAAATATATCTCTTATTAAGACAGACTATTATGCTTATAGAGGCTTCTGGTACTGATCATGACAATAGGCTCCAGTTTTCAAATGAGGTCAAAGATTTTGTGAAATATAGATGCTTTATCATGTCAAAAAGGATCAATGGCTATATCATTTACTTTGGGTAAAATAGTTACAGCGTTTAATTTATCCCTGCCCATAGAGAATACGTAGCCATATTCCAATTCTGCAAGCGCTTACTGAGGAGAGAAAGGAGGAGTATGATACAATATACACATCCTTCACAAGTTTTTCCTTGGGCGGGTGTGTTATTAAGGTCTCAGCAGGAAGCAGGTGGCACCTACAAGTTGGGTAAATTCAGGGTGATGTAGAAAATGACTCTTGATGAAACTGTGGGTAGAGTACAGAAAATCAGAGGGGTGGGGGCACTGGGAGCCGTTGATGGGAAGCGGAGAGGGAGCTCTTCCTCCTCCTCCACTTTGGGCTGGAACCAGCACAGGGAGGTAAAGCCGGCTAGACCTTGGAGCATGTGTGGGGAGGAATATCCAACAGACCTCTTCAGTAGAGCCCTGAAGCCAGCTCTCAGGAAATGCAACTGGCAGAATAAATATCGTGATTTCACTTCCTTTCAGTTCTCTGCCTGATCTCCCTATTGACCTGAGCCAACTAGAAGCTAGTCCAGACAGGGAAAGTGAAAAAGGGCAGAGTGGATCTGAAGGGGAAAGCTGAGGTCACAATGGGAATCTCACAATGGGAACATGGATTAACATAAGTCATCTGGTGAAATAAATATCTCAGTCACTAATGCAGGCAAAAAAAAGTTTTTTTCTTCTTCCTCAAGACATAGTCCAGGGAAGGTCACTGGAGAGAAGGCAGGTGGCAGCTACTCTTTATCCGGTGGCTCTACCACTTCTCAAGGCCTTAGATGGGCTTTCATACTTTGCATTTAACCAGAAGAAAGTGAAGAGTGAGTGTGGGAGTTAATGTGGGAACTTTCCCTGGATTGAGCATGGCTGCAGTACACATCGTATCTGCCCACATTCCACCAGGCAGTGCTCATGGACACACCTACCCACAGGGTGGCCTGGGGATGGACATCAGCTGTGAGCAGAGGCCAGAGAGCCTGTTCCCTAAACGTCCAGACAGTCTGCAACAGTAGGACTGGAAGACCATGACAAGTTCATACACGCAAACCAAAATATCATCACAATCCACCAGAATAAGCAAAATCCTATAGAAGGAACACTCACATTTATCTAGGTGGATAGGCAAGGCATATGAACATTAGGATGAATCTTAGTAGAAAACAAAAACTTCATCAGGGAAAACATTCAAGACTTGTCTTAGGCTAGTGTCCTCTAAACACTTTTGGTCCCACATCTGCATTAGTAGAAAAATTTAGAATCCCCATGGATGTGTATGTGTGTTTATGTGTTTCTGCATAATACATGAGATGTGACTATCTATCTATCCTAAATAAAAAAAGTGAAAATGAATACAATTGAAAGTGATCGTATTCTCTTTCTACTCTGCTGCTTTAATCTCATGAGTGTCCCATAGTGCTTGAACACCCCACTTTTGAGATCACGGTTTATTGATAAAGACAAAAAAACCCCACTAAGATGTATAGCAATGAACAAGTAGAATTTGAAATTAAAAACACAATACCATTTACATTAGCACCTCCCCAAATAAAATACTTAGGTAAAACTCTAACACAATAGGTACAAGATCTATATAAGAAAAACTACAAACTCTCATCAAAGACATTAATTAAGAACTAAATACACTTTGGGAGGCTGAGGCGGGCAGATCACCTGAGGTCAGGAGTTCGAGACCAGCCTGGCAAACATGGCAAAACACCGTCTCTACTAAAAGTACAAAAATTAGCCAGGCGTGGTGGTGGGCACCTGTAATCCCAGTTACTCAGGAGACTGAGGCAAGAGAATAGTTTGAACCCAGGAGGCGGAGGTTGCAGTGAGCCGAGATCGCGCCATTGCACTTCAGCCTGGGCAACAAGAACAAGACTCCATCTCAAAAGAAAAAACAAAAAATGAAACAAACAAACAAACAAAAGGAACTAAATAAATTAAATAGGGAGGTATTCTATGTTTATGAATAGAAAAACTCAACAGATCAGTTCTTCCCAGTTTGATTTATAGATTCAATTAAACACTGATCAAAATTTTAGTAAGTTACTGTGTAGATATCAAAAACTGATTTTAAAGTTTATTTGAAGAGACAAAAGATTAAGAATAGCCAATCCAGTATTGAAGAAGAAAAGCAAAGCTGGAGGACTGACATTACATGACTTCAAGACAATGTGGTATTGGTAAAATAATAAATAAATAGATTAATAGAGCAGAATAGAGAGCCCACATGAATATAGTCAGAAAATAAAATATGGAAGATATACAGATGGCAAATAAGCTTATACAGTGATGCTCTACCTCCTAGGTTATTAGAAAAATGCAAATTAAAACAACAACAGCAAGACACTACTTCAGACCAATGTACAACCAAAACCCAGAACACTCACAGCAGGTGTGGAACTGCAGGAACTCTCATTCATTGCTGGTGGGAATGCAAAATGGTACAGCCACTTGGGAGGACAGATTGGCAGTTCTTTATAAAATCAAACATACTATTACCTCACGATCCATCAGTCATGCTCCTTGGTATTTACCCAAAGGAGTTGAAAACATGTCCACACAAAAACCTGCACACAAATGTTTACAGTAGCTTTATTCACAATTGCCCAAACTTGAAAACAATCAAGATGTCTCCAGTAGGTAAGTGAATACATAAACTTGGGTATATCCAGACAATGGAACTTTGGTCAGCACTTGAAAAAATGAGCAATCAAGCCACAAAAAGACATAAGGAAACTTAAAAACATATTACTTAAGTGAAAAATCATCAATCCAAAAAGGCTACCTACTGTATGGTTCCAATTATATCACGTCCTGGAAAAGATGAAACTATGGAGACAGTAGCAAGGTCAGTGGTTGTCAGGGGTTGGGGGAAGGGAGGGATGAGTTGGGGGAGCTCAGGTGATTTTTAGGGCAGTGAAATTATTCTGCATGAATTGATAATGATGAATACATGTCATGATATATTTATCAAAATCCATAGTATATACACCACCAAGAGTGAGCCCTGATGTAGCTGTGGACTCTAGGTGACTGATGTAACAATATGGGTTCATTGATTGTAACTAATGAACCACTCTGGTGGGGGATGCTCATAATGGGGGAGGCTGTGCATGTGGGGGTGTATTAGTTCATTTTCATACTGCTATGAAGAAATACCCAAGACTGGGTAATTTTTATATATATAAAGAGGTTTAATGGACTCACAGTCCCACATGGCTGGGGAGGCCTTAAAATCATGGTGGAAGGCAAAGGAAGAGCAAAGGCATGTTTTACATGGCAGCAGGCAAGAGAGTGTGTGCAGGGGAACTGCCCTTTATAAAACCATCAGATCTCCTGAGACTTATTCACTATCACAGGAACAGCATGGGAAAACCCACCCCCGTGAACCTTACACCAGGTTCCTCCAATGATATGTGGGAATTATGGGAGCTAAAATTCAAGATGAGATTTGGACAGGGACACAGCCAAACCATATCAGGGGGGTAGGAGGTATATGGAAAATCTCTATATTTTCAATTTTGCTGTGAAATTATTACTGCTGCAATAAATAAAGTGTAAGCATAACCAACCAAAAAAATAAAACAAAACAAAAACCCCACAAAGGTATGAGAGTAGAGACAGGAGAGCATGTTCTGGGGAGTAGCTATTGGAAGCAGAGCCAGATGGTGTGGGGATGCTGTCACGTGCTCCTGCCCTTATACACCAAGATCTGCCTCATGGCCCCTGTGCCATAGAGCTCTGCCCATCCGTTTCAATAAATACAGGCAATGAAGATTTCACCAGGAAAAGAGAGGGAGGGGGAACTGTGGATGAGTACTCTGAGTCACCTTTACAAAATGAGCAACACAATGTGAGTATTTAGTTCTAGGGCCTCTGTTCTCTCACCAGTCTGTTGTAAAGGGCCTACCTCATGGGATTGTTTGAATCTACCATTAGATGAGATGGTGCATATGAAATGTTTGAAAAGCACCTGCCCTCAGTAGGTCCTCCATGAAGGTTAGTTATGATCATTATTAGTAAAATTCCAATCTGGCTGGAGCACAGAATATGTGCCATCTGTGGTGGGAGAAAACCCAGACATGCCAGACTGTAGAAGGCTTTGCTGTGGGGTGGGACCAGGGAGAAGAGGAGGAGAGGTGTTTGGCCTGGCATGAGGAGGGCTCGTCTGGAAGGGCTGGCAGGGGGAGCTGAGGAGGGCTGGCAGGGCTGTGGGGAGGCAGGATGGGAGTGGGTGAGGCTGGAGAGGTGCTGTGGGATGGTATGGCAGTGAGAGGGAGGCTGTGATCCCAGTGGAATGGGAACATGAGGGAGAGAGAGGAGGCAGAGGAGGATGGACTCTCATCTTGAGTCACTGCTGATTACCATGCTTTTAACTAACGGAGAAGTCAAGGAGACCACTGGCAAAGAAGGTAATGAGTTTGATCTGGGCTTCATCAAGTTCTGCTGTCCTGAGAAAGAATTTTCCAAATGCAGTCCCTGAACTGCAAACCAAATCCACATCCTCTAGTGGTTGCTCCTGGCAGAATGTCCCATACCCTACAGCTCTAAATTGAGGGCCTAGCACATGCTGGGTCACACACAGAATGGTCAGGGAAACCCAGGAGTGGCTTTATGGTGTGTGCATTGTTCAGTGCTGCAGGGTCCATCCCCAGGCAATTTTCATTTACTCCTCCTGACCTTTACCTGAGCTGGGCTAAGTTATCATAAAGTTGGGGAGACATGCAACATGCCCAGGCCTGCTGCACTCAGACAATGGGCCCAGATCTTTCTCTCTAATGGTACGGTAGCAGATGCTCTGAAATCAGCATTTGATGAAATGTGTTGTTATTAAGGCAGAGAAGGTTCCTCTAGTAAATGCAGATTATCATGCACACCCTTGAGGCTTTTTAACAATAGCCACATAGGGTACTTTCTCAGTAGATTTAGTAGTAATTATAGAGCCCTAGATAGAGCCCTAGAAAAATGGGTTACCAACAGTTTAAAATGAAGGATTTATTTCTATAGTGTCTCATGTGGATCCAAATTAGTATTCTGTGCTCATCTTGGGCATGGAGAGAGTCGAAGTCTTTCATGTGTAAAACCTGATGATCAAGAGCAGATCTTTTACTAGCCCCGGCATCGGATGGAAAGGAGGCTTCACATATGGTTTCATCACTGTAAGACCATGGGAAAAAGATCTTCACTGCCTTTTATTTCATTACAGCACCGTGACATTTTTGACACTTTTTAAAATTAAAATAGAAATGTTTTAAGGTTCAAGCTGTCATTAAACCATATGTTTTATTTGGATGAAATGTTATCTTTTCAGTGGGAAAAAAACACTTTCAGAAATTTCACCCCCGATCCTAGATTGATAAAGTTAGTAGGAAAACAGTCAGTCATCTTTGAATAATTGACTTTATTCAAAATAAGCTTCTGGAATGTTTGGGTAAGGGGAAGGTTGGACTATGTCTACTATCCAAATTAAAGTTAAAACTGTTGTTCCAGTCCCTCAAAATAATGTTTTCTTTTAAAAACAAAACAAAACAACAACAGCAATAAAAAACGCCACATTGTCACTGCCGTGATGCTTCGTGAATCTCCAGAGTCCCGATGTCTCAGAATGGCTAACATCTAAAATGTGATGAACTCCATATTGCTGGCCATATGAAGGTGTCCTAGTATGCCCAGATTTCCATAACAAAATGCTATAGACCAGGTGAGTGAAACAACAAAAATCTAACAAAAATATTAGAGGCTGGAAGTCCCAGATCAGGGGCTCAGCATAGTTGGCTGCTGGGGAGGGTTCTCTTTCTGGCTTTCAGACAGTCAATTTTTGGCTGTGTCTTCACATGATGGAGAGAGACAGCAAAAAAGCTCTCTGGTCTCTTCAAGTAAGGACACCAGTTCCGTCAAGAAGACCGCACTCTCAGGACCTTATCTAATATTAATTACCTCCCAAAGGCCCAATCTCCAAATACCATCACATTTGTAGTTAGGACTTCAACATATATGTTTGGGTGGAAAGCAATTCTGCCCATAGCATTTGACCCTTGGTCCACCAAAATGCATGTCCTTCTCATCTGCACCATACATTCATTCCATTTCAACAGACCCCAAGGTTTTAACATGTTCTAGCGTCAACTCTAAAGTCTAAGGTCCATCTAAATACCTAAATCGTATGGGTGAGACTCCACATACAATTCATTCTATAGAAAACTTTCTCTCCAGCTGTGAACATGTGAAACCTTACACATTATGTGCTTCCAAAATACAATGATGAGCCAGGCATAGGCTAGGTATTTTCATTCCAAATGAGAGTAGGAAAGAAGGAAGGAGCGATGGGTCCCAGGCAAGTCTAAAACAATAAGGCAAATTCTGTCAGATTTTAAGACTTGAGGGTGATCCTCCCTGGTTCAATATTCTGTCCTCTAGGTCCACTAGCACTGCAGGTGAGGTCCTGCCCCCAAGGCTCTGCTGGGGAATCCCACACCCACAGCTACAGGTGAAAGCACTGAGCCAGGTGCCCTGATGATCTCTGAATCACCTTCCAGGTCATTTGTTTCTCAACACGAATGTCCTTCCTGGCTTGTAGATGCTGTCCTTTCCTCACGTCCTCATGTGGCTGAGAAACAGAGAGCCAGAGAGCCAGCCAGAAAGAGACAAAGAGAGAGAGAGAGCACTAATCAGAGAGACAGCTCTCTCATGTCTCTTCTGACAAGGACACAAATCGCATCATAAAGGCTACACCTTCATGACCTCATCTTTGTCTAATCACCTCCCAAAGGCTCCATATCCAAATATCCTCACATCTGGAGTTAGGATTTCAACATATGAATGGTGGGAGGGGGCATAATTTAGTTCATAGCAGATGAAATAAAAATTGTTTTTTAAACTGGAAATTTGTCATCATGCAAACAGACACTCTGAAGTCTGCCTGGATACACTTTTTGGTTGTCTTTAATGGACTGTGAATGAGAGGTCTCCAGAGTGTGACTAGATCTTTATAAAGTGCTTCCTTCATGGGAGAACACTGAGCACAGAGACAGGCTTATCTACAGAGACTTGAATCTGAATCTGGGTTGAAACAGTTCAGATTTACAAATAATATATAATATTTTATCCCTACAGCATAAATATTACCACGTGTGATATTTTCTAATCTGTCTCCTTTCACAATCTATTAAGCAGTATGGATCTTGGAAGGAATCGAAACCAATGACATGCAGAAATGACTAAGTCATTTGAGATGAAACCATATAAAATGCTTAACTAATTCCATTGAGCTTTTCCCCTCCTATTGAGCATAAAAGTATCACAGAGTAAAAAAACATATTTATTAAATGTTCAAAAAGTTCCTATTTGTGACTTTGGCAATGGGGTAAACCGTATGGGATATTATCCTCTTCCCTAAGAACCTTTTATTCTAATATGCTGGTGATAAAAGTTTAATGTGCAACAGAAAACAATAAAGCTGAATGTTTGTAATTTATAACTGAAGTGGATGAATTAATAATTTGGCTTTAATCTATATCATAGACACTGGGCAGGAGGAAGGATCTGCCTGTTAGACCTGTAAGAGCCCATCACCATATTTTTCTAGAGTAAATGTTAGGAAACTAGAAATAGTTTTGTTTTTGTTTTGTTTTGTTTTTGTTTTTTTTGAAATGGAGTCTTGCTCTGTGTCCCAGGCTGAAGTACAGTAGCACGATCTCGGCTCACTGCAACCTCTGCCTCCTGGGTTCAAGTGATTCTCCTGCCTTCGCCTCCTGAGTAGCTGGGATTACAGGCACATGCCACCATGCCTGGCTAATTTCTGTATTTTTAGTAGAGACAGGGTTTCACCATGTTGGTCAGGCTGGTCTCGAACTCCTGACCTTGTGATCCACCTGGCTTGGCCTCCCAAAGTGCTGGAATTACAGGCATAAGCCACCATGCCTGGCCTAGAAATAGTTTTAAATAGTATTATTTAACAGCTATTAACATATATTTATAATAAATTGCAGTACAATTAGAATGTGTATTGTAATTTAATGTATAATACTATTAACAATAATAGTAATAATTATAATGGAAGAGCTTCTGCAGGCAGCAGAGGGATCAGGAGAAGCCAGCGTTGGGGTTTTGGGGCTGTTGGGCTCAGACGGATGGGGAGCTGGTGGCTCTTTCTCAGGCACTTTCATGCCCTTCTTACCTGTATACAGAATGACAGTGTTAAATACTTAATCATCTTATCTGTGGCTTGGTACTCACTGGAAAGAGGATTGTCTTGGAGAGTGGCCCTTCCATCCCGTTTCCCTTTCTTTGATGTCATGAAGAGCAGTGGGTCTGTCCTTCATGGGCGGCAAACTCTGTCTGTGCCCTAGACCTCGCCCCTCTCTCCTTGTCAAGAACATTTCTCCAACAACATTTCTTCTCCTTCCCGGGTCTCCCTTCTCTTACTCTCTTCTGCATTGTTCCATCCGCAAGCATCCATGCTAATGCCACAGCCATGCTGCCTTCATGTGAGCAAATAATTCTTGACATACAGTCTTTTCATTTCCTTACTTCAAAGCATGCTATGTTGTGGAAGAAATGTCTAGTGATTCAGGATGCCAGAACTACCTATCTGTCTATCTGTCTATCTATCTATCATCTATCTATCTATCTATCTATCTATCTATCTATCTATCATCTATCTATCTATCTATCTAATCTTTCTTCTATGTATCTATCTATCTATCACCTATCTATCTTCTATCTGTCTATCAATCTATCTATCTGAATTTCTACCTCAGAAAATTAAACAGTTATAATTTTGGACAAATTCACTTTCAAACTTTTCCACATATATTCAATGTATATACTTATAATAATATATAAATATTATTACTTTTGGAGAAATTGGGACAATAGAGGTACTTTAAATACTCTTTGATCACTCCCAAAAATCTGGTTCACTCTACCTGTTTCCAAATGTATCTACCATTACAGGTAGCCACACCATTTTTAATGCTTTTATATACACATTCATGAAAAATTGAGAGCATTGATTTGTGTTTTTTTTTTTTTTTCTTTTTCTTTTTTTTTTTTTTTGGACGGAGTCTCGCTCTTTTTCCAGACTGGAGTGCAGTGGCATCATCTCGGCTCACTACAACCTCCACTTCCTGAGTTCAAGTGATTCTCCTGCCTCAGCGACCCGAGTAGCTGGAATGACAGGCACGCGCCACCACGCCCAGCCAAATTTTGTATTTTTAGTAGAGACACGGTTTCACCATGTTGGCCAAGATGGTCTCAATCTCTTGACCTCCTGATCATCCTGCCTCGGCCTCCCAAAGTGCTGGGATTACAGGCATGAGCCACCACGCCCAGCCTGATTTGTGTTTTTGAACATAAACAGCGTTACACTATATTTATGACTGCAGTTTGCTTTTGCATACAATGGTATGCTTTTAAAGATCTTTCCATATTTGTAACATATGAATCTTATGTCTTCTTTTATCTTATGAATATATCACCCTCTATTCACCCTTCTCCCAAAATGATTATTCAATCACTTCATATATATTTTTTCAGATAATACAGATTTGAATATTTCTGTAATATAGCCAAAGCAGAATTGATGGATTATAGGGAATGTACAACTGTAATTTTAGTAGAAACTGCCAGAGTATTTCCAAGGTGGCTGGATTTGTGTTTATGCTTCAATATTATTGGTAACAGACAACCTCAAAGCATGAGACACTTATAAGAGCACACGTGAATTGCCATGCTGGCGCATCTGCAGGTTGGCAGCAGTGAGGAGTCTTGGCTGTGCATGGATGGATTCAGATTTGCTTCAGCGTCTACACTTTGTGGTTCAGAATTCACTGGTCATGGCCACATAACAGGCTGTTCTTGTGGACTCTCCTACACGTGGCAGAGGGGCAGGGAGACTGTCAATGTCCCTGTGACTTGAGCCTGATTCCAATCAGGAGATAAGATACATGGCCCGGTCCAACACCAGTGGGAAGGAGCAAAACACTCATCAATTGGCAAAGGACAGTGGTGAGTGGTTCTGATGGGCAGGGGTGCAGACCCACATGCCCTGTGGTTGTGAAACCTGTCCTCCCAGCCGCACCGTGGGAGCAGCTACTTCCTGTAACGCACAGTGGTGTCAACGTGACTCCTCTATTGCAATATGATGAGGGGAAATGCACCCTTCCTCATTATAGTTAATGCTTCTCTGCTTGCTAATGAGGCTGGATTTCCTTCTATATTTACATTGGTCATGTGTGCATTGGGTGTATGCGCCTTATTATTCTGCAAATTTGTTAGAAAGTGTATTTTGTCCGTTTTTCCTATGGGCGTGTGCCCATCTACTTATGGTGAGAGGTATATTTCCTAAGCTATTAGTCAATTGAGGGCACATTCTTTGTTACGCTTGAAACATCCCTAACCTCTCCCCAGCTGTTCCTTGACTTTAAGGTGTCTTGTCACAGAGGAATTTTTAATTTTGATGTGGTTATAATTTTTTATCTTTCTTTTTTTTTTTAGAACTTGATTGAAAGATCTCTTCAATCTATGACTGTGAAGATAATGTTTTATTTGCTTGTATGTATTTCAGGCTTGTTTTTTCGGATCTGGGACTCAGTGCTTCCCTTCCATTTTATTTGTGGTATGAAACAGGTGGGCTTTAGGATGATGGATGGCTGGCTGTCCCTGCTTCCTCTGCTGATGTGCACTACCCAGTCTTTCTGTTCCTCTTGTGCTTTGAAATGGTGATTACCTCCAACCCCAGCTTTGGATATGTTTGGGTCCTCTTGTCCTCTCTAGTCCCTTCTTTTCATGTGTCTATTAGCCCGCGAAATGTCATTGTTGCTATCTTAGTAGCTTGTTGATGTGCCTTGATAGCTGGTAGAACAAGTCACTCCCTCCCTGTCATCTTACTGTTCTAAAATTGGATTGGTGACTTCTGGCTTCTGCCAGGGAGATAAAAAGCTGGAAGGATTGTTGCTCCCACTCATAAATAAGGAAAAGCTAGATAATCTCACAAAACATAATTTTAGTGTTCCCGTCTCAGAACTGACGTCTTACGACAGACAACCAACTGACCTAAAATCTGCAGAAACACCGGTGCTTCCACAACAGTTTTTATTTGAAGAAAGGAGAAGAAAAAACAAATGAGATCTACATTATAGATACAGCATTGGCCTGACAATGAACAATTAAGTTGCTTCTCATTATTCATGGTACTTATGCTCTGTGGAGTCACTGTGAGCCCTGAATCAGATCTTCATTTTAGAAAAAGCATGCTCCAGGCCAGGCGCAGTGGCTCATACCTGTAATCCCAGCACTTTGGGAGGCCGAGGCGGGTGGATCACGAGGTCAGGAGATCGAGACCATCCTGGCTAATACGGTGAAACCCCGTCTCTACTAAAAATACAAAAAAATTAGCCGGGCGCGGTGGCGGGCACCTGTAGTCCCGGCTACTCGGGAGGCTGAGGCAGGAGAATGGCATGAACCTGGGAGGCAGAGCTTGCAGTGAGCCGAGATCAGGCCACTGCACTCCAGCCTGGGCAACAGTGCGAGACTCCATCTCAAAATAAATAAATAAATAAATAAATAAATAATAATAATAATAGAAAGAGCATGTTCCAGGTTCCTGGACTAGGGACAGAGTTGAGACAGATGTATGCAAATGTGTGTGCAGAGCAGCATGGTAGATTCAAAAACTGGCACACAGGAGAGATAGCTAGGGGTGCAGTGGGGTTCATGCCTGTTGCCTGGAGGGGAAGGGACAGCATTGGGCAGGGAGAGGCTGAGTTGCCGTGCAGCCCGGCGAAGGTCTTGGCAAACTCCACAGGGACTTGTGCATCTGAGACGATCTGAAAGTTTGTTCCGTGTTCTGGGGAGGTAGTCAGGTCTCTACAGCCCAGGCAATCCTCAAAGAAACCTGCCCATCCAAAAGTTAAGGAGCAATTTCTCCCCTTTAAACCCTTCAAGGTATTCTCCTCCAAAGTTAAGTGTTGGTTTGCTGAGGGTTAGCATTGAGAAGTGAAAGAACTCAGCTGGGTGTGGTGATTCACGCCTGTAATCCCAGCACTTTGGGAGGCCGAGATGGTTGGATCATCTGAGGTCAGGAGTTCGAGACCAGCCTGGCCAACATGGTGAAACCCTGTCTCTACTAAAAATACAAAACTTAGCCAGGTGTGGTGGCGGGCACCTGCAGTCCCAGTTACTCAAGAAGCTAAGACAGGAGAATTGCTTGAATCCAGGAGGCGGAGGTTGCAATGAGCTGAGATCACGCCATTGCACTCCAGCCTGGGCCACAGAGTAAGACTCCATCTCCAAAAAAAAAAAAAAAAGAGAGAAGAAAAAAGAAAAAAAAGAAGAAATAAAAGGACTCCCGTGTGGGAAGCACAGGATTAAGCTGACCTTGTAACAGCACGAGCTGCATAATGTGTGCGTGGAGACAGACAGACGCATTTGGTTGGTGTGCCTGCCTGATGCCCATGTTAGATCAGAGAACGGTGAATCAAGGGCATGGGTCTCACATGTATTTCATTACCCTTTTCTGCACTTTACCATTCATGGCTTGAGCACATTTGCTTTCTCGGATGAACTGTGCAGCTGCAGGTGTCCCTTGTCTTTCTCAGGTGACACTTCAGGAACCATGCCCAGAGGTGCCCCAGAAACTTCCAAGACGTCACCATCTAAGAAGGAAAAGTAAAGAAAAGAGACCAAGGACAATACATAGAAACTATTTCAGTGATATAAGAGCGGGTTTTTTTCCTATAAATCTTCCCACTCAAATTATTTACTGGACAGATGTCAGGTGTGCTGTCACGCATTGCTCTGTCTTTTCTGAATGGCCTCAGGATTGTATAATAAAAATGATTTTAAAATTTCAATGTGACAGAAACCTCAAGTTTACAATAATTCAGGAATTCACTGAAATGTGTTTCGATGGAGCCCCACATCCCCAAGCACTGTGCCCTCGGTGCAATGCTGGACCTTTCAAACATGGCTGGCCTTTGAGGGACCCTGCACCTGCTCACCTGTGCCCTGGGGGACTGGAACAGCAGCAAGGCCTTCCCTCACAGGCTGAAAATCAAGTTCACACTTTGGGGGAAATAAGAGAGAAAACCAATTTCAGAATGTCTCCTGCCATCCCCTTTATACAGTTTTAGATGGTAAAATCGTCTCTAGGAGTGTTTTCTGAATTTTAGTTGGTGAAGGTACCAGTAAGCCCGCTGTTCGTTGACACCTGGTGTGTGTCCAACACTGTTTTAAACCAAGGAGACCTGGGCTCTTTTAGGAATGGAGGAGGGCATTGTGGAGGGGGGTGACACACAGGAAGGGCACTGAACAAATAGGTTTCATCTCGTTTTCTGTGGTACTTATGCTCTAGAAGGCCACTGTGGACCTCAAATCAGTGCGTCCTGAGTCACTGCTCCTCGGAGAAGCATAGGGGTAAGTGCCTGTGACTCTCTGGTCACAACATGTTTGTCAACCTATTAATACATAACCTCAATTTATGTGTGTTTCTGTTTAAGGGTACCTCATTGAATATTGTTGATTCATTGACACAAAAATGTAAACATTATGCACCAAAGATGGCAGAAAGGGCCTGTCTTTATGGGATGAGCTGAAACAGGAAGTCAGAGTGAGGTCTTCGGCTTCGTCTGGGGACGTGCCAGTCAGGTGACTCACATTTGTCACTACTCTGCACATGAACATGTCCCCAAGTGTCAGGAAGGTGCCTGGAGTATTGATTTGAGGGTTAAAACAACTTCTAAAGAGCAGGCAAACCTGCCCACAGTTCGGATGGACTGTGTAATGGCAATCCAGGCGCAGACTGTGTTGCCACTGAGATCAGTTCTCTGGCATTTGAAACAGATAGAGACCATGCGGATATACAGCAGGTCCTCCAGTGATGCCGTTCTGCTCAACGTGGTTTCTTTACAATATTGATAAGAAACAAAATCCATCCCCGACCGGCGCTGTGTGTGGTTTGCAGGTTCTCCCTGGGTCGGCATGGGTTTTCTCTGAGTCGTTCGGTTCCCTCTCTAATTCCAAAGCTGTGCAGGTTCCGTTCATGGGAGTCTCATGGCCCCAGTGTGAGTGAGTGTCGGTGCTGGTGGTGACCCTGCCACGGGACGGCGTCTGTCCAGGCTGGTGTCAGCCTTGTACCTGAGCTGCCAGAACGGGCTCCTGCCACCCATGACCCTGAACTGGAACAAGCATGTAAACAATGATCTCACTTGTTTTTATTAATCTTTCTTAAATGTATGCATTGCTCACATTTATTTCAATGTTTAATATTAGACGTGTTTGGGGCTTTTACTTAGCCATTTGGTGATGTTTCTGTGACCAGAAACATGATCTTAGAAACTGAACTCTTGTTTATGTCACCTAGCCTATGGAAAAATTCGTTTCATTCTATGTTGTTTTGCTTAAAGTCGCAGTTTCCAAGATCCAATGGACAACGTTAAGCAACGCCTAACCATGCTGGGAATAACTGGCTTGTTTATTTTGAAATGTTGGTTCAAGTAAAACATTCTGTGTGTAGTTACACTTGGGGTGTCTGGGCCGCCGTTTTCTAGAGTATGTGCACATGGGGCTAAAGCAGTGGGTAGGACCCCGATCAACCTGTGGGGAGAGGAGCGCGTGTCCTGACCTTCTGAGGGCTGTGCTGAGGGACAACTGCACTGTCCCCGAAACAAGACACACGTTAAAGCCACAAGAGACAATAGGCACGATCTCTCTGAGCCCCCACATTTCAAATACTGCAATACGGTAAAGAGGTATGTGAGCTTCCCAAGCACTGAGAGTGCCACTGTGGGTTGGAAAGAAACGCCTCCTCCTTCATCCTGAGTGCAATGATGGTTTTTCTAGAGGGGGCTCCAGTGCCGGCCATGCTAGATCCACATTTGAGGGCTATGTTTAGTAATCCATTCGTCCTTCGCTCTGGACGACTCTCCATCTCATGTTTATTATTTTAAATAAATTAAATATTCTAAGAGTCCCCAAAGCAGCACATTCTTTTCTAAATTAATTCCACATAGGATTTATTACATAGAAACTTTAGCTTTTTATACTCTACCAGAAGAAAAGCAGCTAAATGTCTCTCCTATATATCAGGTCAGTAGCTTTTAGTTTTTATTGAATTTTTTAATCTTATCTTCTAAAATCAAAGCACTGGTGAAATCACCACCATTTAAATTGATTAATTGGAAGAGTTGCATTATGTAACATCAAAAAACATTAACACGAATTACTCTAACGATATCAGACAGGAACTCAGCATTCAAGATAATTCTGTAATTTTAAAAATATTAAAATAAAGTCTAATTCCTGGTAAATCTGTGCTGAAAGAGAAATTGTAGCAAACTCAGAATCAGTTTCTAATTTTTTTTTCTGTTTTCACACAAGCAGAAATGTGTGTCAAGTATGAAGACAGAAAAAAAAGCATTAAAAATGTTAGTCTACATTAAAAATGTAGTCATATTTGACAAATACATATCATGCACTTAAAGCATCTAAAGTCAAGTGAAATAATGCACGCACCCTTCTTGTTCAACATTCACTTCATAAAAGAGAGAGACTTGCAAACATAGAACCATTTATCTATTGAATACATGTTTTCTGGGAGATAAAATATAATTCTTACACAAGCACCAAAACATACATTGACAGTATGTGGTAATGTAAACATAACACTGATTACGTTAAGGTGGCCCAAGGCATAGGATCTTTGTAGAATTTGAGGCTGGTGAGGGTGTCCACTACCTATTACTGACAACTTGCATGGAGGAACAGGACCCAGGCGAGCTGTTCACAGAAATGCTGTGTGTGCTCCTGGCTGAGCTCTTCTGTCCCCTAATTTTAGGTTATTTTCCCTCACTATTTTCTCCATGATGGCCACATGTGCAGGGGAAGGAAAAACTTCCTGTATGTGGGGTTTCAAGGTGGATGGGTGAGCTAGGAGTTGTGGGAGGCCACTGTTAACTGAGGATGTGGATGGAGATGCAGAAACCCTGGAGGGCCCTCCTGCCCGCCCTGCACCGTTTGAGTTTGGCTTCAGGTTGGGGGGTGACTTAATAATTATGTGAAAATAGCAGCTGTACAATAATTGGGTAATTTCCCCTTAACTATGTTACTTCAGAGGCAGTAACTGAGGAGCAGTTCCTACAGCAGACATTCATAGTGTTACGGTTGGAATTGTGCACCCACCACCAGAAAGAAATGTCAGAATCCTAATGCCCGGGACCTCAGAATGTGACCTCATTTGGAAATAAAGTCTTTGCAGATGTGATGACTTAAGATGAGGTCACTGGGTTGTGTTCTAATACAATACAACAGATGCCCCTATGCACAGACACCCACACAGGGAGTGCTCCATGTGAAGACAGAGATTGGACTTGTCCTACCGCAAGTCAAGGAACACCTGGAGCCACCAGGATCTGGGAAAAGCAAGGATCCTCTGTTGAAGCCTTGGAGGGAGCTCAGTCTTGAGGACACCTTGGTTTTGGCCTTCACCCTCCAGCACTGTGACAGAATACATTTCTGTTATTTTAAACCACCAAGTTGGTGATAATTTGTTATGGCATCCCCAGAAAACAAACATAAACCACCAGGTCCACGGGAGCAACTGGGTTTATGCAAATTCAAGACTGAGTTGCGGGACAGAGTCTCCCAGGACAGCCGTCCACATGCGTCCACGTGAAGTCCCCTCAGGCTCTGCTGGCTGCCTCCTTCACAGTTCCCCGTTAAAAACACTCACTTTGTGATAAGATGCACTCCAGATGCATTCTACAAAAATAACTTTAGCAGTAATGGAATCGTTCATTATAAAGTAGGAAATGCAGAGATCATTTTGTTTTCTGGTATTAAGTGATCATGTTTATCAGTCGTAACTGAATTCAGGTCTTTGAAACCTGCCTATGCCTCAGTCTTTCCTAGATATTAGGCATGCCTTTGACAATACAAACCATTCTCAAGTTCTTCCATACATTTGTCACACGTTTGTAGCATTCCATGATCCAGATGGATTAAAAGTTCTCCAAGAGCATTCCTATCGAGTAACTCATTCTCTCAAGCGTTTAGCTTTATTCTTGTAAAAAAAAATTGCATACACATCAATTCTTTGGACCATGCTATGTGTATGAAAACAGTTTTAGTAGACTGGGAACTTGGGTTATGGCAGACACAGAAAATTACACATATTGGAACAAGCCATCTTGGTCCCTATTGAAATTCTCCTAAATGAATGCTCCCTGGGAACTCGTTTCCCAGGCTACTCTGTCATCTGTGCTGTAAGACTCTCGGCTCTTTGGGGACCTGAGCAGATCTTGTGGCTGAGATGATGGCTCACTGTTCTCGCATTGTTTCCTGAGCTGGGATGTTGAGCACTTTCCCAAGCAGAGTGTGAGCCAATGCCAAGTATTTTCATCCCCTGCAGCTTCTGACAATGGGAACCAGTCCACGGCTCGCCCATAGAAATGGAAGGGCTCTTCCTAGTTAGCTCACAACATAATGCATCCAAAAAGACGGCTTCAGGATAATAAATGATTTGTGGCTGCAGATCCCAGTGAATTTGAGGGAAACAAGCATTGCACTGAATGTGCATAGATCACCCTGCTGGAGCCCCACCGTGAGCTACGTGAGAGTCTGGCCTGGCAGAAAACAATTCCACAGAGATGAACACATCACTGCCCCTTTATAAACCAGTATGATTTGTTCAGGGAATTCCAAACAGAGCAGGGAACACTCAGCCAGTGTGTTCTGTTGTGTGGCTCTTGTCTTGATATGCAGAAAGGGTAAACATTTCAAAATAGGGAGTCAGGAGGGGTGCATTCTTTTTCCCATCATTTTTGGAACAAAACATTCAACTTGTTGACCCCAATTCAATATGTAAATAATGCTATTTGATGCATGACTTGAGGGAAAGCACACGTAGTCACACCATATAAGTGCCAAATTCTAAGGAATCTTTCTAAACATAGAAGTGTCCTAAGCAGGGTTCATAAGATGGATTATGTATTTAAGATCCTTTCTGAACTTCATATTTAAGTGGAGTTTTTAGGTAAAGTAGAAGTCAGCTGATTTCTATTCAAGTCCACTAAAAGCTGGTCCTCATATTCTGTCTCCTCTTATCTGGATCCAGAGATTAAATACCTACCAACTTGGAGTACAAATGAAATAGAAAGACAAGCTGGCATTGTAAATTGAGAAAGACGGTAAACCCAAACGGGGCACACTGAGCTTTGAGGGTACTGAGCACGCCTGAATGAGGTGCTCTGTAGGAGTGAGGAGGGCAGCTCGCAGACAGGGGATTGGTCTTCAGCTATTAGTTCATGGCAGGCAGGCAGGGGAGATGCAATTTGGTCAGATTTCT
The DNA here is from genome assembly GCF_000001405.40 of Homo sapiens. Taxonomy (NCBI): domain Eukaryota; kingdom Metazoa; phylum Chordata; class Mammalia; order Primates; family Hominidae; genus Homo; species Homo sapiens. The sequence continues at coordinate 3,827,078 of NC_000005.10, forward strand.
TTGGCTGACAAATGTCTTATTAGAATGAAGTTATTGACTTCATCCTTGAGATATTAGCTGATTTTGTTAGCGTTGAAAGACTCCCTCTTCCAGTTCCATCAGGGATTCTCTTTTCTTTCTAAAACATTCAGTTCCAGAGGATTTTTATGTTATTGAAAGTCTTGTTTTTATTTTTATTTTTTCCAGTGCAATGTTAGGTGAAGCCTTAAAAGTGGCAACATGTTTTCCTTACCACCTGTTTAGCATGGCCTCTCCCCACTTCCATGACCTTTTAAAGAGTCAGTAGTGCTGATTTTTGGATGAAGTTAGGAAGTTTTGTCCCAAAGGAAAGTCTTGCATGCTAAACATACTTTTTTTTTCTCTGCATTACTCCTTTCTTTTTCTTTTCCTTTTTCTTTCTTTTCCTTGCCATCTATATAAAGAAGGGTGATGGTGTTTTATGTTCGGTCCAGATCCTCGAAAAGGCATGTTTACCTAAACGTATTTGAGACCCATAAGATAGCATTAAGGAATTCCCTCCTGTGATCCTGTAAGTCTCATTGCTTTTCTGAGGAATAAGGCATTGCTGTCTCTTTCACTGGATTTTTATTTAATAGTGAGTATATCTCCTATTTGAAACGGGGGGTGTGGTATGTTTTTGCTAAGGAGCTGGGGCTTGCCTGCCCTGGGAAGGGCCCGCACTGTGCAGCTGCCAGGGGCGGCCGGCAGAGCTGCACGTGGCTAGGGGGTGCGGACTGCTGGCCTCCGGCAGGTGTCTTATCAAAAGCACTCCGTCTGGTGTTGCTTCCTGTTACTTACCCACCAATATCTACCCTGTGATATTTCTGTTTCTTAAACATAGTTGCAAGAGGAATAATGGAGATTTGCCCACTAAATGAATATGAGAAAAGCTTGAATTTTTAACTAAAAATTTTAGCCCAGGGCTTCTCAAACATTTTGGGTCTATAAACTCCTTCTGCAGTAACGTATCTAATGAATTCCCTCAGGAATTTTTAAAAAGTATTTCATCTGTTACATAATAAAGAAGTGATTTTCTTTAAATAATATTTTAATCCAGAATATCATTAAAATTTTATTCTAATTTTTATTCTTATATAGTCTTTGACAATGGCTAAAACTTAAAGACATTTTGTTTTGGCCATTAAACAAGTACACATTTTATTTTATTTTTTTCAATTACTTATGTGCATAAGAACTCTCAATAATTTGGTTAAAAATTGTCACTTAGTTTAATTTGGTATCAAACTATATTAAAATGTAGATGAACTTTAAGTACAAGTTATGGTACTAAGATGTATAAATCTTGCTATTTTTTTCCTGCTATTTAAAGTATCTATATTTTGTTCTTTGTGTAATTAGTCGGTTTACTTTTTAATCACTTCATATTATTTTAAATTGTAATATAAAATGAGACTTCAGTCTGCTACTTGCAGTTATTTCTTGTTGCACATTAAGATTTTGTCTGAATAAATTGAAAAAAAATTGAATACAAAAATACAGTGAGTATACTGTAATTTTTTCACATTCTCTTTGAAATATTAAATTAATGTTTATATGATATTTTAAAATTTTAATCAATTAAATGCAATTTAAAAACTAGTAAAGATTATATTAAAATGCATTGGTAAAATTATTATAATCTTATTCCTCTGGTTATTGTATTTCAATATCTGTGTTTCTTTTGCATTCTCTCTTAATGCAATAAAACTCCAGATTATGGGTTACACAATATATGAATCTTTCAGCTCTCTATTCCCAAATAACAAACTGTACAAAGCTTCGGTGGATTGAATCAACAACACCTTATTATTTCTCACGATCCTGCAATGTGGCTGAGCACAGCTAGGTGGTTCTTCTCCTTCCCCTGGTGTCTTCTGGGGCTGCAGATCCAAGATGGCACCTTTACTCATGTGACTGTGACCCAGGTGGGGAGAGAAAACAGCAGGGGGCAGGAGCGGAGCTGCACTTCTTACCTGTGGCTCAGGGGTCCTAAAGACCTAAGAGCAAACTACTAGAAATAGCAACACACAGCATCACTTCATTTGATGACGGAATTCTTGGAAAATGGCCCACCTATCTGCAACAATTTCCAAACCAATATTTTGAAACCCTTTTGTACTCAAACTTTGCAGTACAATCGATCTCGGATTTCCTACCTAAAACTAGAGTGATAGTCTTTTATTTTAACACTGACCACTTTAACGTACCTGTGATTTAAATCTAATCACTAGGTGCTGCAGACACAATGTTTCTGAACATGCTCAAAGTGCTGTGGTGGCATTGCTTTAGTGGCATAGAGTGCCCTTGGAGCATTTTCAAGAGGATAGATGTGTTGAAGAACATGTTTGTGTAAGTCAGCTTTTTAAATGACCAATTTTCATACTCTACATTTTATGCATTATGCTTTTCTTTGATTCATATCTATCCAGTTGTAAGCATGAGTGAAATATTTTCATGAAAAAATATTTCATGAATGGTCCTTTTCAGTTTTACAAAATAAATATATTTTAAAAGCATATCTAATGCCATATATATTTACATGCTGGCTGTTTATTCATATAAACTCTACATCCTATTACCACTTCATGGGTAAAGCCCGCAGAAAATCAGAAATAGTCTCCTAGTTTCTTGCTAGGAGTTTGAACAGGATTAAAGTATCTGTTGGGTTAGTTTTCTTTGCTTGAATTTGCATTTGTGAAAGTCAATACTTTCACCTGGCTATATTTTTTCCCACTCTGGAAAATAATCTGCAAATTTGTGTCTTCCTTAAATTCAAAAAGATTTCTTCTGGTTTATTGTTTTATGTTGGTTGTCTTCATTTGCCCTTTGAAACTCTTTAGAAATATATTTTATCAATATATTGAATCTTTGTGTATGCAACTCATATTCTGATTTCTCTTTGATGACTTTAATTGTTTTGTAATTTTATTCTATTTTCTATTTTTTAAATTTGTCATCCACAGCACTGATTCTCTTTCCCACAGTGTTGATCTTAATACTATTTTAAACTCTTCAGTTTTCATATTTTGTGTTTTTTTTCTAGATCTTCTAGCTTTTTCTAAAAAAAAAACTCAGTCTGTTGTTTTATCTTCTTACTTTTTCTAGAATCCATGTTTTGGGGGGTTGGAATACAAATGATTTTAATAAATACGTAATTTTCTATTCTATATTTTATAATACATTTTTAAAATATGTTCTTCTTTTTGTATAAATCTTTTTTTTTTTTCTCTTTGAATATCAGGAGTTCCAGACAGGCCAGATACTTCCTTGCTGCGTGGGCAGATGGTCCTTCAGCCTCCTCTGTCTTTGATGAGTTGTCTGTGCCTGTGTCATCAAAACTCAAGTTATAGGTGTAGAGCCTGCATCTCTTCTTAACAGAGTTTTATGATCTTAAAGGAAACTATACAGTGAACAGCCCTGCAAAGGTGAAGAGGAGCTTATTACCATGACACAGATTTAACACTGGGCAAGTCTCACCTCTCTAAATGTGCATGACCCTGGTAATGTAGTCTCAGTGTGTGTAATGCAAAAATTGACAGATGATTAGGAGCAAAAATAAATAAACCCCTAACCACAATAGGGGAGTTCAATGTGCCTTTCTTATGAGCAGACAAAACTATAAATATTTTAGAAGATGTAGAGAGTGTGAACCACACAGTTACGGAAGATACATCTGATTTAGGAGATGCAGAAGATTTGCATAAAATTATTAAGAAACTTCACAGGGCCAGGCGTGGTGGCTCACATCTGTAATTCCAGTGCTTTGTGGGGGCTGAGATGGGAGGATTACTAGAGCTCAGGAGTTCCATACCAGCAACATACTGAGACCCTGTCTCTACAAAACATACAAAATAATTAGCTAGGAGTGGTGGTGTGCACCTGTGGTCCTAGCTATGAGGAGGCTGAAGTGAGAGGATCACTTGAGCCAGGGAAGTCAAGGCTGCAGTGAGCCAAGATCGCACCACTGCACTCCAGCCTGGGCCACAGAGCGAGACCCTACCTCTTAAACAAAACAAAACAAAACAAAACCAACAAACAAAAAAACTTCACATACCTAATGTGTATGTGTCTACAACATTTAACAAATGGCAGAATATATGCTATATTCAAGTGCAAATGAAATATTTACAAGAATTAACACATGCAAGTGTGTTAATTCACTATTGCTACAAAAGTGCTGCAGGCCATGACGGAGATTAGAACAGCACAGGCAGGTTGGCCTGAAAGGGTCACACTATAGCTGGGCTGGCATGAGGTAGGGGTGGCGTGGGCATGAAGGTTCTGGGTGCAGCAGTCCTGAGCCCTAAAGGACCCCCATAAGTGATATGGTTTGGATTTGTGTCCCCACCCAAATCTCATATCCAATTTTAATTCCCAATGTTGGGTCCCAGTGAGGGACCTGGTGGGAGGTGATTGGATCTTGGGGTTGGATTTCCCCCTTGATGTTCTCTTAATAGTGAGTTCTCAAGAGATCTGGTTGTTTAAAACTGTGTAGCACTTTCCCCCTCACTCTCTGTCTGTCCTGCTCTGCCATGGTTAAGACGTGCTTCCCTCTCTTTCACCTTCCATCATGAATGTAAGTTTCTTGAGGTTTCCCAGCCATGCTTCCTGTACAGCCTGTGGAACTGTGAGCCAATTAAGCCTCTTTTCTTTATAAATTACCCAGCATCAGGTAGTTCTTTATAGCAGTGTGAGAATGGACTAATACAGTAAGGAAACCTCACGTGCAAGGGTTGGGGAACTCACAGCCTCACAGCTCCCATATGAAGAGGCCACCTCATACTGGATTTACAAGAGGGCAGTAAGAACTTTCACTCCCCTCCTAAAGGCAGGGGCCCTCGCTGGAAACATTATAAGCAGAAAATGTAGTAAGTAGATGGAATGACTTGTGTGTGTGAGAGAGAGAGAAAAAAAAGATCTAATTGAAAATCCAATACATAAATATCTACAGATAACAACATTTATGATTCCAAGTTATAATATCATAATAATTAGCTTCCCTGCATGCAGAATACAAGTGACAATTATGTTTAATTTGGTATGGCTTGATGATAATTAATATCCACAAAATTTATTACGTTCGGAAAAAAGAATTGTGAGAGAGGTCAGAAGTCACTGTGCAACAATTACTTCAGACACTTAACATCTATCTGTCTATCAATCAGTCTGTCTATCTACCTATCTATCTATCTACCTATGTATCTGTATCTATTTACTTGTCTATCTGCCTAGCTACCCTATTCATCAATCTATCTCAATAGAGGTAGATACATGGATATACTGATACACACACATTTCTCCCACCATCCATTTAAGAGATTGAGAATTTTAAAAACCGTGTTTTATAAGTGAATCAGTTTATCAACATATTATACAAAGGGTTAAGCACAGTTTTGGCCTTCCTCTCAGCACTCTCCCCAGCTGGCTTCTGATGGAACCCCTTCTCAATGATGATTCTTGCCTATTCTTCCTGTCAGGACTTCCCATTCCTGCCATTTTTAGATTGAGATTATTGTTTGGTGTCTCTGTGAGCCTGTACAGAAGCTCAGAGAGTATGCCTGTGTAAGCTTACACTAATATTAGCAAGTCGTGATTTTCTTCTGGCCAAGAAAAGAATCTCATTCCTGTGAATATGGGAGAAGAGTTAAATCAATTGAGATATTAAGGAAGCTCGGCCATGGGTGAGACTGATGTTAAAATGCGCTGCTCCTGACAATTTGCAGGTTCCCTATGTTTCCAGCTGCTTTCAGAAACATTGCATCAGTGAAGCCTTGATGATTCTTGGAGAAATGCATCATTTTACTTGTTTTATTTATGATCATATTTTACTGGTGACAGCATTAAAGAAAAACTGGCAAAAATAAGCATAAGTGTAATGCTCAAGGTAGAAGGCCGTGCTTCTTCCACTAAGCCACAGGAGCAAATTGAAGACCAAGCGTGAGGTCATTTGGTCTTAATTGTATTAAATGATACTGACAATCTAGCATTGTGTCTGCAATGCCTTTTACCTGTATAATTTGCCTGATCAGATAAGACACATGGCTAGTGATACCATTTGGCTCTATGTCCCCACCCAAATCTCATGTCGAATTATAATCCCCAGTGTTGGAGGTGGGGCCTGGTGGGAGATTATTGGATCATGGGGTAGATTTTCCCCTTGCTGTTCTCGTGATAGTGAGTGAGATCTGGTTGTTTAAATGAGCGTATCACCTTCCACCCGCTCTCTCTTGCTTCTGCTCCAGCCAGCCTGCTTCCCCTTCACCTTCCGCCGTGACTGGAAGCTTCCTGAGGTCTCCCCAGAAGCAGAGGGCACAGTGCCTCCTGTCAGCCTGCAGAACTGTGAGCCAATTAAACCTGTTTTCTTTACAAACTATCTAGTCTCAGGTATTTCTTTATAACAGTGTGAGAATGGACTAATAATATAGCTGGCTACTGAAATGTGTTAAATGGAATAATGGAAAGTAAGTAATAACAACAATAGCAATATTTATTGACCATGTGCTCTGTGTTAGGCACTGGGCTAAATATCTTATATAAGGTATACAGGAGCTCAGTCAATCCTCATTGTCTCATGGCAAAGGGCCCATTAGATGCCTCTTGTGTACCAGTAGACACACTTTCTACTGCCATATGAAAAGCAAGTGAAGTTTAGTGAGTCAGTAAGAGAAGACAGGAAGACCCTCTCATGCCTGGACTGGCCCTGGAGGCAGCCTGCTGACGGCTGTTCAGTTTAGCTCATTGCCGTGTCAAGGTCAAGCTACATCAACGGCAATTCTCAAGTGATTCTGAAATCATCTTTGCTAGTGTCCATACAAATAAATGCCATTGACTTTTCCTCATTAAAATTTATGAGTTATAGAGTGTACAGTTTACAACAGTATTCCTCAAAGAGATGTCCAAGGAGTACCTGTGTCAGATTACTTGGGGATCCTGTTAAAAATTCAAAATTTGGAGTCTTATCTACCTTATCAGATCCTCAGGCGTGGGAACTGATATCTTAACAGACATCTGGGGTCTCTCTTATGAACACTACTTTTTGATGACCACTGCATGAAATAAAACCTAGGAAATGATAAGGAAAATATGGTTTGAAATAGAAAGTAATGACTTGATATGCAATTATAACCCTTTTTTATGGACTATGCCATTTCCCAATTGAGATAATTAAATAAACTTAATGTTACTTGTGCTACTAGATGTAAACATGTAAGTCAACTCATCATCTGTAAAGGTGAACCAAAATTATGGAAATCCAATATGACTGGAATAAAACATTTTTATATTATAAAACTTCCAAAACATTAGTACTGTACTTGTAAGGGTCAGATTTGAAAGGAGAATTTAGTGTGTTATCAGAATTATATGTGTGACGATGACATAATATACTTTGCAGGGAGGCTTTGCCGCACTCTTGTTTATCCGGTCTAGTTAGCCTCCTAGTTAGCACACAGACGCACATCCCACCTCCCATAACAATGGCTGGCACCTTCTCTCCCCAGTCAGGCTGGACTGATCCCACTTTTCCTCTTTCTGGAATGCTGTCACCAAGCCCTGTTTTTCTGAGCCCTTGGAAGGGGCAATCCTTACCTGGACCGAGGATAGTTGGTAATCTTGTTTATTTCCTAAGCACCTAAATTTATATCTAGTGGTGAGACGAATGTTATACAGCAAGCTTGTCCAACCCGCGACCTGTGGGTCTCATGCAGCCCAAGATGGCTTTGAATGTGACCTAACACAAATTTGGAAAGTTTCTTTAAACATTTTGAGATTTGTTTTTTGCAATTTTTTTGGCTTATCAGCTATTATTAGTATTACTATATTTTATGTGTGGCCCAAGACAATTCTTCTTCCAATGTGGCCCAGGGAAGCCAAAAGATTGGACACCCTTGCTATCCAGAGTATTATTTATAGCTTGTTGTTTAGAAATGTTTAACTTATTTGACTGTTTTATTAGCTCCTGATAATAAGTGTGCATGGCCCTGGCTGATGTAATCAATCAAACCACTTCTGACCCTAAAAAGGCAATAGCTTTATTTTTATCAACAGTAAACTTAGCGTGAAATCTTAACCTGACCCCACCAGGGCCAGCATCTCCTGATCATGATCCCAGAGGAATTTTCAGGACATTGATCGGCATGTATATGTGGGCCAGTGTGGTGAATGACAGTGAAAAAATCTATTGCAAGGGTCCCATGGTCATGCAACTGCTGTAATTGGGATAAATCTATATAATTAGATAGCACATTAAATAAAACACAACCATGTGTCATGTAACAACTGGGTCTTTGTGTGAACATCAAAGTAGATTTACACAAACCTGGATGGTAGAGCCTACTCCACACCTAGGCTAGATGGCATAGCCTATTGCTCCTGGGCTACAAACCTGCACAGCAGGTTACTGTTCTAAATACTGTAGACAACCGTGAGGAAATGGTAAGTCTCTGTGCAATAGGAATTTTTCAGCTCCATTTTAATCTGATGGGATCACCATCCTACAGGCGTGACTCCATAAGATAAAAATGGGGCTGAAAAATGTTGGTTGTCTCTTGTCAACCAAAGTGTCATTATGCAACACATGATTGTCGTGTAGCCACTCATGTTTTGGCCACTTAATTCCAAATAAGCATATTAATTTTATTTACTCTTCACTGGGTAATCCAGTTTTTAACCCAGTGAACAAGCTTTTTTTTAAAAAAAATTGTGTTATAGCTATAAAACTACCTTTTTTGTGTTTTTCAATTTTTCAAAAATTAACTTCATATATATATATATATATATGAAGGAAGAGTAGTCTTGGCGGTTGGGGGATATGGGGAGCATAACTGAAATGCGGAGGGACTTTCATTTGCTGGTGTTTCTGATAAGGCTATTCCGAGCAGGGGCCAACGTCTGAGCGCCCATGAGCAGAGCAGATTGGGGCCCTGAGGGCTCAGATAACCCTGGGGACACGCTGCCCAGACTGGGTTGGGGAAGGATTTGCCCATGGACAGGAGCATTGCAGAACATAAACTAGTTTCAAAATCCTACGGAGCTGCTTTTGCAGGATTTGGTGAGGAAGAAGGGCAGGTTGTGGAAGGTGAAAGAGGAAACCCTTCCACCCGGGCTCCAGCATTCATAAATCCAGTTAGTGTTTTCACTGGAGATGGAGACCCACACAAATCATGACCAAAAGTAAAAAAAGAAAAAAAAAACCACCAGCACTTCAACCCTGGAGGTCGTGAAATTGATTTGCTATAAATCTATGTCATTTGGCAGCTGTAAAAGTCAAGAAGAGGAAATGCCTCCAGAGTAGAAATAAGTCACCTTTGACCTCTCTTCAAATAATTTAATACTAAATTTTTATACCATTTTCAAAATTATAGTAAGTAAAATTAGGCTCTGCAGCATAATTATGAAGATGCCATTTAGTGTTTATGAACAATAGCATAATTATTTACTTAACAGTCTTCAAAGAATTTTAGGAGCAGTTACTCCAGTTTTAAAATATCATAATTTATGTTGATTCAAGTTAGAGCCACTTAAGCCATTTACCTGTGACTTAGATTTATTTTATCAACAAATTCCATTCTGACTTTTTCTTTAGATGTTAGCAGTGTGAGTCATTTCCACATACCTGCAAATTCTTGCTTTATTGCCATTTTTTTATTGATGTAAAACATGCGGTTGATGAACTTGTTGGAGACGAGACATCTGGATTCTAGATCTCAGTCTGAAGCACATCCAAACCTTTTTAAGTTACATCAGATAAAATTTTACCTGTACAATTTCAAATCTCACCATCCTTGAAGGGATTGAACATAATGTTATGTTTCTTTAAGGTGGATTATTCTTATGAAATATTAAAACCAAACATGACCACTATAAAAAGACTTTTACAGCCATGGGCATTTTCCCTCGTAATAAAATTTTACTTAGTTTTATTATTCCTTCTGTAGGGCATATCTGGGATCTCACAGAAATGACTGAACTGGAAACGTCAGTAATATGTAATAGCTAGGAAGGGACTGAGCTGTACAGGCTAATAAAGAAAAACTAAAAGCTGCATGAAATTTGACTTAAGCACAAATTATCTGTGGAAAAAAATCTGCATAAATATAGGTACAATTCCATTGTGCTTTCAAAAAGACCACCATGTGCTAGATGGTTAATATGTCAAAATTCATTAAAATGTTCCTATCGTAAAGGTAAGTACAGTAATTTTTCTCTCCCACCTCTGGATTTATGCAAATTTGTGGCTTGAGATAGTTATCAGCCATTTCTGCTGAGATCCCATCAGAATGGGAGCATTCTTTAAAAAGATGTTTTCATGGTCAAAGTTTGTATTCTGGACAATGAGAATTCTAGTACTATATGATGGTTAAAACTAATTGACAGAGATCTAAACTAGTGAACTGGCTGGGTGAACCAATAAATCCTTCACACAGTCAACAGAACTTCAATATTCATGAGGCTTCTGCAAGAATTTCATAGCCCCATAAAAGTCTCCGCAAAGCACTTTGAATTTTAAGTGGGATGAATTATTAAATAGCAAAACTTCCAACCTAATTTAACTTTCACCTGGACTTAGTCAAGGGTGAGGAAACCTCCGTGGAGGGCGTGGGAGAGTTCAATCATGTGGTAAAACACTTATTCCTCTAGAAACAGTCTTGGATGGAAAGGCAGAGTAGTCTTAGCGGTTGGGGGATAGAGGGAGCATAACTGAAATGTGGGGACTTTCATTTGCTGGTGTTTGTGATAAGGTGATTCTGAGCAGAGGCCAATGTCTGAGTGCCCATGGGCAGAGCAGGCTGGGGCCCTGAGGGCTCAGATAATCCTGAGGACAGGCTGCCCAGACTGGGGAAGGAGTTGCACATGGACAGAAGCATTGCAGAATATGAAACTAGTTTCAAAATCCTTATGGAGCTGCTTTTGCAGGATTTGGTGAGGAAGAAGGACAGGTTATGGAAGCTGAAAGAGGAAGCCCTTCAAGAGGACTTCTCAGAAGTATGTCCGGGTCTGTCAGTAAAACAACAGCTGGGTTGGCAGCGGTCATAGATAATACAAATGGAAGCGGCTGTGTCACTGAATGAAATGAAGGGTTCATCAGGTCTGGATGGAATGGCAGCTTGTTCTTCAGTGGTTAAAGTACTACCTCCCGTTTCAGATGGGAACTCCGTTTGCTAGAGCTGTGCCATTATTTCTGGGCTAAAGCAAGTCATAGTCTACCTGAAATTGTTCATACTACGAAACTCCCACACTTCTCTAACAACTTGGTAGATATTTTTCCCTCTGTAGATATATTATTTGTGGTGAGCATATCAGAGAAATATATGCAGGAATGACATAAGGAGGTGGCTTGCCCAGTGGAAGGGGCTGAATGTTGTCCCCACAAAGATATGTCCACATGCTGATCCCTGGTACTTGTAAAGTGGCCTTTTTTTTTTCTTTTTTGGAAAAAAGCATTCGCAGATGGAATAAATTTAAGGATCCAGAGACGGAGAGGTCACCCTGGATTATCCAGGTGGGTCCTAAATCCATCACACGCATCTTTATAAGAGACAGGAGAGAAGACAGAGGAGAATGCCTTGTGATGACGGCAGTAGGGATTGGAATGAGGCAGCCACAGCCAAAGGGCACCTGGAGTTCCCAGAAGCTGGAAAAGTCAAAGAAAAGTCCTCTCTGGAGCCTCTGCTGGGGGAGGGGTGGCGGGGGGTGCTGCAGACACCTTGATTTTGGGCTTCTGGCCTTCAGAACTGTGAGAGAGTAAGTTTCTGCCGTTTTAAGCCACAGCAGCCACAGAAAATTAATACTTCCAGCATCACAGAGCTCAACCGAGGCCCCCTGGTTGTGGATGAGGAGGCAGCCAGGGAGGAATAAAAGCATCTATGAGGCTGGTGCCCAGCTCAGGGCTGTTCCTGAGTGCATTTCCTGATACTCAGCGTTGAAGGTGATGCAAAGCAGCCATCTGATTGGCCACAAGTGTTCTAAGTTCTTTTTTTAAGTGTTGAACAAATGCTTGATCAAATAATTGATCTTCAATATATTGATGTGCTTCATAATTGGTATGAGTCATAACTCATATTTGAACCATTAGAAAACCTTTATTTTTAATTTAGGTTAACTAAATTATCCAACTCCTAGAATCCAAAAATGAATGTTTAAAAATAATAAGTGGAGCTTTTTTCTTTGCTATGTCATTTCTGGTTGAAAGATTCAGAACATAGAAAGCTGAAAGGAAACCAAAAGTTCAGCCCTAACACAAAATGAGGCAGTTGGTTATTGGGAAAAGAATGACCACAATCTTAACTGAGTGCCTGACACGGAAGGGACTTGTGTTGAATGAATGGGTGGGTGAAAGGCAAGCTTATTGGTGGGGTTTGAATACTGCGTTTACTTCTGGGTAAATAAGCAGCAGTTCTCTCAGGTGTATATTTTCATGATGTGATAAATGATAGGTTTTTTTACATTTTCAATTTACATCATTTAAATTAATGTCTTTGTTATGAGAGGAGCCACACAACTTTCCTGGAAACTGGCCCATCTACCATTTTCCGTCATGGGTTGGTTTTCACACCTGCAGTTCTCCTGCTGTCTTCTGTCTTGCCTCTCCTCTCCTGCTCACCTACAGAAAGACTGAAAAGAAGTTTTTTGCCAGCTTGTTTTTCTATTTATACAGTTGTTATTATTTTATTTTCTATTTGAAAAATGTTATTGTATTTATGGATTGTTTTGACTCTTTGTAATAGTTATTACCAATTAAAAATCATGACTTCACAGAACTTACACGCTGGCAGATGATGCTGAACCAACTTATTTCTACATTTATTATACTGCTTACTGACTATTCACAGGTCAGCTGAGCCAGGCTCTTCTACACAGAAATATGTACACCCACTCAGCATCAACATGCACCTCTTAGTAGTATAGCCTGTTTTGGCTGAAAGACAGTCCAGGGGCAAACTGTATTCATGGAGCCTGTCTGCCCATCTGCCTGGGCAATGCCAAGGGGGTATGGCCAGGGGGTGGGAACTGCCCATGTCAGAGTCTGGAGTGGAAGGAAGCAAGTTGAAATTTCTTTGCACAAACCACAGGGAGTTGACAGAAGCCAACCCAGCAGGCCCATCATGCTTTGTGGTCTCCTGAGTGCCAAGAGAAGATTCTTTCTCTGTCACCCCAATTGTTCCCTTTTAACATGGCAGTCTAAACCAGGCACAATTAGGCTTTTTCTTGACATCATTTATCCCAAGGCTTGACAGTTGGAAATCAAAATGGCTCTGCTGCATTCTTTAGGATCTGAGCCAGACAAGATGTTTAGAAAAGTAAAAGTAGAACAGAGAAAACTATACAAACAAACCAAAAAACTTCCACAGTGGGGTAAAAATTTATGTCATGTTTGATCAAAAAATTAAATGTCATTTTTTGGTCATTGATTTACTGATTTGCTATAATTTTCAGTATACTGAAAGAAAAATATCCTTAGAAGAATGGAAGAATCTTTGGCACGTACAACCTAAAACAATTAAATGCAAAGAAGAGACCGCCAAAAGTAAAGGTCTTGAGAAAAATGGTGACTTGGCTTTCTTAGTGCTTTTAGAGACTCTCAGAACACACCAGGCTCAACAGAGTCCTTGGGTCACATGAATGTAACTGAACACTGATTTTTAACAGCTGCGGTTCCTTTCCAACATTGTGTGGGAGATGCCTTTGTAAATCCTGGGCCTGCTAGAGCTACTGATTCCTGCTTAAGAAATTCTGGGCTGGGTGCAATGGCTCACGCCTATAATCCTGGAACCTTGAGGCCAAGGGGGGCAGATCACTTGAGCCCAAGAGTTTAAGACTAGCCTGGGCAACATGGTGAAAACCCATCTCTACAACAAATACAGCAACAACAAAAATTAGCCAGGTGTGGGGTGTGGTGGCACATGCCTGTAGTCCCAGTTACCCAGAAGGCTGCAGTGGGAGGATCACTTGAACCTTGGAGGTGGAAGTTGCAGTAAGCCAAGATTGCGCCACTGTACTTCAGCCTATGCAACAGTGTGAGACCCTGTATTAAATAATAATAATAATAATAATAAAAGAAAGAAAGGACAAAAAGAAAGAAAGAAATTTTTACAATAATAGATACCTGCCATATAATGTTGGATGGTTTTACATAAGTTCTTTTTGGATCTACTTTATGGTTTTCAAAATATTTGTTAAAATAACACCTTTCAATGGACTTTTAACATTTCGTTTTTTGCAAGAAGACTCTAGGACACCCATAATCTTACATATCATCTTGTTTTCTACATTGACCATGCATCTTCCCAGACCATCATGGACTTTATGGGCATTCCATACGAGGCCTGGGACCTTTGCCCCAACCCGCCGTGTAACATCTGGCCTGCAACAGTGGGTGTGGGTGAGAAGGGGCAGCTCTGCTTAGAGAAGAGGCTGCTCTCAGGCACTGATGTCCCTTCACCATGCCCTGAAGAAGAGGGAGGTCCTGCTCTCATGGAGGGCTGGGGCGGGGGGCGGGCAGACTCACGGTTTCATTTTACACCTGTGTATTGAGAATCTAAGATGTGCCAATAGTGCTCTGTAATGTGCTTGGATACAACAGCAGATACTAAAGGCAAGGATGCCCGCCCACACAGTGATCATTTATATATGAAAGAAACTCAGACTGTGATAAATACCCATCTCAGGGATGTATGCAGTATATCAGGCTTAAGGGAAAGAAATGTAAACACAAGCGCTTGTGTCTTTTTGGTCCATTTCTCAAGTGCGACTGAAGATTGTTTCTCTACCCCCCAGCCCAACTCACTTTCCATTGTGTTAGGAAAACTCAGGAAGCCCTCTACACCATGAGGAAAAGGACATCATATTTTACATAATATGTGACACTGAGAGTCCACTTGGTTTTGAACCATGAATTCAAAATACAGCTTCACTTTTTAAAATTAAAACAATGAGATCGTGTTTGATCTGCTCCATCACAGAATGTCCTGAGAAGATGGCAGTGGGTGCCAGTCAGGAATGCCTCCTTCCTTCTGGGGAACTGGGGGTCAGTGAGTTCGTTTCTCTGGATGTTGGTTTCCTACACTGTAACATACATATATTCAACAAGAGACAAATGCAATAGGAAGAAGTGTGTTTTCTAGTGATTTGTATCATTTGGAATACACATCTCTCAATGAATTACTTCAGTTGTTAATTCAATTACAAGGAGTGGGTTTGGTTCTATCTAAGTAGTTTTAACCTCAGATTAACTTTTCGTTGTGTATTGTTATAGTGTCAATTTCCTTATAAATTTATTTTTGAAATTTTCTTACTGCCAAGATGCAATTTTAGATTTTTTAAAAATACAGATAAACACTAGCAACTTTGAAGATGGACACAATTGTACTGAGAGTGAAATGTCCTCTCTGTTATGGTTTCCTGTTGGCATTTGCTCTCTGCTCAATCCTAACTCCAATCTATGTCTCTGGTTTTGTTCTCTGTATGCCGGACTTCCACATACCTGTGACACATTAGCCAGTGTTCTGTGCCCAGGCATGATTAAGCCAAGGGTATATGGTTTGTAGGGGGATTGGTGAGTGTATTCACAGAAGCTTCTGCTCGTTACCATTTGGCCAGCACTGATGGGTGGGCATGGGTATCCCGACAGCAAGCACAGTGGGTGTTTCCCACGGGATCCAGCTACCCAAACAGCCCCTGGGTGCCAGACAACAGCCCAGACTCTCGGGGACAGCCCAGGGCAATATGTTGCTTCCTCAGGGCTGCTGTTGCGAGGTCCTGGAGAGAAGTCTGGCCCTCCTCTGGCTGGCCCAGAATGGACCCAGCTTTCCAAAAGTGCATGGCTGGGGGAAAATGCTGCCCCATCAGCATGCTGCAGTCTTTTTCCCAGAGTGGCAGGGCCCCTGTCAGAGCTCGTTGGCTCAAGCTCCATCTTCCAGTCCACTGCAGGGAGGCACAGGTGGGGGAGTCCCTTCTTCCCACTCTCCGTCTGTCTTAGAGCAAGGTCCTGGCTCCACCTATCCATGCCCTGTTGCTCCATCAATTCATGCCCCGTGAAGTTACAGGTGGCTAGTTTCTTAACCATGTCTGTTTTCATGCGATGAGTTTATTCAATTCCCATATGTCAGGGACAAATGAAAATGAAATCTAGTCACAGGAGGGGCAGGTCCATACGTATTCCTTCATGGGCAAATGTGTCGCTGCCATAATTTTACTTAAATGACAATAATTAAACATTATTTTGTTTAAGTCTCACATCCTGCCTTAATCAGAGAAGAAAAAAATTTGTGATCCAAACTGTTACCTGGTCTGGCCTGTCCCTGGCATGAAATAAGATGCACCAAAGTGAAGATCAATTTCATTACTGGCTTAGAATCAAAGCCCAATATTGAAGAAGACAAACTCTAAATCAGCTTGTTTCTTTGGGGTGTAAAAAGAGGTCATTTCACACATGTGTTAACTGTGAATTAATGCTATACATGCTGACAGAATGCAATTGCATCTTCAATAATGCTTATTAATGAGATAGTTAAATGAGAGAACATGTCATAATCGCCTTTTGTTTTTCCTTTGACATATTATTTTTCCCCACTTAGAAAAAAGGGCACCAGGCTGGTATGCCTAAGAGGCTTATTTGTGCTAACAGACTGTGAGAATTCTGGCAGGTGCTCCAAGAGCTTGGTCTCCACCTTACCCATGCAGTTTTGCAGCTCCATCCCCTTTCCATGGCTGGCGAGGCTGTTTTTCAGTAAAAGCCAGGCCCACGCTCAGCCCTGTGTCTGGGTGCTCTGCTCACAGCCTGGGGGCAGGCAACTTTCCAGCCATGAGAAAGCAGGTTTCGCAGTCAGTGTTTTCTCAGAGAAAATGCATTACTGTGTTTAGTGTGAGGAAGAAAGTGTTTATGAAAGGAGAAGGCTGGGGCCCCCGTCTGAGTGTGTGTCGCTGAGCGAGTCCTGGCAGAGTCATCAGATCTCAGCTTTTGAGTGGTAACAAAGACTTCAGATTTAAAGCAGGTGAAACTGTGTGCCTCCAGGACTGGTAATGGTTGGCTCCACATTTGTTTTCTTCCCTTTTATCAATGGATGTGAGTAGATTTTTTAAAATAATGTTTTCCACGTTGAATTTCGGTCAGCGAGCCTCAAAGCCCTTGTGCACAGGGTAAGAACGGGGGTCACTCCTTTGAGACCCAATGCATAAGAAAGAAAATTAGTAAAAAGGAAAGCCAGGCTTTATTTGTAGAGATTATAATAAGGACAGCATCTTTCTTTTTAAAAGACAGCCAGAAGAGTGAAAAAGACTTGCAAAGGAAAGAAAACACGAGATCCCCCAGTGGACGGGAACTGATGGAAACTTTAGAAAGAGAATGGTAGCCTTGTTTTGTGCTTGCAGTAGAGGAGCTGGAAGGGAACCTTGGGTTCACTGTGCACGGCATGAAGGCATACAGCAGGCGCACTGCCAGGCCTCAGAGTTTTTCCACTAAAACTTGCAAAGTTTATTCTTGCATGCATTAGGGACGTTTTAACTCAGCATCAAAACTCGGTAAGAAATAGAGCTGCCTGGGAAAATTAGGTGGGCAAAGCTGCTTTATTTCGATTTCAGTAGTTCTCCTGCAGTTTTTGCACCCCCTTTCCACTCCAGAAGCACAGGTTGCATTGGAAGTCCAGAATAGAATTTCTGTATTTCACAGGAAAAGATCCCTCATCCCAGTATTTTAGACACTGGGTGTTTCTGAAAGGCCATAACCAGCAAGGACAGTGGACACGGGGCTGAGGACGGGCCTGCCAAGCTACTGCTTCTGTAGCTCCCTGTGTTTACAAACAGCCTTGCCAGCCACAGAAATGACAGTGAGCAGGGACACGGTGAGATGGAGCTTCAAAACTCCATTAAGGTGGAGCTAGGATCTTGGAGCAACTGCAGAATACAGGTCATACATGGCTTGTTTGCAGGTCACTGGCCATTGAGAAAAAGAGGATTTGGGGACCACTGAGAAAAAGAGGATTTGGAGACACCTGAGAATAACTGAGGGGCTTGTAGGCATTGAAGATCCAATGCTACTAGAAGATGGGACTCAGCACTTTATGGTCTTTGGTAGTGAAAGATCAGGTTAAAGAATCACTCTGGTCCTTGGAGTGAGGTGATGACTGAAGGCAAGAACTGAAGAGACCAAACGACCATGTTACAGACCAGTATGGCAGGCACAAGCGCATGTGGAATGGACTGGCTATTTAGAACTGTGCTGGGCACTTAAAAAAGGTCAGTCGTAAGGTTAGAGTGTTAAATCTGTGCCTTGAAGCAGCTTCAGAGAATTATGGGCTTTCCACGTTTGTGCTAATAGATCCCCTTGTTTGCACGTTGCATCAGGGATGAGTCATCTAAGAACAAGCTCAAAGTTTGAACCTGTGGTTTGACAAATGGCAAGGCTAGTTGAATTCACAACCTCTCCAGGGATTTTGTGTGAGAGTGGGGGCTTTACCAAGAAGGAAGTGTGCACTGGCATCAGAATGGGGACATACGAGAAGACTTAGATGACAGAGACTATGCAGAATCCTAAGCCTCTCAGCTTAATTATGAACAGCAGAACCCACTTCAGCTACGTTGGTCAAAAAACAGCATTTATTGAAGATTATTGGGCAACTTGAAGACCCCTAGAAAGTCCATACTATCCACTGCTGCTGGCTTTCAACATAACTCTCACGACTGATGCTGGTCATTGGACCTCAGAACCTCCACCACTGCCACTCCCTTAACGGCGACTTGCCTCCTCTGCCTCCTCCACAAAAGGTGGGTCCCACCTGGGGCCTGCTCTCTCAAAGGACTATCTTCTACACCACAGCCTCCACAAGACAGCTAACTGCAGAATATTTATCATAGGGCTGTGCTTCAGTGCAAGAGAGCTAAGGAAAGCAAGTTCCTATCTCCTCTCTGGGGAGGTGGACAATGATGTAAGAAAATCCCAAAATAGAAGATGGTTGCTCAAAAGATACTGGGCAGTCATGAAGCAAGATGATTATATATAAGCATAGTTCTTGAATCATTGTGCTTAGTTGTACCTACTCCACCTACATTTAAGGTTGGATTTGACATTAGATGACATAGTTTTCCTCTTCCATAATAAGTAATAGTAATTTTCCTGATGAAAAATTATCCAAAGGCATGGCCTAGAGAGACCCTTTGCTGAAGAAGGGGTATTACTAAGAGATGAACATGGAAGACATGAGACCTGACTGCCAGACACCTCGTGTTGGGCCAAGGGGTGTTCCAGGTAGATGCAGGGTTGGTCACTTGTGCTTCATTAGCTTTCGTTTGAATATCACAACTGCCTTGTGAATCTGGCAAAGCCAGATGCTGCTCTTCTTGCTTACAAATGGTGAGGTGGAGTCCTGCTAGAGTGGCTCACATAGGGCCCCAAGGGGAGGGCTGGACAGAATCTGAGTCCCTTGTCTCACCTCCCTAGGTCTTGCTCCATGACATCTGATGTCTCCAGCACACTTCACACCTTTCTGAGCATCAAACTTACTGTCATCCTCAACAAATACCTCTTGCTTTATACATGCAGGGAGCCCTTTTAGGTGCACAGCATGGCACACCAATTGTAGGTCAAGGTCATAACAAAGAGAAGTTTTGTTCCAGACTTATGGTCATATTCTTTTAGCTCTTTACACTTACAGAACTCTTCCCTTTATAAACAGTTCCACATACTTTTCTTTCCTGCAGGGCCATGCTGAGCCTTTATAATCCATCTCATTAGAATTTAGGCATGTGTTTCTGAATCTTCCTCATGAGTCTACAAGCTGATATGCTACTTGTCCCTCTTACACTTGTCCCCACATCTGTTCTTCTGGAGAGCAGCATCCTTGTCCACAGGTCCCAACCTGGGCTCTGAGATATTTCTAGCCAGTTGTCTTGTCCTGCAATGTTCCTGGTCTTGTTTAGTTTGGAGTCAAGATTGTCTTCCCAGGAGGTCCATTATCTTCTAATCAGGTCAAGGGTGGCCACACTTCCACAATTCCAGCAACTCCACTCTTGTCTGTCTCCTGATTGAGGCAGATGATACCTTCACCAAATGACTAAACCTGGTGACATCCAGAGGATAGAGTATTGCTAGGGTTTAAGGAAGGCCTTCAAGGTCACAATGTCATCCATTGTATTTCGGCTGGGAACTTTAGAGTCCTTGCCAAATTTACATTTGGACAACTGAGAAAAGTTTCAAGTTATTTAGCAGTAATGAGGATGCTCTGGGGAGCTTTACATATGAACCTGGAATGACATTTAGTTAAATAAATGTCAACATGCTGGGCTAGCTCTTGCTCTGTAGACAAATACAGGGCAGAAGAGTGTGTCAAGGTGGAAATAATCCAGAAGGACAGATAGCTCTTGGCCTGTTGCTGGATTTTGGTGGAAACTGAATGTTTGACTATGGGTCATCAAGTCACCATGCGACCTGAACTGCCTATCATGAACTGGGTGCTTTCTGACCCATCTAGCCATAAAGCGGGTCGTGCACAGCAGCATTCTATTATCAAATGGAAGTGGTACATATGAGATTGGGCTCAAGCAGCTCCTGAAGGCACAAGTAAGTTACATGAGGAAGTGGCTCAAATGCCCCTGGTCTCCACTCCTGGCACCCTGCCTTCTCTCCCCCAGCCTGCACCGATGGTCTTATGGGGAGTTCCCTATGATCAATTGACAGAGGACGAGAAGACTGAGGCCTGGTTCACAAATGGTTCTGCAGGATATGCAGGCACCACCTGAAAGTGGACAGCTGCAGCACTACGGTCCCTTTCCAGGACATAACTGAAGGATAGTGATGAAGCCAAATCTTCCCAGTGGGCAGAACTTCCAGCAGTGCAACAGGTTGTGCCCTTTGCATGGAAGGAGAAATGGCCAGATGTACAATTATACACTGATTCATGGGCTGTAGCCAATGGTTTGGCTGGATGGTCAGGGACTTGGAAGAAGTATGATTAGAAAATTGGTGACAAAGAAATTTGACGAAGAGGTATGTGGATGGACCTATCTGAGTGGACAAAAACTGTGAAGATATTTGTATCCCATGTGAGTGCTCACTAATGGGTGACTTCAGCAGTAATAGAAGACATATAAATATTATAATATAAATATTAACAAAACTGTATTTTCAGAGTATTTTGGAAGAACTATGATTAAGAATTGTTAGACACTTTGTTTTCTTAATCAAAAATATCCAATTCCTGGTCTTTTGTTGGAATATCTCTTCCCTCTCTCTCTTTCTCTCCGTCTTTCTCTCTCCTCTTTCTTCATTCCTTCCACTGTGTTGATATCCATGCTGATACAGAAAGTGTAACACAATTAGCATGAAATAGTGAATACGGCCGAATCTCTTGCCTCCATGAAGCATGTTCTCTAATTGGAGAGAAAAATAATGTGAACTACAGCTTGAGTCAGATGAACGGACAGATCGTTAATAAATGACTTAGTGCAATAGAATCATATTAACACATGGGAGAATCAGAGGACAAGGGTGTCCGTGGAAGCAGAGGTTGTCTGCATTTGTAGCAATTCATGCAGGAATAAGACGTACTGAGCACACATTGCAGAGTCAATGCTTTGACTGGGCACTTTCTGCTTTGCAGGGTTTCTGGTCTGAGAACCTACAGAACAGAGCTCATCTTAGAGGAGCACCGATTCTTGTCAGTCACTACTGATATGTTTACCTCCTGACAATCCCATTCTCTGTGAAATTCTTTGTAAGATATGGTTATAACTACAGGACATTATTTTTCTGGAACATCTTATGAACTGTCCAGGCAGAAGCATGGAAGGAAATAAAGGCAGGCAGGTTTTGAGAAACTGCATCTGTGGGTTTAGTTGCAGACAGTCTCTGGAGATGCAGTGGCCCATGGCCACGTAGCTGAGCCAGTGACTGCAGACTCAACTTCAGGTTGTTGTTGCAGCCTCGTGGGATCCACGCTGTGTCCTGATATCACCTTGGCCAGCCTTAACTGGGGCTTTCTGTCTCCACCAGGTAGTCAAAGGCATGCATATATCCCGCAAACGGCCTCCCATAAACACTGTAGCCTGGAACAATTTCAGGGAAAATATGATTTTTCAGGCAGCCTCTGGGCTTGCATGGCCCCCTCCAAGCACTTCCCTGAAACGTCTCCCTGGAGCTGATGCCAGACGGCAACCAACATCTCAACTGCTTCATTTCTCTGTTTTTCCATCTTTGTTGTTGCTCTAAATTAAACTGCTGGAGAATGAAGCATTTCATATTATAACAATGCCTGTCAGGAGTTCTTTACAGTGCAAGATAAAACACAAACCCTTTAATTAACTTTTTTTAAAAAATAGCAAATACTATTAACCGTTCTAGCATCTTAATAGGTATACATTTTCAATGTGCCTTCCTGTTTTAATTCCATCCATTCTGCTACTGTGTTACAGATTATCTCTCCACATATAATTGCCTCGGTCGCACGCTCTATTTTTGGAATATTGTTTTAACAATACCTTGAACTCCAGTCGTTCAGATGTTGCTGTCATGTCCCTGGCATATGTGATTTTGACTGAAATTTATGTATCTCAAAAAAATGTCTGGAAATGGCCAGGATACTAATCAGGAACATGGAAAATTTAAGGTAAAAGCAATTTCATCTCAAAACAAGGACTCAATAATTTTAAAATGTCTTCACATGATTTCAGCTCTGGGCCTAGCAATTAATTTCCATATGCTACGTGGTTTTTATAATTATAATGTATTATGTGATATTGTATTTTTTCATTTTTCCACCCTCTAATAGTAATACAGATTTATATCTCACTCAGTAGTGTATAATGTACATAAAAGTAATAAAACTGCATTTAAATACACATTTTATAATTCAGGCTTATCACACTATTTTTCCTGAGTAGAAAGTTCTACCCATGGTTGAAAATGCATGCTAATTACCCAAGCCTGGTTTTGAAGGACCCAAACATCAGTCCAATAAACACTAGACAAATTTTCCAGGTTGAAAGGAATAGCATTGTTCTGTGTTAATGAAAAATAATAACAGGACCTCCGAGACCCACTGATCTCCCAATTCCATTTGACAAAGTATAGCCACTATTTCCCCCAGGGGGTGTAGGAACGCCTGTTTATTTGTTTGCTCATGCATTCATTCATTCTGAGCAGAATATGGCTCACCTTATGTGGCTGATGAGGGAAGGCACGGGTGGGCCGTGGTTGAGGATGGCAGGAGATGCAGACTTCGCATTACTGGTTGGTTGACATCCTGCAGTCAGGAATGAGTTTTTCCCGCCTCTGTGTTTTCTGAAGGAGACACAGACATGGGAATGGGGATGACCAGTAGGTGAGGCGAAGCTTAGCCAGGGTGCCATTAACCAGATCCAGAGCAGAAAGGTAACTTCAGAGTTTTTGCTCCTGTAAGTACTGCTCCTTGGTACAAGTATGAAGCTCCCTTTCTGACAGAGTCCTGATTAGGCAGGAGGGCAGCTTTTTTGTTTTTGCATTTTATAATTAACTATGTGTATGCTTTCTACACTGATTGCATTATAGGATTATTATCATAAAATCTTACCTCGTCACAGGAAATACAAAAGCATTGCATATGGAGAGTAAAATTGATTGAATGGATCATGAATGCCTAGTTCCAAGGCTGTGGATTTTAATTCTGATGAGGTCATGAAACCATTTATGCTCAAATTTTGTCTGCAGTCTAAGTACATACAGCTTTAGTAAGCCCTATCATATTAATGTTTAAAGTGCTGTGATAGGCTCTTTTAGTTATTAATATTGTTTATAGATACATGTGTACTGATAAAACGGTCCTTCAACCATACAGAAAGAAAACAAATATTATCACTCTAATGTTTAGAATTAATTCAAAAAGCAACAACGGAATCTCAATCTACAACCTCACATGGCATAAATACAAAAACAAGTATAGCTAATTGAATAACCAGCAATGTATATATTAAAATTAAAATTTTCTCATGCATTTATTCTTTAACACTCAGCTAATCAGAGCAATATTTTGAAAATGCTAATTCACATTCCCGAAGCCCTTTAATGTGATAAAAACTCCTCTTCCTCGCAGTGAGGAAGGGACCCTGTGGAACTTCCCCCTGAGCAGGATCATCACCGTCACTGCCTAACTTGCCCAGGGGCACGGGCAAGGTCCTAGTGCACAGTGCTGCATCCACACGGCCTCAAAGCAGCTCCTTGACTGTTCGGCAACCCCTGGCAAGAAAGCAGTTCCCCTAAATGCATTATTTTTTCTCACACATAAAACGTATACCTTCCATGGTAGCTTCATATTATATTTAAATGCAATTATATACCATAGTATGGCTCCTTAAGCTGAATATACAGGGTACAGTTCTACTTTTCCTTATCATAGAGGTAAACTGTTTAAATATCAATTATGCAACGACCCTCTATGTACTCTAGAAACAGATACAGGCTGTTCAACTTACATCCATGACTCTACTTGCCCTTTGATATTTTTTTTCCCCAAATTCATACGCTACTTTATTTTCTTTCTGCCCTTTCATCAGTATTAAGCAGCCTCCTTGCTTCTTTCCATAGTGATGGTCTGGGGCAGCTTTAATCTGCTGCTTCTGATCTTCTGTTCAATGAAAAAGAGTTAATCAGTGTGTTTGAATTGTACATAAAGAAAGTACATAGATACAGCCACTTGGGAAAACAGTCTGGCAATTCCTCAAAAGTTAAACATACAGCCCAGCACTCTCAGTACTAGGTATGAGCACAAGAGACATGAGAATACCTGTCCACACAGAAACGTGTCCATCAATGATCACAGCAGCATTATTCATCTTAGCCAAAACTCAGGAACAACCCAACTGTCCATCAATCAATGAATCAATAAATGAAATGAATGGGGTATATCCTTACCATAAAATACGATTCAACTACAGAAAGGAATGAAGCACGAAAGCGTGCATGCTATGACACGGTGAACCTTGGAAACATTATGCTAAGTGAAAGAAACCAGTCACAAAACAACACATCTCAAACGATTGTATTTATATGAAGAGCCATATTCAGAGATAGAAGGAAGATTAGTGATTGCCCAGGGCTGGGACCAGGGGGCAATGGATGGTGGAGTGATCATGAAAGGTTACAGTGTTTCTTTTTGATGTGATAAAAATGCTCTAATGTTGTCTGTGATGATGGTTGCCAAATTCTGTAAATATACTAAAAGCTATTTCACTGTACACTTTAAGGGAGTGAATTGTGTGGTAGTGAATTGTATTTCAATAAAGCTGTTACCAAAACAAAACAAAACAATGATTCATGAGCAGTGTGTTAGAGCCTGAGAAATACTGCTCTCCACTGAGTGGTCTGGCTGACTTACCAGATACTTAAACAAACTTTATTTTCTGACTCCTGCATATTTTCTGGAGAATGAGTTCTAAAACTACAACATTTGGAAAGTTAGTTAATTTGTTTTATGCAAAGAAGGATCTCCAGTGATTGAGATCCTTTACTTTAGCCCCACAAATGGAAATCTTGACACTCACGTGTGAAAGGGGTTAAGATGACACGTCAAGGGTAGCATGCTTGGGTGGAGCGGGGAAACAGAAGCTCTGCAGGTAGCGGGGCTGAGTCAGGTGGGAGGGGAAGGAGAAGCCTTGGAGTGCAGCTTCAGGAAGGGGGCAGGTGTGGCCGGACAGGCTGGCGGAGCAGCCCCTGAACAACTCTGCCACCGTGCGGGTGTCCTGCTTTCACATGGCTTCACTATGCACATACAGCACATGCAGACCTCACTGTCAGGGCACGTATAACCCTGGAAACCCTGGGGAAAGGCCCCTCTGCTGCGCCATGTCCTCCAGCTTCGCGCCTGCCGTGCTCCCTGTTCCCAGAGCCCAAAGAGAGACAAAAGTGGTCAGGAAATGTTTGGAGACCAAATGCAGGAGTCTAAAATTATACTGCACTCCCCAGAAAATACCCAAGTTTGATTTTTAATAATTCACAAATAACGAGTTACATGCACTACAAATTCCACTGTGATGCCATTTAACCAATGAAAAGAAATTCCGTCAAAAAGGAAAATCATTCCCTTGTTTTTGAACCCAGCCCTAAGCACGGAGTTGACGGGTCTAGTCACCTGCAGCACAACGGCTTACCCACTGAAAAGGAGCTTGTGACATTCTATCTTAGGAATATTCTAGCTTTATCTTAGAATAAATGGAATTCCCATAGAGCTTTGTCCTAACACTTGTGAGAACAGACAAGGTCAGACAAGCAGATGGCCAGAGACAGAGAACACCTAAGATCCTTCATTTTTCCTTCTAGCCATAAGAGGACACAGAACCCCATGCCACAGGGAAGGCAGGTTAAAACCGATCAATATTTTATGCCATCAGCCGGCCTGGCATATTACAGTTATGACACATCTTTAAAAGTACGAAGAAAGAGATAACACAATGACTGCACTAAAATGTCAAGAAGCGAGTCTGCCAGCGGCGATGGGCTTCAGCGTTTCCTCCCTCCACACGCAGTCCCTCCATGTCACCAACATGCTGGAGCTACGTAGGACTGAGCCTTCCCTGGTATTCCCGGAATCTCAAAGATCACAGCCTGTGCACAGAGGCTGCACATATTAATTTACAACAGGGGCAGGCGGGAAAATAAAACTCTGTGGTTCTTCTCTAGGGCAAGAATAGTTTAAACTAATATAAAAATAAAGACAAACAGAGAGATGGAGATGAAGACAAATGTGAAAAAGAGGAAGAAGGAGGAAGAGGAGGAGGGGGAGGAGGTCGAGAAGGTGAGAATTCCTGGTAAAACATAAGTAACATTTAACAAACAAACAAACAGCAACCTCCAAGTACCCGAGCATGCTGCTGGGACGGAGAGACTCATTTTCTCCGTTCCTTTTGGCAGTTTCTTTGCCTGCTGTAGATTGAAGAAAATAGGAATAAGCATCTTTCGACCCACAAACAGATGTGCTTGATAAAGAAAATGTCAGCAAAAATACTAAAGCAATGTGTCACAGCGGCTTTCTGACAGATAGAGGGAAAAGGTAAAAAATGTTCTATCATGTCCGACAAGGTGTTCTTTTTGAGATTTAAAGATCACTGTGCAACTTTAAACATGTTTGTCACTTTGGCTCTGACTACAGCTATCTGGAGCTTCAGAAGAACTTTATCAGCTCGGCATAGGGGGAAAGAAAGGAGCCCGTTCCCATTTATCTCAGCTCGGCTCCCTTCAAAGCCAACAAATAAATTACAGTGTACATTTGATACAAATTGATTTCTTAACTCAAATAACAATGTTGTCCTCCCGGTCGGGCTATGTGTCACTCACTCGCGAGCCTGAGTGAAAGGCTCAATCTGTCTGTGTGACAGAAATAGGCCTGGCGCGCTCGGGAGGAATGCTAATCGCCCGGGCCTGGCCCGGCTTTGTGGGCCGGCTGCGATAAGGGGGATCGGGCCCAGCCGCTCCCCACCAGGGCCCCATCCTGTCCGTGCCAGCGCGAGCCCTTGGCCTTGGGCTTGTCGGCCTATTTCACTAGGAAAATCAGATCCGGCCACCGTGGCTAGGATGCTCGTGGCCGGGATGAGCCGGAGCTGCAGTGAAAGGAAGCCCGTTGAGTGTCTTCAGCTGATGTTATCGGCCGCTGGAGAAATGAGATATTGGCAGGGCCTGCTGAGTCCCTCGCAGCTGAGCAGGTTAATAAGGTGGGGAGGGGGGCTGCAGGCTAATTGGATTTGGCCTGGCTTGATCAACAGTGTCAGGCCTGCTGCCAGGGAAGCATACACAGTGGCTTTCTCTTTGTTTAAATTTAAGCCGGGCGAGGAAAAGTCGCACTGCTCTTGTGAAGCTGAGGGTGTGCTCCCGAAATCCCATCCTCGTGGGCCCAGGGAGTGGCCCCCAGTCGCAGAAGTGCTTGGGGGTTTCGATCCTGGGTGCATGACCTTGCAGAGCTCTACCAGTTGGTGCCCATGAAGGCATCAGAACCCAAAAGGCTAACTGGAGGTGGGAGGCAACTAAGGTACTAGGCACTGGCCTACTGGGTCCACGCAGGTCTTCTGCACTGGCCTGTCCACACAGGTCTCCCTAATGGTGCCCGGAGAGAGCTGCTTCCTCTCTACTGTTAAGGAGGGACAGTCCTCCACTGTGCACACCTGTGCAGAAACATTTCCAATGTGTAGGAAGCAGGTGGATGGGTATCCTGTTTCTTAATCAGTCTTGACAGGCTTAGGGCTTGTCTTGACTTTAGAGCCAGGAATATTCCACAGAATCCCACCTCGTCCCCATCATCACCCCATCATGGGAGCACCTGTGGTTTGTAACATTCCTAGAACATTGACCTTCAATTAAACGATCAAGTCCTTCCAACATTCATACAACAGCACAGTCATTGATAATTTTATCCGGGATGCATTCTTCCAGTCAAGTTTAATGTATTGAAATTGAGAGGTGAGTTCAGACTGTTTATTTTTTTAAAAAAACTTTGCATTATGTAGCTTTGTCAAATCATTTCAGGGAATATCTTCTTTATCCAGAATCTCTAATCTAGCAGTTTGGCCTGTTCAAAGTCTTAGCCTCTGATAGTATATTATCCCTTACAGAGAAAGAGCACATTATCAAATGTGCAGGTGACAAATATCTTTTGCTAGGTACCTTGAAAATGTCCTACATCAGAAATGTTCAACTCTTAGCCAAGTAATAAAAATATAAACCAAGTTATGTAAGATTTTCCTAGTGGACACATCAGATAATGCTGATGTTTATGATTAATATCTTATTTAGTGTCTTTTTTTTTGGCCAGCAAAATTTATCCAGGGACAATTGCAATCAGGGTACTGAACTGGATTTTTAAAGGAGAAAAGAACAGTAGTGGGAGACTTACCCGCAAAGTGCACACTGTTTTCTTGATGTCAGTGTATATTGCTGGGAGCTCTGAGCAAGCTAATCCCACAATCTTCCTTCTGATGGGCAATTCTCTGTCAGTTAAGAGATGCTTGCAGGAATCAGGTAGTGCTTACAATATCTGCTCTGTTCCCAGTAAAGGTGACTTGGGAATGATGCTCCGACCCAAGGCTGTGCAGGCATCCCATGCCCTCTGTTTGCGTGTCTGTGTCTACTGGGTTGCCATCAGGGTGGCAAGAAGAGCACGGGCCTTTTCTGGGCCTGCTGGGAGGCAGCAGGATGGGGAGTGGAGAGCATGGCCCAGGCACATCTAGCTAACCCCAGAATGAGTCAAGAATGAACAAGCATAATAGGTTTCATCCCCAGACAAGTCTCTCTGACTTCTAGAAAAGGAGCCGGGGACTTGCAGAAAAGGCGCTCAGGGCATTTCCCCTGGGCAGGAGGGAGAGAAGCAGAGGGCAGGAGTGAAGTCTCCGCCAACACATGCTACTGACAAAGGGTATGAAGGGCACCTGCGCAGCAAGGAAGCCCCTCAATATATATTTATAAATATATATTTTTATAATTTATAAATATATATTTATAAATATATTTACAAATATATATTTATATATATAAATATATTTATATTATATATATTTATATTTTTATATTTATAAATTTATATTTATACATTTATGTTTTTGTATTCATAAATTTATATTTATACATTCATATTTTTATATTTATAAATTTATATTTATACATTCATATTTTTATATTTATAAATTTATATTTATACATTTATATTTTTATATTTATAAATTTATATTTATACATTTATATTTTTATATTTATACATTTATATTTATACATTTATATTTTTATATTTATACATTTATATTTATACATTTATATTTTTATATTTATACATTTATATTTATATATAAATATATACACACATATACACACATATATACACACATACATATATACACATATACATATATACACATATATACATATATACATATATACACATATATACATATATACACATATATACATATATACATATATACACATATATACATATATATACATATATACACACACACATTGCCTTTCAAGATATTAACTCAATTAATTTACGCAAATATTTATCAATCACCTACCATGTGTCTCAGGATACATCAGTGAACGACAGAGACTCTGATGCTCACGGGGCGTTCATCACAGCAGAAGACAATCAACACTGATTATCTATGTAATTGAAAAGTAAACTAAACAGTATATTGGCAGGTAATATGTGCCATGTATTAAAATAATTCATAGAGGGTGAGGGAAATCAATAGCTTGGGATAAATATTGCAGTTTTCAGTAGTGTGGTCAGGGTTGGCCTTACTGATAAGGTGCCCTCTGAGTAAACTTTGGGAGGAAGTGAGGGAATTAGCCACGCAGACACTGGGAGATGGGTGTTCTCACCACAGCACCAAGGTTCTGAGGTTGGGGGGACTGAGAGTGTTCCAGTAAACAGCCGGGACTGTGTGACCAGAGCCTGTGGGATAAGTGAAGATAAATTTCCCCCCGTCAGAGCGCTGGGAGGAACCTGGCTCTCACTCTGTGTGACATGGGAGTCAGCTGCAGGGCAGTTCAGCAGAAGACGGCTGCCATCTTGCACTTCAGGGCTCCCTTGGGCTGCTTGGTTAGCAATACACTGTAAGGGGCAATGACAGAGGCAGGGAGGCTACTGGAGGTTTGCAAGCAATGGAGGGAGAGATGACAAGTCTTTAACCGTGATGGTGACACAGGCTGTGTGACGTGTGATGTGATTTGTGCAAGGCAAAGCCACATTTCCCTGATAGATTGGGCATGGCGGTGCAAAAAAAAAAAAAAAAAAAAGCTGTCAACACTTTGGCCTGAGGAATCAGCAGGCTGGAGTTACTATTGGCTGAGAAGGAAAATTTGCAAGAAACGCAGGTTCAAAAGGTGTGATCATGAATAGAGCTTTGGATCTGTTTTGAGATGTGCTTGTACATTATCCAAGACATTCAGTAGGTAGTCAGAAACACCAGAGGCAAGGCTGGGCGAGGATGGCAAATCTGGAAAATGTTCAGCATCTGAATGGTATTGGAAGCAATGCCAACAAGGGCACGATGGGGCTAAATAGAAAAGGGGAGAGAGGGGCTTCAAGGAGGAGACCTGTTTCCGCCACTGAGAGTCCCTTCAGAAGACAAGAGCCCCGTGGGACGGAGACTGAGCTGGAGGGTCTTCACAGTGGGAGGTGAATAAGGAGGGGGTGAAAGGGAGCTGTCCCCGGTGCCACGTACTTCTCACTGGCCAAACATAAAGACAATGCAGAATGGACAAATGGACCTAGTCTCACGCAGTCCACTGGGGACCTTTGGAAAGCAGAGCGGTGGGCAGAGCAGAGAGCACCCTTCCTTGGAGTTTTGCCGCAAAGGAAAGCAAAGAATAGAGGGGTAGCTGCTGAGGGAAGGGGTCAGGAGGGGAGATCTTGCTTTTTTTCTTTGCTTTTATCTGGAAGAAAAAATATCAAGTGCTTTAGGAAGTGATTCGGCAAAGGGAGGAAATGTGGGAGGCACGAGAGGCAGAGGGGCTGAGATGAAGACATTCCTCTCTCCTGCTGAATGTGCCTCCAGCATCTGCGTGTACACATTTGGCCTTGCAAGGGAAGGGAGGGCGCAGAGTTCAAAGACTCATCCCCGTGGCCCTTTATATTTTAAGTAAGAATTGTTGGTGTGTGACTAAGATCCTCTAAGCAGATGTTGACGCAGATGTTGACAGTTAAAGAGTTGACAGCTGGGGGGGTCTTCTCTACACCCTGACCACAAAGCAGGTGCCAGGATGCCCCCATGAGGTGCAGCCAAGAAAGAGAGAAGCAGCCTGTCAATGTCATCAGTGATCATTACAGGGCAGGAAATGGCCCTTTAAATTCACTATCAGTTGAATTTGCAGATGTAGAAAGCTGAATTTTGTTCATGTATTCTTTTTTTCCTATAGGAAAGCATCTTGCTTATATTTAAAATTTATTGTTTAAATCCTGATTTTCAAAGGTTTTGACCACGTCATTCTTTCTCCAAAGGCAGCACTAAAAAAGAGGCTGGGAGGTAAGCTCATGAAAGCTGAGCGGCCCTGGTTGCAGGTTTGGGGAGTTGAGGATGGCTGTGGACAGCAAGACTTCCGACACTCACCCCTGCTCCCCTGGCTGGGCCCTGAGATCCCCAAAGGGTTGAACATCTCTGTCCTAGATCATTATTGCTTGTGTTGACAGCAACCACAAAGGTTAACATTTGTTGAGCCCCAGGCATTTTATCCCACTTATCTTCCCAATGTGACAGTGGAAGAGCTCTGTGTACATGTAAGGGCCCAGCTACCTTTCTTGAGTTTCACAACAGCTTATTATGTAAAGTGCACACACTAAATTTTACACACACTTCCACAGGTATATTTCCCAACGACGGCTTGGTAAGAATCACCGCAACTCTAGCCAAGGCCACAGGGAAGTTTCCTTGTGGTGACACAGGAATCTGGAGGAGCCAGGAGCTGAGAGATCAGTGGAGTTTCATGAACTGAGGGAGATTGGCCTGGGCCCTGGGGCAAGGCATGACTTGGGAAGGTAGAGAATGAATGGAAGAGTGATCGCTGATTGTTTGGGCTCAGAGAGGCCTACCAGCCTGACTGTTGGAAAAGCACATTAGACAGATGGGATGTAGCGGCTAGAAGAGCAGGTGCCAGACGGAAAATCCACTCATGAAGTCAGAGCTACCTGTGGCACCGGTACCCTGTTGGAAGAGCCTCGCTGTTCTTCTTCTACCTGTGGTCCAACTTGGACCACACCTGAGCCCAGGGGGACCCTCAACCAGAAGACCCTCTTTGACCCTTGCCATGGGAGCAGAAAGATTAATTGTGACACCAATATTCCTCCCCCAGACCCGGGCTTTCCCCTCGGGAGAGGAGCAGAGCCTTTGCCTTAGAGACACTCAGGTGATGGCCAGTGCATGAGTGTCCTGTGGATGCTGTAACAAAGTGCAACAACGGAAATGTATTCCCTGGGAGTTCTGGAGGCCAGAAGTTCAAGGACCAGGCATAGTCTGCAGGGCGGGCTCCTTCTGAGGCTGTGAGGGAGAATCTGTCCTGTCTCTCTCTCTGGCTTCTGGGGGCTGCTGAGAAGGCTTGGCATTCCTTGGCTTGTCACTGTATCACCTGATCTCTGCCTCTATCCTCATGTGGCGCTCTCCTATGTGTCCCTATCAGCTTCTACGAAGACCGCAGTCTCACCGAATTAGGGCCCTCCTAGTGCAGTACGACCTCACCTTAACTAATCACATTTGCAGTGACCCTATTACCATAGTTCTGGGAATTAGGACTACCACATATGAATTTTTGGAGGTGTACAACTCAACTCATGACAGTCAGCAGGAGCTCCCTCCCTTCCTTCAAACAACCCATGGATTTAATGAACCTCTTACTCTATGGATCAAGCAATGGTCATTACTTATACCAGATAATACCCATTTACCCCATGTGCTGCTAGAAGTACCTTCCAGTTTTTAACTCACTTGATCCTACTGATACGTGTATGAAGCAAGAGTGGACTTTATTTTCCACACATGGAAATGGAAGCCCAGAGAGGTTGAGTTATCCAAGGTTGCACAGTGAGGAATGCTGGGACGAGAATTCAAAAGCAGGCAAGGGCTCCATGTCCACGCTGCTGGGTGTCTGTCCTGAAGACACAGACACCTGAGTGCGCCTAAAGGCGCTGCCTATTCCTGCTCTGGGAAGACACTTCCCCAGCTTTCTCTGGTACACTGAATGATGCATGAATGATGGATGTAACACTATAGTATTGCTTTGAGGTTAGTGGGTTTTTATATACTTGAGCTAATGAAAACAAATCTTGGAGTAAAATCTTTTTTTTGTTTGTTTTTTAAGGGCATTTGTCTAATTGCCTACCAGAGACGTTTTGTCTCCAAAGCAATCATGATACCAAATGTTCTGCGTCTTCCGGGTGTCTGCTACAGAAATGGAAAATCTTAAATCAAGCCTTGCTCTCTTGAAAATAAAAAGTCTATGGAATAAAATAGTCTACTGAATAAACTGTAATATTATAAAAAGTGTTCTGCAGAAAAAAAGAGCATGTTTAGTCAGGATAAATAAAAGAAAGGAAACAATTTAAACCAAACTTTGCTTCCAATTAAAGTGTAGGTTTATTTTCAAAGAAGAAAAATTACCCCTCACCGTAAGTGTGTGTCTGAGACACAAACCTCTGATATAAAATTAGCTCTGCTTCAAATCTTTTACGTTTAATGATTTCTTCTTTTAACATTTGGATCGTTTTATTATCTTTGGACACATATCAACATATTATAGATGCAAAAGGCCACAGCCTGGGGACAGCAGAGAGAATTTTCAACAATGTAATCACTGTCAGAGCAAATCAGTGAGGCTTTCCTCTTGAATTACTCTCAATGTGCAAAGGGACTTTCTAAGAATTTAGTGAAATCTGTCTTCGTCGGTTCAGGCTGCCATAACAAAATACCATTGACTGGGTGGTGGCTTAAAAAAACAGAAATTTATTTTTTCACAATTTTGGAGGCTGGGAAGTCCAAGATTAAAGTTCTGGCAGGGTCTGCTGTCTGGTGAGTGTGCTCTTCCTGGTTCATAGACGGCCACCTTCTTATGTGGTCACATGATGGAGAGAGAGAGCTCTGGCATCTCTTACTCTGAGGACAAGAATCCTGTTGGATCTGGGCCCCACCCTCATGAACACATGTAACTTTAATTACTTCATTACTCTAAATGCAGTCACATTGCTGGTTATAGCTTCAGCCTGCAAATTGTTGGGGACATAATTCAGTCTATAGCAGAATCCATATAATTGTCAGAGGATCCATTTATCAATGCATGCAGCCATTTCCTCCATAGGATGTCACCTCAGGGACATCAGTTGGGAAGCATAATTTATACACAATTTTATGATGAGATCCAAACTGCCAAGAACAACAGGAGACAGCTATAGGATTTTTAGAAAGTTTCATGTGTGCCGTTATAATTAAAGAGCTCCTAATTTTTAAATATACATTTTAAGAGGCTGATCTCTCCCTCAAACAACCCACCAATGAAGCAAACGAACACCTGGAGAAGCCTACCTTGGAATGAGCCATGGCTTCCCTGGCACCCAGCATTCCTCTAGCTGTGGCTACCTTAACTTTCCAAAGTTTTGGCTTTCTTGAATAATCTATTCCATATTATTGGTCGCTTTAACAGATTTTACTTATATTGTTTGTTTCTTTATATTTTATGCCAACATTTCAACTAAACATATTTCGGCACTATTGAACCCGAATATCTACAATATAATTCCTTAGATGTAAGAATATGCTAACCACAGTACTCTGCTGTACTTTCAAAGCACTTCACAATTTACAAAAGTTTTCACAAAAGTTTTCCCAGCATAGTCCTAACTTCATACTCATGGTGGGGGAGTCCTCACTGCCATTTTTTTGGATGGGGTGATAACATAGGCAGAACGAGCAAACTGAAAGACCTACACCGGAAGTGGGGAGTGGAGCAACCACTCCTGCTTTCGAATTCTAATTGAGCAATACACTGATGTTTAGAACAAAATGTAGCTTTTCATTTTGTTCTAAACATCAATGGACATTTGAGATCTATTTCTAGCACTTCACTTTTTTCAATATACAAACAAAATAATCATCTTTTTGGGAAAGTGGTAAAGAATGCAATATTTTCCTTTTGAAATTATTGCCGTCAATGGTGCTTTGCGAATAAGCACGTGTGCCACATTGTGAAGATCTTTCCAACTCACAGAAAGTTTCTCACAAAGATCGATTCATGATCTTAGACCCTTGGTAGCTAGAAGGAAGCAATACACAACTTGTCAATCAACGCGCCAGGGTTCATGCTGTGTGCAATCATATTTATTTTCTCTCCCTTGAAAAAGAGACACTTGTGCTGTAACAACATTCTGAGTTAAAGAGTTAAAGTAATTTGGTTTAAAATGTGTACAGGATGAAGAGGGATGGCCAGAAAATACTTTGATCCTTGATGCTGCCAAAGCTTATCTCCATGAGTAGAACAAAGTAATGGGGCCGATGGCAGAGCCACTCCTTCCTCTTAGCACGATTGCCTCAGGGACATGAGTCAACAGAAAGGTAGACTCCTCTCTAGCTTAAGTGGACAGGAGCTGGGAGTGGAGAAACAACCTAAGAGCTAAATACAGCTGGATCCTGCTGTTTAGGGTGGACCCTCTTACCGTCCCCAGGATTAAAAACAAAACACCGGAGAACAGGGCTCCCTGTCCAGTGCTGGCCATAAGCATCAGCAGCATCTTCTCTCTGAAGACCACAGCCATAGCAGGGAGGGAGGAAGATCAGAGCCCACAGGACATCAGCTTGAGGCAGGGATGGGGAACCAGGAAAATGATGTAGACCCTTGGTTCTCCCCGCCTCGATTAACACACAGACCTCTCACACACAGACCTCTCTCTCCTCCCCTGCAGCCTGGGAGAGATGATGATTAATAGAGGGCACCCTGCATTTCACAGTGTCCAGGTGACCTTCATACCACCTGTCATTGCAGCTCCCCAAAGTGAGGCACCTCCTTTCACAAATGAGGAAACAGATCATTGTCCCGAAGTGATTGGCCTAATGTCACACAGTTGGTAAAATACAAAACTCAAACCCAGGTGTTACGACTCCACCTGGAGCAGCCTGCTGCCCCCAGGTCAGTCATCTGAACACAGGAGTCTCAGGTCCTCACTTAACAAATGCAGGGCTTGGCTTGTCCATCAACATCTTCAACAATAAACCAGTGGAAGGCAGAACAAAATCCTATATCCAGGCTTATGAAGATCAATCTGTTCTAAAACAACTGACTAAAACCAACAGAAGGACTCAGAGACAAGGTTCGCTCCAGGAACAAGACCCCTGGAAGGCCTTCCAGGGAAAATTTTTAACGAGTTGATTTCTCAATGCCCAAGGATCAAGCCCAAGCTAGATGACCTGGTCCACAAAGTTCTTTATGGCCTGAACTTTACCTTCTCAGCCTCATCCATGGTAATCCCCCCACTAATCCTGTGATTTCGCCATAACTGTTCAGTCATTCAACAAATCTTTCATAAGCACCTACTATGTGCTGAGTTTCCCAAGCTGGCAATGTTCTGTGTCACTTCCTTCCAGAAATGCTGTTCCCAGAGCCTGATGGCGCTCATCCTCCCAGTCTTGGCTGAGATGATGTTCCTTTTGGAGACTTCTGAGACTTTCTAGACCAGATAATTTTCTTACCATTTGGGTCCACTTGTTAAATTTTTTAATAACCTTATATCCAGTTTTACTGTCATTGACTTAAAAACAACAAAAGTCTATATCTCTTCCCAAACTGTAAGTGTATATGCTGAACAAGCATTCTAAGTGTCTGTTGTTGTGTAACAAAACATCTCAAAACTTAGTAGCTGAAAACAACAATTCGTGATTTTTGACTGGGGGGGCTCTTCAGCTCTAGCAGAGGTTGGCAGAGGTCACTAGTGTGGCTGCAGCTGGGAGCTTGCCAGAACACAGCACATCCAAATGGCCTCTCATCCTCTACCCCATCTCCCCACAGGCCCTCTCATGTCTAATTTCTCTTCCTTAGCATCTTCCTAAGGGCTGGCCTTGGCAGCCCCATGATATCACCTCTGCCACATTCCACAGGACAAAGCAAATCACAAGATGAGCCCACGTAGGGGAGTTTACTCCATCCTTCGTGTGAGGCGGGGGGACAGGTGCACTCAGGGAGGGGCTGCTGCGGGCTCTGTCTGCAGACAGTGACTACAAGGACTTTTCCGTCTCACTCACAGCCCTACCCTTAGTGTCTGAAGCTCTGCCTGCATAATAGGTGCTTAAGAGATGTTCACTGACGAATGGGGAGCATCTGTGCAAGACGTCTTGTCCCTGGAGGAACTCAGGAGCACTTGGGTGGCCACATGAGAGCTGTGCTCTGGGAGGACTCTGCCTTGGGAGAGAAGACCCTAGAGAACCCTTCTGATCAGTTCTAACCTCCTGACATCTCCGCGGCTGCAACAGCAGCATGACGGGCGTGAATCACGCTGCCCTTGAACGTGACTGGAGAAGGCGGTATTTACAAGTCTACTGTGGGCCCATATTAAACTTCACTTTGACATAGGCTCACTTCTTTGGCAGTGAGAGTGAAAGGGGTGGAGTGAGTGTGCCACGCTAGTTGGCTCCGGGACACAATGGGGCTGGCGGCTGGAAGAGGATAAGGGACAGGTGAGAGACAGGCATCCAGGCTTTGGCGCTAAGATTAACTGTTCACTTTTCTTTAATTGGCACCGTTCATGTCCATGAATATACTAAATATGTTTGGATACCTACGTTTTTTAAGCCTTGGAATTTTGCACTCTGTTTCTAAAACAGGGTAAGGAATTTCACAAATTAACTCATTTGGCTAAGTGCATACCCCATGGGATCTACCAGTCGAACTGTGGGGAGAGGCTGGCCCTGCCCCCTGGCCATACCCCTTCTGAGCCGCCCTCTTCCACATCCAGCCGCTGCTCCCTCCCAGGAGAGGCAGGCGGTCCTCTGACCTTGGTCCTCTGCATACGCTCTTCTGGCTTCCAGGATACCTGTCTCCTGGGCTGAGACTTCCTCACTCTTCATGCAGTGAAGCCATGACCATCACCCCCAAAGCAGGGTGGGACTCATCATTGGAAGAGGTCTCTATCATCATGTGGGTGTGTTTCCTTTTTTTTAAACAACTTTTAATTAATTTAATTTAATTTTGAGAGATAGGATCTTGCTCTGTCATCCAGGCTGGAGTCCAGTGTGCCCATCATGGCTCCCTGCAGCCTTGACCTCCTGGGCTCAAGCAGTCCTCTCGCCTCAGCCTCTGGAAGAGCTGGAACTATAAGCACACATGCACCACCACTGCCCCCCTTTTTTTTTTGTAGGAACAGGGTCTTACTCTGCTGTCCAGGCTGATCTCAAACTCCTGGGCTCAAGTGATCCTCCTGTGACAGCTTCCCAAAGTGCTGGGATTACAGGCTTGAGCCACCACACCCGGCCTGTGTTCATTTTCCATTGCTGTTTTTTTTTTATTTTTTATTTTTGAGATGGAGTCTGGCTCTGTCTCTCAGGCTGGGGTGCAGTGGCAGCATCTCAGCTCACTGCAACCTCTGCCTCCTGGGTTTAAACCATTCTCCTACCTCAGCCTCCCAAATAGATGGGATTACAGGCACCTGCCACCACACCCAGCTAATTTTTGTACTTTTAGTAGAGATGGGGTTTCTGCATGTTGGCCAGGCTGGTCTCAAACTCCTGACCTCAGGTGATCTGCCTGCCTCAGCCTCCCAAAGTGCTGGGGTTACAGGCATGAGCCACCACACGCAGTCTCCATTGCTGTTTTAACCAATGATCACAAACTTACCTGGCTTCAACAACACAGATTTACCACCTGGCATCTCTGGAGGTGAGAAGCCTGATGTGGGTATCACTGGGCCCATGTTCAGGTGTCCAAGCTCCACTTCGTCTGGAGGCTCCAGGATAGAATGCACGTCCTTACCTGTCCTTGGTCCAGAGCCCACCCACACTCCTTCACTCACCGCCCCTTCCTTCACCCTCAAAGCCAGCGATGCTGCGTCCATGTCCATCAGTGCCTTTCTTAGCTAGGTCTCCCTCTAGTTGACTCTCTCATTCTGCCTTCTTCCACTTTCCAGGCCTCTTGTGACTACATTTGGCCTTCTTAAATAAGGCAGAATAATCTCTTCATTTTGAAGTCAACCAGCCTTAATGCCACCTACAGCTTTAATTTCCCTTTGCCATGTAACCTGACATATTCCCAGAGCCTTCCTGGGGTGGGGCTGAGGGTGGGGGATTGTTCTACTGACCACATGTTTTTCACACATTGTTGTTGCTCTTTGACTTGGCTGTGTCTTCGTCTAGACATGTGTTGTCCAATACGATAGCCACGAGTGTAGCAGCCATTAGTTATGGAATTCCAGTTAAGTAAACTTAAATAAAAATAAAAATTCACTTCCTCAGTTCCACAAGGGCCATTGCAAGTGCTAAATGGCCATAGGGTTGAACCACCAGGCTGAACGGTGCAGACACACAACATTTGCATTATCACATCAAGTTCTTTTGGAGAGCACTGGAGACTGTTCTCTAAGGCCAGGGTGGTACGTGGCTTATCTTCAGATGCCCACTGCTTAGCGGCTTTGTAGCATCAAGCTGGTACCCAAACGATATGCGGCAAGTGGATGAATGACTGTCACAGGCTATCCTAAAGTAGAGGGAGTGAGTCATCTTCTGCCCCTCATTTCCAGTGGACACACACAGATACAGCTATTTCTAGCAGCCTGAATGCCGTAACGTTAAGTGTTTATGGAGAAAGCGAATAATAAGGATTCATTTGTGAAAATTATTTTAACTTGGAAACAACTGAAGAGTTACAGGTTGAAAAAGGCAATTAATGTTCCAATGATGAAAGTAGCCAGAGGTAGACAGAATTTGCTCTTTGTCATTTGCTCATACTGGGCTAAAAAATGGCAATTATCTTTTTCTGCAAATCAGATTTTTAAAAATCTAATTCAAGTTTTTCCTTTTTTATCTTTGAAACTCTGCCATGCCTCTGTTCCAAAAAGGGAGGCGCGTGTGTGTTTTTGTATGTGTGTGTTAGTGTGTAGGTAGGAGTAGAGTTAAGGGTAGACCAATAAATTTAAACCTAAAATAATTAAAGTGATTTTAATCTTCCAGCTATGGTAAATGTGTCTGCCATCAAAATGGGTCCATTCATTGGAAACTACACATCATGCTAAGTCACTGTATGCTGAAGGCTTTGGATAATATGCAGAGGGAGCCCCAGTGATAGGAATTGGCCATCAAACCAGGCTGTCCACTGGCTTCCAGCAGCTGGTAAGTGTTTGGATCATAGGGAGGTGGGAGTGGAGGTGGAGGAGCTGGTCATGCTCTCGAAGGCTGCATGGTGCCTGGCGGCGGGGAGGCAGCAGGAGCAATCGGAAGCCTGGGAGCAAACAGGGTGCAGGTTCGTGGGGCCTTTACTCCGAAGACAACTGCTGCCACATCAGCATGGCCCTCTGCAGCATGAAGTGCATTGCATTCACCATTCAGGAAGGGAAAAAAGGATGTTTTAAAGTGGAATTTAATACAAATATAACTATCTGCTCCTAGCCCCCGCCCCTTTCTTTCTGGCTATTAGAGCAGAAGCAGAATAACTGTCCTACTTTTTCACACCAGCACATTCAGTCTTACTATGATTCTCGAAGAATGTTAATTAGGGGAAAATACCTTAGTTGTTAAAAAATGTAAACATCCACGCTTCTTCTTCACTACAATCTTTTCAGAACATGATATTCGGAGCTGGGCTTTAGAACTTCAGCATCATATCATTTGGTTGAAAGATTTTTCTTCTTGACTTTCCAAGAAAAAAAAATCATTTGTGAACTGGCATATTGGCTCCATTTGTTCAGGCAAAACAAGGTGTTTTCTCATCCCACAGTGGGGGTACTTTGAAGCTAGCTGCTTTAGTGAATGCTTTGTGGCCAAGAGAAACA
The DNA here is from genome assembly GCF_000001405.40 of Homo sapiens. Taxonomy (NCBI): domain Eukaryota; kingdom Metazoa; phylum Chordata; class Mammalia; order Primates; family Hominidae; genus Homo; species Homo sapiens. The sequence continues at coordinate 3,868,531 of NC_000005.10, forward strand.
AAGCAGGTTCTCGAAAGAAATGAAATTAATTATCTCCATTTGCTACATATACAATATTCTATGCATTAAGTACACCATTAATATATACAAACACTCTATGTTGTACAGTGTTTTATTAAATTCACTTATCTTGTCCTTTCACTTTATTATTACATTACAGAATAAAAAACTCCACTAACATATCTTGTGTCAGATAATTGTATTTCATTTTTTTTCTCTTCTTGGAAATACAGTACCCTCATAGAATATCCAAAAAAGATAATTCATATTCAGATTCAACTAAAATTAATCAAGTACTTACTTTGTACAGACACGGCATTGGTAGCTTTGATATACATTATGTTATTAATGAGGAAATTATTTATCAAACCTCAGTTTTTTATCAAAACTAAATAACCAAAAATATTTATCAAACCCTCAAATAAAGATATTATCCTACACTCAATGTATCTCCTTTATAAATTTTATAGAATTGTGAATTTGAAAACTAATGGGGAGAAAATTACTTACAACTCAACCAAAAAACAAACAACCCCATTAAAAAATGGACAGAGGACTTACAACTTCTCCCAAGAAGATATGCAGATGGCCAATAAGCACATGAAAAGATGCTTGACATCTTTCATCATTAGGAACATGCAAATCAACATCACAATGAGTTACCACTTTCCACCCTTTGGGAGGGCTCCTGCCCAAAACAACAGCAACAATAAAAACCAGAAAATAAGAAGCGTTGGCAAAAATGTGGAGAAATTGGAACCCTTAAGTCATTGCTAAGGGAGCGGTGGAAAATGGTATAGCTAATGTGGAAAATAGGTATGGCAGGTCCTCAAAAAGTTAAAAATAGAATTACTGATTCATCCAGCAATTCTACTTCTGATGAAACATATACCCCAAAGAATTGAAAGCAGACACTTTAGCAGATATTTGTACACCCATCATCCTAGCAGCATTAATTTCAATAGCCAAAAGGTGGAGCATCCCAGGTGCCCATGGATGAATGGATAAACAAAATGTGCCCATGGATGAATGGATAAACAGTGAATGAATAAACAAAACGTGGCATCTACGTACAACAGGATATTATTCAGTCTTAAAAAGGAAGGAAATTTCGACCCGGGCTACGACATAGGTCAGAATAGAACCTTGACATTATGCCACTTGAAATAAACCAGACACAAGAGGATAAATACTGTTTGATTCCAGTTATATCAGACAACTAGAGTAGTCAGATTTGTAGAGACAGAAAGTCTAACAGTGTTTTCTAAAAGCCCGAGATAAGGAAGAGGAGGATTTAGTGTTTAACAGGTATAGAGTCTCAGGTGGGGATGATGAGAAAGTTCTGGAGATGGATGGTGGTGATGGTTTTATAACAATGTGAACTTGCTTAATGCCACTGAACGGTACACTTAACATGACTAAATGGGATAATTTTATGTTGTGTATATTTTACTATAATAAAAATATTACTAGTGTAAAAACTATTACAAAGTTTAGGGAAAAAATCTAGAAAGAGCAGAGTATAATATAAAATGATGAAAAATGTCTTTCAGATTTACAGATGTCTTCAAAGTCAATGTAGGAAAATGAAACTGTGAATTATTTAGGCATCTTTTTAAATGACAGTTTAAAAGGTGTGAGTAAATATCAATGATGCCGTGCATAAAGATGTTAATGGGAGAACTGCCAACTGATCCTCTGTGGCAGGGTGGGGGACTTGGGGGGGCGGTTGGTACCGTCTCCATAATCGTAATCACCTAATGGGTTGGCCTCCCAAGGGCCTCCTTCCTCTGTTCTCTTGTTCTGCTGGAGAATGTTTTGTTTCAGATTCTGAGTAAACTTTCTACCTTCTTCTTTCTCCTTTTGACTTTCCAAGCTCCCGATGGACTTCTTAATTCATGCAGTAAGCCACTGCAGTTTAAGCACGCAGGCTCCGGTCAGGACTGGGCAGGTTAATATTCCATCCCCTAGACTAGAACTGCAGGAACATGACACCGTGAAGATGAACAACAATGTGTGTCCCCTTCCATGCTTACTGAAAAACACGACACCGATGCCTAGAGACTCTGCCACACGGAGCAGAGTACAACAGGGCTCTGCTGTGTTTAGAGAACAGGATGGTTGGCAAGACTGAATCATTCAGACCTAAAAGTACTTTTATCTTTTATTAGTAGTTTTACAAAAGTAGTTTTATAAAATGCATTGCATTTTTTCTGGATGGAATCAGAGATTATACCCACAAATAAATTGTAACTGGAGTGCATTGTATTACAATTCACTGACTTCACACGAGACTTAAACATGAAATTATTCCCTTAAGAGTACATTCAAGTAAAATTTAAGGAGAAATAAGCACATCTGTAACTGAGATTTAGTTCTTTTCAAAAATACTTAGAAGGTAATGTGCTCTGCATGCAGGGCTCTGTGTGGAACAGGATGGGGGCGGGGCAAAGCTGAATCTCTGCAGGTCCACCCCAGGCCTCTGCATGCAACAGGGTGAGGGTGGTGGGAAGCTGGACCTCCACAGGTCCACCCCAGGGCTCTACGTGGGAGAGGGCGAGCGCAGGGGGAAGCCAGATCCCCACAGGTCCACCCTAGTTGGACCAAATCACCCTGCATAGGAGATTTGGATGTGTAATTTACTACTATTCGCTAAAAGAAAATTCCCACACACGTGCCACACACATATTCATGTGTATGTCCATGTCTGTAAGTTATTAGGAAATCTCAGCATTCTCTTTCTGTATATAGGGGTGAAAATGTAATATCTTTTCCTCATCCCTTACAAAGTTCATGGCTGACAACCATGTGACAGAAGACAGGTTAACAAGAGAAAAGTATGTAAGTGTTACAGGACGTGAGGCCCTCCAGAAATGAAGACACAAAGCCCCAGGAGGTGGTTATTTTTTTTCTTCGATTGGATGAGGAATGAAGGGACAGTAGTGTGGGTGTGCGACTGGACAGCGGGTATGACTGAGTGGTGATAACTGAGGGGAGGATCAGCTGGGTTGTGTGTTAGGATTTTTCTGTGTCTTTTTGTCTCCACTCCTTTCCTCTGGCTATGCAGCAGGGCAGGACACCTGTGCCAGAGGGGCTTTCTTTGAGAAAGGCTGGAGAAGGTCAGAGGTCATCCTTCCTGCTTCCACAATTGTTTCCTTTCCCTCAGCTTGTCTTCATGTGATACTCAGCACACCACTGTGCCATTTATTGGGGGTATTGTGTTCTGTGCCCTGAGAGGTGGTACAAAAATTCAGAGGCCAAACGTTGGCCCCATTAGCCATTTCCTGAGCATTGCTCTGGCCAAGTATTTATTATTTTAGAAAGAAAGCCTGATAAGCACCAACGCATCTTCATCCCATACATGACACTGTTTTGCAGGAATTCCACTTGTATCATACTGGGACCCAGTAACCCCGCATTCTTCCAGCTCCGTCCTGCTGCAGGAGCCGGGAGCAGGACAAACCCTTCAGCCCCATTTGTGTCGATCCCTGATTGCTGACTCCATGCATTAGAAATACACTCCTTCTCTTTACTATCACAAGGCGACAGCTCGAGAATCTCACCTTAAATGTAAGATAACCATTCTGGGGAGTAGGTTTTACACAGAAACAGTGATGTGGGCCACTTTAAGAAGCCCTTTAAACACCTCTGGTGGGAAGCCCTGGGAATCAAGGAAAGGTGGGCATAGGTAGGGGATGGTAAGCCAGGCTTGCCATGCTCATGAACAGAGGGTGGGCAGGCTTGCAAGGAAGAGTGACAGAGGAGAAGTGCATGCCAGGGATGGGGGAAGATGGTGTGGGGACCCAGAGTCTCCATCCCATGCGAATGGATTGTGAGGGGAGTAAGGAAGAACACCAACATCCATCTCTCACAGCGATACCTCTTCCGTGAGAAGTAAACATTTCTAATCCTTTTTGTTAATTATTCTAGCAGGCAAGGACAGATACAGAGCAGGCAGGGCACGGAAAGGGATTGTAGACCCAAACTCCCCCTTCATTGTGTCCACATTTGCACAGAGAAAGAATTCAAGACCCCATAAAGATAATTTTGGTCATCCTATGTTTGATATTTCTAGTAAATGTTTATTTTAGAGATTTCAAGATGATTGGATCAGCTTAAACTCATAGGATAGTATTCAGTCTTAATTTTCTAGACAAGCTTCCCTTAGTTTGGGCTGAATTGAGGTAAAGTGGAAATGTACCACTTCTACATAGGAGTGAAACATGAAATGTCTAGGTCCTAATACAGGATTTGACATTCTCCTGGCTGTTTTCCACTTTCTGAGCCTAAAGAGAGTGGCAGGTGTGTGTGATGCTAGATAAAAATGAAGGTGATTGGGGGCCTGGTGGAGATAGTGCTGCCTTTAACCAGAAGCCCAATCCAGAAGAGGGGTTAAGGCAATATATGTGGCTCCATGGCTCCTCCTATAGAATGTCTTCTCTTGACACCTTAAGTTTTTAAGTTTTCAAAGCCTGCAGAGCACTAATTTCTGGAGCCTCCTCTAGTTAACACAAACCCAAAATAATTTAGAGAACATAAGACCTGTTCTTATTAAAAACTCATATTGACATCCCCATTAGAATGGCAAAAATCCAAAGTACTGACAATATCAAATGCTGGTGAGGATGTGGAGCAACAGGAACTCCCATTCATTCCTGGTGGCAATGAAAACTGTACAGCCACTCTGGAAAACAGTTTCATGGTTTCTTACAAAACTAAACATACTCTTACCCTATGATCCAGCAGCTGTGCTCCTTAGCATTTGCCCAAAGGAGTTGAAAACTTATGTCCAAGAAAAAACCTGCACACAGATATTTATAACAACTTTTTTCATAATAGCCAAGAGTTGGAAGCAACCAAGATGTCCTTTAGTAGGTAAATGAATAAATAAACTGTGGTTCATCCAAACTTTGGAATATTATTCAGCACAAAAAAGAAATGTGCAATCAAGTCATGAGGAGACATAGGGGAAACTTGAATGAATATTACTCAGTGAAAGAAGCCAATCTGAAAAGGCTACACCCTGTGAGTCCAACTATAGGACATTTGGTAAAAGCAAAACCATGGTGACAGTCAGAAGATGAATGGTTGCCAGCAATTCAAGGGAGAAAGGAATAAATAGGTAGCATGCAGGGGATTTTTAGGGAGGAGAAATTGTGCTGTATAATACTATCACAGTGGATAGAGGTCAGTATACATTTGTCCAAAACCATAGTATTCACAACACCAAGAGTGATCCCCCAGTGTGAATGATGGGCTTTGGGTGACAATGATGCACTGATGTGTCAGTGTGGGCTCATCACAGTCTGGTGGGTGATTCCCATAGTGAGGGAATCTGGGCATGTGTGAAAACTCTCTGTACTTTCTGCTCAATTTTGCTGTGAACCTGAAACTGCTCTTCAAGCATCATAGAAGACTTGAACACTTAACCAAAAAAGATAAGGAATCCCTGATAAGCACATGAAAAGATGCTCAATATCATTAGCCATTAGGAAAACACAAATTGAACCACATTGAGCTACCACTACACACCTACTAGAATATCTTTATAAAGGCGAGAAACACTTACAGTACCATGTGCCAGTGCGCATGTGAGTCCACCAGGGCTCTCCCGCACTGCTAGTATGAATGCGGGATGGTACGATGAGCTGGGAGAATAGTTTGGCAGGTTCTTAGAGAGAGAAACATGTATTTATCACACATCTCAGCCCTTTTACTCCTAGGCTTTTGCCTAGAAGTGAAGACATGCTTTCACACAAACACTTGACACATGTTCACAGCAGCAGGATGCATGATATCCAAAAAATGGAAACCACCGAAATGTCCATCAACTGGTGGATGGAGAAACAAATGCTGCTCCATCTATTCAATGGAATTCTACTCAGCAATAAAAACGAATAGTGAGGCTTGAGTGAATCCACACGTGGGCAAACCACAAAAGCATTATTCCAAGTGAAGGAAACCAGGCCCAAAAGGGTAGCAAGTGTATTATTCTGCTGATGTGGCACTGTGGGAGAGGAACCTCTAGGGACAGAAATCAGACCTGCACTGCCAGGAGTTAGGGGTGAGGGGGAAAGGGTCACTCCAGAGGGGCACAGGGGAGGTTTTTTGATTTGACGGGATTGGTCTCTCTTGACTATGGTGGTGGTCACACAACTTCAAACACTTGTCAAAACTCAGAAACACAAAAAGGGGATTCTTACTATACATATATACATTATGTTTCAGTAACTTTGATTAAATAAGCCATATTGAATCAAACATTGTTTCTTAGTTAGGTTTGATTTTTACTACTTCTCTCGGGCATAAGACAAAATAACATTTCCTGTGCTGATCTAAGAGGGAGAGAAAACAAGGCTCATGCTGTAGAGTGCTGTGGACTCTCCCAGATGGATCTGAAGGCAGATTCCATGTCGTTAGAAGTGTAGGCAAGACATGGGTAACATTCTCCAGGCGGCAGACAAGGCAAAGGCCATTGGTCTGTTCTTGCAATTATCAGGGATACCTAAGGAAGGGGATAAGAAAAAGGGAAGGGTCAGGTGTGGTGGCTCATGCTTATAATCCCAGAAATTTGGGAGGCTGAGGCAGGAGCAATGCTTGCACCCAGGATTTGGAGATCAGCCTGGGCAACATAGTGAGATCCTTCTCTATAAAAGAGAAAAAGAAAGGGGAAGGACACAGAGCAAAGCATGGGTGTCTCAGACCGGAACTGCCTCACACGCTCCCCACAAAAACGAAATACCTCACTGCTCCCGGCTCACGGCTGGGGTTGTGTATCCTGGGCCACAGCACGCCCAACACACTCCGCTTGAATCACCAGCTCAATGCCATTGTGTCCTTCAGGGCTCTGCCCAGGGCCAGCGTGGAGCTGTGTGTGACGTGGAAACATTTCATTTTGTTCACTTCAAAAATCATCCTTTGGCATTTCAGTTCTTTTCGCAAACTGTGTATGCTTTCCTTTATAAGTTGATTTATTCTTAGGAATCACTTTTCTCTTAGTGTATTTGGAATACTGAAAGTTATTTTTAGACACAAGGATTAACTGACTTTCAATTCAAGTTTCTTTTACAACCTTGACAAACGGCTCTTCACTTTTGGGTGACTTTTTTTTAAAGATAATATTAAAAGAGACTGATATTTTAGTACTGAAATCTCAAAACTGCTGCATATTACCTACTATATTTTTAAAAATTCTAAAACCTCAATAAATTTCAATACTTTCTTCTTGTGTATGAGATCACCCATTCTACTCCAGTATGAAATGGTACCCTAAGTTGTTAATTTAATAAAATTGTATTTTCTTCCTCCTGAAGTCATCCCTACCCCCTAAATCTCCCAACTTCACAATCTACACGCACCCACCCCCCCACAGATTCTTTGTTATTGCACTTATATTGCCTTTTTAAAATCATCAGATTTTTAACTCTCCCTGTCTATGGCCTAAGCTAGTCGCCAGTGAGGCTTGTTCAGGGAGAAGTCATGCTTTATTACCCTTTATCAATCAATAAAATGAATTTTATTTTGCTTATGCTATAAAATCTGCATGAAGGCAGAAGGAACCCCTGTTTGGGGTGTTTGTGTGGAGCCCAGGAGCAGAGGCAGCCTGCACTCCATCATGCATAAAAGGAGAAATGGTATTTATAAGCCCACTCGCGTGAAGCTTGAGTGGGCAGATTCATGAAATTCGCCGAGATTTGGATTACATTTAAACCATTCTATACAGCTCTACTTTTGATTAAGGCTGTGTGTGCCGTGAAAGCCTCCCATTTGAATAGAACTTGGATTTTTAAGAACTTTGAATGTGCGCTAATCTAAATTGAGCTCTGAGTCTGATCTCGAAGTGTACAGTGGGTCAATTTACAGTCAGTATTAAAAGGGGCACAAAGGAGAGAGCACTGCCTCCCGAGAGAATTCTAGCTTTGGATCTGAGTTTATTAATTTTGGGATCAACGTAGAGGTGACTCACTCCAATTGCACTTATTAAATGATGAGACTTAAAGTCCTTAAGTAGAAGACTCCAGCAAGACAATTGAAATCAACAAAGGAGGAGAAAAAGGTTTTCACGTGTACACACCCACACACTCATCCCTAAAAAAGAAAAGCTTACCCGAATAGCCTCACAAGGCCCCAGAAATGAACGTTTCTCTTTTTCTTAATAGTAGTGATGGACTCATTTTATCATAGTGCTTTTTTTAAAAAGCTATTTTTGATCTGACTCTGCCAACCTAGTCCTTCTCCTTTATGTAATACTCTACCTGTCTGTCTATGCCTGTTTCTCTTTTTTCTGATCACCAGCAGATGTGGCCTGAACATCCTGTCTCGAAGCTTATTTTAATATCTTATAAAAAAGAGTCTCATCTTCCTGTCCAGGAGCTACAGGATAAGTGAAGTTTCACCATCCGTGGTCTCTGAGTGCTGGATCTCTCACTGGGAAACCCCTTCATGGATACCAGCCCTGCTTCCACGTGTGCCGAGCAGGTGGACGCCCTGCTCCTATTTTCAATCAATTGGGATGGCGAAGGTCCTATATCTTCTGTAAAACTCCATGGTGCACTTGGGAGAAAATGAATGAGAGAATAGAGACAATTAATGTATTTATTAAACACAATGTCTTTATTCCAAGTATAAACATATTGAATAATATATGAAGAATATTAAATATTTGATGAAAATATGATGTCTCGGAAAAAGGAAGTGGTTCCAGATTGATAATTATGTGGATGATGAAGGCAGACAGAAATTTTTCTATCAAAATTTGGCAAAATATAACAGTTTATGCTCATTTTATGTAATGATATTCTCAATTACCCTGTAAGAAGATTCCAAGTCCCTGGGCCATCACCAGGGGACCCCACAGTACATCATGTTCATCTCTTTCTCAATTTCCACGCATGAGACCTCATGTCTCATTGGCCCTCTCTCCTTGCTCCAGGTGAGAAGACAGTAAACGCCTGTGTGTAGCTGGAGATCCTGGTGAGTCCAAACAAATGCAATCATTTGGGGAAACAGAGATGCCAAACTCAACACAGACAGAAGCCCCAGAGGTGGAATCCAAGTGAAATAACTGTGTCATCAACAGACAATTATTTAAAAAAAAGTTCAAAAACAATTACAAAGCTCTATAATTGTAAATTGGGAAGTTCAGGGTACCAAAGTGGAACTTATACTTGTTTATTGTTATTAGAAAATTGGCAGGATTATTATCCTGCACCTAATACACAATGCTAAATATTTCTTGTCATCTACCAAAAGATACATTCCCAATTCACTGGCAGGAGACATTTCGTGGGTAAGATTTGTGGCAAGTCGTAAGGAGGTTTTACTAGAACCCACCGTGTAAGGAATGAAGTCACTTAAGAATAATTTCTGGTAACACCTGAGGTGTTCATGCTCAGACGGATCCACTCACCTGGAGAACGGCTGAGTCAGGACTCTCAGCTCTTGACTCCAGCATCCCAGTGGACAGTTTTCATATGGATGTAAGCACAGGGGCCCTTAAACCTGTTGCAGGAATCTCGTGTCTAACAAGGAGATGGCTTACCTTCAAATCAGCTGTAAGTTAGCTGGAAATTCAGAATGCAATCCAACAGAAAACTGAGTTCAATTCCTAGGTCAGTCTATGACATTCTGTAGAACGTACATTGTAATCGAACTATGTAGATTACTTGCAACATCTACTAAATGGAGGAAGAACAATTCATGAATTAAAGGTGTTTGTAAAAAACAGAGAACTACAGTGGATATTACACTGGACTGAAGTAGCCATCCACGACTCAGCTTCCAGGCCCAGCTCTTCCACCTATTAGGTGAATTTGCCTATTACATAAACTTGCTTCCTGTGTGAGTCCATTCATGCTGCTATAACCAAATGCCACAGATTGGGGAACTTACAGAGAAAAGGTATTTACTTTCTCACATTTCTAGAGGTTGGGAAGTCCCAGATCAAGGCATTAGCATGCTGGGTGTCTGGTGAAGACCCGTTTCACATAGGCAGTGTGGTCTTGGTGTCCTCACCCAGCAAGAGTGTGGAAGAGAATGGACACTACCTCAAGTTGCTGTGTAGAGCCCCTCATCTCATCCATGAGAGCTTCATGCTCGTGGCTTAATCCCCTCCTACGGGACCCACCTCTTAATGCTGTCAGGTTGGCCATTAACTTTCAACCTATGGATTTTGGGGAATGCACTGTGACCATAACACCCACACATAACTTTCTCCATTTAAAAGTTGAGAACATTGTATTAAAAAGTTTCTAGCAGTCTATTTAAGACCTTTCTTTTCCAGTAACTCACCAGTTTCCAAATGTTAACATTTGGCATGTGATGTGAACATTTCAGTTTGTTGCACTACGTTTACCTGAGTTTCTGCTCTCTGCACAAAAAGCACCCCTCCATTTGTATAACAATATTCGCAATCATAAGAAGACATTAATTGTCTTTATTCTCTCATTCATTTTCTCCCAAGTGCATGGTGGACTTTTGCAGAAAGTATAGGACCTTGGCTGACCCAATTGATTGAATACAGGCGCAGAATGATCAACTGTCTTCTATTAAGTCAGACATAAAAAAGGTATCCAAAAATGTGAAACTATGCCACCCGTCTCACTCACTATTTCCTGTATTGTTTCGGAAAACATCTATTTTCATTAAAATATTATATATGTTAACATGCCATGGATTCATATTTAAAAGATCACATACATAGCTAGCATTTTTCTCAATTTTAGTTTCTAATATGATAAATATTGATGGATTAAATCCACATGAACAAAAGCTCTTTCAGGTTCTTCAATAATTTTTGAGACCATGAAGGGGGCACTGAGATAAAAAATCAGTGAGAACCATCAGGTTAGCAAATGTGTATCGTTTTATTATTAACCTAACTCAAACAACAAATTCTATAAAGCAAATCAAATGAAATGAGAATAGGTTTATTGTTATTATTATTATTATTATTTTGTGATTATTTTTAGAGTCAGGGACTTTCTGTATCACCCAGGATGAAGTGCAGTGGTATGATCGTAGCTCACTGCAGCCTCAACTTCCTCCCTCCTCAGTCTCCCGAGTAGCTGGGACTACAAGCACTCATCACCACACCTGACTAATTTTTCAAATATTTTTTTCAATGACAGTGTCTCACCATGTTGCTCAGGCTGGTGTTGAACTCCTGGGCTCAAGCACCCACCTCAGCCTCCCAAAGCCCTGGGATGACAGGTGTGAGTTGTAGTCCCTTATTAGCATGTCCTACATCACTGATGAATAATCCTTCTCCCCCAACTCTCCTTCTCCTCCTCTTCTGTTCTTCTTCTCGCCTTTCCTCCCCATGCCTTTCTCCCTAGCCCATGGCTGGTGTCGTCCCTCAGTTTTCTGGTGGGTAAGCAGAAGCTCACCCCATCTTCTCCTGTGCTTTCAGCCTTACCTCAGTCTCCTGAATCCCAAGCCCTCAGAGGCAGCCCCATCTCCCTTGGGCCGCTCCTGGTCCTAAGAGTGACCTGCCCTGGGGGTGCTGCACCCATCACCTGGGCTTGAGGATCTCTAATAAGGCTTTTGTCTCTTAGCAAACCTCCTGCAGGGTCGGTGCATGTCACACATTAAAGACAGCTCTGTACATGGTTCTGGGCAGCATGGTGCTGGTGGGGGGATTCTCAGTAGCTCCATGAAGAGGGCATTGCTGCACCCTGATGCTACCCTGGCTTGTCGGAGAGGTCCAGGCGAGTCTGCAGGGCAGCATGCACAGTGAAGAAAGGAGTGAAAAGCTCCTGCCTTGTCTGATGCACACAGGACAGACTGCTGGCAGCAGTGGGTTCCCACTGAGCCCCAAGAGAAAGAATGGCCACTGTTAGGGAAACCCTTGTAGAAATAGTGGGCATAATATTCAATGCAGTCTAAAGAAAAAATGGATTAAAAAATATTTGATGATCAAGGACTTGGTCTGAGGTCAGCTCCCCCTTCCCCGCTTTCCCCTCAGCCAGGGACTCCGCTCTGCTCCAGGTGTGTTGGTCGGATATGGGGCATCCTCTCTTTTCCTTTTCTCATTTCCATGGCCCCCGTCCCTCCCTCTCTTCTTCTGTCCCTTCCTACCTCCATCTTCTCTATTCCTTTTCCTCTCTGCCTGTTTTTCACTCTACTTTCTTCCTTTCCTTCCTTTCTTTCTTTTCTCCATTTCCATGGCTTTATACTCAAGCCTCTGTGGTTGTGAAGAACATAAAGACGCTGTGTAAATTGTGGGAGCCCAGAGGTTCTCGTAATTTGGGGTCTGAGGACCCTTTTATACTCTTAAAAGGAGCTATGCAAATTAGGACTGAGATTTATTGACCTTCCACAGAGGGGACATCCAGAACCAGTGACAGAGGCACAGCTGGAGCTCGGGCCGGCTCCGGACTCAGACCCTGGTTCTCTCCGGGTCTCTGCCCCCTCTCTCTTGCAGCCCCTCCCTCCTGCCTTCCTCAGACCCCTAGGGCCCCTCCTGTCCTTGTCATTTTTGTTTTTGTTTTATGCTCTTTCCTGCAGACTGGCCGCCTGCTCCCTGTTCCTGTGTCCTCTGCTCTGTGGGTTCCACGTGGCTTTAGTTTGCTCCACTTTGACTCATCTGCAGGGAGCTTTCAGCTGAAGGCCCTGGGGGTGCATGAAACCTGAAATCATAATTTCATGATTGATCCTGCCTCCTGTCTTTACCCCTTTGATGACACTGCTCTCATCAGTGGACCAGTGACTGCTCTGTCCCTGCAGGGTAGTGGGGATATGCTTGTGCCCGGGCTCAAGACCAGCTCAGGGCTCACTCGGGATTCAGGTGCATGGCCACCCAAGCATCCCTTTCTTATGTGCAGAGCCCAGGTTGGGCCGTCTGGCTCAGTGGAGGCCTCGGCTGCCTCCTGACTCTGCCACCCTCCCCAGCCTTTGCTGCCCTCTGGATCCAGTCCCAGGTGGCCCTGCCTGAGCTCCTGCAGGACTCTTGGTGCCTGGGGTGTACGTTTTCATCCTGCCCAGAGAGAGGAAGCATGATTGGGTTCTGAAATCTGCCTTGGTAAGTCCTTCTCCTTCCCTGGGATGGGAAGAGGACTTGCAACCACACAGCAAGGCCTGGGACTTACGATGCAGAAACGGGTCCTTTCCTCTCCACGGGGAAGGAAGCATGGGAGGCAGATGCTCAGGTTCCCCCTCAGCTTCTGCTGCAAAACAAACAGCCCCCAGCCTGCCTGCCCTTCCACCAGGCTCTCTCCTGGCCTGCACCAGGCCTCCCCTTTTCTCTAGGCCTTCACGGGCCTTCTCTCAGTTACTGCTCAGGTCTCCCTGCCAGCCCCAGTCATTCTAGGGCAACTTAACCCCCAGGAAGCCTCCGCTACCCCAGACCATGGGGCTCAGGCAAGGCCCTACCTCCAAATTCAACCCTCACCCTTGGGATTCAGCCTGGTTGTCATTTCCTCCACCCCTGACACTCGCATCTGGGCCAGTTCCTCTGTCCAGCCCTAAACTCCCCCATTCACAGGGGACTATGCCCTGTAGCCACAGTGTGTGCTTGCTCTTTCCCCTCTGCCTACCTTCTCTCCAGAGGTTTAGGCTCTGGTCAGGAGAAAGTATGAGGTCTTGTCTGTCACTCAATAGTCTTGGGGGATCATCAGCACTGGATAATATGGTTTGGCTGTTTCCCCACCCAAATCTCATCTTGAATTGTAACTCCCATAATTCCTATGTGTCATGGGAGGGACCCAGTGGAAAGTAATTGAATCATGGGGTTGGGTCTTTCTCATGATATGAATAAGTCTCACAAAATCTGATGGTTTTATAAAGTCAAGTTCCCCTGCACATGCGCACTCTTGCCTGCTGCCATGTAAGACATGACTTTGCCCCTCATTCGCCTTTAGCCATGATTGTGAGCCCTCCCCAGCCATGTGGAGCTGTGAGTCAAACCTCTTTCCTTTATAAAGTATCCACTCTCGGTTATGTCATTATTAGCAGCGTGAGAACAGACTAATACACTGAGGATCTCCATCAAGCTGCCATCATCTTACTTGCTGTCTCTCACCTGCTTGGGCCCTACCTGTTAAACCGTGCAGAAGCCATGCAGCCAATTGCTTGCCTGGACATCCTCTCATGATAAGCATGGCTCCCTCAGACCCTGTGATCTCCAGGCATGACACGGAGGGGCAATGAATGAGAGAGGACAGTTGTGGGGTCATGGGGATGAGGTGGGAAACGAAGAGGCCCTCCCAGGGGTTGTTATGGTGGAGGGAGCACCTCTGCAGAGATACTGGGTCAGGAATCCCAGGGTTTAAAGGAATTAGGTGCTGGTAGCAAGTGGGGAAATGGTAGAAAGAGAAAGGAGTTGGATCAAGAAATGCTCAGAGAAGAGGAGCAAGGAAGAGCATTGGAGGTCTGAGTGCTCCTGCAGAGAACTGCTCTCATTTGGAACTGGACCTTGGTATGGACCTGGCCCATTGCGGCCAGGCATCCTCTGGCTGCAGCCTTGTGGATGCACGGGGATAATACAGAGATTGGCAACCATATCACTCTGCAGGTGTGAGCCAGGAGCCCCTGAGATTGGAATCTGGCTGTGTGCAATCCCTTGGCTCCCCACACACAACGTGCACCTGAGGTTCTCTTACCATAAGGGGGGGTCTTGCACTCACACAGCTGATCTGTTGATGAGCCCCAGGAGGGCCCCAGGCATGGGACAGCCAGTGGAGCAGCGTGGGGCCCACGTCTCAGGAGAAACAGATACCATCCTCCAGCTCCTTTGATGACAGAGTGAAGCTTACCAGTGGCGATGCAGGGCCTCTTCCTGAAGGCCGTGTGTGTCCCAGAGCGAGTGAGCTGGTGCAAATCAGTATGTGTGCACGTGCATGCGAGAGTATGTGTGTGTGTGAGTGTGCACACGCGTGTGTACTTGTGTATGGATGTGAACGTGTGTGTGCATAAGTGTGTGGTTATGGGTGTGGACATGAGTGTGTGTTTGTGAATGGGTGAGTGTGGATGAGCAAGTGTGGATGTCCTGGCCACCTCAGAAGAGAGCCCCTTGCTCTCCTCCACAGCCCTCCCTTTTCCATCCTTGGAGGCGAATGAGTTCAGTAGATTTCTATAATTACATACCCTGAATATTCCTCATTAAGCTTTGAAAAATGCTTGCCAAATTCAGGATATTTTATCTAAAATTGCTTTCCTTCAGGCCCCAGTTCCTCTCTACACATTTAATTTAAACTAACAATAAAATGCCCCTATAATGAATATGTGCTGTTGGGAAGGGGAGATGAATATAAAGCTGCGGCCACTTAGTCTTGTCGTGGGTGGGGCACAGATGCTCTGTGCCTCGGTGGTCAGAGAGCCAGGGGCAGAGCAGGCAGCCTGGGAAGCCCACATGGGGTAGGCACTTTACCCCCAGGAGGCCTCTCTGTGGTGTTGGTGACCTCGGGTTGGGGACCTAGGGGGCTTAGGAGGTTTCACCCGGGGTGTGGCCATGGCTGTGCACATCTGCATCCCTATGCCCAAACCCTGCAGTAGCTATGGGTGAAATAAATGGGCACCTTCTTCCTAGTCTTCTTCATTTGGGTCAGAATGTCTCTTCAAAATGTTGACCCATCAGAATGCAAAACCACACCCCTCAAAACCTTTGTGGAAACGCACGTGTGGCCTAGAAGCTGATGTCCTGTTTGGGAGAGCCTAGGGGTTGCCAAACATCAGGTGGGAGCAATTTCATACCCAAATCTTAACATCTGTTGCTCAGGCATGAACCTAGAGTGGCTGGAAATATAATAAGATTTATAACTCTGTTTTAAGCAGATTAATTTTGTAATATTTGCTTTTCACCCTCTGAATTTAATATTCAGATTTAGACATGGGAATTGCCTTATAAAATAACTCATGCCACTCAGTCTCATGCGTCCTGCTGCCTGGCCTGGCCCCCGTGATTCCCTCTGTTCTTCAGTGTCTCCCGCGGCTTGGTGGAGCCGTCACCCTCCCACCTGCATGGGCTGACCGGCCAGGCTTAGGCTTACAGCTCATCCTCCTTCTCTGCCACCAGGTCTGCAATCTCGGCGAGAACCTGTGCAATCTCGGTGAGGACTACCTCAGAGGACAAGTATCTGTCACAGGGGAGTGTTGATTTGAGGTTTCCACTAAAATACCTTTAAAGTAAAGTACAGGTAGCTAGAGTTATCTATAGGTATTTAAAAAAAAAAAAAGAAAAGAAAAGGTAAAATCACTCATGCTGTGCATGAGTTTGCTAGGACTGCCATAACAAAATACCACAATCTGGGGGGCTTGAACCACAGACATGCCTCGTCTCACAGTCCTGGAGGCGGGAGATCTGACATGGAGGTGTCAGAGGAGTGGTTTCTCCTGAGGCCTCGCACCCTGTCTTCTAGATGGCACCTTCCCCTCATTCCTTTACATACTTTTCCCTCTGCACCTGTCTGTGTCTTCATTTCCCCTTCTAATTAGGACACCAGTTATATCAGATTAGGGTCCATCCAGATGACCTCATTTTAACTTAATTACATCTTTAAAGACCCTATCCCCAAATATAGTCACATTCTGAGGTACTTGGGGTTGGGACTTCTACATAGTAATTGTGGGGACATGATTCAGCCCGTAACACCCTCCTACAAGAGTAAACACGAAGGTTCTGACCACTAAGAGGAACAACTGAATGATGTTTCTGGATAATCCCAATGCAGGCAGCAATTTATTTCTATTAAAAATTAATTGGAGAGCATAGAGGAATGAAACCACACTGTCATGTCAACTTGATGTTCCCTTAGACTAGCACTATTAAACAGATTCAACAGATTTAATAACAGATTGAATAGTGCTAGTCTAAGGATCATCACCAAATCCAACAAAGAAAGGCGTTGGTCATTTTTGCATAGAACATCCAATATCAGAGGGAGACATGAGTGGTAACCATATTATTAATATAGATTATTGATTAGTAACAAAATTCTGAAATTACTTCCAGTGTTTCAGTTGTCAGCTTAGTAATATTTCTGCTGGAGCCTGGATCAAAATAAATATTGCAAGATGAGGAGCTCACAAAATTAAAGAACTCTGTAGGTATTAACTTAATATTTTGCTTTTTCTAAGATTATTATTAAAGTATCCTCTGAGCTAAGGAGCCAACGTGTTCCTGATGATTTGCATGCTATCTCATGGCATCTGTGCTGTGGCTCACAGGGTGGACAGTGGCTCACAGGGTGGACAGTGGCTCACGGGGTGGACAGTGGCTCACGGGGTGGACAGTGGCTCACAGGGTGGACAGTGGCTCACAGGGTGGACAGCAGACAGGCCTTTCTTTACTAAAATGACCACTTCACCCTTAGATAATCAGGCCTCTCATTTCAGGGCTCTAAAAGCGAAACGTGGCTGTGCCCTTCCTCAGTCTCTACAGAGGGAAGACCAGAGCAAAGAGAAATTTCCATCCACAAAATGATGGCTGGTCACATTTAAATGTGAGACTTTGGACGTTCCTGGCTTCTGGGTCAAGATCCAGGACACATGTGATACTGCACAAATAAGACGCGGTAGTTTCATGATAAAATGAAAGGATATGTCTTTGCAGGGCCAGGGGTGTGTTGGGAGCTCCGGAAAGCACTCAGCCTGGCCCAGCCTGCCCAGCTGGGGCAGAGTCATGTTCACTCCCTCAAAACCCAGGGAAGAATAAGCCGGACTCCAAATGCGTTTTTCATAAGTGTTCCCGTGTGACAAGCACAAGTGACATACATATTCCAATGTTGATGCGTTTGGCCTGGGCCCTCTTTTATTTGTTTGACCAGGGAATGAAAGGCTGTTTCTCCTGGGACAGGAACAGCCCGTTGCCTTAGGCGAGGTGGGCTTGGGAGACGGTGAGGGGGTTCGCGCAAGGCCTTCTGCTCCCCCCACACAGGCGATGTCGGCAGTTTATGGGTGAAATGGTGGAGCTGGATGTATTCAGTGCCTAAGGCGTGCAACCCACGGTCCCATTGGCGATTGTCTCCTGTCTCTTTTGTCCCTCACATTTTTTGGTGCCATCATCAGCGATTTCCGGAAATTTGGTAATTCACAAGCTCTGAGTGGGGGCCAGTGATCACCTCCCACCTCATTCTTATTTCTGCCTTCACCGCCTATTCTAAATGTGTATAAAAGGATTCGGTATTTTTTTTTTTCAAAAAGGCTGTTGTACAGATAAAAGGCAGTGAAGAAGAAAACAATTTAAAACACCCCTGTCATTGTGGTTTGGGGTATTTACAGCTGCAGAGAAGGCTGCTTCCTGTCACCGTCTGAATGTATAAACTTAACTTGATCACCTTCTAAAGAATTTATGAATCATGGTTAATAATCAGCTGTAGGCACTTCTGAGGGTAGAATCACATTTTGAAGCTACAAAGGTCCCCTAAATAGCTCCTGGGAAATGACCCTGCATCCCATTAAGTATAAAAATTCACTACTGAGCACTTGATGTCAGAGGTAAACCACTTCAGTCTCAACTCACTTCAAAATGTCAAGGAGCCCCTCCACTTAAACACTTGATTAATCTGGAAGAACCTGACCAGACAGCTCCATCTCAGGAGAAGAAAAAAAAAAAAAAAGAATGTGTGTGTGTGTTTTTTTTCTTGAAGAACCTTTTTCTTTGCATTTAAAACACAAAAACCCTTTCTCTCTTTTCCACTCTTCCTCATGTTCGTTATTTTCTGTCGTTAAAACGGCTTTTATCTGGCTTTTATCTTTTCCATATGCCCATGGCCAACATTGCCTCCTCCTCCCACCGTACAAATCTGCCCAGGTGCAGGCTTTATCTGACTGGTGCCAGCTTCCCATTTTCCTATTTAAATGGATGATGTGAAATCAAAGTCAAATGTCAAGGTCAGGAAGAAGGTTTTTTGGTGCATTGTGATCTAAGACACAAATAGAACTCACCTAATAGAAGAAAGTCATAGAGGGTTCCAGGGCAAAGAAAGAAGAGGCATCCAAAACAAAATACAAATAAATCTGCACCTGTTGTCAATATTTACAACATATGTCTGCAGGAATTTGGACTCCTGATCTGATTTGTTCTTTATTATTATAAATAGTTATACATAATTATTATATGTATTACATATTATGCATAATATACTGACAATACAATGAACAGTGTATATCTTATATTTATTTTATTTTATTTTATTTTATTTTATTTATTTTATTTTATTTTATTTTTTGAGATAGAGTCTCTCTCTGTCGCCCAGGCTGGAGTGCAGTGGCGTGCTCTCAGCTCACTGCAAGCTCCGCCTCCCGGGTTCACGCCATTCTCCTGCCTCAGCCTCCGGAGTAGCTGGGACTACAGGTGCCCGCCACCACGCCTGGCTAATTTTTTTGTATTTTTAGTAGAGATGGGGTTTCACCGTGTTAGCCAGGATGGTCTCGATCTCCTGACCTCGTGATCCACCCAACTCAGCCTCCCAAAGTGCTGGGATTACAGGCGTGAGCCACTGCGCCCGGCCACCTTATATTTATTACAATTAATAAAGGATAATAATCCTTCAGGTATTTGTGATTTAAATTAAACTCGGTCTCCTAGATTTGCCAAAAAAGGCATCTCATTTGGAAAGTGTTAAAGAATCTCTGTAATTCCCATAATTATTACAACCATTGTATATCATGGTATTTCCACGGTAAACAGATCAGTTCCTGACTATTTATCAGATCATTCCAGGAATTATATTGTTCAAAGTTGTCTGGGCATGTGGGTGAAATGAAAATGGGGCAAATGCCAGAAACAGCATTTTTGATTCAGTTGTGTGGTTTATGTCATTTTTAATATAGTAATTTATTTCAGAACTCATAAGTGATAGCTGTGTCTTTGACCCGGAGATTAAATCTGCCATTTCAGGTGAAGTTCTGAGCCTTTGTCCAACATTATCATGTGAGGAGCTTGTGTTGCTCCCCTTGGGGGCAGATGGAGAAAGTTCCCGATGGTTCTTGGGCAGCTCCTCACACCTGCAGAGCTCCAGTCAGCCCATGTAGAGCAATGCCGCCTTGCAACATGAGCCTCAGGAACACGATGTAGGCAGCAAGCTTCCGCCACTGCACCAGCAAGACAGCAGGTCCCCAGGTGCTCCTTGGGGCCAGAGCTTGGCCCTTGTTTTACATCCCAAAGATAAAAACCTCACTTGACGGGAAAGGGCTATGTTATCAGGGACTCAAGAGCCCATCTCCAGGTGTGGGAGAGATTTTGCACAGTGCACCACACATTGGAAGCTGGGTCAAGTTTGCCAGCCAAGGGCTTCTTCCAGCCAGCAGCCTCCCAGCTGTTTTCACACACATCTCTAAAAATCCTGTAGTGAGTAGCTCTCAGTTCAAAGTGTTCTGGAGTTAGCCCTGTCCTGGGTTTGCTGGCAGGGATGAGGACCCTTAGGTGGAGAAATAAGGCTGACACACAGGTTAGCACCCATAAAATGCAGAATCCATCTGGGGGCCCAGAGCCAGCTGCTAAAAGAAGTTGATCTTGGATGTGGACCCTGAGGTGGGGACCCAGAGGCGAGCATCCGTGTGCTGCCAGCTGCTAGACCTTGGGTTCCCTCGGCCTCCTCAGACCCCGGAGGAAGGAAGACCTCACTCTGCTCATTCCACTGCCTGCAGAGCCAGTCCCCACAGTCTGTCCCTGTGAGCAGCTATGGGGGCTGCCCAAATTGTGAATGACTGAAATGAAGCCACCAGCCTGGCCACTGGGTACTGGGTACTTTGCAGACCAGAGATGGCTCGATACCAGGCCATGGTGTCTCTTGGGCTTCGGCCACTCTGGTCTCTGGGATCTGTTGTTTCCACATCCTTCTCTCTTTGCACCCATGCTGGGGCTACAGGTATTAAAAAACTGTGTTCTGTTAGTCTGCAGTGGGTCAAGCTCAAAAATGAAAATGGCTTTTTACAAATCCACCTGTTTGAGCGGATACACGCTGCTGAGATGTGAAGGGTTTGGGACTTTCTGTGTAGTGGCTATGGAATTTTATTAACATGAAAGGACAGAAATCAGGTTTGAGTGTGATTTATGTAGCAGCAGCTGTAGTATTCTTTTCATTGGAGTTTAAATAGGTTATAAAAACGTGATGGGGCACTGAGGTTACCAGTGAGTCATTCTCTGGCTTATTAGCAACAGCACAATTAATAGAGACAGACGACTTTCCCTTGACAAGGGGCTTTTCTGCCCCAGTGAGCATTTAAAAGGCACAATTCTGGCTTTGTAAAATACCAACTTCCACGCAGGGAGGCAGGATGCTGTCCTTGTCCCTGCACTAAAGGGAACCGAAATGTCACCTTCATCATGAAACAAATAATCCATCCTTCTCTCATTAAGATAAAACCCAATGTGGTTGAATTGTAACAGTAGGCTGGAGTGCAAGAAATACGGTCGCACATTTTCACCATCATGATGAGGACCCCTCTCCTGCCACGGTACTGACAATCCTACTGGAACCTCAAAACCTTTCAGCAGCTCCAACAGCCTAGCCACCTCCACCGCTGCAGGCTCTACTCTTGGGATTGCAGCTGCAAGCTTCCTACTGCTCCCCTCTGAGAGAATCACGTGGCACCATCCCAACCTGAGAGGCTCTGAGACCCGGAATGTTCACTGGAAAATGGCTAGAACATACAGGACCACAGAGCTCTGGCACAAGACCTCTGCCTCCATCTGCCATGAGCCAAAACACAGCCTCTGCAGCAATTGGCCCAGAATAGTCAGCACGTAATCAATGACTACCAGTATCCCTCATGTTACCTCCACTTTCAACTCAGGACCAGCCTGAGGAAACCAAATTTGCTCCCCTAACCAATCTCAAAGGATACCTGGCTTCAAGTGCGCCTCCCCCCAGCTTCTCCAGGCCAACAGCCTCCATCAGGGCCCACCTGAGGCTTCCCTTGCCATCAAGAAGCTTCACCACTCCATATGAGTCTCTGCTGAAATGCGAGTGATGGTGGCTGACTCCCCTGCCCTGGCACGCTCTGAGTAAATCCCTCCATTCGTTCCCATGTGGGCTGCCGTTGGGCAGTCATTCAGCAGTGCATGGTAAGCACAGACTGGCTGCTCAGTGCTGCTGTAGGTGCTGGTGCCAAGTGTAGCATCGCTGAGACTCAACTGATCTCGTACCCACTGCTCTTGCACTTCAGGGCAAATTGTACAGAGGCAGCGTCCACCCTGGGGCTGGAATGCTCAGACTCAGGGGTGTTGGTCCGTGGTGTAGATGACAGGCGTGCCTAGTCTGAGCCACCTACCACCATGAGAAATAAGTGCCACCTGGAAAACGAATCGTCCCACCTCCACCCACGACGGACAATGCCAGCCCATGCCGCTCTGTTGTCAGGGTCTTCATGACTTGGACTGGAAGATGTACCATCTCCTGCTTTTGTAATAATGCAGAAAGAAGCCTCTGCCCTATTCCTTCCAGAAGACAGCAGCCGTGCCCTGGAAGGCAGGTAGCCACTAGCCCTTCAGGAGCTTTAGAGGCCGTGCCCTTCAGGTCCTGGGGTGCAGGGCAGGCTACAACCTCCCACTGTTGAGGCCTGCACCACCTCAGGATGTTCACCTCCCTGAGGACATGACCCTAGAATCTACTAGGATCTCCATGCCCTGTGACCTTGCTAGATTGGAAATAAGTCTGTGTTCCTCTGAGAGCAAGGCCTGAGACCATGTTAACATTTTACAGTTGTATTGTGTTGTTGACCCAAATTATTTGAGGCTAACCAAAATCAGGAGTTGTTTTTCTCATGAGGTTCAAGTTCCCAATCTTCGACCTGTGAAGCTCAGTGGGGGGCTTCCTGTTTCCTAACAGCTGCCTGCTGTTGTGTGTTGAGGTCAGCTCTCCACTTCAAGCTGTGAAGCTGCCCCTGGGAGGAGGGGGAGTGGAAGCGAGTCAGCTCCCCTAAAGGACAACGCCTGCAGAAAGGTGTGTGGGGTCCTGGGTGCCACACAACTATGCCAAACTTAAGGGAATGAACTGTGCACACTCTTTAGAAGAGGGACTTATGTTTGCATGCTTTATGTAAAGAACTCATTAAGTCAATATTAGTACACAGTGTCTTAGAGAAAATAAAAATCATATAATGGATTATGTAAAATAGCAGAACTGGGCCACGACCTCACTGCTTGAGTAGTTATGATTTTTGTGAAGATGCTGCATTGACTGAATTTTGACCAACGGGTCATGAATTAAAGTAGGTAATGAGAGCTAGTTCCCTCATTATACCCTGTTCATACCCTATTACTGTAGGTATCATTGATAGAATAATATTCAGCTATTGGAAAAATATTCATGACTTTTGAGTAAAAGTAAAATTAGAAGGAAATGTTGTCTTAGTCACCTTGGGCTACCATAACAGAATATCATAGACTGGAGCTTAAATAACAGAAAAGTATTTTCTGACAGTGGTGGGAACTGGAAGTCTGTGATCAGGGTGCTAGCATGGACAGGCTCTGATGAGCTCTCTATTCCTGGCTTGTAGACCGTCACCTCCACACTGTGTCCTGACTTGGTGGAGAGAGAAATCTCTGGGGATTTTTCTTAAAAGGGCACTAATCCTCTCATGAGGGTCCTGCTCTCATGACCTCATGTGACCCTGATAGCCTCCCAAAGTTCCCAACTCCAAATACTATTCCACTGGGGATTAGAGCTTCAACATACAAACTCAAGGGAAACATGACAATTCCATCCAGAGCCAATGTATACCACAAAAATGCACTCGAATACAGAAGACAATGGGAAGGAGAGGGCTTTTTGCTAAGGATATGCAAATCGACAGAGCTGGCCATGGTGGTGAGAGAAGTCATCCCGGCCATGCCTTGGGGTCTCATGCTCTGCAGTCAGGGTTTGGTTCCTTCCCCAAGCCATGGGTTCTCACTGATATTTCATTCTATGTTAATAATTGAAGTTTTAATGAGAACACATGGACACAGGAAGGGGAACATCACACACTGGGGACTGTTGTGGGGTGGGGGGGGTGGGAGGGATAGCATTAGGAGATATACCTAATGTAAATGACGAGTTAATGGGTGCAGCACACCAACATGGCACATGTACACATATGTAACAAACCTGCACGTTGTGCACATGTACCCTAAAACTTAAAGTATAATAATAATAAATAAAATAAAATATAAAAAAATTGACGTTCTACCAGTGTCCACAATTTAATTGATTAAAGTACCCCAAAACACATATGCTGTCTCCTGTGTGTCAAAAGCTTGGCAGGGCACTGAGATGCAGGGATGAGTCAGGGCAGAAGCTGGGCTTCCACAGAGCCCAAGCCCACCTGAACTAGGCCACTGCAAGAGCAGGAAGGTTTTTCTATAAGAAAGTGCTGAAGTCCTTGACATGGGACTTGACTTGGGCGAGGGGTCAGGATGTGCCTCAGAGAGCTGATCAGAAGAGATGCCTGGCAGGAGAACAACATCACCTTCCAGGAGGAGCTAGTGCATGAAATGCATACATTCATGCCCCTTCCTCTGAATGCTTGCTCACATTTAGGTTAGAATTTGGCCATTTATGTTGTTTTCCCATAAAGATGAAGTGACTTGGCCAACGCAGGAATTATCTGGCCCCTTTAGCAATAACAATTTCATAACAACTTTGCAAATACACTTAGGCTTTGATATAGTTTGCATATTTCCCCCTTCAAATTTTATGTTGAAATTTGATCTCCAATGTTGGAGGTGGGGCCTGATGGGAGGTTTTTGAGTCATGGAGGTGGATCCTTTAGGAATGGCTTGGTGCTATCCTCTGGGTAATGAGTGGGTTCTCACTCTATCGTTCCCATGAGTACTAATTGTTACTAACGAACCTGGCACCTCCCTCCCTGCTGTCCTGCTTCCTCTCCTCTACCAGAGGTGGAAGCTTCTTAAGGCCTCACCAGAAGCAGATGCTGGCGCCGTGCTTTCTGCAGAATGGTGTGCCAAAGAAACCTCTCTTCTTTATAAAATACCCAGCCTCAGATATTCTGTTATAGCAACACAAAATGGACTAAGACAGGCTTTATGCATTCATCTCTTGAGGTTGGTTAAAATGAATTTGCCTCAAGAACAGGGCCCTGCTTTTGGGTGTACTGACACAATCACCTTCATAGTGCCTTTCTCCAAAGCACTCATTGTTGCCTTCATAAGCTCCTTAGCTGTCATTCTCTCATGAAGACCATGCCACATCCTTCAGCTTTCTCCATTATATGGAAGCATTGGTCTGGATGAACAAAATAGTATTGCATGACTAGACTTGCTTTCTGTCCCTTGGCAGGCTGAGTCAGATAACCTGTCTTCCATTATTCTGAAACCATCTTATCTCTCAAAGATGTTCACAATTAGGCCACTTGTTTCTTTTCCTCTAACAGATGCTACTTTTTCTCCTTACCAATTCACATTAGATAAATGAACTTCCATCCAGGGCTAACTTTTCAATCCACAGCCATTCATCTGCTGTTCCTATCAAGTCAGCTGTTTTGCTTGAATCACTGAGCTCTTCACTTTCTTTTTTTCATTCTTCAAAGGCATGTAGAATACTCACCTTAGTCTCTGGAATCTACTCTTTCTCTCTATCCTGGACATAGAATTTTAAACCCTATTGAGCTGGCTGGTGAAGGTCAGGCCAAGTGAATACTTGGCAGTGTTCTCATGCTGCCTTCCAACCTTTGTGTAGAAAGCTGCCCCAGCTCAGACAGACCTAAGTTTGGGCCCAGGCCCTGACACTATCCAGGTGTGTAAACTTGGGCAGCGTACTTAACTTGTCCAGCTTTATTCTCTAGGGCTGTGACATTTGGATAATGGTGACTATATCATTGGCTCATTACATAAAAAGTAAGCCATTCTGGATGCAATCCACCTAGTTCACATTTGATACATGCTGGCCCTGCCCCTCACTCAGGGCCACTGCACATCCTGCACATCATGGGGGCATTGCCTGAAGGAGTAAGAAGGGTACAATTTCATCTGTGGTCCATTGACCAAGCTGTGCACCTGTAATACTGCAACTCTTCCTAATCCACAGAGAGGAACCTTACAGCTAGTTGCAATCCTGAGTTCCTCTTAAGTTTCTGGTGTAGTTTTAAAGAAAACTATATCCAAGATCCTACCCTAACTCACACACTGAATCTCGGACGTCTATTCCAAACTATATCAGACATTCTGCCAAGCACCAAGTGGAAGAGTGTTTCCGAATATTGTACATAGAAAAATGATAGGGTATGACACATCAGTCTAAAAATTACAACTAGTATTATAAAACATAGCAGGTGCACAATTACTCTATCGTGGTAGGGTGTAAAATGCTCACAACATTGCTTCCTAGTATCCAATTAATGTAGTTGGTGATAAACAGTTACTCATTTGCAGTGATGTCTTCTTTTTTTATTACAGTCAATTATACAATGAATTGCAATCGACTCATTCTGCTCCTTATTCAACAATTGTATTACCATTTTTTTCCCCAACAAAAACTAGGCAAAAATAAGATCTAACTCCTAAAAGCATGGTGGGAAAGCAGTCAGTGGAGACGCACCATGGCAGAGAGTGACACCCACTGAGGATATCACCTGGATCCTCCGGGCACTGGGTGCATTTAAGAGTAAACCCACTCCTGTAGCCTCAGCACATTTTTTTTTTTACTTTAAGTTCTAGGATACATATGCAGAACGTGCAGGTTTGTTACATAGGTATACATGTGCCATGGTAGTTTGCTGCACCTCTCAACCGGTCATCTAGGTTTTAAGCCCTGCATGCATTAGGTATTTGTCCTAATGCTCTCTCTCCCCTTGTCCCCTATCCCCTGACAGGCCCCAGTGTGTGATGTTCATGGGAGCACATTTTTAAAAAGGGCTAAACGTGATTTTAATGAGGGACTAATTGTATTTAGAGAGTAACTGAGTAGTTTTTGATATATCATTTTGTTTAAAATATTTATTGATATTTGGAGCTGTTATTATAAAATTTTTCCTATATTATTATTCATCAGAAACATCTTGTTAAAATATGTACATTATAAGATATTGGCTACTACAAATGAAGAGGAAATCCACAGGAAAAGAGAGAAAAAAATAAAGTTGTTTTCAAAATATAGGTCAAAAATTTAGAAAATAAAACAAGTTAATTTTCTTTTCCTATGAGAACTTTACAAATTGAAGAAAAAGTCATGTTTGCAGGAATAGTGGAACAATATAAGAAACTTACAGAAAAGAGTAATCTTTTACTATTCTTCCTTTTCTTTCCTGGATGGCTGAGGCAGGTGTGTCTTGGATTTCCATTCATATGTGGATTATGGACATTATATGCAATGCCATGATTTTATAAACATTCATGCATGCATATAGGAAACATATATCACTGCAACTTGACTTTCAAAGTTTTGACAATATGTAATGGACATCTTTCGAGGTCCATAGATAATTAGTTTTTTCATTGTTTTTAAGAGATTGGTTCGTGTTTATGTTGGTCAGGCTAGACTCAAACTCCTGGGATCGAGCAACTCTGTCACTTCAGCCTCCAGAGTAGCTATTACTCTTAACAGTTATGTAGTATTAGCTATCTATTGCTGAAATAATGCTGTGCAAAAATGACCAAACAACTTAAGGGGGGTACAAAAATATGCATGTACCTGGGCTACTTGGCTAGGCAGCCTTGTTAATACGCATGTACCTGGGCTACTTGGCTAGGCAGCCTTGTTTGTTTTGACTGTGCTTGCTCTCATGTCTAAGCGTCCTTTGGCTCTTAGCTGATTTAAGATGGCTTGGGCTGGGGACATGGGTGATTCACCTTTTCTGCGTGTGCCTCTGCCTCTCCAGGAGGCTAGCCTGAGGATGTTCTCATAGCGATGGCAGAGGCTCCCAGGCAAAAAGGCAAGTGCAAGCATGCAAGTGCTTTCTAGACTGCTGCTTTTATCATGCATGCTAAAGTTCTATATTAGCAGTCACCAAAACAAGTCATATGGCTGATCACATAGAGAGAGAGAGAGGGCTGCACAGTTGCACGGCAAAGGGTAAGAGTGCAAGAGATTTGAAAAATTGAGACTATTTTTGTAACCTACCACAGTATAAACCTTCCATTTTTTATTCAACCATTCCCCATGTTAGCTGCTATTTTGGATCTTTTCAGAGTGTTATAAGTTATTATTAGCAGGAGTATATATTCTTACATATCTATCTTTATGCATTTGCGTTTATTTTAGTGGAATGTTTACCAAAGTGAAATGATTGGATCAAATATTTTTATTAGAATTAAAATTTATAGAGCTATATTTATTCAAAATGTGTAGTGATTCATACCTATGGTAGACATGAAATAAAGTGTCTGTTTTCCTATATCTTGGTTGAATAAGACACAGTGATTTTTTTTTTGTAATAGATTAAAAATCTAATTTTTGAACTTACAGATTCAGTTCCAACATATAAAGAACATAAAATACATCATTTTTGTCCTAAAACAACATCAAAGAAAGCTGGACAAATTAAAAATCAATGACTGTCTTTGACCTAATACATATGTGAGTTTGCAGGGCAAGCTGTCACCCTGAAATGTGAAGAGACAGCACATACAGAGAGTAACAGGTGAGATCTGCCTACCTGACATGCAAGACACTGAAGCCAAAGATGCTGGAATCAGAAACTCCTTGTAATAGCACATACAATATGTCCAACTTTTAACCAAAAATTATAAGACATGTAAAAAGGCAAGAAAGAAATTCTAAAGAGAAAAAGCAAGGCAGACTCATATATGACACAAATATTGGAAATATCAGACAGGAAATTTAAAATGGCTATAATTAATATGCCAAGGGATTTAATGAATTAGTAGGTAACATTCAAGAACAGGTGGGTAATATAAGCAGCAAGAGGAAAACTCCAGGAATAAGTTTTAAAATGCTAGAAATCAACAACACAGTCACAAAAAGAATGCCTTCAATAAGGTTATCACTAGATTCAATATAGCCAAGGAAAGAATAAAGGACCTTCAAGATAGGTCAATAGAAGCATCCCAAACTTGATCATAATGAGAACAAAATTTGAAGGAAGAAGTAGAATACGACATTCAAGAACTGCAGAGCAATTTTAAAAGTTACACACACACACACACACACACACACACACACACACACTTGAAATATCAGCAGAAGTAGTAAGAGAGAATGGAGCCAAAGAAATATTTAAAGTAATAAAGCCTAAGAACTTTCTATAACTAGTGGTAGATATAAAACTCCACATTCAGAAAATTCAGAGAACACCAAGCAAAATGAACAAATACTTAGATAAAATACTAAATCATAAAGGAACAAATACTTACACACAAAAAATACTAAATCATATATTAAAGCTGCAGAAAATTAAATACAAAAATTTTCAAAGAAGCCAGAAAAGAAAATCACCATATATATAGAAAAATGCTGATCAGAATTACAGCATACTTCTCATCAGAAATAATGCAAACCAGGAGACAGTGGAATAAAATATTCAGTGCTAAAAAACAAAAACCCTAACCTAAAAATCTGCATTCAGGGAAATTAGCCTTCAAAATGAAGGAAATGTAAAGACTTTCTCAAATAAACAAAAACTGGGGAAATCTGTTGCCAATAAACATGCCTTTCATGAAATGGTAGGATAAGTTCTTTAAAAGAAGCAAAATGAGACTGATGATCAAGGTCAACACCACGTACCCTTGATGTGAAGTGATGAGAAGACCACTTTGCCTCTGTGTTCTTTTCAAAAATCCATAACCCAGTCTAACCATGAGAAACACATCAGACAAATCCCAGTAGAAGGATATCCTATAAAACGCTTGACCAGTACTCTTCAAAACTGTTAAGGCCATCAAAAAGAAAGAAAGCTTGAGAAATTGGGACAGCCAAGAGAAGCCAAGGAGACATGAGGACTAAATGTAACACGCTGTCCTGGATGAGGTCCCCAAATAAGGGAAGCCTTTGGGAAAAGCTAAGGACATCTGTATAAACTATGGACTTTAGTTAATAATAACGAATGGATACTGGTTACTTCATTGTGGCAAATATGACATATTAAGATAGGATGCCAATTATAGAGAAATGCAGATTTGGACATGGGGGAACAGATGGACTATCTTCGCATTTTTTTTTTTTTGGTAAATCGAAAACCTCCTAAAATAAAATGTATATTTGAAAAACTAATTGTTGATTCATCCTTTATATAAAAGTTAATAATAACATTGTCTCTTGTGAAAATACGCAATGATGATGATGATGGATAAAACAAAAGGAACTAAATAAACTGGAGGGAAACAGATTGGCTTCTCTGCCTTCCAGAAACTTTAATTTGATGGTCATTCTGATTTGGTTAGGATGCCTAACTGCAAATTTACAGGAGTAATTTCACCTAACGTTGATAAAATCTCTTCTGCCCTAAGATAAGTTGCTGGATCTTAAAGCGCTGTCCCTATGTAGCTAAATCAAATAAGTCAGAACGTGGTCTCAAGTAAATAGCACTTAAGCATTTGGAGGAGAGACACAGCAGAAAAGATAACAAAGACACTCAACCAACAGCTGGAGTATCAGAGTCCCGAGGGTCGGCTTGAGTGCTCTCAGACGGCTTGTACCCTCCCCAATTACATGAGGAACCTGTGTAAAATAGCAACTAGTGCCAACTGAACTGTTCACCTCCCAAACACCAGTTTATGTAAACTCAATTACTTACATGACCAGAACCAGTGATTTCTGAAAAGAAGCCTCTCATCTACTCTACTAAGTTTTCTGCCAAAACACAGCATGAGTTTTGTTTTCTTTAAAAACTACCATTTCCATATAATTGGATTAACCCAGCATGTGACTATGGCCAGATGTCGAAGCTTCCTAGATCGTGTAGAACCCTCATGTGACCTCAGGCTTCTCTCACAAAATGCTGGGAGTTAAAATTCAGCCGCTGTCTAAAAACTGCCTTAATCGTCCTGAGGAAGTTATAACGGTTGGTTGGAAAACAAAAATTACCAAAGCCTCCATTAAAGTTTCAGATGTTCAAATAGCCATGGTCAGAGAGCAAGAAATGATTTGTTGATTAAGTGCTTGCAGCAACATTTCATTTTGCTAAGATGTACAGAACGAGAAAAATAAAGACATTTTCAAGCAAGTATTAAATTCAGAAAGAGTCTACTTATTTAATCTCTCAAGTCACCTTTTAAAATATTTTCACTGCTATGAATCCAGCATACTTCTTTTTTATTTCAGCACTGATCATCTATCTCCTCCTAAGACTCAGACTTTCAATTAAGTGAGCATTTACCTTCACATCCCTTGTAAGTTGGATTCCTAGGTATTTTATTCTCTTTGAAGCAATTGTGAATGGGAGCTCACTCATGATTTGGCTCTCTGTTTGTCTGTTGTTGGTGTATAAGAATGCTTGTGATTTTTGTACATTGATTTTGTATCCTGAGACTTTGCTGAAGTTGCTTATCAGCTTAAGGAGATTTTGGGCTGAGACAATGGGGTTTTCTAGATATACAATCATGTCATCTGGAAACAGGGACAATTTGACTTCCTCTTTTCCTAATTGAATACCCTTTATTTCCTTCTCCTGCCTAATTGCCCTGGCCAGAACTTCCAACACTATGTTGAATAGGAGTGGTGAGAGAGGGCATCCCTGTCTTGTGCCAGTTTTCAAAGAGAATGCTTCCAGTTTTTGCCCATTCAGTATGATATTGGCTGTGGGTTTGTCATAGATAGCTCTTATTACTTTGAAATACGTCCCATCAATACCTAATTTATTGAGAGTTTTTAGCATGAAGTTGTTGAATTTTGTCAAAGGCTTTTTCTGCATCTATTGAGATAATCATGTGGTTTTTGTCTTTGGCTCTGTTTATATGCTGGATTACATTTATTCATTTGCGTATATTGAACCAGCCTTGCATCCCAGGGATGAAGCCCACTTGATCATGGTGGAGAAGCTTTTTGATGTGCTGCTGGATTCGTTTTGCCAGTATTTTATTGAGGATTTTTGCATCAATGTTCATCAAGGATATTGGTCTAAAATTCTCTTTTTTGGTTGTGTCTCTGCCCGGCTTTGGTATCAGAATGATGCTGGCCTCATAAAATGAGTTAGGGAGGATTCCCTCTTTTTCTATTGATTGGAATAGTTTCAGAAGGAATGGTACCAGTTCCTCCTTGTACCTCTGGTAGAATTTGGCTGTGAATCCATCTGGTCCTGGACTCTTTTTGGTTGGTAAACTATTGATTATTGCCACAATTTCAGCTCCTGTTATTGGTCTATTCAGAGATTCAACTTCTTCCTGGTTTAGTCTTGGGAGAGTGTATGTGTTGAGGAATTTATCAATTTCTGCTAGATTTTCTAGTTTATTTGCGTAGAGGTGTTTGTAGTATTCTCTGATGGTAGTTTGTATTTCTGTGGGATCGGTGGTGATATCCCCTTTATCATTTTTTATTGTGTCTATTTGATTCTTCTCTCTTTTTTTCTTTATTAGCCTTGCTAGTGGTCTATCAATTTTGTTGATCCTTTCAAAAAACCAGCTCCTGGATTCATTAATTTTTTGAAGGGTTTTTTGTGTCTCTATTTCCTTCAGTTCTGCTCTGATTTTAGTTATTTCTTGCCTTCTGCTAGCTTTTGAATGTATTTGCTCTTGCTTTTCTAGTTCTTTTAATTGTGATGTTAGGGTGTCAATTTTGGATCTTTCCTGCTTTTTCTTGTGGGCATTTAGTGCTATAAATTTCCCTCTACACACTGCTTTGAATGTGTCCCAGAGATTCTGGTATGTTGTGTCTTTGTTCTCGTTGGTTTCAAAGAATGGAGGGATAGCATTGGGAGATATACCTAATGCTAGATGACGAGTTAGTGGGTGCAGCGCACCAGCATGGCACATGTATACATATGTAACTAACCTGCACAATGTGCACATGTACCCTAAAACTTAAAGTATAATAAAAAAAAAAGTGAGCATTTACCAAATGCTCCCACACGCTACAAATGGAGGGTGATGAAGATATGAGAGCATCATAGTCCTTGTCCTCAGAACTCATGCTATAATACAGGAAGTGGGAAAGCACATGGAATTGCAGGGCGCAGAGAAGAGGGACAAAGTTTTGTGAAAACAAAGAGAAATATTATTTTAAGTTGGGGGAGGGGGCGAAGGAACGTTTCATGGAAGAAGTGACATTGGAATTGGATCAGACTTCCAAACTTGAGGAAGTTGTTTTCGTCCTGGAAGGGGGCGGGTACTCTTTGCCTTTACAACATGGGTGGGTTTCTGTGAGGCTAGATTGTTTTCTTGCTTGGGATTTTGAGAACTAAATCTGGATTTTTGCCTGAAGATGGGATTATCATATTCTTTTTGGAACACAGATATTTGATACCCATACTGAGTAAGGGCAAGACACAAACTTCTAAGATGTAGCTCTAGGGGTGTTCTGAAGGGCTGCACACAGGCTTTTTGGAAGATATGGTAGCTTTTCTTCTTAGACGTTCTTCCTCATCCTGTATTTTGACCAACTCCCTGGCCCTCTTAGCAGGGCTGCCAACCTTAAGGCATCCCAAGAGCCACAGATGACCTTGGAAGACCTTGCTCAGAGGTGGTCCATGAGTGACTCACCCGCCTGGGGATAATTTCTTGGAGACTTTCTTGCACCTCTCATGCCTGACTACATTTTTCAAAAGTGTAATTTTTAGAAGGGCCAAGGGTAGCCAAATTTGGTCTGCTTGGTCAGCAGCCTTTTCCATGTGGCCATCTCCATGTCTGTCAATTTTGAGGTACCATAGCCCAGTGAGAATCAGGCCACTCCTTAATTTCTTGTTGCCATCTGTCTTAGTCCTTTTAGTGCTGCTATAACAGAATACCACCAACTGGGTATTTATAATGAAGAGAAATTTATTTCCCACAGGTCTGCAGTCTGGCATGTCCAAGAATGAGGGAGTAGGCATCCAACGAGAGCCTTCTTGCTGTGTCGCTCCATGCAGAAAGCAAATGGGCAAGAGAGAACCTACTCTCAAAAATCCTTTTGAAAGGCATTAAGGCCTAAAAGCCTGCTGACCTCTTACAGTCCCCAACTCCCAAAACCTTTACATGGGCCATTACATTTCAACATGAGGTATGGGAAAGACACATATTCAAACTATACTACCCTCCCTAGTAACTAACAACTTTTTCCGTTTATTTTTCCCTGAAAAAGATTTAGGCATGCTTTTGAGATCCAGCTTCTCTATTTAGCCATTCTGTGATCTTTAATTCTCTAAATTCTCTAGTAATTACATTTCTTATACTTCAATTTCTTTTTCTGTAATATGACATCAATAATAGCTTCTAAGTTACAATATTATAATGGGAATTCAATAAGATTACATTGTAAAATACAAAATGCCATGCTGGTCTTAACTTCAACTCCATGCATCCGTGCTGGGCCACCATATTGACCTGGCAGGTGCCATGTTTATAGTAGTCCAAGGGGTTGTTTTGTTAAAAATCATATTCCACTTTGTGGAAATCTGGGGTTTTTTGTGCTTATGTCTGCCTCTGGACTTATGCTTCAATGCAAGTATGTTTATTTTGCATATCTCTCCTGAGGTAAAGCACAGCTCCATCCCTCGTTGGGGAACACCACTCACACACCTAACACACACTCAGTGAATGTGTCAATGTAGTGGACATTCATGGCATAGTGGGAGGTTATAGGAAAAAGCAAAAGTGTCCATCTGTTAGCAAAGCTACAAATCACCATGGAACATTAATGACATGAACTGGTAAACGGTCCTCTGGCTGCTGCATCAGTGATGAAACCTCACCGGTCTTGGCTCCTGGGGTTGCTGTAGTTCAGAGCATCCCAAGCTTCTTCCTAGCCCTGTCCTCCTTCTCTCCTCTTTCCCCCAGTTCTGGCCCCACTTCACCAAGTCTGCTGTTGCCCAGGCTCCCCTGACTCATGTGTCCTGAGAACAGCACTTTCTTCCCCAAGAAGTTGTCTAAAGTATTTTCCAAAGATTCCTTACCCTCTAAGAAGAGAATGAGCCAGTAATTTAAGAGAACAGTCTCATTCTGTAACACATAGATGCATGTCCACTGAAACTTGAGATATTTTTCATCCTTACCATTTATTAACTGCATATTCTTTCTTAAGCTTCTGCAATCTAGCTTCTCTTCCCAGTACTTTTTCAACCCCTGGGGCCTTCTGTGACTACGCTACTTTGAAGTTTGTGTTTATTTTATTTTAATTTCTCTTGACTGGGATTGATTATGCTTCCTGACTTTGAGGAGTCTGGTGTATTCTAAGTTCAGAAAATTCATCGACATCACCTCTCTAGATATTGCTTTTTCCTCATTTTCTCTTTCTTTTCATTTGGAAACTCCAATTACATTTGTGTTAGACTCCATTCTATCTGCCATTTCATTTTTTTCTCTTTCATATTTTCTATTTCTTGCTCTCTCTTTTCAGTATTCTGTGTAAATTTGCTCAGTTCTACTTTCAACTTATTAATTTCCTTTTCAGCTGTTGTTTAATCTATTTTTTAACCCATCCTATTTATTATGTTTTAATTTCATTAAGCACATTTTTAATTTCTCGAACTTCTCTGTGGTTAATTCTCAAATTCCCTTATTGATTATGGTGGAATTTTGCTCACTGATCAAACTTGTAATTTGACTTTTAGATATCATCATAATCACTTTTATTATTATTTTTCAGTGGACATACAACATTTCGATTATCTGAGTTCCTCTGAGTGTAATTGTGCTGTGTCTTCTATGCCGATCCCTGATCATAGTGAATTTTTATACTTTTTTGGTATTGTTTAACTTTTA
Organism: Homo sapiens; assembly: GCF_000001405.40. Classification (NCBI taxonomy): domain Eukaryota; kingdom Metazoa; phylum Chordata; class Mammalia; order Primates; family Hominidae; genus Homo; species Homo sapiens. Next base: position 3,904,256 of record NC_000005.10, read on the forward strand.
GGCCTCTGAGGCCTAAATCTGTGGACATCCTGTAGCAAATGAGGCTGCAGAATCACAGAGGAGCTTTTTACTTGCCTTTTCCTAGTGTCCTGGTGTGACTAGATTGAGAGGCTTCCTATGCTCCTCTGATCCTGGGATGTAGATCAGAATCCTAAGCTTGCCTGAGAGTAGAGCTCATGTCAGGAGTCACTGGAGAAGCCCTTGCTTTTTCTCCTCCCAGAGACCAGGCCCAAGGTGCTCCCAATAAATGGTATCTCCTTTTCTTGTCTAAGTTCTAAACCAACCGAGAAATTTAAAACATGATAATCTAGATGGGAGACCAACATATCACTATATCACTTTTCTTATTGATGAAGTCACTGTTGGAGTATTCGGCCATATCTGCAGGCAAATATGCCTTTGAGTGCCGTGCCCCAAGCTGACCGAGTGGCCCATCCCATCGGGGCAGAGCAGGGACAGCAAGCCCACTCCCCACACGCATGGAGCGAGGTCTCCCCACTCAGTGCCCTGTTCACCCAAGCTTGCATGCTTTCTCCCCAAGGATGGCAGGACGGCTCCCAGGGGGAAGCAGGAGGAAGGACTGGGCGCAGGCACCCTATTCCTTACTCAAATGTACCCATTAGCTACTCATCCTTCTTCCATAGGGAGAAGTAAGAGGTGGCCAGACACTGAGGGTGGATATGGGCTACCTTTTCCATGCAGCCCAAGGTATGTGGGGTGTGGCTGTGAAGGCCCTCCCTGGGAAGCATCTGTGATGGGCTCAGAGCATGCCAGGAACATGCTAGGGGACCACCTGTCGTCTGTTCTTATGAAGCCTGCACAAATGTCTCCTCAGTGTGCCTCTTCCCGCCTCCCCCGCTTGGACCCAGCCCACCCTTACTTATTTTAGACCACTGAGCATCCCCTGCCTGCAGTCCTTCCTGCCTCAACCAGCCTTCTGCTCCTGCCAGGGTCCACTTCTCTCCAAACAGACCTCCCATTCACTGTGTACTGCCTGGAAAACTCCGCAATCACAGTGCTGGAAGACCAATGCCATGTCCTGAGTTGAGCCCATGACGGGCTTCATCATTGGGACCTGTGAGACTTGGGTTCCAGGGCTGGCCCCATCTGCCCCATGAACTCACCAAACTTTCCTCACTCCCCAAAACACGATTGGCTCTGAGCTTTCGGGGTCCAGTCATGCTGAGGCCCCTCTCTTTGTTTATCAGGGATCATTGTAAAGGTCATCATTCCTTCCAGGAGGGAGACTTCCCAGCCAGTCATGGCAGATGTGGTAGGCTGACCTCTCTCTCTGTGTCTACATATTTAAATCTCAGAACTCCCAGGAAAAAGATGGACAGAACAAAACATGTATCTTTAAGGCAAAGAAGAGTGTGAGGAAAAGCAACAGGGCTGGAGTGCGTACTGCATCATCAAGAGCAGCGTTGGGTTTGAGTTGTGCCCAGAGCTTGTGAAGGGGCTCCATGAGGAACAGGGATTGGGCTGCTGACAGAGGGTGGGGGTCCTTGGACACTGGGAAGACAGGTCGACCACAGGGAGCCTCCAAGACTCTCCAAGCTAGGCAGGTATGTGGGGTCATGTCATCACACAAAGATCTGAAAGAGATGCTATAATCACCTAGTCAAGAAGGGAAATTTGGGGATTCTATTTCCCATCTACTCCCAGCTGTGCCCACTTCCACTCCTACCAAGCTGGAGTGGTGGGCAGGGCTTGCACTGCAGAGTGCAACTAACCCACCTCTGTCAAAGCCCAGTGCCAGCAGCAAAGGCTGGCACCTCCTTTCTTGCCTCAGGTGTCCCAGAAAGTCAGGCATGTGGTTCTCCTTCTTCAGAGCCTACTGACTCCGATCCTCATGCTTCTTACAAGTGTTGGGAGGCAGGACTGGGCCCCCTTTGTCCATGTGATTTTTAATTACACATTCATTGATTAGGCTAAAAACTATGCAAATTGTAAAAATACAAACTTTTCTTGAGGTAATCTAAAATGAATTTAGCTATGTCTGGTAAGAAAAAAGAAAGCTTATAGGATTCTAGGCCATTGCAGACATAATAGTAATTGGAAGAAACAAGTAAAAGTCAACATAATAAAAGAAAAGTAAGGAAAGTCTGTTGCTGTTGGACCAGTCGTCTCCCTTACACAATTGATATGAAAGGCCCATCGCATAGTTCGTTTAAATGTGCTGAAGGGGCAGGATGCTTAGGAATGGCTGGTGTCTCCACACCTGGAACCCATCCAGGCTGTTCTAAACAGGAAGGGGCAGAGGGGTCAGTGTGGTCAAACATGATGGGAAGAGCAGGATGGCCAATAAGTGGAAAGCTTTGGAGGCTGTAAATAAACAGCCTGATAAAGAGACAGATTGAGGAGGGGCTGCATAAATAATCACAAGAAAAGCAGAAAGGGAACGAGAGGCGCAGGGTAGAAAGAGGGGCTTGCAGAGAATGTTTCCATTTAGAGCTGGTGAGCTCCAGCACTGTCTCATGCAGACTGGGGAGTCTGTGGGACCAGGAGGAGCCAGGCATGAAGATGAGGAGTGAACAGAAGCTCCTCTAGGGCTAAAAGGAGAAAAGAGGATCCCCCACACCTCCAGTCAGTGCTTCTCCCCAAAAATGCATGGGATGCTGCAAATACATCGATTTGATGAATAACTGGGTGTGGCAAAGTACACAGGCTCTAAATGGGAATGAGAGAACGTTCTGATGAAACGTCACCCAAGAACTGATACTCAAATCCAACTTAACACCCGGAAAGCAGTTTAACTTACTGGGAACTTGATGTGTCCATTGTGAAAAGAGAGCTGGATGTGTCTTGTCACCGTAAAGTGTGTTCAAGTGCAACTGTAATCGCTGCCCAGAATCAAATGTCACTAAGTTTGAATTGCTGTATAAAATACACTTTCCAAACAGATGTGTCCTTGTGAGCCAACACTGTCCATACTCACAGCCTCTCAGTGTTTTAGTTCTCTGCACCCCACCTCTATTGCTTTTACAAAAAGCTTTGGAGTTCTGGCCAAAGAAAAATCAATCAGCAATATTTGAAAAAGTCAAATAAATAAAGTAAAATTCAATTTAATATTGAACATGCATGAATCTTTGTGAACCTAGTCATGTTTTCTCATTGCCCTTTGCTGAGTCTTGGGTGGTCACTGGGTCTCCCCAGTTCTGTACCAGCTGGCTTATCATCTCTAATTCTGACAGCTCCAGGGACACAGGGCAGGTGTGTTCTAATTGTGCATGATCTAGCTAAATTCTTCTCTAATTTTGAGTCTGCACCCTGGAGCTTCTTTCCTGAAGTGAAGCACGGTTTCTGCCTATACATGCAGAGGAAGATTTCTGTAAGCTAATTAAAAACACATTTCTGTTGTGACACTTGGTGGCAATATATGCCACAATAACATTTCATCCTTAACAAGAGATATCCAGGCTTTTCTAGGGAAAGAAGCAAATATCGATGGAAACCATCTATCCAGTAAACAGGTACTAATTAACTGGGTCCTAGTAAAGTAAAAACTCAGAATTAATGAATGCGTGTCCAGCATTCATATCAACAACAGAAGTTAATATTTATGAGTCAGATAAAATTGCTACAGTGCTGGATGCATAGATTTATCCATAACACACATAGTAACCCATTGGGGGTATACATTTACTAAACACCCTACTTTGCAGGTGAGGAAATTGAGGCCATGGAGAGGCTAAGGTTTTATCCAAGGTCACACATGAGAATTGGAGACAGGTGTCAAATCTAGGTCCCCTGCATTCAAATGTCCACGTTCCCAGCCACTGAAAAGTACATTTTTCTCTTCATTTAAGCTCCCTGAGGAGCCACATTCTCACCTAAGCCATCCAGGAGAAGTTCCTAAAGCTGGTGTTGGATTTGGCTCATGCCTTTGTCAAACTGCGGCATGTGGACGAACTTTCAACCTCTCTCAATAGTTGCTCTTTTATATTGAGGAAGTCGTAGAGGAAAAAGCAAAATTTAAAATATCCAAGCTTTTGATCTTGAACAAACTAGGTGAGAAGTGTTTTTTTTTATTTATAAGCTCTGACTACTTCCTCTTTGATATCTTACAGTTCTCTTTCTTAATTTGATCCTTCTTCTCAATCTCAGATTATGCTTCAGTGCAACCCAGATTCAAAGAGCAAATACTTTCCTTATTCCTCACTATGGTTTTCTTTTCACACCTCTGCACTCTCCCATTTCCCTTTGTGGCCAGCCTTCTTTAAGTGGTACCTGTGTCCCCAGGTTCACTTTCCCAGCCTCTCCCCAGCTCCCTTTGGCATCAGGGCCGCCACCTCTTAGGCTCTGCTCTGAAGGCTCCGGTGGAGGCTGAGGCTGCCCCCTCCTTGGCCTCTCCTTCCACAGGGTCATTTGCAATTTCCCAGGGGTCTGTCCTTGGCTACTTTGGTTCTGAGCTCTCCTTGGCTCCCTTTTCCTCAAAGATCACATAGGATCTGATGATTACCCAGTTCTAGATCTCCAAGATCTCCAGCTCCTGTTCCCTCACCTTGTAAGTCCCCAGACCCTGATGCTCACGGTATCCAAAACCAGCCCCATCCCCATGTTCCCCAAGCCTGTGCCTGACCCTGCATTTCTGGCCATCGCCCATGCCAAACACTGGGAGTCATCTTTATCTTTCTCTTTCCCTCAATCCCGTCTGCAGTAAGGGCTGAGGTTCTTCTTTTTCCCATAGGATTTTTCTCCTCAATATTCTGTGCCCTCATTTCCTTTCTCATGGTCCATTTCCCGATTTAGATGGCCTTTGTCCATTATAAAACCCCCTTAATGGCTTGCCTGGGTCTAGTTTTTCTTCTCCCCGGCCTGTGCCTCTGTCTCTGGTTAGAATAGTTCTTTATCTAAAACACAGAGATGATCTTTTGAGGGGCTTCTGGTTCCCCATGGCCTGGTGGCCATGGTGACAAGTTCTTCAGCACCATTGTCTCGCCACTGCCTCCTCTCTTGGCTCCATCCTCCAGTGCTCTACTTTACCCCTGGGTCCAATCCCAGGTAGCAGCTTCTCTTTCCCCAGACATAGCTCGGTGCCTGTGAGCGTGTGATTGTCTCCTCTTTCCACCATCAATTAAAAGGGACCTCCCCTGGAAGCACTTGCCAGACCACTTGGGGCTGCATTCTTTACTGTTCCTATTTGAACACCCCCCTTGTGTATCCCCTATCACCTGGACTTTGGATCGTCTTAGCTGGCTCAATGGCTGCAGTGAACCACGAGGGCAGGTGCTGCATCTGATTCCTTCCCTACACACGCCCCAGCAGGGCACATGCCACAGCCACAGATGGAGGAAGCTGGTGCTTCTTGCATCCAAAAATGAAGGTTTTGATGCCACCGGTGCTGGTTTACTGCTCTCAAATCCAACACCATCTGAGCTTGATTTCCTTTCCCACCTACTTACCTGCCCTATTCCTTCCCGGCCAACACAGAGGAGGGAAAACCCCACATCATCTAGTGGCAAAGGCTGTGCACGTTGCCAGCCCTGTGGAAGCTGCAGAGGAAACAACCCTTGCTGGCTTGTCTCCCATTCTCCCAGCTGACTCTTCGTTCCCTGATATTTTCAGTTGAGCTGAACAATATTCAGATTCCAGCCACGAAGCCAAAGGGCCAGCCACATCCATCTTCAGATGACATCCACTGAGAATTTGGCCATCACCTAATGGAGACAAAGCACGTGAGGAGGTGTGCATGTGAGACGATGACATAAAAGTGCTAAACCCGTTGGGGGAATGGCTGTACACAAGGTCAAGTTTGGTAATTCACACTGACATGGTTTGTGGTCCTCTGGAGAAGGCGGTCACCACTTACCAGATGCTCTCAGGGCTGCTGCAGAGCCCAGGGCGCAGGCACCAGAGCCCCGGGAGAGGCCATCGCACATGGGCAGGCCAGGCCTGGAGGTCTTGCTGTCCTTTTTTTTTTTAATTTATAGACAATAGAATTTATTTATCAGAGTTCTGGAGGCTGAGAAGTCCAAGATCAAGGAGCCAGGTGATTCGGTGGCTGGCAAGGGCTGCTCCCGGCTTCCAAGATGGAGCTTTGCAGCTGCGTCCTCTGGAAGGGGCGGTCATTGTGTCCTCACATGGCAGAAGGTAGGAGGAAAAAAGAGAATGAAGAGCATGTGAAGCCTCTTTTATAACGGCCTTAATCCCTTTCACCACGAAGAAGCCTTATGACTTAATCACCTCCTGAAGGCCCCATGTCTTAATATTATTGCCTTAAGAATTAAGTTTCAATGTGAATTTTGGAGGGACACAAACGTTCAAACCGTATCACTGCCCATTGCACCATAGGCTCAGGGTTATACAGGGAACATCTCCCATCCTGAGGACCCTCCAGGCAGGTATGTACTTGGCTCCCAAGCCTCCCTGTGGTTCCTCACTGTGTGGAGGAGGAATAGGCCCCACATGAGCCGCCAAGGAGGCCTGGGCCAGAGGTGGGCTTAAGGGGCTGGCTCTGTGCCCCCTAACTCTTGGCTCCCACTTAGCTTTCTGTGGGGAATGAAAAGCACCTTTTCCTGGGTAGAGAGGTTGAAACCATCATTCTCAGCAAACTACTGCAAGGACAAAAAACCAAACACCGCATGTTCTCACTCATAGGTGGGAAATGAACAATGAGAACACATGGACACAGGAAAGGGAACGTCACACACTGGGGCCTGTTGTGGGGTAGGGGGAGGGGGGAGGGATAGCATTAGGAGATATACCTAATGTTAAATGACGAGTAAATGGGTGCAGCACACCAACATGGCACATGTATACATATGTAACAAACCTGCACGTTGTGCACATGTACCCTAAAACTTAAAGTGTAATTAAAAAAAAAAGAAGAAGAAGGGTGCAGAGAGGAGGAGACTGACTTATCCTGCTGCAGAAGTCTCTCTGCAACAAGAAGCCCTGCTGGCTTTGCTCATGGGCTTTGTGCATGGCTGCTAAAGTGCTGGGTGACAGCAGCATTCTCTCTTTGTGTGGTTAAAACCAAAGCTAGGAGAAAGTGGCAGAGAGACCATTCCCTCCAGGAGGTGCACACTGGTCTCATTTTCCCTTGGGTCAGCCCTTCATTTACTACCTGTGTTACTTACCTTCGAGATTCTCTGGAATAGTTGGGTCCTTTAAAACAACCACATCACAGCCAGTAAAAATACTTTTGTGTCCCATCCCTAACACATATCACTGAGTCTCTCTGTATAAAATCATGTGGGTTTTCACAATGAAAATTGGCAAAGACTTTCCTGGACCAAATTGGACTGAGGCTCCGAGCCCTCTTTGACCTTGGCGCCTGCCCTTGTGGGGCCTGCAGAGACAGCCCAGTTGTGGTCAGAATCCTCTTAAGCCAGTTTGGTGAGAATTCCCTCCCTCTAATGTTTGATCACCCTTGCTATCTGCTCACCCTGGCTTACCTTCAGCAAAAATCCTATCAAGTTGGTTTAGCAAGAATCCCCCCCACTCTTAATACCTCTTCTTGGTAATCTTTCACCTACCAACTTCCCACTCCCCTCCTGGCTGTTCATCCCCACTCTGCTGTGTTTGTGGCTGAACCCCTTCTCTCTCTCCCAGGGTAATAGTTTTGACAGCCATCGCAATAGTTCTGAATAAAAGATTTCTTACAATTTTAACCAAACCAGAAAAAAATCTGTTTTTAACTGTGTATTAACATCTCCACAGATGGCTTTTATGGGTTTTGCTTGTTAGGAAAATGGTTCACTGTCATCACGACTGCATTACCAAACCCGTTTGACCACAGGCATCTGACCTCAAGGACACAGACTTTTTAGAAATGATTTTTCTTCCTGTTGTTGCATGTAGCTATGTCCTTGTTTCGGCTCCTGGGTACAATTTTATACATAAAATGTAAATGAAGACACAATTTTCATACAGGGTCTCTGGTCCTTTTCTAAATCAGAGAGGTGGGTGACAAAGAGAGGACAAGTCAGTCCCTCCAGACAGGGGAAGTAAGGCTGCCAGCACAGAGTGTGTGGATGATTCCGTGTTCTGGAGCAGGAAGAATATTCCTTCCTCCCATCCATTTTACCTCCTCATTTGCAGTTACAATAGCTATCAATCTAATTTACCATATAAATGTGAAAGTCTTGTGTATCTTTGCATTTTACAGTAAATCATTTTAAAAACATGTTAGGACAATACAAAATATTTCTCCAAGTCAAGGCTACCCCCTCACACATACAGATGGACACACACACACACACACACACACACACACAAACACAGAGCAAAACAACTCCTTTTTTAGTAAAAATTGGAGCAATAAATCTTTCGCTTCAATTTCTATGAGGAAATTATTCATAATAGGATGGGAAGTTTTTAGTTTGAATTAGAATATTCTTAAGTTGATAACACTAGGTGTTTTTTAGCACCTTTTATTTTGTAGAAATTAACAGAATATAGAGTTAGAAATATAAAGCAAAAACTTGGGTTTAACTAACAGATATACAGTTGAAGCATTTATTTGAATAACTCAAGTCAAAAAACATCTCTTGAGAAAGATGGTATTGCTCTTTTGAAGGTTGTAGCTGAATTTCCTGCAACTCTTTCAATTCACCTGGGGAACTCTTAAATAAGTAGACTGCCGGCTTACTTCCCTTGGAAATTCTGATTCCACAGGATTTTCATTTTTCAAAGAACATTCTCTAATGATTGTGATGACTGGACCAGTTTGGCAACCACTGGCCCAGACAAGTTCACGACGGCACCATGAAACCACTAGGTTGGTGCGAAAGTAATTGCGGTTTTTAAAAGTGATGGCAAAAACCGCAGTTGTGTTTTCACTAACCTAATATGTCCATAGTCATGGCAAAGTTTGTTATTCTGCTTCTCATAAACTTGAATGCAGGTCTGAATTATGAAACATTGGACATTTATTGTGTCCATATACCTTCGAGACTCTGAAGACACTCTAGATCAGGGGTTTTCCAACTATGCTTTACTCAAGAGGGCAGAATCCAGGGTGAAGGTGTGGAGGGTGACAAAGGCATCTCAGAAGGACTAAGGTTTCCCTGTCATTAGGCCTGAAAAGCAGAGCGTCCCACCATTGCATATCTTTGTAGCATTCTTCCACTTAGATTTCCTTTGAATAAAAGATTTCCTGGCTTTAAAAAATGTTTGAGAGCAATAATCAACCAGACCAGGGTTGCTCAATCCATGTGAAAATGCAGCCTCGGATTCAATGGGTCTCCGCCAGGGTGGATGATCCTCATTTTCTGCAGTCTCCAGGTGATGTTGCTGCTACTGATCCAAGAACCACAGTTTGAATAGCTGGGATCTAGACCAGTGCTGTGGAATAGAAGGAATGCAAACCACACATGTAATTGCAAATGCAAATATTTTAGTAGTCCCAGGAGAAGTAGTAAAGACAAAAAATAGTGCAACTATTTTAATAGATTGCATGAAATCCAATTCATCTAACATGTTGTCAAGTAAACATGCAATCAATTAAAAACATAACAATGCAGTATTTTATTTTCTTTTTGTTTATTCTAAGTCTTTGAAATCTGGTGGGTCAGTTACATTTAAGGCACACCTCAATGTGGATAGCTACATTTCAAGTGTCCAGTGGCCACATGCTCTACCCTACTGGAAAGTGCAGAGCTAGCCCACACAATGATCCAATGTTGAAATCACTTTCAATGATGTTTCAATACAGTTTTTCAGTCACTTCTCAAACATTCCTAAAGAACAGGAAACATTATTTTCTAAAGTTATCCATTTATCTTCACTCAGCTTTTTAAATTATTTCTCCCTATTTAAGCCAAAATTCCTCATTGTGTCTTCCATTCATTGCTTCTAATTCTAACTCTTAGAGGTGCATAGAACTAAGTGAATCCATTTTTTATAAAATATTTTCACATAGTGGGAGTCTTTTTCCCCTTTTTTGAGCTTTCTCAGATCTTGTCTTATATTAGAAAGTCCTAATTTCTTTCCTCTGACTTGCTTTTGAGTTATTTTTGCCTATTTTTTATTGAAATTTTTTTGGCCCCTTTTACACTCAGGATGTAAGATCAAGCACCATATTCTAGCTGCTCTCTGACCAGTGCAACATCCTTGTTTTAGCAATGATTCAATCTGGGACAGCTCAGCACTTGTTAAAACAATGACCCTTGGGGACACCTTTATCTCAGCATCAAGGAGCACCCATGGACCACTGGGACTGTGCAGGGCTCTATCTACCCCAGGCAAATGCCACTGTGTTCTATTCAGCTCATTGTCTACACCACAAGGACGTTTTGGATGCAGATTTCATCATCCATGGAAATCATTATTATATCAAGCCTTATGCCATGGACAGCATTACCTCAATGCCCACATCCAAATGATGGCAAATTCCAGCTTGGCCTTGAGCCAATGACCCACATTCTTGGGGAACTGTCTTTCAATATTTGTTGAACCAGTAAGGCATCTCAATTGCATTAGCATGCCATCTATGTGCTTTCCTCATGTCCAGAAGAAAAGAACATGATATTTGCAAATGTGTTGCTGACATTTACTATGTCTATGCTGTTTTTCTTATATAAAAATCAGTAATCCTGTCCCAAAAGAAGATGAAGTTCACCCAACCTGTGTTTGTGAGGAGCCCAGGTAGACACCAGAGATAGCCGCCCCTTTACTTCCTGCTCCTAGGCTGACCCATTTACCTCTGAGCCAGGTTGACGTCCAGCTTCCTCTTGAGTAGAGTCAGGACTGCACTTGCTCCTCTGAGTTATCCTGTCTCTGTACTACCCTGTGGCTGCTCAAAATCTCTTGCAAAATATCCACAATGTCCTTCATAAGTTATTTTAAGATCCCAGGATATAATTTGTCCAGACCAAAAGGTAAGACCTCATTTACAGATTGAAAGGTCCCTTCTTACAAACATTTTACCTAACTTGGACTTCAATTCCCTGTTCCAGTACTTATTTTATCTACGTCTTCCAGTCCAAAATATCTTTAACTTCAAGAAAGAATATGAGGGCAGATTAGAAGCAGAGGAACTTGGTGTTTTAATCATCTATATACGTATAAAGAATGCTATCAACAATAAGCAATGAGTGGAAGTTCTTTCCTTTCCACTACTTTCTTATTCCTTCTTCCTAGTGCATGAATTCATTTAATAAACATTTTAATGAGTGGTTATTATGTGGGAAGAACTGTTTTAATCACTGGGGACACAGAAATGAAGAAAACTGACATGGTCCCTTACCCCCAAAACTGAGATGCTACTGGACTGTCAGCCGCATGGGAAGTGGAGCATGCTATGTTCTGGCCCAAGAATCTAGGGATTATTGAGTAATTACCACAGAAATGGGGAGTTTTTAGTACTTTCTTTACCCCACATTGGCTAATACCCCCAAAATAGTGTTAATTATATGCCACATGGTGGTTTTCTCATCTACAATACGGCCCAATACATGCTATCCTCTTGTGTATTTATTTACTGTAGTTAGAAACAGAGAGGCGAGTTACTGGAAGACATCCACAGAAAGAAGCATTGTTCTTCATTTGTCATTAGATTTCTCTTTGTTTACTAAGATTCAGTTTTGTGATGTTAGCCTTTGGCTCGTGTATCCACTATGGCCTCCTTAGTTAAGTTTGAAATTTGAGTTTTGGAGGTGGTTATTTTGCCACTTTGCAGATATTATGTAACAAAATCATATTTTATAAATTTATTTTCAAATCATATTTGAGATACATATGAAATGCAATATAAGGTCAAAAATTATATAACAGCTATCAAAGGCCCCTTTGACCATCTGTGTTTTTTCTTTTTGGATGTTTCTTTAAAATTTATAGAATAAACATTCCTAAAATAGGGGTGGGGAGCATAGAACTTCCAAGATGGCTAATTTTACTGGGTTGCTTATTCATTAAAAAAATATTTTCTGAAAATTTTGTGACTATATGACTTCAAGTTATGTGTCACTTGGTAGTTTTATGAATTCAGTGATAAAGAACTAAAATCCTATTCCAGGCTACAATTTTATAAAGCAGAATGTTGTATAATTTAAGAGATCACAAAATCACTCAATAAATGATTAATATGCCAACATCAATCACAAAAGAATAGCACCTATTGTGCCTTTCCTCTTATTATAGATGAGAAAAACTGCCATGTGGCATATTAATACTTTTGGGGGACATTAGGAAATGTGGAGTAAATAAAGGAGAAGGAAAAATGTTAATAATTTTATTTAAAAATAGTTTTCTAATTATCTTGCATTCGTAAATGTGACATGTTTTATTTTTAAAAAATCATGTTGGCCTTTCTAAAAATGCAGTGCTCTGCATTATGGTTATAACACCAAGGCATTAGTGGGCAGATGCAAATATTTCAACATTCAGATATGTGTAGTGCTGTGATCCCATGCCAAACTCAATCGTATCATTTATTTCAAAGTAATGTCTAGAGAGGGGGCCCAACAGGGAGTATGGCTTCCCCTGACTTTGCTGGAGAGACTCCGTGGACCGATTCAGGGGACTGGATGGCCAAAGACAGCTGGAGTGTTTGCTAAGGATGTTGTCTACAGCCCACCTTTTTTGAAAGTGAGAGGCCCACCAGAGCCTTCTGGCTGCAGACCATGGGCAAAGTAGGAGACAGAAAAACATATAAATGAGAGAATACCCAAATTTGGAATGTAAGTAAATTTAGAAAGATACCAGAGTTACAGGCTTGGTTAACAGAGATGAGATTCCCATTTAAGCTTGACATTTTACCGTCCGTGAATGCTTTAAAGTGTGTACGTGTGTGTGTGTGTGTGCATGTGTGTATGTGTGTGTGTGAAGTGGGGTTGAATATACATATATATATATATACACCCACACATATACATACATACACACACATCATAGATTTATGTGTCTGCATTATATTCACTATTCTTTAACATGCTTGTTTGCTGTAAGAAGCGTTATATAGAACACACCATTCTTTTCAGAATTTAGTGTTTTGGTAGCCTGAAATAACACACAACACATCCACAGAAAATAACTACTGATTGTCTACAATCAGTTGTCTACATGGTTCTATATTCTGCAAGTGCCCTTTGCATTACTGTGAAAATATGTCCAGCTTAGTGTTTCCAGGAAAAGAGAGACACAAAGAGTGAGAAACAAAGAAAGAGAGAGAGAGAGACAGAGAGAGTTAATTTTACCTTCCGGGTGTTTATAGTGTATATATACAACCTTAATATTCTTTTATTTTACTGAGTATAAGAGTATCAGTAACACGACACATATTGTTAGCACTACTGATCTGAAATTCGATTTGCTTAGAGTTCATTTCCATGAGGCTGGGCCTGGACCTCTCACTGGGAGACCTGGCTGTAGGTGGCATTGAGGGTGGGGAATCTCATGGGGCTGGGGGAGGACAGAGTAGTGTGTGGTCCCAAGAAGAGTTTATAAATATTCCTTCAAAATTGTCTAACACATTCAAAGGCATTTTTAATATTGCTTTAATTTAATACTGGCACAGAGAAATGTGTCTTCACAATATTTTCCCCTAAATCCGTGTTTGTAGCTTCTAACACACAAGGGCTGGAGAGAGAAAAAAAATGTCAGTTATGCCTTTCATATTCTGAAATGAGACCATATATAGACGTAGAAAGTCATGTTAAAGAGGTTCATACACATAGACTCACGCATCTCACATATCAGGGTCAGAGGTGTATGGTCAGAGGCGGCTTTCAAATGAAGGGGCCAAAAAAGACCATACACTTTATTCTGTCCTTCTTTCCTTCTTTTATCTCTAACCCCCACCCCTATCCCCACCCTCTAGGACACAGGAGCCAGGATGACCTAAACAGCCAATAGCATTTTGAGGTTAGTCTGACTAGTGACATCCACACTTGCTGAGGATGGGTCAGGCCTCTTCTGCCATGTGCAGCCCTCAGGGCCCCTCCCAACTGCTCTCTCCATCTCATAGGCTGACTTGGAGCCACAGGTATGCTGCCATTCTCAGGACAGCAGGGGAGAACTGGGGCCCTGGGTGGGACACTCCTTCCTCTGGTTGAGGACTAGCTATTGTCTAGCCTGGGTCAACCTGTCTCCTGCCCTACGTGGGCAGGTTGAGCCCCTTTCACCTGCCTCCCTCCTGGATGGACCCTTGGAGGGCTTCCTCGGACCCCAGGGGGCCTGCCCTTTTTCTAGATCCCTTGCCTGAACCAGTAGCCCACACTGTCTGCAAGTGCATAGTCGTGGAGCCCCAGGGAGGCTGGGGAAGCATACCTGGGGGTGCCTCCCAAGTGGTAGGGCAGCCTCCTCTCAGAATCTGAAAGGGAAAGGGAGAATGGACTGTGTTCCCATTTGCCTTTGGGGTCCCCTTCACTTGGGGCACACCATTCCCTGACTGGACTAGAGGCCTAAGGGAGGAAGCTGAGAGGCCTTCACTTTGGGAATCCACCCTTTTCACAACCTCCCTAAGCCTGGGGACCTTCCCAGGAGGTTCTTTGAAGCAGTGTATGGACTGACCTAAGCAAGGAGTATGGTAGGTTTAGTGACGGAGGTCTTAAACATGTCCTCCTTCAAGACAATTGCTTGGCTTGCTAAGCTAATTTTTTATGCAGGAACCTCTTTTGGCACTTCAGTATTTGTCTGTTTCTAGGATCTTCTCTATATTTCTTTTGTGAGAAACACTAACCCCTCCCCAGGCACAAGAATACCTCAAGGGAAGGAGAGGCAAGTCATGTGTTCACAAGGGCAAAAAAAAAAAAAAAAAAAAGCAATTCATAATTTACAATATTATATATACATATACAGAAATACATACATCCCTTGCAGCAATTATTTATTGAGTAACTACTATGAAATTCACCTTTTAGGTGCATTGTAAACTATGAGATCAACAAAAGTAGATGAATTACTTTGAATTAAATTATAATGTCCACAAAAGCCCACATAAATCTGTCCCCACATTTTGACTAACGAAGGTATGTTCAAAATAAATCTCCTTCAGATCCATGATTGTTGCACATTTCAAAAAAAAGTTTCATAAACTCTAAAACCATTAAAAATATTGCACCAGAAGTAGCAGGTTAGCAATTAGAATAAATTAAAAAGGCCAATATGGTGATAAAGGAGCCAGTACTCTCTTCCATGGACACTTAAATTAATGCAAAATAGATACCAAAACCAGACAAAGACAAATGAAAAATAAAACTATGGGACAATACCCCTGATGGATATTGATGCAAAAATTCTCAACAAAATACTAGCAACCTCAACTGAACCACACATTAAACAGATCATCATGATCAAGTAGAATTTCTCTCAGGGATGCAAGGATGGTTCAACACCGGCAAGTCAGTCAATGTGATACATCGTATCAACAGAATGAAGGATAAAAACCACATGATAATTTCAATTCATGCTGAAAATCATTTGATAAACATCAACATCCCTTCATGATAAAAATCTTGGAATAGAAAGAACATTCTTTGAAACAATTAAATCCATATATGACAGACCCATAGCTAGTTTCATACTGAATGGGAGAAAATCAAAAGCCTTTCCTCTAAGATCTAGAATATGTAAAGGATGCTTAGTGTCACCACTGTTATTCAACATAACACTGGGGGTCCTAGTTAGAGCAATAAAACAAGAGAAAGAAATCAAGGGCATCCAAATTGGAAAGGAAGAAGTAAAAGTAGCCTTGTTTGCAAATTATATGATTTTATATTTGGAAAAATGTGTAGAATCCACCAAAAAATATGTTTTAAACTGATAAATTCAATAAAGTTGCAGGATACAAAATCAACATAAAAAAGTTAGTAGCATTTTATGTGTCAAACAGCAAAAAATCTGTAAAAGAAATTAAGACTGTAATCCCATTTATAATAGCTACAAATAAACTACCTAGAAATTAATTAACTTAACCAAAGAACTGAAATTTCTCTACAATGAAAACTATAAAACATTGATGTAAGAAATTGAAGGCATTCATCACAGAAATAGAAAAGACAACTCTAAAATGTATACTGAACCACAAAATACACAGATAGCCAAAGCTATTCTAAGCAAAAAAGAATAAAACTGAAGAAATCACATTACCTGACTTCAAATTACACTACAGAGCTGTAGTGAACAAAATAGTATAATGCTGGCATAAAAACAGGCACATAGACCAGTGGAACAGAACAGAAAAGCCAGAAATAAATCCAGACATCTATAGTGAATTCATTTTTGACAAAAGTTTCAAGAACATGCACTGAGGAAAGGACAGTCTCTTCAGTAAATAGAGCCAGGAAAAGTAGATATCCACATGCAGAAGAATGAAACTAGACCCCATCTCTTTCTATACACAAAACCCAAATCAAAATAGATTGAATACTTAAATCTAAGACCTCAAACTATGAAGCTACTGAAAGAAAATTTTGAGGAAACACTCCAAGATATTGGTCTGGGCAAAGACTTCTTCAGTAATACCCCAAAGGAAAGGCAACCAAAGCAAAAATGGACAAATAGGATCACATCAAGTTAAAAATCCTCCGCACAGCAAAGAAAACAATCAACAAAGTGAAGAGACAACCCACAGAATGGGAGAAGATATTTGCAAACTACCAATCTGATAAGGGATAAATAACCAGAATATATAGGGGGTTCAAACAACTCTTCAGGAAAAATCTAATAATCAAATTTAAAAATGGGCAAAAGACCTAAATAGGCATTTCTCAAAAGAAGACATACAAATAGCAAACAGGTATATGGAAAGCTGCTCAACATCACTCATGTAAGAGAAATGCAAATCAAAACTACTAGGAGATATAATTTTACCCCAGTTAAAATGGTTTTTATTCAAAATACATGCAATAACAAATGCTGATGAGCATGTGGAACAAAGGGCCCCTTGTACACTGTTGGTGAGAATGTAAATTAGTACAACCACTGAGGAGAACAGTTCAGAGGTTCCTCAAACACCTAAAAGTAGAGCCACCATATGCCCACTGCTAGGCATGTACCCCAAAGAAAGGAAATCAGTATATCAAAGAGATACCTACACTCCTATGTTTACTGTAGCACTGTTCACAAAGGCCAAGATATGAAATCAACCTAAGTGTCCACCAATAGACAAATGGACAAAGAAAATGGGGTGCACACACACAGTGGAGTACTGTTCTACCATAAAAAAGATGGGATCCTGTCATTTACAACAACATGGATGGAATTGGAGGTCATTACGTTAAGTGAAATGAGCCAGCCACAGAAAGACAAGCTTCACATGCTCTCACTTATTTGTAAGAACTGAAACATTTGAACTTATGGATATAGAGGTGGTTACCAGAGTCTGGAAGGGAAGTGGGAGTGAATAGAGTGAGGATGCTTAATGCTTACAAACAATTGTTAGAAAGAATGAATACGATCTAGTATTTGGTAGCACAACAGGGGGCCTATAGTCAAAAATAATTTAATTGTACATTTTTAGATAACTAAAAGAGTATAATTAGATTGTTTGTAACACAAAGGAGAAATGCTTGAGTGATGGACAACCCATTTACCCTGATAAGATTATTACATATTGCATGCCTGTATCAAAAACTTGTCATGTTACCCCAAAATATATGCACTTACTATGTGCCTACAAAATGAAAAATAA
The DNA here is from genome assembly GCF_000001405.40 of Homo sapiens. Taxonomy (NCBI): domain Eukaryota; kingdom Metazoa; phylum Chordata; class Mammalia; order Primates; family Hominidae; genus Homo; species Homo sapiens. The sequence continues at coordinate 3,921,834 of NC_000005.10, forward strand.
AATTTTAAAAGTATTCCTCCTAAAATTTGATTTAACAAATAAGTTGTATGTGAGATTTCAGTTTCTAAAGAAATTATTAAAGCATTTTATGTTAACAAACAAAAGTCAGTGCTACCTGAGGTGGTCATTTTTGGGGAAAATCATTGCTGCGGATCTGGGAATGCTCCCAGGTATGACCCCTGTGGGGTCACCCACTTGGAACCAGACCTGGTGGATTTTGTTGACCCAAACCTGAAAATCAACATCCATTTTCCCCATGCAATGGCATACTACAGAGTGAGCGTGAAGGTTTAGATCCTCTGAAACTACCCCCTCAAGTCATTCCTGAGACATAGGAGAGCGTGTGTGTGCATGTGTATATATATGTGAGTCCTAAATGGTTTCAGCCACTTGGGATGCAGTAATCTCCCTACTGGATCGACCTGCTTGGGTTCATAATAAATCAATATCCCCTGAGAAATCAGTGGTTCCCAGCAGCTCTGCTGTGTTTGCTAACTGTCTGCAGACAATCCAGGCTCACTGGAGGCCCCTAAACAACCCCATGCTGTGTAAACAAAGCCTCTGGACAGCAGCATAGACCCTACAACATCTTCCATAGTTGCAGATGGCAGACACTGGGTATGGAATAAAGGAGGTTATAGTTAAACAACTGCGATGAGAAAATATTTCCCTAAGTCGGGAGGCAGGATTCCGGCCGTCCACTTCATAATTAAGCAATAATCCCAAGAAACGCAGTCATTACCAGCAGTTAATGACGACTTTGTTGGTTAACAGCTGGACCTGAAGCTGAAGATTGTTAACACTCTATCAAACTCCTTGTTAAGAGTGCTAAGTTTTTATTTAAACATGCTTGGATCGCAGCTGGAGAGCTGTGGGGGCATCGGGCATCCCCCAGTGGCTAATGATCAGTTTTTTTCCATCAGTCAGAGCACCAGGCACATTCCATTATGTTTATATAATAGTTGTTAACTGCCGCACACTGGTGCCACTTTGTATGGGGACCTCGTATGACACGAGGTTCAACTCCTTCTCCTCCCCTTGCACCAAAGACATATTTGCTGTTGTTTTCCTTGTTAGTGATGTTGCCAACATTTCAACTTCTGTGATTTACCTAAGGGATGTTTTGGAATTTAAGGGAATGCACAGGAAGGCTAGGCACATCAGATTGAAGTGAGGACATGTTACCAGCCTGCAGGCTTACCCAAGCCAAACCTGAAGGGTGCAAGGCTGCTGCAACCTCCTGAGAACTCCAGGCCTTCTCTTTGAAGGGGGTCAATCATCAAGCAATTGTCATCAGAAACATGTCATAGTTATTAGCTAAAGAGCTATTTTGCCTTTAGGATTCTGCATTGACTGGAAGTTATCCTCATGTAAACCTGCTGCAAGTGCTTTCATCTCCTCTCCTTTTTCTTTACCATAAATGAGAGGCCTGCATTGGGAATGTCAAGCTGCCTTTAGTCAATCATTAGACTCATCAGAGGAAGCCAGAGCAGGTAGGAGCTTCCAGAGAGGAACCTGGGTGTCTGTGTGTGTTTAGGTGTGCAGGAAGACAGCAGCATTCTCCCCCATCTGCATACACATGAACCTGGGCACCTGGGCATGTTCAGGTGTGCGTGGAGATAGCAGGATTCTCCACCATCTGCATGAAAATGAACCTGAGTGCCTGGTCATGTTCAGGTGTGCAGGGAGACAGTGGGGTTCTCCACCATCTGCATAGAGATAAACTTGGCCACCTGGGCATGTTCAGGTGTGTGTGGAGACAGCGGGATTCTCCACCATCTGCATGGAGACGAACCTGGGCACATGGGCATGTTCAGGTGTTCATGGAGACAGCGGGATTCTCTAGCATCTGCATGGAGATGAATCTAGGTGCCTGGTCATGTTCAGGTGTGCAGGAAGACAGTGGGATTCTCCACCATCTGCATAGAGATAAACTTGGCCACCTGGGCATGTTCAGTTGTACAAGAAGACAGCAGAGTTCTCCACCATCTGCACAGAGATGAACCTGGACACCTATGTGTGTTTAGTTGTGCAGGGAGAGAGCAGAATTCTCCACCATCTGCACAGAGATGAACCTGGGTACCTGAGCGTGTTCAGGTGTGCAGAAAGACAATGGGATTCTCCATCATCTGCACAGAGATGAACCTGGGCATCTGGGCGTGTTCATGTGTGTGGGAAGACAATGGGATTCTCTATCATCTGCATAGAAATGAACCTGGGCACCCGGCTGTGTTCATGTGTGTGGGAAGACAGCAGCATTCTCCATCATCTGCACAGAGATTAACCTGGGCACCTGGGCGTGTTCATGTGTGTGGGAAGACAGCAGGATTCTCCATCATCTGCATAGAGATGAACCTGGGCACCCGGGTGTGTTCATGTGTGTGGGAAGACAGCAGGATTCTCCATCATCTGCATAGAGATGAACCTGGGCACCTGGCCATGTTCATGTGTGTGGGAAGACAGCAGGATTCTCTATCATCTGGGTAGAGACGAACCTGGGCACCTGAGTGTGTTCATGTGTGTGGGAAGACAGCAGGATTCTACACCATCTGCATAGAGATGAACCCGGGCACCTGGGCATGCTCAGGTGTGCATAGAGACAGTGGGATTTCTCCACCATCTGCATGGAGATAAACCTGGGCATCTGAGTGTGTTCACATGTGTGGGAGACAGCAGGATTCTCCATCATCTACATAGAGATGAACCCGAGCACCTGGGCGTGTTCAGGTGTGCAGGAAGACAGCAGGATTCTCCACCCTCTCCATGGAGATGAACCAGGGCACCTGGGCATGTTCAGGTATGTGGGGAGACAGGAGGATTCTCCATCATCTGCCTAGAGATAAACCTGGGCACCTGGGCGTGTTCAGGTGTGCAGAAAGACAGCGAATTCTGCCTCATCTGCATGGAAATAAACCTGGCCACCTGGACATGTTCAGGTGTGCAGAAAGATAGCAGGATTCTCTACTATCTGCATAGAGCCATGACGGACCCTTCTTTCTTATGACTGCAAGAAAAAGTTCAATCAAAGGGACCCACGTGGACAGGCTCAGGTGTGTGGCTGACCCTGTCCCGTGTTCCCATTGTCCACATAGAGTCCACACAGCTCTGCCCTCGCCCTGCCAAGTTAGCATCCCATGAACCCACTCCTTTGTGGCATCTGTCAGAGGCATCCAGAATTCATTATCATATTAATGTCAGGGCGAGCTCCCCTGGACCTCTGAGTTTTGTCTGTGCAAGGGCTTCCCGGGGCATTGGAGAAGCAGAGCAAAGCCTTTGGAGCAGGAGGCATTCAGCGCGAGGTGCAGATGGACCAAGCCCTTTGTTCTGCACGGCCTGGGGGGGCTGTTCTGGGAAGCAGCCAACCTGCCTTGGTCTCAGTGAACATGGCCATGCCATTGTGTGCGTTTAATTGTCACTATGTGCCTGGAATCTCAGGGGTGCTCTAGAGGCTGAGGACAAGTGCAGGGAGCCCTCTGCCAGACTGAATGGAGAACCAGTGCTCCTGCATTCAGTCCCTGTCACCTTTGCTCAAAGAGGGATCCTCTGACAGAGCAATTAAAAGTATGACTTATTTACAAAGCCGTCTCTCTAGAAACCCCAGGATGATCTCTCTGGCACCTGCGCACATGGCTGTCTTAACAGGTTCTCCTACTGCAAAGCAATTATTTAGACCTTGTGATATCAAGACAGGTGGACAAATAAAAAACTGACCACAGTGCCTCATGAAAGGAGACTAAGGGGCCATGTGGTATTTCCATCTTTTTTAGAGACAGGGTCTTCCTCTGTCCCCCAGGCTGGAGTGCAGTGATAGGACTGTGGCTCATTGCAGTCTTGACCTCCCGGCCCAAAGCAATCCTCCCACCTCAGCCTTCCAGAGTGTTGGGATTACAGGTGTGAGCCACTGCACCCAGCCTGAATTTCCCCTTTTAAAATGCCATTGTCCCCCACTACATGCTGAGGCATCTGTTTCACAGCCACCTCGTGTCTTTGGTTATGTAGAAGATCTTTCTGTGCCAGGCAAGACTCAGTCCAGTGAAAACGCTTGCTGGGCATGGCCTGGCGTTCTGTGTGCTGACAACACAGCTGTCCAAAGGCAAAGGGTTAGGATTTTCTAAAGCATGTTTCTTAGGAAGGCAGTGACACGATGGATTATTTGTTACATTTAGACAGAGGCCAAATTTTTCCTCTTAGTCATGGTTTACTTTTTTTAAAGTGAGTTTTAAGTAACTGTTTACAAAGAAGCCAGGGTCAAGATCTGGGCTGGTCTCAGGTCGCATTTCTTGGATTTCCCCTCCAGGCGCTCAGCCCTTTTCTGCGCTACGTGCCCTCCTGATGCATCCCTTCTCCCATTCCATCAGTGACACCCTTTCACCTGTGCCTTGCTGCCCACATCCTCGAAATTCCTGAAGTCATTTATCTTCTGATTCATCCAGGACGGCTTCTTTTCAGACGCAGCTAAGCCTTTGCCTTTATGCAGGAACCCATCAGAGAAATCACACTGCCTTCTCATCACCTGCCTTTCTGTATTTAGAGGGCTGTGTGTACCACAGCACTAAGAATTTAATTAGGTTCTTCTGTTGCTTATGGAGATATACTTTCATCATTTCAATGAGGTCCAATGTCTCAGCAGAAGAAAGAGCAGCTCTCTCTCTTCTCCTGTCCCCATGGTATCCGTGCATGTGGCCCCACCCCAGCAGATGTTTGGGCACTTGACCTTGAGTGAATGCTTGGCAAGCATCACCCCACTGTGCCATTTGCTCAAGCTTCTTTGCCTCTTAGGTCTTTAGACCTCATATTTCTCTCTTGGCACAACCTGACCCTTTTCCATCTTCTTTGTCAGACACCATAATAAAAGTTGTGCACATGGAAACGTCTTCTCCACTTTCCAATGATTGTCTTGTTAAATTAAATTTATCTTAAAGCTGACTCTTTACACATTTTAAGTGTGCATTACAGGTCTCTCTGTTCGTGGTGAACTGAAACCTTACTGGATGTGTAGACAGACTGTAACCTGCTCTTGTGCCAATCACCAAGTTTTGGCCAATCACAGGTGGTCCACTGTTCAAGCCAGGTTCAGATAAGGCAGCCCGAGGTGTTTCTGTGCCTCACTTCCTTCGTTCTGTCCATAAATCCTCGTTGACCACACAGCACTGCAGTCTCTCTCTGAATCTATTCCACTTCAGGGACTGCCAGATTCTTGAATTGTTCTTTGCTCAACTAAACTCCTTTAAACTTAATTGTCTGAAGTTTTTCTTTTGATAGTCTTTGAGCATCAGATGAGAGTGTGAATTTGGAATGTTCTTAGGGGGTCTAGGACTTTGTCTTTGATTTTAATTTCATTTTACCTTATTCTGCTGTGAGGTCAGCTACAGTGGTCTCTTGATGGGTATCCTGGGGGCCATGGTTCTCAGAGAGCTCACGGTCCAGTGAAAGAATTGGAGACTGCAAGAGTACAGCTGCTCTTATGGAAGGGTGGCTGCTCCTACCATGGGAAGTCCTCTCCCACCCGTCAATACACATTTGTTTCCCTCCCTGTCTCTGAGCTGCCCTCTTGACTCTGGCCTAGCTTCTCCAACTCTAACCACTTTTGTTTCTTTATACAACATGGCCTCCTCTGATCTGGTACCTCAGGGAGCCACTGGCCATTTCTGGGCACTCTTCAGTGTGTGAGCACCTAAACCACCCCCCAGTAAACACAGCCCCCTTGCCTGCAGATACCTGCCTTCTGCCATCAACCTTATTAGCTGTAGCTCAGATTCCCTGGTGCAAACCCATGGCCCTCTTCCCATAGGCCATCCTCCTCAGCCTTGAGCCAGAGTATTTGAAATGGACCTGCTGGGACTCTCCCATTCCGACTGTGTTTTCAAATTCATGTGTTCACTGGAGGGTGTTTTCCTTTCATTTGATGCAGTGGTTTTCGCCACGACCCCTACCATCCTCCCAGCCAGGCCTTCTCCTGACTCTGAGCTGCCTCCCTCTGTCCCTGTCTCGCTACCCACCCATGTCAATCCCTCCTTGGACACTTCTTCCTGCTCCTGTCTTCACCTATGCTCCTCGGCATCCCCTCCAGTTCCACTGCCTCCATGGGAGGGACTTCCCTGTGACCGACTCTTCTCTGGAGCTCCAAGCCTGGATTTGCAAGCTGGACCTTCTTGGGGTCTCACAAATAAAATGCATCGCAAACGCATCCTTAACACTTCTGCCCAGACCCTTACAGCCCTCTTGATTCCTCTGTTTGTATTAATGATTCCCACATTCTTCACTCAACTCAGAGCAAAGCTTTTTATTTTTTTTTAACTTTTAGGTTCAAGGGTACAAGTGCAGGTTTGTTGAATAGATAAACTTATGTCATGGGGGTTTGTTATACACATTATTTCATCACCCAGGTATTAAGCCTAGTACCCATTAGTTATTTTCCCGATCCCCTCCCGCCTCCCCCTACACACCCCTTGAAAGATCCCAGTGTCTGTTGCTCACCTCTATGTGTCTATGTGTTTTCATCGTTTAGCTCCCATAAGCTCTCTCACTTATAAGAAGTGAGAACATGTGGTATTTGTTTTTCTGTTCCTGCATTAGTGTGCTAAGATAATAGCCTCCAGCTCAATTTGTGTCCCCAAGAAGGACATGCTTTTGTTCTTTTTTATGGCTGCATAGTATTCCATTGTGTATATATACCATATTTTCTTTATCCAGTCTATCATTGATGAGCACTTAAGTTAATTCCATGTCTCTGCTATTGTAAATAGTGCTGCAACGAACACATGCATGCATGTGTCTTTATAATAGAATGATTTATATTCCTTTGGGTATATACCCCATAATGGGACTGCTGGGTTGAATGATCTGTCTTGAGGTCTTTGAGGAATCTCCACACTGTCTTCCACAGTGGCCAAAATAATATACATTCCCATCAAGAATGCATAAGCATTCCTTTTTCTCGACAGCCTCACTAGCATCTGTTATTTTTTGACTGTTTAAAAGTAGCCATTCTGATTGGTGTGAGATGGTATCTCGTTGTGATTTTGATTTGCATTTCTCTAATGATCAGTGATGCTGAGCTTTTTTTCATATGCTTTTTGGCTGCATGTTTGTCTTCTTTTTAAAAACATCTGTTCATGTCCTTTGCTCAATTTTTTATGTTTTTTTTCTTGTACATTTGTTTAAGTTCCTTATAGATGCTGGACGTCAGACTTTATCAGATGCATGGTTTGCAAAAACTTTCTCCCGTTCTGTAGGTTGTCTCTTTACTCTGATGATATTTTTTTTTTTTTTGCTGCAGACCAGCCTTGAAGTCATCTTTGATTCTTTTTGTTTCCTTGTGCACCCAAAGAGTCAGTGTGAGAGGCTGATACTGCTGCCACAACTTCTCTCCTATATTGTCCTTGTTCTCTATTTTCCAATAAAGCATTGCCACTATTGCCTGAAATGCAACAATAGCCCCTTAATGGTGGTCCGGCCTCCATTACATCTCAATCATGCTTATGCCTTCCTTCCGTCAGTTCTTTCATGCTTGTTGATAGGTGCCATGGTAGTACTGGGGAGTGACCCTGTGTCTCCCTTTATATTCTCAGCTTTTTCACTCCTATCCATTTGCTTCTCTCGTGGAGTGCATGCTGTCACTGAGAAGCAAGGCACAAAAGTAAAATAGTCACAACTGGCAATGTAATCGTGGTGGGTCTGGGCAGCAAGATAGAGAAGAGGGGTTAGGAGAGTGCCTCCCAGCAACAGGACGCTGCTTGGAGGATGATGAGAGCATCGGGGAGCTCTCCTGAAGAAAGAGCTTTTGAGTCCAGGTCTGGAGGATGAGAATGTGCCAGCCAAGGAAGGAAGCTGGAAGCTGGGCCCTGCAGGAAGGGATTCATGGGCTGCTCTGAGAAGGGCTGAAGCTCCCTGCAGAGCCTGGGATAAGCTCCAGGGGAGAAGTGAAGGGAGGAGAAGGGAGAGCCCAGGGGGAGGCCGAAGACAACCACCCCAGGTTGGGATCCTGCAGGCGCCATGCGGATCCGATTAGGTTTTGGTGTTTATCCTAAAAGCTCTCATCCTACTACTCTCATTGTGCTTTTCCCTTTGGGATGAAGGGGTTATGCAGGCATAGAAGGATCAGATCTGCAGCTTTGGCAATCCCTGCTGAGCAGGATGGCACTGGTGGGGGCAGGGTGCTCCAGGGCCAGTCGGAGGTCCTGGTCTCAAACTACTGCATATGAGGACAATGTCTCTTCTGCTGTATGAGAGGCTAAGTTCATGGGCCACACATTATGTAATTATGGGAATGAACAAAGCAAAGAACGACAGTGGCCTGGGTCAATTATCTCTGGTGCTAAGAACATCCGTTTCAAAAGCCTGCAGAAAAATTGTATCATTTCTCCATGGAGGGAGAGAAGTTGCTTCTCCATGTTCACTCATTGAGGATAACAGGACAAGGGCAGCCTTAGAAACCCTTGGGCTGCCAGGGCTGGTGTCCTGGGCTGATGACGGCCTGGCAGCTGGCACCCCACACTGCACACGCCTGGGGCTCTGAAGGGTGTCTGAGGGGTCCCCTAAGGCTGCTGGACATCTCTTCTGGAACCCAGAACTGGCCTTCTCTTCTCATAGGACACCCAGCCCTCCAGACGAGAGACACATGCACAAGTCAGCAACTGCCTTCGCTCGGAAACCAGGTTTCAATACATAGCTGCACTGAGAAAATACACTTCAAGATATGGGGAACAAAACAAAACAACAGCAAAAAGGCTTGACGCATTGTTGCTACGAATATTGTTTCTTTGTGTTATTAGAACACTTTTAAAAATAATGTTCAAAGACATTTAAAAAGTATTATTAATAAGTTTGATACTTGAACATTTATAGGGCTGAGTACAATTTTGTAACTCATTGACTTAAGGACAGATATGATTCTGCCCTATCTCCCTATGATAGAAACAAAATATGGTGCTAATAATAAATTGCACATGAAATCCCACACAGCTCAAATAGGCAACTTGAATTTTCCTGGAGTTAAGAGGCCCATTACTTTACTGGGAATTAGAAGTCTCAGATTTCATACTAAACTTTTCTTTGTAGAGGGATGTAAACCAGTCTCTGACATGTGAACAGTGTTATCTTTAAAATAATCATCATAATAATTCAGTACTAAAGAAACCCATACATTTTTCAAATGAAATTACTTTTCTTATTGTTCATTCTAAGGTTCATCCCACGTCTTTTGGGAGGAGCTGTAGGTTGTTTGGTCATGTTGTTTTCAGTGTAAATAAGCAAAGCTGGGGCATAGGTAGTGATCTCCCCATAACAGCTCATGGTTCCTGAGTGACTTGAACAACTGACAGCCTGGTCAGGGTCCCTGTTAGGAAGGAGGCCCTGGCACCTCCTGCTTCAGCCAAGAGACCCGGTGTTTCTGTCTTGGTTTGTCTCTCTTGTGAGTCATGTCTCCTGATACGGTGTAGACGGTGAGCCTCCCAACTCTGTGTTCAAGTGGACACTCCTTCTATGGCATAGAAAAATACAAGCAGGGAATAGAAAAGCGAATATCCTATTCTTTCTCTTAAGATAGACGTTAGCATGATAAACTAACTGTAAAAATCATATGAATACTAAGGAACACAGCTCCTAAACCCAAACATGCAATGCCCTTTTTCAGCAATTATATCCAATTCCCCGTGTCATAAAAATGCCCAAGAAAGAGAAATGGAAGTGCTCAATTATGTCATTAGCATTTAATTCCTAATCAAACTTCTAGGGAGAAGGATTGGTGGTTTAAAATACAAACATCTCAAGCCAGAATTTAATAAACTGTGAGTTATGTCTTGATATCAAAAACACACAGACACAGATCCACACAGAAGTTATTGCCGTGTGAGTCACATTATTAAAACATCACCACCTCCCCTTGTTTTCAGTGTGAAGATGATCATTTTCCCCATCTATCCACCTTTCAAGTCAGAGGTGAATCCACGACCGCACACTCATCATCATTATATCTTCCTCACTCCCTCCCCTCCTTGATTCCGTGCTCATTTCATCCAGCCTCTGTGGATTTCTCTCTCCGCATAATCAAACTGCTGTATCAAACACAGAGGAAGTCTATAGTGGGCAGAATATATCAATTAAAAAGTGCAAGTTAGAAAAAAAAAAGAAAAGGCTTTCATGTGCCCACATGTCCCTGAGCTGGATTAGCGTGGCTGGGAGCAGGTTGGGTATCAGCGCATCGCCCGGGGAAAGTTCGTAGGCAACATTCATTTGCACAACGAGCGCACTTTGAAAGACTCCAGCGCAGGCCTGTGTTCCTGGCCGCAACAAAACACCTGCTTGAAGCGGAGACAAAATGCCAAGCTGGAGAGAGTTCAAAAGAACAGGGTGACAATCACACAGTGTTGAACAACAGCAACGGCAACCCATCACTACAGCCTTTTGTCCGTGGCTGCTTGATTGGGAAAGGCCCTGGCTCGGCACGGCTCGGTGACGTTTCTAGCAGTGCATTGACCTTTTCTGTTGAATCAAGACCAAATCATGATGGGTTGAAAAGACGTGTCAGGTCCAATTCAGACATACTGAACCACACATTCAGAGCCAGAAAACATAAAGAGTTCCATTGCCCGGGGACAATCCAATTGACCTATTTTTTGTGGCTTTTCTTTGCTTCTGCCCATGCCTGGAGGCACCTAGACAGCCCTTATAGTAAGTACCAGGGTTCCTGAAAGAGTGGAATACCTCCAGGGGCCAGCCCAGGGTAATTCTGGGCAGCATCATGGAGAAGTAGGTCTTTTGCAAAATGTCTCTTGAAGGGCCAGAAGTAAAACTTACCTAAGTCTTTATAGTATAGCCATACTCAGAATTGCCTGGGAGATCTGTGATATCTATAAGTCAGATGTACCAATGCTCAAAAAAGCCATAGACACACACCCTGCGATAAAAGTGGAAGCTCTATTTAATTTCCGATTTAAAATGTGGGCAGGAGATATCAGGAAGCAAATGAAAGATGATGAGGTGGGAGATGGCCCTGAAAGGCAGAAATGAAAGGGAAGGTCCCAGAAGGGAGGCTCAGTTCCAGGACCTTGCAAGGAGCAAGCCTCTGCTTGTTCATAACTCAAGAAATCAAGTTACTTTTTCTTCAGAATTAAATTTAAAAAATCTCACTCAATGAACAGGCATGTTCCCTTCTCCAAGATCATGAGAAGTCATATATACCATGTTCCTTTCTTTGCTGTTATTGCCAAAAGATACAGAATTAGGTGAGTGTAATTTCATGAATATAAAGGTATCAGGACATAGTATATTCTTAATTCCTTAACAAAGAATTCAAATATCAAGCACCCCTCCCACCCTCCCACCTTTATTAAACATTAATGCATTTTGTATGTTTCTCATATATTGTACTCAAATAAAATTTAAGTTCCTCGTTAGCCCCTTTCTAAGAAATCCAGTAATACTATGTTCCTGTTTTTGCAGAACAAAGGCACTGACAAAGTCTGTGGGAGGCAGACCGTTCTCCACATTGTGTCCGAGCAGGTGGCCTGCCCATGGCCTTAGAAGGAGCTGCGTTGTGCAGTGAGGCTGCGGTCCTTATGCCACTCTGTATCCACCAGCAGCCCAGGGAACTCAGGCAAGTCCCCCGACATCATGACCTGCCTGTATCCTCATCCAGATTGGACGAGAAGTTCAGGATAAATCCTCCCTTCCTGCTCTTTTCACCTTGGACATAATTCATAATTTAAGAACATTTGAGTGAAGGAGAAGAGAGAAAATGAAAATCAGAAGGCTTAATGGCTAAAAAATTATGTCAAGATTCTTATTTGGGAAACGCACTCAATGTGATGGCATATGCTGTAAAGCAAAAGTGGGCATCTTTTCTGGCAGGCTCACCCGCCGGTCGGGGCTGGCAGATGAAGCCCATGTGCCTGAAGACACCAGGATTTTCCAGGAATTAGAACCCTCCCTCCTCCACTGCTTGGTCTTGGCCTGTCATCTGAACATCATGTCTTTGCTTAAAATTCTGACAGCTCTCAAAATGCAAATATCCCTGGGGTAACTTTGTGGCATCTGAGAAAAATGAGCAATCTATTAAGCTTACTGCAGACCAGCTTGAAGGTGAGAGAAGAGGTGGAAGGTGGGCAGAAGGGTCTGTCTCCTGAGAAAGGAGGGGTAAGAGGGCTGAGATTGGGAGATGCAGAGGAACACGTCTCCTCTCATCCACCCGCTGCAATGCTTTGCACAGGGGGACCTCTACTCACTGCTGCAGGTCTTAGTTCTCTAAGCCAAGGGGTATTATTCATCAATTTTAAAATAAATTAGTTTTTTTTCCTCAGCAAATGTGTCATCCTTGCATGCCTAAACACTTTTTTTTCAATTCATTTGGCAACAAATGATGGCCTACTAAGCCAATTTGTTCCTCTCACTTAAAAATAAATTCTGGATTCAGATCATTAGAGCTTCTCTTGGGAGAATATGATAATAGAGGTTTCCATTATTGGAAAGAAATTCTCTCCCACTATAATATCAAGGCATAAATTGTGGGAAGTGCCCTTTTATTTTCAGACTGGATGCCTTGTAATTTATATTTATATTTTTCTGTGCAATCTTTTTTTAAAGAAGTGATAAAACAAGGACTTCTGTATCCATATTTTTATTTCCTTTGTATGAAGGACCATGGCATGCAAAATGCAAATGCGAAGAAGAGAATAAAGTTATTATCTTGACTGATATCATCTATCTACCAGTCAAGATCATCATTCGATTGTCTTCTTTTATCAAGATTAAGTATCAAGATTATTTAATCCTGTTCATTCAAAATTAATAAACATTATTTTTAGAGCAATTTTAGTTTTGTAGCAAAATTGAGCAGAGAGGACAGAGAGTTTCTGTACACCCCAGCCACCACCCATTCATAGCTTCCCCCATTATCAACATGCTCCAGCAGAGTGGTCCATGTGTTACAATTAATGACCGTACATTGACACATCATCATCACCAAAGTCTGTATGTTGTATTAGGGTTAACTTCTGATGTACACCCTATGGGATTAGACCAACAGACGATACCACGTATCTGCCATTATTGTATTATTCAGAGTAGTTTCTCTGCCCCAGAAATCTTGTTTTCTGCCTGTTCATCCTTCCCTCCCCCTGCTCGGCCCCTGACAACCACTGATCTTTTCACTGTCTCCATAATTTTGCCTTTTCCAAAATGCCGTAGAGTTGAATCCTGTTATATGTAGCCTCTTCTGATTGGCACCTTTTACTTAGTGATATGCTTTTAAGTTTTCCCCCCGTCATTTCATGGCTTGATAGCTTTTTTCTCTTTAGCACTGAATGATGGTCCACTGTTTGGATGTACCAGAGTTTATATATCCACTCACCTACTGAAGGACATTGTGATTGCTTCCAAGTTTTGGCAACCATAAACAAAACTCCATGTACAGGTTTTGTGTGAGCATAAATTTTTAACTTATTTGGATAAATACCAAAGAGCATGCTTGTTGGATTTGATGGTAAGAATATACACAGTTTTGTAAGAAAACACAAAACTGTGTTCCAAAGTGGCTGCATCATTTTGCACTAGCACCAGCAGTGGGTAAGAGTTCCTGGATCTCCATATCCTTGCCAGAATTTGGTGGTGTCAGTGTTCTGAATTTTGGGCATGCTAATTGCTGTATAGTGGTATTTTTTTTTAATTTGCAATTGCTTAATGACATCTGAGGCTGAACATCTTATAAGCTAATTTGCCTCCTGTATATCTTCTTTGGTAAGGTGTTAAAGTTTTTGATCAGTTTTTTTTTTTGTTGGATTTTTTTTTTGAGACAGAGTTTCACTCTTGTCACCCAGGCTGGAGTGCAGCAGCACGATCTTGGCTCACTGCAAAGTCTGCCTCCAGGGTTCAAGCGATTCTCCTGCCTCAGCCTCCCAGGTAGCTGGGATTACAGGCATATGCCACCACACCCAGCTAATTTTTGTATTTTAAGTAAAGACAGGGTTTCAACATTTGGATCTGGTTTTTAACAAGGTTGTTATCTTTCTTACTATTCAGTTTTAAGATTTATTTGTATATTTTGAATAACATGTTATTCAAAGTACGTGTTATCAGACATGTACTTTGTAAATATTTTCTCCTAGTCTGTGGGTGGTCTCTCTGTCTTGACATATTCTTTCACACAGCAGAAGTTTTAATTTTCATAAAGTCTAACTTACAGTTACAGTTTTCTCTTATGCTATCTTCCATGCATTTTATAAATATTTTATTTTATATTTAGGTCCATGATTCATTTTGAGTTAATTTTTTGAAGAATGCAATACCTCTATCAAGTTTCGTTTCTTTTTTTTTTTTTTTCCTGTGGACTTCCAGTTATCCCGGCATCATTTGTTGAAAAGACTGTTTGCTTGCTTGTATTGTCTTGGCTCCCCTGTCAAAGATTAATTGATTATAATTATGTGGGTTGACTTCTAGGTTCTCTATTGCATTCCCTTGATCTATTTATTTATTCTTTCACCAATATGACACTATCCTGATTACTGTAGTTTTATAGTAAGTAGAAGTCATGTAGTGTCAGTCTCCCAACACTGTTTTTTCTCCTTAAATATTGAGTTGTCCATTCTGGGTCTTTTGCCTCTTCAAATAAACTGTAGAATCAGTTTGACAATATCTAAAAATTAACTTGCTGGAAGTTTTACTGGGATTGCATTGAATCTATAGATTAAGTTGAGAAGAACTGACATCTTCCAAATTGAATCTTCCTTCTTAATCATGTGCATAAAATATCTATCCATTTAATTAGTTCTTCTTCGATACATTTTTCACAGTTTTGTGATTTTTCTCATAGAAATCTTACACCTATTTTGTTAGATTTATACCTAAATATGTTTTGGAGTGGAAATGCAAATGGCAATGTGTTTTTAATGTAAAATTTTACTTGTTCATTGCTGGTATATAGGAAAGTGGTTGACTTTTCTGTATTAACTTTGTATGCTGCAACCTTGCTATAATTCTTCATTAGCTCTAAGAGTTTTTCTGTCAATTCTTTCAAATTTTATATGTAAAAGATTGTGTCATCTCTAAGCAAAGACAGTTTTATTTATTATTTCCCAATCTGTATACTTTTTACTTATTTTTATTGTCTTATTGCACTGGCTAGGATTTCCACTATAATGTTGAAAAGCAGTAGTGAGAGGAAACATCCTTGCTGTGTCCTTGAGCTTAGGAGAAAAATTTTGAGTTTTTCACTGTTGAGGATAATGAGATCTGTAGATTCTTTGCAGATGTTCCTTAAAAAGTTGAGGAATTTTCGCCATATTTCTGAAGTTTCCTGAAGAGTATTTTTTTATAATCATGAATGGGTGGTGAAGTTTGTCAATTTTTTTTTGGAACTACTAATATGATTATGTAACTTTTGTTTTGTAGCCAGTTGATTTAATATATTAATTGATTTTCAAATGTTGAGCCAACCTTGCTTTCCTGTGATAAATCCAACTAGGTCATGTAATATAAGCCTTTTCATAAACTGTTGAATTTGATTTGCTAATATTTTGTTGAGAATTTTTGCATTAATATTCATGAGAGATATTAGTATGTAGTCTTCTTTCTTGAAATGTCTTTGCCTGGTTTTGATATTAAGATAACATCAGCCTCAAGTAATGAGTTAGTAAATGTTTCTTTTTTTTATTTTTCTGAAAAAAAGATTGGAGGGAATTGATGCAATTTCTTTCTTAAATATTTAGTAGAATTCAGCAGGAAACCTATCTGGGCCTGGTGCTTTATGTTTTGAAAGGTTATAAACTATTATTTCAATTTCTCTAACAGATATTGACCCATTCTGACATTTTTATGTTTTCTTGTGCAATTTTCAACAGATTATGTCTCTTAAGATATTATTTCAGTTCATCTAAGTTATCAAATTTGTAAGCAAATAATTTTTAATAATAATATTTCATTATTCTTTTAACATCCATGTGATTTTTGGTGGTATTTTCTCTTTCATTTCAAGAATTACTAATTTGTGTATTCTCTCATTTTTTTAGCCAGGTTAGAGGTTTATCAATTTTATGGATCTTTTCAGAGAAACTTTTAGTTTTGTTCAATAGTTAGTTCAATAGTTTTCTATTGATTTCTTGCTTTTAATTTTATTAATTTCTGCTCTGATTTTTATTATTTCTTTTTTTGCTATTTGCTTTGGGTTTAATTTGCTCTTCTCTTTCCAGTTTCTTCAATGGAAGCTTATATTATTGGTTTTAGATTTTTTTAAAAAAATTCTGTTATATGCTTTTAATGCTATAAATTTCCCTCTAAGCACTGTTCCTCCATCCTACAAAATTTGATAAATTACATTTTTATTTTCATTTAGATAAAAAGTTCTTAAATTTTTTCTTGAGATTTTCCTGATGTGTTTTGTTTAAGCTCTGAATATTTTAGAATTTTCCAGCTTTCTGTTATTGATTTCTAGTTTAATCCATTGTTGTCTGAGAGCAGGCATTGTATGATATCTATTCTTTTACATTTTTAAGGTGTGTTTTATGGTTCAGGATGTGGTTTATCTTTATGAATGTTTCATATGATCACAAGAAGGATGTGCAATCTGTCATTGTTGGATAAAATAGTCTATAGGTGTCAATGAGATTAAGTTGATTGATGGTGCTGTTGAGTTCAATATCCTTCTACTGATTTCCCACCTGCTGGACCTATTTCTAACAGAGAAATGTTAAAATATTCAACTCTTATAATAAATTATTTCTCTTTACAGTTTTATTAGATTTTGCCTCATATATTTTGTCTGTTATTAGGTGCATACACTTTAAAGATTGCTATGTCTTTTGGAGTACTGACCCTTATGTCATCATGTAATGTCTCTACCTCTGATAAACTTCCTTACTCTGAAGTCTGCTGTGTCTAAAATTAATATTCCCACTTCCACATTTTTTGATTAATGTTAGCATAGTATATCTTTTTCTTTCCATTTACTTTTAATGTATATGGGTCTTTATATTTTAAGTGGGCTTCTTATAGGCAACATATAGTTGGGTCTTGCTTTTGCACCCACTCTGACAATCTCTGTCTTTCAATTGGTGTATTTAAATTATTAAAATTTAAAGTGATTATTTATACAGTTGAATTAGTATCTACCATGTTGTTACTATTTTCTATTTGGTGGCTGATCTTTTTTGTACTTTTGTCTTCCATACTTTTTCTGCCTTTTGTGTTTTTAATGGACTGTTTTGATAGTTTAATTTTATCTCATTTCTTCATATATTATTTATTCTCCTTTTTAAAGGTTTTCAGTAGTTTTCCCAGAGTCTCCAATATATACTTAAAACTAATGTGAGTCTACATTTACATATTATTGCTCTTCACAGATAGTGCAAGTACCTAATAAAAAATTCTAATTCCTTTCTTCTGCCCTTTATGTCATTGCCATTATTCATTTCCATTATAAAAACAAACACATACATATATGTGTGTATGTTGTTTTGATCAAATTTTTATTTACTAAATCAATTAAGAATGAGAAAAATAAAAGTTTCTACTATTTTTAATTTACTGATTGATTCCTCGACACTTTTTCTTTCATTATGTAGATCTGAATTCCTGGACTACGTCAGCTTCTTCTCTCTGAAAGAATTTATTTTAGTATTTCTTGCAAAAAAAGACTATTAGCAAAAAATATATACATATATATATCAATTTTATTTTTCCTGAGAAAGTCTTTTATGTTCACTTTTGATGAATAATTTTGCAAAGTATGCAAGTCTAGGTTGGAAAGCTTTTTTGTCTTTTGTTGCTGTTGTTCTCTCAACACTTCAAATATTTTATTCCACTTTCTTTTTGCTTGCATAGTTTCTAATAAGAAATCAAATGTAATTTTTATTTTTGCCCCTCTGTTGGTATTTTTACTTCTGACTTGTTTCAATATTTTTCTTTATTTTTGATTTTCTGAATTTTCAGTATCATTTGCCTCAAATGTAGCTTTTTGGTTCATTTGTATGTTTGGTTTTGGTGACCTCTGAGCGTCCTGAATCTATGGTTTGGTATTTAAGAGTAATTTGAGAAAATTCTCAGCTATTATTGCTACAAAAATTGCTTTTATTTCTTTCTCTATTTCTTCTTATTTTAGTATTACAAGTATGTTACGTATTGTTTTAGTTTAGTTTTCTCACAATTCTTGGATACATTGTTCTTTTTCAGGATTTATTTTTCCTTCGCTTTTTGGGTTTTGAATGTTTCTATGGAGAAACTGTTTCCTCAGGTGTGTCCAATCTACTAATCAGGACATCAAGGGCATTCTTTATGTCTGTTACTGTATTTTTTTAATCTCTACTTAATTTTTATTCTTTCTTAAAATTTCTGTTTCTCTGTTTACCTTATGAATTTGCTCTTGTATGTTGCCTAATTTATCCATTAAAGCTCTTAGTATATTAATCATAGTTTTATAATTTCCCACTGTGATAGTTCCAACATTTCTGTCGTATCCGACTCTGGTTCTGAGGCTTGTTTAGTCTCTTCAAAGTGGGTGTTTGCACTTTAATATGACTTTTAATTTTTTGTTGACATGTGGGGATAATTTACTGGGTAAAATGAGCTATGGAAAATAGGTCTTTAATAATGTTGTGGTAAGGTGTAGAGAGGGAGCAAGTGTTCTATGGTCTTAGAATTAAGTCTCAATCTTTTGATGAGCCTGTGCCCTAGACTGTGACCTTCACCAGTGCTTCTCAGTCCCCTTTCTCCCTGTTAGGTGGAACACAGTGACTAGAGAGGGCTGGGGTTGGATATTTTCCTTTCCCCAAGTGTAAGGCTAGAGTTGGCTTGAATTGGTATTTTCTTTCTCCAGGTAGGTTAGGTTCTAGTAATCTCCATTTGTTTAAGCTCTGATAAAACAGTTTCTCCTGAGGGAGGTCTTGTTAAGTAGAACAGAACACTTCAGTATATTTTTAAATAATTCCTTTTCCCTGCTCCCTGACAGAAGCTTGAGGGGATTTTTCCCCACTCTTCACTGTTAAGACCTGGTTAAGTTCCTGAAATGCAAATCCCAGTATGGAGAAGCCCCTTTGACCGGGACCTCTGTAGCTTTTCACTGTCAGGCTTGTCCACATTGAGCTTCCAGCAAATTACTGTTTTGGTTTTCTGCTCTGGAATTGGTTTCCTTGGAAGTTTCTGCTTTAGAAAGTTATGATTTCTGTATCTATCTGCCTGTCTCTCAGATTTCTGTATGGGCGTTTGTCCTGACTTCCCTCCTCGGATGGTTCCAAAGTAAGCGATTGATTTTCCAGTTTGTTCAGCTTTTCACTTGTCATCAGGATGGAGTGGAAACTTCTAAGCCCCTTGACTACAAGACAGGAAACTGGAAAATGCAACTTAGAGATTTTTTTTTTTTTTTTGAAATGGAGTCTCTCTCTGTCACCCAGGCTGGGAATGCAGTGGTGCAATCTCGGCTCACTGCAACCTCCGCCTCCCAGGTTCAAGCGATTCTCCTGCCTCAGCCTCCAGAGCAGCTGGGATTACAGGTGTGTATCACCACACCCCAGCTAATTTTTGTATTTTTAGTAGAGATGGGGTTTCACCGTGTTGGCCAGGCTGGTCTTGAACTCCTCATCTCAGGTGATTCACCCACCTCAGCTTCCCAAAGTGTTGAGATTACAGGGGTGAGCCATCCCACCTGGCCCAACTTAGAGATTTTTATAAAATAAAAATATATTCTTCCTTAGAGCTTTTTGAGAAGGGGGACTTAATTTTATTTATTAAGATATATACATAAACATTATGTGTATATATAAATGTATATATTTACCTGTATACATATAAATATGTACATTTATACATAATATACATATATATTTTGAAAACCTTATTTTTTTACTTAAAGAGTTTTGTCTTAGAATTTCCAATTACTGCATAGCCACATTGACACATGAAGCTCTATATAGGTAATTTAGCTAATAGGTAATTTAGCTAAGAATTAAGCAGGAGATGATCTTGCCCAGGCTCAGTCCTCTTTCTCTCTCTTTCAATCTTTCTCTCTCTCTCTGTGTGTGTGTGTGTGTGTGTGTGTGTGTGTGTGTGTGTGTGTGTGTGTGTTGGTCAGGGTTCTTTAAAGGGACAGAACTAATAGGATAGATGAATATATGAAGAGGAGCTTATTAGGAGAATTGACTCACATAGTCACAAGGTGAAGTCTCACAATAGGTTGTCTGCAAGCTGAGGAGGCAGGAAGCCAGTCTGAGTCCCAAAACCTCAAAAGTAGGAAAGCCGATAGTGTAGCCTTCAGTCTGTGACCAAAGGCTCAAGAGCCCCTGGCAAATCACTGGTGTTAGTCCAAGTGTCCACAAGCTGAAGAACTTGGAGTCTGATGTTCGAGGGGAGGAAGCTTCCAGCATGGGAGAAAGATAAAGGCTGGAAGACTCAGCAAGTCAGCTCATTCCACCTTCTTCCACCTGCTTTATTCCACTCATGCTGGCAGCTGATTAGATGGTGCCCACCCAGATTGAAGGTGCCTCTGCCTTTCCCAGTCCACTGACTCAAATGTTAATCTCCTTTGGCAGCCACCAGGCACAATGCTTTGGATTCTTCAATCCAATCAAATTGACAATAAGAACTGTCACCGTGTGTGTGTGTGTGTGTGTGTGTGTGTATGTGTGTGTGTTTAATATCTCAGTTATGTCTAAGCCCCAGACAACAGGTTTCATGGACAGTGATAACCATATGCTCTTTGAAAAATATAACTACCCCAAATATTTTTTCAAGAAAGTTCTTGATGTGATGGATAGAAGATGTGACTAGAAATATGTAAAAGTGGGTTCATATTTCAGAGCAGTGACATATTAGCTATATAAAAGCATGCAATTATATCACATTTCCTACACCACTGTCCTCATCTACAAAATGATAGCATTAAACTAGATAGCCGCTCACATTGGAGGATATAGAAAGACAAATGATTTCATTCTATGCAAGACAT
Organism: Homo sapiens; assembly: GCF_000001405.40. NCBI lineage: Eukaryota > Metazoa > Chordata > Mammalia > Primates > Hominidae > Homo > Homo sapiens. Next base: position 3,942,760 of record NC_000005.10, read on the forward strand.
TTAAGAAATACCTTGTGAAATAAAATTGCATTAGCCAGCTAGTCTCCTGGAAAGTTCTGAACAGGTAGGAGTTGAGACCAGTGACTTCACTCAGCCCGATAGATCTTCCTGCTCCAACTAGAATGGGGAGGAAGATAAGAGCCACCTGGAAGCCAAGAAAGGAAGAATCACCAAACACCATTTCCCCTGCTAAAACTAACTGTAGATGGGGAAAATGCAGAACGAGGCCTGCCATGTCCAGACAAGGAAAGAACAAAAACTGTGAAGATTTTAGCTTAAAGTAATGAGATATGTCCCAACTATTAGAGGGGCAGAGCTACTACAATAAAAGAAGTAAATGGAGCCAGGTGCCATGGCTCATGCCTGTAATCACAGCACTTTGGGAGACTAAGGTGGGTGGATCACTTGAGGTCAGAAGTTCAAGACCAGCCTGGTCAACATGGTGAAACCTTGTCTCTACTAAAAATACAAAAAATTAGCTGGGAGTGGTGACACGTGCCTGTAATCCCAGCTACTGGGGAGGCTGAGGCAGGAGAATCACTTGAACCCAGGAGGCAGAGGTTGCAGTGAGCCGAGATCACGCCACTGCACTCCAGCCTGGGAGACAGAGTGAGAACCTGTCTCAAAAAATAAAAAAATTAAAAAAAGAAGTAAATGGTTGCTAAAACTTTGGAATAACATAAGCCTAGATTCAAAAACTTGGACGGAATTTATTAACCTATGTCTCATTTTTTAAAGTCGAGATGACATTATCTTCTTTGAAGAGTTTTCATATTAATTAAAATAATAAATACATAAAACATCATCCAGTACAATATATGATCTTAATGAATGGTCGTTATGGCAATGGTGATAGTGTACCAGTTAGCTAGGGTGTCATAAATATCCACAAACTTGGGAACTGCAAACAGTAACTCTTTATTACTGCTCAGCAGCCTATGAGCCAGCTGGGCTCACTTATGTGATCAGCTATGGGTTGGCTGGGGATAGGCCCATGAGGAGTGGTCTCATCTCAGAGGGCTGAGATAATGGTCCTTATCTCCAGCGTGTTAGTCTAGGCTTGCCCTTTTATCAGTGCTATCAGGGGTCCAAGAAAAAAAAAAAGAGAAAATATCCACAGCTGTCCAGAAAATGTCCACCACAACATCAAATCTACCGCAACCTATTGGCCACAACGGGTCATGAGGTCAGCTTGAATCAAAGGGAAGGAAATGAATGTGCCTTCTAATGGCAGAGCAGCAGAGGCTCATGACACAGGCCATGGGTACAGAGGGAGTGATAAGGACCCATTCTGACATCAATATACCCCAGTGAATGATGACAGTGCTCAAAGTTTCTGAAATACCCCTTGTGAAAGAGCCAGGGGAGGAAGCATGAGTGGTGAGCAAATACCTCTGGCTGGTGTGTAGGAAGAGTGTGGTTCTCAAGTTTTGAATGTGCAGCTTGTTCTATGCTTCAGAATTGTGTCCATCATTTATCTTCAGATATGACCTGGATATGCTATTACACCATAATGGAAATGTAACCTGTCACTGATGTTAAACAGCAGTGACTGCAGTACAAACGTTTATGATATTGAAAACCATGTCAGACAAAACGGGAATCTTCCTGTAAAAAAAAAAAAAAAAAAAAACACCGCACTATCATAAACCACACATGCCGATATGCTGACTTACTGACTTACTTCTTCTTCTTTTTTTTTTTTTTGAAACAGTTTCACTTTGTCACCCAGGCTGGAGTGCAGTGGCCCCATCCTGGCACACTGCCATCTCCGCCTCCTTGGTTCAAGCGATTCTCCCGCCTCAGCCTCCTGAGTAGTTGGGATTACAGGTGTGCACCACCACACCGAGATATTTTTTGTATTTTTAGTAGAGACACGGTTTCACCACGTTGGCCAAGCTGGTCTTGTACGCCTGACCTCAGATGATCTGCCCACCTCGGCCTCCCAAAGTGCTGGGATTACAGTGCTGAGTCCTGATTTACTTCTTAAAAATATCATGTTATTACTTTCTGCTATTCAGGGTGACTATTAGGAGAGGAAAAATCTAAAAAGTACACAACAGTATTCACCATGGCTTAGTTCTGAGCGGTAGTGTTTTTTTAGATAATATAGATTTTTCATAAATGTACTGCATTTTCTAGTTTCATAAAAGATCAAATAATTATTGGAAACAACACCAAAATAAATATTGATAAAAAGGCAAAAGAGGAATCCACAGAATCCCTTCTCCTACATGTGCCATGGTGGAGATGTAAGGTGCGTGGGCACAGCGTGAAGCAACCATGTGGATGGCGTGGCTGCTGCCAGGCCCAGGGCGGCCGTCCTCACATGAGCTCTGCCCTGGGCATCTGGAATTGCTCTTAATACTTTTCCCTTGAGTCTGGCATGGAACTATTTCCATCATATATTTTTTAAGTGGACACTGCTTTGTTTTCCAGGTCCTTAAATTGTAGAGACAGGCCGGGCGCGGGCGCGATGGCTCATGTCTGTAATCCCAGCAGTTTCGGAGGCCGAGGCAGCTGGATCACCTGAGGTTGGGAGTTTGAGACCAGCCTGACCAACGTGGAGAAACCCCATCTCTACTAAAAATACAAAAATTAGCCAGGCGTGGTGACGCATGCCTATAATCCCAGCTACTTGGGAGGGTGAAGCAGGAGAATCGCTTGAACCCGGGAGGCGGAGGCTGCGGTGAGCCGAGATTGCACCATTGCAGTCCAGCCTGGACTACAAGAGTGAAACTCCATCTCAAAAAAGAAAAAAAAAAAGTGTGTGTGTGTGTGTGTGTGTGTGTGTGTGTGTGTGTGTATATATATATATATAGTGGAAACAATATTTTGAAGAGGTTTTAGAGATCGGATTCTGAAACTTCAAAACTTGCAGACAATGGAGCCTACACATATGTGTCGAATAGCTTCAGAAATAATTTTGCTCTCTTGTCAGTGCTGAGTGACAGCTCTAATAAATTCCTACATTTTAAGCAGACTTACATTTCACATGCACTTGCTCTCCTCTCTCGAGCAGAGTGGAACATCTATTGTCAAATGCATAATATAGCATTAGAAATGCAAACTTGCTGTAGCCAATGGTAATGTGTTATTTAAAACTTATGAACCCAAATGAGGGCTTATTTTCTCCAAATTGAAATTTATAGTTTCATTTTAGGGTGCTAACTTGAATATTGATGGGGCTTAGGCATGCTGTTATAAAATGGCAATGAGAAACAGAGCAAGTAAGTGCCAGACACAGAGGAGCGATTATAGCAATGCATGGATCGTATGTAAAAATTGAGTTCCCTTACCCTACTGTGGCTAAAAATGTAGGGAGGCTTTTGTGCAGGTAGGGGTGGTATGCAGCTCTCAGTCTGTTAGTATTCTATTGGCTTTCACACCATGTGAGTTTAGTGCAAAATTAAAAAAAAGAAAAACACAAAAAGAGTAAAACAGAAATGACTGGTTCTTCATATCTTCCAGAAGAGGAATCTTTGAGATCCCATCACCCCTCTGTTAGATGAGCCTGTGATTAATAGCTTTGTCTATCACCTTGGCAAAATTGTTACAATATTATACTTTACACAATTGAAATTCAAATCAGTTCACCTAACAAACATTAAATGTCAGGCCCTGCTAATGGGTCAGAGATTCAAATCAAACAGAATACCTCTTTTCAAGGAGGCTGCAACGCAGGGGGAAACACTTATTTAAATACACTCTAGATGTCACGGTGTAGCACATATGACATTTTTTCATATACAACAATATAAATAAAATAATATAAATAAAGACAAAATGCATAATAAAAAATGAAAATGAAAAATAAATTAAAAAGAAAAATTAAACAAAATAAAACTACATAATGATTGCAATCTGAAAAGCCAGAACAATTTAAAGGATAGTTACATTGAATTAGGTAGAATAGAATAACAATTTAGAAAATAAATCAGTGTTTTAAAAAATCCAAACTCCTGTTCTCTACAGAAGTTTCTCCCACCCATGGGGAGTGATTCTCCAGATGTCCTTGATGGAACGAAATACCACTTGTGGGCTCTATTCTATTTCCAAGATGGTTCTGAAATGTATGGTGTCACCTGGGTCAACTACTGATAGAGTTCATGTGCTTCTCTGATTGAGTTGAATTGACCAAAACTACAGGAGAAGCTCCTTCAGCCTGGTCACAGCCTTGGCTGCAACCCCATCCTAGACAGCTCTACAGTAGAGCAGTCAGTCTCTCCCCTTAGGAAAAGTGGGCTGGCTCTTCTCACCTGGGAAGGTGCTGCCTGTTGAAGAGGTGCCTGCAATATGATTCTATGCCGGGAAAAGAGTTGCAGGATATAAATGCAAAACAGAAAATAGGAGAAGAAAGCAACCAACGTCAACATCAGCTGTGGCTCTGGGGAACGGCTTCTCTTCGTGAGAAATATACATAACTAAGCAACAACAACAATGATACAAAAAGCATATGGAGGCAGAAGGAAAGGACAAACTCCAACCTCACTTCATTGCATGGAACAGGATTGTTTTCGGGGTCCAACACTGACACTTGGACACGTTCTGAATTCCTGCTAGGAGAGCTGACTTGGGACTCTTATCAGGGTGATGGAAAACAATAGGAATGTAATCAGGTAATCACAATTACCAGGCCTTGTGTCCTACGGGGCCTACTTGTCTACCTGACATAATAGCAGAGATGTATTGTCTCTGTGATGTTATGCCAGAGTTATAGTAAATGCAGTTGCCACAATTAATGACTTTTACTTAAGAGTATGGCCAAATTGTCAAAAAGACAAAGAATAATTGCAATTGCTTATTACAAAAACAAAACAAAACAAAACAAACAAACAAAAAAAAAACAAAAAAAAACCAAGATGCTTTACTTCCCTGGTGGGATGACATAATTGGGACCTGTATTCGTCAGGGTTCCCTAGAGGGACAGAACTAACAGGATATATATACACATAGAAAGGAAAGTTTATTAAGTATTAACTTACACAGTCACAAGCTGCCACATTAGGCTGTCTGCAGGCTTGAGGAGCAAGGAGAACCAGTCTGAGTCTCAAAACGGAAGAAATAGGAATCTGATGTTTGAGGGCAGGAAGTATCCAGCACGGGAGAAAGATGTAGGCTGGGAGGCTAGGTCCTTCTTGCCTTTTCCCATTTTTCTGCCTGCTTTATATTTGCTGGCAGCTGATTAGATGGTGCCCACCTGATTAAGGGTGGATCTGCCTTCCCCAGCCCACTGACTCAAATGTTAATCCCTTTGACGACACCCTCACAGACACACCCAGGATCAATACTTTGCATCCTTCAACCCAATCAAGTTGACACTCAGTAATAATCATCACAAGTCCACCCCTTTGTCAACTTAAACCCATACACATCTCCTGAGATCATGCATAATCTTCAGATAAAGAAAATAATAAGGTCGTAATTACACCTAACATAATACAACTATCCTTCATACAACCAGAAATGCACCAATCCCTAAGCCAGATACTATTACATAAACTTAACAACACTTAAATGCTGATATGAAGTCAATAATAGTAATAATAATCTTATGCCACATGATAAACGAGAAGGGAATAAAATGAAGATATTTTCTTAGCATAAGTGTATACATGCACAAGCATGTTTTTAGCAAAAGAAAGAGGAAATGCTCATGACAATTACAGTTTTCATTTCGGCAGTTGGTCACACGATTGTAGCTGGTATTGATGACTACCTTCTTCTGCTACCCATTCTGTATTCCCTTTGCCTTCAGCAGGCACCCCAGCATGTCATGGATTTTTCCTGGTGAAGTGACCCAAACCTTCAATCCTTAAGAGTCTGGGCCATTTGTAGTACTGCCTGGATTGGGCTGTTGTAGTTTTCCACTGACCTTAATTATAGAGCATTGTAATACTAACAGACACCCTAATGGATCTCCTGTATTCATTCCATGCATCTTCTTCCTTACTTCTGTTGTGGAGTAGTAGACTGATTTCATCTTGATAGTCTGGGTCAATCACCCCAGCCAACACTGTAACTCCCTTTTTAGCCTGTTGACTTAAAGAAAGGAGGAGCCCAAAGTGTCCAGGTGGCAATCTTAACTTGCTGTTCAATGGAATCGTTGTTGTGTCTCCTGGTGGCAGCGATCCTCTGTCTGGAATTGAGACCTGTAGGCCAGCAGAACATAATGTCATGGAAATAGGAAGCAAAAATTTTGCTAGTGGATCACTAGGGGTGATGGTGAGTGGTGCCACTTTCACTTCCACACGTTGATTCCTGGACCGTGAATCCTGGCTATGACAGAAACTAAAATATATTGGACACTGATTCAGAGCATACATGGTCATTGGATAACTTTGCCTCTGCCCTGCCAAGTATTGTCACCTAGTTGGCATTATAATTCTGACTTCAAAAAGCCATTCTACCATTGTATCAATCCAGCTGCTTCAGGATGATGGGGAACATGAAAAGACCAGTGAATTCCATGATCATGAGCCCACTACCGTACTTCTTTAGCCATAAAGTGAGTGTCTTGGTGAGAGGCAATGCTGTGTGGAATACCATGATGGTGGATAAGGCATTCTGTGAGTCCACGGATGGTAGCCTTGGCAGAAGCATTGCATGCAGGATAGGCAAACCCATATCCGGAGTAAGTGTTTATTCCAGTGAGGACAAATCTCTTCCCTTTCCACGACAGGAGAGGTCCAATATAATCAACCTGCCACCAGGTAGCTGGCTGATCACCCCGAGGAATGGTGCCATATTGAGGGATGGGTGTTGGTTTCTGCTGCTGGCAAATTGGGCTCTCAGCAGTGGCTGTAGCCAGATCAGCCTTGGTGAATGGAAGTCCATGTTGCTGAACCCATGTGTATCCTCCATCCCTGCCACCATGGCCACTTTGTTCATGGGCCCATTGGGCGATGACAGGGATGGCTGGGGAAAGAGGCTGAGTGGTGTCACAGAATGAGTCATTTTATCCACTTGATTATTAAAATCCTCCTCTGCTGGGGTCACCCACTGGTGAGCACTCAATGGGGTAAAAATATCTTCACAGTTTTTGACTACTCAGAGAGGTTCATCCACATAATTTTTCCCCAAATTTCTTTGTGACCAATTTTCCAATCATGCTTCTTCCATGTCCTTGACCATCCAGCCAAACCTTTGGCTACAGCCCATGAATCAGTATATAATTACACATCTGGTCATTTCTCATTCCATGCAAAGTGCATAGTCAGGTGCACTGCTCAAAGTTTTGTCCACTGGGAATATTTTCCTTCACCACTATCCTTCAGGGATGTCATGGAATAGGTCTGTAGTGCTGCAGCTGTCTACTTTTGGGTGTGCCTGCATATCATGCAGAACTATCTGTGGCCCTAGTCTTCTCTTGCTCTGTCAACTGATCATAGGCAACTCCACATGAGGCCATTGGTGCAGGCTCGGGGAGGAGGCAGGGCTGCAGGAGTGGAGATTATGGACACTTAAGTCACTTCCTCATGTAACTTATTTGTGCCTTCAGGAACTGCTTAAGCCCGATCATGTATATACTTCATTTGATGATGGAATGCTCCTGTGCACGACCCACTTTATGGCTAGATGGGTCAGAAAGCACCCAGTTTATGATAGGCAATTCAGGTTGCATGGTGACTTAATGACCCATAGTTAAACGTTCAGTTTCCACCAAAGCCCAGTAACAGGCCAAGAGCTGTCTCTCAAAAGGAGAGTAGCTATCTGCAGAAAATGGCCTTGTTCCCAAATCCTAGAGGCCTCCACTTTGATTCACCTATGAGGGCCTGAAAAAGTCTCCAAACAGCATCCCTATCTGCCACTGACACCTTAAGCACCATTGGATATGCTGGGTCATATGGCCTAAATGACAGAGCAGCTTGCACAACAGCCTGGACCTGTTGCAGAGCCTTCTCCTGTTCTGGACCCCACTCAAAACTGTCAGCCTCTTGGGTCACTCAATAAATGGGCCAGATTAACACACCCAAATTAGGAATATGTTGCCTCCCAAATCCAAATAGGCCCACTAGGCATTGTGCCTTTTTCTTGGTTGTAGGAGGGGCCAAACGCAGCAACTTATCCTTCACCTTAGAAGGAATATCTCAACAGTCCCCACACCACTGGACCCCTAGAAATTTTACTGAGGTAGAAGGTCCCTGAATTTTTGTCCAATTTATTTCCCATCCTCTGGTACTCAAATGTTTCACCAATAAGTCAGTCCAGTGTGTTTGCTATTTCTTTCTCACAGGATCAAATCAGCATAATGCCATCAATGTAATAGACCAGTGTGATATCTTGCAGAAGCAAAAAGCAATGAATTTCTCTCCAAATAAGATTATGACACAAAGCTGGAGAGTTGGTATACCCCTGAGGTAGGACAGTAAATGTATATTGCTGGCCTTGCCAGCTGAAGGCAAATTGCTTCTGGTGGGCCTTATGGACAGGAATGGAGAAAAAGGCATTTGCCAAGTCAATGGCTGCATACCAGGTACCAGGAGATGTGTTAATTTGCTCAAGCAATAAACCACATTTCATACAGCAGCTGGAATTGGAGTCACCACTTGGTCAAGCTTACAATCCACTGCCATTATCCAAGATTGATCTGTCTTCTGCACGGGCCAAATGGGAGAGTTGAATGGAATGTGGTGGGAATCACTAACCCTGAGTCTTTCAAGTTCTTGATGGTGGCACTAATCTCCACAATCCCTCCAGGGATGCAATATTGTTTTTTATTTACTATTTTCCTAGGTATAGGCAGGTCTAGTGGCTGCCATTTGGCCTTTCCCACCATAGTTGCCTCAACCTACCGGTCGGGGAGCCAATGTGTGTGTTCTGCCAGCAACTAATTATGTCTATGTTAATTATGCATTCTGGCACTGGGGAAGTTACAAAAGGATGAGTCCAGGGACCCATTGGACCTACTGTAAGTCAGACTTGTGCTAAAACTCCATCAATTACCTGACCTCCATAAACCCCTACTTTAACTGCAGGACCAGGATGACATTTTGGGTCCCCTGGAATCAATGTCAGCTCAGAGCCAGTGTCCAGGAGTCCCCAAAATATCTGATCACATTCCTTTCCTCAGTGCACAGTTACCCTGGTAAAAGGTTGGTGGTATCCTTGGGGAAGGATGGGAGAAAGATTCACTACATAACTTTTCAGTAATGTAATGGGGTTCTTTCTGAAGGGGACACAGCCTCCCCTTCATTCAAAGGGTTCTGGGTCTGTAAACTGGCTCAAGTCTGGAAATAGACTGTGGGTGCATGATTCTCTGTTTTTATACTTCAAATTAGTCTTTTGCCCGTTCAACCTAGAAGTTTTCTGCTTATATAAATTAAGTAAGAATGCAGTAGACTTCCTATCAATTTCACTTCTAGGAACACCGTGATTAATTAGCCAGTGCCAGAACTCTACAAGAGTCAGTTTATTCTGATTGCCACTTTGCCTATTCTGTCCATGATGGCAGCTACACCCACCTTGCTTTTGACAGTTGAGTGGTGTCATTGGCCCCTGCCACCTCCAGGTCCAATAATTCCCATTGTCTTTAAATTTTGCAGTTGAGTGACTGCAGTTCCCACTGTTAGATCTGTCATACAGAGAAGAGCAATTACAAGGCTCTTCAAAGATGCAGTTGCTGCCCTTGCAAATCTATTTCTCAAGGCATTGGCCAAAGGTATATCTTCTGGACCCCTCCATATGGGATGAGTAGGTTTAAAGTGACTAATCCACTCCACCCTCCCAATCTCCCTAAGCCTTTGGATCCCTTTCTTTACATTAAACCAAGGGAGATCAGGCATTTCCAACTCTTTCACAGTAGGCCATCTTTTAATCCATATTTCAGCTAACCAAGCAAATAAACTATCAGAACATTTTTAAACTCCCTGAGCTGCAACATTAAATGCAGAGTCCCTACTTAGTGGGCCCAAATCAATAAATTCAGCCTGATCCAACTCTAAGTTCCTTCTACCATTATCCCACACCCTTAATATGCATTCCCATGCTTGTTCTCCAAATTTCTGTTTCTATAAATTAGAAAGCTCAAGCAGTTCTTTTCGAGTGTCATGCACCTCCTCATGGATCACACTCTCAATATCACCTCTAGGGACCTGCCAGGGCTTTAGTCTAGTTATAGGTTTAGAAGTAAACAGGGGTGTAGTGGGTGGCTCCTGAGGAGAATCAACATTATTTTGCCTGGTATCTGCCTCAGGGGAGGCCATCACTGTTCCCTCAGACAGCACAGGGTTTATCTCTTCAGACAAAAGTGGAAAGGCTGATGGCAGGATGGGTCAGGGAGGAGATGTTGTCACTAATGGAAATGGGGAAGCTGCTCCTTCTGGCAAAAAAGATTCATCAAGGTTTACAAACTCAGTGTCCCCAGCTTCATCAGGGTCCTCCCACACGTCCCCATTCCAAGTTGCAAGGTCCCATTCTTTTCCAGTCAATACCCTCACTTTAACACTAGACACCTAATGAGGCTGTGCATGCACCTTTTTTTTTTTTTTTTTTTTTTTTTTTTTTTTTTTTGCAGATCAGCCACTCTCACGATAAGAGCTTGTGTCTGATTTTCCACAATTTCAGCTCTTTCTCTATAGGAGATAAGACTCCACTCAGGGCAATCTTAGCAGATGGGAGGCCCAGTATCTTCTTCTGAAGCTGGGAGACAGAATCCTTGAATTCATCATTTTCTTTCATCACTTTGTCCACTGAACTTAGGAGCAACCAACCAGCTTCATTATGTCCCTTGATTCTTCACATATGGTCAAAGATATTATGTACAGAGTCACTAAACTCCTTGCCTCTCATGAGTGGTGAATCAACATTGTCAAATGCATTTATTTTGCATAACTCTCTGAACAGTTCATGCCAAACTATCAGTGTTCTCCCTACTATTAGAAGTAGAGTCCTTAGCATTTTGGGGCCTAATCATATTAAGCAGCCAACTCCAAAAACCCCCAAACCAACTAAAGAACTCTATCTTTAATATTCTGTTCCTCTAGAACCACTCCTGGTACCAAAATCTGTATCAGTCAGCGTTCCCTAGAGAGACAGAACTAATAGGATAGATATATACATGTAAAGGGGAGTTTATTAAGTTTTAACTTGCGTGATCACAAGATACCACATTAGGATCTCTGCAATCTTGACGAGCAAGGAAAGCCAGTCTGAGTCTCAAAACTGAAGAACTTGGAGTCTAATGTTTGAGGCCAGGAAGCATCCAGCATGGGAGAAAGGTGTGGACTGGGAGGCTAGGCCAGTTTTACCTTTTCATATTTTTCTGCCTGCTTTATATTCGCTGGCAGCTGATTAGATTATACCCATGAGATTAAGGGTGGGTCAGCCTTCCCCAGCCCCCTGACTCAAATGTTAATCTCCTTTGGCAACACCCTCACAGACACACGCAGGATTAATACTTTGCATACTTGAATCCAATCAACTTGGCACTCAGCATTAACTATCACAGGACCTGTTGATGTGCTGACCAGCTGGAGTATTCCCTGCTTCACTTGCCCCTTCCTGGAGTGCCAGTTAACCAGATCAGTCCCTAGCCCACTGGGTTTGTTCTTCTCACGTTCATTCATGTCTCTTGTTTCCATTGCTGAACCAAGACCCATCTGCTGTGTGTTGCAATAGAGTATCATCATCTCCATACATCACTGCACTTGCATGAGGGACTTGGAGCCACTCAGGATGTGGTCAGGTCTCCTTACCGGCAAGTGTTTGTAGCAAGATTTGAATAATAACATCTGGAGCTTGAAGATCAAGAATGTCCTTGACGATGCTGATCCCTGGCTATGGATCAGGAATGTCCTTGAAGATGCTGATCCCTGGCTATTCCATGATTTGGGAAGCACAGGAAGAACTCAAGTAGACATTACTCTGGATTTCCTTATTCTCATATCTCCTTTTAATGCATAAGGTTTGCTCTAGACTTTATGTTTGTGTCCTCTTAAAATTCATGTGTTGAAGTCATCACCCACGATGTGATGGTATCAAGGAGGTGGGCATTTGGTAGGAGATTAGGTCATGAGAGTGGAACCCTCAGGAATGGGATGGGTGCTGTTATCAAAGAGACTCAGAGAGCTCTCCTGCCCCTCCCACCACGGGAGGACACAGTGAGGAGGTGCCCTCTGTGAACCAGGATACGGGGCCTCACTAGACACAGAATCTGTCAGTGCCTTGCTCTTGAATGTCCCAGCCTCCGGAACTGTGATGATTATGTTACTGTTATTCACATTACCATCTACGGTATTCTGTCACAGCAGCTCAAATAGATAGACGGCATTACGGGCAAGAATATTATTTTCAGGCCCCTTCCTTCTTCTTCCTATTCTTACAGCATTTCTTTTCTTTAGGATATTTAACATTTCCAAACGTTAGATGATCTCAGAGACTTACAAATGTGATACAAATTGGAACCTTCTATACGCATTTTAGCAAAATAAACACTATTTTGAAATACCTGAAATTGCATATAAGTTTTATATATTTGGAACACACACACACACACATTCTCTCTCTCTCTCATCTCAAAGTTTGCTACGATAGAGCACTAAGCAGCTGTTTGTCTTTGGTGAGTGTCTTACCTTTGACATGCCATGTTTGTTTCCCAGGTGTGAAATGGTGATAAGAATAGTATTTGTCAATGAATACTTACCATGTTGTCTGTCACATGTCCTTTTTTTATTTAAAAACTTTTGTTGCACCTATCAACCACCATGGCACATGTATACCTATGTAACAAACCTGCTCATTCTGCACATTTATCTCGGAACTTAAAGTAAAATACAAAATGAAAAATAAAATAAATCTTAAACATTTGGTTGTAACTATTACAACTTTAGATATTTGCATCACTATTTCTGTTTCTGAAACAAGTCACTAAACAATCAAAGACTTCATACAGGTTGATGCATTATCTTTAATGCAATAAAGTTATTTCCGTCAGATATTCAACCTAATTTGAACTTGGTAATCGTATAACCCCCTGGTCTTGGAATCATTAAGATTGGACAGATAAGGCTTTCCATTGGATCCCTCTACTCTTGCAGTCTCTTTCTATTACATAAGACACTTTTAACATCAAATGTATACATTGCACGAAAACAAAAAATAAAATCTCAAAGCACTCATAATAAGCTGTGTATTATTATTGTTTCATTAAAACTAAATTCATCAGGCACGGTGGCTCATGCCTGTAATCTCAGCACTTTGGAAGGCTGAAGCAAGTGGATCTTTTGAGCTCAGGAGTTCAAGACCAGCCTGGAAGATAGCGAGACCCCATCACTACTAAAAATACAAAAAAAACAAAAATAGCTGGGCATGGTGGTGCACACCTGTGGTTCTAGCTGCTCAGGAGGCTGAGGTGGGAGGATCACTTTAGCTCAGGAGGGCAGAGGTTGCAGTGAGCTGAGATGGCACCCCTGCACTCCAATCTGGAGGACAGAGCGAGACACTGTCTCAAAACAAACAAACAAACAAACAAACAAACATCTATAAATTCTGTTACAAATTATTTCTAATCACTTTTAAATTGATGATTCATGTGAGTACATATATCACAGGAAATATTATTTAGGTTGAACCACATAAAATTGCCTTTTGAACGTCAAAAATGCTCAAATATTTGCGATTTCATATGGTCTAACCTAAAATTTAATTTTGAAGGTACAGATAAATCTTTTTAAAATTTAATATTCTAAATATACAAAATATATGTTTTACAGACAGTTTAAAAATGATTGTGTTCTAAATGAGCTGCACACAATTCCACCATATATACATTATCATTGTGAATTGAGCAGCTCCCTCGTTTAGGGACTGAATGAAATATTTATGGTGGACCAAATAAAAAGCCTTGTAATGGCAAATTCCTATATCTGGGGACATAGCTGTCACTGTGGGCACCAGTGAAATAGCTCTGGCCTAATTTCATCTGACTTTGGATGTGTGCAAATCACAGGAAAATGTGAACTGACTACAGCCTGAGAAAATCAGCAAAGACAGAAAATCATTGCAAATCAGAACCTTATCAATATTTCACTAGACTAAGACTAGACATCTTACTCCTCCAGAAGCAGAAAGCTGTTTTCCTGAAACCTTAACACTGGGATATAAAAGTTCACCACAACACTCTTTTATGCCAAGAATTCAAATTAGACCTCAGAATCCACTGTTTATGTATATCTATGTCACATGAAATTAAAATTTGCAGGTCTACATTTAGTGTCCTTGGATAACAGAAATATTCGTAGGGTTTATTCTAATTTGAAAACCATTCCGTCCATGCATTTCTCTTTGTCTACAGTTTTTTAATAGAGAGCTGCATTGGAATCTATTTGGAAATTATTCTTACCAGCATGACTATGACCTTGAATCAAGAGATCAGCTCCATGATAACTTCATGGTTCTTTCTGATACCGAAAGGAAAAGAGTGCCCTTTTATGGCTCACTACACTTCTTCCTGACATCCCTAGTGTGACAGCTTGGAAGTTTGGGGATTTTAAAAAAATGTTCCAGTCACTTAAAAACAAAACAAACAAAACACATAAACAGGAAACGACCTCCAACCTAGTCCCAAAATAGAGTGGATTCTTAGTTTGATCACCGTGGAGTTTTCTCCAAGAAATATACTCAACCGCGTAGAACTTTGGAGATACAATTCTTTGTTCTGTGATACATTTCTTTTAGAAAGAGGCAAATAAAGCAAGAAAAATAAACAAAACACACCAATTAAGGTTCAACTTAATACTTCACATAAACTCAGAGAACATTGATAAATTTAGCCATTTGCTGGGTTTGGAAGGCTTATGTTTTGGTTTGTCATTTGAGTTTTTGCCTTAAGGTAGGAAAAATGTGCTTCCAGTGTTTATAAAAGTAGGAACTCTGCAGGGAAAAATGTTTTAGATATGTTAGAGCTTTTGTCAAAATTAAAATGTCCAGGTCAGAAAACGGTGGCCAATTTAGATAACTTAAAGATGTAAAAAATCGTAATTACCTATGAGACGGGATCTTATGCACACACACATGCAAACACATGCATGCACACACACATGCACACATACACATGCATGCATGCACACACATGCACACATACACACGTGCATATATACACACATGCACACACACATGCATACATACACATGCATGCACACATACACATACACGCACACACACATACACAAGTACATGAACATACACATACACACATGCAGTCACACATGCACACACACCTGCACGCATGCACACACACCTGCATACATACACACATGCATGCACGCACACACAATTGGCTTCTTTCTCCCAGCACACTAAAGCTCCATTAGTTTTTCAAAAAACATCCCCCTTGTCTCAGATTCTGCCTAACGGCCAATTTCTCCCTTGCCACTTATTTCTATTCCGGTCCCCCAGAGAATGCATTCAGAATTAGTGCTTCTCCTACATCAGTTCCCAATCATTCCATGGAGCTCACCACTCAACTGGGAGGGCTCTAGCTGAGAGTAGTGTCTCATTTTTCCCAAATTTCAGAGTCACTTTTAGCCCTTCCCTTACTAAACACCATTCTACTCCCTCATTTCGTGTCTTTTCTCATCCTTCTTTTGATGAAATGCTCACATTCCATGGCTCCACACCCACTCCTCTCCACATCCCAGGACTCTCCAGGGATGTCCCTGCACTCATGGCCTTGGTCCTCTGGAGGCCTTCTGGCCCCCATCGCCCTCAGGCCTTCATGGTCCTCTCCACTGTCTTCCTGTACAGGCTCTCTCTGCAGAGCGCCTCCTCATCCACCGCTTCTCCCATCACAGTCAGGCTCCTTATTTGCCACTCTGTATTTTTCGCCCCATCTGCCTCCTGTGGCTGATGAGTCGTGCATGTAGATTCCTGACAGTCGGTATGCCAGACATGAACTCTGTCAGTTAGATATTGCATCCACCTCTTTCCCCAAGACCAGATAGAACTTGAGGAGCACCAAATAAAAATGCAGGCTCTTTTGATAAAAAAAAAGAATTTCAAAAGGTTCACAGTAAAGCAAATCCAAGCATAGGGCATGGGTGAGATGCAGTTCCTGGTCTCTGTGCTGGATGGAGCCACAATTTGGTTCCAAGTAACTGAATAAGTATCTGGGAACTCCATATCAAAACTCTAATTAATAGTGTATATTATTAAATATGCAAATATTAAATATTTAAACACTGAGTGCTTAAAACTAATGCAGAGGCTACTGCCCTAGAAAATCATGTGCACCCTTTTTAAGATTTACGCTCTTCTCCCCTCCCCGTCATCAGACCAATAACAAGAGTTGTCAGTGCCTTCTGCCCAGAGAACTACTCAGCCTGCAAGGAAGCTACAGGTCTTGGAAAATACGTAGCAGCAGGATGCAGGGAACTAGGTGTGGGACTGTGTCCTCAGGGTTCCATAAAAGAGGACAGAATATAAAGGTAGATTAGCGTTTATTAGATCTTCCCCACATGGGAGTCACTCATCACACAGGAATTAAAATTCTGGCAAGGCGCTGCTAAATTGGCTCTTGGGAGGAAGCAGTGACCCACACTGGCAGAGTGGAAATGCTAAACCTGCCATGGAAAATGATGGAGTGGTGGAGGAAGAAACCTCCAGTCCTGGGAAAGGGAGCTGGCTAGGACAGAGTGCTCTGGGAGTGTTTGGAAGATGTTCTATGTCCTGAAATGTCAAGAAATAGACTTTTAGAAAGGCATGGCAGTGTCACAACCCTCAGTGATACCCGTGTACTGAAGGCAGGATCTCAAAGTAGAAAATGCTGTCTGAAATGGGACTTCCTGATAGTGGTGGTGTGGAGAAGGGACTCTTGAAACAACAGGAGCCAAGTCCACTGCCAACCCCTGGTCTGCAGGAGAAAGGCTGGCACGGTGACTGGAACACGTGTCCACCATGAACCTGCCTCCCAGGATCCTGAGCACTGTGTTCCCAGAAGCCAAGAAAACAGACAATCAACATGGATAGTATCCAATCTCTATCACCAAAAAATTACAAAGTGAAAGGTCAGGGGGCTGAGGACAGCCACGCCAACAGGAAGTCTTGATGACCCCTGGCCCATGTCTCAGACCTGAGCAGCCATCACTGTCCTCATCTACCAGCTGGAGGAAAGGCCAGAGCCCCATGAGGAAGGACAAAGGTGGAGTCCTGGGGACCAAAGACAGGCGTCACAAGTCTCCTCTCACTGTACTTCCTCCGGGAGCTGTGTTTCTCTCCATCTGCTGTCCCTGGAGGCTCTGTGGATCTAGTGGTGACGGTTCCCAAAGGGGAATGATTTCTACCAGGGGACCCAGGGGGAAAGCTGCTAAGTTGGAAGTCCTGGCTGTCTTTTCCGTCACTTCAGATTCCTTGCACGGATGGACAACAGGGAAGGGAAGGCTTACTGTCCACAAAGAGGTAAGGCTATTTCTGAATAACAGGTGCTGGGAAATGTGTTTGGTACGAAGGTGACCCACTGTGTACCCCCTACTGCCCTCCTGCTCTGCCCTGACAGTAAGTGGACAAGTACAGCATCCATAGCCTAAGAAGGACGTGGTGCCAGCAGAGGTACTGTCAACGTGGGAGGAATTTAGAATGAACAGTGCACAGACAGAGATGAGCCCACTTGCCACCTGGGCAACAGCCGTGATGGCAGAGGCTATATGCATCCCACTAACCTTCCCTCATTCAGTTCTCGCCTCATATAGATGCTGCTCCTCAGAGCACTCCCTCATAAACAGCCTGAATCTGTGTCTCAGTCTCAGTGGTTGTTTCCCGTGCGACCTGACCTTTGACACTTTCTTCCAGACCAATAACTACATCCATATCACCACAAAGGGGTGCAAGATATTCTCTTTTTTTTTTTCTGCTCTGGAAAGATAAAGCTCTCTATCAAAAGAACTACAGATTTCTTCTAATTTGCCTGAGCAGGACCTGGGAGAGCATGCTGGAGATGGATTTTGAGGGTGTTGGACTAGGGAGATGAGAATTTAAATCTGGATAGGAAAGGAGTTCATTGACATGAGAGCAGTCCTATTACTTGGGAAACAAATAATGGCTAGGACTCAAGAAGAATCTTAATGTACTGCCTGCCTAGCTGCTAGAAGCTTGGATTTAAATATGGCCTGGAGTCAATGAAGTTGAGAAGCTGAATGTGCCCAGCCAGAGCACTGAGGCAAGGGTCAGAAGGTTCAGAGTGGCAGGGATGGTAAATGGGCTTATCACAGGAGACCAAGCAACAGGCCACCCAATTAAGACTCCTTGACGAGACTCAGAGGGCCCTCCCTTTAAAGAATGCATGGTGGCTCTCACCTGTAGGACAGGGCTGCAGTGTCATGGGCTGACCTGGAGTCCCAAGTATCCGTGGAAACAACAGAATCTAACAATGGCAGAGCTCAACCATCAGTGACCAGATGGGCATCATGACTGCAATGGATAGCAAGGCCTGAGTGGCAAGCAGAGTGCCTTTACCTGGAAGAGCTGGAAATACGTGAATTTTCTCATTTATGTAACAGAGAGAGAAAAAAGAGAGAAGACAGAGAGAGAGAGAGAGAGAGAGAGTAAGCAGAAGGCCAATGTCAGCCCTGCACCAAGTTCATTTCAGAATTGGTCCAATAGATCCACCCCCCACCTGCATTTTCCACCCTGTTTTACTGTCCGTTGTTTGCCTACTTGTGTTCACCCACCCTCGCTACGGCCATGGTGGTGCTATGGTCACACTGGCCTTACTGAGCATGGGCTACATTACCGGAGCTTGAACCGTACGCTCTTGCTTGATAAAACCCTCCTAAAGCATTCTGAGGGAGACATCACTGTCACTGTTACAGATGCAACATTGAGCCCAAGGCTAGACATCGCAGAGCAGCAGACCTGGCGTCTGGCTGTTCTAGTGCATGACCATGAATTGAGGAGACCCTCAGACAATGCTGCCTTCTATGTGTTTAAAATAGATCCTTCAGACTATCATTTGCTTATTTATTTTAGATTCGTGGTTCTATTTGAAACTATTTAAAAGTCACGGCATCCCGTTGGCATTATGTAAAGCCATGTGCCTGTATTTCATCTTCCCTCCCTACCTATCACCTGGATATTATGTCACTTTTCCTCTTTATAGAGAAAAATTGTTAGTCTTTTCCACATATTTAAAAATTGTCCAAAAGAAATGTATTTGTTTTAAAATGATGGTTAGCGAGTTTTCTTCTTTGCTTTGTTTTTAACTGCTGTGGTTATACACGGTGCTCTGTGAATGAAGGGTTTCAGCCAAAGAACTGCAGAGCAGAGGCTTCCTAGAGAGGGGCATGGTGGGCAGCATCTCTGCACTGTGTCCAGCTTTCACCCCAGAACCACCCTGGGCCAGCATGCACCGACTGTTGCAAGAGAAGGCCTCTTGGCAGAAAGAAAAAAAACCACTACAGCATCCAGGTGACAGAGAGAGGACGCAACCATGCCCGCTTTGCCTCCGCGACGCATTGTATTTTTCCTAAACTGCAGTTCCCCGGCACCCTGTCTGTATTGCGTATTGGCTTGCTCAGCTATACTGTGTGCATTTCCTAAGAAAGACGGAGCAGCAGATGAGGCTCCGATCGCACTCCTGGCGCTGTCCAGCCCATGGTGGGAGAAGTGCAGCCGCGTCTGAACGTACCTCTTCTGAGAGCCGCGCACGCAGATTTAGGAGCTGATTGTGACGATGACTATTTCTGAGCTAATCTTTCAAATGTTTCTTTCTATGAAATGAAGACGTAAATAAAACAGGAAGGAAATATCACCAAGCAGGAAAAGGGGGAGGAAAGCATTTGGTGTTGGGTTCTGTAATCACCAGAGTGCTCCTGCCCGTGGCTAATGTGAGGGTGATGGGACATCGTAATCCCTTCCCTGAGCTCCTTTACTGCAGCCATGATGACTAAATTTCTTGTGTCTTATCACACTGTCACAGGCTGGAACCAGGAGAAGGGGCTCTGAAGAAAACACAGCATGGAAACCAGAAAGAAGATGATCAGATTACCAGCCCCTGGATTTGTGAGCCGGTCTCAATCGGACCAGAGCAGGCTTGATTTCAGACCCGCAGAGTCTCAGACGCCAACCTCACCCCCTTCCTCCCCGCACACCACTATTTTTAAAGAACCCCCAACCTCTTTCCAATCATGATAGTGTTGCTTTCTTTTCTTTTTCTATTTTTTTTTTTCCTTATCTATCCACCGAAAATCTTCTAATGAAAGAGAGTACCACTTCAGGAACTTCAGGGTTGGGAAAATCAGACGGATTCGTGGATTTCAAGTTAGAAATGCCTCCTAGAATATTTAAAATCAAAACAGATAGAGAAGTGGAAACTTAAGTTCTTTGCCCCTTGAAGAAATGTACATGTCTCTTGCAGATATTCTTCGGGGCAGGCAATAGTGGGGTTCTCTTTCACAGCATCCTCATCACTTTCGTGATTCTGAATCGCCCCTGTCACCCTTTGAAAGAAGAAGAGACCCAGCTCCGTGCTCAGCATGCCTGCTTCTCAGAGCTGCCCCCTTTGGATTTTGAGGGAGAAGGGTTTATGTTGTTTATTGGGGTGGTAAAAAAAAATGCCTGATGCCTGTTTCCTTGTGCTTAGCACAACCAGGGTGGCATTCATCTTCAATAATGTAAGTGTATGTGCATTACCTTTGAAGACCTAGGGTAGTATAAGGAATGGTTGGGAGTGGCCCGTCGGGACTAATCTCCTCTACCTGCAGTGTCCCAGGACCCACGTTTGGCTTCATGGAGAACCTGGACCACACATCTCCAACCTGCCATGTTCTTCCTCCAGGTTCTGTCACTGAGTCATAAACTCAGGGAAGGTGCTAGAGACATCAAGATGGGGAATGTCTATTCCCTGTCCATCTGGATTTTACAATAAGCAGCAAGATAGATTCATCCAAAAGAGCTCAGTTTTTTAAAAGATATTGAGCAAAGATGAGCATGTACAAAAACATGAAAAACCATGCTCTGAGGAAAGACTCATGCGTTCATTGAACAAGTAAGATAATTGAGCTGTAGAAAGAAATATGGTGAAATACCCTTGCAAAGAAATTTTGAAAAATGTCATGTTGCCTTTTATGTTATCTTGATGTAGAACCAAAACCACAACAAAATTGCCAGCTTTGCAAGAAAAGTCATTATGGCTAGGGGAAGAAAAAAAGAACATACAAGACAAAAGCAATGTTGGTAAATGACAGGAAGCATGCCAAGTTCTTCAGTCACATATAAACTACAATGAAATAAAATAAATCTTACATTAATAAGAAAATTCAAGATGTCAATTTTTTGAAGTTTTCTTGTTATTTTACCCATATATTCTGCAGATTTACATTTTTTAGGTGCTGGAGGGAGTGGGTAGTGTTGAAGGGCACTAACTGTGCCATTAACCCACTTGTAGTTGAAGCTTTGCCCGGTGTTGCTAGCCGTGGTCCTTGTGGGTGACCAGTTGAGCCTCCCCAGTGCTGTTTCATAATCAGTTGAAGGAAGAACTATTGCTTTTCATAGAATGGCCATGAAAAGCCTGCAATACAGAGTAAAGTCTCCATGAATATTGGTTACCATTTTTAATGATGGCTTGTGTGTGTGTGTAATGATCTAAAAGAAAAGAAACTTTGAGGTATACACATACGTTATTGAAACGTCATATTTTCTCTGGAGCTGGATTTCCATGGAATGACTGATTCAGAGGTTTTGTGGGAAAATATACATATATTTTTAATTGAGATAGGGTCCCTGTGACACTTTGGATATAAGAGATTAGTCCCAATGGGCCTCCCAGGCTAGAGTGCCATGGCACAATCTCCATTTACTTCAGCCTCAAAGGAGCTTCCTGGGCTCAAGTGATCTTCCTATCCAAGACACCCATGTAGCTGGGACTCGAGGAACACACCACCGTGCCCAGCTAATTTTTGCATTTTTTGCAGAAACAGGGTTTTGCTATGTTGCTCAGGCTTCTCTCCAACTCCTGAACTCAAATGATCTACCCACCTCGGCCCCCCAAAATGTTAGGATTACAGGTGTGAGCCACCGTGCCCAGCCATGTCAGAAATATTTGAAGGCTTATTTCTTTGTCAAAAACAAAAATGAGGCCAGGCATGGTGGCTCACCCATGTAATCCCAGCACTTTGGGAGGCCGAGGCCAGTGGATCACCTGAGGTCAGGGGTTGAAGACCACCCTGCCCAACAGGGTGAAACCTGGTCTCTACTAAAATTTTGTATTTTTTGTAAAATACAAAAAAAAAATAGCCAGGTGTGATGGTGTGTGCCTGTAGTCCCAGCTACTTGGGAGGCTGAGGCAGGAGAATCACTTGAATCTGGCAGGTGGAGGTTGCAGTGAGCCGAGATTGTGACAGAGCAAGACTCCGTCTCAAAAAAAGATGTTCCTAGCAGGGTGGCATTTGTGTAGAATTACACTACCTCGGCACTATTGTAATATTGACTAGATGATTCTTTGCTTTGGGGTCTGCCTCAGAATTGTGTCCCTACCCTTAGGATGCCAGTGACACCCCTCCATTTAGTCATGACAATCAAAAATGCTCAGACATTGCCAAGTGTTCCCACAGGGACAAAATCTCCCCCAGGAGAGAACCACTGACATGACCCTCAGATAACCTGGGATGCTCTGGGCAAAGCGTTCTTCCACTTCCACCTCTGAATCTGAGCAGACTTTCAACGGCATGCAAGCAGGTTGGCTCAGAGGACGATAATGCAGGCCTGTGTCCTCAAAAAATGCATGCCTTAGAAGGTGAAATAAATGGTGGGTAAATTTGGCACACACCTTCTTAAGCAAGCCTTCTTCGAACCTTTTCATTTTCATTTATGGGAACTGCCCCACTGCAGACTCTCAGCGCATGGCACAGCCAACTGTCCACACCTGTAAGACAATTAGAGCCTTAGAATTGAGAAATTTCTTATAGTGGTCTAGAAATTTTAAAAATGTTTTTGAAAGGTCAGATTTTATGCACAACACAAATTATACTATGAGGCTAGTTAGTTCAAAGTACCCTTTTAAATAAAGAAAGAAGGTGGTAGCTAAATGGTAAAAAAAAGTTAATGATTGAATTTGATTTTTAAAATATTTTCTAATGAGCTGGTTTAATGCTTATGCTAACATTTTAACTCTCATCATATTAAAGATGAAAATGTAAACCTATTATGTATTATTTTCAATAATGGAAAAAATGAGGAAACTGCAATTCAGAACATTTAAAACAATAACAAATTCAATTTGTAATAAACCCAGCAAGAAATTCAATGAAATAATTCAGGAGGCATTAACTTCACAATTATCCCGAAACATAGAAAAACACAAGCAAATGTTTTGGATAAAAATATATTCATTTACACAATGTTGTAAGTTGAAGAAAAGAAAATATGTTTTTTATTTAAATAATTTGGTACTTTGTTTCTAAATAATGTCTGTAAAATTTTTTAGAAAGGCCAAAACTTGCTGGAAGCTCTATGTATTTCTTAACAAATATAGTAAAAACATATTGTGTTGCTTTTATGTTGATAGGTTTCCACTGGAAAGCATATCCCTGCTTATAATTTTCCTTTAAAATTAATTTTCAAATTGGTTTTAAAATTACTCATTTTGTTAAGAAATCTTGAAAGGAACTTTAATTTTACTATTTGGTTTATGATATTTTAATGTTTTTCTTTTTAATTTTTTTAACAATAAAAAGAGCTGGCATTTACTGAGAAATTGAAGCTTTTTATATATTAAATTCTTTGCACACAACATCTCATTTAACATGAATAATAATTTTCTGAGGTTAGTAATTTTGGTAAAATATCATAAGAATATATGTTTCTATTTATTTATTGAAATTCTTATAATAATATACAAGCAGATTTATACCCCTCATTTTAAACTTAATGTTAGATACTGACTATTTTAAATATCTTTTAGGATCCCCCAACCTAAATGTCAGTGTTCTTCTTTGATTATTTTTATAAGTTATTTTTCTATGATAGTATTCCAGAGTAAAATCTTCATGGTACATATTCCCAGATTGCTCTCCATAATGTTCTAATTCAGTCCTATAGTTTCAAGTAAGAGAGTATATTGCTCATAGTCACAAAAGCTGGCTATTGTGCTATATTTTTAAATTGTATCAATGTGATAAGCAAAAATAATTTTAATGGCTTTTATTTTGTAAACTTTTTATTTGGAAATGATCATAGATTTATGTGCAATTACAATAAGTCAAACAGAGAAATGTCATATAATCTTTTCTCTTATCCTCCCAATGCTAAGGCCTTGCAAGACCCGAGTGCAATCCCACAATCAGCATATTGACCTTGAGCATGACACAGAGCACTTCCGTCACCACTACTGTGATAGTCGCACCACTTCCCTTCCTCTCACACCCCCTTCTTAGCCCCTGGCTATGACAAATCTGTTTTCCATTTCTATAACTTTGCCATTTCATGAATGTTATGTGAATGGAATCCTACATTCTCTTGGGTTGGCTCTTCTGACTCAGCGTAATCTCTGCAGCTCCCTCCAGGTTGCTGCAGATATCCGATATCCTTATTACCGAGGAGTATTCCATGGCATTGGTGTACCCCAGGTTGTTTAGCCCTTAACCTATTAATGGGCTTCTGATTTGTTTCCCAATATTTGTCTATAGGGAATAAAATTTGTGAACATTAGTTGTGTGAACATTAGTTTTTGTTTTTCCAGAATACATTCCAGAAATGCAATTGCTGGGTTGCCTGATAACTGCATGTATACTTTTTTAAGGAGATGCCACACTCTTTCCAGGGTGGCTGTGCTGCTTTACAGTCCCACTGGTAATGTATGAGTGATCCAGTAGATTTTATGTAACACCTACTTTTTTTTTGAAAAAAACTTTTTTTCTTTTACTTTTGAATGATTTCAATACAATAACGAAATGCTAATATTTGTGATATGGTTAGGCTTTATGTCCCCACCCAAATCTCATCTTGAATTGTAATCCCCATAATCCCTACATTGTCAAGGGAGAGACTAGGTGAAGGAAATTGGATCATGAGGCTGGTTTCTCCCAAGCTGTTCTCGTGATAGTGAGCAAGTTCTCATGAGATCTGATGGTTTTGTAAGGGGCCCTTCCCCCTTTGCTCAGCATTTCTCCTTTCCGCCACCTTGTGAAGAAGGTAACTTACTTCCCTTCACCTTCTGTCATGATTGTAAGTTTCCTAAGACCTCCCCAGCCATGCTGAACTGTGAGTCAGTTAAACCTCTTCCCTTTATAAATTACCCACTCGTGGACAGTTCTTTACAGCAGTATGAAAACAGACTAATAGTATCTGTGTTCATGTTCATTACAGAAATATCATAAAAAGTCCTTTTGTCATTTATCTGAATGATTGCATGACTCTCTTTGTCTGATCTACTGAATAAAACCACCCTTAAGGAAATAAAGCCAAGCCTGACAAGAACGATTCCCCAGTAAAGTAGTGCCTTCCAGAACAAAACTGATGCTTATTAGCAGAAAATAATCTGGTGCCTATTCCCTACAGCAGAAAATAATCTGGTGCCTATTTCCTACAACATATCATGCACAATGTCTAGCATAAAATAACAATAAAAATCACTAGACATGTGAAGAAGGAGAAAAGTATTTATAATCCAGAAAAAAAGGAGTTAACAGTTACAAACTAAAATATGACCCAGATGTTGGAATGTTAGGAGACGAGGATTTTAAAGAAGGAATTATGAATATATTCAAAAACTTAATGACTAAAGGGAAGGGGAATCTCCCCACCACCCTGCCTTTTTTTGAGATGGAGTCTCGCCCAGACTGAAGTGCAATGGCACCATCTTGGCTTACTGCAACCTCCACCTCCTAGGTTCAAGCAATTCTCCTGCCTCAGCCTCCCAAGTAGCTGGGATTACAGTTGCACATCACCATACCCAACTAATTTTTGTATGTTTAGTAGAGACAGGGTTTCAGCTTGTTAGCCAGTCTGGCCTGGAACTCCTGACCTCAAGTGATCTGCCCGCCTCGGCCTCCCAAAGCCCTGGGATTACATGCATGAACCACTATGCCTGGTGGGAATCTCAATAGATAATAAAAGCTATGAAACAAATAGAAATTGTAGAGCTGAAAATAAACATCTTAAATTTAAAATATGTCATTGGAAGGACTTCCAGTTTCAGTTCTTACACATAAAGGACTTGGAAGTCATTATTTCCATACGTACAAAGAAAGAAATAGAAAAACTGAAAATCAGTGAATATTCTTAGACCCATCAAAAACCTGAGGCTGCAGGTGAAAGTGACACCTTAAAGTCTACAAAGAGAGGCTCATCCAGAAAGACAAATCTCAGATCTGCTAACCTGAAGCAGAAGTCACAGATGCAAAAACTGTTAATTTTGGTGAATTGTTGGAGGATGAACATGGGCCAGATTTAGAACAAACAACTCCCAGAGTCCGAAATCATAGGGGGCTGCCCACAATTTTATGCACTTTACTTCCAGGAAATTCACCAGATCCTGATGGTGAAGATCTGAGAAAGATCCCCTGGTTGGTAGAGGGGCAGATTAATCATAGTGAAATATACTCAAAGCCTTCACCATAGCACAGGCCTATACTCCAGGAAAAAAGAATACTCCAGAGACTTTTATCCTATTGGAGAGAAGCACAGTGCTTCTCTTCTATTCCCATGTAGCCCTCCAGTCTCACCCAAGGAAACATATATAGTTACTAAGGGTCAAGGATTCAAGGAAATGGCTTTGGAAAGCTGTAGCCAGGGGAGACAGTAGGAGGCAGGGGTGGGGGTAGTTACACCCTTGTGAAAGTCACAGCCTTAAGATACAGACCAGTTACATATTGAGACTGAATTAGAAGAATATAGAATATTTTCTCCTCCACACCTTATCACCACCATGACAGAGCTCCAGCATATTGAATGTATTACACGGAAAGAGCTGCAAGACACAGATTTCCTCCAAGAAGGAGTACTTAGGCAAGTCCAAAATCAAGAGGGGAGGCAGAAATAGGTGTGATGGCACTTATACCTCTAGCATACATGGAAAATAACCAACTTCTAGCCAGATTAACATAAGTACACATTGAAGGCTCTTTTCCTGTCTTTATACCTGATACAGTATGTCTGGCTTTCATGCACACACCAACATGTGTGTGCACACACACACACGATAAAAACCAAAGGGGAAAAGCCTAGAGAACATCAAACAGTATAAGTAACAAATGCACACACACACACACACACACACACACACACACACACACACACACAAGTCCACAAGTCCCTAGGGAAACCATATTCAAACTGCAGAAAGCAAACAAAAAAGAAAATCTTGAAAGAAGCTGATGTGAAACAAGAAATTCACATACACCTATAGAGGGACAAAACTAGAAATTACAGCAAACTTCTTGTAAGAAACCATGCAAACAAAAATGATGCAAAATATTTAAAGTGTGGGGAAAACAATCACTAGGCTAGAATTGTATACCCACACAAAAACCAACATACTAATGTTTAGAGACATTTTGTCATAATTGCTAAAAGCTGGTAGCAGCCACAATGTCTTTCAACGGAATGAACGACCAATTTCAGGTGTATTCATTTAGTACAATATTCAGTGGTAAAAGCAATTAAACTAACAAGCCACAGAAATCCATGAATAAATCTTTAATGCATATTGCTAAGTGAAAAATGCCAACTAGATAAGGTCACATACTATGTGATCAAGTGTATATGACACTCTGAAATAGGCACTATTAGAGATAGTATAGTGATCAGTGGCTGACAAGGGCTCCAGGAGATAACAGACCTAGGGTTACTGGCCAGATCAGTATGCCCTAGGGATATTTTAGGGCAGTGGACCTATTCTGCATGACACTGCAATGGTAGATACATTACACTGTTCATTTGTCAAAATCCACTGACCTTTACAACACAAAGAATAAACCTTAATGTATTCAATTAAAAAATATTTAGGAGGTTGAGAATTTCCACATTGGAATGCAAAATGTTATCAAACTGCATTATAAAGGTATGAAACAGATTCACTGGAGTTGGGGGAGGCGGGCAAAAAGGTGGTAAGTAACTTTGGAAATGAAAGGGGTTTGCAAGACTAAAGGCAAAAAAGAACTGTATACAAGCACTGTTCTCTCATTGATAAAGTTATTTCCCTCTGGTATATATGCTAACAATTCCAAGAATGAAACTATACATGTACAATGGTGTTGAATAAGTAAATTGATGGTGAAGGATGGGCCCCATGTTTCTTATTTTTGGAGTGAGAAGTTACAGACAAGGAAGGAGAGAATGCAAGAATTATCTATAAAATATAAATTAGAATAAAAGATATCTGTATGAACACATATTTAACTTAGTATACACAGATAAGAACAGATATAGAAATATTCACAGATATATATTATATATACATATATAAACAGGTTATTGTACTAGGATTCTCTAGAGGGACAGAACTAATAAGATATATTTGGCATATATATGTGTGTGTGTGTATATATATATATATACACACACACATATATATATACACATACATATATATACATATATATGTACATATATACATATATATGTACATATATACATATATATGTACATATATATACATACATATATACATATATACATACATATATATACATATATATATACACACACACACATATATATAATACATACATATATATATGAATGAATTTAACTTACACAATCACAAGTTCCCACAATAAGCTGTCTGCAAGCTTGATGAGCAAGGAAATCCAGTCTGAGTCTCAAAACTGAAGAACTTGGAGTTGGATGATCAAGGATGGGAAGCATCCAGTTGAGGAGAAAGATGTAGCCTGGGAGGCTAGGCCAGTCTCTCTTTTCACACGTTTTGGTCTGCTTATATTCTAACCTTGCTGGCAGCTGATTAGATTGTGCCCACCCAGTTTAAGGGTAGGTCTGCCTTTCCCAGCTCACTGACTCAAATGTTAATCTCCTTTGGCAACATCCTCACAGCCACATCCAGGATCAATACTTTGTATCCTTCAATACAATCAAGTTGACACTCTATATTAACCATCACAGTTACCATATGCTCATATATCTCTTTGCTCTACCAGCCAAGAGGGCAGGGCCTAGAAACCATGACACCCTAGCAGTAACAACAACAAAAAAAAAACCTAACACCCAAATATTGTTTTCTTTTGTTTTGATTTTAATAGAAACAAGATGTTACTATGTTGCCCAAGCTGGTCTGGAACTTCTGGGCTTAAGCAATCCTTTCACCTCAACCTCCCAAAGTGCTGGGATTACAGGTATAAGCCACCAAGACTGGTCCCAAATTTTGCTTTCTGAAACCATTTTTCAACGAAAAAAAAAAGAATTATTTAGAAAAATAACTGGTTTTAGGAGTCAGACGAGAAATATACAAGATAAACTTGGATCATCATATATCTTGCAGTGTTCGAAAGTGAGGAAGAAAAAAATAGACAATATTGATAGAATTATGTCAAAGTGACACAGAGCAGACTGACAACAGCCCACAATCAAAAGCAGAACCATTTGAGAGAAAAAAAAAGAGATTGCCTTGGATTAAAATTTAAAGTATAAAATAAATATCCACAAATCAAAACTATTATGTGACTAAACACACTAATAAATATGATATAATAAAAAACCTATGCAAAATAATTCCAAATAGTGTATATAGATATTTTATTCTGAAGGCAACGAAGCACAACAGCATAAGTCCTCAACCATTAAGTGTAAGCAACACATAATGATGTCCTTCCAAAAAGTACCATATAAAAGGGGGAGAAAAGACTAAATTTACAGTGGAAAAACTCAAGAAACATTACATCAGCAAGATAGTCAGTGTTAATGTTAGCAGTTTTAAGTCATGTGGTAGTTTATACCCTTGATATAATGTGATCAAAATGTCCATTTCCCTTTGTATTTTTTCCTTGAAACCCATAACTTCATCTAATCATGAGAAAAACAATTAGCCAAATGCCAGTCACGTAGCAATATGCCAATGTTTCTAAAAATTTTTAGGGTCATCAAAAGTAAAGAAAGTCTGAGAAATTATCACAACTAGAGGGGACACAACAACTAAATGTCACGTGGTATCCTGAATGGCAGGCTGGAACAGAATAAAAGATAACAGCTCAAATTATATGATTAAGTAAAGTCTTTAGTTTGTAATACATCAGTATTTGTTCACTAATTGTGATAAATATTCCAGACTCATGTAAGATGTTAATAACAGAAGAAACTGGTTATAAGGTCTATGAGAACTCCCTGTACAATCTTTGTAATTATTTTTTAACAAATATAAAACTATTATAAAATAAAAAGTTTACAGAAATTACTCACTGGAAAGACAACAAAACATTGAAATCTGCGTAAGAAAAGGTAATAAATTTGAATATAGAACAACATAAATTTTCTAAGATGAAAAGCAGAGAGAAAAAAATATGAAAAGAAATAATAAATGTCTTAGTGATCTGTGAAAATTACCAGTCTTTCTAAAATATGTGAAATTATGCATGCAATGGAAGAAAAGAAAGAAATTGGAACACGAACAAATTTAAAATAATCAAATTTATCCAAATTTGGTTGAAAATATCAACCTAAACAACCAAGAAATATATGAATGACAGGAAAAATAAATAAAATGGGAAACAAACCTAAACACAAAATATTCAAATTTCCATATAAAAAGAAAAATAATAAATTGAAGTACTTAAAAGTAGTCAGGAAAAAGAAAAGACATATTGTCTGCAGGGGAACAATAAAACAGATGATGTTTGACCTGTCATGAAAAATAAGTCACATTAAAATTCTAAGATAAATCCTTAAAGTTCTGGAAGAAAAAGTAAAAAAGATCATATGAGCCTCTGTTGAGTCAAAATATTCATATACTGAGGTAAAATAAAAGTTTTTTACGTAAGCAATAGATGAGAGATTATGTCACCAGTAGATCTGCACTACAAAGATGGCTAAAGAAAGTTCTTCAGGCTAAAAGAAAATGAAAACAGATGGAAACACAGATCTTCAGAAAAAAAGAGTACAACTAATAATAATTTTGTGGGTGAACATGAAAGACTGTCCTTTAAAAACATTTGAGTACAAATTTTAAGACAAAAATAATATTGTATTTTTATGAATTTCCATATAAAAGACATAACATTAGCATAAAAGATAGGAATGAAGATATTTTAGATTTGCAAATTTATTATATTGTATTTGAATGGGTACCCAGTATCTCTATGTAGAGAGAAATAAGTTAAGAATGTATATAGTAGATTGAAAAGCAACCACAGAAAATATGAACATTTGTACCTACATATTCAATAGAGAAATTAAAAGAAAATTATAATAAATATTGCAATAATCCAAAAGAGGCCAGAAAGCCAATAGTAAGATGATAAACATAAACCGAGCAATATAAATTATTTTATTAATTATAAAAGAAATAAACATGTACAGTTGAAAAACAGAGATTGTCAAACATGACTAAAAATATAAGAACACAATTGTTTGTTGTCGATAAGAGATATAATTTAGTACATCATCCAGCTACATCCATAAGAATGTCACTGTAAATATATTTAATATCAGAGAAACTTGAAGACAAGAGATAATATCAGAGATGAAGAGAAGCATTCTATAATAATAAATGCATCAAATTGTTAGATGGAACTAACAGTTATAAATGTACATAGCAGTAAGCTTTCGTGGACATAAAGCAAAAGTAACAGAACTAAAGAGAACTGTAGATAAATTCATGTTGATGTTTAATACCCTTTGCTCAGTAGTTTATACGACTCTGAGCAGAGGATCAGTAAGCACACAGGCAAACTGAGGAATACTACCAACTATCTACACTTCACTGACAAATTTAGAACGCTATATACAGCGGTAACAAAATAGACATTTTGTCTTAAATAAACTTGAAATGTCATCAAGATAAACTATATGTTGTACCATAAAAATGGGTCTCTATATATTTCACGTGATTTATATACTGTGCTGCACATTCTCTGGCCACAATAGAATTCTGTTAGTATGATTAATAATGAAATATCTAGGATATTACCATTAACACATTAGTTAAAGAAGAAATTATAAGATACATTAAATATTTCAAACTAAATGATAATGAAAATAAAACATATGAAAATGTGTAGGATTTCTGCTACCGCAGTGTTCAATGTTTAGTTTTATATGTTAAGTGCTTATGTTAGAGAAGAAAATATGTTTATGTTTATTTTTCAAAAGATGAAAGAGCTTCTTAAACAATGAATCATATTTAAACTACAAAGAAGAAGAAAATTAGAAATATAAGAGAAAAGCTATTAAAACAGATGACCACAAACAGAAAAAAAAAACAAAGGCAAAATTAGTTCTTTGAAATCATCATTAAAATGATGAACATTTAGCAAGACAAATAGAGAAAAACATGATACAGAAAGATACAGATGTACTATATATATAGAGAGAGAAAGAGAAACAAAATAAACTTTTAGAAATAGAAGAAGAGATACACCACAGTTGCTGCCATTATTCAAAAAACAATAAAACCATATAATAAATAGGTTTATGCCAATAAAGTTTAAAACTTAGAAACATGAACACATTTCTTATACAACACAACTGACATAAACTGACTCAAGAAGAAATAGATAATCTAAATAGCTATATATTCATATATATATTCATATATATATATATATATCTATATATTCATATAGATATGACATTAACAACTTATACAAACACACATCCCCTATGTAAAACTGCAGGTCCAGATGGCCTATACAGTGAATTCTATCAACCACTTGAGGAAAATATAACAAAAATGTTGCATTATTTTTTTGCAGAATTGAATAAGTGGTTACGTTTCTCACCTCATTTTTTAAGAAACACCTAACACTGATTCCAAAATCTGAGGAAAAATTTTAAGAAAACCATATAAGTAGTTCATATGATTTAGACTTTATAGATTTGCATACATAAAAATGCAAAACTCCTAAAAATATACTATTCAATTGATAATCACAAAGTGAAAGTATAATAGACCATAACCATGTGAAGTTTATCACTGGAATGCAAGGTTAGTTTAACATAAAAAAAATAATAATCAGTCAATTTAGGGTATTCTGCTTCCAGTCATGTTGGAATTACTGACATATTAATTGCCAACTTTCTGAACAAAAGTTTAAAAACTAAAAAAAATAAAAATCTATTTTTAGACTTTGGATAATAGCAGCACAATACTTTGAGAGAAAGAAATATCTAATGTGAACCCTACAATTTCCTCAGTTTTCTATCTAAGGCTCCTTTTGGATTGCTGAGGAGAGAGGTGTCACTAAGATGGAGAGAGAGATTCAGTCAAGCTGAGTTAGTGGGGACATCCTGGGTAGTTCAACATAAAGAAGGCAGCTTGTAGAGTGAGAGCTGCTGTTATCATCATAAAAGTCTCAATGACTCTACTGATGATTTTTAATCTTTGAATGAGTAGGCAGAAAAATCCACTAGGCTGAAAAAGGAACTACTGAGGAACTGTAAGCAGAACATTTTTAAAAATAAGAAAGCCTTATTATAATAATTAGCCATCTTAGAAAGACTTTGTTGAACATGAAAGAGATCAAAGATGGTTCATATGTTAATAGCAGGATGAAACTACTCTTAAAATAGAAGCTGTTCCAAGACCCCCAGACCAAAAACAGCTTACTTACAAATTTTGAAATGATCAGCATGATCTTCAATTAAGTGAAGTAGAACAGAGCTCAGAAACGTGAATGTGGTTTACCAGTTTAAAATAAAACAATGTAGCTCACCGTATTGGATGGCTATCAGAATAAATATAGAAAAGGCTTGCGAAAAATTTAAATTTCACATGTGATAAAGACTCTCCATAAAATGAAAATAGAAGAGAAATCCTTAAGCTAATAAAAGAAATGTACGAAATTGTAACAGCAAACATAATACCAAAATAAAATATTGGGTACACTTCTCTAAAGTCCCTGAAAGAAGGAAGAAGGCCCGCTTTTCAATTTTTATATGCAACATTCTAATGGATGTCTAAGCCAATGCAATAGGAAAAGAAAAAGAAATAAAATCAGGCAAATTGAAGAGAAATAAATAAAGCTTGCTTTATTTGTAGACAAAATGATTATAAACATTTAAAAAATCCTAAGGTAGTTATATAAAAGTTACATTGAATTAATGAGTGAATTAAGCAACATAATAGACTACAAGGTCAATATAAAACAATCACTTGTTTGTCTATGTTCCAGCAATGAACAATTAGAAAATAAAATTAACAAAGGAATAAAATTTACAGTAGCATCAAACTATAATAGCTTTAAACATAAAGTTAACCATATATGTGCAATGTCTATATATTGGAAATTAATAATCTTACTCAGACTAAAGATATGAATAAGTAGAGAGATAAATTATTTTCTTATATAAGAAAACTCAATTTTTTAAATGACAATGTTCCCCAAAATTTGCCAATCATTTCTATGTAGTCTCAATGAAAATCTCAGCAGATTTCTGTAGATATTTTACCGATTTGAAAAATGTATACAAAAATTAAAATGCCCTAAAATAATCAAAATTATTAAAATTGATGACTATAATTGGATAATTTAAACTTTAATTTTATGACTAAGTATAAAGCTACTGCAATCAAGTCTTATTTTCATAAGGGTAGACACTTAGGTTAATGGAACAGAAAAGACAATCCATAAATCAACATATACACATATATATGTATACACATATTCCTTTCGTTATCTAGAGCTGTATATATATGATATCACGTCATCTATTTCTTGAAGTATAAAAGAATTGATACATGAAGAGTAGTTTCTTTTATTTCAAAATTTTTTTGTGCATTTTTAATATAATTTACCTATAAAGTTTGATGAGAAGTTGATCATTATTGTACATTAAATTTTATCAATATGAACTATTATCTTTATACCATGTAGTTATTATTTAATTTGAATTCCACTTTTTCTGGCATTGATATTGCTACTGTGTTTGCTAATATATTTATTACCCATCATATTTTTAACTCCTAAGTTTTTCAGTTTTAGGCTTCTCTTTTTTAAACACTTTTAGTTTAGCTTAATTTATTTTTTAATGTGGTTAATTCCTTTATATTTGTTTTTATAACTGATAATTTGATCTATTACCTTCTTTGAGGACTTATTTTTTTATACTCAAATTTTTGGCCATTTTAGACCCTATTAAAATCATAGCTATTAAGCTAAAGGATGCCTACAGGTTGGTTTTGTTTTTGTTTTCTTTTGTTTTCTGTTGTCTTAAAGAATAAGGTAGTATCTACTGTTACTATGACATTTGAGGTGCCCAGGGTACTCTCACTTGTTGACCTCACCTCCCCACTCTACATTTTGAAAGATACTTTCTAAAGTATTATTTTATTTTTAATTGACAAATTATAATTATATATATTTACAAGGTACAATGTTATGTGTCAATGCATGTATACGTTGCAGAATAATCAAATCAAGCTAATTAACGTACTCATCAACTTAAATATTTATCATTTTGTTTTGTTGAAAACATTTAAAATCCTCTCTTTTAGCTATTTGGAAGTATTTGGAACATTATTATTAACTATAGTCTCCATTCCATGTGATAGATCACCAGAATGTATTCTTCCTGTGTACCTGAATCTTTGTACCCTTTGACCAAAGTCTCTCTTTTCCATGTCTACCTCACCTCCCTGCTGCCCACCACCCCATTACCAGACCTCCTGCCTTTGGTAGCCATCATCCTACCCTGTACTTCTAGTTTTCCTTTATTTTAGGTTTCATATAAGTGAGCTCATACGGTATCTGTCTTTCTGTAATGCCTGGCTTATTTTCAATAGAATAATGTCCTCTAGGTTCATCCATGTTGTCTTAAAAGACAAAATGTCCTACTTTTCAAGGGCTAAATAGTATCCTAATTTGTATATATTCCACATTTAAAAAATCTATTCCTTCACTGATTGGCACTTCAGCTGTTTTTATATATTTGCTTATTGTCAATACTGCTGCAATGAACAGGAGAGTGCAGACACCTCTTCAACATACCAATTTCAATTTCTTTGGATATCTACCCAGAAGTGGGATTGCTGGATTGCATGGTAATTCTATTTCTGTTTTTTTTGAGGAAACTTCATAGTGTTTTCCAAAATGGCTGTACTAATTTATAATACCACCAACAATGTATAATTGTTCCCTTTTTTTCCACATTCTCACCAACACTTACCTTTCATCTTTTTAATAATAACCAATCTAACACAATGGGATGGTATCACATTGTGGTTTAGATTTGCATTTCTCTGATGGCTAGATAAGTTGAGGATTTTTTCAAATATAGGTTGGCAATTTGTATGTCTTCTTTTAAAAAATGTCTATTCAGTTCATTTGCCCATATTTTAAGTAAGGTTATTTGTTTTCTTATTGAGTAGTTTGACTTCCTTGTATGTTTTGAATATTAGCCCCTTATCTAATAAAAGACATGCAAATATTTTCTCCCAATATATGGATTGTTTCTTCATTTTGTTCATTGTTTCCTTTGCTGGGCAGAAGCTTTTGTTTGATGCAATCCCATTTGACTATTTTTGCTTTTGTTGCCTGGGCTTCTGGGGTCATATTCAAGAAATCACTGCCCAGATCAACATCATGGAGTCTTTTTCTTATGTTTTCCTCTGGTAGTTTTAGAATTTTATGTCTTATGTTAAAGTCTTTAATCCACATTAAGTTGATTCTTGTATAAGAGATGAATTAAGGGTTCATTTTTATTCTTCTGCATGCAAATATCCAGTTTCTCCAGTACCATGTATTTAAAAAGCTGTCCTTTCTCTATTGTGTGTTCTTGGCACCTATGTCAAAAACCAATTAGGTATAGAAGAAATATTCCTCAACACAATAAAGACCATATATGACTATCCCACAGCAAACATCATACTCTACAGTACAAATTGAAACCTTTTTTTCTAAGATCAGAAAAAGAACAACTATTCCCACTCTCACCACTTCTGTTCAACATATACTGGAAGCCCTAGTCAGAACAATTACCGACTCTACATTTTTATTTTCATTATATTATGTCAAACTGAGTTGTTTCCATCAGTGTATTATTTTTTATATTGTTATATTCTTATCAAGCATTTCTTTGGTTTCTATGAATTATAATTTTGAATAGGAGACTCTTCTGTTGGAGAATTTGGAATCTAAACCTGTGTCTCTAAAACTGCAATTCTTAAAAAAAGTGATTAAATTTATAATATAAATGCTGTCAATCATGCCGTTAAACATCTAGGGAACTGGATCAATTTCTTAAATTTTATTACATTATCTTTGAATGTGATAAAGTGATTCAAATTGTATGTACATTTTATGTTACTTTTTAAGAAGAAAAAAGTCAGAAGTCAGCTATTTCCAAAAGAATAATGTTATTCAGAAATTCAGGCCAAACACCTGTTACACAGCAAAATGAAGGCAAGGAACAGGAAACTCGTGTACATGGGCTTAACTCATTCTTCTGATGTGCACTCAACTCAGACACTTTGCAAACCTACCGCTGTCACACTGCTGCAGCTAGAACGAACACC
The DNA here is from genome assembly GCF_000001405.40 of Homo sapiens. NCBI lineage: Eukaryota > Metazoa > Chordata > Mammalia > Primates > Hominidae > Homo > Homo sapiens. Next base: position 3,980,366 of record NC_000005.10, read on the forward strand.
TACACTGCTGAAAGAAGCCTCCGACCTCAAGACGGTGGGTCTAACCACATGTTAAATAGTACACACTGTAGGAAAAGAGAGTGGGAATTTCAAAAACAAAAACAAATACCAAAAGAAAAACCCCAGAAATGTAACGCTATTTAAAAACAACTGTTGAAAATGAGCATCTCCTCTTCTTACTTAGGTTAATGGCTTCACCGAATCCTGATGCCTTTGCATGTCGTTATAACTGGATGCTCTAGTGTGCTAAGATCAGCACCTGTATACTCATAGTATTGAAATGTGCAGATGCATCCTAATTTGTGAAATAAATCTAAGGTAGTAGGCTGTTTTATGTTGAATACATAACACACACACACTGTTTAAAAAACTAAGTTGCGATTGATGGCTTTCTAAAATGTGACTAATGTGCACTACACATTTCTACCTTACTCATTCCTATCTGATTACTTACACATTGCTACCTTATTTTCCGTGATTTTTGGCTTGCAGATGGTGGTTGGTTTCCTACAACATTTTTCCTTGTTTCTTGGGTAGAGAAGCAATCTAATTGCATCATGATCTTTTGTCCTCCTCCTCTGTTGGGATAGAGGGGAGGAAAAGAGGTGGGTTCAGACTTTTCAGAAAAAAAAATACATGTAAATTTTATGTTTGCCAACAGAGCTAACATACTAAAAGTATTCATGTCTATGAATAAAGTAAATTACTAAGTCTATATCATTAATAAAGACACATGAAACCTTTCACATTATGTCAAATTATTAGAATTAAGAAGCTTGAGAGAGGGAGAGCAAGCCAATAAAGCCTGAATACGCTAAGTGATCATTAGAGCTGGGTGTGATAATTGAAATTTGCTTTGCAGTAATTTCATTAAAAATTCATAACTAGTCTAGCCTTTCTCTTTCTCTGTCTGAGCTGGTGAGGAATTAAATGATGTTGGTGTAGAGGCTTAGGATGTGTACACGTTGTTGACAACAGCTGAAAACAGGAGGTGAATGACAGACATGAGGGAAAGGCAAAATATAGATCAGCAAAAAGGCTTTCTTGGGGTCCTGAGCTTTGGTCTTTTCTCTAAATATGTGTCTGTTTCTAAATTAAGTTTTCACATTCTAGAGATTTTTTAAAAATTTCTAATCTCATGATGCCTTGTACGGTGTTTTGGCCAATATTGAATTCTTGGCAATTTTCCTGGACAGACAATGCTACAAACTATTTCATCTATTAGGATGACATTTTCCATCATCCATGAAATTATTTTTCTAAAAAATTACAGGTGGGATGAAAATCACTGGCATTAACGTTTTCTCCTCCAAAAATCTCTCTGAGAAATGTATTACGTATAAACACTCATTGTAGACCACCTGATACGAAAGGTTCTGGGACACATTCTTCCAGAAAGGAGCCTGATTTTATCTCATGATCTTCACCAATTCATGAATTTGTTTTATGAAGTCTTGGATGTTGAGTCTAAGAAACCAGTTACAGTTTGAATGCTTCAAAGTCTCATGCACATTCCAGTGTGAAGAGGGGTCTGTCAAATTTTAAATGCATTTTGCTAAATGTATTATCCTTTACAAAATAAGTCCTTTGTGTTTCAAGGACAATTTGACCATGTGTTTTTAATCCATTTTAAGTTAGCTTGCTAAAATGTTTATTTGTAAGAGGTCTTAGAAGCCCAAAAATCCTTAAAACATTGATTTGCCGGGCATTTGAAGCTTTTATCTCAAGAAAAGACATCTTCATTTGCTAAGACAAAACAACTAGAGTCTCCCATGTCTAGTTTTCCATAAATCTTAAATTTCAAAATGTTTTGATACATTCTAAAAAGTTAAATATTTATGGTTATTTTCATCTTAAAGCTTTAAAAGCTGGATTTCAGATTTTATAATCATTGAAGTATATAGATACAAATCTATTTCAATCATTTAAGGTATGTGTCCTAATGACACTGAGGTATTAAAGAAATAACCTCATAATTATGTATAATGGAAGAGAGAGTTGTACCCATTTACAAATTCCTTAAATGAGATTTGAAATATTAAAGTCTTGCCTTTGACAGGTTTTTGGTATAAAATAGCAACTCATACCCAAGATAACTCTATTTAGCAAAGACAAAACAATAACTTGTTTGGCTTGGATTTTTATCAATTTGCTTTTGTTTTGATAATATATAGTGGCAGAATGAGTTTGTAGAGCAGTTGATATCTAAGGGACAAATGAAATTTAAAAATAAAGAATTATTAAATTTTGTCACAGATTTTGCATCTTAAATAAATATCAATATATCATTATACCATCTTAGAAATTTTAAATAAGTTGGAGCCAAAAAAATCCAGTAATCATAAGCAAGACTTTCACAGGAATTCCTTACGTTATTTTTGGGGGCTTTTTTTTTGCCTCTAAAAATTTGGGGGAAAGTGCAGAATCCTGTTGGAAAATCACCATTCTAAAGGACACCTTCAGGAGCATCATGTAATGAGCTGTAATTAAATCTAATTACTCTCTATAGACCATAGATAATGTAATTTACAGGTCAAAACATGTTTTTAAAGGAGTCTGAAATGCACAGTCTGGACCTGGTCAACTCCCACGCAGTTGCCCTCTTGTTGTTTGAAAGGCCCCACCTTTGCTGAAGACGTAGGTACTTGAATTGCACTTTTTCCATCTATTATCCCTACTCAGCTTCACTGACCTCCATGTTTGAGAAAGCATTATTTTTCCTCCTCTCTAATCACCCATCATAGAATGGGCCTTCTGGCCATGAGTGTCATCTATGCTCAATATACACCACACTCTGAATTTAATTTTGTCCATGCAGTTTGTCTAGCAAAGCTGGAGGCAGTTCCTCAGCCAAAAAGGAGGCTCTATCCACACGTGGCAGTGGCCAGCTGGGGCCACTTGGAGCTTATCAGCTTTTTTTTTTTTTTTTTTCAGACGAAGTCTTACTCTGTCTCCAGGCTGCAGTGGCATGATCTCGGCTCACTGCAACCTCCGCCTCCCTGGTTCAAGCAATTCTCCTGGCTCAGCCTCCCAAGTAGCTGGTATTACAGGCACACGCCATTACACCCAGCTAATTTTTGTAGTTTTAGTAGAGACGGGGTTTCACCATGTTGTCCAGGATGGTCTTGATCTCCTGACCTCGTGATCCGCCCGCCTCAGACTCCCTAAGTGCTGGAATTAGAGGCGTGAGCCACCACGCCCGGCCTGAACTGATCAGCTTTTATAGCGTCCTTACACATTCTGTGTCTATGTCTCCTTCTGTCTCACTGGTGATATTTTCAAACATTCACATACTGTTCTCTAAGTAACACAACTGAGGCCACCTGGCAAGAGAGAGCTGCCTGTTCCTGGTCCCTTCCCACCACTAATCTGCATCCACACATGCTCTTCCTCCTAGTCCATAGCTTCCTTCCACAGCTTTTCTGCTCGGATAATTCTTCTGTTAGAAAGCCTCCCATCTTCACACCCCACTTTTGACCTGGGTAACCTCTATGTATCTGTCACTCAAGCCCCTTTCAGGAAGAGCTGTTCATGACCCTTGACTTGCGGGCTGCAGTGATGTGCTCCATTGAGTGCTTCGAAACAAAGCACTCATGCTTTCTGCTAACATTATCGGTACACAGAGCTTTCTCTTTGCAAAGGGCATACCACTCCACTCACTAAAAGAGATCACAAACCCTTAGACAATGAGGATTACTTCTTTCTCATCTGTGTGATCCTTCAGTGCCAAGCAAAGATGGTCCCGATGTTAATTTAATTATGCATCCTGAGGACAGAAGCTTATGTTTCCGGAATGAGTGAAGCATGGCGTGGTCCTCTTGAGGTGGAGGAAAATTGGAACTTTTGTAGTGCTTCGTTCTTGATTCCCCTTCTTCCTCAAGCTTAAGCTCTTTGTCTAATTTTTCTTCACCATTCAGAGCAAAGACCACATTCTCCAAAGAGTGTCTGATAGTCTCAACAAACACACACACACACACACACACACACACACACACACAATCTCTCTCTCTGTCTTTTACAAGAGCATCTAACTTGTCTTTCAGATTTATCTCACAATCAACTAAGGTGACTTCCTATATCGCTTTGCTCGGACATGAAACTTCCAGTGCTAAATTAGTCAAGTTTAAGGAAAACCAGGAGGACTGTGCACTCTCTAATTAACTAATTATTTTGTCTATAAAATTCTAAAATATTTAACAGATTTTCTTTTCACTGAAGTTGCCACTGTTGGATACTGAATTAATGTCATAAATTTGAGTGATTATTTTAATCTAATGCTTATATCTTCTAAATAAAACTGTGCCATTTGTGGCATTTAATGTTATTTTAATGTTTTATAATAGCCTCACAAATAGTTTTCAAAATATTTAATATGCACTGAGAAGACTGTATTTGGTTTTCCATGCCTTGATTCCATTTTGCTTGTATTTAGTGACTCCATGGCCACTTCAATATGGTGTTGCTTCTCCTGGTGAAGACAGCATGAGAATCTATTTGTTCTTACATAATCTATAGTTTATCAAGATGTGCTCAAAATGTGTTGGAGGTTAAATAAATAATTTCTGTAGAAGTAGTTTAATTTTGTGGAAAAGTTTCATTGTAAGATCAGCCCAAATTTACCTTTCCTCAAGAAGGGAGGGAGAAAAAACTGCACAGGACAAGCTGTGGCCCCAGGCAGTGAAGGACAAGGGGCACAGGAGGCTGGGGATTTGTTCTGGAGACCTTGGGATCTGAGTTCCTTAATGTCTCTAAGTCTGTTTCCTCATGCAAAAATGTGAATAATAAGGTTTTTCCTATGAACGGGAACTGTGCACATTCAGGTTAATGATCATGCAGGTTAATGATCTATCGGAACTCCTGCCCTATGAGAGAGGTGAGTGAATGGTGCTCCTTATTAAGTGTTCTCACCATCTGTCCTCTGATTTACTAGGACCTGGTGGGTGTAAAGGGCCTAGAAAAGGTTATTTTAATATCACAATTTAAAAAGTATACATTTGAATTGCTTTTGAGTTTTGGACACACTTAACTTGTAGCTCAAATCTTTAATTTTATATGCATTGAGAATACTATGACTATATTTTGCCAAGTTTATAAGAGTTATGAAGTCATTTTCAAATTGTTTATCTCTCTTTTAGTTTTTTATTCATGCTATCCATGCACATGAATTTTACAAAAAAAAAAAACTGGTTTGGGTAATACTTAGTTAACATCTTAAAACTCCAATAATTCTTCCTAAAGTAGTAAATACACAGTGTGCTTTATAAACAAGTTGAAAATTATTATGGTTCACTTTAGAAATAGGAATTTACAGACTGGCTGGGTTCAAATATTGACATAATGTGATCCTTTGCCCTTATTACCTGATTGAATTGAAGCAGATCCCAGGAGCTTCATGTAAGAAGAAGCCACAAGCCTCAAAAGAAGGATTGAGGCATTTGCTTTTGGGTTCTTGGTCACAACATCTTTGCCTAAGCCAATGTCTAGAAGGGTTTTTCTGATGTTACCTTCTAGGATTTTTATGGTTTCAGGTCTTTGATTTAAGTCTTTGATCCATCTTGAGTTGGTTTTTCATAAGCTGAGAAATGAGGATCCAGTTTCATTCTCCTACACGTGGCTTGCCAATTATCCCAGCACCATTTGTTGAATAGGGTGTCCTTTTCCCACTTTATTTATTTATTTTTTCCTGTGTTGAAGTTCAGTTGGCTGTTAGTATTCAGTTTTATTTTTGGGTTCTCTATTCTGCTCCATTGGTCTATGTACCTATTTGTATGCCAATTCCATACTGTTTTATTGACTATAGACTTGTAAAATTGTTAGAAGTCTAGTAATGTGATGCCTCCAGATTTGTTCTTGTCTTACTCCATGACTATTTTGCATGTGTGATTTAATTTTTACATACATCTTTATAATTTAATTAAATTTATTTAGGTGATGAGATGAATATCTAGTTTATTTTAAAAATATATATTTTCCATATATCACTCAAGTGAAAGGGCCATCATTGCTCGTTGAAAGTTAGAACTACTTCTATGTTAAGATTCATGCTCTGGTTAGCTAATACTAAATTGGGTTTTAGAAGTTTGTTATTCGTTGTTTACCTCAGTCATCATTTAAAAACCAACATGTTAGTTTGTTTCCTTAGGATTTATGAAGGTTAATACTGAGTGTCAACTTGATTGGATTGAAGGGTGCAAAGTATTGTTCCTGGGTGTGTCTGTGAGGGTGTTGCTAAGAAAATCAACATTTGAGTCAGTGGACTGGGGAGTCAGACCCACCCTCAATCTGGGTGGGTATCATTTGATCAGCTGCCAGGGTGGCTAGAATAAAGCAGGCAGAAGAAGGTGGAATGATCAGACTTGCTGAGTCTCCTGGCCTCCATCTTTCTCCCGTGCTAAGTATTTCCTGCCCTCGAACATCAGACTCCAATTTCTTCTGCTTTTGGACTCTTGGACTTACACCAGGGGTTTGCCAGGGGCTCTCAGGCCTTCAGCCACAGACTGAACGCTGCACTATCAGCTTGTCTACTTTTGAGGTTTTGGGTCTTGGAATGGCTTCTTTCTTCCTCACCTTGCAGACGGCCTATGTGGCACTTCACCTTGTGATCGTGTGAGTTAATTCTCCTTAATAAACTCCCTTCCACATATATCCTATTAGTTCTGTCACTCTAGAGAACCATGACTAACACAGGATTCCAATGTATTTATCATCAAATCACTCCTCAATTAAAATCCGTGAGTTATGACTTGGATCCAGAACACTGCTCCCACTGATCCTCCTAAGCCTGTTCCCTGTCATCCAGAAACATGCAGTAACATGTGGTCACTCAACAAAATGGACCTTCTCAGCATAGCAGTCCCATCAATAAGGTAATGGCATGAATCAATGGGAAAGACTTGGAAGAACTCTTAATTAAAGAAGCAACTGTTGATAAAAATTTCATTTCCAATGTATTGCCAGAACACCAGACATGCTGGTGGAGAGGGTGAGCAGTTCCCCAAATCCCAACCCCTTCATCAGGAACTGTGTTTCTCCAACTGCCTCCTGTTTCTTCTCAAACAGATACGGAGTCTTTCAGTGATCAGGTGAGCTCAAAACGCCTTACTGCAACTGCAGCACCTTCCATAAACTTAGAATCATTTTCCCCATTTCTTACCTATTAAAGTGTTAGTCAAAGACTAAAATTCTCCCTTCTTTTTTACACTATAATGTTCTTCTGACCTTTCTAATCTATCAAAATAACCAGATAATAAATTAGATCTACAATAAAATTCAAAAACAGTAACATTATTTTTCTTGTCATTATATGATAATGTTTTTACTTCATGAGCCAAACAAATATTGCATTAAGAAGACACTTTATCAACCTTTGCTCTTCATACAAGAGCCTGCTTCAAGCTGCATCCACAAATATCAAGGGAGAGTAATTCACCTATCTTACAGAAAAGAATATTTATAATTTGTCAGGATAAAAAATCTTGAGAAGGGATGAGTGGTTTGACAGAAGGTGAGGGGGAGGGACTGGACACATGGAAGGGCAGATGGAAGAAGGGAAGAGGTGATGGATCCCGAAAGCCCTCTCTCTTCCTTGGCAGGACTTCTCAAGCATCAGGAGTCAATAGCCGGATTCCCCCAGTGGCTGACTCTCAGACACAGTTTAAAGAGACATCAATCTGTGATGTCCGCAGTGTTCAGCAGAGAGGTAATGGACTTTCAAAGATCAATATTCAAATGTGCTTGCTGTCATGTGTGAACCCCTTATCCTCTCCAGCAACTTGTCCTGGCCAGGAGGAGCCTCTAATGTTAACTAGCCCATTTCTAACCACCACTCAGAGATGCTCAGATGCTAAGGTGCTAGGAGTATTTCTCTTTTCCTTGGTTCTTTTATTGCGGAGAAAGATGCTCTGTCCTAGGACACTCAAGGGGACTCCACAGTGCAGTTCGGCCGGTCACCCTGACATCTGTCTTATTTCCATGTCAGGTTTTAATGAAGTCACAAACATCCCCATCCCAGTGCCCCTGTCACCTGAAGCTGCACAGGCATGGGGGCCAGGTGACCAGGTCTGAAAGTAGGCTTTCCAAACCCATATGAAAGAGAAAACCTGCCACTGTGATTGTCACTAGTATTCATAGGATATGGACAGAGGAATTAGAAACCCTCCAACAAAAGCAAGGAATCAGAAAAAACTTTTTAGAGTAGTCTGAAACAAAGTCAGAGTCACTTAGAAGATGTCACTGAGAATATGGTCCTGATAATTAATTAAATCTTATTGACTTCACAGGAGAGACGAGCAGTAGACATTTAGGATTAATTTGAGCAATGTTAGTCTGATACCAAATGTGTGTGGTTAAGTACTTTATCACTTGTTCCTCCACCATGCCTAAGTGGCCTTTAAGGTAAAAATATTACAAATGAGTGGTCTATTACCAGGCCCACCGGTAAGGACAGAATGAGTATGAGAGCTTTCATTAAAGTCATATTTTACCCTCTCTTCTTCCTTGAGAAGTTATGAGAAAATGATTCTGAGGTTAAGAGGAGTCTAGCAATCTTTTATATATTTTGCTGTTAATTCAAAGATTGGCTAATAAAGCTTATTTTATTATTTTATAACAAACTGGGAGAGCCAGTGAGGATTTTGACCATGTCTTCCTCACTCTGCATTATGTTATTGGCTTACCTTGCAAATGAGACATGGAGTGTAAACAATGGCTGATTGCTACTTGCAAATCCATGCATACCCCAGGGCACCTCCCCATGTAGGCTTAGGCTTGGAGTGTAGGTTCCATTTGTGTGATGTGCTGAAGGGAGAAAACTATTTTTTTTTTTTTTTTCTGAGACAGAGTCACTGTTGCGCAGGCTGAAGTGCAGTGGCGTGATCTCGGCTCACTGCAACCTCTGCCTCCTGGGTTCAAGTGATTCGCCTGCCTCAGCCTCCCAAGTAGCTGGGACTACAGGCACCCACCACCACTCGTGGCTAATTTTTGTATTTTCGGTAGTATTGGGGTTTCACCATGTTGGCCAGGCTGGTCTCAAACTCCTGACCTCAAGTGATCCACCCACCTTGGCCTCCCAAAGTGCTGGGATTACAGACGTGAGCCACCACACCCAGCTGAGAAAACTCTTTTCCTAAGGAAAAACATACACTTATTTATGTATTTATTTATTTTGAGACAGAGTCTGGCTTTTCGCCCAGGCTAGAGTGCAGTGGCGCGATCTTGGCTCACTGCAACCTCCGCCTCCCGAGTTCAAGCAATTCTCCTGCCTCAGCTTCCTGAGTATCTGGGATTACAGCCATGCGCCACCACACCTGGCTAATTTTTTTGTATTTTTAATAGAGATGGAATTTCACCATATTGGCCAGGCTGGTCTCGAACTCCTGACTTTGTGATCCACCTGCCTCAGCCTCCCAAAGTGCTGGGATTGCAGGTGAACATCCACTTTTTATACGCATATCTAGCATGCATCATATACTAAGGAATCTCCTACACTCTGTGGGGCTCTGCTTCTCTGGAGATTCAGATCAAAGTCACATAGGAAGCTTAGCTGCTCCCAATGCAACGAAGATGAACATGCTGTTATAACCTGTTAAACGATATGAAAATGTGTGAAAATTCTGAGTCACAATCTAAAGTCATTGCCAGCAGACTTCCCCTTATGCATGCTCCAATGCCCTCTTATCTGAAGTGTATCAGTGGGAGGGATTGGTTAGATGTTTGAAAATGAGGGTTTGAGATGGTTTGGTCAACTCGAGTCTCCTGATCAGACCATTGCTTTCCATTATGGAAAATCACACTCTCTCCAAAATGACATTTGAATATACTAGTAACAAAATTCTAATGTGAATATATAAATTTTGATCTGTTAGTCTCAGAAGTGAGGCAGGATGACGAGTTTAATGAATATGTTATGTCTCCATGATAGTTCCCTATGCAATATTACGCCAATAAATCGTGAAGCTTGAAGGTCACAACATCTCAAAGCTCCCTGTGCAGTTACAGCACCTCTTTCCCCTTAACCTAGCCCATAACAAAGGTAGAAGCTAATGAAATACTCTGACTTAGTGGGGACATTCTCAGGACGGACTGGTGCCGAGTGCAGGTGCACCTGAGCAGTTGCTTCTGTTTCTTCCTTACTAGCACTGGAGCCTCCAAGGAGCTGGTATCTGGTCATCAGACCCACGGGCAGCACCCTGACTGCCCAGGGAAGGGGTGGCAAAGAGCAGGTGGTATTTGGGTCTCAATAGTTTAAAAGAACAATAGCTCCCTATTAACACCTGAACTTTATGCCTGGGTTTCAGGACTAGAAATGACACTTCATGGATAAACATTGTCAGCTAGAGGAGGCAGCTTTTGATACATTAGGCTTATTTCCATGGCTTTCAACATTCAGTATTTGTATGCACTGCAAAAGAGGGAAAATTAGTGGAAGAAATAAATGCTCATTGATCCTTAAAACAAATAACCGCCGAGGGTTTCAGTACTTGTAGAAGGAACTGGGCTCTACTGTTACTGAGAGATTCAGGGAGAGTGATGTGAACAGAGATAGGTGTGTGTTTTTCTCAAACCCACAACCATTGGGAGGCAGCTTGTCTGCTGGTGTGTGGATCAAACAGCCAAACTCCCTCAACTCAGAGTGTTTCCAGAGTTGAAAGCAACTAACGCTCCCAACAGTGAAACCCGAGTCCTATTTTCATTTCCAGTTGTACCAGGGAAATGGAATGTGGATTTAGGCAAATCATCTTATTTCTCAGGGTCCAAGAACCCCACCATTTAAAATGTGAATGATGGTAATAATCGCTGTCAGCATGTTCCATAAAGAAAATCTATTTTCTCTTATATTACAACAGTATTAATAGCTATAATTTGAGTGTGTGTGTGTCTGGTTGTGTGTGAGTAAATACATCCACAGCATGTTGAGCTCCTCATAAGAAACATATCATTTAAATGCAAATTGCTACTGCTGTTTTGCAAATAATTTGAGAATGAATAATGGTGGTCACAGGAAAAATATGTATCTCCCTTATGCATTTTGTAACTTGCAATAATTAAGATGTGCATATAGTTTGTGTTTACATTGGATGATATTTTTCTCATGATTTCTCTTATTAAATATCTACTACAATTTGGAATGGGTTAATTGGATAATAATTTATTTCAGACCACTTGAGTCACATAAGTGCTGCTAAGGAGACTGGCTGCAGGTTCTAGACAAGAATGGGTTTGTGGAGTGAGGCAGCAGTGGGGTGTGTGGAGAGCTGGGGTTGCATGCGACTTGCGATTTCTCTCATAGATGGGGCGGGGGCAGGGATCAATCCCGTTAGTGATTACTTTTGCTGGAAGGAATAATGAGTGTGTTTTCCAAAACCTGGCCCTGATGTTATCCTGCTTGGAATGAGTTGTCTATGGTTTTGTCGTCAGTGAGAAGGACATTCAAGTTTGGGGGTTTGTGATTTGTCTACACTATTGCACCGCAGGAAACCTTACTAGGATTATAGCTGCCACAGTCCCACCATCAATCAATCAATCAACACACAAATAAATACATGCAAGAGTGACTCAGCATCAGATTTATTTATTTAAATCCATATAACTAGCTTGACTGCTCATTCATGGAAGAAATAAATAAATTGAACTCAAGTTAAATGGCTGTATTGACAGGATGACTTCACCCGTATGACCATCCATCTGAAAACCTATTTAGGGTGTGATGGAACTGGTTCATGATAGTCACAGCTTTTTGTTTTATAAACAGTTTGATGCACATTGATTGGTGTACTCTGCTTTCAGAGGTAGGCCATGGTGCAGCCACAGAGCGAAGGCCCTCCTGGTTTTCTGTGCAATAGTACGTATTTTGTACCTTCATCCTTCTGTCCATAAGAAGGTGACATTTTTGGGCAGGGTCCTCAGAAACAGAGCAAGCCCACTATTGGGAAAGTGTCAGCATTTCTGAGGGACCAGAGGAGTATTATTTTATTTTGTTTTATTTTATTTTAGAGATGGAGCCTTGGTCTGTCACCCAGGCTGGAGTGCAGTGGCATGATCTCAGCTCACTGCAACCTCCGCCTCCCGGATTCTATCAATTTTCCTGCCTCAGCCTCCTGATTTGCTGGGACTGCAGGTGCATGCCACCATGCCCAGCTAATTTGTTTGTATTTTAGTGGAGATGGGGTTTCACTGTATTACCCAGGCTGGTCTCAAACTCCTGAGCTCAGACAATTCACCTGCCTCGGCCTCCCAAAATGCTAGGATTCCAGGAACGAGCCACCATGCCCAGCCCAGAGGAGTATTCTTTAAGTGTCACATGCATCCCTCAGAGACACAGACACGCCCTCAGGACACCCCCACCCAGCCTCTCTAGTACCCAGTTACTAGAGGTGGTCTCACTTGCATCCACTGCCCTGGGTGAAGCACTAATATGCAGCCCCAGCCTGAGAACCACCTCTCTTGGTGGCTGCCAGCCCAACGTCCTCCTTCGACCCAGCTCTGTGCCGAAGGTGTGGTCACACGCTGTGGACAGCAAATGAAAGCACTGCCTGGCATGAGTGCAATGGTCTGGGCCTTCACTTTTGAATTCTTTCTTTGTAACTCCTGGTGGGGGAGACTGAAGATTGTCACCCCAATTTCAGGTGCAGAAGCCGACACTGAGGTTACAAGACGTGGTCAAGCTCCCTGAAGACAGGCTGCACCAGGCACTGGCTCCCACCACAGTTGTTTTAAAGGGCCTGTGCATTCAGTAGGTTTATCATTGTTTTAAAGAAATCTGCAAAAACACTACATCATATTTTTACAGTACGTTAACTCAGATAAAGCATACACTTGCACATAAACATGCCTACCACACACACATATACACAAAATCTCCCCAGTAAAATAGTAAATTGGTTAGGAGTCCTCTTTTGCTGTATTTTGCCTCAGTTTCAATTCATAAAAATAAATTATGAGAATATTTGTGCCTATTGATGTTTAAAAATGTATTTCTATGCTTTGAATGTTTTCTAAGCCACTGAAAAGAGAGTTTGTGTGCCTTGAATGCTTTTATTATGTAAATACATGGTGGAGTCACATGCTATGAATGAGATCAATGAAGATATTTTTAATACCAGTGAATTATCTGCCTATTGGCGAGGAGGGGGTGCAGTGAGAGACATTTCCAGAAAAAATGTCACTCCTGCCCCACTATGAAGAAAGCTGGTCCTTATTAAAGAAAGTGAGTGGGGCTGGGCTGTGGGATACTGGGCAGCACAGAATTTGGGTGTCCTGGATGCGATGAGAAGTGCAACCTGAGGACAGGGAGGTGTACAAGTCACTGGGCCTCAAGGACTCACTCCTCAGAGTGCAGCCAGGCATTCCAGGGCCACAAGCCTTTCACAGAGTTAGACACACCCCTTCCTCACAGTGTCTGAGGAAGCACACAGGTAGGGTTAGGGCTGTGCAGCCAGGCACAGCCAGGTGGTCAGAGTTTTATTTTGTTTCAAATCTTCTAAAAGAACTCTGCTCTTCTTTGCCACCTTTGGGACGTTTATGTGGGCTCTGCCTGAAAGCAAAGTAGTGCACCCCCAGGGCTCCAAGGGTAGAAGAGAAGAGGATTCTGTATTTCAGTCTCTGCTGCTTGACCCCTGGTACATCTTTGCCAGATGCCTACTATGGGCTTCTCTGTCAGGGTGCAGGCGACAGCGGAGAGGACGGGAGCAGAGCCAGGAAACCGCGGTGCTCCAGTAGGAACTGGATGTTCAGTCTGCTGTTCCTTTCCTTTCATTCTGTCCACCAAGTCAGCAACACCAGGAGGAGAATCTTCTACTCCGAGATAATCTGTTTCTTCTTCCAGGAAATCCCCACAGAGGATGGGGAGGTGTCCAGCCAACGCCACAGGCAGTGTCTGTGCTTCAGGAGGGAGAGTGGCTTCATGGCTATGCCCTGCCCACTGTCACAGCTGGGCCAGCTGCATCTGCAAGATTATTAAACAAGCGACTGAAGAAATCAAGGGGAAGATGGCGAAAGGCCTCCACCACATCTGTTGGGAAAAAGCGGAACGCGTGGCGACTTGACTTTATTTAGCATTTCATGAGATATTTTCTGTGTATTGTCTTCATGAGTAGCCATTCAGCATTTTTCACCAGTGAAAATCCATTTATGTTTTTTGAATGATTATAACATGACCAGTGAAGGCTGAAGCTATTTAACACTATTGGCAAAACCTACTCACCCTTGAAAAGACTATGAATATAAAGATTTAAAGAACATTTTTGCTCCTTTGAATAAACTCTCTAGAGAGAGAGAGAAAAAAAAAAGATCTCCAAATATGTCCCACATCTTCTTATCACAAACTAGTAACATTTTGCCAACTCAAACATCAAACCCAGACTTGCTTCTTTCACAAAAGCCACTAGAACTTCCTCAGGAAATAGTTCTCATAGAAGACTCATTGTGCAATGAGCTATGGAAAACTCCTCAGTCTTGCAAGCAGAAAGAGTCCTTTGGTTTTGTGGGGACAAGGATGAGGCTGATTGCAGGACAAAAGCAAAAGAGAGAAAGAAGCAAGGTAGTAACTGCTCACCTGCAGCCCTCAGCCTGCCTGGGCACCTTCCCTCCAGAGTTCATGAACTCCACCAGCTGCAGGCAAGGATCAGGCTGACCCTGGATGTATGTGCCCAGCAATGGCTTTTCCACTTATAAAACTCCAGCCAGGTCATGAGTGCCGCCTCACCTAGAAAACGACAGAAATCCACTGCACACATGGTTCCAGAAAACAACAGAAATCCACTGCACACACGGTCCCAGAAGTGTGGGTTGAGGGTGGGTTTGTAATGAGCTCTTTGTTTCCTGTGGGTCACCCTGCCAGGCCCGGTCAGGATGGGGTCTTTCACCTTCAGCTCAACCTTGGACCTTCATCCGGCTCCTTGGTGTCCCCTTCCCCAGGGAAGTGCCTGGCTGACCACGTGCCCTCGGATGAGGCCCACAGGTTTGTTATGGACCCATTCTATTCTAACCACATCAGCAGCAACCGAGCCTTAGCAATCTCATTTCCAATTTGGGATGACAGAGAGATCTAAGTTCTTGAGCAGCATGGAATCAGCCAGGGACACTGACCTACACACGTTTATCAGCACACTGTGTGCAGAGGGGGTGTGGACCCAGCAACATGCTTTGTCACTCACCTGTCAGGAGGAAACAGCACCTGATGCTCTCTTGGATAGCTTCCTGCGATAAAACGATCTGACATCCCTTCCACAAAGCTGCCACGCTGTCATGGGCCTCCACATAGAAAAGGCTGCTGATACACTTCAGATTGTCCGAAGTCAATGGTTTTTAAAGTGATGTTAGAAATAAGCCTTCAGCGCAGATTCCTGGGGAGCCGTGTTTCCGTGTCCCCGACCTCCATCAGGACCAGAGCATCTGCCTCTGACACACAGGGTGTCATCAAGCATCTGGTATATCATACTGATAAAATACCAGGGATGAAACTCTGGGCAAGGTCTGGGTGGAATTTTTTTATTTTTTATTTTAAGACAGCCAGACGATTCAAAATTATGGCAATCAGACATTGGTGAGGGAGAAACATGGTGATACACTGAACAGAAGCCACTTAAATGCCACACATCCTGATAATGTAATATCTCCACAACTGTTTCTGTTTAAAGCTAATAAAAGTACACAGAAGACATTCCAGTCCTTTCCTATCAAATTTATTACTTTGAGCGACAAAATGACAAAATGATTAGCAGTTAATAAGGCCTTGGCTTAAAAGATTGACTGACATTGCATTACTCATTTAATTTCCGCTTCTCTGAGTTTTTTTTCCTCTTCCTTCCAGCACGGAGGGAATTAATATTATCACATCAAAAGCTTTCCTTTAAATGGGGAGAAAAATCATTTAAAAGGACACAGCCTGTGATTATTCAAACTAGGTTATTTGCACCTTGTATATATAACAATATCACAGTACAACTTCATTTCACTCAAATTGCTGTCAGTCACTAATAGAAGGAATTTGCTTCCATTTTATCAGCAGCATTGTGCAGCGTCAGATGGGGGAGGGGAGTTCGATGTGGAATCTGATAAGACACGCAGGACGGCAGAGCAAGGCAATGGCCACGTGACCCCAGGCTGCCTTCTAGACTAATGCTCAGTATGTAAATTCTTCTTCTCCCCTCTTATTTCTTTTGCTTCTTTCTAGTCTTTGGTTTTGTTCCATTTAAAAAACAAAATTTTAAAGCACCATACACCTAGAGAGATAAGTACCAACCTCCATGGAATCCAGGGCATAATTACAGGATGCTGATTGAGTATTTTATTTCCATTCATTCTCAGCATTGGCAGAAAAATGATTATACCAAGGGTGATTTAACACCTAAAGAAGTATGTCCTATTCCCGTAGAATAGTTGTATCTGTGGGTGAAATTTTGAGTGTCCCAGTGCTTGGCCCGAACATCAGCCAATGATCTATCCACATTTAGGGCCTGACAGATTGAATGACTGCCCCCTGGAACGGACTGTGTTAGAGCTTCCATGACAAAGAGTTCACTTGTCAAAGGTTTATTCTTCCTTCTTAAAAAAAAAGAGGGGGGTAGGTTGGCCAGTAGGCAGAGGGGTGTCATGTGAGCAGGGAAACACCCGCTCCAGCATGAAATATGAAACATCAGTCACAAAGGTCGGGAGGGCACAGCTTGGTTACCAAGGCTCCAGGTGGATTAAATCACGTGCGTCCCAAGGGAGGACAGGGAGGCAGACAATAAAATAATATCGGAACAGAGCACCCCATGTCCCAAGGTTTGAAGACAAGCCTTGTTAATTCGGGAAACTGCAGGGTTAAATTAGTCCATGCCCTGGTGACAAGCAACACTACATATTGTGCCAGCGAGATAAATTTCCCCTCGCCTGCTCTGATACACTGGCCACTGACAGGACACTGCTGTGAGTAGTTCATTAAAGTGTCCAACTCCTAGGAAATTTTAAAAATTTATACTGCTTCCTATGGATGGCGGGGTCAAGTTCAATGGGCAGGAAAAAGCAGTAGCTCCAAGAATTATTCATGGATGACTATTTCAACAAGTTAGCATTTGTAACAAAAATTAAGAGAGCTGTATTGTCTTCACAGTTATATTCATAGATCACAAAAATAGACCAAAAATATTGCCTTCCTGGTTCAGATCTCCAAGCTCCACAAGCAGCACCTTGAGAGGATGCTAGTGTTGTGCTGGCATCACACTTCTAATGAGGTTGTATTTAGATAACACCTGAGCATGCATACAATAGCGTGCATTGCAACCAGGATGGCAGAGTGTGCCTCCTGCTTGGTCCTAGAGTTTCAGAGTAAAAGTAGATGCAGTTGTGGCTTAGCTACATTTTCATGTGGTAACAGGATTTCCCTGGTTTCTTCTGATCACTCTTGCCTGGGCAGTCTGTGGGAGCCCACCTTTCCTTGATGGATTGACCTTCTTTGCCTGTGTGAAGGCTTTCCCAGGACGGAGGCACGCTAAGCAGTCATGCTCCTGTTAGTGGCGCTGCACCTTGCTGGAAGGTTCAACCACAAGGCCTGTGTGTTGCTGTGGGGTCTTCTGTTTATTGTGAAACAGTTGTACTTCACAAGCCCTCAGAGTCCCTCTAGCTGGAGAGTTCTGTCAACACATTTGTAGGAACTGAGGAGTCACTGGGAGGCTGAAGAAAGAAGACTCAGGCCCCACAACAGTCTCCCCATGAAGACGCCCCCTCTGTTCACTGTAGCCAAGGTAATTACAGTGATGCTTGAAGCTACCACATCTCTATGTCAAAGTCACTTGTTTTTGGAAATGTAATGAGACACAATTTTAATCATAATAACTTAAGTAAAACTGAGCTTAGTCTTCATTGAAAATATGATTTTCAAACAGAGTTCTACAGATAAAATATCTTTTAAAAATATTACTGAATCTCTTGATAAACCATCTGCTTAGCTTTCATTTCTTAAGAATTAAGACATGTGTATTCACACTTGTTTACTCTAATATGAATCTTTCATTGTCTAAATAATTGGAATAAGCACTGTGATATTGAATCAAGAGCTGACTTGAGATGAGAGCTCACACCCTGGTCTGATGGAACCATCGGAGCTGAGTCTCTGGGAGCCCTCAGAGAGAAAGGAGGGGCTTGTCTACTCCACTCAGCCATCATCAGGCACTGACTGGCACAGTGACATAGCCCTGCTCTAGGTTGCCCTGGTGGCATAGAGGAAGTGTGGAGAGTAGCCTGTCCTCCCCAAGGACTCACAGCAACCAGAAGGGGCACTGATGGACCCTCAGTGTTCTCTAACACTGTTACCCCTGAAACTAAGAATCATCCTTAGGTTGAGAACTACCATTGCCAAAATTTAACGAGAGTGATTTCAAAAATGAAGATTTATCTAGCTACGAAAATGTTTAAAATGACTTAAGACATATGTTTCACTTAGGCCAGGCACAGTGGCTCACTCTTATAATCCCAGCATTTTGGGAGGCTGAGGCAGGTGGATCACCTGAGGTTAGGAGTTCGAGATGATCCTGGCCAACATGGTGAAATCTCGTCTCTACTAAAAATACAAAAAATTAGCCGGGGGTGGTGGTGTTCGTCTGTAATCCCAGCTACTCAGGAGGCTGAGGCAGGAGACTTGCTTGAGTCCAGGAGGTGGAAGTTGCAGTGAGCTGAGATCATGCCATTGCACTCCAGCCTGGGCAACAGAGGCAGACTTCCTCTCAAAAAAAGAGAGAGAAGTATGTTTCGTTTGTTTTTGTTTATTATATGGGGAAGCTTCTTAATTATCCAGTGTAGGTACTGAAAGGAATACTTATCTCAAAATGAGAATACCATTTCACAACTGCTCTGATGCCAGGGTGGGGTGAATCCTGAAGTCAGGAATTTCTCTGATGGTGGTTGTATCATCTTGGGTCTTCTCTCTGGAGTAGAAAGTTACCTCTAAACTGCTAAATTCAACAATAATGATGACACTTCTCACTTATAGTATGCTTTAACGCACATTTTCTTAACCAAGACTGCCTTCCTTTTACTAAGTTGTATTTGGCAACTTTTTTAAGGATATGTGGGAAAAGGCTTTTTTCCAGAGAAACAAGAAACTCATTTAAAAAATTGGAGATATCTGAGGTACATCTCACAATAGCCTTTAAAGAAGTAAGTACTATGAACACCTCAGTGTTTATGGTTTGTCCTGTGAGATTAAAAATTGCATTTGTCTGGGATTCCTGGGCCCAGGATTGATTTGGGAGATGCTTGGGGATTCAGAGTTCCGGGAAGGGAGGAGGAGCTCGATTCTGGAGCATCCAGGTGTTGTCTTGGAAACCCAAGCACCAGAGGGGCTCAAGGTGGAAGCGCTGAGCAACAATGTGCACACCTCTATGAACCTGGATGAAATGGGAAGCCTGGAGCTCACTCTCCGAAGCTGGGAAACATGAATGGACTTGGAGACTCTTATAGTGCAGATCCACCGAAACCACAGAGCCCGACAGGTGGGGCTGAGATGAAGTGTCCATGAAAGGAGCGAGGAACATGGCAGGAGCTCACCCAGGACAGGCAGGGGCAGAAGCACAGAAGCAGTTGCCGAGGCTCTTTGGTGATTTGTTCTGTGTTAAGATGGGAGCTACTTGAGCACCTTGGATTGCTGGTGGAAATGATCTAGCAACTGTGGCCAGGAGAGTGATGCTATGGACGGGGAGGGGACGCCAGAAAGGGAGGAAGTGCAGGTGACACTTGAGATTGATTCCCAGGGCAGCAACCTACTTAGGCATGTGAGGGCCTGTCTCACCGCACTCCGCCAGGCTCAGGAAGACAAATGTCACCACAGAGCAGAGCAGTGGGTTCTATTAAGGTTGTGGTTGCCAAAGGAGGACCACCAAGAAAGAGAGAGTTGCAAGAGCATGCTTTGGTCACTGTGCCTTAGACTCCACATTGTAAAGGATGAAAATGAGGGGAGGAAGAGGCTGATGGAGAGAGAATACTAGGTCTAAACAGTGGCCATCTTCAAAGCAGTCAAGTCAACCATGGCACAACTAGTGGACTCTGCTGGAGGACAAAACATTGTGGTCAGAGAGTGGAGGCTGGAAATTCTGATGGGAGAGGTTGTCATGAAATAACACACTACCAAAGGTGACAAATACTACACTGCTAATCCGTTGTTTAGTGTGTAAAATGTTGCTGAAATGAATCATTCTTGCGGCAGGCATGTTGAATCTCTTCCAAAAAATAGGTGGCAGCAAATTAAAAAACAAACAAACAAAAAAGACTTATAAAGATGGTAAATGATGAGGGAGAGAATTAATAAATCAGGAACATCTCAACTTTCCAGACATTTCAAAGTTTTTACAAAGTCAAACCTACTGACCATGAATATCACCATCAGTTTACTGCTTTTAGTCATGAGAGTGGGGGCTCTAGACACCAGACAACAGTGGCTGAGTGGCTGAAAAAATACCTAAAGAAATGCTTTGTGTCCATTTTAATGTAGCTTATATTGTAGGGGTCACCAGAAATTTTGCTGAAAACCATGGAGGGTTATGGTGGCATGGATCTACGTATTGGTAGTCAATGCAACACTGTGGATCAAGAATCTTTCACACTATAGTGAATTCCACTGGCTCTGCTTCCCCCTCTTCCATTAGCTAATTTGTTCTTGCCTGTCTTCCCACGAATGCAAATCAGTCTCCTGAGCCACGAAGAGCAGGCTGCTTTCTCCTGCAGCCCCGAGTTTTCCCACTGGACCCACCGGGCATTTCTCGGTCTTTTAAGATGTCATTTGTGGTCCCTAGGTGTCCGATCTGTTAAATGAATTAGCCATCTATTGTTCTGACTTTGAGCTGCATGACCTGCCCATTCCGGGCTTGGCATTTTCTACCACGGGGCCCCATCTATTACTGCAGTGCAGCCCGGGTCCTCAAGCTGTAAATCATCCTAGGGAGACGTTTTGCCCTTTCTCCCTTCCCCGGTGCTGGTGGCCCCCACCACTTTGCTTCCCATGCATTTATGTCAGCTCATCACAGCCTTCTGAGAGCGCCAGGGAGTACAGCTGGGGGAAGGGTCCATGCAGGCTTGTTTGGGGGTCCACGTTGTGTTAGGCTTTAATTGAATTAACCATCCGTTTTCTGTTCTCCGAGTCTATCATACACACAGAAACAGTTTTAAGCCCTAAATACCAAATATTTTAAATAAAAGTTAGAAGCTTATCGAGGCCTAATGATGACATCTCAGATTAGTCAGGAATACATGTATCCTCATTATACAGAAGTGAGGTAGGCGAAAGTTAAAGAAGACAAATAAAAACAGGATGGAAGTGGTGAGATTCCCGAATTCTGCTGCCTGACCATCCTGTGCACGGCACTGACCTCCAGCTCCATTCCCTTCCAAGACTCTACACAGTTGCTCTCATTCCTGGTATTTCATGTTTAACCTCCTTGTGCCTTTAGAGAATCACATTTCTAAACTCCTCCCATAGGTGTAGGCTGAGAGATCCTAAAGTAAGAGCCCCTTCTGAGGGCTCATTCTGAGCCAGTCCCTGCTCCAGGAACTTATGCTGTCAATTGCTGAATGCTCATAACAGCCCTATGTGCCAGGTGATGTCATTATGCATGTTGTGCAGATGACAATACTGAGGCTGGGGGAATCAGAGGCTTCCCTGAACCACATAACTGAGCCACAGTTTATATGGATCTGCTTCTGGAAAAAATGTCAGAATGGGTCACTCACAGAGACGACAGCAGCTCCACTCATTCTGGACACCAGCCCAGAAGGTGGGCTTTGTGCTTCAGTATTATTGAACTCTCCCTTACCTGGTACTTGATTTAGTCACCGAACACTTTGATTTTAATTTAGTACTTCAAATTTCATTTCATAGTGATTCATCCCATTATTTATTAATTGCCAGCCATATGTCAGTTGGGACACAGAACGGAAATAAAACATGTTACCAATGCATGATTACCACCCAATCAATAATGGAATAGGGTCTGATGCAACGTAATGTGCTTTCTGCAGGACGGCTTCTGTGCTGGAGCCCACGTGGGGACCATGCGGCACTAGCATGGCTGAAGAACTCTTGCCCGGAGCAGCCGGTGGAAGGATGATTCTGGAATAGGGCCGTGCCTGTACAGCCAGAAACAATATGGTAAAGTTGGTGAAACAAGGCCATTTGCCACAGCTGAGCTCTGGATACAGAATTGAGAAGCACAGTGCTTCTGTAATCTTTGAGAAAACACATGGCGTCATGAGGTCAAAGAGCTGAAACGCCCAGCCCATAGTCAGTCAACTCTCACTTCATTGCAGTCAAGAGTGGTGGCTGCTGCTCACAGAGCAATGGATGCACAGTGGGTCTGTTTGCTGTGACAAGGAGTGAGGACTTCATGCTGGCAGTGATGGGGTCACTGGAGCTGTCCTAATGGGGTTTGACATGATTAGATTTGCTTTCTAGAAAGATTTCTCTGGGAGCTCTGTAGAGAAGCACAGCTCTGTAGTGGAGCACAGCTAAGGTGGAGGCAAGACACAAACATGCACATAAGTACACACCACAGGCATGCACATGGATACACGTATGGGCACACATGTGTGTGTACACCCATCCACATGTGTGCACTGGTACAAGCCATACATGTGCACACATGAGCTCACATGCATGCACCACACATGTGTGTACTTACATGCACAAACTCCTGTCCACAGAACATGCACATGCACACAAGGTCTTCCATGCACACACATTACACATGTGCACATGCATGATCACATGCACAAACCCCTGCACACACACTGCACATGCACACATGGGCTTCCATGCACACACATTACACATGTGCACACGCATGATCACATGCACAAACCCCTGCACGCACACTGCACATGCACACAAGGTCTTCCATGCACACACATTACACATGTGCACATGCATGATCACATGCACAAACCCCTGCACACACACTGCACATGCACACATGGGCTTCCATGCACACACATTACACATGTGCACACGCATGATCACATGCACAAACACCTGCACGCACACTGCACATGCACACATGGGCTTCCGTGCACACACATTACACATGTGTACACGCATGATCACATGCACAACCCCTGCACACACACTGCACATGCACACATGGGCTTCCATGCACACACATTACACATGTGTACACACATGATCACATGCACAACCCCTGCACACACACTGCACATGCACACATGGGCTTCCGTGCACACGCATTACACATGGGTACCCACATGATCACATGCACAACCCCTGCACACACACTGCACATGCACACATGGGCTTCCGTGCACACACATTACACATGGGTACACACATGAACACATGCACAGACCCCTGCACACATGCACCTGCACACATACCATGCTCATGCATGCACGGGCTCACATGCTAACACACAGCACTGGGCACAATAATGTATGACGAAAATCAGAACGACCACATAGTTGCTGTGATTTTCGAGTCAGGGAATTTCAAAATTTCTTCACCGACAGGAGTCCACGAGAAGGCGTTTTTAGAAATAGGGGGGATAAGAAGAAAAAGGGCAGGTACCTCCTCCCCACGGGCCCGCTCCCTGGGGTTTCATGTTTTGCTCCATGCATGAGGAACATGCTCATTTTTGTTGCTGATTTGCAAGCCTAGAAACATCAGTCTGTGCTTCAAAACACTGCAACTGGTTTCTTTTTTGTCCACATGAAATTACCATCCAGCTTAAGATATTCAGAGTATATAAGCCCTAAAGTAATTTTTTTTTGCAAAAGTAATAAACTCCTATAAATCGAAAGAAGGGATGCCATCTTAAACTCACTCCTGGAATTGCTTGTGTAATGCTGTGGTTCCATAATTGTACCTTGTTTTAAATTCATATGTATTCATTTCATCAAAATAGTCTATATTTTATACTGATAAATTTATCAATAGAAAAAAGATTCCACAGAAAGATATAAAAAATTACCTGCCAAAATAATGATTTATGCTGGTTTTGAAGCTTCCTCTCTATTATTCATGTGCACAAGACTTTTTTTTTTTCATTTTGACATTTACTTCACATTATAAAAACGTGTTCCTCTAAACCAATGTCTTCATTTGAATAGCAGGTAGGGAGGAATGGGCCCGAGTGGCAGCTTCTGTGTCCGAAAGGCTCCGTTTGTGCGGAGCCCCTGCAGGTCTCTGTTTGCCAACAGGGATGGACCAAGGGTTGGGTGGGCTTGTCCACCATGAAGTGAGAGGACAGATCCCACAGAATCTCAAAGCCTTGTGGGGAGAAAGCAGGAAGCGAATGCCTTCACCAGTGGCTGATTAGAAATAGGGTTGGTTTTTGGTGACGTTTACTTGAAAGGTCAAAGGCAACATGTTGCCAGTAACATTACAAATTAGAAGAATAAATAATCTGTGCATTGGAAAGCAAGCTGGGAAGAGGGTTGCAAGCCCAGTCAAACTTTCAGGAGGTCACTTTCACTCCTTCTGTTTCCCTACAAGAAGTTTCCAGCAGCAGCTCTAAGTCCAAAGAGTCAGAAAACTGCACAGAGCGTTGAGAATGCTGCCTTGGGTGAGGAGGGGGTAAGACACTCAGATAAAGGTCAGGTCGGTCACTCTTGGAGCAGGAGAGGGATGGGGAGGAGAGAGGGAAGAGGTGGGAATCACTAGTGAGAAAATGAGCCTGAATCTTGAGCCCAGGTGGCACCTTTCCCCTCTCCAGGGGGACAGGCTCATGATCAAAGAGCTGCTTGGGGGATTTCTGGGGACCAACTACTCCCTCCATTTGACCTTAGATGGCGTGGTCTTACCAAAGCTCCAACAGGGCTGAAGCTCCTCTTCAAGCACCCAATCCCTAAAGGAATCTCCAACACTAACGTGCATGTGTTGGTCCGTGTAGCTGGTCTGTATAGCAGGGACAAACGGCAATCCATGGGCTCAAGTCCATGACAGAATTGAACTTTCTCCAGAAGTTTGTAGTCCCTCTAATATCTATCTTGAATCTTCTTCCCCCTGGAGTGGCAGAAACTTAAAATTGCATCAGATGGCAACAATCCCTCTTTCTGTCTGTTTTGGGTGTTTACATAGACCAAAGGCTCGGGGTGAAACAGTCTTGTCGTCTCGTCTCTCGGCCTAGGATGATGTCACGGAAAGGAGACCTGGCTCCGTGCAGAGTGGTGTCGTCCCACTGGCCCCCTCTTCAGGAGACTCTCTGTGGCCTGGTGTTAGAGGTGACGTGCCTTGCAGCCTGAGTCTACAGAAGTCTCCATCCCTCCACCGCGAAGTGCTGTCATGGAAACACCTGCATCCTATTTAGAGCACCGTGCTGCCTCCCACCCTTCAGGATAAAGGCTCTCTCAGTGTTTTAGCAATTGTCCTCTTGACACACATCCCAAGTCCATCCTCCCTGACTGTGTTCTGATCTGCCCACATCTAATTTCAATGGCGACGTCTCGAATGAATATGAATCCAAACCCACTTTACTTAAAGCCCCGAGAACAAAGGGAAAATGCTATGTGACATGTCTTAACCTGGGGTGGCATGTGTCCAAATGCAGCCATCAGAGGTGTTGCTGGGTTTTGCTGGTTTGTTTGTCTGTTTGCACAAACACCTCTTTGCTCTCTCATGCTGAGCACAGTCCCCACCCCCACCTTTCTCCTTGCTGAGGGAGCAAGGAGTTGGAGCATTGAGTTGGAGGCAACTCAATGTTCACATCCTAAAGTATTTTATCTTTGCAGCGTTGTCCACGGACTGCATGGGTTTCTTGTTGGCAACACATGAGCATTGTAATGAAACAATTTTTGTTCAACAGTTTACTGTCTCTATCCCCACCTATGATATTACCTGCAAGATAGCTGGGGCCTTGCGGTCTTGCTCACGATCCCATTTCCAGGGGCAAACACATGCTCTGCACATGACTGGTAAATGCCAAATATTCAGTGAAATTAAAATATAGGAACAGTGTAGCTCGCTCCACTTGTAAATTTTCATTTAGTGCTGTTAGTTCGTCTCCACTCTGTGTTTCCAGATTGGCCTTTAGAGCCCAAATTACATTTGATCCATAAGTCCCCAAACTCCAGGCCCAAGCTAGAGGAACAGAGTTTCCCATATTCCCCTAAGTCATTGATGCAAGTTTGCAAATCTCCCCAAGGTGACATCACTTGACACTTGACACCTTAGATAGAGTTATCCCTCCAGGGAAGGGTGGGACTGAAAGTATGGCCAGCCTATTCTGGGACTCGGAGACTGTTTTTAAATAAAGTCTTCAGGATGCGTTGTTCTTGAGTGTTTTGATCAGAGATGCGAGGTCATGGTGAGAGATGGAAAGATTATTAGAGAATACTAATTACCAATATAGTTGTATGAATCCACAAATCAGGATGAAACCCCCGATGTCTCTAGAATTACGGCTAACAACAGTAGAACTTACTGAATTTTGGAGATTTTCATCAACACACAGAAATTGTAGATTAGGTGTAGGCCCAAACGCTCCCCTCTTTACACACTCATGGAAAACTTTTAATTCCTTTTTTTCACTCTATGAACAAAATGGCCATTTGCTTCAAATGCTTTCCCACATCTCTTCTGGCCATGGACTTGCACTGCAGCACACACCTGAGAACCTGGATATTGTACCCATCCTTGTCAATCGTGATGGGCTAATGTATATCGGCCTATTGGAAATCCCAGGGTAGCTGGGTTCTGTGTTAGGGGTTTGCGATAATTAAATGTTTAAATTTTGTGTCAACCTGGTTGGGCTATAGTAAAGAGTTATTTAATCAAACACTAGTGTATATGGAGTCAGAAGGTATTTTGAAGACTGGTTAACATCTACAATCAATGGACTTGAAGGAAAGGAGGTTACTCTTATTATGTGGGTGGGCCTTACCCAATCAGCTGAAGGCCTTAAAAGGAGAATTGATTTTCCCTGGAGAGGAAGGAATTTTTCTTCAAGGCTGTAATATAGAAACCCTACCTGAGTTTCCACCTTGCTGACCCGCTGTACAGATTTTAGACTTGCCAGGTCCTACAAATTGTATGAGCCAATTTTTTTTAAGTCTCTCTCTCTGTCTCTCTGCCTTAAGAAAGAGAAAAAAGATCTATATTTATATCCATACCTATGTATACATATAAGCATTTCCTAGAGGTTTTATTTCTCTGGAGAACGCTGATTGGTACAAGGCCTATTACTTAGAATTGCTAAAGATCTATCTCAAATATTTCTCACTTTTTCCATGGAGATTATCATCAGAAACCTCTTACCTTCTTTGTCTCTGGACTTAGAGTGGATATCTCTGTCATGTTGCTCTGATTTTATTCACACTACTTACTTCTACCAGGCACTATAATACTTTAGATTAGATTAGCTATAATGTTGTATTAATGTGACACTTTATATATACTATAGTACAGTATATCTCATCACATTAACTTACACACACACACACACGTATTTGTTTGAAGACCTTCTCTGCCCACAATGAGACTACAAGTTGCAAGAAGGGGGGAAATGTCATCTGTTCTCTCTTCTGCCATGTCTTCATCACCTAAATCTGTTCTTGGCACATTATAGTTGCTCGTTAAATAACTGTTGAAAGCATACAGAATGACATTAATAAACATCATTCATACAATTCCTTCAATGTGTGTATCACATTAAACGCAAAACATTTGAAGGAAAACTGCACAGGGCTTTTTGTCATATTGTAGGCAGCTCCAGCAGTAAAGCGCATCAGTGTGTTAGAGAACTGAAAGACAAACCTCAGAATGAGGCAAGGATGAAGGTGGCTGTGGCTGCTTCGGGGTCTGCAGGGGACCAGTGAGGTGAGCAAGTGGCTTCCCTCCCCAGAGCCACCAGTCCTTTGCAGAGCAGGGCAGGAGGGCAGGCCCCGGTCCCAGGGCCTCTGGTGACTCCGGATCTGCCAGGTACCGGCTAGCTGCAGGGATTTTTCTCTTCACCCCTCAGATTCTTCATCCTAAAAGAGAGTTATGGCTTATTAACATCAGAGGAACGCAAGAGGGCTTTAGGAGCTAGTGTCTGGCTGATGCTCAGAGCACTCCTGAGACTGGGGCCTCTCTGTGCTGTTGGCTTTTTCTACAGAATGGGGACTGTAAAGGAAGATGCCTCAACTTTGCCCTCCTTGCAGTTCAGGCACCTCCCATCACTTTCACACACACTCCTCCCTCTCCATCTCCTGAACTCCACATACACCTTCCACGGGGTCTGAAGTCTGGCCTGGAAAAAAGGTGTGATTATCTAGTAGCTGTTAAACCTGATAATAATTCTTTGATTTTTGAATAATTACTATTCATGTTAGTCAGATATCATCGGAGACTAAGGTATTAGTCAATGTTATTCAAATTCTCCCCCTCAGTGGGTAAATGGAATCTACGCTTGAATTTCATGAGGTTCCTGACTTCAACCTTCTCATCTGCAATCCCAGGCTACACCATGGTCTTCAAAGAGAATTTGTGTTTTATGTTCAGCACATAGAGAGGTGCAATAGGTGGTTTTGTGTCACTCAGTTAAAAAATACATGATAAATAAAGTAGATGATAGATAAATAGATGATAGGCAGAAATGATGGACAGATAGGTAGTAGATAAGGGATGAATGGATATAGAGGTAGATAGGTAGATGATAGATAGATTGATAGATAATAGAGACAGAGAGATGGATGCATGGATATACAGGTAGGTCAATAGATGATACATAGTTAGGTAGGTAAGTAGAGAGAGAAAGAGAGAGAGAGATGGATAATAGAGACAGAGATGGATGCATGGATATATCAGGTAGGTAGATAGATAGATAAGAGACAGGGAGATGGATGCATGGATATACAGGTAGGTCGATAGATGATACATAGGTAGGTAGGTAAGTAGAGAGAGAGAGAGAGGGAGGTGGATAATAGAGACAGAGATGGATGCATGGATATACACAGGTAGGTAGATACATGATAGATAGATAGATAGATAGATAGATAGATAGATAGATAGATAGATACATAGATACATAGATACATAGATAGATAGGAGACAGAGAGATGGATGCATGGATATACAGGTAGGTAGAAAGATAGATAGATAGATAGATAGATAGAAAAAGAGAGAGATAATAGAGACAGAGAGGTTGATGCATGGTATGTAGATAGGTAGACAGATGATACATAGGTAGGTAGATAGATAGATAGATAGATAG
This sequence comes from Homo sapiens, assembly GCF_000001405.40. Classification (NCBI taxonomy): domain Eukaryota; kingdom Metazoa; phylum Chordata; class Mammalia; order Primates; family Hominidae; genus Homo; species Homo sapiens. The sequence goes on from NC_000005.10 coordinate 4,009,534, forward strand.
ATAGATAGATAGATACATAGATAGATAGATAGGGATAGAGTTATACAAAGAAGACTGCAGAGCCAGCATTACTTTTCTGTACTGTTTGAATCATATGTTTCTATGGAGCTCTTTACTCTAATATGCATGTATCTAATATGATTGTATCAACACAGAATTGCTTTGACTTTAATTTTTTAATGACCAGATAAATTTCTTTGAAAAAATAATTAGTTATTGTGGTATACATTTAAGTCCATTGCGAAGTCATCACGGGCCCTTGTTTCAAAATCGTCTGAAGTCTGAACCACCCCATGCTACATTTTCCCTCCCACAGCTCTAGGCAGTCTAAGAAGAATAGTCTTAGCCTGTACATTTCTTAAAACTTTGAAAAAAGGATATATAAATGCATAATACTATAATATTCAAATACTCTCTCAGCACAAGTTTGCTAATCTGTTTTCAGTGTGATCTGATATCTGACTTCTTGAAGGAACTGTATAAATAACAGATTGACTAGGGATAGGTATTTATCTTTTGTCTTGACAATATGCAAAGCAATATGTGTTTTTTATAAGTAATGAAAGGCCAGACTCAAAGTTGAGCCACAAAGAAAAGAAGTGACATTTGAGGAAAGATGCCAAAATACTAGGAGGCCAGAAAACAATGAGCTGTTTCTCAAACTCTGGAGGGTTGGCTTGGGCAACTGCAGATGCTCCCTGTATGTGGCTGTGGGTTGCCCCATGGTTATCTTCACTTGGTGAAGTTGGACCTTGTAATCACGGTCCCCTGTGTAGCTGATCGCAGTCCGTGTTGGTCCCTGAACGCTCTCACATTTCCCGTCAACCCTGTGGCAAGCTGTGGCTTTCCCTGTCTGCACAGAGGTATACGGCACCCTAGTGTCTCCCAGATTTGGAGGGCTTCCTTCTGTCTTGTCCACAGGAAATCTGTGCCAGAAAAAAGAAACGGATCTCCTCCAGATAACTCAGAACCAGAGTGTGAAGGTGAGATGTCAGTACAGCACCTTGGGGGAGAGTAGCGTTCCCTTCACCCTGCGCTCTGCCTCCAGGCTGGCCTTGAACCCCACAGCACAGGGCTGTGAGAGGTCCCCAGAAGCAGGAACCCTAAACCATTCGAGGTGACACCCTATGTCAGGGGAGAGCCAGGGCATCAGGTCCTGCGTGGGCCCCTCCCAGGCGACAGTGGGTCCCCTTGGTCTCCATAATGGGCTTTTTTTTTCGGGCGAGGGATAGCGTCTCGCTCTGTCACCAGGCTGGAGTGCAGTGGGGTGATCTTGGCTCATTGCAACCTCCGCCTCCTGGGTTCAGGTGATTCTCCTGCCTCAGTCTTCCAGGTAGCTGAGATTACAGGTGCATACCACCATGCCTGGGAAATTTTTTTTTTTTTTTTTTGTATTTAGTAGAAACAGGGTTTTACCATGTTGGCCAGGCTGGTCTCAAATTCCTAACCTCAAGTGATCTGCCCGCCTTGGCCTCCCAAAGTGCTGGGATTACAGGCGTGAGCCACTGCGCCCCGTCTGTAATAGACTTTTGAGGGAAAGTGGAGTTCAGCATGAACGGGGACGCAGGGAGGAGGTGAACTGAGGCTTCGGGGCTCTCGGTGCAGCCACTCAGGCACCCTCCCTGTTCCCCACTGGCAGAGGCTGAAGTTAACTGCTGGGACCGAGGCCCATCTGAGGGAAGCCTGCCCTGGAATGCAGAGTGGGTGGCTTTCAGATCCAGCCCTGCGTTTGGGGGCGGGGAGCCGGCGGGGAAGCCGGGGGTTGTTTTGGCAAACCCAATTTGTTTTAGTTTTATAAGGACTTGTATTGTCAAAGATCATTTACATCCCTTCCTATTAACCTGACTGGGTGTCAATACTCCTGTGGGTTTTACCCTCTCGCTTTCAGGAGCTTGGGAGCCGAGGTCAGCAGAGCAGGGCTATTGCCCACGGGCCGGCCTGGCATCGGAGGCCCCTCCATGGCCTCAGGAGCTGCCACCTGCACCGCTACATCCCATAGCCTCTTAATATGTAGAGCAGGGCCTTTCAGCCACCAGTCCACCTCTCCTTGACAGCTTGACAGAGGTTCATATTTATTTTAAATATTTTGGTAAAGATGAGGCACAAAACAATTGTTTCAATCTTTTCAATGGCTCTGCTGGCAATCAGCCTCCCAGGATCCTTTTGGTTTTTTCCTACTTTTCCAGCAACCCTCATTTAATGTAGAGATTAAGTGCATGGCAGAAGTATCTGTAAAATATTTGTGAATATTTTAAGATTAAATAATACTTCTAATGTTTTATTGGAAAGAAAATTGCCACTTCAGTAGGCCAACTTACGATTTTGGAGGTTTTACTTCTCCCAAGGCTGTGCTTCCTAGGTGGAGTGAAATGAAGATTTGCTGTGGAGAAGCTGCACATGGCTCTGTCTCCTCACCATGGATACCTGGGTCAATCATGGAAGGAGTAGGTTCTTCTGTCCCCTCGGTACTTTCTACGGAGACTGAAAGCCACATGGTTCTCCTTGGATCGCTCTTTGCTCTGTTCAGGAGGGTCAGAGGCTACAGAGTGCTGAGACCTCCTGTCCTAGGCCCAGGTGTCACATGCCAGCTGGCCACCTGCCCAGGAGAACTGGGATGTGCAGGAGCATGGTTGACGGCTGGCTGAGTCTGGTTCCTAGCTGGTGCAGAGGTCAGTCCCTTGGAAAACAGAACAGGTGTGTTCAGACACCGTGGGTCAGGCCCAGGCACAGGTGAGAGCCAGGCGGTGAGCAGAGTCAGCTGGTCCAGGTATGGTGAGGAGGAGCAGGACTCCAGGTGTCCTGGAGACAGAAGGCTCCCCTCTGCTGAGTCGAAGCACAATTGCCTTGAGGCAGAGGGTTCTGGAGGAGGAATACTCTGTAACCTTCTGGCTCAATTTTACACAGTCCTAGAGAGTTTTGTTAAGGGGGTTTTCAGCAGTTAGCAAATAGATTGCAATTCCTTAGGAGGAGTAAGTCCACCTGGTTGGGAGTAGAAGTCCCCGTGGAACTCAGCAGAAACCTCCTCTGGATTGTTCCGTATTGCGGCGTCACCAAGGCAATTTCAAGAGGATGCGTCAAGGAAATCCAATGGGTGAGGTTAAATTAAATTCAACATCCAAGCAGCCATTTCATTACCATTTTATATCATCATGTGCCCACCAAATACCAGGCAATGGGCCACAGGGAGCAACCCACTGAACCCCACTCTTCAGAACTGATTCGCAGAAGAGAAATACGTCATAAAATTTAGGAAAATTTCCATGAAAATTCCTAGAAGTTAAAAGAAAAAAAAAGGTAATATACTACACAATATTGACAAACTTCCACTAATCTGAAATAATTTGTTTCCAAATTATGCCAAAGAAAGGGGATGGTTCTGTGTGACTGTCATAGAGATTTCCAGTTTCACATTTTCCTAGAAAGGTCTTCTTGCTTTTCTTCAGTTTCTTGCTTTTATTCTGGAAAGGTAAAAAGGCAGGGAAGGAAGGATATTTTTTCAATGAATCCAAACATGTTTTCCCTACTGATTCATTTTCCAAATTGAATGCTACCAATTTAAACCAGAGCAGCAGAAGGAAAGGAAAAAAAGCCTGATGCTCTGCCGTGAGCACACACATTTGGTGGCCTTTTCGGTGGCAGGCAGTGGACGCAGACAGAGCCCGGGATCCCGCTCATCTCCTCATCCTCTCTCCCACCCGATGGTCAGTACTGTGTGACAGAGACAAAGACAGCAGCCCCCTCCCTCCCTCCAGGTCCCCGTCCTGGCTCAGCTGGGGCAGCGCTCCCACTCCTGCGGTCCCTGGGGCCCGTCCTATCACTTCCCCGCCACCAACGGGGTCACCTCTCTGCCACGCTCTCTCCTGAGCCCTGATGTTCAGGGTGAAGAAGAAATTCAAAGCTGTTGAATGATGATAGGGGTAGTGAATAAAAAAAAATATTAAGTTCCGGCAACAACAACAAAATAAAAGGTGGGGTGGGTGTAGGAGAGAAGGGCTCCTGAAGAATGTGAGAAAGATAAATCGGGCCGGCACTTTGTTTCATTGTCAGGAGCACTCTGGGGTTATTTGAAGCTCTTATTTATGCTCTGTAAGCAGAACAATACTGGAGAAGAAATGATTAAATACCAGCTCTGTGAGCAGCAGACATCTCATTGTGGCGGTGGGCCCACCACTGGGTGGTTTTGATAAAGGCAATATGAGTTGATAACTGATAGAGTTGGCAGGGAGTCATCTGGGGCTGCTGACAGCTCCAGCACTTTAATAAAATCATTAGAATGTAAATGTTTTTATTGCGGAATAAAGAGCCTCCAGCGAAGTTGACACTGCTCTCCCTCCACTGAATGGGAATGCCGATTAGCATTCAAATGATATCATGATAGGCTGGTTATCTTTATTAAAATTTTTCAAATCGAGTCTTCATTTTGCATGATTGAGTTTTAAACAAATGCGATATCCAGTCGGCTGGCGAGCTGGCCTGAACACTCCTGAAATAATTAAAGTGTTCCTTTTATTTTTTTTAAACATGTGTTTCATAAGAAATGAATTGGATTTGCTATTTTAATATGACAATATCTAGTTAGCTTTGCATAAAAACAGGGATGTTATAGCATAATTATTGAAAGTGTACAGCTTTTAAACATATGTTTCATAAAGCTGAATTCAATTTTCTGAAATATGACAATACCAGTCACTTGGTGAAGTGTAAAATCAAGAGATAGCTTGATTATTTAGATCAATTCTGCATAAGTCTTGATAATTGATGGCAGCCCATGCTACTCATACGTGGTATTTCCAGAGGAAGGAAGTCTCTGTTTTCTGAAGGTTTTACACTCCCCTGACTCTGATGGTAGACAAGGACTCAAAATCTTCTTTCAACTCAGGCACTAAGCCATGGTGGCTAACCAGAACAAACTAAACCCTCATTAAATGCTAAGAGAGACTTGGGCAGATCTGGACAATACTGCACTTTCTCGGAGTAGAATCAGTTTATCAATAGACGACTGATAGGGTCCGTTTGACTTTAAATCTCTTCATTTTTCCTTGGTCTGGCATCGTTTCTGCATACTAACCATCCTTAAAAGTCCTATTGTGTTACAGACTCAGCAAACCATTGTTAGCAAGACTTCCACAGATGGTTCTCAGTTATGAGGAGTTGAGACAATCAATAAAATAAATGTGCCTTAAAAATATGTCCCTGGAATAACTGGGGTATTGATTCTAAAAGGGAGGCAGCTGCAGAGCTGGTTTTCTTTGAGGGGTAACATTTGAAGAACTGGCAAAGCATTGTGAATTTGCTTCCCAAAGGGGGGAAGCGCTCCTGGAGAGCTGCTTTCTCTGTCTGTTTATTTTGCGGAGGTAAGATTTTAAGAAAGATGATAATGTCTGTGTTGCCAACCTATATTACCATATCAGCAGAATCTGGATTTTATATATCTTTCTAACCAGGATATGAACTATCAATCAGATGAGTTTAATTGATAGGTAAATTTATATTAATTTGTCTGACTAATAGAGGTAAGGCCAATCTGTGTATAACAAGTTAGGAGTTTAGAAAATGTGATACTAGATTCTGATTTGGCATATATATATCTCATATATATATCTCATATATATATATCTCTCTCAGATATGCATATATACATATCTCAGATATATATATCTGAGATATATATATATATCTGAGATATATATATATATCTGAGATATATATACATACCTGAGATATATATATATATGAGAGAGAGATATATATATACCTGATATATACACATATATATACATACACACACACACACACACACACACACACACATATATATATGTGTATAACCTATGTTCCTAAGTCATAATTTTGGTTTCAATCTCTAGGATCACATTTTAATCACCTCTATACTTAAGGCAGAATGTTGAATACTCAGGATAAATCAAATCATATATTTTTCTACAAATCAATATAATAGAGACGCAGGGTTGGTGGTCAACACAGAAATAGAATTCTTCTATAAGGTACTCAGAATGATGGTACGCATTTTGAGGTTGGAGTTGTTCGGGAAGTCTTTTGAATCATTGCCAGCAACACCTCCCTGTGCTCACAAAAACAATCCCAGATCCTGCCTGAAGAACAACTGACCTGACCGGGTACCCTTGGCGTTTCCAACGTGGACAGATCAAACTAGGGCCACAGGGAGATATAGATTCACGGGGGAGTGCGAATTTAGAAGCACTTTGTGGCAGTCCTCTCTGAGAGGGTACTGTGACCTATTAGCAACTCAAATTTATAGTGAGAAACAAAAATCTGATGTGACGAAGTGAAAAATAGCCCTACTGCTGAAAGTTTGACTGTGAAGGGAGAGCTGGAAATTGAAACAGAAACTGCAACCTTTCAAAATAGCACTGTTAGTTTGAAAATAGATCCATAAAACCAATTACAGACAATCTGAGCTCAAGCTCCTTAACACCTGTATATCCTGACCCAGTGTTCTGTGATAAGACCACAGACAGGCTCACCTACAAATAACTCTGTATAGACTTAAGTTTTCTTAAAACAAGACCAGCGACAGCTCCAGCAGCAGCCTGCTTCCAGATTCTGCCCATTTTTCTGCCAAGATGTCCTTTGAGTAACTCTAGCTCTCAAGCCTTATGTGTAGTTTTCCCTAACTCCCTCCCTGGAACACTCCACAAGTTTCCTGCAGTTTGTGGTTTCTGTGGCTGCAATAAGTGATGTACATAATGAGATGGATGGTAGGTGGTCTCTGATGACCATTGGTGCAAATCCTATTTCAAGAATCTTAATTCTGGCCGGGTGCAGTGGCTCTAATCCCAACACTTTGGGAGGCTGAGGCGGGCGGATCACTTGAGGTCAAGAGTTTGAGAGCAGCCTGACTAACATGGTGAAACCCTACTTCTACTAAAAATACAAAATTAGCTGGGTGTAGTGGCATATGCCTCTAATCCCAGCTACTTGGGAGGCTGAGGCAGGAGAATTGCTTGAACCCAGGAGGCAGAGGTTGCAGTGAGCAGAGATCACACCCTTGCACTATAACCTGGGCAACAAGAGTGAAACTCCGTCTCAAAAGAAAAGAAAAATCTTAATTCCTCCCATTTCCTGGGTGTTTTGAGAGAAGAAAGATTAACAAATAAACTGGACTTTTAAAAGTCTCTGTAGTCACATGAGCCAAGAGAATTACCCTTATCCCTTACCTTGCACCACTGTGGCCATGTAGTCCCATGGCTATGACAGCCACTCAACCCTAGTGCAGGCCAGGTGGGCAGAGGGGTTGGCTGTCCCCCTTAACTGTGGGTAGGAGTCATTTCTCCATAAGTGCCCTCAGCCCCAGCAGAACACTGTTGTTTCTTGATTGAGCCTGCCCTGGGAGTTGAATACTGATATGGTTTGACTGTGTCCCCACCCAAATCTCATCTTGAATTGTAGCTCCCATAATTCCCACATGTCATAGGAGGAACCAGGGGGGAAGGAATTGAATTACGGGCATGGATTCTTTCCCATGCTGTTCTCTTGATAGTGAATAAGTCTCACAAGATCTTATGGTTTTATGAAGGGCAGTTCCCTTGCACATGCTCTCTTGCCTGCTGCCATGTGAGATGTGACTGCTCCTCCTTCACTTCCACCGTGATTGTGAGGCCTCCCCACCGCTGTGAAACTATGAGTCAATTAAACCTCTTTCCTTTATAAATTACCCAGTCTTGGGTATATCTTTATTAGCATCCTGAGAGCAGACTAATACAAATACTGAACCGGATGTGGTGGAAGATGCTGAAGATATGTGTGAAGAGGCCCCTGCCATCCAGGAACACCAGGGAAACAAATAGAGGCCCTCCCTAAGTATGGCCACTGAGCATAGGTACAGCAGAGAGCAGAGAGGAGCAGAGCAGGGGAGCCTGCATTTTCACCTAGAGGCCATAAAATCAACCAAACCAGGCAATCAGTGAGTACAATGGGGGAAACAAAGAATGGCTTTATGGTGTGAAATGGAATGATTTAAAGATTGGTAATTTCCTAAATAGTCTATAGAACCAAGTATAGCATTTGAAGGGTTCTGCCTGATTGGTAAGATAGTAACCATACCACCGAATTTGCAAAATTATGCTTTCAAATATTTACTTTCAGTTCCTAGTTCTGCTAGTAGTTTCTTCTTTTCTTGATTTGTACTTGTTTTAATCAACTGACTTCTATCTAGCCGTATTGCAGGAGCTGGGTTTTATGACCCATTTGATTGACATTAACACCTCTTGAATTAATAATAATTCATATTTAAATTAGGGGGGTTTAATTACAAATGTTATGGTTTGATTTACTTTAGAACTATGGTTATTTTATTCTTTTTCAATCTTTAAATAAGAAAATTTATATTTTAGGTACAACAAAGAAGTGAACAAAAACATCAAGACAGACGTTTCTCACCTGCATCAGTTCTGTGTTTTCTGCATTTGGAATTTCCCAAACTGTTACTGTTTGTTAATTGGATAGTCTTTACTTATTCAAGTTTTATCAGTTTTTTTTAATTGTACTCCCTTAAATTGTTTGCTCTCAGACTAGAGCTAAATCTAGATGAAAATGTGTTGTCACCAAACAGTGAAATAAAATAAAACACAAAAAGCTCTTTATGGCCCACAGCTGGCCATGCTTAAAATCTGGGTTGTGTGATTGCATCAACTCCATTCATCTGAAATAAACAGAGAAGGGGGAAGACAAAGAGGGAAAAAAACCAAGAAACTCTCCTCTCACAGAAACAGTGGCTCCTTTCCCTTCAGACGATTGTATTTATGTAGAGGCCCAGTTATCTTAAAAGTATTCCCTGTGTTTGACAGGAAGACCAGAGTTGGATTACCCACTGATTGTGACCTTTTCTCGTACAGCAGCATGGTTACAGGACACCATCACAAGAAAGGCAGCCCCTATGCTGGCGAGGAGCTCAGAGCATGAGCTACCCATTCACCCAGGAGGTGCTGGAAAAATTGGTGGCCACATCAGTGGGTGGGCCAGAAAAAACACTAAGCTTCCCTCCATCACCTCTTAGAGTTCGTTAGGATTTTAAATGCAAACTCCAAAGGCCGTTCATTGCATGTTGTGTTTTAGTGAATGCTGGTGATCGCGGGCGCCTATTTTAGCCTAAGAAAAGAAGAGGTCAGAAGCCATATGGACATGCACTTGGCCCTGGCAGGTGGAATTGGAAGGCAGAACTTCATGTTCTTCCCTATCTTAAAGAAAGATTATTTGTAGCTCATTGTAATGTCTCATTGTTCTCATTTGTTTTGCTAACACATCTCATTACCATACATTTGAATCTAAAGTCAGAAAGGATACTGATATGCCCAATGCCAGGTCTCACCTGATTTCTAGGTCCTGCCAGTCACACCCTACTAGGAAAAGCCCATTTCTCCTATTAGAGTCCTGTGCCTTCTCTAAACAAATATTCAATTTTCCATATTAGTATTAACAAACATTGGCCCTCTCAGTGGTGACAACACCAAACAAATTGTCAGGAGAAGGAGGAAGGTTTTTGTTTCTTCTCCAGCAGCTGGATTTAGAAAAGAAGACAGGCGTGAAATGTGTGGGTAGATCTGTTTCAACAATGGCAAGAACTACCAATTGTGTAATCCAGTTTCAGCAGGGGATTTCTCTTTATCTTAATAACTAGTGAAATGGGTGGACCTCAAATTTCATTTCAGTTTGGAAACAGGCCCAACATTTTGGAGATGTTTATTCCAAATTCAGCCAACTTTATAAACCTCTTCAGGCTCTAAAATCTTTCTGGGAATTGCACCAAAGCAGATTTTTTGGTGAGATCTAATCCTTCCGGCTTCTGGAACAGCCTCCCTCTGAATCCTTCAATAATTCAATCTTTAATCCAGACCAGAAGAAAGAACATGGGCAATTCTGGAAAGAAAAAAATTAAAAATTACCTGTAAGACCTTAGGCCTACATTTTAGATAAAGTTTCCAGGAAGTTCTGACTGTAGACCAATTGCACATCCATGTCTAACAACTTGAGTCAGTCCCTTCCGTGGAGTTTGTGTGATTTGCTCTTGAGGCGTAAGGAGAAGGACATGCCCCAACATGCCCCGATGCTTCCAAACAAGGAATGTTATGAATCGGTACGCATTTTAACATTCAGGTTACTGTTTTTGCAAAGCATCTCCTCAACTTTCGCAGTCTTTACTAACTTTGGAGATAAGCAAAGTCTTTTTGTGCCCCAAGGTTCACTTTGTCCCGTGGAAAGCACATTAAGAATGTACCCTGCATGCCAGTCACCCCCACGACAGCTTCAGTTCAGGCTGGTTTGCCATATCTGTGCTTAATTTTGAGGTGCCTTCTAGTTTTTCTTGAATTAATTATGTCCAAAGATGTAGGAAAGTTGAAAGTGCAAAGCTGTACGAGCGCAAATAAATATCTAGTTTAGTAACTGGAAGTAGCAGAGAAACCAACATGTTGCACAAAAACAGTGATCAATCACTCGGTAATGAAACAAATCTGAAAGGCTAGACTGGATCTTGCCTGTAGCACTTGGACAACGTGAGGCTGTGTCATCCATGGGGATCAGCAGGAGAGGAAAAGCAAAGAGTCCATGGAACAAAGGATGGGCAATCACTGCAGATGTTAGGAGCTGCATGTCAATGCAGGGGTCCCCAGACTCCTGGGGGACTCAGGCGAAGGGCTCTAAGGGTTGTTCCGAACATGGTGCCTCTGGGAGATCAAGGCCCAGCCCTTTCTGCCCAGCATCGAAGTGGGCAGGATGGAGAGGAGATTAGAAGGCTCACTCTTGGAGCTGCCCGGGAAAATGAACAGGTTCTCCTGGCTTCTGAAGCAGCTCCATTCTGGAAAAGGGCATCCAAGAGCCTGCCCATGTACAGTAGGAGAAGAGAAGGCTTTGCTTCAGTATGCCCTGAGCCCACCGGCTCTGTATTTGATCATAAATCCACCCAGGAAGTAGCTTGGAAACGTCCTTGTCACTTGGGACTTGCAAGAACAAAACAAAACAAATTGAAAACAAAAGCACAGACTGGAAAAGCCTGTGATTCATCGGTTTCTAAGAAGGGGTTTTTGTCCATTGTGAGAGGCCAGAATTTGAGTTTAGATAATAGAATAGAATTATTCATTGACTGATTAACTAGTCAGTCTATGGGCTTTTCTGAGAGCCCTTTCTGTGTACAGGCAGCAGGCTAAGGACATAAAGGGACATCAGGATGAACAAAGCAACACTGCTGTTCTTGATGGGGAAAGAGGAGACCCACAGACAGGTCATTGCCACCGGACGGAGTGACAGGGAACTGGGTAGCCCTGAGAGCATTCTCAGTGGGACCCAGGCCAGGGAGGAGCTGGCATTTGGTTGAGATAACCACCGGCTTTGTAGGGAAGGATCTGAATTTTTTTCTGAGTTCTCATCACGTGTGAATTCTGTTTCTTCCCTTCCAACGTGGGATAAATTATAGAAACTAATAGGACATTTGTGACACCCCATGTATCATAGATGGTAACGATCTGAAATATTTGATTAGTTCATTCTATTTTTGATTGCGGTAAAATACATACAACATTTACCATCTTAGAGATTTAAATGTACACTTCTGTGGTGTCAAGTTCCATTCGTATTGTGTGCAGCCATCCCCACCATCTATCTCCAGAACGTTTTTCATTTTGCAAAACTGAAATTCTGCACCCATCTCCCCTCAGTGCCTGCAACCACTTTCTCTGAACTTGACTATTCTAAGTACCTCATGAGTAACATCCTATGGCGTCTGCCCTTTTGTGACGGACTTGTTTCACTCGAGGCAATGTCCTCAAGCTACGGCCGTGATGTATCATGCATCAGAATTCCCTCCTTTTCTAAGGCCGAATAGTATCTCACCATAAGTGTATTCCACGTTTTCTATGTCCGTTCATCTATCTGTAAGTCACTGGATTGCTTCCACCTTTTGGTTATTGTGAATAATGCTGCTGTGGACATTTTTTATTTTTAGACATCAAAGTTTAAACCCACGTTTTGCCTGGCATGGTGTTGCCAGCCTATAGTCCAAGCTACTTGAGAGACTGAGATGGGAGGATCCCTTGAGCCCCGGAGTTCAAGGTCGGCCTTAGCAACAGAGTGAGTTCTTGTCTCTGAAAAGAAAAAGAAGTTTAAACCCTCACTTCACGTTCGTACTTGGCTCCATATGCAAGCCCCCTACCTTTCTCCTCTGATGACACACCATCCTGAGGTTGGTGGTTCTCCTCCTCAGATATGTTATTCAAATTGTCAGCTTGTCTGTGTGCTTCCAAGCTATACACATTGTTTTGTGTCTTTTTAAATTGATACAAAACTGATATTGTATAGTTCTGCAATAGATTAAGCATATTTTCTATTTTGAAAGATGAGAGACAAGGATAAAAGAAAATCAAACTTTTAACAAAATTTAGTTGAGAGTAGAAGTATAAATTCTGCTAATTTGGTCAATAATTTTTATAGCTTTTATTTTCCTTTGGTTACCTTACTTAGTACCAGAGACACAATTAACTTAAAATGAATTATCAAAAGAAGTCTTCAAAATACCATTGCTTTTTCATAAATGAGAGCTCCCTGGGGACATATCTATGGGAAGGAAGCACATCAGGCTACCCCGTGTTAATTACGGTAACGCTAGCCGCCATGACAGATCGGAGGCTCAGCTGTGTGAGGCTTCATTTCTCACACACATAAACCCCATCTGGGGCTAGGTGCGGAGGCAGTTGTCGCTGCAGTCTCTGGAGACCAAGTTAGCAGCCCCGCCACCTCCACCATGTGGCTTCCAGGGTGTCCTGGGTGTGGCCATCCAGCAGGTGGACAGGAGAGAAACCAGCTGAGAAGTTGATGCAGGAAACATCTGGGGCCAGGTTCAGAGGGACCAGCGCTGCCCTTGTGGGCCTGCAGACAGCCAAGACGCAGCCACCAGCACAGCTAATCCCGGGGCCTGGGCAGAGTGGGGTGGGCGACGTGGCCGTGCGGGAGTACAGTTGTGCACGTGGGGAAGAGGAAGGGGGTTTGTGGGCAGCAGGGTGCCCTTTTCCATATTAATTTCACTGCTAATCCTCCGTGCCGCACCCCACCCGTGGGGAAGCACCTGTCTCACACAGCAGGAAAGCCTCCACTCATCAGTCACTTAGGGGAAGTGTGACACTGCAAGCCTCTGGTCCTTTGGGGTTCCTGGTTTTTTCCATAGCATCTGAGCAGCAAGCATCAATTTCTCTGAATAGGCCTCACCCCCCGCAGGGCAACCAACACCCTTCTGAGCTTCCTTCTCCCTGCTGGACTCCCTGATTTCCATCTTCCCTATTTTCTTTCTGCTCTTCTATTTCTTTTCCCTTCTTAAAGGCTCCCCCTGGTTTTGTAAGGTCTAGAAGTAACCTATGGACAAGGTAGGAAGGCTGGTGAGGGGCCGGGGTCGTCGCTGAGGCCCCGTTTTTGCTGCTATCAGGCTGAATTCCACAAGAAATGTCCTCGGCGTCACTGTCACTGCTCCCAGGATTGCTCGCCCCACGGAAGACACTGGTGGCCAAGAGCCACACTGGCTTCTGGTCCAGAGTTCACCAGACAGAGCAAGCCCAGATGGTCCCAGTTGCATAAGTGTGGTGCAGGCTCCCCGGGGCCCTGCAAGCTGGGATCACTCCTCCTGGCCCTCACGTGAAGGACCCTTGCGGGTCCAAGATATCCCCATTCCCAGAAGGCGGTTTGGCCGCTCACCCCGCCTGGCTGCCCACGTAAGCCACAGCAACACATGAGCGAGAAGAAAAAAGTCTTCTGTTTCATGTTAAAAAGTACAAATATGATATTATTGATTCAGAAAGGAAATGTGCTGAGCGAGGACTCAAAGTACAGCTGAATCGAACCCCGGGGACAGCTTATGGGATGGAATATGAGTACAGCTTTAGAATGAAAACAGATGTTGCTCTTCACGAAACTAAAAAAAAGTTTTTAAAATTTGCATTTTTGGTCAAAGCGGCAGCAGGCTAACACCTGGACAATGGATTTCACAAAGAAAATGTCCAATTGTCTTGAGAATGCTGCAGAGAGAGGAAAAAGGTAGCTCAGATCTTGCAGAGGAGCAGGACGCGCGTGGAGGCTCCCGCTACTCCGAGAGGAAGAAAGGGCTCCGCGCCACGCTCACATCATACGATGACTAGAAGACAAATGGAAATGGAAGGCCCATCAGAGGGGCAGCTGGAACACGCATCTCATTTCTATGCATGGAGTTTCTGCAGGCTCAGAAGCACAACCTGGCCCCTTTTTCTTGCAAAGTTAAACTCTCCCATGCTTATGTCAAATCAACCAGGCATTTTTTTTTTAGGTCTGAAAGATTCTTTGCCTTCACTCATCTGTCACTGCTGTCATCAGTACTTACAGTATTTCACCTGCAACTTGCAATGTGCTTACTAAGGTCTTTTATCCTATCCATGTCAAAATAGTTTGATACTCAGTGTAATATCACAAAGAAAAGATTCTCAGGGGAAAGCTTTAGGAGATGCCTCTGTTTTTAACCCTGTTTCCAGAAATAGTTAGATACAAACATTTTCACTTAGTTATTTTGCTTTCCAAGTGAGAGAATGACTTCTGATACTTGGACATGATTTTGTGAAGCACTTTGGACACAAATTTGAGAATCAGCACTTGGCTATCAGAGACTTGTACTGTATTGACCATGTGGTGACCAGATTTTAGCAATCTTAGAGCCTCTTGGTCAATGGCTATGTTTCCTGTGTGTATTTACTGCCCATTAACAAATAGAATTTACACTGGGCCAGTGATTGCCACTTGGGAGCCATTGGCAACTTTTCCCAGGATCCCGTTGAGCCTGTGGAAGGAGACTTTGTCTCCAAAGTCAGGCTCTGGGGTTGCAGTTGCTGCCTTTGTCTTGCTGGTGTGGGCATGACTTGCTATCTATAAAATATGTGAAGAGGAGCAAAAGAGGGAGAAACCAGGCTTCTTTCTTGGTCTTCCCTGTCTTCCCAAAGAGAGGAAACTTAAAGAGGTCATCCCTCAGATACAAGAAAAAATATCATTCTTTTCCATCTCCTCTCTGCCCCTTGTCTTTTTTCAGCCACTCCTGTGTTATGTACTGTCACTGTGCAAAGGAAGAACACAGTAACCTCCTACATCACGTAGGCCATCCTCTCACAACACCAACAGCTTGTGCGTGTCTGCACACCCCAATCTCCCCCTGCAACCGGGACTTGCATCAGAGACCCAGGAAGGGAGTTCAAGAGTGAAACAAGGATCCCAGGAGCTTCCTAAAGGGCCATCAGCTTGACAACATCCTCCACTATAATTTATACAAAAAACAATCCTAGCAAATAAATAATTGTTTTTAAATATTGATGGGGATTATGAGAGGAAATCTAACACTAAGTCAAGTGTGGACTCTTCCAAATTATCCTGGAATTATCAGTCATCATGCTTACAGGTGCTCGTGGGTAAATCATATGAAGTATCCCAATAATCTGAGTGATAGGAAAGTCCAGAGTGCAATGGGGTGAAAGAGACCCCAGAATAAAGAGATGACTCCACAGGAATAACAAGGACAGCTGCACATGCGAGCTGCGCACTTACTGTGGGGCAGGCCTGCATCCCGGGCTTCCCAGGCACCATCCCCCTGAGCCACTGATGACCGGTGGCTGCGGATGCTGTTGTCCAAGATTCAAGCCCAGGCCTGTCAGGCCCCACAGGAGAGCCAGCCTCCAGGCTTTCCTAGCATCTCCCTGACATCTACCTCATTGGTGGACAAAAGTCCAGAATGAAATTTAGTTACATTTGTTGCTGTAAACCATTGCGTTTGGTCTAAATATCAGGTATCGGAAGTGTGCACCAGGATCACCTGCAGGAAGGAAACCCAGGTGTGAACCGTTCCTGCAGTGCCACGTGGCCTTGGCAGGAAACGTGCTAAGAGAAGCCTCAGTCCTGGAGAGCCTGGCCTGGCCTTCGGGGTCTCAGGAGCCAGTGCCATGTCTGCAGGCTGCCGAGGTGCCTCTCAGCCCCTTTTTTTCCTTCTATGCCCCAGGAGGCTGAGACCTCCTGGTATCCCCAAAAGCCATAAGGATCAAGCCCCAGTATTACAGCTATCAGACCAAGAGTGGTAAAAACACATTTTGGGACAAATACAATAAAATGATGTAAGATACTTAGACTCAAAGTTTTCATTTCTTTAGCTCTTGCAAATCCTAAGTTGTAATACAGTCGTGTGTTTCTTAATGAAAGGGCTACATTCTTAGAACTTTGTTTATAGAGGACCTCATTTGCGTATAAGCATCACAGAGAGTATTTACACAAACCTAGACGGAGTAGCCTACTGCCCACCTTGGCTATGTGTGTGGCCTCTTGCTCCCAGGTTACAAACCTGTACAGCATGCGGCTCTATGGAACACTGCGAGCAATTGTAACTCAGTGGTGAGTATTTGTACATCTAAACATAGAAAAGATACAGTAAAATATGATACAAAAGATAAAAATATGGGACGCCTGAATAGGGTACTTACCAGGAATGAAGCTTTCAGGACTGCAAGAAGCTCTGGGTGAGTCAGTGAGTGGTGACTGAATGTGAAGGCCCAGGACACGATTACACTACAGTGGACTTCAGAAACACCGGACACTTAGGCTACATTCTGTTTATTTAATTGTTTTATTCAATAATAAATTAACCTTAGCTGACTGGATTTTTTTTCCTACTTTATAACCTTCTTAGTTGTTTTTTTTTTTTAACTTTTCAACTCTTGGTAGTAACCCTTAGCTTAAAGCACAAACACATTGTAGGGCTGTACAAAAATATTTTCTTTCTCTGTATCATTATTATATGAGCTTTTTTCTATTTTTATTTTTTAATTGATTAATTAATTGTTTTGTTGTTAAAATTGAGATACATACACAAACCTTGACCTAGGCCTGCACTGGTCAGGATCATGAATGTCACTTCCTTACACCTCCACATCTTGTCCCACTGGAAGACCGTCAGGGGAAGTCACAGCTCCATCATCATCAGGGGATCAGGATCATCCATGGGGGTCCATTGTTGACTGAAACGTGGCTATGTGGTACAAGACTGTCTATGCATGGCTTTCAAATAGGAATCTGTTTGATGCCATGCCTTTCTGTTTGATGGCTTTGCTAACACAGTCGCCTGTTATTTATCCTTCTCAGCTCCCTTTCCCTCTGCCCCCTAAAAGAAAAATCCTCACTAGTGGCAGGCTGCTGTGGTGGGGTTCTTTTTGCTTTACCAGGAGGAAACAGTGACAGTGAACATTCAAGGAGGCCACTACAGAAGTTTCCCGAAGATGAACACGTCTCAGCTCACTTGCTACTCCCAGTGCACATCATGGGGTCCCTGGATTTCCTTGTGAGTTTGTGGGTCACAGGCAGTGGGAACGGCCATAGTTGGCCACAAGGGGCCTGTGGGGGAAGTGTTCGGTTGACCCAACTTCAGAGGTGACCACAATAACCTAACACAAAGAGGAACGTAAATTGGCAGAAAAACACAGTGTAATAGACCTGCCCAAACTGCGCTCAAGGGGCCCCCAGGGACCCGCCAATCCATGCAAGAAGAATGGTACCCGCTGGAAGGGGCGCAGCAAGATGAATCACCACCGCCATGCAGATTTAGCGCGTTCGGGGGAAAGATAAATGTGTAAAACGCTGTGTCAAACCCATGGTGTGGCCCACACGGCAATTCAGGGTCAGAAATTGAACTCCACTCTAATTATCCTGGGGAGATAATATTAACTTACAGTCGGGAGTGAGAGGGAGAGTCCATAACTCATCACTCCATGGGCTGCTCCTCGCATTGTGTTATTGAAATATGAGGGCTCCATTTTTATCCTGTCATAATGACAACTGATGTGCTTATTTTCTTTCTGCGCCCCTCTAGGGGATGATGAAATAGTAAGCAAACATTCTTTCTGGTGAAAGAGCAGCACTTTATCACGCTGGCTTCGGCTCTGAAACAGCACTTGCAAACTCAGAAACAATTCCGGGAGCAGAGCTGTCCCCTGGCCCTTCAGCCGTGGGCCATGGACCTGCCACCCTTGCTTTGCTCCATGATGATTCTAGCCCCATCTTGACTCAAAAACACGATTCTGTGACTCACTTCTCAGGAATTGTAAGCATCCAGGCCTCTTTAATTTGCTCCCGTCTCAGGGTGGAGTGTTCAGGAAGGGATAGAGATTTATTAAAAACTTAACTCTCATTTGATTGCTGTGTTTACTGATCCGACTTCAGAACACCGCATTTCTCACTTCTTGTAATGGACTGTCAGAGCAGCTGTGCCTGTGGGTTTGGAGTCCTAGGCAGCAGGATTATTTTCCACCTTTTTGACATTGTTCCACGCAGTCACATTTTATTCTTTTTATTTATTATTTTTTTGTCAAAAATCTGTCTTTGCATCCTGTGAAGCATTCTTAATAAACTATGCACCAATGCAGGAATAAAAGTCACTGCCTCAAAACTTAAAGATTAAGTCCCATGCAATTCAAAATAAACACTTTTTCTCTGATTATTTGAAATAAGGTTGAAGCCTGTCTTCCAGTGAGTGGGAAGGAAAGGGGGTATTCTAGTATCCGGAAGAAGGAGCAAGAAGGGGCATGGAGGAGCTGGAAGCCCCTTTCAAGACAGCGGGACCCTGAGCCTTGACCCCAAGAGAAGAAATGTGAAAACAAACTCATCTTCAATTAAGAGAATAAGCAATTGGGTCACAAGTGTCTGATTGTAAAGGCTGCTGAGAGCCTGAGAACCAGGATGGAAGAAGAATAGATGGCAGCCCCCCCACCCCCTCCCTGGAGCCTCTCAGGACCAGCAAATTAATGGGGATTTTAGTTCTCAGGGAGATGGTGAAGCCCTCCACCCTCCCTCTGGGGAAGTTTATACAAAATTCGACAGCTTGCTATTTTAATTGAGAACAGAAAGCTAGTGCAGAATCCAAGATCTCAGGGAAACAAGGAAGTTTGTCTAAAATAATTGTCACTTGGTACTTGACCTCTTAGTGCTGAAGCATGCTAGGAGGGCAGAAGTGTTTGCTCTGTTATTGGCTAAGCAGGAGTTGGATTCCTTCCTCCAGGGCAGCTTCTCCCAGGTACATATCAGCTTTCATTGGTTGGTCTTAACAGGCTCCCAAGACAGGATTAGGCCTGAGAGGATAATATAGTTTCACACCAATTGCAGGACCCAGGAACGAGGTACCACATCATCCTTTTTCTGCTCTTATAGCCTCAGCCAGTGAAGTCAATGAAATAAAGAGTGATGCTGCATTTTTAAGACAACTTGAGGGACAGGTGTAGCCTAACAGCATATGTGTGTATTTGGAGTTACTGAGAAGGCAGTGTGCACACACCCACATAAACCTATTAAAATCTGCTTGCACTCCTGAAGTCACTGATCACATTTCAGGGTCACCGTGGCAAGGTAGTGTCTGTGCCCTCAATTATTCTGATTCCTGGACTAGATAATCAGAAGGACATTGCTTATTCACAATCAACAGGGTCAGGTTTTCCAGTGGGGGGAGTAAAGGACATTCCTATCTAAATATTTGGGTTTTATGGTCAGTTGTAACCTTGACACAGGAATAAATACACAAAGCAAAGCACCTGGGGGCTAAAATAATAGCTT
The DNA here is from genome assembly GCF_000001405.40 of Homo sapiens. NCBI lineage: Eukaryota > Metazoa > Chordata > Mammalia > Primates > Hominidae > Homo > Homo sapiens. The sequence continues at coordinate 4,029,148 of NC_000005.10, forward strand.
AGTCAGAGACCTAAGCTACAGTGCAGTGAATGAATTAAAATTCTAGTAGTCATAGAGACAACTGATTCCAATCAGCAAGGTTCATGTTGATGCCAAAGATGTCGGCCCTTCTGCACAGGAGTCAGTGGACTGGGAGTGAGAAGGCATTTGTTACACCAGGTTCCCCATACCCCTGGCTGCAGTGCTATCCTGGACATCAAATTTACTCATGCCAATGGCTATTTCCCTATAGATAGCCAGGCATCATTCTCACAAGTCTGTTGACTCAAAGTTGCTTTCGGTTTCCTAAACACAATTTTAAAACATTGACTTTCTTTAGAGATGTCCCAGTCAGCTGGGAAGACAAAATAGCACTTTAAAAAGACATTAAGTTCATATTTACATGAGCCATCATGACAGCCTGGCAAGGCATGACTGTCTGTAAAGTATTATATATTTTTAAGAGTGCTCATAATTTACGTTTTAAAATTTTCTTTCTACACATTTACAGTATATAATGGAAGCTTCCAACATTTATAACAGAACAGCCGTGACCTGCTAGCTAAATGGTATGCAAGATTCTATAAATTACAGTCTGAAATTTGTCCTAATGTTCAAGTATTTCTGTGACAGATTTTCCTCCAAGAAAAATTGGAAAGAAATGGGAAAACGTATAATCTGTTATAACTGTGTTAAGGGCAGGACTAGAACATTACTCTCAAGGTACTTCAGGTGGCAAATGGGAGGATATTTATTTGGTGGTTTATTCTACTAAGCTTAGACTTTTCTTATTTTTATAGACTCAAGTCAACAACTACAGGCATCTCAATAGACATATCAGGCAGTGCTCTGAAAATGTTGTTCAAGATAACATAAGCTCACTCCCCAACATCCCTGCCTAACACCATGTGTTTGCCTCTTCTGGTTCTAGTCTCTCTGGGGTCAGACTCACCTGGGGTAAGGGAATTTCTCAGCTCCCTTAAAGTTAGATGTGATGATGTAAATAAGTTTTAGAGACGACTGTAATTGCAAATTCTCTGTGCTATCTCTTGGGAAATGTCCTTTTAAAGAGGTGGCCCCTGCACCTTCTTGCCACTGGCTTCCAGCTTTTCTTTTGAGATGTGATTCTTGGCTGGGTGTGGTGGCTCACGCCTGTAATCCTAGCACTTTGGGAGGCTGAGGTGGGAGGATCATCTGAGTTTGGGAGTTTGAGACCAGCCTGGGTAACATGATAAAACTCCATCTCTATTAAAAATACAAAAATACAAAAATTAGGTATGGTGGCACGTGCCTGTAATCCAAGCTACTTGGGAGGCTGAGGCAGGAGAATCACTTAAACTCAGGAAATGGAGGTTGCAGTGAGCTGAGAGTGCCACTGCACTCCAGCCTAGGTGGCAGAGTGAGAATCCATCTCAGAAAAAGGAAAAGAAAAGAAAGGAAAAGAAAAGGAAAGGAAAAGAAAAGGAAAAAGAAAAAGAAAAAAGAGAAAGAGAAAAAAAGAGAAAAAGAAAAAGAAAGAAAAAGAAAACAACTGTGATTCTGGTGAGGAAAAGACCTATGGAACATGCGGAGGGCCCACCCCTGGGGCATGAAAGAGCAGAATAGCTTGAGTTCATGATACTTGCTGTGGGTTTCTACCATCCAAATTTTGGTGTAAAGCAGAGATCGGCAAAGTATTTCTGCAAAGGGCCAGAGAGCAGATATTTTGGCTTGCAGACTGGGATGTCTCCTTCACAATTACCTGATGCAACTGCAGTAATGAAAAAGCATCCATGGATAATATGTAAATAAATGGGTGAAGCTGGAATCCAGTAAAACTTTATTTTCAAAAACAGGCTGGAGGCTGGATTTGAGTGGGCACAGTTTGCTCACTCCACCTGTAAGGAATCTTAAAATATTGGTTTTGCTTGAGTTTTTATGGGTCTCTGTTACTCATAGTCAAAGCTAATCCTAACTGCTGGGAGTCCTCATCACATGGTTATTTATAGTCTAGACCTTTTCCTTTTCTTTCTCTCCTTACCCTTCTGGAGTCTCCCTGCCTCTCTCTTTCTAACACACCTACTTTCTTTTTCTCTCATCTCTTTTCATTTTTATTGCCTTTAGCATATTTATTTCTTCCTTATAACCCCTGTGCTTTATCAGCAGTAGCCCTGGTCATACCTTGATTGCAGGAGTCTAAGGAGATTGTGGAATGAAAAATGTATTAAGTGTGGCAAGTCTCCCTGAACTTAGACCTCTCACACATATGTAACTTTTTCCTTAAGTGCTTTGTTTCCAAAAGGCTACGTATTGCCATTCAGAAGGTAAGAACTCAAAAGAAAAGCAAACTCTTTCATAGAGAAAATGAGCATGGAACTATCTAAGCACAATGTGTCACCCTTGGTCTGAATGTGACTTTTTGAGATATAGTGCAATCCTTAGCTCCTGACTGTACTAAATAAAACATTCAAAACACACAAAATAAGGCACCCAGAAATCCCATCCATCTCCAATCAAAATAATACTCTCCTGTTCTAAGATAATTTTGACCCCGGTAAACTGAGATTTTTTCCCCATTCTGTATTGTTTGTACAGAAAGAACATTTCACTGGGAAAAGGCAATCAGCTTTTTATTCACTGGCTAGAGAACTGAGACGATTTTTCATTCTAAGTTTACCTTTCTTCTGACTAATGGAAGGCATGGGGTTTTTAAGGACTAGATGCAGAGTGGGAGAGGAATGTTAGCCTGTGTAGGGTGGGACTCTAGACCACAGGCTCAACTTATAAACATTTGTCTTTATATATCACATACACAAAATGGTAGAGATTTTCCTTCAGGGTAGGGAATTTTAGCATTATAATTATATGTTAATGATGTGAAGGCAAGTAGGGGTCTCCTTTTCCCATGTTTGCCAGTTTTTTGGGGTCTTAACATCCTGTAGCATATGGTCAGGGTTTAACAAGCTCTGGTACCATCTCAGATCATCTGGTTCCTCTAAGCAGTCATGTCTATAAATAAAAAGATTAAAGAAAAAGACAGTAAAAACGAAGAACCCTCCCCAGTTATGCCATCAGGGCTGCCCTGATACCATTTCATTCATATATCTAGTGCAGTCTCAAGCTGGCTTCTCTTCCTCTCTTGTTTCTCTTATCAGATGGGAACATAGATGTAGACCTCACCATGGTAAACTGATGATTGCTCTGCTTCTGACTTATTAACAAATGTTATTTGAACAAGAGATGGGGGATACGGAGACTTGAACATTTGCTTTTGTTGATAATTATGCAATTTTCTTATATTTTCTTTTCAATTCTTCCATCATCAAAATTGGACTAAAGTATTTGTCATAAAAATCCAAGGTAAAATCCTATGTTTTGGACAGACTCAGGAGTGGAGGACCCCAAATGTAGGCTCTGTGAGGACAAGAGCTGGGTTTCCTCCATTCACTACTGTGTGTACATCATCAGACCCCTGGGAGTCTGGAGTTCATTCCTGATAGATCTGTGCCCAATGAATAAACCAATTGGTGAAATAATTCAATTTGCAGGCCTTGTCATTACTTTTTCATGCCCAATATTAGGAGAAAAAAACTATTCTAAAAATATTATAATAATTATTTCAAAACCACAATGAAAGCAGCATATGATATGACAGGTCAGTGAAGAAAATATATCGAGAGATTTGGCATTTAACAATGAAAAATATTTTTTAGTAAGATTAATTTTATTAAAACATAATGTCTTATATGTTAATTATATGCTCCATTAAAATTTTCTCAAAGATAAAGAGTCTCAGGTCTTATGAATATCTCAAAACGAGTTAGAAAAATAAAATACAAGGAAAAAAACAAATGGAGAATTGATGACACATCTTTCAAATATGTTCACAGATCTTAAGTATGGACCAACCTCTCAGTATAAAGAGGTTATGCAAAAGAGTTGTAGGTGTGTTATTTGCTTTAGTTTCGTGTATTATTGAATACAGATGATGATACATGAAGAAGATTTTTTTAAATGGTAAATTATGTCAAATTTAATGAAGAATTAATACTTTTTTTTTTAAAGTTCTGGGTACATTTTCAAGATGTGCAGTTTGTATGCCACAGTGGTTTGCTGCACCTATCAACCCATCACCGAGGTATTGAGACCAGCATGAATTAGCTATTTTTTTCTAATACTCTCCTTTCCCCCACCCCATCCCCTGACAGGTACCAGTGTGTGTTGTTCCTCTCCCTGCGTCCATGTGATCTCGTTGTTCAACTCTCACTTACAAGTGAGAACACGCAGTGTTTGATTTCCTGTTCCTGCTTTAGTTTGCTGAGTATAACGGCTTCCAGCTTCATCCATGTCCCTGCAATGGACATCCTTTTTATATCTGCATAGTATTCCATGATATATATGTACCACATTTTCTTTATCTAGTCTATCATTGATGGGTATTTGGATTGATTCCATGTCCTTGCTATTGTGAATAGTGCTTCAATGAACATATGTGTGCATGTATCTTTGTAATAGAATGATTTATATTCCTTTAGGTATATATCCAGTAATGGGATTGCTGAGTCAGATGGTATTTGTGGTTCTAGATTTTTGAGGACTCGCCACACCATCTTCCACAATGATTGAAGTGATTTACATTCCAACCAACAGTGTAAAAGCATTCCTATTTCTGCACAATCTTGCCAGCATCTGATGTTTCTTGACTTTTTAATAAGGGCCATTCTGACTGATGTGATGTATCTCATTGTGGTTTTGATTTGCATTTCTCTAATGATCAATGATGTTGAGCTTTTCCTTCATATGTTTGGTGGTTGTATAAATGTCTTATTTTGAGAAGTGTCTGTTCATATTTTTGACCACTTTTTAATGGTTTTTTTTCTTGTAAATTTGTTTGAGTTCCTTGTAGATTCTGGATATTAGACCTTTGTCAGATGGATAGATGGAAAAACAATTGAAAAGGAGGGACTCCTCCCTAATTCATTTTATGAGTCCAGCATCATCCTGATACCAAAACCTGGAGAGATACAACAAAAAAAGAAAACTTCAGGCCAATATCTCTTATGAACATCAATAAAGATGAATTTTAAAGAGAAATGCTAATGTCAACAGAGAGTTACAGATAGACTGTCAGGATGATTTTGATGAGCACAAGTTAAGTTTGTCAGGATTGTCACATGTTTTTGAGTTATAATGAAAATTTAATGAATAAATCAGCATTTGACTTAAATCTTTAAAGCATGTGAATGATTTAGACAGGAGAGGTGTGGATGAGGAGAAGACTAAACAAAGCCACAAGGATCCTTGACTATCATCTGAGGTTGGCTCCTCCCAAGGCTGAGTGAGAGACAATGGCCTGGGTGGTGCTTCCAGGATGCACTGGGAGGAGGAGTGAGGAGAAGGACCCAACTCCACCAGGGCTTCTGGGAGACTGGGAAGTACAGGTTCCAGAAGAATCTGGGGGTTTATCCCCCAACTCTCTTTTATTTTTGGAGAGAGCTGCTCCTACAAATGTTAATTCCGTGGTAATTTCAGCCTGCCCTAGGACCTGCAGAGAAAACCCTCAGGCAGGGAATGTCCAAGGTTAGAACAAGCTTCATTTACAAGACCTCTGAGTGAAGAGGTTTAATGAGTAGAAAGTCGATAGTGTTTGCTGTTATTGTAAGCAATCTTCCAAAAGCATTGGAAGATTGCTATTATTGCAGTTTTCCAATGTTTTTAGAATATTTAAATTTTGTTTGTTTTTGTTTTTGTTTTTTGAGATGGAATCTTGCTCTGTTGCCCAGGCTGTAGTGCAGTGACACAACCTTGGCTCACTGCAACCTCCACCTCCCAGGTTCAAGTGATTCTACTGCCTTAGCCTCCCAAGTAGCTGAGACCACCATGCCCAGCTAATTTTTTGTATTTTTAGTAGAGATGGGGTTTCACCATGTTAGCCAGGATGGTTTTGATTTCCTGACCTTTTGACCTGCCTGCCTTGGCCTCCCAAAATGCTGGGATTACAGGCGTGAGCCACTGTGTCCAGCCAAAAGATTTAATTTTTAAAGGAATATAGGAATTTTCTTATATTCCTATATCCTTACTTTTAAAAAGCAAAAGGCATTGATTGTTGTTGTTGTTAATTGAAGAAAGACACACATTCTAGGGATGTTCACTCTTAATTCTTTATGGATAACCTAAAGCTCAGGTTCCACATGATCAATGTTATTTCCCAGAAATGTAACTGTATAAAAAAATTCAACAAAATTCATAAGAAGTTTACAGAATTCAAACTCTTTACATGATAGAATATAAAATATATTTAAAAATACTAAGCATGCAAAAGCTTAGGGAAATTGACCAATAAGAAGAAGAAAAACATTCAATAGCACACACACAGAAGATATAGATGTGGGATTTAGCAAGCATAGATACTAAAAGAGCCATAGTTATGTTGAGGCATTCATGGAAAAGCTGCACAGAATGGGTGAGCAGAGGGGGAATCCCAGCAGTGGCATGTTAACTATCCTGTCAAGGAAGGGAATGCTTTATGGGGACCTAAAAGTCAACACTGTCCAACCCAGAATTAATCATTCATTCACCCAACACACATTTTCCCAGGGGCTAGTCTCTGCTAGCCAATCTTCTAGGCTATGGAGACCCAGGAACCCTGAATAGTTCACATTCAGGTAATATCTAATTAAATAGAAAATATGTCAGTCAATAATTTCATATGCTGTAGGAAAAATAAATAAATAAGTAATAAAGATAGAGATTTGCGAGGGATGCTATTTCAGATAGCAATTTCTTGGAGGCAGAAAAAGCTCTTTCACCACTGAGGACCAGCAGACAGGTATGGAAGACCATTGAGTGAATGGTGGGAGATTAAGCCAAGCAAGAGTTGGGGACAGAAGGTCATTTTTGTTCACTCGTACCTCTGAGAAGGATGCTTCTGCATTGCCAAGGTAATGTCTTCACTTATACCTAGAACTGACTGAAAATGCACAGAACGGGTGAGGAGTTGTGATTCCTCCATTCACTCTTGTGTCTACAGCACCAGATCCCTGGGAGGGGGTCTACTCTCTCAACTTCTCTGGGACAGGTGTATATATTATAAGTTACAGGTAGATTCTTGGATCCAATATAAACGCAAGGAGGATGCAGGGGTTGGGGTTTGGGGGAGGAAATCTCCTGTCCTCACTTCTCCATCCAAGCCAGGAAACCTTAGGGATCAAGCAAGCAGTGAGTGGGGCATATTTCTCTTCAATGTCAGTTAAAGTGAAAATAGACAATGATAAACGTAAAAAAAAGTCTTACTGGGACCCAGGACAAGGAGAATCGATTTTTTTTTTAAATCAAAGTACAGGTTTATTAGTTTACACAAAAAAAATGGTCAAAGTCATTAACTTTTGAGTTATTTTTGAAAATTTTCATACAAAACAGATGTAGTTCTTTGGAGGAAAATTCATGCTTCTGGTAAAAATGAAGCATGTTTAATTTCAAACATTCTGGGGTAAAGTTGCCTAAGTTAAGAATGACTGCATCTTTTGTATTTTCAGGAGACCTTGCTTTTTATCTCAGTTTCCTCCTGTTAACTCCTCTCCCTTGGGTGCCCACTCACCAACACACAATCCCATGCTGCCTCCAGGTACTAAAACCACCCACGTTCAACCAACACAGGCAGCTGAAAGTTTGCAAGAGATAAGAGGAGGAGCAAGCGAAATGAGCATCCCCTCCAAGAAAAGCACACTCTGAAAGTGAAAGAGAAAAGTGAATGGAACTCACGGCTTTCAGTTAATTACCCTCTCCTTTCCTCATCCATTTCCCTCACCAGTTATACCAATTTTGAGAACAAATATCTGAATCTGACAGCAAGGTATAGTCAATGTTTTCTCAGAGCCAAAAATAATTGGTTCAGGGAAAGGAAGGTGGGACGTTATTCAGAACAAGTAAAGGGCGTGGTTTCCGCTTAATTCCAACCTCCGCACCATCTTGCACAGATTCTCTGGGAGACACATTAAGGTTAGACTTTCCAGACATCATCCTCAGAGAACAAAGCAGGAGACACACTTGTGGCATAGAAAATAAAAAGTGTCTGTCACAAAGATTATGCAAGAGTTATTTCATAAAGTGGAATATACAGAAATACATACTTGTAGTTATCTCACAAATCTGTATCTTGGCTCTCGGTGATCCTACTGAAGCACAGTTATGATTTGTTCATGTTTATTTTGTGCTTTCTTCAGGCCAGAGTCTGTATCACATTATGGAGAGCTCTGCAAATGGTACTAAAAATTCTCAACAAGCTGGCCATTTTGTTTGTAGAAAGAGGAGAGTCTCCCAACAGAAGTCCATTCTCTGGAGAAGGTTGGTCGTCTTGGTTCTGATGAGGCCACTGTGCTAAAAGAAGCATTTCAGTTACACTGGATAGATTATAACATTTTTAATTTGCTCTTGGGGAAGTTTATTCTCAAAGTTCAGTCTCAGAGGCATCCTATCCTTGCAAAAGTTCCATGTGTTCTAAATCCTCAACTGTTCCTTGGCACTGTAAGAACTTTTTAGATGCCCTCTTCTAGAGGCAAGCTGCCATGGCAAGTTGTAGATTATATGTGAATATTAGACAAGTTAAAAGTGAAAAAAGATAAAGCAAATAGAAATCTCAACTGATTATTCGAAAATTTAATTAGTTATCTCCTCTGCCTCTCTCTCCAGCTGTGTGACAGGACAATTCCTTTAACCTCTCCCAGTCTATTGCTACTTGATGAAAGCAAGTGGTCTGTGATTCTAAATCCCCCAGAGTATTCTCGGCCATAAAATTGGAACTTAGAACTCCATGTGCACAGGGTTCTTGCTAACACCAACCTCTGATGGCTTTCTATTTTCTCAAACTGTAGAGAAATTTCCCATAACTCTCAACTGTCTTACAGCTGTTTAACACTAGACAAGCCCTCTGGTCATTTTTCCTTTGTCATCACTCAAGACTACCCAATGAAAGCAGAGCCTCACCTCTGGATGCCCAAGGAGATAGTTGCAACCCTGAACAAGGACACATGCCTTCTGGTGTTTACCAGAGATCTTGTGTGTAGATTCTGCCTCTCTGGTCCTTGAAGTGTTGTAAAATATAACCTAGGATCTGTCTTTTCTGTTTTGTCCCAATCTTGTATCTATGAAAGTAAAGCCTGTGACCTTTACAGAACCCTAGAGAAATGGAAAAGTGAAATGGCATCCCTTCCATGGTCCAGATCATACATTTGTCCCTCTTTATAGGGATAAACTTATACTTTACATATTTCTAAAATTACAACATTCTCTGGATTTTTATTCTATGCAGAGATTTTATAGCTTTCAAACATTACCTTTTCTACTCTACATATTCATTGTTGTATAAATTCTAATTTCTCAGGACTTGCTTGAATCTTTTCTGATGTATTTCCTGAACCATCAAGAGCTTATGGTCAAACATTGCAAAATGAAAACAGATTATTATAGGTTTTCGAAGTGACAAGTTATTTTTAGAGATATGATTCATTTCATACATCTAAATGAATATGACAAAGAAAACAACATGGACCAGGAAATAAAAACAGAAAACCTAGTGCATAACAGGTAATGCTAATGGAAGTTTGGCAAGCATGTGGACAGACAGTTGAACAGAGTAGATGCAATCGAATTGATCATGTCTTTACCACCTAATTATTTTAGCCTATTTATGATATGAAATATAGTACTCATGATTTAAAGTAAAATGACATATTATGCATGTTAAATTTTGTGTATAGCACTGACATAGTCAGTGTGTCAGCAATTATTGGCCCTACAGACCCTTGTGGGAATAAAATGTAGGTGCACTTGCTACATCTTCGCTATTTGTGACTTTTCAAATCATTACACATTCATAACAGAAATTGCCCAAGTTCAGTAAATTGAGTATCATTTCCCTTCTCTCCTCACATGAGCTGAACCGGTTTTATCTCTTTGGGGGAAAGCAGTTCCATTTACATTTGCCGTCTCAAATGTATAAAAGCTTCATGTCAAGAAATCCATTTGCTCTTTAATAAAAGTTATCATAACGTCTGGAACGCTTGATTTATGGAGAGGCTGCCGTCACCTCGATGGCTTGACGCTTTTCTTTTGCCGCTGGAAACCCAAGACAGGTCATGACATTTACACTAGGTCAGAATAATAATGTCACTCCAATCACCTTCCTTGACAACAGCCCATTTGTCTCATTTAAATAATGAGCATGATTGGTGGAAATTGCAGGCTGTAACCCTAACACACTGAGGAAATGACAAACACAACTGCAGTGAGGAGTAAGCCAACCACTGATGGGGATCACGGCCTGCTTGCTGCAAATACTGGTCTTATAGTTACTTATTTAACCTTCACAAAGCAGATTTGATAACAGTCCAGATGGTTATGAGACAGAAAAACGAAAATGTTTTGCTAAACGTGTTCTGATAAGGGGCTGTGCTCCTCCATGGTGGTGCCCTTCTGATTGGGTGCTGCCCAATCAGACACAGCCCACCAAATGTCACCCCCATGAGGCACACAGAGGAACCACAGATTACCCCGAGGTCACCTTCATTTTGCAACTGGCAAAACTGCAGAAGAAACCAAACCACACTGCTCTGAGCAGAGGGCATCCCATCACCCTGACAAAAGCTTTCTGTAAAGGGTGCCACGGAGGTTGTCCCTGGGCCAGACATTGGGCAGGGCCTAGCTCCAGCGAGAAGCTGTTGAAGAGGCTCCCTGTGTGCCTTGGGATGGAGGGTGTGGGCAGAGGATGGCGCTGGTGAGAGGGAGAGAGGAGAATTCATGTAGGAGGAATGAAATGGGAACTCCTTTTTGGGTTAAAGGTATTGAGATACAAAACAGAAAACTTACCTTCAGTGGGCTTGGAAACAAAATAAAAGTTCTCCTGCAACTTTTTTTCTGGAGGGTGCAGTCAAAATGAGCATTGTTTTTGCAAAGGACCTGGGGGCATTGAGACTTAATAAGACAGACTGAGTAAGATGAATTCACTAAGTTCATTGAATTGATTTTTGTTTTTATGATTTTAGAATGGCTCACCTATCATCTATGAGCCAAGTGGCTCATCCTAACCATCAGAACCCCAGGTCTGCAGAGCTCATGCAGCAATGTGTGAGTCCAACTCAAGACTTCTCAGTCCTGGGATTAAGCAGGTGTTTTGTCCCTCTGATCCCCAACCTCCCTTTTGTGAAATGGACCCATTCAGGTTGGCAGGACAGAGCATCTGAGACAATCAAATCATCTTATGCGAGACTCCAGACAGAAGGGTTCGCAATTTTGGTTTTCTCTTCTCTCTTTTCTCTCTTTTTTTTTTTTTTTTTTTCTGTCTTGCTCTCTATTTGCATTGACAATTGGCATCTGCTCTGGAAATCTCTTCAAGTTCACTTTGTACAACTAGGCACAGCTTGGCTGACTTGGCAACTTTCTTAACATCTTGATAACGTTGACATCAACCATCTCTCTCTTCCTTTGAAACTGTGAAACTATCATGGCTTTGACAGTGTAAGTCACACCTTAGGCGACTCTCTGAACATCTCGGGGCCTTTTTTAATAATTTTAAAAACTCCAGAAACATTTGCTTATTGTGAATTGTTTTAAGGATTAAATCAAAGAATGGGCATTGGAGCAGACTGGGAGCAGGCACAGAGGCTGCTCAGTGGGTGGGTTAGATTCCTTCTCCTTCCTGGACTGCTCCCTTCTCCTCTGTTCTCTTCTCAGACAACCCAGTTTCTAGAGGTTTTGCTGATTCATGTTCACTCATCACAGGTATGTCCTTAATCTCTTTCTCCTCTGTGTACTGATTCTTCTTATAGACTTCATCTCTTTTCGGGTGTCCATTAGGAACTTGAGAAGTTCATCTGCAACTTGGAATATGTTTTCCTTGGTTTGACCATTCATTTCCTCCTGGCAGCTGCATGGATTTCTCAGATATTCTACTTATAGATACAGTTCAAAATATGTTAGACCATCTATATGCCACTATTTACAGACAGAAATTCCATCTCTGGAGTTTCCAATTTTGCTGATAGAATAAGCATCCTCTCAGCCATCTGGTCACCACCCACAGTAAAGTTTCTTTTTGCCCAAGTTCTCCTTCCCGGGGTCAGTTGTTCACTATGCCCACTCTATTAGCAGCCACAGTGGGCATGTGCTGGGGTCTGGCCTAACCTCAGAACATTTGAATCACAGCCTAAAGGCCTTTCTGGGGCCTCGTTCTTACCTCATGCCCACTGCCTCTGGAGTTAATGTCTGTTCTTGAACATGAGTACTATTTGGCCCAAAGCATTTCATAGATAGCCCCTCTCTTGGTGCTTGAGCTCAGAACCTTCACCTGCTTTTAAACCTTCTGGAATTGAACTCCGGTTGTACCCTTGCCTCATCTGCCATCCCTAGGTGAAATGCTTTAAACCTAAAGCGTTGGCCTCATTCAATTTTCTACAGTAATTTTTTTCATATGGTCTTTTGCCCCCATACTGGGGTCTTGGACATAGCTTTGAATCCTTTTTTGTGCTTAATAGGAGCCTAATATGTACCAACAGAAGGGAAGGAAGGAAGAGAGGAAGGGCAGAGGGAGGAAGAAAAAAATGAACCAAGTAATGCCATCTGCAGGAGTATTACCTGTGACGCAGGGTAGGGTCAGCACTGCTCACATCCTCAGCCCCTCAGCAGACCAATGGCAAAAACTGGACTCATTTGTGATGTCATCATTTGCCTACATGGGCATGGCAATGAGAAAATTATACGTGTATTTTAAAACTGAAATGGGCCTGGCGCGGTGGCTCATGCCTGTAATCCCAGCACTTTGGGAGGCCGAGGCGGGCAGATCACAAGGTCAGGAGATCGAGACCTCCTGGCTAACACAGTGAAACACCGTCTCCACTATAAAATACAAAATATTAGCCAGGCGTGGTGGCAGGAGACTGTAGTCTCAGCTACTCGGGAGGTTGAAGCAGGAGAATGGTGTGAACCCGGGAGGTGGAGCTTGCAGTAAGCTGAGATTGCACCACTGCACTCCAGCCTGGGCGACAGCTGGACTCCGTCTCAAAAAAAGAAAGAAAGAAAGAAATGAAGTCGCTGAGAATCTAGAAGTGTACAGGGGCTGATAGAACCCCTTTGCCCATTAGAGACTAGAAAGAATTTGAAGCTGCTTATACCTGCCAAGGAAAACTAAGCTTAAGTGACTGAAGAGAAAGAGAAAGATTAAAACAGAAAATAGAAAGGCACTTGTATCTTAAATAAAAGTGTTGCCATGCCTGCCTGGCATGAAAAGAAGAATCATTGCCACTAGAAATCTGAAAAAATTTTGGCATGGAGATTTCCAAGTCTCTATATGAGCGCCCTCGTCCACAGCAGCCAGTGCCATGGCAGGCAGTTCACACAACAGGAAAGCTATGTCATCATAAGGCCAGCCATTGGGTGTGGGTGTTTGCTTCCTGTAACTGGGTGTTTGCTTCCTGTAACTGGTTGTTTGCTTCCTGTAACTGGTTGTTTGCTTCCTGTAACTGGGTGTTTGCTTCCTGTAACTGGTTGTTGGCAAGCCCTTGATTTAGTGTTTATATCCCAGCTTCTTCTTCTAAGTAGTGACCTTTGACAGGAGTGTAAAATAATCCTACCTGCTTAGTGATTTCTGACTGATTCACTGTTAAATCATCCGGTCTCATTGAATGATTATAATATCCATGGGACTGAAGAGGATCCATTATATTCTTTATACACCTTATTTTGTGAATCTTGTGGAATTTGTGAACTGAGGTCACTCTGCCCCCTAACAGTAGACTTTAAAACAGAAAAATAACCGTGTTATAAGACATAATTAATTAGTATGTGGTTACCCAAATAAAGTCTGCATCTACTTGCAAAATAACAGCAAGCTGACCCAGCTTCCATGATGCATGATGATGCTGGCAACATGGCACAGATTTAAACGTGGGCCATGGGGGTGTTGCCTTGCTTAGGTGAGCAGCTTAGTTTGTCAAAATCTCAATGGACTCAACTAGATAATGACATGTTTTAAGGATTAAGACTAATAAAATAATATAATACACACAAAGCCTCCAGACATTACCTAAGATACACAGTGATGACCACTCAATGGCAGCTATTATTATTAGACATTGAGTACTACTCTTGTCCCTGACACACATAAGGAACAGTGGTGAAATCCAAAGCCATTAAATAATGCAAAGCAATTAAGGTGGCCAGCCAATGAAATGTGCTGACATCTGTAAAAATTGCATCCCACAGCCTTACTGGACACACATGCAAGATTCTTGAGGACATGGCTGACACTGTCTCCACAGTGCTGATGAGACTTGCTCCACAGTTCCAAAGGGCTGATGAGACTTGCATGCCAGCAGAAGGGGTGGAGCAAGATGGCAGAAAAGAAGACCCTACCAATCATTCTCCCACTCCAGGAATACCAAATGCAACAACTATACACACACAAAAAAAGCACCTTTATAAGAACCAAAAATCAGGTGAGCACTCACAATACCTGCTGTTAAGTTCATATCGCTGATAGAGGCACTGATGATGGTAGAAAAGACAGTGTTTACTTGCCCATGCCACCCCTTCCCTGTCCCTCAGCAGTAGTCCTGTGGCACAGAGAGAGACAGTCTGTGTGTTTGGGAAAGGGAGAGCACAGGGAATGTGAGAGTTTTCATTGAACTCAGTGCTGTGTTGTCACAGTGTGAAGCAAAACTGTGTTGAATTCAGCTGACACCCACCCATGGAGAGAACATTCTGGCCAGCCCTACCCAGAGGGAAATCACTCATCCCAGTGGTGGGAACTTGAGTCCAGCAAGCTTTACCAGTGTGGACTGAAGGGTTCTGGGGCCCTAAATAACCTTCAAAGGCAGTCTAAACCACAAGCAATGTAAGACCTAGCGCTGAGCTGGGCTCAGAGCCGGTGGACTTGTAGGCATAAAACTTACTGAGACACCAGCTGGGTCAGCTAAGAGAGTGCTTTTGCCACCGTTCCTTCAACTTCAGGCAACATAGCTCATGGTTCCAAAAGACTCCTTCCTTCCACTTGGGGAGAGGAAATGGAAGAGTAAAGAGGACTTTGTCTTGCCTCTTGGGTACCAGCTCAGCCACAATAGTATAAGGCACCAATCGGAGTTGGGAGGCCCCCATTCCAGGCCCTAGCTCCTGGGTGACATTTCTAGACACACCCTGGGCCAGAAGGGAACCTGCTCCTTTGAAGAGAAGGAACTTGTCCTGGCATAATTTATTACTTTGCTAACTAAAGAGACATTGGGCCCTGAATAACCAGCAGTGGTAACCAGGTACTACATGCTCTGGTTCTTGCATGAAACTCTGAGACTTCCTGGTTTCAGTGAGACCCAGAACATTCCCAGCTGTGGTGGTTACAGTGAAAGACTCCTTCTGCTTGATAAAAGTGGAGCGAAAAGTAAAAGGGATTTTGTCTCGCACCTTAGAGGCCAGCTTAGCCACAGTGGGGGTAGAGCACCAAGCAGGATCTTGGGGTCTAAAAATCCAGGCCTTAGCTATTGGATGGCATTACTAGACCTACCCTGGGCGAGAGAGGGGCCCATTGCCCTGAAGGATGAGTTCTAGGCCTGGTGGCATTCAACACAAGCTGACTAAAAAGTCCTTGGGCCTTAAGTAAATGTTGGCAGTGGCCTGGCAGTATTTTCATGGGCTTGTGGTACTGGTTGCCATGAGGTAAGTCTCCTCTGCCTATGGAAAGAAGAAGAAGGACTACGTCTTGTGATTTGAGGGTCAGCTCAGCCACAGTAGATTAAAACACTAGATAGATTTCTAAGGTTTTTGACTCCAGCCTCTATCTCCCAGACAGCATCTCTGCACCTGTCCAGGGCCTGGGGAAACTAGCTGTCCTGAAGGGAAGAACTCAAGCCTGGCTGGCCTCCCCACCTGCTCATTATAGAGCTCTAGGGCCTTCAGTGAATGTAGGCACTAGCCAGGCAGTGGTTACAGCAGGTGTTGGGTGAGATCCAATACTACTCTGGCTTCAGGTCTGAACCAGCGCAGTCCCAGTGGTGGCGGCCATAGGGTTACTTGTGTTACCACAGCCACAGCCCCAGGCAGCTCAGCACAGACAGAGAGACTCCATTTTTTTTAGACAATAAAGGAAGGGAACAAGAGTCTCTGCCTGGTGATCCAGGTAATTCTTCCAGATCTTATCCAAGACTGCTAAGGCAATATCTCTACAAGTCTGCAAGAACCACAGCGTTGCAGGAATTGGGTGCGTCCTAATGCGGATATGGCTTGGATCACAACACTGAAGTCCTTAAATTTACCTGAAAAGCTCTCTTGAGAAGGACAGGCTCAAAACAGCCCAGACTGTGAAGACTACAAAAAATACTTAACTCTTCATTGTCCAGAAACAATGTTCAAGATCAACAAAGTTCAAGATCATCCAAAAAAATATGCCCTCACCAAGCTAGCTAAATAAAGCACCAGGGAACAATTCTGGAAAATCAGAGATATGTGGCCTTTCAGACAGAGAATTTAAAATAGCTTTTTGAAGAAACTCAAAGAAATTCAGAATATCACAGAGAAGGAATTCAGAACTCTATCAGATAACCTTAACAAAATGATTAAAATAATTTAAAAGAATCAAACAAATTCTGGAGATGAAAAATGCAATTGACACACTGAAGAATGCATCGGAGTCTCTAAATAGCAGAACTGATCAAGCAAAAGAAAGAAATAGTGAGCTTGAAAACAGACTATTTGAAAATACACAGTCAGAGGAGACAAAATAAAAGAATAGAAAAGAATGAAGCATGCTTACAAGATTTGAAAATAGCTTCAAAAGTGCAAATCTAAGAGGTATTAGCCCTAAAGAGGAGGTAGAGAAAGAGATAGGGGTAGACATTTTATTCAAAGGGAGAATAACAGAACTTCCCAAACCTGGAGAAAGATATCAATAACCAAATACAAGAAGGTTATAGAACGCCAAGCAGATTTAACCAAGAGATGACTACTTCAAGGCATTCAAAAATCAAACTCCCAAAGGTCAAGGATAAAGATAGTGATATGGTTCCCATCTGTGTCCCCACCTAAATCTCACGTTGAAACGTAATACCCAGTACTGGAAGGGTGGCCTGGTGGGAGGTGATTGGATCATGGGGTTGGAGTTCTGATGAATGGTCTAGTACTATTCCCTTGGTACTATGTCACAACAGTGAGTAAGTTCTTGTGAGATCTGGTTGTTTAACAATGTGTAGCATCTTCCCCATCTCTCTCTTCCTTCTGATCCAGCCATGTGAAGTTCCCTATTCCCCAATTTGCCTTCTGCCATGACTGGAAGCTTCCTGAGGCCTCCCCAGAAGCAGAAGCTGCCATGCTGTCTGCGTCGCCTGCAGAACCATGAGCCAATTCATCATCTTTTCTTTATAAATTGTCCAGTCTCAGGTATTCCTTTATAATAGTGCAACAACAGACTAATATGGAAAGGATCCTAAAAGCAGTGAGAAAAAAATAAACAAATAATATCCAATGGAGCTTCAATATGTCTGGCAACAGACTTTTCAGTGGAAATCTTATAGGTGGGGAGAGAGTGGCACAACATTAATTTAAAGTGCTGAAGAAAAAAAAAAAAGCTTTTACCCTAGAATAGTATATCCTGTGAAAATATCCTTCAAACATGAAGTGGAAATGAAGACTTTCCTAGACAAACTAAAGCTGGGAGATTTCATCAACACCAGAACTGTCCTACAAGAAATGCTAAAGAGAGTACTTCAATCAGAAAGAAAAGGATGTTAAAGAGCAATGAGACATCGTCTGAAGGTACAAGCATCACTGGCAGTAGGAAGTACACAGAAAAAGACAAAATATTATAACACTGTAACTGTGCTCTGTAAAATACCCTTATCTAAAGTAGAAAAAAAACTAAAAGATAAACCAATAAAAAAAAACTACAGCAAATTTTCAAGACATAGACAGTACAATAAGTTATAAATAGAAAAAACAAAAAGTTAAGTTGTGGGGAGACAACAGTATGGTTTTTATTAGTTTTCTTCTTGCTTGTTAGTTTGTTTGTGCAAGTAGTGTTAACTTGTTATCAGCTTAAAATAATGGGTTATAAGACAGTAATTGCAAGCCTCATGTTAACTTCAAATTAAAAAAAATAAAATGGATACATGAAAAATAAAAAGCGGGAAATTAAATCATACCACCAGAGAAAATCACTTTCACTAAAAAGAAGACAAAGGAAGGAAAGAAGGAAGAGAAGCCCACAAAACAACCAGAAAACAAGCAACAAAATGACAGGAGTAAATCCTCACTTACCAATAATAATGTTGAATGTAAATAAACTAAACTCTGCAATAAGAAGACATAGAGAGGCTAAATTGACAAAAAAAAAAAAGATCTGATTATCTGTTGGCTACAGAAAACACACCTCACCTATAAAGACACACATAGAAAGGAAATAAAGGATGGAAAAAGATATCCCATATCAATGGAAACTAAAAAAGAGCCAAAACAGCTATACGTACATCAGACAAAATAAATTTCGAGACAAAAACCTATAAAAGATTTTTTAAAAAGTCATTATATAATAATAAAGGGGTCAACTTAATAAGAGGATATAACAAATGCAAATATATATGCACCCAACATTGGAGCACCCAGATGTATAAAGAAAATATTATGAAAGAGAGAGATTGACCCCAACACAATAACAGCTGAAGACTTCAACACCCCACTTTTAGCACTAGACAGATCTTTCAGACAGAAAATCAACAACACAAAAGGGTGACTATAGTAAAAATATAATTTAATTGTACTTTTAAAAATAACTAAGAGAGTATAATTGAATTGTCTTTAACACAAAGGATAAACGTTTGAGTGGCGGACACCACATTTATCGTGATGTGATTATTACTCATTGTATGCATGTATCAAATTATCTCATATAACCCATAAATATAGACATCTACTGTCTACCCACAAAAAATAAAAACAAAACGTTAATTTAAAAAGAAAGAGTTGCATGGTGGGTTCTGGTCAGAAATATAGTTATAATTAAGCTTTAAAGAGGCTACACTTTTACCCTCTTTCTTGTTGCTAAAAGTCACAAAGCACTAGATACCCACCATTTGGATCCCCTATAGAAAGGATCTCTGACGTTAGAATCATAAGGCTTTTGTTTAAGGATCATCTAAGCTGTGTTTCTGACCTGAAATTCCAGCAACCAGTTTGCAGAGCCCCCACCGAAGAATGGGATCAGAATGAGTAGGCAACTAAATTCTCTCCTTGTCCCACGATTTCGTCCTGCACTCTTCAACCAGTCAACATCTCTACACTCTGGCGCACTTCAAAACCCCTAAGCCCCCTAACTCCACATTCCTTGGGGAGATGAATTTGGAGTTTCCTCTCATTTCATCCTTTGGTGGCCCTATGATTAAACCTCTTTCTCTGCTGCAACCTGATGTCTCAGCGTACTGACTTGCTGTGTGTATGGGGCAAGCAATCTAACACAGTTACAGCGCCTTGATTTATTTTTAGTAAGTCTGTACTTAACTAAAGGTTAAACAAATCAGTGGACAGATATTGTTGCTCCATAGGTTCTGAATCTGTAACTTGGAGATAGACCATCAAAACATTTTAGAACTGGAATTTTCTCTCTCACCGTAACACTTTCTTTGCTGCACTGTTATAGAGTTTAGAAGATTAGTTCTATTGTTTTGGAGAATTATCCCCAGTTTCTTGAAATTTTTGTGTAGAATAGCATGATAGGAGTGAACACTTGAAGATACTCATGTCACACTATGTTGGTTACAGAGCACATTAGACTCCTTCTGAAATCAGAAAATGACTCAAAAAAAATTAATCTAAGCCTTTTTTTTTTTGCCAGTCCATTCTAAATTTTGAAAAGTGTCTGGCAGTATCCTTGAAAAATTTGCATAAATCCTGAATGCTTGTCTGCCTGATACTAGTAACTGAACGTGATCGTGAATGGCCACGATATTAAACGTCAAATATCAGGGTTAATTATGAGAAATCTGACAAAACCCTAAACTGTGTGTGGAGAGGGGAGGGAAGACACTGTCTTTTCTGACATTATAACGGTTCCAAAGCCTTTACACTGTCAATCAAAGGAGCTCCGAATGGCCTGGAATTCATTTGCTGTTAGCTGCTGTGCTGTGGGAAGCAGCTACAGGACACACTGTTTTCAAATGTAAATATCGCTGGCATTTCAAAGATGTCATAGTTTTGTTTTGTTTTTTCCTCCCATCTTAATATATTGAAAAGTACCAATATCTGCTGTTACAATGGGTTCTATCATCTAGTTTTGTTAAATACTGTGATCATGGTAAAATAATGAAGGGTGTGCTAAGGTATGGATTTCAGCTGTGGCCTATAAACCCAGGCCATTAGCATATGCCAAGTGTGTCATGTGCCATACTCGATGTCAAGGCACCTGGGCTCAGGTCTCCCTTAATGCAAGCCATGATGATACATATGGAGTTAGTCACTCTTCCACTATTTTTTGCTTCCAAAAATAGCCTCAGCATCGTACATCCTAGCTGTGAGACTTCTCAGGATTGTTTTGCAAAGAAAATGGCTATTTTTTGTATAGAAGTGCCAATCAAGGAGACAGCCTTCAACCTTATGTAACTAGCCAATGCACTCCAGAAATCAGACTTCCCTGGGATTGTTTCAGTAAACACAGGAAAGCTAGAAATTATGTCTACTTTTTAAAGCAGTTTAAAGCAAGTATGAGATGTCAAATACCACTCCTGGGATATGCAGCCTTATGTCCAACATACGTTCTTATGGCAATTAATTTATGTAATTTCAAGAGTGGATTATTCCTCTCTGATGATCCTACAACTTCAGTAAAAAGCTTCAAAATGGCCACTTTTAAAGCAGGATGGAGCATTCATTTTCTGGGCATCCTAGTGGTCTTTGTGCTAGCTGCAGGGTTGGCTTAACCTGCCACCCCTAGGAAAAGGTGAATCCAGAGAGAATCAAGAGGGGTTTTTAAAGCATTGCATGTGAATGTAATCATAAAGTAGTCACCTTCGAATGTGTGGAGAGTCCCTAAAATAAGAAAATCACAGTGCAACCAGACTACCATCTTACACATCTCAACAACCTCATGGATCCTCGGGTTTAGTTGGTGACCAAAAATTCACATCTCACACTTCTAAAGAGATGCCAGAGAGGAGACTGGGAGGAAGGCAGCCCTGCATTCCGGGGTGGCTGACATCCCATCAGCGACTGTGACAAGCTGTACCTTGTTCCTGTTCCTACATCCAGGTTTCAGCAGGTGCAGGGCTCTGCAGACAGGCAACCGCAGCTTCCTGCCCTCTCTTCAAGTTCTAGAGGAGCAGAGGCCTTGTCCCCAGCCTCACCATTTGGCCCTCCCATGTCTGTCCCTTCTTTCTCTGCTCTTCTCTTTCCTTGCAACATTTCATTGCAAACGCATCTCTTAGTGGAAGGAAATAAAGATTAACAGTGAGTGCATCTTCAACCCCGCCATTTAATTTATTTGCATTCTCTGTATAATTGATCCTGACTGGCTCAATTCCATAAGGAGGGATAAATACAGCTTACAAGATGAAGAGAATGTCTTGAGACACCAGGTTGAAGTAATACTGTGAACAGGACTTTATTGACAATGCTTACCGGAGGGAGTGTCAAAGACATTCAACATTAGTGTCCCAATTGTTCATCTGAAGACCAATCACAGAAAACTCTGGAATCTTTTAGAGGGGGAATTTAATTAGCAGCACTTGAGATATTATTCAGGCCTTTAACACCTGAAAGTTTGTACCATTTTAATACAAGAGCTACCCTCTTTCAATGAGGCTATTCCCTTGTGACCCAAGAAATGCATTTCTTCTACTGTAAGATTAGGTGAGTCTTTAGAGAAATAACGGTCTAACCACGGCAGTAAATCCCCAGGCCTGCCTGGCTTCTTGAGGTCTTGTCATTCATGTCTGTCAAATGAGGTTGCCTTAGGTCAGGCCTCTGTCGATATGGAAGTCCAAACTGTCCACTCAAAAACAAATGTCATAATACAAAATAAAAGCAGTTACTTCATTTTGTATAAAGCTTTTAAACTTGAAGACTGGAGAATGTGTTTTATTAGCTTATTACCCACCTGCCACTTCAGACTGTATAACACCCTTTGCTGGAGAGAGCAATTAAACTGAAAGTTCTCGAAGGATCACTTTAAGAAATGAATGTTCCAATGCAGGGAAGTGAGGAATATATAAATAGATGCTGCCTAGACATATGGCCGCATGTATGTTTGCCTGTGTATCCCTGTTTCTTAATGCATAGATATGTGCAGATTTATACACACACACATTTTTAAATGAAATGACGTGAAGTTGATCTCGAGATCAATAGGTACATTTCATTCTGTGAACTACTGAGCCAAATGCAGGAATGCAATATTAGCTCTTAAACGTTAAGGTTGATTTATTAGTCTCTTTATAAGCAACCATGCTAATCTTGCACTTTATTCCAGTGCTCCATTTAATGTTAGTGAGTTTCAAAGTATAGAAGTGAACTGGCCTTTCTTTGGGAGGAGTTTGTTCTTGGCCAGGATACACGCACCCACCAGTCAGTCAGGGTGAAGACTAAAAAGTGACACTCTCTTTGTCCACTTAAAATCTCTCACTGGGCCGGGCACGGTGGCTCATGCCTGTAATCCCAGCACTTTGGGAGGCTGAGGTGGGCAGATCGCCTGACATCAGGAGTTTGAGACCAGCCTGGCCAACATGGTGAACCCCTATCTCTACTAAAAATACAAAAATTAGACAGGTGTGGTGGCACATGCCTGTAATCCCAACTACCTGGGAGGCTGATGCAGAAGAATTGCTTGAACCCAGGAGGCGGAGGTTGCGGTGAGCCGAGATTGCGCCATTGCACTCCAACCTCAGTGACAGAGCAAAATTCTCTCTCAAAAAGAAGAAAAAAAGAGAAAAAGAAAAAGAAACAAAATCTCTCACTAACTAGAAAAGACTTTAGATGTCATGAATTTCTCTGCAATTTCGCCATACTTTAAGTAGAAGTTTTGGAGAAAAGAAAGGAAAATAGATTTACTCTGTGCCATAGTTGAGTCTGGCTTTCCACCTATTACTTTGTGTGAGTAATGAGTGGCCCTTTTCTGTCTTCCGTGGAATTAAGGAGACAATGAAGACCATGGGAAGCACCAGCTCCTCCCTCTACCTGAGCCAAAGTTCACCTTTCTCTTTCAGCCAATTATTACAGAAAGGAGTGTTTATAAAACAGCTGTAATCTCAATCCCATCCCCTTACTCCAAGGGACATTTCTAACAATAATTGCATATCTGAGAAGAACATTCTGCTCTCAGAAGTTGCATGTATTTTTACCATAAAATGTTTTAAATCAGGAAAATGCTAAAATATAAGTGATTTTGTGTTTTTAATGTAATTTTCTTTCTCAGTTCATCTTAATAAATCAATAGCCATCTTTCAAAACCCTGCCCATTAAAATTGGAATTTCATTTATTTTCCTAGTGTTTCGGAGTCATTTTGTTTTGTGGGATCTGTAAACTAAAAATAAAATCCTAAGCCCCACAATCCCCCCCGCCAACTGAGGAGAACCCCACTAGGCCAGGGCAACTCCAGAAAAACCTTACAACTTTGTTTCTGCCATGACAGGATGGGAGGTCAGACACACATTGTTATACCCCCTACCTTGTATGGTTTTGACACAACAACTGACCATCATTAATGTTAAAACTGAGATCCTCAGACTGACAGAGCAGACTCTTTGCAGCAATAAGATACCAAATTATCAGCAGGACTTAAGGCCATGCCAGGCAAGGGTTAAGTTTTGCAGGCCTACCCTTGAAGAATAAATGTTGCTCTAATGGCCCAAGTTTTTCTTTTTCTCTAGCAGCTAAACAAGAACTAGCCTTGGGATTAGCAAGATTAAAACAATTTGCAGCTCCACCCGACACTGACTGACTGACCCCTTGCCCCTGCTCCACCAGCCATTAACTGCAGCATTCACTGGACAAGAGACTGATTTCAATAACTTCCTCCTGATAAGAAGACCACTGGCCAGGGACTGGTTCTGGCCCATTTACAGAGATTGAGCACTTGCGTGCCTTCATGTCCTGAATAGACCTTTTGATGTGTAGGGCCTAACTGTAATATATTTAAATGTTACTTCTCCACCCGAAGTGAACATGACTCATAATGTTACATGCATGTTTGCTCAACACATATGTGTCAGGACTTCCTTCATGAATATTCATAGCTCCTCCTGTCACCTGTTAAATATGAATGTTTAGCCAACCTATTCAGCATAAAGCTTCTACCCCAGCCTCTACTCCTTCCACATGCCTGTGTCTGGTTGTGACCGGAGGCTGTGCTTCCCAGCCCATGGGAGGGCCACCTTGCGGACTGTAACCCTTCACTCAAATAAAGCCTCCCCTACTTTTCTTCTTAATTTATACATTTGTTTTAAGTTAACAAATCAACACATATTGTAAACAATCTCTTCCAACCAGAATTTCTGAATTTTTTTTATATACATTGTTTTGTTATTTTATTTCATTAGCTAATAATAACTTTGGGGAAATTTCTCTTTGTAGTAACCATTTTAACTATGGAAAAAATGAATAATTAAAAAACAGGTGGTGCCGCTTTTCTGACAAACCCTACGTAAAATATGTACATATATTATTGAGTTAAGTGAAACTGGCTAAAGACAGAAATTTGAGTACCTTCTTTAGTTGTTTCATTTGTATTTAATAAGGGGTAGCTTTTTATCCATTGCTTTTGGCATGAGAGGGAGAAAAAGGAAGAGGAGGATAATGAGTAGGAGGAGGAGGTACGTGGAGAGAAGAGGGAGGTAAATGAGTGAGAAGCAATTGAACAGTTGTCAGTGGAAGAGCTTTGCTTTGCTTTTTGGACACTCAGAAAGGAGTAAAAACTAATCATGACCATTTCACTCCCATCAGAATCACTCAAGTTGCTTAGAGAATCAAAGATTCCTAGAACAAAGGCAACTTTGCACAAATTTCTTTACAGTAAATTTCTTTGGCTCTGGCTACAAGCTGTGCAGACCTACAAATGCATTAGGTTTAGTGGGAGAGACAGCTCCAGTGAATACGAGTAAGGTGACCTGTGGGAATTTGGCACCCTTTCCATGGTGCCAGAGACTGGAATATGTTGATAAGAGAAACAGTATATTAGCCTGTGCTTGCTATGCCAGGTCTCCATGCAAACACTGTGTGTACTCTTGGCCTCTTGGAATGGGAAATGCCTTCCACAAGGACACTGTGGATACTGAAGTATGAAACTACTACAGTTGAATGTCACTGCAAAGGTTAAGAAACTTCTCAGACAGAAAGGTTCATGGAATACATTCATAATTTCCCCTTGTCCTTCTCCTCTTCCTCCTCCACGTTCTTCTTATAAACCCATTTTGAAAAACAAAAGATAAAAATGGGTGGGAGAATGAACAATGTCAGTCAAAATACCTTTATTTCTCTCTGAGGAAGGGGAAGATTGGTTTGGTTTCTGCTTTTCTTTTATTTCCATAGGTTATTTTGTTTTATTTCCATGGGTTATTGGGGAACAGGTGGTGTTTGGATACATGAGTAAGTTATTTCATGATTATTTGTGAGATTTTGGTGCATCCATCACCCGAGCAGTATTCACTGCAACCAGTTTGTAGTCTTTTATCTCTCACCCCTTTCCCACCCTTTCCCCCTGAGTCCCCAAAGTCCATTGTGTCATTCTTATTCCTTGGCATCCTCATAGCTTAGCTCCCACTTATGAGTGAGAACATACAATGTTTGGTTTTCCATTCTAGTGTTACTTCACTTAGAATAATAATCTCCAATCTCATCCAGGTTGCTGCAAATGACATTAATTCATTCCTTTTTATGGCTCAGGAGTATTCAAATATATATATTATATAATATATATATAAATATATATAATATATATATAATATATATGTGTGCGTTTGTGTGTGTGTGTATCACAGTTTTTTTATCCACTCATTGATTGATGGGAGTGTGGGTTGGTTTCGCATTTTTGCCACTGCAAATTGTGCTGCTATAAACAAGCATGTGCTAGTATTTTTTGCACAATGATTTTTTTTTTTACTTCTGTGTAGCTATCCAGTATTGGGATCAAATGGTAGTTCTACTTGTGGTTCTTTAAGGAATCTCCACACTGTTTTCTATAGTAGTTGTATTGGTTTACATTCCTACCAGCAGTGTAGAAGTGTTCCTTGTTCACCTTATCCATGCCAACATCTATTATTTTTTGATATTTTGATTATGGTCGTTCTTACAGGAATAAGGTGTATCACATTGTGGTTTTGATTTGCATTTCCCTGATCACTAGTGTTGTTAAGCATTTTTAATATGTTTGTTGGCCATTTGTATATTTTCTTTTGAGAATTGTCTATTCATGTCCTTAGCCCCCTTTTTGTTCTGATTATTTTTTTTTCTTGTTAATTTGTTTGACTTTGTTGTATATTTTGGATATTAGTCCTCTGTCAAATGTATAGATTGTGAATATTTTCCCTTACTCTGTGGATTGTCTGTTTACTCTGCTGATTGTTCTTTTGCCATGCAAAAGCTCTTTAGTTTAATTAAGTCCTAGCTATTTATCTTTGTTTCTAATTGCATTTGCTTTTCAGTTCTTAGTTACAAAATTCTTTCCTAAGCCAAAGTCTAAAAGGGTTTTCCCAATGTTGTTTTCTAGAATTAGAATTTTTATAGTTTCAGGTCTTAGATTTAAGTCTTTGATCCATCTTGAGTTGATTTTTGTATAACGTGACAGATGAGAATCCAGTTTCATTCTTCTATGTGTGACTTACCAATTAGTCCAGAACCATTTGTTGAATAGGATGTCCTTTCCCCACTTCATGTTTTTGTTTGCTTTGTTGAAGTCAGTTGGCTATAAGTATTTGGGTTTATTTCTGGATTCTCTATTCTGTTCCATTGGTCTATGGGCCTATTTTTATACTAGTACCATGCTGTTTTGGTGACTATTGCCTTATAGCATAGTTTGAAATCAGGTAATGTGATGCCTCAATATTTGTTATTTTTTCTTAGTCTTGCTTTGGCTATGTGGGCTCCTTTTGGTTCCATAAGAATTTTAGGATTGCTTTTTCTAGTTTTTTGAAGAATGATGGTGGTATTTTGATGGAAATTGCATTGAATTTGTAGATTGCTTTCGGCAGTATGGTCATTTTCACAATATTGATTCTACCCATCCATGAGCATGGGATATGTTTATGTTTTCATTTGTTTGTGTCATCTATGATTTATTTCAGCAGTGTTTTGTAGTTTTTCTTGCAGAGGTCTTTTACCTCCTCAGTTACCAAACCCAAACCTAGAAGAAAGGAAATAACCAAGATCAGAGTAGAATTAAATACAATTGAGAAAAAAAATACAAAAGATAAATGAAACAAAAAGCAAGCTGTCTCTTTGAAAAGATAAATAAAATTGATAGGCCATTAGCAAGATTAACCAAGAAAAGAAGAGAGAAAATCCCAATAAGTTCAATTGGAAATGAAACAGGAGATATTACAACTGACACCACAGAAATACAAAAGGTCATTCAAGGCTACTATGAACATCTTTACATGCATAAACTAGAAAACCTAGAGGAGATGGATAAATACCTGGAAAGATACAACCCTCCTATCTGAAATCAGGAAGAATTAGATACACTAAACAGACCGATAATAAGCAGCAAGATAGAAATGGTAATTAAAAAGTTACCAACAAAAAAAAATCCAGGACCAGACAGATGGACAGCTGAATTCTACCAGATATTCAAAGAATTGGTACCAATCCTATTGACACTATTCTACAAAATAAAGAGGGAATCCTTCATAAATCATTCTATGAAGCCAGTATCACTCTAATACCAAAGCCAAGAAAGGACATAATTAAAAAAGAAAACTACAGACCAATATCCCTGATTAACATAGATGCAAAAATCCTCAACAAAATACTAGCTCACCAAATCCAACAACATATCAAAAAGATAATCCACCACAATCAAGTGGGTTTCATAACAGGAATGCAGAGATGGTTTAACATATGCAAGTCAATAAATGTGATACACCACATAAACAGAATTAAAAATAAAAATCACATTATCATCTCAACAGATGCAGAAAAAGCATTCAACAAAATCCAGCATCTCTTTATGATTGAAACTCTCAGCAAAATTGGCAGACAAGGGACATACCTCAATGTAATAAAAGCCATCTATGACAAACCCACAGCCAACATAGTACTGAATGGGAAAAAGTTGAAAGCATTCCCCATGAGAACTGAAACAAGATAAAGATGCCCACTCTCACCGCTTTTTTTCACATGGTACTGGAGGTCTAAGGTAGAGCAATCAGAGAAGACAAAGAAATAAAGGGCATCCAGATTGGTAAAGAGGAAGTCAAATTGTCATACTTAGCTGATGATATGATTGTTTACCTAGAAAACCCCAAAGTCTCCTCCAGAAAGCTTCTTGAACGGATAAAATAATTCAACAAAGTTTCCAGATACAAAATTAATGTACACAAATCAGTAACTCTTCTATAAACCAACAGCGACCAAGCTGGGAATTAAATCAAGAACTGAACCCTTTTTACAATAGCTGGTTTCTGCTTTCTTATCACTTCTCTGGCTACATGTACTTCCTCTTAAAGATCTAATGAGTCCATCCTGCTGGTGTTTTCCAAGTTGAAGTCATACCCTGGGCATGATGAGTACCTACACCTCATGTGGTAGATAGGCAATGGACAGAGACAATGAGTTGGTTTACGACGTCTTGTCTAGGAATACGCTAGAGTTTAGAAAAACAAGCAAACAAAACTTTCAATTATGAGCAATTATCTAAGTTATTAAATTTAGATATTAAGATATCTAAACTATTTATTACTATAAGTTGTCATCTATTATAATGATGAAAATTAAGTTCTGAACTATAGTTAATATTTAGTTATGAATTTGTAAGTAAAACAACTTAGATCAATTGGAATGTCACCAATTTTATTTAGTAATAGTTATGCTCCTAAAACTTAACTTGAAGAGAATCTATAGCTATTGCATTTCCATTATGTTTTCCCAATGACTTTAGTTTGTGAGGACAGTGATGGCATCAATGTTTTTTCGCTTAATAGATAATAAATGTTTCCTAGATTATAGAACATATTCTAAACTCTATTCTTTTATTAGAAAAGGAAAACAAAAGCATCCACAGATAACTTTTAATACACAAGTAGAAATGAGTGGGCCTGGCTGGTCCCATCCAGCAGACAAATCTAGTAGAGGGCTGATGATATAGAACATGCCTCTCTGCATGACCTAACCAAGGGAAGAGAGATGTTGAACAGGAAATAAAAAGATCTGCATACTTACCCCCAGATATGATTTGCTAGCTGTAGGAGTCTTGTTGAATTTTACTTAGTTTATTCACTTAGGAAAAGTTTTTCCTACAAGGTTCACTTAAAAATTAACAAGATAAATTTTATTATTATTATTTTTATAGATGGGGTCTCATTATGTTGCCCAGGCTGGTCTGGAACTCCTGACCTCAAAAGACCCTCCTGCTTTGGCCTCCCAAAGTGCTGAGATTACAGGTGTGTGCTATACCGTGCCTGGCCATATCTTTTTCTTTTTGATTTGTGTATAAGCATGGCCAGGTTTCAGAACAAGAATAAACTGTGGACCCAGAACAGAGGCAAGGCTGTGTGGCACTCAGAGTGCAGGCTTCTGCAGACCTCTCTTAGGAACCCAGTGAAGGTGGTTCCAGGAAGGTTGGGATTTCCCTGTAACCACCCCTGCCAGGCAGGAGGGAGGCACAGACCAGAAAGACACAGATACCCAGGGATACAGGAAAGTGGAGCTTCCAGGCCTGGAGGAACCAGGCGGGAACCCGCCCATGATGGCTCCAGACACAACAAAGAGTATCCAAGTGCGGGGCTCTTGGCAGTCAGGCACTGCTGGCCTGCCGATCACCAGCTGGCTTTAGTAAAATATGGGCAGTGACGCTATGGGTTGTGATTCACCCTCCAAGAACTGTGCTTGCAGTTCCCAACTGATCCAGCACGGAGCACAGTGCCTGTTAACAACCTGAGCAAGATAAGGATAATAGCACCCTGCAACTTCTCACCAAGGTTATTTCCCATCTCCACCTTACTGCCTTTCCTTTAATGCTCAGGGATTTTAGTTCTGTATTGTTATATTTAAAATATTATTATTTTGATACTAGGTAATTTTTTTCCCAAGAATTATAACTGTTAGTTTATTTTGTGAAACTGTGATTACCACAATCCTTGGACTTCATTCAATGTTTACCTGGATTCAGGACTCGATATCAATTTTTGTTTCTATCACATATTTAAATTGTTCACAAAGCCTGGAACAGAGTAAGTCCCTAGCTGAAAGCTCTCTGTGCTAAGTGATCTTGCAGAATACTCATTTTTCTGACATGTATGTTACAAATGCATTTCCGAGTTATTTGTTGGTCATTCGATTTTGTTTTTGTGATTGTTTTCTACAGAGGATTTTCCAGGTTGACATGACTAAGTTGGCTTCTAGGTTTTATGCTTTACTGAGAAGAGCCTATTCCACCCTAAAATTGTAAAATAAATAAATTCCAAACATGCTTTCTTTTAAAACCCGTATAATTTTATTAATTTTTTAACATTTTAATCATGGTCTCCTGGACTCCTTTTTTTCTTTTCTTTTTTTCTCCTCCTCCTCTTCTTCCTCCTGCTTTCTCTTCTTCTTCTCTATCATTTGTTCTCCTTGTTGTTGCTGCTGCTGTTCTACAGAGAGAGGGCATCTCTGAACAAGACCGCTGAAGCTGAGAGCTGGAAGGAGCTGAGTGTCTTCTAGTCTCTCCCAGGAGGGAAGAGCTGTGCTGATGGACAAGAGGACAGGTTGGACACTGTGCTGATGGACAAGAGGACAGGTTGGTCACTGTGGACTTAGCTGACTCCAGGTACCACATCCAGTGATCTTTGTCTTGAATATTAGTTACCTGCTCCCTTGGAGATGTGGCTTCTCTCTCCCTATAGATTGTATGGATTTTATGCTTCTTACCATTTTTGTTTACGTGGACATCATCATGCAAGTCCTTACCTGTGCTCTAGATGTTAGAAAAATGAGAAGGCATGTTCATCTTGGAAAAATGAAGCCTAAATCCTAGACAATCTGGGGACTGGCAGCCCAGCTCCATTGCAGAGCCTGAGACTGAGTGCTGGGGAGTTACATGGGACGTCACTCCTCCCCCACAGGTCTGTCCTTCCTAAGCTCCCAATCCAATGCTCCTAAGAGTAAGCCCGACTCCATCTTGCCTGTGAACAGGAAGTCAGTTGTTTGGTTTCAGGTGGATTTCTGCATTTCCCTTTTGAAGAGAGATTCCCAGTCCTCTGAGAAAGGGCAGGCAGCTGAGGAATAGCACTTGTCCCAGCCCTGCCCCAGGACACAGTCTCTATAAGACAAACATAACTCCTGAAGCCTAAACAGATCCTACTTTTAGTGACTGCAATAAGCTAACCAGGTCTGTTTCAGAACAGCAAACACCAGGAGGAATGCCAGGCTCCTGGTGTGGTCTCCAGCTCTTTCCTGCATCTTTCCAAAGGTGCTCACATTTACCTTATCTCGGCAGGTGCAGGGGTGTGTGTGTGTGTGTGTGTGTGTGTGTGCAGGCCAAGGGAGGAGAGGCAGAGAGGAGAAACTGTGTTCTGCTCCATGCATAGAAATTTAGAGAAATGGAAAGATGATGGATGAAGGATGAATACATGGATTATTGCAAAACTTTGATTTGTTTTTTACCTGTTTGCCAAAAGATTAGGGTGATGTATGGATTAGCATTCACAACTTAATAAAGCAAAAGAGGTATCACTTGCCATAAGTAAAAGGTAAATGTAAAAGCAAATACACCAAGAAGTTTGGCCATGGCTTCAATCCTCTTTCTACTGCTAGTGGGGCTTGTATTCGAGATGTTAAGCAAAAGAATGAGATTTTTCTCATCCCTAGAGTTACTCAGGTTTTAGCATTGGGTAAAGGACTTTCTCTTACTATTTCAGAGCTGGTTTTTTTTAAAAAAAGACATTGGGATATGTCGTTGTCTTATTCTAACAAAAGACAGCAATGCCAAATGTTTCCTCAAAACGTTATTTTCTCCTGGAAGCAAACTCAAGAAAGAATTTCTCATATGGTCTTGGTTTGATGTGACAAGATGATCAAGTAATATTTTACAAAAGATATGAAGCTATAGTTCGACCTTGAGATTTTGAGACTTTTATAATAAACATGCAAAAATAAGGGGCATAGGTGATGGGATTTTGTTTTCTGATAACTTTATACAGTAATTACAATAAAAAAAAGAAGATAAATAGCTAACATGCCCATTAAGTCATCTGTCTAAAACATCAATCTTCTCTACTCAACAATTTTCTCTACTTGACAGTCCCTAGATTCTAATCAACTCCTGTTCAAATTTTTACAATTAGTGAATGTTATGGACTGAATGTTTATGTTCCCCCAGATTTAATATGTTGAAGCCCTCATCCCCAGTATGGCTATATAGAGAGATAAGGCCTCCAAGGAAGTAGTTAAGGTTGAATTAGGTCATAAGTAATTAAGGTTAAATGTTCTGATCTTATAAGAGCACCAGTTCTATCAGATTAGGTAAGGTCCTGATAAGAAGGGACCCCAGAGAGCTCCCTGTCTCTACACGTACACACCGAAGTGATGACAGATGGAGAAGACGGCTATCTGCAAGCCAAAAGGAGGGACCTCGTCAGCACCCAAACTCTGATGATACATTGATCTTGGACTTTTAGCCTCCAGAAATGTGAGAAAATAAATTTCTGTGGTTTCAGCCACCCAATTGATGGTATTTTGTTATGGCAGCTTGAGTAGCCTAATGCACGAAATGAATAGATCATTATTTATAGATCTTGTTTCACCTCCATCTTCCCCACTAGAATGTAAGATTATTGTGGACAGAGATTTCTGTCTTCATCGCTAATTGATGTATCCTCCGTGTTAATAATGTGGCTTGCACTCGATTATACTCCACAAGTGTCTGTTAAATGAACAAATGTTCCAGGACTGCAACAGAATCCTCTTCGAATTGTGCTCATTTTGCTCCTCTCTTTCTCTAACACCGTCCCTTCTAGCTTGCACCCCAGAGTGCCTCTGTTGCTAATGGAAGCTGTTTCTTAAGTTTCTGCAATGTATTGATGTTCAGCATAGTTTTTGGTGCTATTTATATTAGATTACTGTTGTTAAATATATCCTGGTCAGTACTGGATTTCAGCTAGAAGTGGGAATCCATTCTTAGACACATATTTGTTATATTTTATACATTCCTTGAAAAGCCAGCAATGATGAGGTGTGTTTTGGAATTGGGCTGTGCCACTTAGCACATGCCCCACAAGTTAGATTACTTAATGTCAGCACCTTTTCTCATCTGAAAGTGAAGATGGGACCTCCTTGGCAACAGCATGGCTGAAAGGGTTAAACAATATCTCAAATGCGCAGCCTGCAGTTATGCACAAGGAGAGAGGCCACTGGAGTCACAAAATGCAACTTTCTTGTGAGTCTCATCTTCCTTTCCCATCATTTCTTTATCTTGTCTTAAGAAGTTGCCGTTCCCAATGTCTAAGTTGAACTTTAGTAAGTTGAGTACTTTAGGTTTAAGTTGGTTGGCAATTTATACACCAAAAACATCGCATTCCCTTGCATATGTTGGTGGAACTTCCAAAGTGAATATTACCACCAGAAAATAATTTACACATGAAAAAAATTAACAAATTATACTGGATGAAATAATAATACTTCTGTTTTACATACAGTGAACACTTTATTTGTGATTGGCACTATGTTTGGTTCAGGGGTGCAAAATTAAGGCGAAACCAAAACCACAACCCCCACTGGAAGCACTAAACAGGTGATAGAGTGTGGCTATTTATTCCCACCAAATCTCAAGTGGAATTTTCATCCCCAGTCTTGAAGGTGGAGCCTGAGTGGAAGTATATGGATCATGGGGGCTGATCCTTCATGAATGGTTTGGGCCATCCCTTTGGTGATAATTGAGTTCTCATTTTGAGTTCACAAAAGATCTGGACATTTAAAAGTGTGTGGCACCTCTGCCTCACTCTGTTTCTTGCTCCTGACTTTGACATGTGACCTGCCTGCTCCCACTTTGCCTCCTGTCATGACTTGAAGATTCCTGAGGCTCTGCAGAAGCAGATACCAGCACTCTGCTTCCTGTACAACCTGCACAACAATAAGCCAATCAAACTCTTTTCTTATCCATTACCCATCCTCAGGTATTTCTTTATAGCAGTGCAAGAATGCCCTAAACAAGCATGGGAGTGGGTGGGAGGGTTAGAGAATGTTTTTTGACTCATTTTGCCCCTTCTTCATCATTCATGCTGCTTCCAGGAACATTTTTCTCCTCAGAGCACAAATTCAAAAACAAACCAACAAGCAAAGGAATAGTTTGTATTTACTATTCATTTTTTTGGTTTGTTTACTTTCAAAACAACAGTTTGTAGCTTCAGTGTGAGGGAAGCCATGGATGGAATTTTCCCGTAGTGATCCACAGAAAGAAATGACCAGGAGAACATGTCCACCAGGTACTGCCTCGCTGAAGGACCCTTGGCCAACCCAAGAGGGCCACATGGAGAGGAAGGGCGGTCCGCCACAGACCACTGTGAATGGCCATGCCGAAAGCACTTGGGCAGTGAAGTCATCTGCCAACCACTCCAGCAAGAACACTCTGGGGACAGATGCCAGCCATACAAGGAACTGCTCTTCTTGACACACAAAAGAAAGCAAGAGTGGCATAGAGGAGATGCTTCAGCTCCTATAGTCCAGCACTCAGTAGGACTGTGCAGAAGAGAGCTCAACCATTAAGAGGTGCACCTGCAGGCAGAGGCCTGTCACATGTCACAGTCAACAAAAGCACAAAAGTGATGGCAAACCCTTGGGGGGTAGCCAGCCACATGCTACAGTGTGCACACCCCTGAGCAGTGGAGCCGCTGGAGATGGAGACACTGGGAGAGTTTTTACCCCATCATGAGACCAACTCTTAGACAGCAACTGGAACTTTACAAAGCTGTGTCTAGACCTACGCTACAGACTGAAGTCTCTATCGCAGTTCCCATGAGCAGTGAATTGGCAGCACCTCAACAGACGGCTTTGCTTTCCCACTCTAATCACGATCTGTATGACGGTGATAATGGTCATTTCTTTAGAGAGCCCATGTGATTTTTTTTCTTGAGGGCTCGTCAGTGTTCTTTACTTGAATTGATACCATATGGTCATCCAAGTGCTGTGATCTACCAGAATGATCTTTCTGTTGCCACGGCTCTGCAGCTATTGACTTTCCAGCTAGGTTGACAAGAGAGGTTCAATGTGCAAAATACATTTTAGTGCCTTCATAAGCATGTATTATAGTTTTCTATTTGGCATTGACTTAGAATTTCAGGGCAGGTACACAAGGTTACTCTCCTTGTAAATTTAGAGAAGACTCAAGAGTTTGTGCCCAAACCCCATGGTAGTAGCTCAGTGTGGTATTCATAGAGTTGGGCTTCACTGTGTCTGTGGCTGAGGTGGTGGGCATGGCTTAAAGATCTCACAAGATGTGCCAGAGTGCTTAGGACACAGTGGAGATTAAAAGAGGTAACTGCTATGATTGATGACCATTTGGGGATGAGACTTACCTAGTGAAGCTTTGTTGGACATGCAGCATAACTTCTCTTTTATGAATGTGTCTGCACCCATGGCTGTGTCTTCAAAGCTGGACTTCCTGTAGATGTACCCATCTGAAGGTGTGATGATTTTGGAGTGTGTTTTCTAAAGTCTTACTAACCACACACGTAGAAGTAATAATGGCAACAAAGACAGTTGTTGACCCCACACTTCTTTGTCATGTTGACATTTACTATCTCATGGAAACTCCGTGGGAAAAGTATTCTTATTGTCCCAGTTTTTCAGATAATAAAATGAAGGGTCATCCAGGTAATTGATGGCAGATACAATACTAGCCTTGTGCACTTCTCTTCATCATAATCAGAGCAAAGAGGGCTGTGAGGTCAGAGGATGGGGCCAGGCATTTTCTTGGTACCTCTAAAGAAAAGTCTGCATCTGGCCATGCTGAAACCAAAGCAGTGAAGAGAGAGGCTGGAATATGACTACGGCATTTCTGAGTCTGGCTCTTCCAAGCTATGTTCTTGAATTTGCCCCGCTGAGGCCTTGGCAGCCCATGATGCATGAACTACTGCCTATTTGAAAATAGAGCAGTATCTAAATACAGAGAGAGTAAATCAAATGCGGGTAATTTCTGCTCCAGCCAGGAGGTACGACAGGGCTCCTTGACTATGAGTTTTGTTCTTTGTGATATTCTGACTTATGTTAAGAGGCATAAAATAAAGTTCAAAGAGGATTCTTGACACATTCCTCATGTCTCCTTCATTATGGTTCTACGAATTTCAACAACTTGGTATGTAGACTTCGTCTTTCACTTGACGTTAACAATACC
Organism: Homo sapiens; assembly: GCF_000001405.40. Lineage (NCBI taxonomy): Eukaryota > Metazoa > Chordata > Mammalia > Primates > Hominidae > Homo > Homo sapiens. Next base: position 4,065,639 of record NC_000005.10, read on the forward strand.
ATGAGTGAGGGTGACATCGCCCACCTCTGGTAAGAATGTATGCCTGGAAGTGAAATGCAATGGCACGGGATACTCATGAACCAAACTGAGCTCTGTTAAAACCAAACTGTGGAGCCTGAAGAGTGGTGAGGAGCAAGGAGTCTGAGACGACAAAAAGGGGATGAAAGGTGCTGGAGAAATCAGGTCAAGTCTTCATGTGTTTAAGAAAATAAGTCAAGTTTACTGTAAATAGGAGGAGGAGGACTGCTCAGTGGAACAGAAGTCTAGCACTTTGCCCTGAGCTCTGCACAGGCAAGAAAACTGCTGTCAGAGAGACACTGAGCACGGAGCCAAAGAATGCACCCCTGGTGGCCTCTGCAGGCTCCTCAGATGGTTACAGGCTTGCTTCTAGACAGCGTGGCTCTCCTGGCAGAGATTTGGAATCACTCAGGGGCACAGGGGAATGTTTCCATGCAAACTGTGAGTGGGTCGAGTGTGGGCAACCCTTTACAGTGAGGCCTATGCCTCGCATTTGACACACCAGTGCAGCTACTGATGAGAAAAAATGGTTTTGACAAGTTCAAGATCCTTCCAAACCAGTCTCCTCCCCAGGCCTGAGGCATGTGGTATGAGAAGGGGGACGTAGACACTGACAGGGCCAAGATAACATAAAGCAGTTCCCTTCCTGGACCATCAATCTCCACGAGAAGCTGGGAGAGTGGACACGTTCACTGCTTTTCGTCATGGTACTGTTTCTTTCTTTCTTTTTAATCCCCTGTTAGTTATATGATTAAGGTACTTTTGCCTGACCTTGGGACCTCTCAACAACCAGTATGTTGCCTTAAAATGAATTCAGCTTCAAAACATTTGACCTATGAATATCCTCACCATTTAACCTGTTATACAAAGACCATCCTAACTCAATCACGCATTACCCTGGGCTGCCTTCTAGGAAACGCTCGTGGTGCATATAGGAGAAGAAAGACAAAAAGTCTGATGACACCAGATACAATCCCTCTTAAATATTTATTATTGACCTTCATTTCATAGTAAAGAATAAATTGCTGTTAATGATGTAAGTGGAAAGGAGAAACTAGTCTACATCTATACATAAATAAGGGCTGAGTGCACTAAAATATCTGTTTTGTTGATGTATGTTTCATAATTCACTCTGCCTTCTACAAGACAATGTTTAAAAACACTAAGCATGCCAACTGGCATACAGCAGGCACTTAGCAAACCTATTGTTGATTTTGGCACTTAACAACCTGCGTTGATTTTGAATAATTAATGATGTTTAATAGTGAATTTCTTTTGGATTACTTTGTTAGCAAACAAAAATGTATTTTAATTATGGTACCTTGCTGCTAAAAATAAGATATAAATTCTCATCAATAGGCAACCATTTCTTTGATCTCCTGTAGAGAAAACATTAATTGCTGCATTCAAGCTCAATATCATTTACCAGTGGCCAGATATACCCAGTCATTTCAACACTAAGGAAACAAATAAGTCACCCTTGACAATTTATAAACCTTCACTCACAGATTTTCTAAACTCTTTTCTTGTTTTCTATCTGTTAAAGTTTTCTTCAGCAGGAATGTTTTCCTTTATAAATCATCTTGTTAGAGGATGACTGGCCCCTCCACACAGCGAGAACCAGCGGGGAAGCCAGGTGTGCAAGGGACCCTGATGGATGACAAGAGCTGTTATCCTTCCCAGCAGCCCCAGAAGAAAAATGGATGACTTGGCTTGCTAGAGGCTTGAAGGATAAGGAAACCTATGAGCTCTATGGAAACATAGGATTTTGAGGGATCAACCCCAATTAGGGAGGTGACTTAAGCCAACCAGCAATAATAACAAATTGTGAAAAATAAAATATCAGAAAGTCATTGGAAAACGAGGAAGAAATTTTTTCCCTTTATGGTTTAAGTATTAGAAAGCTGAGAGATCTATTAGAGAAGATCGCAAAGAGTCAATCTAAGCCACCATATTTTCTTGAGTTATGTTATGTAATCACTGTGAATATTGATGATCTACATTTCCATTTGATTTTCAGCATTTGCTTTTTTACAATCTTTTTCTCTGATCATCTGAGCTAGCAAAATGAAAATATGCAGCAATAGGCTTAAGTTATATTTTCCTCACACATATCACATGGAGATCCCTGTGATAATGTGAAGCGGAGATTGAAAATTGATTGAAAAAATATTAAGAAAAATACCACATCTGCACAAAACCCTTTAAAAAGCCAAACATTTCCCCAGGACCCTATAATTGAAAAATAAGGTAAAGAAAGTCATCTGTCATGATGTTTTTAAAGATGAAATACTTGCGACCTCATTCCTGCCTTGGTCGGCAGAAGCGTGCTCCTCCAACAGAAGCCAGGGGAGACCAAAAAATAACCACCTTAGCTTCTTAAAGTGTAGCTTCTAGTTTATGAAAGCTCGTTTTGTCTTCATCAACTTCAACATGCATGTCTTTTAAAAAGATCAAAACACACATACTGTCCGTAGCTGGGATTCTTGGCCAGCTTAAAAATTTAAACTGAAGGGGCAATGGTGTCTGGGTTTTATTAAAGTCCAGGATACACACATTCCTCCTGTCCCGGGAATTGGTCAAAAAGCAAGTGACAGGCAAACAGAGAGCTCTCACCTCATTTATAATGGAGAAATACTTGATTGTAGAGCCATGTTTCAAAATGTACAAGTTCGAACTTGCACCTGATGAAGACCGGGCGTACAGTGGGGTGAAGTGCATTAGCGTGCCAGCATCAGCACCGACCCAAGCCAGGGTCATGTGTTCAACATTGTGGCAAATTGGATACACAGGGTATGTGTTCATTTTTATCTGGCCATGAAGTTTTGGTTTATAGGCATGTCAGGGAGCAATAACCTAATGACCCCTCAGTGTCCTGGAGCCTTGAAGCAGGGTCTTAGTTCTGATGAGATTTTGGATGTCAGCACAGGGGAGACAGAGCTAAAGTGAATAAATTCCACTGTGTAAAAGTGGTAAGTATTTTCTAAAAATCGTCTCTGAAGGCAAAAGACTCATCTCCAATGACTGGCTTTGTCATGCGAGTGTAGACGCGGCTAAAGAGAACACTAGCAGGGCAATTTAGATGAAAAATTGGCCTCATTGATTGATTTTGCAGTTACCTAATCAAAATTACTAGATTCAATTTTCTTAAAACACACTGTGTGAAGCTGATCACCTCTCTTCTATTTTGAAAATGTTCATAAACTCAAACACGGGGTAAAAGCAAATTTGATCTGACAGGACCTAAGGTTGGCTGAGAAACGACGCTGCAAATATTTCTCCTTCCCCAGCTGCTCGGTGAAAGCTTGATAACAAACGATAATGCTTGTGGGGTAATGGATCACCTCCAGGGGCCCCGGGCCCTGCCAGCATAACGCCCGCATTCACTCTGTTTGCAACACTTCCTCTCTCCCTTCTCTACCTGTTATTTATTCCACCTGATATATCTTCCTAGATTAGCTTCATGAACACCTGGTCAATTTCGAGGATGCTTGTGGAGGAGAGAAGGATCCCAACGATGTTCAGCTGCCTGTTTTGGCAGCACACAGTTTGGGTTCTAAAATGCAGAGGCTGACGTGTTCTTTATTCCCTCACGTTCTTCCGTAAGACTGGCCATTGTGCAGCTTTTATTCTACTTCATAGCTGCACCCTGTATTGTTCTGGCACTCTGGTTTTTACTTGCAGAAGCAAAAATGAATATGGCCAAACCAAAATACAACCCCATTCCCAGAAGACACACATCATCCCTGTGGTGGGGCTCAGCTGCAGCACCACTGCAAACAAAGGGCAGTGCCCGCAGACTCCATGACCCGGACATGATGTGTATTGGAATATACAAGCATGTGAGCACCTAGCTTCTCTATTTATTTGAGTAATCATACTCTATGTTTGTTCATTTTCAGTGAATAAAAATTTACATTGTTAAAGTGTATTCATAAATAAGTCTCATTTGATGCATCTCTCAGGAGAACCCAGTTAAGGTTTTAAATATATATTTTCCAATTTTTCTTTAAAATTTAATGCTTATTTAAGCATATGTGTAATACTACATGAATGCAAAAATGCACCATTTTTCCCTTTTCTTGTGTCCCATTTTCCTTCCTCCTGACTTCCATATATGGCAATCAGTATCACCTAATATCAAAATAATGTATCTTTATTAGTTGCCTGTAAATGTAACAAGTCATCATAAACTTCACTATCTCACTGTTTCTGCAGGTCTGGGGATGGCTTTGCCAGGTTGTCTGCTAAGGTCTCACAACACTGACATCCAAGTGCTGGCTGGACTGTGTCCTTATCTGGAGACTTAATGGGGGTAGGACCCACTTCCAAGGCCCACAGGTTACTGGCAGGATTCATTTTCTTTTTATTGCAGAATTCATGCCAGCTTGACTCTTCAAAGCCAGCAAAGGAGAGAGTCTCTGCTGCTTTAAATTCCTTTCTTCTAAACCTGCTTTTAAAGAACTAACAGAAGCTGCCAGGTCCACCTAGGTGAATACAGTTTGATGAACTTAAAGTCAATGGATTGGGGATCTGTTTTAATCTCTTTGGGCTGCTGTAAAAAAATACCTTAGACTAGGTAATTTCCAAAGAAGACGCATTTGTTTCTCACAGTTCTGGAGGCTGGGAGGTCCAAGACCAAGGCGCTGGCAGGTTTAGTGTCTGGTGAGGGCCTCCTCACTGATGGTGCTATCTAGGTGCCTGCACAGGGCACAAAAGATAGAATGCCCAGGCAGCTCATTCAAGCCTCCTTTCTAAGACTTTTCGTTAGTTAATCCCATTCACCTGGCAGAGCCCTGGTGACTCAATCACGTCCCTAAAGATGCCACCACTAGAATCCTACCATGATAGGGATTGAGTTTCCACACGGATTTTACAGGGTTTCAAATGTTCAAACCACAGTAGGACCTTGATTGTATCTACAAAATCCTTCACTTTTACCATATAACGTAACAAAATCACAGCAGTGATAGCCGGGCATCTTTGCCATATTGGATTTGTTAGAAGCACATTGCAGAACCCATGCTTATGCAGAGGAAGAAATTGCAAAATATCCTAGATGCTGCTTGCCAAACATCCTTCTATATTTTACATGCATTGATAACATCAAAATTTATATGTCTTAACATATAGGTCCCTACACTGACAGTGCCCTAACAGTTGTCATTGCTGTCCACAGAACACAAAGCTTTATCCTGAAACCCACAACAAGCCTTTGCCTAAAGACTGTGAAGTCCTGTGCAGCAGGCCTGAAGGAGGGCAACTGACTAGAATCAGGTGGTGAGCATCCAAGCTCCACTTATATTTGGTCGTGACCACTGTGAGGTTCATTCCTCTGTCTCACAATACCTGGCAGGACTGAGTCCTAGGTTTTAGAGGTAACATCCTTAAAAATACACCTTGTCTCAGCTGTTCCCTTCCCTGTCTCATTTCCACAATCCTCTCCTGGGCCTTCCTGAGGTCATTTCCCAAATGAAGCACCTGCCCGTGCGTTCCTGACTGAGCTCTGGACCTGGGGAGCCCACATAACACAGCTGTTGTTACCTTTACAAACAGGGTCTTGGGAAGTGCACCCTCAGCATGGGTGTAGGAACTAGAGCTACTCTAACAATGTACCACAGCCGGGGCAGCTTAACAGAAATGTATCATCTCACAGGTCTGGAGGCTGGAAGTTGGAGGTCAAGGTGTCTGCAGGCTTGGTTCCTTCTGAGACTGTGAGGTAAATTCTGTTCCATGTCTTTCCCCCGGCTTCTGGTGTTTTGCTGACAATCTTTGGTGATTTTTAGCTTGTAGAAGCATCACTGCAATCTCTGCCTTCATTCTTACATCGCATTCTGTGAGTGTGTGTGTGTGTGTGTGTGTGTGTGTAAGTGCATGTTCAAATTTCCTCCTTTTAAAAGGACAAAGAAGCATCTTTAATAATGCTTGTGCATAGAACAAATTATTTATTAAAGAAGCTTCTTTGTCCTTATAAAAAGTCATAGTGTTCAATAGCACAATAAGGCAACTATAGTTAAATAATTTATTATATATTTTCCAAAAGCTAGAAGAGAGGATTTTGAATGTTCCCATCACAATGAAATAATGAATATTTAAGGCAATGGATAACCTAATTGCCCTGATTTGATTTTTACACATTGTGTGCTTGTATCAAAAATCTCATGTGCACCCAAAGTTACTGTAACTTTACTGTATTTGTTTATTAGTTAAAACGATGTTGGATGAAATCTTTAGTGTTTTCTACATATGAAATTATGTCATCAGCAAAAAGTGACAATTTCATTAAAAAAACTTTTTTTCTTTGGATGACTTTTATTTCTTTTTATTTCTTTCTTTTGCCTAATTGCTCTGGCAAAGACTTCCAGTATTATGTTAAATAGAGGTGGTAGATTTTGTTTTAGATCTTAGAGAAAAGAGTTGCAATGTTTTACCGACTGAGTATGATGTTCTCTGTGAGTTTATCATATATGGCCTTTATCATGTTGAGATACATTGTTTCTATACTTAATTCATTGAGTGTTTTTATAATGAAATGATGTTGAATTTTATCTAATTCTTTTTCTGTACCTAAGGAGATGATCATAATTTTTGTCTTAAATCCTCTTAATGATTTGCATAATTTGAACCATCCTTGCATCTCAGGAATAAATTCCACTGGATCATGGCTAATGATCCTTTTGCTGTGTTGTTGAACTTGGCTTGCTGGTATTTTGTTGAAGACTTTTGCATCTATGTTAATCAAGGATATTAACCTACAGCTTTTCTTTCCTTGTGATGTCTTTTTCTGATTTGGTGTCAGTGTAATGTGGGCCTCATAAAAAATGTTCGGAAGTATTTCCTCCTTTTTGACTTTTTGGAAGCTTCTGATGGATTGGAATAAGTTCTTTAAATATTTGATACAATTCAACATGAGGCCATCAAAGCCTGGGCTTTTTTCTTTTTTTCTTTTTTTTTTGAGATGGAGTCTCCCTCTGTTGCCCAGGCTGGAGTGCAATGGTGCGATCTCACTCACTGCAACCTCCCCCTCCCGAGTTCAACTGATTCTCCTGCCTCAGCCACCCGAGTAGCTGAAACTGCAGGCACATGCCACCACTCCCAGTTAATTTTTTGTACTTTTAGTAGACACGGTATTTCACCGTGTTAGCCAGAATGGTCTGGATCTCCTGACCTCGTGATCTGCCCGCCTCAGCCTCCCAAAGTGATGGGATTACAGTCCTGAGCCACCTCAAAAGCCTGGGCTTTTTTTAGATGGAAAACTTATTACTGATTTAATCTCCTTACTAGCTATTGGTGTCTTCAGATTTTTTATTTTTAATTATTCACTCTTGATAGGTTATATGTTTCTAGAAATTTATTCATTTATTCTAGGTTATCCAATTTTTTGACATAAACATACCTGGTCCTAATAGTCTCATGATTTTCTGTAGTTCACTGGTATCAGTCATAATGTCTCCTCTTTCATTCTTTTAATTTTATTTGAGTCTTCTCTCCTTTTTTCTTAGTCTAACTAAAGGTTTGTCAATGTTGCTTATCTTTTAAAAAACAATTTTTGGTCTTATTGATCTTTTCAATCATTTTTTTATGGCCTTTATTTCACTTATTTCTACTTGGATCTTTATTATTTCTTTCATTCTGTTGACACTGGGCTTAGTTTGTTCATTTTTCATTTCTTTGAAGTCTAGTGTTTGTTTGAGATCTTTCTTTTTTTATATAATTGTTTATTGCTGTAAATGTTCCTCTTAAAACTGTTTTGCTACATCTCATAAGTGTGAGCTTTTATGGTGTGTGTGTTTTCATTTTCATTTGTCTCATGATATTTTTACATTTTCTTTTTAATTTCTTTTGGCTTATTGATTGTTCAGGATCCAGTTGTTTAATTTCTATGTACTTGTTAATTTTCTGAATTTTTTTCTGTTATTGATTTTTTGTTTCATACCATTGTTGTCAGAAAAGATCATGGATATGATTTCCATCTTCTTAAATTTGCTAAGACTGGTTTTGTGGCTTAACCAGAGATCACAATAGTGATCTATTCTAGAAACTGTTCTAGTTGTGTGCTTAGTAAGTTATCATATTCTGTTATTGTTGGATAGAATATTCTATGTGTGTCTCTTAAGTCAATTTGGTCTAAAGTATTGTTCAAGTTCAGTGTTTCCCTATTAGTTTTCTGTCTGGATGATCTATCCATTATAGAGGATGTGCTTTTGAAGTCCCCTACTATTACTGTATTGCTCACTACCTTCAGACTCTTTCATATTTGCTTTATATATCCCATGTAGGGTGCATATTGATTTATAATTATAAGAGCCTCTTGATAAATTGGCACCATTATCTTTGTATAATTTCCTTCTTTACCTCTTTTTAAGGTTTTTGACTTTAAGTCTCTTTTATCCGATATAAATATAGCCACACTTACACTCTTTTGATTTCTATTTCTGTGAAATCGTTTTTCATCTCCTCACTTTTAGCCTCTGTGTATCCTGAAAAGCAAGGTGATTATCTTGTAAGGAGTATATAGCTGGGTCTTTTTCATCCATTCTGTTACTATATGTCTTTTTATTGGATAATTGAATCCATTTGCATTTAAGATAATTATTAATAGGTCAGAAATTTCTACTGTCATTTTTTGTACATATTTTGTCTTTCTCCCTCTCTTGCTGTTTTTCACTGTGGTTTGATGATTTTCTATAGAGGTATGTTTCCATTCTTTCTATTATATTGTATGTGTGTCTGTCTGTCCGTGTGTGTGTGCACGCGTGCACGCATCTACTATACATTTTTGCTTTGTGGTTATCATAAGGTTACATAGAACATATTACAACAGTCAATTTCAAGCTCATCATTATGATTGCATACAATTCTATACTTTTATTTCACCCTTATTTTACTATTTTTTTTTTCTTGAGACAGAGTCTCACTCTGTCTCCCAGGGCAGTGGACAGATTTCGGCTCACTGCAACATCCACCTCCCAGGTTCAAGCGATTCTCCTGCCTCAGCCTCTTGAGTAACTGGGATTACAGGCATACACCACCATGCCCAGCTAACTTTTTGTATTTTTAGTAGAGCTAGGGTTTCACCATGCTGTCCAGGCTGGTCTCAAACTCCTGACCTCAGGTGATCTGCCTTCCTCAGCCTCCCAAAGTGCTGGGATTCCAGGCATGAGCCACTGCACCTGGCCCTTATTTAACTTTTTGATACCAGAATTTACATCACTTTCTACTATGCATTTCCTGACTATTTCAGCTATAGGTGTAGTTAGTAGTTCTGTAATTTAACCCTTGTACTAGAGCTAAAATTGCTTTATACACCACTGTTGCAGTCCTAGAGTTTCCGGAATATGGCTCTATATTACTTATATCATGAAGTTTTGTGCTTTTGTAGCTTTTAGGATATTAATTAGTGGCTTCGTGTTTCAGCTTAAGAAAACTCCCTTTCAGCTGTGTCTGTAAGGCAAATCTAATGGTATAAACTTCCTTACCTTTTGTTTGTCTGCCAAAGTTTATATTTCTCTCTCATTTTGGAAATACAGCTTTGCAGAATGAAGTATTCTTGGTTGGTCATTTTTTGGTTTTCTTTTTCTTTTTTTTTTTTTCACCTCTTTGAATATATCATCCCTCTCCCTCCTGGCCTGAAGGGTTTCTGTTGAGAAATCACCTGATAGTCATGTGGGGACTCCTTTATATGTGGTATGTTTCTTATCTCTCATGACTCTCAGAATTTTTTTCTTTGTCTTTGATTTTGGATAGTTTCTGGTGAACTCTTCTTTGAGTTAAATTTTACTGGAGATCTCTCAACTTCCTGTACCTGGATGTTGGCATCTTTCCTCAGATTAGGAAGATTTTCAACCATTATCATTTTACATATGCTTTCTGACTCTTTTTCACTACCTTCTTCTTAAATTTCTATCATGTGCATGTTAGTTCTGTTGATGGTGTCCCATAATTCTCATAGGCTTTCTTCATGCTTTTTATTTATTTACTTTTTGTTCTTCTGATTGGATAATGTTAAAGGTCCTGTCCTCTAGCCAACTGAATTCTTCCTTAGCTTTATGAAGCCGGCTGTTGAGGCTTTCTTTTGCAATTTTCAGTTCAGTCATTGTATTCATCATTGCTAAAATTTTTATTTTTTATTGTTTCTATTCATTCATTAAACTTGTTTTGTTTATGCATTGTTTTCCAAATTTCCTTTAGTTTTATTATTTTGTGTTCATTGTTGGAGCTTATTTAGTTTCTTCTGGAAGTATCATGAGTTCTGAGTCTTTACAATCTTTGTATCTTTGTGCTGGTATCTGCCCATTTGAGAAGACAGCCACATTTTCCAGCTTTTACAGGTGTTCTTCATCAGGCATAGACCTCCATTACTTGGTTTAGCTGGTAATAATCCTGGACAGAGGCCAAGGCAGGAGGATTGCTTGAGCTCAGGAGTTCAAGACCAGCCTGGGCAAGATGGCGAAACCCCATCTCTACAAAAAATTAGCTGGGTGTGGTGGTGCATGCCTGTAGTCCCAGATACTTAGAAGGCTGAGGTGGGATGATGGCTTGGGCCCAGGTGGTGATTGCAGTGAGCCAAGATGATACCATTGCATTCCAGTCTGGGTGACAGAGCCAGACCCTGTCTCAAAAATAAATAAAGAAAGAAATGTAAATACAAATAAAATAACCCTGGACAACGAGCTTTCTTTCAGGGGTTCTCTAAATGGCTGGGCTGCTGCTTGGCTCTGAGTTTGGATGGGACAGCCGGCTTGGCTCTGCTACCTGGCAAGACCATTGGCTGAGCTCTGGAATCAGGCTGTGCTGCTGGATGGTCACTACAATTGCCCCAGATTGAGTTGGGTCACAGGGTATATTCTCTGGCCAGGAGGTACCACTACTTAAGTTTGGCAGTTGAACAAAGTTGGAGGCAGGGCCTGAGGTTAGGTTGAGTTACTGATTAGAATGGGTGGAATTATCTGCTATGCTCAGTAGAAAAGCACAGTTGGGCTTTTCCTTCCTGCCTGGGTGAAACATTGGGTGGGCTTTGAAGTTGCATGGTATGCTGTTCAATTCCCAGTTATAGAGCATCTTGTCCTACTTCTTTGCTAAAGTTTGCTGTGGCAGTTTTCTCCCTCCCTGGGTAGGGCCCACGGGTAAGGAATAAGGCTGGTCCTGGAAACCAGTCATCTAGGGATTCAAACCAGGTAGCACCTGTCTCCGTTTCTGGGAGTGACCAGCCCCTTTGCGGTGAGTTGTGCTGTTAGCTTGTATCTCTGATTGGGCACCACCAGTGGCAGGTATAGAGAGCTACCAGCAAGATTTTCATGCTGGTCACTGTGGGCTCTGCCTCCTTGCTTTCTTTCCTCCTGACCCCAGGTGATCCATCTGCCATTTTCTCCTATGTTCCCCTTGAGGAGAGATGAGGTGAGCTTCCTGGGAAGTGCCTTAGAAGGCTAGGGAAGCTGGAGGTCCTTCTCCAGGTCTGTTTTCTGGGAATCTTCTGCATGAGGCTCTGTGCTGACTTGGGGGAGGGAGAGAAGTGACTCAGTGAAAGTGAGACTCTATTTCTCTTACCTTTTCCATGCAGATTTTTTTCCATTCTATAGACCATAAACTTATTCCCAAGTTTAAGTATTTTAACTAAGGTGTTTTTGTCTGTGGATAGTTGCTAGTTAAACTTTCTGTAGGGGGACGTGAGGCCTGGCACGTCTTCTTCTGCCATCTTCCCGATGTCCTTCTTCAGAACAAACTTGTTTAAACCATATGATTCATCTGTTCAATGTTTGCTCTTTAATATAAGCAGATGAATTAATGGGCTTGTGTGTAACTGTTCATTAATCAACATGTATCTATCAACCCTCTATCTAGCTGTCAGTCTCTCCATGTGTCTATTATCTATCAATCACCTATTCATAAAACAACTGTTGTTAGACATTGGATACCAAGCAGCAGAGGAGCATAACTCCTGAGAAACGGGAAAAAACAAGATGGGTCTTTATTTTAGGGGGCACTTTTCAGGTAATGATGTAAAATGAAAACATAAGCAGGACACAGTAGTCTCACTGAGCTGAGGTGAGAAAAATTAGAACCCAAGAAGATGGAGGTATTTGAAATTTGCAGATCAAATCACTAAAAAAAGGGAGCAACATAGAGACAGAGCCTCGGAAATCCACATGGGGTCCCCTCGAATATTCACCTGAATGTCAGCCTACAACCTGTGTGTCAGGTCAGATAGAGGCTGGAAAATCAACAGCTACTGGGTAATTTTAAGGTTAACCACGCAAAACTATGAACAGGGCTCTGAGACGTTGAGCTCCAAATAGTCAACCTGGAAAGGCCTGGCCCAAGGCTGCTGGATGAGATGTCCGTGTAATTTTTCTGGATGACATCAAATTTTCTTTTACAGGAGCTATATAATGGGGCCTTTCAACTAGCAATAAGGGAAAAAGTACCTATTTCCAGAGAGCCTCAGCAACAGAATTTGTTGTCAAACTTTTGGGCATTTGCCAATCTGATAGTGAGAAGAGATATCCCCTGTAGTTTTGATTTATGTTTCTCTAATTATGAGGGAAATTAATGTCTTTTCATATGATTAAGCACTATCTGCATTTTTTTTACTATGATCTGTCTATTCATATATCTAGCTTATTTTGTCACTGGAATTTTTTCTATACTGTTAGAAGTTCTTTAGATATTAGAGGTATTAACTTTTTGTCATGATATGAGTTGCAAATTTTTTTCTAGTTTATTATTTCTTTTTCTAGCATACATATATACACATATATAATGTTTCTGCAAATCTTTTATTATATACCATCCATATAGTTTTATTTTTATTGTAAATATCTAAATGTTGAATTTAGAGCGTATTCTGATATAGGATGAGATAAATGGATTCGACTTTACCTTTTCATCTGATTGCCTATCTCATTATTCTAACATCACTTATTAAAAAGTCCGTTTGTTCCCATTGACTTAAAATGCCATCTTTATCATATATTAAGTATCTGCTTTCAATTGTGTCTATTTCTGGATATTCTATTCTGTTTCCTTCGTGTGTTTATCTAGCCATGAGCAATAGTCACTCCGTTTTCATTAATATGCTAAACTGCACAGTCATGCATTACTGAACGACAAGGATACATTCTAAGAAATGTGTTATTAGGCAATTTTTTTGCTGTGAAAAGATCATAGAGTGTATTACAGAAACCTAGATGGTCTAGCCTACCACAAACCTAGGCTATACGGTCCAACCTATTGCTCCTGGGCTACAAAGCTGTGCAGCATGTGACTGTATTGAATGCTATAGGCAGTTTCGACATGGCAGTCAATATTTGTGTATCTAGACATATTAAATGTAAAAAAAAGCAGTAAAAACACAGTACTATAATCTTATGGGACCACTGTTGTATATGCAGTCCATCGTTGACCAAAATATCGTTATGCAGTGCATGACTGTATTTTAATACTACTGCCCTTCTACTATTAAACTTGAAATTACATTGAACTTGCAAATTAACTTGTGGAGAACTGACGTTTGTGACATTGAGAAATCCTGTTCAGGAATATGGTGTGATTTTAGATAGACTCATGTTTCCTTTTTCTGTTTTCTAGTACAATGTTTTACTGTCAACTTTTAACACAGAAGAAAAAATGATCACTTTAAGTGTAAATCAAATTATGTTTTTTCTCTGCTCAAAATCTTAAAATAATGCTTCATCTCACTCAGAACTCTAGGCACTCCCAGGGGGCTACAAGTCCCTGTAGAATCCACTAGGTCGCTCTGTGACCTCTCAGCCTCTTTCCCTGACCCCCTTCTCCCTCTGTTCCTTGGTGGCTTCCACATTCTCACCTCAGAGCCTGGTGCTTCTGCTTCCATTTGCTCGGCATCATCCTCCCCCAAATATTTATTCACCGCCACAAGCCTTTGCTAAATGCTGTCTTTATGGTGAGGATTTCCTTGGTGATCTGCTTAAATGAAAGGCTTCTACCCTAGCAGCTCTGTCCTCCTCCCACGCCTTCTTATTTTCTGTCACTCTCATCACCTGATAATTACATATTATAATTTTCCTATTTGTCTATATCCAGTCCCTCCCCACCAGAGTGAAAACTTAATGAGCTAATGACTTATATTGAATTGAATTTGTTCTCACTGATGATCTCCCAAACCCCAGAACATTTTTGACACACAGAAGAGGCTCAACAATTGCTTCTCAAACAATGAAATGTACAATTAGCCCTAAAACAACCACTCTTTATGCCATAAATCTCTCTCTGAAAATCTGTTAAAAAACCAAAGTAAGCTAGTGAAGTGACCTGACCAAACAGGCATGACTCACTGACTTGCAGGAGACAGGGTTGCCCTTGTAAGTGACTTTTGTTTTCTCTCTTATCCTCATTCACCCTTTCCTCTCCCTGTCCTGGGTACAGATATTTATTGCAGGTTTAGAGATTAGCATTTCCAAGTCGTTACATGGAGAATTCCCTGCCCTTTTGTCCTGGGCCAGTTTGTCACTGCAAAGTGTCACAGTTTAATCTGATAAAGGCAATGCATTCTGCAAATAAATCCAGATCCAGCCATAATAATCAAACCTTAAAGGTAAATTAAGACTGTTTAATCACAAAGAAAGGCAGCTTCAGTCTGAGTGAAGTTTTATTTCCTTTGTACCATTAGAAGCATATCTGCACCTCTTCGCCAAACACATGCACATATATGCACATAGGCACATAGCCACACATGTGCACACACATAGGCACATAGCCACACATGTGCACACACATGCACACATATGCACATAGGCACATAGCCACACAAGTGAACACACACGCACACATATGCACATAGCCACACATGTGCACACACATGCACACACACAGGCACAAACATGCACATAAACATGCACTCATATACACACAGGCACACACACAACATCCTACACATGAACACACAGGCACACATGCACACCTTCACAAGGCACACACAAGCACACAAACGTGCACACCCACACACCATTCCACACATTCAGACACACACATGTATGAACATATGTGCACACATGCAGACATGCACACATGCACAAGGCACGCACAAGCACACACAATGTGTACATACACATGCAAACCTGCACAGTCCCACATATGCAGACACATGTATGCACAACTGCACACCTGTACAAGGCACACACAAGCACACACTGCACATGCATGTTCATGTGCACACACACACATGCACGCAGACACATGCACAGAAATACACACACATGCACAAATGTACACATATAGATGCACACACAGAGGCACCCACACAGGTGCACATGCACACCTGCACAAGGCACACATAAGCACACACATGCACAGAAACATGCATGCACATACATGGACACATGTATGCACATGCACACAGGCACACAGGCGAAGCTGTGCACACACAGGCACACTCAGAGAGAACATGATGAACTGACTGATTTGGTTCCCAAATCAGAGAAATTGCACTGTAGTTCTGAGAAGGCGTAGAGAGAATTCTCATAACTGCTGGGCGTCGAGGACCTTCCACGTAGAGTATGAGGTGTACAAGCCCAGGCAGCTGCTAGGAACATGGATGGGGGGAGGCAGGAGAGGAGGAAAGGAGCATGATGACCTCAGAAGGCCAGCTCTGTTGCCTGTTTGGGGACTAGGAGTTGGGGGATGTGTGGTGCTGGAGCTCAGCTGACAAGGCTCAGGGAACCTTGAAGGACAGAGCTTTGACTTGTCTTGCTTCCCTCATGGCAGGAAATGTTATGCCCGATTTGAGAGTTGAGCATGCACTTGATCCCAGAGCCACATGACACCCAGGCAACAGGCACCTAATATATACAGTCACATATTAATGAATACAGGAGAAATCTAGAATTAATTAATCAATATTAATACAACACAATGTGATGCAATATAATACAACACAAGTGAACACTGCAAATAACAAACAAGGGCACCTCCTGGTTGCAGTGCTCCTCTGACCCACTGCAGCGCTCTCCCTTGCAGGACCTCATGCCTGCCTTCCTGCTGAGAGGGTCTTGGGGGCGGTCCTGGGAAGCCCTGGACACGCGCTGTTATGGGCTCTTTTCCTGGAAGTCTTTGGCCCACAGCACTGTGGGATTTTCATTTATTTTCTATCCCTCCTCCAGGACCCCCAAAGGCTCTGGTGACTTCTTAGGGGCTAAATTAAACGTAGCAATGTGTGTTCAACATGAACTTCTTACTATGTGGAAAAAAATCAGCAATGATTTTACTTTTACCTACAGCTAAATTAAGTTGCTTTGCCAATCTAGGCAGGAAAACAAAATCCTGAAAATATAATTTGTATCTTATTTGAAGAACTTACCTCAATTTAAGCACTTATTTAGAATTGGAAACATTTGGGCATTATTTCAGTCTGTGCCGTTAAAATAATAGTTTCAGAATACCAGGAGCCCGTCAGTTTTATAGGTACCACCAGCTAAATAGAAAATAAGGAAACAAAGTATGCTTCAACAATAAAAAAGTGCTGATTTATAAAATCGCTAATTTTCCTAGAGATTATTAAAAACTGATACAAAATGAAGCAGATTGGTTTATAGTTATTTGGGGGTTTTTTTTGGTATGGTAATTCAAAATAAATAAGAAGTATGTACAACGGTTGAAGTTATTTAACATAAACTCGGTGGGTTAAATGATCATGCTGATTTACTTCAAAGCCCCAGACTCTGTCTTCATAACAAAAAACAGAGAGAAAAAATTCACGTAGGAAACCATATACTTTCCTTATCATAAAGTTTTATTATGGAGTATAAAAGACTACAAAGTACAATATGCTTGACCTCTTAATAATCTATGTTTCCCCCGCAACTAAAGTTTCCCATGAATTATCTGAGAAGACGGCTGCCTCGTTCATAGAATATCACTCCTCTCCTCTGCCTTTATCCAACAGTATATCTGATTCCTTCAGTGTGGGAAGAAACATGGATGTGATAGACTATTTTCAGCTCTCTCTTTGATCCCCTTTGAAAGAGGATTTTATAAATTGCATTGTGTAGAGCCACATGCTGTCATTTTCTCTACTGCTATCTGTATATTCAAGTTTAACTGCAGAAACTCTTTTGGTGACTAGCAGGACTTTGAAAGTTGTTCTCATCTTAAAACTGCAGGGCTATTTCGATGGCCCCTACTCTTTACGATGTAATCTATGTACTGTTTTCTTCCAAGGTATGCTTCTACCAAAGAAAAAATCATGCTACTGTTTCCAAACACACTCTACTCAATGACTGTCTCATGTTCAGTAGAGCAAGAGCACCGGCATTCAAAACTAAAATTTCTACTCAAGAGCCAATCCTCGTGGGAACATATGTGCAGAGGAGATCAATGATGAAGGTAAGTTTATGAGAGCAGTTAGTTGGTCAACATTCAGCCCAGTATAGCTGTTGTCCAAACCACAAGCTGGATATTGCTAAGATTCATGTGTTTAAGGTCATTGTGTCTTTCTTTCTAGCTTATGAAAAAGAAGTATTAGTCACCTCAGAGCTATCCAATTGTTCTCTAACAATTGGCTTAAATTATTAGATGATGTATAGTTGACTAAAAAAGGCTGTGAGTGCTTGGCTTGGCAGCGTTTTTCTTATTTATTACATTTTTTAAAAAGAATTAATGTGCTATTTAAATTAGTAAGCTCCGTGGAATGGATATCCTTTGTTTAGGGATGAGTGACTCAAGGTTTCTCTCTGTTCTTGGCCAAGAGCCCTGCTGTCTAGGTAGAGGGGCAGGCGCTCTTGTGGGGGTACCATGAGGCTCCCTGACTCCCATCCTCTTGGAAGACAGAGTTCCAATGCTGCTTGCAGGTAGGGAGAACACTCTTATACTCTTCAAGGGGCCACGGAACTTTCCTGGGAGAAAGGGACCCATGCGGTGGCTCCCTGATTTTGTGGTTCAGTATTTTAGAGCTACGTGCAAAGGCTGTGATGCAGGAGTGAGGGCTGCATTGAAGAAAGGGTCCCAGCTCCCAGGAGGGCTCCCAGCGGGCTCTCAGCATGAGACTTGGGCTCACAAGGATCTTGGATTGTGCAGAGGTGGGTGGATTGCAACTGGATTGCAACCACTCAGGCTGGCCGGTGCTCCATTCCTCCTCTCACGCTTTCCCGGGGTAGACACCTTGAACGCCAACAAGCGATTGTCACCTGGAGGCTGAGTGTGGCACCCTGACAGGCTTTTTCTGGGGTCCTGAACACCTGGAAGGCACAAGTCCCTCTGCAGTGGAGGTGCCATTAGGTGGGTACAGTGAGAGTCAGGGAGAAACGCCCTGCAGGCTGATGTCCCAGGAGGCACACTTTCTCTCAGTCATTCCCAGGAAGTGTGTTCCCTTAGGCTGAGAAAATCCCCAGACTTGCAACCATTCTGGAAAGGGCCATAGCCCCTCGCTAAGGGGCCTCCCACACATCTGAGTGTGGCCTTGCCTTACCCTATGAGTGATACAGAGCGTATCAACCCCAGCCCATCTGCCCAAGTCACGCTGTGAGTCTTCATGTCCTCCTTGTATGCCTGGGCCTGTCCTGTGGTTTCTGAGTTCATAATGGGAATCATGTTTTTGCACAATACGCTTCAGTCATTCCCTCCTGATTTTTTTTTTTTAAGGCGTCTTGCTCTGTTGCTCAGGCTGGAGTGCAGTGCAATGGTGCAATATCGGCTCACTGCAACCTCCACCTCTTGGGTTCAAGCAATTCTCCTGCCTCAGCCTCCTGAGTAGCTAGGGGTAGCTACATGCACGCACTGCCACACCTGGATAACTTTTTGTATTTTAGTAGAGACAGGGTTTCACCATGTTGCCAAGGCTTGTCTCGAACTCCTGAGCTCAGGCAATCTGCCCGCCTTGGCCTCCCAAAGTCCTAGGATTACAGGCATGAGCCACCGCACCCAGCTTCTCCCTCCTGATTTTGTATAAAGTGACCTGAGCACCACCTGCCTCTCATTTCCCACTTTGCGTTTTCTGACAGATGTCCTTTTTGATGGGCTGTGGGCCTTCAAGGAGAAGCACACAGATAACAAATCCATTACCTGTGTGGAGTGGACATGAGCTTTCAAAACCCAGATAAAAGGGCAGAGTTTCTCCAATGTGGACCACTCCACAGGGCATTTTCAATGGATCCTTTGCCCAATTATAGATATCTATATTTAGATATCTAATCTGTCTTGTAAAACTAACATTGAGGTGATGTGCTTTTTTTCTCATCACCCTCTAATAGGACATGAAAACCCAGCAAATCTATATCCCACAATCCTGACAGTCCAGCTTTGATTCTGACAGGTTTTCTTGCAACACATGGTTTTCGTGAATGAATCAATAGAATGGAGATCAGTGAAGCGGGCTTGGGAGTGGCGGGCTCCTCCCGCACTGTGAGCACGTGTTTCTTGCTCGGAGGTAGGATAGTTCAGAAAAAGGATACCCTACATTGTAGCAAGGACACAATTTGTGTCTTAAAGTCTTATGTGTATTCAGATCATTAAGTTTTTAGAAATTATGATGGGAAAGACTTCGTAGAGTTGGGGTAGGGAGGACCCTACCATTCCCTTATGAAGAACAGCAGTCAAGCAAGGCCATCAACTCACTGCTGCTTCTCTAAGGATAAAGTCGGATCAAAGGGGTCAGAATTTTGTAATTCCTGATGTTCTTCTGAGAGCAGTGAGTGTTACCCTTACTCAGGAATGTTCTCTGCTGGAACATGGTTACTCTTTGTCTAGGTGTCATGATCCAGATGGTATAAATATTTTTTAAAATGATAGTTTACCTCATGTTAAAATGGCTCAAATAAAGAAAATTTTGAGTTTTCTTTAGTGGAAGTTGAATTAGCATATTAAGTTAACTAAGCCATTGGCAACGTTTATTTACAAAGAGCATGTACTCAATGGGGGAGATATTCGCTGTTTTATTGTTGATGTTTTAGTTTGCTTTGCTTTGCTTTTATCTATAATGAATAATTCATGAATCCCAATCCATCTTGGTTGACCATTAATGCTCCTAGGCATGATCATAAACACACAAAACATGGGCTCAGGGATATAAAATAATTTGCTGAAGCCAGTTGGAAAGCGCAGAATCAGGACCGAAGCCCAGGTCTCTAGACCCTGTTCTTTCTACTTGTTGATCTCTTTGGAAAAATTATCAATCTTCCAAGCATGATTTTTAGTGTTTTCTATTTTATCAATATTTTCTACTGCTGTGGAAGACACACTCAATGTTTTAACTAAAAGAGGTATATCTTTAATAAATCGGTCACATAATTTCTTTCACAAAATCACTTTTTTGCACAAAAACTTTTCATTTACCAACTCACTTCCTAATGGAAGGGATCCCCCTGATGCACGTGCGTGTGTGATCTGGATGGGTTTAGACAGTCAGAGCATTGTTGGCTGTCAATTTCCTTTTGAGAAAGGGGCTGCCTCCATGCCTATTCTTCAGGAGTTGAGCTGTTGTTACCTGCTCCTTCTCTACTTCTCTCAAGGGCTGTGGAACCAGATGAGAACTTCCTGTAACCTGCTCGCTGAGTAGAAATCCTCCCAGGTTCACCTTCAAAATACAGATTTTTCTCTTTTCCCAGCTGTCCCTCAAGCCCCTCAGTGGTTCAACCCATTGGGTGTCCGGCCCTGCTCTGGCTTTGACAAGTGCAGGGCTTCGTCTGCTGATGCTATCTTGGGTACAGACACTGTCACCCGATGAAGCCTGCTCACCTGGCCCAGGACTAGCCTCCATGTTTTACTGGGGGATGTACCATAGGAGGGAACACTTGGTTTGAATTTTGACCTCAGCATTTACTGTATCAAGTGATATTGGACAAGTCATTAAACCACTCCATCTTTCAATCTTGTTGATCCTTAAACTTGAGATGATAATATCTGTGGTGCAGGTTCATTGTAAAGGATTAAATGAAATAATAAACGTAAACTCTTAGCGGAGTTCCTGGCATCTGAGAAGCACAGGATAAACGGCAGATGCTGCTTTGATTATCATCATAGTTGTTGTATTATATATGGGGTTATTATCTTTTTTCATGTTTGGTGTACAGGGTAGAATCTTTAAGGACAGTGGGTAGGGGCAAACACTATTCTCACCTTGTCAGGAGCTGAGCATACCACACTATCAGGACCTCACTTAACTGTAAGAAATGCTGATCTTGTAAAGCAGAGCTTAAAGGAAGAAAATAAGGCCCCCAAAATGCCAGATGAGTGACTGATGTTAAGTCAAAGATGCTAGGAAGAAAGAGCTTTCTGTTGTTTATTTCCCAAAATACAACAATATTGCCATTTGTAAGTGATAACTAAATGTTAATATTATCAATTTTCAATATAAGAAATTGCACAACTCAAAAGTCACTAAATATTATGAAGTGCTTGTCCAGGACCTTGGACCTAAGTCCTGTAGGGTCCCTGGTAGTGATGCATGTCAGCACTCTCTGGAGTCTCTCTTGGCCTGGGAGTGTGAATTCTGATGGTTGGGTGGCTGGGTATGTGTTCCAGGACCTCAGCCAGCATGTCTGGGAACTGCATGCCCGGGGTGAGGAGGCACGCTGGACAAGCATCAGGAGACTTGTCCTTTTCGTGTGTCTGTGTGTGTGTGTGTGTATTTGTGCACGTGTTTGTGCATGTTTGTGTGAATGTGTGTATGTGTGTATGGTTTTGTGTTTGTGCGTGTGTGCATGTGTGTGTGCATGTGTGTTTGTGCAAGTGTGTGTATGTGTGTTTGGGCGTGTGTGTGTGTTCGTGTGTGTATGTGTTTCCTTCTTTGTATAAAGGAGGCTTCTCTGGCTGGAGCTTGACAAGGCAGGGGAAATATGAAGTGAGTGAAGGCTAGAGGGGTCGAATGATTGTGCTTTAATTGATCATGTTGTAAAGGTCTAAAAAAACCCTCTGCCCTTAAAAATGTCCTCTATGCAACTTTTTCCATCCTTTCCTGTGTATTGGCATTTATTTTCAGGTGGCTGAGAGATGCCAGGTGTCTCCAGGGCTTCCCTGGGTGGCTGTGAGCACAGCAGATCTGCTTGCCAGTTTGTTCCACACGTGGGGGCGTGAGCACGAGCCACCAACATGGATTGGAGCTCTTCTCGGCTGTTTTAAGACTGTTTCAAGCTGTCCACCATCTTCGGAATTCCCTTTATTCTTCCGAAGTGCCAGTTTCCTATTAGAACCAAAATAGAATCATCATTTTCGTATTTTCAATGGATTCAGAAACTAAAAATGTTTTCTGGCATCAATTTCTGGGAAAATGTACATGCTAATGTTTTGAAGGGATTTGCATATGGGAACAACTTGCTCTCATGATAAATTTTTTCTGCATGGGCTCTGGCCTCAGGAGTCTGGCCTCAAATCTCAATTCTGAAAATAGGTATGGTAACGATATAACAATAATCATAATAATTATCCCATATAGTTGTTTCCAGGGCTAAATAAAATAGTCTATGTGAGTTGCTTGGTGCAACACCTGATTCATAGAAGCCCTCTAAAAATAAGGAGCGGAAGGGATGGAACGGAGGTTAGAAGACATGATGCATTACCTTTTTAACAGACTTGGGAAATGTGGTTCAAGCTCCATTGGCCATGGTAGTCCTGAGTGCAGTTTGACTTCTTCTTTTGAGTGGTCTCCACTTCCCTAAGGTGACGTGAGGGTTCTGAGGCTCACGGCACTTTTCAGAAAGAGGTCCCTCACACAGTCTGTTTCTCCTCTTTGTAGGCACACTGTGCCTCTGATGGGCTCCAAGTCCTGTCAGGAATTGGGACCCTGCTGCCTGGAAGACAGCAAGGTTTCCTTCAATGAGACTCCACTAGGACTCCATGTCCTAGGTAAGGACTGGATAATGAGTAATGCTGGACAGGTGAGAGATCACATTGACACATTTGTAGGTAGTGTTTCTAGATAGACACTGAGGAAAATTATTTAATGTCCTTCTTTAATCAGAGAGATGAGAAAATTAAGGGCCTACTGAGGGCTGAGCTCCCAGCCCAGGGCCCCTCTTCCACCCAAGGAGATCAAAACAGAGATTCACTTCTCTGTCACCAGATTCAAGGTGGCAATCCTGCTCTATGGGCCACCTTCATGTTTGATAAACCTCCTCTCTTTGAGTCAATGTGAGCTATCCATCTCTATACGTCAGTGGGGAAAAAGTGGAGTCCTTCTGTTGGTAAGAGCTCAGGCTACACATATCAGAGAGGCAAAGGTGAGGTCAGGGACAAGTGTGGTGTTTGAGGTTGAATCCAAAGGAAGTATCATAGAACCAAATATATCTGTTCTGCAAGAGAGACATTCCCCAATGATACTGAATCTGGAAACATTTACTTCCTCTCTGACATCCAGGGGGCTGTAAAGCCTCACTCAGAAGGAAAAGCTTAGTGAAAACCCAGCAGGGCAAAAAGCATGTCAGCAGAAAAGGAGGCATCTCTAGCCTGGAGTAACAGGCACATGCCCTGCAAGGCTTCCCTGCAAGAAGGAAGACACCCTTGCCTTTGTTGGAACTTGCTGAGAAGCTCTGCAACCAACACTCGCAGAAGCAAATTACCCTTAGCTATAGAGAGAGCTGTGTTTTCAAAAAGCTGCACATACAAAGTTAATGTTGGGTGAGCTGGGACCCTGAGAGACTGGTGACTCTGGACCATAGGAATCTCATCATTAACAGGAGGAAGAGCCACTGATGTGGATGACAAATGGCTGAGAAACAGAAGGTATTCAGGTTACACAGAACAGGGGTGTGAAAGAGGATGTGGACAGAAGTAGAACAGAACTACTGGTTTCCACTGAGTAACACTTGGCTAAGGGTTTCACAAGGGTCTTTTTCTTTCTTCCTTTCTTTTCTTTCTTTCTCTTTCTTTCTTTCTTTTTCTTTCTTTCTTTCTTTTCCTTCTTTCTTTCTTTCTCTTTCTTTTTTTCTTTCTTTCTTTCCTTCTTTCCTTCTTTCTTTTTCTTTCTTTCCTTTCTTTTCCTTTCTTTCTTTCCTTCTTTCCTTCTTTCTTTTTCTTTCTTTTCTCTTTCTTTCTTTCTTTCTTTCTTTCTTTCTTTCTTTCTTTCTTTCCTCTTTCTTTCTTTCTTTTTGAGAGAGGGTCTCCCTCTGTCACCAGGGCTGGGGTACAGTGTCACGATCATGGCTCACTGCAGCCTCAACCTCCCAGCTCAGCCTCTGGAATAGCTGGGATTACAGGTGTGTGCCACCAAGCCTAGCTTTTTTTTTTTTCCATTTTTTTATAGAAATGGGGTTTTACTTTGTGGCCCAGGCTGGTCTCAAACTCCTGGCCTCCAGTGATCCTCCAGTCTTGGCCTCCCAAAATGTTGACATTACAGGGCATGAGCTACTGCGCTTGGCCAGTTCTAGCAGTTTCTTAGAGAAAAGACTTGCAAAATATATGACTGCTTCACTGTGTTGGGAAAGATACTGCATGTTAGTATGTGTTTTGCTGACAGTAAACATCACACTTCTAGCACAGAGTTGGTTTGAGTCAATGCCATAAGCTATATTGAAATTATTTTTGCAGACGGGTCAAGACATTATCAAGTATACTTTTTGTTGTTGTTGTCGACTTAAGGCCTTATGTTTTAAAAGCCTGCTTGAGTTTCCCAAGCAGCTGTCTGTATGAAGTGGGAGCAGTCAGCCTGAGTCCAGTGCTGGGACAGGGGAGCAGCTGCCCCTCCTCCCTGGGAGGGCCTCGCCTGCAAACACTGGGCTCCACAGTGGCCTGGGCCTCATCTCACTCCAAGTGGTGGAAGTTCATTGTCAATTTGCTCCAAATTTGGTTATTCAAACACCTCTGTTTTCCTATCATTCAATTTAGAAAACTTCTTCAAATACTTCCATTTTCCAAAAAAGAGCTCACTAGGTAGATTGGTAGTGTTTACGTTTCAGAATTAATATGTAAAGTGTATTTAAAATATGAGTTCATGTCCTTTGCAGAGACATGGATGGAGCTGGAAACCATTATTCTCAGCAAACTAACACAAGAACAGAAAACTAAACACCACATGTTCCCACTCATAAGTGGGAGTTGAACAATGAGAACACATGGACACAGGGAGGGGAACATCACACACCGGGGCCTGTCGGGGAGTCGGGGGCTAGGGGAGGGAAAGCATTAGGAGAAATACCTAATGTAGGTGACAGGTTGATGGGTGCAGTAAACCACCATGGCACGTGTATACCTATGTAACAAAACTGCACGTTCTGTGCATGTATCCCAGAACTTAAAGTATAATAAAAAAAAGTTAATAAACACCAGGATGAAAAGTCAGGGTGCAAAGTTGACAAAACCATAGATGTTGGCATGAACATGGTGAAATGGGAACACTTTTACACACCGGTGGGAATGTAAACTTGTACAACCACTATGAAAAAGCGTATGGAGATTTCTTAAAGAACTGAAAGTAGAACTGCTGTTCTATCCAGCAATCCCACTACTGAGTATCTGTTCAAAGGAAAATAAGTCATTCTATGAAAAAGACACTTGCATATGCATGTGGATAGCAGCACAATTCTCAATTGCACAAGATGGAACCAACCTAAGTGCCCATCAACCAATGAGTGGACAAAGAAAATACGGCGTATATGCACCATGGAATACTACTTAGCCATAAAACAGAACAAAATAATGTCTTTTCCAGCAAGTTGGGTGGAGCTGGAGGCCATTATTCCAAGTGAAGTAACTCAGGAATGAAAAACCAAATATCGTATATTCTCACTTATAAGTGGGAGCTAAGCGTGAGGATGCAAAGGCATAAGAATGATGCAATGAACTCTGGGGCCTCAGGGGCAAGTGTGGGAGGGGTGAGGGATAAACAACTACATATTGGGTACAGTGTAACTGCTTGGGTGACGAGTGGACCAAAGTCTCAAAAATCACCACTAAAGAAGGTATCCATGTAACCAAAAACCACCTGTACCCCCAAAACTATTGAAATAAAAATAGAAATTTTAAAAAGCCAAGATGCCAAAAGAATAATGCCATGGAATATATTTTGGGCATGGAGAGCTGGTTTGGGCACATATCTGGTGTGCACTATGAAATGTGTGGACATCTGGTGTACTGGACATTGTGGAAGTGAAGAAGTGGGATGTGTGAGAGGTGCAAGAACCTGGGATAGAACAGCCAGGGTCCCTGTGGTCAAGGCAGCGGCAAAAGTGTGGAGAGAACAGAAGGTCCTTCCATGCTTCGCCTTCAACTGATCGGTCAGCTGTCCAGGGGTTATTCCTTTCCACATAGGCACATAGGCACCTTGGACTCAGTGCTGCCAACATCAATGCACAGCCTGTACCCCTCTAACTCTTTTATAGGCCCCCAATTAAAGACTCCTGATCCAGTTGCCAAGGGCTGTCCACATGTGTCTCCTTGTCTCCACTGCCTTCACTGCCTGAGATCAGGGTCCCCCCAGCCTTTTCATATGGCTTATGGTTCCAGCCTCCCGACTAGGCTCACTGACTCCAGCCTTGCACATCTGGTCTTTTCCCACAGGATCAACAGGGACATTTCTCAATTGCAGTAGCACCCCTACATTGATAATAGCCTCCGGTGGACCCCTCACCTTCAGGGGACGGTCTAGATGACCTCGATGGGGCTAGAGGATAGGACTCTTGAGTATCTAAACTGAGCATGTGTTTCTAACCTCAATTCTGACCTCTCTCTGACTTGCTGAACCCCTTCCCAGAGGACTACTTGCTGCCCGGTCTCCAGATGACCACCTGCTGGTCCTCCTTAAAGTTCTCCTGCAATCCTTCCTCCAGGTGTCGCAGTCTCCCATGCACCTTCCCACATAACATCTCACCATGCCATGGCTCCATGCTATTCTAACCCCATCAGACAGCAAGTCCTTGAAGACAAGCACTATCTGTTCTTGACAGCCTGATTTCTGGGGTCTTCCACGGAGAGTAGTCCAGTGGCGTTTGTGGAATAGATGGAAGACAAGACCGTCAAGAAAAGTATTCCAAAAAACTAAGTGCTGGCAGTTCTTGTTACAAAGAAGCACCTGAATCAAGTAGACCTCATTGACATCAACGTCACGATTATGGGTGGAAACTCCTGCCAATTCAATATGTGAACAGTGTTTTCCTCCTAATGCACCATGCACGTGTGTGAACACAGACACACAACACCACACAGGCACTCTCACACACACTTGTACATATATACACTTGCATACACGAAGACACTCACAAATAGCATGCATGTTCACACACATACATACTGACATATACAAACACACATTCACACACTATATTTTCATAAAGAATATAATTATATTATTACTGGAAACAAAGCCTTATGCAGTGGACTTAATGCATTCTAAAGGAATACATCTCCAGAGTTTCACACTCCTCAAATGAGAGAACTCCTTGATATAGTTATTTATTGTCTAGGGGCCTCTGTGTGTACTTTGAGCTCAGCTGAGAACCATTACTACATGTTCTCAATTGATATCACAACAATCTTACACCGTGCTTACTATCATCTGCTTTTTAAGTTACATGCTACAGATTGGGGAGCACAGGCTACCCTAAACTACAGATGTCAGTTCTGCAAATGCCAATGATCTATTTAAATATAGATTCTAGAGGCGGTAGATGTTAGAGAAATCCAACAGTGAGTGTATCAACCATCTGGTGTTTCTGTGATGTAACAAACGCAAGGTATCAGCTTGCATAGAAAAGCATGTGGAATCACGAACGCACAATGTCCGGCTCTTACGACTGACACTCAGGCTTTTCCTAAAGCCCTGGGCTCGATTTCGTGCATGGAACATGAGGAATGATTAATGAGCCAGCGCAAGAATTGCAGAAGGTTATAGAAACTGCCTGTATTTAGTTTAATGATGAGATGGTTGACAACCAGCCTGGAAGAGACGTTCAGGAGTAAGAACGAGCGTCACTCTGAGGACGTGACCAGCTGCTTTCTGTCGTCAGTGGGCAGAAACGAGACATGAAGGAAATGGACTTAAACTGCATCATACGGTAATAATTTAGGATACAAAGAACTTCCTGAGGCTGGAATGGGTTACCATAGGAAAAGATGGAATCTCCCTTCCTCAACGTCTTTAGAAATAAGTTCTGTCCAACGTTGCTAAGGCTAGGATGTTCCTCGGAACTCAAAGTTAGGAGATCGAGGCCAGAAGTTCATGTCATTCCCGAAGCCTATTTGAATTTGTCAGTGGTGTTTTCTCCCATCCTTCCTCACCATCCCCGTAACCCACCCCTTCCTTTGTTTTTCACTTTTTTGTTTACAAACACTAACATTTATTCTTCTGGTGTATAGTTCTGTGAGTTTTCAAAAACACATACAATTATGTAACCACCACCACAATCAATAGGGGAAATTTTGCCTCTGACTTTACATTACTTTTTATCCACCAATACTATTTTTCTTTCTCTCTGTGCACACATGGTAAGACTTAAAATTGGTAAGAGATCAGCACCAAATTGCCCTCTCCAACCGCATTTCTTCTGTAGGCAGAATAGAGGGGTGGGGGAGGGAGAGTGGGGGTGGAGGTAGATTTCATGCCCTCGTTTCCTGTAGTTAGACTCGGAGTAGTGAGGTGACCACAGCTGAGAGTGATGTGGGTGCATCTGCTCATTGTGTGCTCTGTGATAGAAAACAGTAAACTGAACTGATGGTTGGGAAGGAATGTGGAGAGAACATGGAGAAGGAAATTGGGAGAGCCAGCACCCAAGTCCAGTAAGTTTACAGGAGAATTTCTTGGGCCGGCAGGGCAGAGACCCCCATGAAGAGTAGGCGAGCATGTCATCTAGAGGCCGTAAGGAGTTCCTCCTCCACAGCCTCCTCACCTCCGGAGCATGGCGGGCCCCACCTGGAATCGAGGGGAGGCTCCGGATGCTGGAATCAGTTGCTCACTGATGGAATTTCTAGAAGCCTGGCGTTCACACAATGAGGCACAGAGTGGGAAGGGATACAGTGTGGTGTCCAGAGAGGAGACGGCAGCCTGTCTGGTCAAAGACTGGGGCCCGGAGAGAGAGGAGAGCTGAGAAGTACTCATGACTTGTTGCCAGTGGCCTCCCTGTCCTGAGTAGGCCTGTTCAGCGTGTCCATTGCAGAGAGGGTACTGGCGAGCTGCAGCAGTAGAGGCGGAGAGAGCACTGGCTGAGGCCCGCTGGGAGACTCAGAGCCCCTGCACCTGGCACAGCAGGTGGGCCACTCACGAAGTCCCCATGTCTCCTGGAAGGATGGACAAGAATGTCCATTCACACTGAGTGAACTCTATCAACAGACGTGCAAGACCCTGCAGGGACCCTGTTGTCTGTGCACATGTGGTCGAGGCAGAGGCTGTCCCCAAAACCAGGAGGGAGGGCTGCACCACAGCAAAGGCCAGAGGCCACAGAGGGGCCACCTGGCTGGAGAGCCTCACCCATGCCAGAGAATCCACACACCACCAGGAGCATGGTCTTCCTGCAAGGGGTCAGAGGCAGAGGAGGAAACAGCCTGTTGATGTGGGGAGGGGGCACTCTAGAGCTGGGCTTAGTTCTGATCTACCGGGTTTCATACCCAACTTTTAGAAGATGGAATTCACACTTGGTAGATGTGGTCATATATATATATATATATATACACACACACACACACACACACATATATGTCCTATATATGTGTATGTGTGTATATACATATGTATACACATATGTGTGTATATATGTATACATATATTTGTATACATATGTGTATACATATATATGTATACATATATTTGTATACATATGTGTATACATATATATGTATATACACACATACATATATACACACACACACACATATGTGCATGTCATCAGTTTCTGAGATCTGTTTCCTGGCTTGATTTTTTATGATACACCCTCAGAAACACATTGATATATTCACTGCCACTATAATTTAAGGGAACTTTCTTTCTTTCCTTTTCTTTTCTTTTCTTTTCTTTTCTTTTCTTTTCTTTCTTTCTTTCTTTCTTTCTTTCTTTCTTTCTTTCTTCTCTCTCCCTTTCTTTCTTTTGCCTTTTTCTTTATTCATTTGTTCATTCATTCTTTCTTTCTTTTCTTTCCCTCCCTCCCTCCCTCTGTCTCGTCCTCTCTCTCCTTCAGCAATCTCTCTTCTCTGTCTGAATGACTACTTCTTGATTCTGTTATTTCCACATTTTATCTTCCCATCTTTTTTTACATTTCTAATCATGGCACATTTTCCAAGTTAAGGAAAATATATATATTTACGCACACAAATATACACACACACACGTATGTGAAACATATGCATGCATGCAATGCTATGTGTTGTGTTATTTAATGAACTTCATTTTTAGTAGCAGAAAAGCAGATGAGTTGGACTTTTGAAGTCTTTTCTTGGAAAACACCATTTTTCTAGTGCCTTCTGTTGTTCACAATTACACACTGCATTCAACCACCAAGTTTTTGACCTCTGCTCTGGATAAATCCCATAATCTGAAGTGGTTGAGAGCATGTGCCTGGCACCCTTTCGCTTCCTGGAATGCATACCCATGCCTTCGTGGCTGTTTGTGGCACACACCCATAGTGATGGAGAGCTCAGGAGCTCCACCGTGGAGCTCCTCCTGCCTGCCCCACCGTGTGGCCTGAGTCGCTCACTCACACGAGGATTTCCTTGGGTCCAATGTGGTGGTTTTTGTGGGCTCAGCCTTGTCATTGTGGAATTCTGCTTTCTGAATTTCACAGAGGTGGATTTCTGCACAGTAGATGCTAAGACACCCGCCGCCCTCAGCCGGAATGGAATGTGTATCTTTGCAGCTGCTGGAAAAAGGACTCTGGTTTCAGTAGGTGAGCTGTGGAGGTGGGAGTTCCCAGATCAAGTTTTAGATTCCTTCAGGGCTTGGATGCGGAGAGAAAAGACGCCCTCCTGTCGGGGGCCAGCTGGCGTTTCCTAGGATGCCCAACTCATCCAGATGAATAGGGAATACGAGAAGGGAGAGAAGGAAGGATTAGTTTTGTGCAGAGTAAATGTTGATCTTTCCTCACCTGCTTTTCACAAGTCTTCGTCTCGCTGAAATATTTTTTTATTAAATTTTAATCAAAAGCACAAAAACAGATTGTTTATTATAGGAAAGACTGACCCGATTGTAAGCTTTCCTTGCTCTGCCAGGCTTACAGATGTCAGCAGCTCAACAATTGATAAGCGTGATTCCCCCAAGAGCCTGTGGCCGCAGGAGAGCCTGAGTCTGGAAAGGGGATTCATTGGAGAGGGTGAATGAATTTTGTCATTTGGACAAGGTGTTCTCCTCAGCAGCAGGTTCACTCTAGGAACCCCTGTTTGTTTGATGAATGTGGATAACTGCTTTATTTATTTATTTATTTATTTATTTATTTATTTATTTGAGATGGAGTCTCACTCTGTCACCCAGGCTGCGGTGCAGTGGCACGATCTCGGCTCACTGCAACCTCCGCCTCCTGGGTTCAAGTGATTCTCCTGCCTCAGCCTCCCCAGTAGCTGGGACTACAGGTGCGTGCCACCATGCCCAGCTAATTTTTGTATTTTTAGTAGAGATGGTTTTCACCATATTGTCCAGGCTGGTCTTGAACTCCTGACCTCAAGTGATCCTCCTGCCTCGACCTCCCAAGGTGCTGGGATTACAGGTGTGAGATGCTGCACTCGGCCCTCATTTTTAAATTTCGTATTCATGTTTGGCCTTTTCTGGATGGTCTTATGTAGTTGACCTACATTTTTTAGCGTAGATCTAATTAAAGAACAGGATGCACTCTGGCCTCCAGGGATGTCACAGGATAAATGACTCATTCATTTTTTTGGGTAAAGCAAACATAACTCCCAATATGTGTGCATAAAATTTGCCTTCTAAGTGGATATTTAAGGAAACATTCCAAGCCGTGTGCTGGGGCTGTTATTCCATGTGAACAGTTTCTTCTCTGCCACCCATTTTCCGGGCATCATTCTTATCCTGAGAGACACACTTGAATAGATGAGTGATTAAAGTCAACCAACATCCTAGCTTAAGAGTGGTTAGAAAATAATCATATAGATAAATACTTTCATTATCCTCTTATGAAGGACAAATGCCATTTTATCATAAAATTATTACCAAATATTTTTATTGAATTTACTTTGACAGGGGAATAATGTCCAACTCTCCTCAGAGTCCTTCAACCCTGAAAATGTCACTCTCCCAGGGGTTGTGGAAAGATCTCTAACCCCAGCTTTCTGCCTGGTCCTTCATGGAACCCATGTGTGATGCTCCTTTCCAAAAGAGCATCACAAATTCAATAAAAATGAAAGATTCTGTGGGCAAGGGCCTAGAAGAAGGTAAGAAAGAAAATGATGAATGCTCTCAAATGTCATTAATCTTCGTTACCTGGTGCCTGCTGATTTCCCAGCTCTGGGTTTGGGCACAGTGATAGTAAAGACCATTGTCTTTGCAGCCTCTGCTTCCTAGGCTCTGGATTTCCGGAGCATATTCTTTCTGCTTTTCAATAACTTTATGTTCATTACCAGGTGAGATATTTCCAAGGTCTATTAGATTGCTCTTTTTAATGCTGAGTGGTTGTTTTCATTTAAGAATGAAATAAAGTTGTTTTTTGCTTATGTTGAGAAGCACAGCAAGAGAGTCAGGAGGCTCTCTAGATATGCAAGAGGAGGCCTTTCTCAGCAACACGCTCTGTGGGCTCAAGTTCGGGTCTCTGCCAGTCACATGGACCACTGATGGGGCCTTCCTTCTCCACAGTGTTGCTGTGTTTTGAATCTGTGCTTCTCAAACTGTGGCACCCAGGCCAGTAGCATCAGTATCACCTGGAATTTGACATGCACGTTTATTCAGCCCCAAGCAAATCTGTTGAATCAGAAACTCTGAGGACAGGTAGGGTCCAGCAAGCAAGTCGGGGACCCAAATGCACACATGCCAACGTGTGAGAGCCAGCGTTGCAGATCAGTAATTGTTCCGGGCTGAGTTTCGCCTCCTCCCACCCTCCTGTGTTGACAGTCCTCATCCCCGATAACCCAGAATGTGACTGTATTTAGAAATAGGGTCTTTCAATATGTGATTAAGTTCAAATGAAATCATATGGGCAAGCCCTAATTTTCTACGACAGGTGCCCTTATAAGAAGAAGAGATTAGGACACAGACAGATATTGGAGAAGGCCCTATGAAGTCACAGGGAGAAGATGGCTGTCTAGGAGCCAAGGAGAGGGGCCTCCAGAGTTCATATGCAACCAATCCTGCTGGCAGGACTTCCTGCCTCCGGCACTGTGAGGACAGGCAAACCTGCTGTTTAAGCCACCATCTGTGGCACCTTGTTATGGAAGCCCCAGCAAACTAATATAGAAACAGAGATAATGAGAGTGACAACGTCACTAAAACAAGTGAATGCTGGCTAGTGGACTTTGAGATAGATCAAGACAAAGTGCCTAGGCTGGGCGCGGTGGCTCTTTCCCATAATCCCAGCACTTTGGGAGGCTGAGGAGGGTGGATCACTTGAGGTCAGGAGTTCGAGACCAGCATGACCAACATGGTGAAACCCTGTCTCTACTAAAAATACAAAAATTAGCCGGGTATGGTGGCACATGCCTGTAATCCCAGCTACTCAGGAGGCTGAGGCAGGATAATCGCTTGAACCTGGAAGGCGGAGGTTGCAGTGAGTCGAGATCTCGCCACTGCACTCCAGCCTGGGGTGACAGTGAGACTCCTTCTCAAAAAAATGAGAAAAAAACAACAAAAAAAAGACAAAGTGCCTTAAGCACCTGCAAGAGTTTCTCTCTTATCTGTCGTTATATTAGTCACCAAAGCCATTCCACATAGATTGCACATGTGCCTTTCTATATATACAAGTAATATCGAACACTGATTAGAGTAGCAGAAAGGGATGAAAATTTTCACAGGCGTCCATGTGTTTTGTGACTTTGAACGACCATGCGGACCACCACGGGGCCCCAATGCCACCTGTCAGCAGCTCTGAGGATGCAGCCAGCAACAGGCAGGGAGCAGCTGCTGCCGAGCTGCACACACCCCCATCCTCAACTGCAAAGCTGAGTTTTGGGTCATTTCAGACAAAGGAGAGTCTATGCTTCCATTAGACCTCATGCCCAGGCAGGCTCAGATGTAACGTCATCCTCTGTGTTCAAAATCTTTATATACATTATCTATAGTATGAACCTTACAATTTTGCAAGACAGATACTGATATCCGTATTACACAGAAAAATTCTGTCTTGGTGAAATTAAGTAGCTTTCCCAAGACCACATAGCAGGGAATTGTTAATTCTGAACTCCTATCTACACGTGTCTAACTCCCCACCAACCTCCTGCCTCTAGGATCCCCGTACAGCCTCAGTGCTTCTCCACAATCTCATTCAAAACCCTCAACCTTTCCAACTGAGCCAGTGAAGTTTCCCCAGAGTCATACAACTTCCGAATTCTGATTCAGAATGTTTCAAGAACAAATTCACCATTTAAAAAACAAACACATAGAAAGACACAGATTTTAATGTTTTAAAGAGTTCATTTTGGAAAACGCAGAGGGCCAGATATGACACTGTTAACTTAAAAGCTCATTTTTTGTCCCCAAAATGTATAGCTGTCAAATGAGTGAAATTCTATAACACTGTGCTTAGGAACCCTTTAAGGGAAAGCAAAATAAATTTATAATTTTAATCGTTTTAATTACGATCTTACTTTTCTGATTTCTGCAGAAGGCTTTACTGCTAAACTTATCCAAAGGCAATTTGGATAATAAGACTTGAGATTCATTGTTCACATGTTTGTAACTTTAATAGCCTAAAATAGTTGCTAAATTGCCCAAAAATGGGAAATGCTTTTAAGCTAAATGGCAGGAGAATGAAGTCAGGCCATTTACTCTCATGTTATCTTTTTCCTTCCGGACTCACTTCAAGATGTGTGGGCGGGGTAAATGCCAGGATATTTTACCTTTCAAATTCAGAGATCTTTAGATAAAAGCCGCCCATATTTGGACTGGGTTTAGAGTGGAATTCTCAGCCTAACCCTCTGCCTGCTTTTTCAATCTGTGATAGGGAAGGTTCATTTCATTTTCTTTGTTCATGGCCACCAGCCTAGACTTCCCCATATTTCTAAGATATTATTTTACTTCCTCTGTAAACCTTTATAAAGTAAAGCAAACAAAAGCAAGCAAACAAACAAAACATACCACATTTATTTGGGATTATTTCTGTTCACTGAAAATCGCATCCAGAAGTGGCCACTCCACACAATCGAGGTGATTCAGGTCTCAAAAAGCCAGCAAATTCACGTGTGAAGGAATCTCCCGGTCTCAGTCCAGTGTCTGTCAGCACCTTTTCAGGCCACTCCATGAAGCTGGCAGGATGTGCGAACAATATCTGTTTGCTGCTGAATTCGTACTACGAAAGGGTCGGTCGATGGGGGGATTTCAAGTGGGCGCCAAGGCCCATCAGTCTTTCTCCGCTGTCAGTGATAAGAAGCCAACAGGAGAGCAACGGGACGAGGGGAAACACTTCCAGGGCTCACAGGAGTAGCCAACGGTCACCAAATTAACATCTGTTACGCTGTAGCTCTCTGGAGTATATTTGCAAGCATTCTGAAAATTAATTAAAACTAGCTTGTTTTCTATTTCTTGATGGTGAATAGAAAGGAAAAAAAAATGAAGTAACTACATCTTAAAGCAGAATAAGCAAAAAGTTTTATTTGAGTTAAATTGGAAAAAACAGTCGTGGGCTCTTCAGTTGGCTCTACTATCTGCCGCCAGGGCTGCTCCGAACCACTCCACAAGTCAAAACGCGCTTTCACTCTGTCTCGGCATACTCTGCTTCCCTGTAACACAGGCGGTGGAAATTCCAGATCGGAAAGATACACGACCGTATTTCACTCCCATGCGGATTGCTATACACAAAGCCCTTTGCATTTGAGATTTGCATTATGCAGCCATCAAAATGCAATCTGCCACCCTGGCCATCTGACTCACGGACAGCTGCCTCTTGCCTCAATGGGCTCCTGCAGTCCTAGAAATTATTTCGGCAAGTGCTGCCCCTGGGCCTTCCAGGTGGCCTGAGAGAGGACCCACAGTCCTTGAGACAAGTGGCAACGACTGAAATGAAGATGCAGGCAGGCACACTTGCGCCAGGCCATCCAGAAGATCCTTTGACCACTGACTCTCATTTCCAAATGAAGCACCATCTGGTGACCCACTCAATTCCACCTGTCACTGTAAAATTGACTTATATGGGAAAATGGGTTGTGATATGTAAGGTTTTACTTTAAAATCAACCAGGTCACGATGTGTGCATTGCATCAAGGGATATGTATATGTTAAAATCTTCAAAGAATATTCTCTTCCCTGATAACCTAGCTACTGAGTCATAACTCAATGTCAGAGAGGCATTCCCCATATCTAACCTTAATTCTGCATGCTGTCATTTAAGCCCATTTCCTTTCGTTCTGCTTTAGTAAAATGTAAGAACACTAGCTGGCCACAATCCCATGCAGAAGGTTCACATTTTAATTTTTTTTTTTTTTTTGACCAAGTCTTGCTCTGTCACCCAGGCTGGAGTGCAGTACCTTCTGGGTTCAAGCCATTCTCTATGGCTCACTGCAACCTCTACCTTCTGGGTTCAAGCCATTCTCTTTGGCTCACTGCAACCTCTACCTTCTGGGTTCAAGCCATTCTCTTGCCTCTCAACCTCCCAAGTAGCTGGGACTACAGGCACACGTCACCACGCCTGGCTAATTTTTGTATTTTTAGTAGAGACGGGGTTTCACCATGTTAGCCAAGATGGTCTCAATCTCCTGACCTCATGATCTGCCCGCCTTGGCCTCCCAAAGTGCTAGGATTACAGGCGTGAGCCACCGCATCCGGCCCACCTTTTAAATATAGTTACTGAATCACTTTCCATTGTTTTTCTTCGTCATAAATAGCTCTAACCACTTTCATTCTTGCTCCAGGACTGGATCCTCATCATCTGAATTTATCTTCTGGAGGCCTCAGGGGCGTGTTCCCTATGTCAGGAGAGCTGTGTCAAAGGCAACCAACCTAGGGTATTTCTAACCAGCGACCAGCAAACAGGTCTTAATCATTCGCATGGATAAGTCATTGAGTTGGAAACTTTAGAGAGAGTAAAAATAAAAAGAATTCACACTCTAACCAGAGTTCTTAACAGATTTCAGGGAAGAAGGTGTGTGGGCACGAGAGCCTGGGCCATTGAACCCTCTCATCTGCACAGAGGACTCCACCTGACTCCTCACCTGCCTGCCCTGGCCCAGGTGACAAGACAGCTGCTTTCTGCAATTGGCCGGGCACCCTAGCAGTGAACACCACCTTCCACAGTGCAGGCTGGACGTGCCCTGTGTCTCCGCTGTGCACCTGCTGTCAGCAAGAGGCCCACAAAGGCAAGCTTGCTGGACAGAAGACAGGAGAGCAGCCTCCTCCCCAGGGGAGAACTCCTGAAAGCGTGAGCAGAAACGCACTCCACCACCTGGGAGAGTCAACTGCAACGCAGGGTGTGCTGGGGACAGCCACTGTCCGTGAGAAGACAGGGAGGGCAGACAGTCTGTTTTTAACAAAGACAGAGATCTTGTATATATGTAGACACACATACATATATACTGAGCCATGCCATGTTTAAATTATACTGCTGTTTTGTGCTTAATATTCATTTGTCACTTTCCATTCATTCATTCATCAGGTTGAGTATCTAATAAATAAGGATTTATTGTAGAATACATGTCACAACATAAAAAACAACTGAGCAAAATTCCAGAACTTTTGGATTTAGAATGAGGTAAGAAGGGTTGGAAATCCAAGATCAGAGAGAAGAAGATTGGAGCCAACCCTGAGGGAGAGGCCCAAAAAGACCCTCCGAGGTCCAGGACAGCCCTGCAGCTTGCCAAGCGGCACAGAGAAGCAAGAGGGACCCAGGCTGCAGCTGTGGAGGGTTCACCATTCACTACAACTGTCGGTAAGAATCCTAATTACTGCAGGAATAATCCAAGTAAAAATTCAATTTTCCCAAAGACAACTTGAAAACAAAAAATAATCCATTTACAAGTCTGAATGTGATCGAATGTGTTGGGAACATGTCAGCATTCCCTTGCTTTCAGTGGTTTCTGCTGTCTCTGGCTATCTTGTAGTTTCAAAGACAAGCTGGAGATTTCCCACAGTAAGAAAACAACCTGACCTGTATGTTTCTAGACTGCTCGACAAGTGAGAAAAGTTAATAGCCTCACGGGCAGGGCTCCATAGAATGGTTCTGAGAAATGTTGCAGATAAAGTAACTCCTATTTGAGTGCACGTCCTTTCTAAAAATTGGGAGGACATGCACTGAACCAGACATAACCCTGCGTTTGTCAGCGGCAGACAGCAGTGGGATCTCGACTTATTATAGACTGAAGACACTGGAGCATCTCCAAGACACACTGAATAGGTAGGATTCCAGAACGAGGAGCTGATGGCTCCCAACTCCCTCACATTATTCTTGTCTGATTGTAACTTATTCGTGTCCTTGAAATCTTAAAGTGAGGGAGATTTTTAAATAGTCTGTTTGGCCCTCTTGCTATAAAACTTCTCAAGTACTCATTAAGGTGCATGTGAAGACACATTAAACATATCATTATTACAAATTATTGTTGACAATCTACTTGTCATATGTTGAGCACCATCCCTTCCAAAAAAATACAAACACCTGAGATAAAAATCTGTCTGCAAATGACTGGTGAGCAAATGTTCCCAGGGGAAACCAGACCTCATAAAGGAGTGAGGGAAACAGGGTTAGAAAGAAGAAACCAAGGAAGATGTGGCCTCAGTGCTTACCCAGGCGCTTGGTCCCAAAGGAGATTGGGATATTGACCATGTTCAAGGCTGAGGACTGGGTTTTTATGCCTGGGCAGGGTGGGATAAGGGGCTGTACAGCCAGGCACTTCAGCTGTCTTTAAAAAAGGGACTTTCATTGCCCAAGGGCACCCCCAAGTCTTCGCCACACCACCATGGAAAGGATGCAGGCGCTGCTTTAGAAGCAAAAGCATCCCAAGTTTGGGAAAAGGGTCTCCCAGGAAGAGTCCAGAGAAGCTAATGGGGTCTTTGTGGAAGGCTGACGTGTCCTTTATTCCATATGTCATCATAATTTGGGAAGAGAATCCAAGGAAATTTGTGAATGTTTCGGAATTGATAACAAATATGTTGGTTGTTTCCGCTTCCGTGACTGCTATACCTATAACCACAACCTGAGTGGTTCTTAAGATGACAGAAATGGATTGTCTCTTCGTTCAGGAGGCTGAAAGCCCCAAATCCAGGTGTTGTCAGGGCTGTGCCCCTCCAAAGGCTCTAGGGAAGGATCTACTCCTTGTCCCCTCCAGTTCTTGGTGGCTGTTAATCATTCCTGGCTTGTGGTTGCATCAGTGCAGTCTTCAAGACTAATATCTCCAAAGCTCTCTGCCCTGTCTCCATATGGCCCTGTTTGTGAGTCTGGGCCAGGTCTCCTCTGTCCTCTCTCAGGACACATGTGATGGATTTATGGCCACCCAGATCATGCAGTCTAATCTTCCCATCTCAGAATCCTAACTTAATTACATCCACAAAACACCCCTTTTTTGCCATATAAAATAACATTCACAGATTCCAGGGTTTAGAAAAATGAGTATATTTGGGGGGCCGTTTTTCAGCCTATCGAGCTGGTCTCCCCACACTGTCAAGTAGAAATGGAGCAAGGCTGCCTGCCTCAAGAAGAAGGTAAAAAATATGTGTCCCTCACCCAGCATGTGGCCCCTGGTCAGGGCCAGGAAGTTAGTCTCAACCACAAAGTTCAGCAGCTAGTTTTTCCTGTGAGCTGGTTCCTGCGGGGATGCCATCTGCCCAGCCTTTTCTTCCTCAATGTGACCTTCCCTTGGCTCAGGTAGACAGGAGCCTCCCAGACACAGGCAGGAATGTCACAGAGGCAATGTGTGGCTGGGAGGCATCCTCCCAGGCAGGAGCAGTGGGGCAGGGTCCCAGCATCAGAAAGAGCTGGAGTGGAGGGGAACCATCCTTTGTTAGGAAGAAGCTGAAAGAGGACAACACCGTATTTCAGGCCAGTTGAAATCCTGTTGGAAGTTAAAATTAAGGCTGATGGTTAAGAATAATAATCAGATATCCAAAAGAGAAATTTTTCCAGAACCAAGATCAAAGTGGTATGGGGGCCTGTCCCAGGCAGAACACACATCAGAAGGTGTGAGCAGGTCACCATTTGCAGGAGGATAAATAAAGGAAAGATCCAGTGTGTGTCCCAATATAAAAGATGAAGATAAGACTCGTTCTTTTATTGCACCATTTGACATAATCTCCCTGAACTACTCAGCACAGTAATTGGCATATAATGTGAGCTCAACAAACATCGTATATCATCCTCCAAGACTCAATGGACAAGCCTCTGGAAAGCATGTTCTAGGAGAATGACAAAACTGTGTATGAAATTATTTTACATCTTCTGAAAAAGCCAGATAGAGAGAAGAGAGAACAGGAGAGGAGGTGGGGAGGAATATCAGGGTACGAGGAGAGATGAAACAAGAACTGCTGAAAACAAAAATAAAAAATCAATGATGACAGTGGATAAAGAATAGAGTGAATATTTAGCAGAGAATAAAGTCACAGATGTTGAAGGCAAAATCCAACCAGTAGAGGGAAATAATAGAATTGGAAATTATGACAGGGAAGACAATGGTTACAGACGTTAGAGGATCAAGATCCACCTGCTAATTGTAAGCACTGCTAGGAAGAAACAAGCATAGAAAAACATGCTTAGAAGCCTACAAGAATTAGAGCTAACTCATAAAATAATTGGAAAAAAAATGTTTAGAGAGCTCAGATCAAATTATGGGCTACACAAAAATTAATTTAAAGTTGTATCCTGAGGCCAGGCACTGTGGCTCATGCCTGTAATCCCAGAACTTTGGGAGGCTGAGGCGGGCAGATCTCCCGAGGTCAGGAGTTTGAGACCAGCCTGACCAACATGGTGAAACTCTGTCTCTATTACAAATACAAAAAATTAGCCAGGCATGGTGGCAGGCACCTGTAATCCCAGCTACTTGGGAGGCTGAGGCAGGAGAATCGCTTGAATATGGGAGGCAGAGGTTTCAGTGAGCCAAGATCATGCCATTGCACTTCAGCCTGGGTGACAGAGCTAGACTCCATCTCAAATAAGTAAGTAAGTAAGTAAATAAATAAATAAATAAATAAATAAAGTTATATCCTGAATCTTTTCTTTAATTTCAATAAGTATTTAGGAAAAAGTTACAAAAATTGTTGGAAGGAATAAAAATTTTACCATGAATGAAGGTGACCTAGAAAATAATTCAATTAAGAATGTAAGAATCTGGAAGATAATGTGTGAAAGTAGGATATGAATTTATTTCATTAAACAAACTCTCAAATGTGACGAGGTGTCATAAGTGTAGTTTAAAATGTTATCACACATTTTCTGAGGCAGTTTACATATTCAGCAAACATGATATTATGATATTTGTGTTCTATTATCCTAGGTAATACTTAAAAAGAGAAGATAGTGAACAGGAATGGATTAGAAAATAATTTTTGAAATGGTAAATTCACATAGAAATCCAAATATTACTTCACTTTTAACTTATTATGTAATTTGTTAATTAATGAGACGAATCAAAATAATTTTAAAAGGAAACTAAGTAACCACTAGTAAAATGTATCTTTTAAATTACTAGAGTTCTTCGCAATAAAACTTAGTTTATCCGGCAAACGGTAGAAAATTAAGGAAAACAGTTGAAAAACATGAAAAAGAGAAAATGCTGGATAAAATGAAATGACACAGTATCTGTGGGTATACATATATTTATTGTCACTTTCTCTGAAAAAAAAAAAACTTACTATAGGTTAAAAAAAAACCCTCTGAACAAAATTCTAGAAAGAGACCCACTGTTGAGCCAACCACCCCACATCTCAGTAGCTTAAAACAAGAACTGTGTCTTAGCACACACAGGTTGGTACCTGGCCAGTGGTCAGTTATTCCAGGCTGGTCTTGGCTGGAGCAGCTCTGGTCCTCACTGCAGGTCAGAGGGTCAGGGGGACAGGCCTGAGGGGACAGGTAGAGACAGCAGAAGCCTTTTTGGGCCTGTGCTTGCAGTTAGCACACTCTCAAGGCCA
This sequence comes from Homo sapiens, assembly GCF_000001405.40. Classification (NCBI taxonomy): domain Eukaryota; kingdom Metazoa; phylum Chordata; class Mammalia; order Primates; family Hominidae; genus Homo; species Homo sapiens. Next base: position 4,107,736 of record NC_000005.10, read on the forward strand.
ATTATTTTTCCGTTGGCCAAAATAAATGATATGGCCAAGCACCCAACTAAGATGCAGCAAGTGACACTTCATCCATGAAGAGGCCATTTCAAGAGAACAGATGCTTAGGGAGATGATGAACTGGGGCTAAAAATAAAATGTATCACACTCACCTAAAAATTTCAGGCAGTTACTGAAAACAGGAGATATGTAAAGATATATCAGGAAAAAAAGAAAACAGAGGTAACAATTTTAACTTAAGATGAAATCTAATTTAACATGCAAAATTATTAGATTAGACATGGCTCTTTTATTTATAAAAGGTGTAATTCCCTGTGAAGAATAGCCCTGATCTTTTGTTTGACAAGTCATATAGGATCAAGACATAGAAAGCAGAAAGAACATGGACATAAAAACAGCTACTGCACAGACTCCCGGTGGGCCACAGCATCTCAGCATGATGGAGGACACCCAGGTAGCCCTCACTCATCAGTGGGTGCTGGGTTAACTGGGTGCTCTGTAGAGATGAGGCACTTTCATCCTCTCAGCAGTCCTAGGAGGAGGCTCCCGGTATGGGATGAAATCCAAAATTCATGTGGTGAAGTCCTAACCCCCAGTACCTGAAGATGTGATCTTACCTGGAAATAAGGGCCTTGAAGATGTAATCAGTGACGATGGGACCACAGTGGAGTAGAGGAGGCCTGAATCCAACAAGAATGTGTCCTCATAAAAGGGGATTTATTTGAGCAAAGACTTGCTCCCAGGGAAAAGGCCATGTGAGCACAATGGAAGGGATAGGAGACAATGAGCCACTGCTGTAGACCAGTGACCCTGAAAGGTGGTGTTCAGGAGGACAGTGGTTGGTTGTGTGCTCCTCCAAGCAGGGGACATCAAGCCTATCAGACTGGCTGGGCTCCCCTGCCCCAGCACTGAGAGAGGCTCACCAGGTCAATGCCAAGGGCCATCATGATGTTGTGGTAAGAGCTTGTGCTCTGCAGCTGAGCACCACCTTTATTAGCTGAGACACACTGGACAAATCAAACAATAAAACCAAGCCTCATTTTATTGGTGAAAATGGGGTAATGATGAGAGCTGTACTAGTTTGTCAGGACTGCTGTAATATAGTATCATAAACTGGGTATCTTAAGCAACAGAAATGCAACATCTCACAGTTCTGGAAGCCAGAAGTCTGTGGCCAAGGTGTCAGCAGGGTTGATGGTTCTGAGCACAGTGGCTGGCCTTTGGGTGCCTTGCTGATACCAGGATCCTGGAGTTCCTGGGCTTGTCAGCTCGTTCTCCTTATCTCTTTTCTCCTGCTCACATGACTTTTTCCCTGTGAGCATGTCTTTGCTCAAATTGACACCCTTTTAATGGGGATATATTCATGTGGGATTCAGGCCACCTCTATTCCAATGTGGTCCCATCTTCACTAATGACATGTGCAAGGCCCTTATTTCCAGGTAAGGTCACATCCTGAGGTACTGGGGCTTAGGACTTCAACCCATGAATTTCGGATTTCAACCCGTACCAGGAACCTCCTCATAGGACTGCTGAGAGGATGGAAATGGCTTATCTCTGCAGAGCACTTAGCTCAGCACCCAGTGATTAGGGCTACCTGGGGTTGGCCATTAGGCTGAGATGCTGTGGTCCACAGGGAGTCCGTGCTGACCTTGTCCTGCACATTCTAATTCATTTCCCTCAGACTCTCACAGAGATTGATCATTAACTGAGGATGCCAAGTTATTTATTAATTATAGAATTACTTGAATAAAGAAGTTGAATTATAGATGTAACTAGCAATTTAGTTTCTGAAAAATATAAAATATGTTTTTTCTTTAACACACCTATGAAACATCTACAGAAAGCCCTCATGGGAGAGGATGTGAACAGCACGTGATCACTTTCAAAGAGCAGAAACTTTCCAGACTTTTGCTTTTGCTTCAATGCAATGAAACTGGGATTCATTGTAAACAAATTCGTAACTCACTGGGGGATTTAAAACCATGCTTCCAAATGTCTATTAGGTCAATTGAAAATGTTCAAAGGCCTTAAAGAGCATGCCTGGTAAATAAACAGGGAAAAACATTTTAAAGATAAAAGGATTATGTCTACAAAAGGAAGACTGGGCAGTTGGAATGGTGTCTTGGTGTCTTGGTCTTGTAGTATAAAGCAAAATCACTGAGGTTTGACCCTGTAAGGTGAACCTTGGTCCCTGGTTATAAGACTAAGTCACAACATGTGAACTGGAGAAATTGTCAAACCTTCCTGGCAAGTCAATGTTATTGCAAAATAAGGAGATGCACCTGGATTTCTTTCCTTTTATCCAGTGTTCCCAGTCTCTCAAGCCTTGATTCAGAACCTGCCTCAGTCAAAGTAGGTTAAATATACTGAAATTCAGCCCTACTGGTAGAATTGTCTCTGCAAGTAAATGGGGACTATTTATTAACTACCCATTGTTCTAAGAGCTGTTCATATTCAAGGAAAGATTTGGTCCCATGAAAAGAACATAATGATCACATGTAGCTTAATGTCTGGCTATAATAAAAATAAATCAATGTTGAGGGGTTTAGGGCACAGGAAGAGAGAAGTTCCGGAAGGAGTTTGCTTTTAAAGTTGAGTCAAGGAGCTATTCCTTAAAAAGGGTGAGTCAGTATATTGAAAGCACATATGAGTTTGAAATTTAGGCTGCATTACAGAATGAAAATAATGAATATGATACCTGTGTCAGATAAATTAAGCATTCCTATCAAAATATCTACTAAAGTTTAAAACACCATGAAATATGTTCCCTGTTGACATATTCAAAGAAAAAATAATATTCCTTTCCTTTAGTTTTTATTAAATTTTTAAGTGATTAAATTGCAGCCACATATCACTTTACAGCTTATCAAAGTTCCCCTGAAATAGCAAGAGAACTACATGCATTGCACTGCCTGCAACTTTGAAGTTGAAAAGGTGAGATCAAGTTGAAAAATACACTCTTGTGATAAGATTGAATGTCCAATCCAAAACAAGCCAATGGGATGATTGTGCCTTTGGAAGCATGTCATGTTAACTGACAGGATCCTGGAAATATCTGAGAAGGAAGGATCCTTTCCAAACAGAAAGGGAAAATCTGGTCCAGGATTCCTTTCTGGCTCTGCAGGATTAGATGTGGGAGGGGAGAGAAGAATGCTATGAAGGAAGGTGGAGGGAATGATAAAAAGATAAACTGGTACTCACAAGTTGAAATATAGCATTGATCTAGTTTATATTTACAATGTGTTAAGTATTAACACGTGAGAAAAATATTAAAGCAAGGTATTTATTAGAAGAAATATAAATAAAAAAGCAACAGGTTGAGCACTCAAAATTAACTACAAGCAACTTAGCACCACTACACTGCACAAAAAAATAACGTGAAAGAAATATAATCATTGCGTTAAACAAATGTTCATAGTATAAAGGAAGGCTAAAAGTTCACGAAGGAGGAAAAGTATCCCTCTGATGTTGCTGAAAAAACGCGTAGATGGTTCTGCCCAGAGCTGCGATACGATCGGCACAATGTGTTCACCATGTCCATCCCACATGCTGCAGAGAATACTGCATATTTTGGGACTTAGGTTTATAAGACATAAAACAGAAACAAGAAACTGGGAGTCGGTTGTTAGTGTAATTCTTAGGGCGGCAAAACCAAAGATGACCTTAGTTCAAATCACTTGTCAGCAATTGTGTGGACCCTGTTGACTGCTTTTTAAATTGTATTTCTCAGTGTAATTAAGAGGTAAAAAAAAAAAATAGTTGATATTTAGGGAAGAAAATGTATTGGGATAAGACACTGTAGGTATCTTAATTTTTAAAGAGTTTTTTAAAACTGAATATTTTAGGTTTAAGTATGGAATTGTGTTTTAATCAATTTATTTTATTTTATTTATTTATTTTTAGATGGAATCTCACTGTAACACCCAGGCTGGAGTGCAGTGGCGAGACGTTGGCTCACTGCAACCTCTGCCTCTCAAGTTCAAGCGATTCTCCTGCCTCAGCCTCCCAAGTAGCTGAGACTCCAAGCACAAGCCACCCCCTGCCTAGCTAACTTTTTGTATTTTTCGTAGAGATGTGGTTTTGCCATGCTGACCAAGCTGGTCTCGAACTCCTGACCTCAAGTGATCCGTGCGCCTCGGCCTCCCAAAGTGCTGGGATTACAGGCATGAGCAACTGCCCCCAGGCTAAATATAGAATTTTAATACTAAGCATATATACTGCCTTTTTAGAGCCATATTATTTATATTAGTCAGCTTGGGCTGCCATAAGAAAGTCACAGGGGCTGGGTGGTTTAAACAACACAGATTTCTTTTCCATAGTTCTTGAGGCCAAGATCAGGGTGCCAGCAGGGTTGGGTTCTGGTGAGGGCCCCCTTCCTGGCTTGCAGATGGCCTGCCTTCTTGCTGTGTCCCCCATGACTTAATGACCTCCCAGAGGCCCCATCTCCAAACACCACCACATTTAGTGTTATAGCTGCCACACGTGAATTTGGTGGGACACAGTTTAATCCAAAAAGCTATTGTTACTGAAGCTGGAAAAATGTAAATGAAATATTTTTATTTTATATTACTAAGTTATTGGTCCATAGATTGTGCTGGCCTCCACAAAGTGTCAGGGAATGGCCTGACTACATGCTGTTATCCAAATCCAGCCTGTCACCTGATTTTGTAAATACATTTTTTTTTTTTTTTTTTTTTTTTTTGAGACGGAGTCTTGCTCTGTCGCCCAGGCTGGAGTGCAGTGGCGTGATCTCGGCTCACTGCAAGCTCTGCCTCCTGGGTTCACACCATTCTCCTGCCTCAGCCTCCTGAGTAGCCGGGACTACAGGCGCCCGCCACCATGCCTGGCTAATTTTTTGTATTTGTTTTAGTAGAGACGGGGTTTCACCGTGTTAGCCAGGATAGTCTCAATCTCCTGACCTCGTGATCCGCCCGCCTCAGCCTCCGGTAAATAAACCTTTGTTGGAACACAGCCATGTCTATTCATTTACACATTGCATTTGTCTGCTTTCACTATACAAAAGAGTTCAGTAGCTATATTACAGATTAGAGATCATATAGCCAACGGAGCCTGAAGAATTTACTATCTGGGTTTTACAGAAAAATTTTGCTGACCCTTGGAGATCTGTGCTGAGCAATGCAGTAGCCATTAGCCACACACTGCTCTTGAGCCCTTGAAAGGTGGCCGGTCCAACTGAGGTGTGCTATACATGTGAAATACACAATGGACTTCAAGGCTTAGTAGAAAGAAGGGCTCTATCTTGATTATATGTGAATGGTGATATGTTAGATTGGGTTATAATGCATTAGTAAATAATGCATTTTTAAACTTACTTTCACCCTTTTACTTTTTTATCTTTTCATGTGGCTGCAAGAAAAATTTAAATGGCATAAGTAGCTCCCATTTGCAGTTCTTACAATATTTCCAGGGGGCAATCCTGGTCTAGAGGAGTTCTGATTTTTTTTTTTAATCTGTCTTTTGAGCACTGGTTTTAGAATGAGCTCCAAAGTTACAAAAAATGACAAAAAGTGAGAAGCATGTTTATATACTATTCTTTAACAAAACTGTTTAACCTTAATAAACCTGAATGCAGATACTTCAGAGTACTTGAAATATCAATTTAGTAATCTTAAGTTGGAGATTTCTTTCCCTTGGCTCTTGAAGAATTAAGAAATTATTTTGACAATAATTGAGAAGTTGAGAAAGAGCTAGAGGGAGCTGATATTGCTCCTGCTAAGAGAAGAAAACAGCAGTGCTGGATCAAGGAAGAGGGAACCAGAGACGCTAACGTCAGGAGCATGACTCTCAGGGGCAGGTGATTGTCAGGGTCCGCGTACCTGAGATCAAAGAGGTGCCTGTCCCAAAGAGGATGCAAGGGCAGGGATCCAAAGTTGACTCGGTGCCTGGGGCTCTGAGATAAAAAATGGAGCAATAAAGAACAGGAAGCTGACAGATGGGACCAACGGGTAGCTTAACTAGCCACAGACAACTGTTTTTAAGACCTAAAAAAGCGACTTATAGGCACCTGTAATCCCAGCTACTTGGGAGGCTGAGGCTGGAGAATCACTTGAGCCCCGAAGATGGAGGTTGCAGTGAGCCGAGATCACGCCACTGCACTGCAGCCTGGGTGACAACAGTGAAACTCTGCCTCAAAAAAAAAAAAAAAAAAAAAACGCATTATTAAACATTTTCGTTTTGCTTTGGATTTGCTTTTGTTTTTGCTTTTGTATTTTCTCTTTTATAAATGCAAATCAGGTTAAGCACGCAATGAGGAATGTTTTGGCTACTTGTATTCATTGGAGGACCTCTATTATTGATACATAGAGTTGGGCCTAAGATTACCCATACTCCTTAAGATGAAAATACGCCGAGTCAGCGTGATGAGCCCCCAACTTAAAAACCTGCGATAATTAAAATCTGCGTGTGGCCTCAGCTGATGTCTCACTCTTGAGCAGTGAGCCACTCATTCCCTGTGAGCGGCATGCTACAGGATAACTCCACTGTGTGACTCTATGATCACATTTTCCTTCCTGGTTCAATAAGAATTTTTCAATACATGTGCAGTTCAACTTTTCTGGAGTTCAAGATTCTTTAATTTCTGCTTTATTTATTTTCCAAAGTGCTTTTTTTATATTCTATCCATTTTTTTTTTAATTATTGATACTCAGGTTTATAAGACAGGGTGTAAGTTAGCAGAGACAGAGATCATTTTGTCATTTGTAACAATTAGTCCTGTAGCTTAATTATGGCTGGCAAAAAATAATTGCTCCCCTAAAACAAATTATAGTTGTGAGGTCAAATCCAAGAGCATTTTCACGAGACCGTAACCTGCAGGCCCAAGCCACAAGTTTAGTAAGGCTGTAGTTTACAGCTCTCGCAGACATGATGTCACCAGCCTTGTGTGAGTGCATGGTGGCACAGACAGAGGTCACACACTGTCACACACTGATACACATGTACAGGATGACAGAATCACAGTGTCTCACTTACACATGCAGGCACACACGTGCACAGGCTTGCACACCATACACACTGTCACACACTGATACACATGTACAGGATGACAAAATCACACAGTGTCTCACATATGCAGACACACACATGCATAGGCTTACACACCTTATACACTGCCACACTTCTGTGTGCACGGACACGCACTGCCACACTCACACACCAAGAAACACTCAAGCATACTCTAGTGAACCAGTCACCTGGGGAGATGGGGCATCCTCTGCTTCAAGTAGATTTAAATGCTGTTAGTGAAAGTGAGTGGAAAACTTGAAGTCTGAGGAACTGAGCAAGTGTGGCTCTTGGAGTCTGCATCCTTAGATTCAGCTGCTCCTGGACTGACGATATGTGTGCCAGTGTGTGACCTCTGATGGGGGTGCCTCCCAAAAAGCCCATCTAAGTTGAAAATACCAAAGTTGAAAATGCGCTTAATACACCTGACCTACAGAACATCCTAGCTTAGCCCGGCCTACCTTAAACGTGCTCAGAACACTTACATTGCCTATGCTTGGGCAAAATCATCTAGCACAAGCCTATTTTATAACAAAATTATTATAAAGAATTTTGGGCTTGGCATAGTGGCTCATGTTTGTAATCTCAGCACTTCGGGAGATCAATGCAGGAGAATCACTTGAAGCCAGGAGTTCAAGACCAGCCTGGGAAGCAAAGCGAGAGCTCCTCTCTCCAGAAGAATTTTTTTTCAAAAGAATTTTGAATTAAAATTAGGAGATTCAAATACAGTTTCCACTAAATCATATCACTTTTGCAGGATTGTAAAGTCAAAAAGCAAAAGTCAAACCATCTCAAGTCCGGGACCGTCTCTATCAGCTTCAATTCCAGCTCTCCGTGGCAGTTTCAGCAGAATGAGCCTGAGGCTTCCAGTGCTCAGAGCCACAAAAGCCACTCCCAGACCCTGCAAACGTGGGCCATGTGGAGACCGCACATTTTCAACTTGTCACCAAGGCTGTGGCTTTAGCCACACAATGACTAACATCCCTGAATTTCTACAATAAAACCAGAACCCTAAAATTATGTCTGGGTTTCACATTTCCTAGAATCCTGATGCTAAATTTTATTTTGATTTTCTTTGGAATAAAGTTAGCTTTGTTGATAAAAATAAGATAATGTATGAGAACAGTCCATTAAACTTTAAAATGGCAGGCACATTGAAATGACTGAAACTTAGACTATTGTCCTCGAAGACAAGCCTATTCATCTCTCATCCCTCACAACAACAAGCACGGTCCCTCCACAGAGCAAATGCGGAATGAATTTTGCTGTCACGACAGCAGTTGCACCACCGACCTAATGAGTCGGTGCTCATGAGCCGACTGCTCGTGAGTGCTGGTAACATGAGTGAACAGTGTCCTGTTACGTGTTCGGTGGAAACCAAGAAGGGAAATTAGCTATTATCCCTCGTGATCCTTTTCTGAATCTAATGTTATTAAAATTGAGCTTGGAAAACATTTCATGTAACTACTAAAATTTATGTCTCTTATCAAGCAAAACATATAATATCCCTAACCTCTGTGCATTACCCCAAAATTGTACTCTTGAAATTCACTTCCAAATTTCCTAATGTGTAGACAATGTAGTGAGAGTGAGGAATTCCTGAAGGTTACTATTGTACTTTCTTAGACTGGGTGGCAGCGCTTGGGTCTCCTGAGGGTTCCTTGAACCTGCGTCTACAGACGCATTCCTGACGCCAGAGAAACGTAGGGTGCTGCGTTCAGAGCAGGTGGGCGTTTAGGGGCACACGGGCCGTGCAGGGGCTTCTGATAGGAAGCCTCGCTCTGCTATCTGCTTCGAAGCTTTTACTTCCTGTTGGCATTTCAGGGGTGCAGATCTTGACATATGAAGCGTTTTCCTAGCTACCCTGGTATTACCATGAAAAGCAACACATGGAAATTAAGGAAGCCATTCTCTAAGATAAAAGATACACCATACCCGGTGAGAACAAATCCACAACAAATGTGACTAAGATCCCCAAATAAAGGACTGGTAAATCAGAGAAAAAAAATAGAAACATAGAAAAACAAGCAAGAAATAAAATGGGCAAAGTGCAGAAGAAGACACATACATTGGTGATAATTATTGAAAAAGATGCACAACCTCACCAGTGATGAGCTAAGATAGGCAACTTGAACACGGTAGCAAGATAAATGCCCATGCCCTCATCTGAACAGGAGTTCACACAGCCCTAGCCATAGGTGATGAGGATGTGGGAGTGTGAGCACTGCTGCGTACTGCTGAGGAAACCGCATGGAAATGCACTAGTGCAGAATTGGGCAATAACTATCAAAGGATAATGTGAGCATGGTGTGTGACTCAGATGTCCCAGCCCCCAGAATCTTTCTTATATGAGCTCTGACACACATACAAAGCTGTCATTACAAGGACACTCATTGTTGCATTATTCATAACAGCCAAGAAAAACAAAAAAAGAAGAGGAAAACAATAACTGTAGATCAAAACAGAATTAAATAAGTTAGAATGTATTTTCACTCTAGATGACCACTACATGTCCATTAGAGGAAAGAAACATGTATGCTGGCAAGGAGAGATGTCTCGTAATTCAATTAAATCTCGAAAAAAGGCAAAATGAAGGAAAATAGAATGGAATAAAATTGTGTGTTTTATGTATTTGACCTATTCCGTGCATGGGTGCTAGCACAGGTCAAGGGACTCATTTTTGGTGATAGGAATTATGCTTTATTACCTGTAAAAGGAAAACAACAACAGTACAACAAAGCTGTCCTTTTGAGGACTCTGCCCTTTAGCAATTCTGAAAATGTCTTCCTGACATTTTCCCTGTAACTATCAAATGCTTAAAAATAAGTATGTGTAAAAACCTTTTGGGACAAGAACACACATTCCCACTTATTATAACATCGCTGTTATTTTTACCTACAGACCCCGCTGCTACATTCCAAGAGTAATTTTATTAACCCTTTCGGTCTCCAAATTATCTGCATGTTACATTTAATGTTGTGTAAGGGTGATTATCAACAGTAATAAACACTGCAATTATGCATGAAATTCCATTTTTGGAACCTTCTGCCACATGTTAATTACAAATCCTCTAATGGAACTCCTTTGAGGCCTGGCCCCATGTTTCACTGAAATCGCCTCGCAGACACATCTCTGTGATGACTCTCCAATGCTCCTCGGTGGGGAATGATGCTGCTCACCAAAGGCTTTCTACATGAGGACAGACAACCACAACACCCTCCATTCAAGCAGACCCCTTCAAAAGAAACAAAGGCACTTACTCAGCATCTCTGCGTGTCCTGCCACTTTGCAAGTGCCATCTTCAAGATGCTGTTTTCCTGTGACAGTCACAAATGTAAAGCAAGACAAAATCCAAAAGACCTTGCATGTTAATCAAGGAGAATTTCTGAGTTAGAACACATTTAATCATTGGTTCAGTCTACTGTGACCAAGCTGCATATTTTTTTCTCTTTTATTTGTCTGACTCTCAGGTGAGTTGGGTTTCTTCTATTGAAGTCTGGTTTTGCCAAATGTGGGTGCATTCGCCCTTCTCCCTCCTATCCTTGGGTTATGGAAGACACTCCCTTTTAGTTTCTTTGTGGAACTGTGTTCTTCTCTTTGGCCAGTGCGATGGGAGCTCATGGTGCTTGTAAGATCAGCAGGGCCATCCTCAAAAGAGACTGTCAACTCTACCACAAGAAAAATAGATTTCTGGTCAGGGTAAGCATTTTAACTTTAGGAATTATCCTTCGTTTCTGATGTCTATCTTCCCAATCACAATGCATTTTTAATAATTGCCCTTCCTAAATTGGTGAAAAATAAAACATTGTTGGGTAATTGGTCTTATCTGCAGGAAGGAAACAGGGGAAAGTGGATAGAACTCCCTGTCAGGAGCCAGGCTGACCTTGGGTTTAAAGACCAGAGTGACCACTTTGCAGCTGTGTAAAATCCAACAGCTATTTAACCTCTCTCTGCCCTCATTTTTCGTCTTTAAATGTGTCACAATATCCCCCCACAGGGACTTCTGTGGAGGGTGAAGTATATTGAAAAATACCTGAAAAAGCTGGGCACATAGTAGGTACTCAAATACTAATATCACTGTAGTATTCCATTTCAGATAGAAAAAACAATATATTATTTCTACCTTGAGACCAAGCATGAACAGGCAATTCTCCTCCCTCTGCCTGCTGCCACTGTGAATTGATTTTTGTACAATGGAGAGCTCAGTGGGGGTATGTGAGTTTTGGAGAGAGACAGATAAAACTAGTCTGAAGTGTGTCTTGCTCTATATTTTCTGGGACAAGACATGGAAATTCTCCAAGCTTCTTTTCTCACCTAAGGGGGAGTCTATTGACACTGCACTGCCTGGGATTTCTGGCAAGTCAAAGCCACAATGCCCTGAGTGCCCATGATGTGCCAGCTCCTTGCCAGCTGGTTCATGTACACTGTCTCTAGGTGACCCTATGGCTTGTACATTTGTATCCTTTATCATTCTCTTGCGAATGAGAGACGGAAAACACAGTCTTGGATGTGTGATGACCTTTGCCTCCAGACCTAAGGAGCAGACAGTAGGAGGTGCTGTGGAAGAAGTCCTGCCATAGCACATGGGAGCCAGGCAGGAAGATAGGAGAAGGGGAGCAGGGATACCCACTGGACTTGCACGTCGGTTCTCACGAGCTCCGGGTGGAGCACCACTGTCCCTGGTTCCAAGCATCCGTCTTACAGTGTCATCCACAAATGGGAGTTGGAACACAGCTTCACCCTCAAATTCAAATGTCTAGGAGGACAGCAGCACCAGCTCAGTCCAAAGCCCACCATGCAACAATACCCCCACCCCCAGGAGCAGAGACAACACTGGTGTTGCACCTGGATAGGGTCCAGTCTTGCAAAGGGGCTGTTTTCCCTTTCCAACCTTGCTGAGCAACAACATGGTGTCTAAAACCGTGAGATGAAGTTAACTTAGCCAGTTTTCTTTCTTTCTCTTTCCTTCTTTCTTTCTTTCTTTCTCTTTCTTTCTTTTTCTTTCCTTCTTTCCTTCTTTCCTTCCTTCCTTGCTTTTCTTTCTTTTTTCCTTCCTCCCTCCCTTTCTTCCTTTCTTCCTTCCTTCTTCTTTTTCTATTCTTGTTTTTTCTTTTTTCATCTTTTGTTTTTTGAGAAAGGCTCTTGTTCTGTTGCCCAGGCTGGGGTGCAGTGACCCCATCACAGATCATTGCAGCTTCAAACACCTGGGCTCAAGATATAGTCCCATCCCAACTTCCTGAAAAGCAGTGACTACAGGTGTAAGCCATCACACATGGCTATCTTTTTTAAATTTTGTAGATATGGGGCCCCACTATGTTGCCAAGGCTGGTCTTAAACTCCTGGGCTCAAGCCATCATCCTGCCTTGGCCCCCAAAGTGCTGGGATTACAGGCATGAGCCACTTCGCATGGACTAAAAAGTGCTTCTTAAAAATTAGTGACAAATTTCCAAAAAAAATAATAATTAAAATGAGTAAAGGACATGATCAGACACTTTTCAAAGGAAGATATACATGTGGCCAACAAGTGTATGAAAAAAGCTCAATGTTGGTGGTCATTAAAGAAATGAAAATCAAAATCACAATGAGATATCATCTCACACCAATCAGAATGACTATTATTTAAAAGTCAAAACATAATAGGTGCTGGTGAGGTTGCAGAGAAAAAGGAATGCTTATAAACTGTTTGTGGGAGTGGAAATTAGTTCAACCATTGTGGAAAACAGTGTGGTGATTCCTCAAACACCTGGAAACAGAACTACTATTTGAACCAGCAATATCATTACTAGGTATATACCCAAAGAAATATAAATTGTTCTATCATAAAGATGTATGCACGTGCATGATCACTGTAGCACTATTCACAATAGCAAAGACATGGAATCAACCTAAATGCACATCAGTTGTAGACTGGATAGAGAAGATGTGGTACATGTATACCATGGAATACTATGCAGCCATAAACAAGAAGGAAATCATGTTCTTTGCAGGAACATGGATGGAGCTGGAGGCCATTATCCTCAGCAGACTAACAAAGGAACACAAAAGCAAATATCACATGTTCTCACTTATAAGTGGGAGCTAAATGATGAGAACTCATGGACACCTACAGGGGAAAAACAGACATTGAGGTCTACCAGAGGGTGGATGGTGGGGAGGGAGAGGATCAGGAAAAATAACAAATGAGTACTAGGCTTAACACCTGGGTGATGAAATAATCTGTACAACAAACCCCCATGACTCAAATTTGCCCATGTGACAAACCTTCACATGTACCCCTGAACTTAAAAGTTGAAAAAAATCAGTAACCAGCAACAAAATCTGTGTTGTAAATTATGACGATGATGAGCAAGTGTGCGAAGTGTAGCTGTGCTTCGTTTAACATGTACTGAGAGTCTTCCTTTCTGAAGACTACCGGAAAGAAAGCACACTGGGAAAAGCGAGGTGCTACTGGTTCTGTGGCCTTGGTGGTTATGGAGAAACAATTTAGGGTAAAGCAATCGCCAAGCCAATGTCTTTCACTGCAATTGCCTGGCTTTTAATTTAGGTTTATTTGGTCACCTAAATCCAACCTCTGTGACTAACAACTATTGGGGAGTCTATAAGAGGTCCGGGACACCCTGTGGCTATCTTAACGGGAAGGAATTGTGTGCACTTCTCCCTCACAGCACGTTGAGAACATCATCTCCAGTCACTGTCCTGAGTCCTATGAAGACGGCATTATCTACCCAGTTGACAGAAGGGGACTTTGGCTGAGAATGACGAAGTCACACAGCCAGTGACCAGTGGAGACAGAGCCCCTGGAAGAGAGGAAAGGAGGCGTGCAAATGTCCTCCCTGTGAGGTTGGAGGTGGCCTCTCACCTTCTACCTTACAAGCACCAACTTCCATCTGTTATTGCTGGATGAAAGAACATGTTGCCTAACAATTCTTTAAAACAAACAAACAAATAAAAAACAAAAACAAACAGACAAAGAAAAAACAAGGGAGTTTCACTCTTGTTGCCCAGTTTGGAGTGCAATAGCACGATCTCGGCTCACCGCAACCTCCGGCTCAGGGGTGCAAGAGATTCTCCTGCCTCAGCCTCCCGAGTAGCTGGGATTATAGGCATGCGTAACCATGCCAGGCTAATTTTGTATTTTTAGTAGAGACGGGGATTCTCCATGTTGGTCAAGCTGGTCTCACACTCCCAACCTCAAGTGATCCACCCGCCTCGGCCTCCCAAAGTGCTGGGATTACAGGTGTGAGCCACTGCCCCGGCCAACAATTCTTTAAAAATGGAAATTCATAAAATCATGTCTGCTCTTCCTTGATTTTATTAAAAATGCAGGAAAAAATATCTTCAGCCATGATTCTATATAAAGACAGGCACCCCAAAATCAAGTTTTTTATAATCACCAGGAGCAGTTCCACTTCAATATTTGTCATTGTTTTGCTTAGTAGTTTTATGAAACCCTGTTTTCCAAAGTATATTTTACACAGTATTGAAAACCAACAAAACTCGAATATCACAAGTGAAAGATGTAAAGCCATCAGTTTCAGTATGATTATGGTTAATTAGTCATAGTCTCTTTTTGTTTACCGTAAGCTAGTTAAAGCCACTTTTTATTTCCTTGGTCTAATTACACATTTGTGGCAAGACTTTTTAAGACAAGTTCATTTTGATGGCAGTGGTGTTGGTGGTGCAGACATTCTATAAAAATCACACCCTTGGATTCCAATTGTGTTAGATCCCATGTGTCTAATTTGTACAGCTGAACATCCAATAAATAAAACATTCAAAAATATTGTGTAGAAAATGTGCCCTTCACCATATTGATTTCTATCAAAGCGATCTAAAACTTTCCAGGTTTGACCTTTTCTTCTATAAAGACAAAATATTCTCCTAAAGTGACAACATTAAAATGTTATAATGCAGAAAATCCTTTTGGTAAAGTGTGTGTCATCAGGAAATAATGGATGAGGGTATCTGCCTTGGAGAGCAGAATGTGGTCTGCTGTCCTTGGCAATGAATGAGGGCCTGGGAGATGTGCCCGGACAGAGTCTTGCCACCCACTTCTCACCTTGATCACTATCTCCACTTTCCATTCCTGGGGATCCCTGAGTCCATTGATGTGGTATACACCTCCACATTTCCCTAATTTTTACTAAAGTATTTCATAATTTTGCTTTGACGTCAGGATCATTGGTTTTCAGCCTTCATCACCAGAATGACAACCTTAAAAATGTTAAGCAGGAATACCTGAGTTAAGGCAAGGAATATTGGAAAAATGAAGATTTGTAGCTGTCGGTTACTTAGAGAGAGGATAAACGCCATGCTCTAATTTCCATATGTATTGTGGACTATTTGAACATTAAACATATCTAGAATATTTACTGGGCCAGGACTAAGAAGATGCAGAAGAAACGCAAAATTTAAGGGGCATTAAAAAAAGTCAATAATCAAGATAAACACTATTTTAATGCAATTTTTAGAAATTAAAATAGTTGTAAGGTATCCATGACTAATAAAATATAAAATTGTAAAAAAAGAGACAGGATCACTATTGCTGATGTCTCCTTTTGCATCAGTCTCTAGCATAGCTTGAGGCACCGTAGCACCAGAGTGCTATCCTTGGAGTAGGTTTTCTAGACTGAGTCTCAACAATCGTTGTTGTCTGGCTTAGAGTTACTGTCAACCTCCAGAGCAGGAGGAAGCCTAGGTGGAGAAGATGCTCAAATACCTTAAAGTGTTTTGAAGACACAGTCTTATTATATTTCCAAATATATATATATACACACACACACACACACACGATATACACACACATATGTATACATATGCATATATATTACCATTTAAGTTGTGTATGTTCTTTTAGTTTTCAAAACACTTACATTAGGCAGGTGTTTATTTGTTTAAACTTATATACAATTTCTGTCAAATATCTAATTTTTTTCATAGCGCATACAAAGTTTCTGCAAACATGGCCTGATGACAGCCAAGCCATGAGCCTATACAAGGCAGTGCTCAGTCTCAGGACTGAGCAGGAGGCACAGAGACACTGGGTGCTCTGCATAGAGCTGCAAGCAACTCAGCCCGTGATCCTCAAGCCCAGGTGACTTTCTAGACAGAAGTGCCTAGGAATGTGATGTTCAGAAGTTCAGAGAACTGACATGGATGTTTGAATCCTATGACAGGTATGGGAAGCTTCTCCTAGAGACTTGAACTTTCTGAATGAGAAGCTATATCACACCTTCCATAGGACACACAAGGAAGGGCCTGGAACTCCGGTGCAAGCCAGTCAGGCTGAGAGACCCACACCTGTGGGTCTCATGGCAGAACACAGAATTTGAGCCACCAGCAAAGGGGCTCAAGGCTTTCACACATGGAGGTAACTCTGATTTATTAACTATCACGAGACTCAGATGAATTATTTGTGGGAATGCTCTAATGCAGTTGTTAAGTAAAAAGAACAGATCTCCTAGAAATGGGGCAGCATAAGCTCTGTATGTCAAAGAAGGTATATAATTGCCTGGAAATTCCCTAAAACCTGTGGGGAAGCTACAACCTGGAGGACTTGTCTGAAGATAAAAGGGGAGAGAGAAAAACCACATTGTGGTGGAGGAGTATAACAGACCATGCTTGCAAGACTGAAGAAATGAGCTATGCACATTTGTGGCACAGATCACGAGCATGACAGAGAGAAAAGACACAGTTCTGACGGGAGATTCTCATTTCAAGGCATCTGCTGGAAGCCTCATTCAGCTACGATACTGTATCTGATATATTTCAAACTTGCTCTGCTGACAATTTTATCTCCCAGAATATGGAGAGAGAATCAAAGGCAACTGTTACTCTGGAATTAATGCTGAGTAACAGGAACTGGCTGTGGGCTGGAGTAGTAGAGACAGAAATCCTGGGGAAAGCTGCTGTGTCACCATGGAGTTTACAGTGACCCCAGAGGGGGTCACCAGCAGGATGAGATGAGCCACTCCTCACATCACACCGCATGCAATTCTGAAAGTCTCAGAAGAGGATGAACAGGTATCAAGGCTTTCAGAAGCATAATTCTGATATATGATGTGGCAATTTCTAAAAAGGGGAGGAGAGAGAAAAAAACACAATGAGTGTGCACAGTGGACTCTCTGATAAACGCATATTTCATAACGTGCAAAAGATGAAAAAGAGGGTTTGTGTGTAAAGAACGATAAGAAAATTTAGATCAAAAACTTTAAGAATTTTGTCAGGAAACTCACACATAAAATGACTTGCAGCTTTTGAAACCAATAAAACAACCACCACACAAAATATGTAGCCCATGTTTTAAATAATAAAAAGATGAACAAAGGAAGACACGCTGCTAGGGAAAGATGTTCTGAAAACAAAATTCTCCAAAACCTCTTTCTGAGTAGTAACCTGCTGAGACCATTACGCTTCAAATATGTATTTGAGAAAACTAACCTCCTGCAACTCATAATAAATAGACAATCTAATAAAACTGGGCAAAAGATGATAAAGGACACTTTGCATAAGAAGATATAAAAATGGTCATTAAGCACATGGAAAAGTGCTCAGCCACCTTAGCCATCAGTGACATGCAAACTAACACCAGAGCACCACCCCACGCTCACTAAATGGCTCAAATTAAAAACATGAAAACATCAAATGTTGCTGAGGATGAGGAGCAATTGTACATCTTAGATATTGTTGGGGGGGGAGTTTACAAGGTCACAACCACTGTGTAAACTGTTGGCAGTTTCTTATTAAATTACACATACACTGATCTCATAGTTCAGCAATTCTAATTGTAGGCATTTACTCAAGAGAGATGAAAACATGTCTACAAATAGTCATAGATAAATGTTCACAGCAGCTTTATTTATAAAAGCAAAACACAAGAAACAGGCAGTGCCCATCAACAGGAAAATGAATCAATGGTGGGTCAGTCAAGCAATGGAATATTACTCAGCTATGAAAAGCAATGAGCTCCTAATACAGGCAACAGATCATTGGTACCTCAGGCTTAGGGAAACTTCAGGCTGAGTGAAATAACTTTACACAAAAAAGTACTAAATGTAAGATTCCACGTATATAAAGTTCAAAATCAAGCAAATCTAATCGATGGTTTAAAAAAATAACCTCCCCCGAAACCCAAAGCAGAATAGAGATTATCCTGGGGAATGTGGGATGGGGTTACCTGGTGAACTTTCTGTGGTTCTAAGGTTGTATAATGTTCTGTATCTTTAGTTTAGGTTATAAAGGTGTGCATTTGCCAAAACTCAGTGAGCTAACACTTAGGATTTTTGTTTTTCATTGAATATCAATTTTATATCTGAATAAAAACAAGTATCAACCTCCGAACATGGAATTTTACAATCTAGTGTGAAATGTATGAGAGTAAAAGAATGAAGGATGAATGGATAGATGGGTAGCTACGTGTAACACAAACATAGGAAAACGTTATTGGTAGAATATAGGTGATGGGTATATTGGTGTTGTTAAATTTTCTTGAACTTTGTGGTTTGTTGGAAATCATTTGTGATAAAATGTGGGGAACATACTGATATGAAGTAATTGAAGCTTGATATATAATAGAAATTGATAAAAGTAGCCTGGGATGTCTTACACTAGTACATAGTTTTCTAGGTTGCATGTATAATATTACAATGACCTGAGAACCTGTGGATGAAATCACTGGTCAAAATCAAAGAATTGTGAAGATCCAAACATACTTAAGATTGTCAAATGGAATAAGAAAGTTTTAGCAAAGCTGGATACTGTTTAACATGACATTTATCCCAATTAAAGATTGTGTATGACTCTGTATTGTCTTCATTAGTAATCATTTGCTGATTTGGGGAATCCTGTCATTTTTAATTTAGACTGTTTTTTGCCTGACATAGCCCTTTTTTTTCTGTAATAGGATTTAGTTTTCACTCTTTCATTCACTTATTGATTCAGTAATTATTTATTAAGGGCCCACTCTGTGTCAGGAAGAGTGGAAAGCACTGAGCAGGGAGTGGAGAGCAAGACAGACACACTTCCCGGCTTCCAGAAAGTTCTAGTCAAAGGGCATGAGGCAGGAAAAAGGAGTAGCCACTGCCGTCCTGGTGCCTCTTGGTTGCAGCAGGCCTTGGACACAGCATCTCATGGTGCACTGTGGTGGACAGGGAATGCAGGCTGTGGCATGCATGGTTAGCTTGATCCCACAGTGAGACAATTCCACCCCTCAGATGATTCTTACTGTCCAGGCTTAGTTAAAAGGGCAGCCCAGGTCAGCACAGACTTTCACAAGAACATAGACTCCAGCCTTGTTAAGTTTAGAATGAGACGAAAAGCAGGAGTGAGATCCAAGGTGCTGGCAACTCAAGGAAGAGCTCAGAGGGCATCTGCAGGGTGGAGGTGGAGCCGCTGCCACCAAAGAGGAAGCACTTTGCAGATGTCCATGTTCCTAGTTCACGTGCCTGGACCCTGGACAGGTGCTGAGGGTGGACCTGTCCCCCAGCCATATCCAGGCTGTGATTTCACTCCGATTTTATGTAACTGAGAGTAGGATCCTAAAAACTGAAAAAACAGTAAGAGAAATGTTATATTTGGCCAATATGGCATCTAAGATCAGAAACAGGTGTCAGGTTTTTTTTTTGTTTGTTTTTTGTTTTTCTTAGACTCACTCTCTGTCTCCCAGTCTGGAGTGTACTGGTGTGATCTCGGCTCACTGCAACCTCTGCCTCCTGGTTCAAGTGATTCTCCGGCCTCAGCCTCCCAAGTATCTGGAACTACAGGCGCGTGCCACCACGCCTGGCTAATTTCTTGTATTTTTAGTAGAGACGGTGTTTTACCATGTTAGCCAGGATGGTCTTGATCTCCTGACCTCGTGATCTGCCTGCCTCAGCCTCCCAAAGTGCTGTGATTACAGACGTGAGCCACCATGCCCAGGTGGTCAGTTTTTAGAAATTATATGGTGAGATCCTTTCTGTTATTATAGTTTTCACAACTGATGGCTCTACCACCACAATGAAGGACCCCCTTTGTTGGGAGTTAGTAAGCATTTAAAGAATTCAAAATGTAAAGTGTGCTAAATCTACAGGTCATAATGATTTATAGATAAAAATGTATTTCTATAGCTTTTACAATTAACTCATCATAAATAGTAAAGAACAGCTTGATTCAAAAATTTAAAAATTACCGTTTTATATATTTTGGGGGTCCTTATCCATCATCAACTACAAAGGACAGAGCAATGTAAGGTAGGAGAGGGGAAGTCTGATCTTGTCCTGGATGTGAATGCTGTTAACTTCTCTAAGTCTCCGTTTATTTGTTTTGAAAAACATAGACAAAGGCAACGCCAGACTCTTGGGCTGTAAGATGATGTATGTGAATGCTTAAAGAAGTGCACATAATGTAGCAGCTAACACTGTTGTTCATTGGGATTATTGTGCCGCATTTGAGTTTCTTTAAAACTAAAAGGAAAGCATGTCTTCAAGAGTAACGAGTGGTCACCCCATCCAGTGGCAATAACTCAGATTGTAGACATTTGCCCAGTTCCCACCCAACCCTTCCTGGTAGGGCTCTAGTCTTCTCTTAGTAATAGGAACCCAGCCAGAACGGGGAGCCAGTCAGATGTGTCTGCTAAGTTCCACTTTAAAATACCTTGGAAATATTAATAAAACAATGAAGATGTTAGCTTGGTAGCCTGATGTTAAAATACACAGAAATAAACATGTCTGTTAAAAAGCAACTAAATGATAGATTAATGAAAACGATGAGAAGAGAATTGGTGATTAAGATGAAATAAAGAGGTTTATCTCAATGACTCTAATCCATCTTATATGAAGGCAGATTTCAGCAAGAAAATTAACCCTGGAGGCTGAGAGTGGCTGCTTGGTTTACAGCTCTGACCCCTCACACATCCCCAGCGCTGGAAAGAATTACCAACAACACAGGAACAACCACATGGTGGGTGTGGACCGTGTTCCCCGTGGAGAAATCTTTTGGTTTAACTCAACATTAGCAGGGCCCACAATACAGACCGTGATGCATCAACCACATGAGGACAAACACAGAGCGTGGCGCTTCTCTTTCACCACTTTGAAATATCTTATTTTAAAAGGAATACTTGAATTTGTTCTCTGCACAACAGAAATAATTTTCAAGTTGTTAACCCAAGAAATATGTATTTTTTTATTATTTCAAAGGATCAAATTGAATTTATTTAAATTCATTGAATCTAATTGTGGCTATATATGCACTTGGAAGGAAAAATTACCTGGCAATATGTTGCAATTTTTCCAGTTGTTTTGTTAAACAAGGTCTTTATAACTTCCAGTTTATAGACTTGGCCTCATGCTTAACAGTGGCCCTGTTTGACTCCGGGAATATCCTTAGGTGACTGCGATGAGGCATCCGGGCCATGAGCCGGTACCTCGGCTCCCAGCCAGAGGAGTGTGAAGCAGCTGTTCTCAGCGTGGTGACCTCCACCCTAGCACTAGGGGACATTTGGCGGCATCTGGGGATGTTTTGGTTGCTACATTGGGGAGGGATACAGGGGAGACCCCTGAGCCCCTGCTGCCCGTGGAACAGCTCTCCGCTGATCAGCATTTCCTGGCCTCCAAAGTTAAGAGTGCCAGGGCTGAGCAATGCTGCCTTGAAAGAAGGCCAACCCAGGACCAGGTCAGAAGGTGGAAAGAGATTTCAGACTGGGGCTCCAGCATTTGTGGACTGCCTTCCCAGTTTCCAGAGAGGGTCCCACACGTGGGACGCAGGTGCACTATCTCCTGTGCCTTCCTTTCTTTCTAGCTCTTGGCAAGTTACTTTTCTCTTGACAATGCACTTTCACCAGTTTAGTAGATTTCCATTTCGTTGGCTTTGTAGTAGATGTGTCGTTATTTTTAGTGATTAAAATAACTATGTAGCTTTAACAACACGGAAAATGCTATGTCCCCGTGGTCTGTGTCTGATTTTGAAAGAGATGTTTGCTTCTGTGCATCCACAGCTGTCCACAGTTGTTCCCCTACCCTTTGCTATTGGCTCCGATTTCCGCTCTTTCTTTATTTTTTTCTTTTTTTTTGAGAATGGGACTCACTCTGTCCGCCAGGCTGGAGTGCAGTGGCATGATCTCAACTCACTGCAACTTCTACCTCCCAGGCTCAAGTGATCCTCCCCCATCAGCCTCCCCAGTAGCTGGGACTACAGGTGCACACCACCATGTCCAGCTAATTTTTGTATTTAAAAAATACATTGCAGAGATGGGGTTCCTCCATGTTCCCCAGGTAGGTCTCAAACTCTTGGGCTCAAGCGATTGACCCACCTCAGCCCCCTACAGTGCTGGGATCACAGGCATGAGACCCCATGCCCGGCTTTCAGCTCTTTCTTTTCACTCCCTCTGAGTTGTCTTTCTTTTGTACCAACTCAAATAACAATAACTATTATTTTTAACTCTGGGGTTTTGGCAAAAGATATTTGCTTCATTGAATTCTGTGTATTTTGTCCCATATGTGTTATTATTTTAATGATCCTTTGTGTATATTTCTCAGGACCTACTCCTGTTAATGCTGCCTTTTGGTCAATAGGAGAAAGCAGGCCCTTTTAAACAGCAGCCTTCACAGGTGTGTCAAATTGCAGGGATACACTTTATACATTCACATACACAAAAACATACACACAAACGTGCACACCCGTATCCTGAAGACCCTAACTTAAACATTTAAAAATACGTTTTTCTTCATATTTTAAAGATGCATCCCTAAAAGAGAAAACTCAATGGTCTAGCTGGGTTCAAAGTATTTCAGAAAATGCTTTTAGGGATCTCAAATCAGTGGCAAGAATTTCTAGTGAGACATTCTAGAGCCCCTGGGGTGAGCTACCAGGAGAAAGATGAACAAATAATCTCCGTCAGGGTAAAAACCAGAATTTATGTTTTATCAGGAAAGTGAAGAGGAAGGTGATGGAGCCCATCCTCCCTGAGTGTATCTGTCTCCTCTGGTTCCCATTGCTGCTTTGGGGAAATTTGTTGGGAGGCTCCCATCCCCTAGGGGCAAATGTCCCCTCGTCTGTGATGGGAGCCAGGGAGGCTGGCTGAGTCCCCCAAACCTGGCCTGCTCTTTAAAAGATTCCTTAGAAACATCACATTGAAGAGCTGGGGAGTCCCAGACACCAGACCCCTGGTTTCATGATGAGAAACCAGACGTGCAGAGAAATAAAATGACCTGCCCAAGGACCCACAGGCTGGCGAGTGACAGAACTAAGTCTTAAACCCAGAATTGCTGGACTTCAGTCTCTTGCTCTTTCACAGGCTTCCTCTCACCCCCTCCAGGGAAAAGAAAGACATTCCTCTCCAGTGACTTAAGGTTTGAGCTGTTATTGCCTCTCCTCCCACTTTCCCGTCTTTGAAAACCAGCATAAGGGGCATCACTTACATGAAGAATTGTCTGACTCTCTGGAAGATGTGAATGTCTCTCTTCTTTGAATTCCCATAACATCATTTAATTGGTGAGTTGATCATACACATCTATTTTATGTATTGCCTCCCCTAAATTATCCTTTCGAAAATACACAATTTCTTCTTAAACTTTTTTTCATTATGACTTCTAGATAAATCAACCAGAAAAATTCATAAATATAGTAAGCACAATAGTGCATAAATATATGCACACATAAATGACTTCACCTAAAATCTCAGCTAATGGAGTTTGACATGTTTGGTTATTCACTGATTTAAAGATAAAATTAACTATCTGAATTTATGACCATAATTTAATTGATTTTTAGTGAAAAATTCTGATGATGGTTAATAAACTTACATAGCTCTCTCTAGTTCACTGTACCAGTGTTTTAACTTCTGTAAAAGCCTTCCTCAAAACAATCCTTTCTCTCTTTAGACGACCCCATTTTCATGATAAATTTTATTTTTCGATAGCTTCGTGTGTCATTTTGTACATGTAATGAATTTTCCTTTGTAAAATGGAGGTATTATTATAGAAATTTGACAAAACATTAGATTCTTGCTACATTCAGAATGTATTTAAAAAAACAAGATTTCTATGAGGTTGAGTGTGTATTTTGAGAAAATACTTCCTAGGTAAAAGTCTATTCTTACTAAATCTACCACTAAAATGACTCCATGTACCCATAAGTGACTATTGGAACATTGGTCCGAATTGCATATCATTACAATGCTTTTATTCAATTGTAAAGCCCTATATAGAATTAAGCTCTAACTGACGAAAATTGGAAAAAAAATAGTCAAATAAGGTTTTTAGAATTAAGCGCAAAGACTATGATATATCATGGTTGCATATACTAATAAACAAGGAAATCGTTTTAGAGGAAACTAGCAAATCAGTCAGCAATGTGATAAACTATCATAAGCATAAAGCATTCCAGCCAACATTCTTGGCAAAGACACTAAAAGAGGAGATGGAATGATGTTGTCCTAGCTCCTCAGAAAAATCTTTACAAGACTGGAGACCTATTATAACAAAACCATTCAAATAAAAGTAGTATTTGATGATTTAGTTCATGCTACTATACTCTCTGGAATCTAAAACATCATTAATTCAACCTGTTCGCTTAATTCCGGTGTTTTGGGATAAATATAAAAATCCGTAACTCAGAAATATTACAACATATACAGCAAACCAACGTGCCACAGATTGGCAATGCTACCTACTCAGGGTGGCAGGAAGTCATGAACAAGAGTATCTCACTGAATGTTCCTTACAGACCTGTGGGATGTCATTCAAACTCCACAGACTACCCAGGGCATATGCATGAGTGGGCAGAACAGGCACTGGGGAGGGGACACTTGAACAGAGATAAAACTACCACTCATAACATGACAGCAACAGCAAAGCCTGCTGGATAAAAGGGATCTCACTTAATACCCCCCAGCCCTTTGAGGACACGAGACACGGAGAAGTGTCCTAAATGGCCTGGTTAGTAAGGGTAAAGTGAGATTGAACATAGGCTGTTGGACTCCAGAGAGCCAGGCTGTGATTCCACACCTGGAAGGAGCTATGCTCTGAGAACTTAGGAAGTTATTTTAGTTCCCTTTTTTCCTTGACCAATTATGACCAAAGACACAATCTGCTTGACACACACAGATTGCGACTCTACTTGTCATGGTGCCTGTGAAGGTGTTGGCTTTGACATTTCTTGTCCCATGACTGCTCTTATTCAATATGCAAGCCTCTTTAGTTCCATCCCGGTGATGCCACAGGAGTTGGCGTAGTTGTTGGGACCGGAGATTCTGAGCTAGAAATCATGTTCACGTAGACCCCATGGTTTCCAAGGAGTTAATCTCTGTGACAGCAGGCAGGAGACACCCCAGAGTGGAGTGGGCATATTGGGGTTCACGGCTTGACTGCTGCTGTGCAGTGGAGGTTCTGCCCTAGGGCCCTGACATGCGTCCTTGGCCTTTGCACAGTTGAGAAGGAGAGCTGTCCACAGGTCTCGTGCAATGTTTGGACACAACTTTAAGCAAAAGGGGAACTTGCTATTATCTTCTGCCTTGGAGACAGATATGTGTTAAAATGTTTGCAGATATTATTTCATTAGTTGAAAAATTGA
Source organism: Homo sapiens (assembly GCF_000001405.40). Classification (NCBI taxonomy): domain Eukaryota; kingdom Metazoa; phylum Chordata; class Mammalia; order Primates; family Hominidae; genus Homo; species Homo sapiens. The sequence continues at coordinate 4,133,302 of NC_000005.10, forward strand.
GGGCAGAACACAAACAAAATCTTGAAGTTTGGCTCAATCCCTTTGGCGTATTTATACTGATTAAACAAACCAGATAACTTGAAAATGCCTTCGCCTGTCATATTTGTATATACAATCTAATTTCTTGAGAAGCATAAAAGTCTATGTATTGTGATAATGATTTTGTGGGTAAAAAGGTGTATCTGATGGTAAGAAATGTTTACAATAGCTTAGTTAATCATCTGTTGAAAGCTATAAGATTTATGGTATTTTCTTTTGTAAAGAATTTGCTTGAATTTAAAAATGCAACTTTGTCAAGTGACCAATTAATATAATCATTTAACAAAGCTAGAGGGAAGTCTTTAGCATTTTGTGTGGTCCTGTCCTCCACGCAAGAGAGGAAAAGAAGAGCTTTGGCATAAAAGCCAATTAAAGGGGGAAAAGAATTAGAGGGGAAAAAAATCATTCAGGACCAAAAATGTTTAGTCTGGATACTAATGTGCAGGCTCTGTAGTGCCCAAGAACATGTGGCTTCTCCAAGACAATACATCTTAATAACAGCCCTCGCACCATCTATGGGACACATCATGTGAGAATATATATTTTTGTATTTATGGGAAGCGATAATCATCATTTCAGATTTTAACATGATGGCATGACAAGGGTGACAGGAGATAAATGATGAAGAGGAAAATCCACATAGGTATAGGCATGTGTGGATCCAGCAGAAATAAAGGTCCTCCATGGGCCTCCACCCACAGGGATTCTGCAGGATATCCTGCCAAGCGACTCAGTGCAACAGTCACGTCCTCCCTCAGTGTCCTTCTGCCCATGTGTGCACTGGCTTCAAGGGAAGAGAAAACCGTTCTCAGAGAGTAGCGAATGGCGGAGGCTATCAGCTCCTTTCCAGTTGGTCACTGGTGTGTTAGGTAAGGCACATGTTTTAACAGGCTTCATAAATAACTTGGGTAATATACTGACACCGGGTTTGGGCTTTTCTTAAACATCTTTTTTATACATGCATGTCATACTGCAACTTGGGTTTTCAAGTAAGAATTTGCTCTAATCTTTAATTCCTCTTGTCTTTTCCTCTACAGTGAGAAAAAAGCATTTAAATGGTGGAATGCCATTGCTTTTGGCATCTTTGTCATGAAATCTTTGCCCATCCGTATATCTTGAAATTGACAAACAGGATCTAATTAAACTAAAGAGCTTCTGCACAGTAGAAGAAACTATCAACAGAATAAGCAGACAACCCACAAAATAAGAGAAAATTTTTGCAAGCTATGCATCTGACAAAGGTCTAATATCCAGCATCTTTAAGAAACTTAAGCATATTTACAAAAAAAAAAAAACAAACATCTCCTTAATATGTGGATAAAGGACATGAACAGACACTTTTCAAAAGAAGACATACATGTGGGCAATGAACAGATGAATAAAAAATTCAGCATCACTGATCATTAAAGAATTGCAAAACAAAACCACAATGAGATACAATCTCACACCAGTCCGAATGGCTATTAAAAAGTCAAGACATAATAAATGCTGCTGAGGTTGCAGAGAAAAAGGAACACTTATACACTGTGGTTGGAGTGTAAATTAGTTCAACCATTGTGGAAAACAGTGTGGTGATTCTTCAAACACCTAAAAACAGAGTTATTTGACACAGCAATCCCATTATTGTGTATATACCTAAAGGAATACAAATCATTCCATTACAAAGACACATGCACACATATATTAATTGCAGCACTATTCACAATAGTAGAGACATAGAATCAACCTAAATGCCCATCAATGATAGACTAGATAAAGAAAATGCGATACATATGCACCATGGAATACAACGCAGCCATAAAAAGAACAAGGTCATATCTTTGCAGAAACGTGGATGGAGCTGGAGGCCATTATCCTTAGCAAACTAATGCAGGAACAGAAGCCCCAACACCACATGTTCTTACTTATAAGTGGGAGCTGAACATTGAGAACACATGGACACATGGCAGGGAACATCACACACTGGGACCTGTCAGAGGGTGGGAAATGGAAGGAGGGGGAGAATCAGGGTGAATAGCTAGTGGATGCTGGGATTAATACCTGGGTTATGGGATGAACCATGCAGCGAACCACCATGTCACACATTTACCTATGTAACAAACCTGCACATCCTCCACATGTATCCCCAAACATAAAAGTTGGGGGAAAAAAAAACATAAAAATAAATAAATGGTAGAATGCACACCGAAACGCAGATGTACCTGAGAGGTGAAGGAAATGGTGACCCATGACCCAAGACAGAGTGAATGATGTCACAGATGCTGAACAAATGCCAATTGTGAGCCAGGTATGGAGCTGCTGCCCCATAAACCAGCTCATCTCTCCAGATGACCCCTGCAGGAGATTGCAACACAATACCACAGTGAGGAAAGCCAGATGTTGCCCACATCCCCCTCGGAGAAACCCGCCAGGGGCATGTTGGGACGTTGGGAGTGTGAGCCCTGGAGACAGTGTTGTGGCAGGGATCCAGGTTCTCCCAGCTGCCGGCCACAGGGCTCTGCCCAGGTAGCTTAATGCCTCTTCCCCTCAATGTCCTCATCTGTATAGTGGGACTGGCAATAGAGCGTTTGGTGGGGTCTCCATGGGAGGAAAGTACACGTGCACAGGGCTTACCCAGCATAGCTCTAGCTCATGAAAATCAGTCAGGTATCAACACCCTGATCTGGGAGGGAGAAAGGGAAGGGATGCTTCCAGAAACACTTGAAGCCTGAGCTGGCTGGTCTTAAGAGATGAGCAGGCCTGAATCTGTGCAGCGTGGGGGTTGGCCAGAGGGTCCTTGGAAAGCCATGCTCCAGTCACCTGTGGGTCAAAGGATGTGCAGTGCTCCTCCTCTGCTGGGCCCAGGTTGAGGGTGGGCGTGGTGGGTGAGGCTGAGATGCAGGCAGGAACCCCAAAGCCACCTTCCCTGTCCCATATCCAACCACAGCCAGTATGGCCAGATGTTTACACATGAGACAAAACCCCCTTTGCACCAGCAATAACTTCACGAAGTTTAAGGTGGTAGTTTTATTTCTGGTGCCCATTACTTGAGGATAAGAGGTAATAGTAAGTGATCCCCATCAATCCAGTAACACTGTAAGATAAGTTGGTGATGAGCTAACTACCAAGGTATCTATATATGCCTTGGCACAGTGTGCGCATGTGTTTGTGTATGTTGGGGTGGGGTGATGAGAGCCAGAATGCACGTGTGTGTGCATCCGTGTGTGTATGTGCATGCCTTATGTGAATGCAGCTTATTTTATTTTTTATTTTTATTTTGTGTATTTATTTTTTGAGACAGGATCTCACTCTTTTGCCAAGGCTGGAGAGCAGTGGCATTATCTTGGCTCATTGCAACCTCAACCAATGGGCTGATTTTGCCCACTTTTGCAGAGAGAATGGAGTAGCCCATTTTTGCAGAGAGATTGGAGGTCAAGTTTTCAATTACCATCCACCCCTTTGATAGAAACTGCAGTTTTGTTGTGCCTGTTATGGAACTGGAAAAATAAAAAAAAGAAAGGAAGAGAACCTAAGATATCACTTTTTAAGGTATTACTTAATTGGAGGTAGTGCATTTTACACATTTCTGATGGTTTAGGCTAAACCATTTGTGTAAAGCACCAAGACAGGCTCCATAGCTGGGCACCATGGGTCTGCATCCACTCTCAGGGATAAGGTTCATGGTGACAGGCTTATTGATCAGTCTGTTTATGTTCTGTAAGGCAAACCTATGCCTGATTCAACAGGTTTAACATGATAAACACTATCACAGCTCTATGAGTTCTTAGTAAGCTGAGAGAATACAATCTACAAAATTATTTTAGAACAGCACAGACCATTTTCCTACCTAAATTGATAACTCCAGCCACAGCAAAGCCAATGCACCACCATAAGCAAAATAATTTCTCTCCTACTGCTGATTGGACCATCTCCTGCATCTGGGATGTCCTTGTCCACTGGAAAAAAGTTATGGAAGATGCTGAAGGTGTGAGGATTCCACATGCAGATTCCTGGGATCTTTGCTGCAGGGTACCACATCACCGCCCCCTACGTGTTGCGTTTTTAAAACTCTCTTAGAGAGTGTTTACTTCTCACATCACAGATTTCTTCTCTAACTCCAAAGACTTTTACACTGTAATTCAATTTCTCAACCCTATCCAATTTCCAGGGTAAAGAGGAACAGAAAAAATGTCAGGGGAATTATTTACTCATTATATCCAATATTTGCTGTCTAGTTGATATTCAGTGTTCTTCAGGAATTCCTTCCAGGTCACTACAGGCAAAAGAAAATGTTCACCCTTTTCTCTCCTGTGGCAACAATTTGAAAGTATCTTTATCGTAATACACAATACTCTGCAGTGTCACCCGCGCTGACTTCTGCCTCCCTAAGAAGATTTTCAGCTGCCAGACAGCAGAGAATCTGTTTTATCTGCTGTGTATTCTATTTAGCTTTACAAAAGTCCTAAAATATGATGAGGTCAGTCTACGTTTGTAGAATGTTGGCCACTAATTTTCTCATTCCATCAAATTAAGCGACTGCCTAGTAATCACATAATGTTTAAATATTTCTCTGAACAGTTACACACTGATTTTTCGTATTACTCATGTCCAAATGTGTTGGGCAGGAATGTCTTCTCAAGCCCAATTTGAATAAAAAAAAAAGGTCTCAGACACTTCTCTCCTTGGCACCAGGTCAAGTTTGCTGTCTGAGCACTCCACGGCTGCTTTTGATAGGCGACAAAAGGTTTTGAATTTCAGCCGTTTAAACGTTTTCAACTGTTTTCTTGGTATTAATAAGTGAAAGTTTCCTCCCATGGTTAAAATAAAAAGAGTGTGACTTTCTGAATTCCCTGAGCTGAAGCTTGCACTGCACATCAGCCCTGCCTCGGGAAGGCTGTCCTGCTGACCCTCAGACACTAGACATGAAACCAGGGGAGCATCTTTACTCCTGACTCTCCTGTCGTGCCCAGAGTCAGAACACCTGGGCCATGGGACATGCATATCTTCATTTCATTATTTTTTTCTTTTTGAGACAGAGTCTTGCTCTGTCACCCAGGCTGCAGTTCAATGGTGTGATCACAGCTCACTGCAACCTCTGCCTCCCAGGTTCAAGCAATTCTCCTGCCTCAGCTTCCTAAGTAGCTGGAATTACAGGTGCCTGCCACCACGCCCGGCTAATTTTTTGTATTTTTAGTAGAGATTGGTTTTTGCCATGTTAGCCAGGCTGGTCTTGAACTCCTGACCTCAGGTGATCCACCCGCCTCAGCCTCTCAAAGTGCTGGGATTACAGTCATGAGCCACCGCATCCGGCCACCTTCATTTCTTCTTAATTCGGTTATGTACATTGACGTCGGCTGTTTTTCTAAGCCTCCCTCCCGTTCTACTTCCCCTCCTCCTTTCTCCCCTTACTTTTTGTTCCCTTCTTTATCTTGTTAGGGTCATATTATTTTATTTTCTTTGTCAGCTTTATTAAGGTTTAATTGACATAAAAATTGTATGTATTTATGATGTATAACATGATGTTTTGAAATATATATACCTTAGGAAATGATCGAATCAAGCTAATTAACATATTCATGACTTAATACTTAATCATTTTTTGTGTGTGTGATGAGAACACTTAAGGTACCGTCTCTTCGCAATGTTCAAGTATATGTTATTATTCACATGGTCACCCGGGTACGTGATGGATCTCCAGAACGGATTCCACCCATCTCTCTGAAGCCCACTGCCCTTTGACCTGCATCTTCTCAATGCCACCTCGCCCTCCTGCCCTGATGACCACTGCCTACTTCCTACTTCTTTGAGCCTGACTTTTTTAGAGTCCACCCATGAGTGAGAACATGCAGTATTTGTCTTTTGGGCCTGGCTTATTTCACATAACCTGATGTCCCCAGGTTCATTCATGTTGTCACAAAGGGCAGGATTTCCTTCTTCTTAAGGCTGAATAATGTTTCATTGTACAGGTCATCTTTTATATACTGTCTTGTAAACAGAGTTTCAAAATGGAGGGATGCTTTGTTTCAGATTTCTAACAACTACCACCAAAACACAACTAAATTGATTTAATGGTTACTTCAAATTACTGCACCTGATGACTATGGTTTACTCTTTTATTCAATACTTAGGATTATCCTATAAAGTCAGTGCTATTATTATACCCAATTGTCAGAAGACTGAGCATGGAGAGGTTAAATAACATGAGCAAGGACACACAGGAAGAAAGTGGCAAAGCTCTGCACAGTACATTCCTCCTGGGTGATCTCAGAAGTGATTATAATAAACTGATAAGAACAGGTCCTACACCTGATCTTAGCCAAAAGACCAACAAGGATGCCCTTTCTAACCATTCCTAGTCAACATAGTTTTGAAAGTTCTGGCCAGAGCAATCAGACAAGAGAAAGAAATAAAGGTATTCAAACAGGAAGAGAGGAAGTCAAATTGTCTGTTTTCAGATCACATAATCTTGTATCTAGAAAACCCCATCATCTCAGCCCGAAAGCTTCTTAAGCTGGTAAGCAACTTCAGCAAAGTGTCAGAATACAAAATCAATATGCAAAAATTACAAGCATTCCTGTACGTCAACAATAGAAAAGCAGAGAACCAAATCATGAATGAACTCCCATTCACAATTGCTACAAAGAGTATCAAATACCTAGGGATACAGCTAACAAGGGAAGTGAAGGACATCTTCAAGGAGAACTACAAACTACTGCTCAAGGAAATCAGAGAGGATGCAAACAAATGGAACAACATTCCATGCTCATGGATAAGAAGAATCAATGTTGTTAAAATGGCCATACTGCTCAAAGTAATTTATAAAGTCAATTCTATTCCCGTTAAACTAACATTTGCCTCCTTCACAGAATTAGAAAGATCTGTTTTAAAATTCATATGGAACAACAACAACAAAAAACCTGAATAGCCAAGACAGTCCTAAGCCAGAAGAACGAAGCAGAAGGCATCACACTATCAGACTTCAAACTACATACTACAAGGCTACAGTAAACAAAACAGGATGGTGCTGGTACAAGAACAGACACATAGACAAATGGAACAGAACAGAGAACTCAGAAAGAAGAATGCACATCTACAACCATCTAATCTTTGACAAACCTGGCAAAAATAAACAATGGGAAAAGGATTTACTATTTAATAAATGGTGCTGGGAGAACTGGCTAGCCATATGCAGAAAATTGAAACTGGACCCATTTTTCCAATTAAGGCACACCTGAGACTGGGTAATTTATAATGGAAAGAGGTTTAATTGACTCACGGTTCCGCATGGCTGGGGGGGCCTCAGGAAACTTACAATCATGGTAGAAGGCACCTCTTCACAGGGTGGCAAGAGAGAGAATGAGTGACCAGCGAGTGGGGAGGCCTCTTATAAAACCATCAGCTCTTTTGAGAACTAACTCAACATCACTAGAACAGCATGGGGAAAACCACACCCATGATTCAATTATCTCCACCTGGTCCCTCCCATGACATGTGGGGATTATGGAAACTGTAATTCAAGATGAAATTTGGGTGGGGACACAGCCAAACTATATCAAAAAATAACTTACACCTTATGCAAAATTAAAAATAAAGAGTTACATGTAAAACCCAAAACTATAAAAACAGTAGAAGAAAATGTAGGCAATACCATTCAGGACATAGGAACAGGCAAAGATTTCATGATGAAGACATCAAAAGCAATTGCAACAAAAGCAAAAATTGACAAATGAGATCTGATTAAACTAAAGAGCTTCTGCACAGCAAAAGAAAGGATCATCAGAGTGAACAGACAACCTACAGTATGGGAGAAGATTTTTGCAATATATTCATCTGATAAAGGTCTAATATCCAGAGTCTACAAGGAATTTAAACAAATTTACAAGAAAAAACAAACCACCCCATTAAAAAGTGAGCAAAGGACACAAACAGACACTTCTCAAAAGAAGACATTTATGCAGCCAACAAACATATGAAAAAAGGTTAACATCACTGATCATTATAGAAATGCAAATCAAAACCACAAAACCACATCTCATGCCCATCAGAATGGCGATTATTAAAAAGTCATGAAACAACAGATGCTGGCGAGGCTTCAGAATAATAGGAATGCTTTTACACTGTTGGTGGGAAAGTAAATTATTTCAACCATTGTGGAAGACAGTGTGGTGATTCCTCAAAAACCTAGAACCAAAAATACCATTTGACCCAGCAATCCCAATACTGGATATATACCCAAAGGAATATAAATAATTATATTATAAAGATACATGCACACGTGTATTCATTGCAGCACTATTCACAATAGCAAAGACATGGAATCTACTCAAATGCCCACCAATGGCAGACTGGATAAAGAGAATGTGGTATATATACACCATGGAATACTATGCAGCCATAAAAAGGAAGGAGATTATGACCTTTGCAGGCACATGGATGGAGCTAGAAGCCATTATCCTCAGCAAACAAATGCAGGAACAGAAAACCAAACACCGCCATGTTTTCACTTATAAGCAGAAGCTGAACAGAGAGAACATATGGGCACAGGGAGGAGAACAACACACACTGAGGCCTGTTGGGGATGGGGTAGGGGGAGAGAGAGCATCAGGAAAAGTAGCTAATGCATGCTGGGCTTAATACCTAGGTGAAGGGTCGATAGGTGAAGCAGACCACCACGGCACACGTTTACCTTTGTAACAAACCTGTACATCCTGCACATGCACCCCAGAACTTAAAATAAAATTTTATACAAAGAAAAGAGAACTTAAAATTGTATACAAAGAAAAGAGTCCCTAATAAAAGGGATTCTTCTTCCTGGGTTATCCCTTAATATGCTGCAGACTTGCGCTTCAGGTTGTTTGGTGAGCCTCAGGTGACTTTGTGTGTGGGTGACTGGAGGTAAGAGGGTGCCGAATTCAGTAAAAAATTAAGAATTGTTTTTCTAAATTTTTGGACACTTAATACTAGAACAGAGAGGTAATTGCTATCTGATATCCCACTATCTCTGCCATATTAATCATGCCCATTGCCACCCTTTTCATCATAGAATTCTGCATATCATCAAGGTCATTTCCCAAACAGATGATTTTTGGAACTGAGAAAAGTTTCTCAGAAATAATGAAAGTAGAGGACAATCTAAGTAGGTACGTGTAGCAAGCCAACCAGCAGCAACATGAGAAAAGAGAGGTTGCATTACAATGAGATGCAGAAATTCCTTATTTCAAGCCTCTTAACCCAAGGATTTATGTTTCCTAAACTTTGGATTTGAGACCTGGTGAATTTTTTTTTTCAGGGGTGGTTATGGGAGATTAGTGCTTAGATTCTTTGAACAGACTGGGATTTGGAGAAACCCTCCTTTTCCGCTTCTTCCTGTGCCAAATGGTTCTACCTTTGCAGGTTGCTTGCAGTTTTTAAATCACCTTCAGGTGCATTATTTAACTTAATTTCTTTTTTTACTCGGAGAATATAAAGTACAGAAAAGTTCAAAGAATGATATAAACACCACCACTCAGAATTAATGACATTGTATCAAACATTTTCCCAAGTGTCTTAAGAAAAAGAGATGCATTAAAATTTGAAAAACAACAAGCAACAAAAACCGGGAAAGGGAGAGCTAAGTAAAAGAAGAAAGAAACCTGATCTGTTGATAGCCTAATACGCATTTCTAAATTTCCTGTTCCCTGTTTGTCCTGATGTGGGCACTGTCTTTCTTATGTAGCCATCAGGCCAGGATCCAGGGTCACTAGAGGCCCTGAAACGTGGTACTGGCCTTGGAGACAGACCTCGGCCTCGGCCTCCCGGCCTAGTACTCCCCTGCTCCTCCCCACTGCCAAACACTTATAAAGATCACAAGCTAAATAATTCTGAAAAGAATTGCCCCAAACATTAAACTCATTTTTTTTTTCTTCTTGCCTTGTCTTTATTCTTCAGGGGTCCTGAGTTTCCTCAATGGCATTCTAATCCATGAGTGTTCAGAGAGAGCAGGTGGGCTCCCCTACCCGGCGCCTTCCGACCGGCATCTGGAAAAGGATAGTCAGAAACGCAGTGAAAATTACGCCTGCAACCCTGGCAGGCAGGGAAGCACTTAATAACTTACGTGGGTGTCAGGGCAAGGGAGGCGTCCGCAGACCAGAGTTGTGATGGACCGTTCTCCACCATGTGATGTTCATTTTCTCCACTGAGATTAAAAAAGAAGAGGAAAGGAAAGAAGGAAAGTGCACAACCTCCTTGAAAAGACAGCTCCTCCTGCCGAAAATGTGTTGCAGACTCGGTCAGTCAGGTGGACTTAATTGGAAGGCACTTTCTTTTTGATGGAAAAAGAAGGAGAAAGATTTGTAAAATTGAACCAATGTTAACACACTCGCATCCCACAAGGAGCTGAGTTTTGATCTGCTTCATGCTGAGAGAGCGGGAAGGAGACCAGAGTGTGTCTCAGACTTTCTAAGCTCAGCTGTAAGTTATAAAGATCCACCTACAACTTCTTGCAATTCTCACAATTACACTACATAAAATGAAAAAGAAGGCCGGGCGCCGTGGCTCACGCCTGTAATCCCAGCACTTTGGGAGGCCGAGGCGGGCGGATCACGAGGTCAGGAGATCGAGACCGTCCTGGCTAACACGGTGAAACCCCGTCTCTACTAAAAAAATACAAAAAATTAGCCTGGCGTGGTTGCAGGCGCCTGTAGTCTCAGCTACTCCGGAGGCTGAGGCAGGAGAATGGCGTCAACCCGGGAGGCGGAGCTTGCAGTGAGCCTAGATCGCGCCACTGCACTCCAGCCTGGGAGACAGAGCAAGACTCCGTCTCAAACAAAAAAAAAAAAAAAAAAAAAAGAAAGAAAAGGTGACTGTAGTGAAGAAATACATTTCCAAGTCCTCTCAAAGCCGTGATATTCTATGCAAGCAACATTCATAGAAGCACAGCTTACTACATGTGTTCTGTGTGCCGTGCTCTTGCGTGCACCTGGAATGCCAACTGCACAGTTTACTGTGTCCTGTGTGCCGTGCTCTTGTGTGCATGCAGAATGCTGACCGCACAGTTACTAAGTGTTCTGTGTTCCGTGCTCTCGTGTGCACGTGGAATGTGGACCACACAGCTAAGTGTGTTCTGTGTGGCATGCTCTAGTGTGCGCATGGAATGCTGACTGCACAGCTTACTACGTGTGTTCTGTGTTCCGTGCTCTCACATGCATGCGGAATTCTGACGGCACAGCTTACTAAGTGTGTTCGGTATGCCACACACTTGTGTGCATGCGGAATGCTGACTGCATAGCTTACTATACGTGTTCTGTGTGCCCCACTCTCCTGTGCATGTGGAATGCTGACTGCATAGCTTACTATGTATGCTCTGTGGGCTGTGCTCTCATGTGCACGTGGAATGCTGACCGCACAGCTTACTAAGGGCGTCCTACGTGCGGTGCTCTCATGCACATGCACAATGCCGATGGCACAGCTTACTAAGTGTGTACTGTGTGCTCTGCTCTCGTGTGCACGTGGAATGCTGACTGCACAGCTTACTACATGTGTTCTTTGTGCCACGCTCTCATGTGCGTGCACAATGATGACTGCACAGCTTACTACGTGTGTTCTGTGTGCCGTGCTCTTGTGTGCATGCAGAGTGCTGACCGCACAGCTTACTACGTATGTTCTGTGTGCCACACTCTTGCCTGCACGTGGAATGCTGACTGCACAGCTTACTACCTGTGTTCTGTGTGTGACGCTCTTGTGTGCATGTGGAATGCTGATGGCACAACTTACTCTGTGTGTTATGTTTGCCACACTCTCGCGTGCACATGGAATGCTGACTGCACAGAGTACTAAGTGTGTTCTGTGTGCCACGCGCTTGTGTGCATGCACAATGATGACTGCACAGTTTACTGTGTTCCATGTGCCGTGCTCTTGCTTGTACATGGAATGCTGACCGCACAGCTTACTAAGTGCCTACTGTGTGCCATGCTCTCATGCGTATGCACAATGCTGACTGCACAGCTTACTATGTGTGTTCTGTGTGCCACGCTCTTGTGTGCATGTGGAATTCTGATGGCACAGCTTACTGTGTGTGTTCTGTGTGCCACAGTTTTGTGTGCACATGGAATGCTGACTGCACAGCTTACTAAGTGTGTACCGTGTGCCATGCTCTCGTGTACATGGACAATGCTGACTGCATAACTTACTAACTGTGCTCTGTGTGCTACACTCTTGTGTGCATGTGGAATGCTGAATTTATCTCAGCTGATGACTTACTTTCATTGTTCATTTAACGCTAGAAATGTTAGGACTGATTCCTCCATTTTCTCAAAATCCAAATGCATAATTGAAATCGGCCCTACTGTTTTTAACTTTCTGTGGGGAGGGAGGCCCAGCAGTCCATCTGTTATGGAAATTTTTGAAAGACACAGAAGGTACATTATTCTTAGCCAAAAGGATTTCTCTTGGTATTTGAAATTGTTCTCAGTCTTTCATCCTTTCTTTCCTTGGCCTCCCCAGTCCCCATGTTGTGACCATATGCCTGAGATACACACATTGCGAATTTCCCCTTTGCTTTATGTTAGGGCCAGTGAAACTCTTCAGTGACTCAGTGAGGTTTATCCTAATAAGATTCCATCCTACTTTACCTTGAAACTGCAGGATGGCTGTTTTAATTATAAGGTTATCAATATATAGAAGGAAATGGGTAAAGAGATCATGTTACACAGGTATTGCAAGCATGAACAGCTCTATTGTTTTAAGTGGGAACTTGGCCAATCCCAGAAAATGGCCCACCAGCCATATTTGCAAGCTGATGTTTATGTCTACAGTCCTCTGTGAGGGTTATGTGACCGCCTGTGAGATGGCTGTTCCACACTCTGCCTGAGCATCTGAGAGTGCCTTGTCTTTTATTTGTCACCTCCATTGCTTCAATTTATTACCATTTAAATTGGATGCTAAATTTTAATATGGTTATGCATGTGTTATAAGTCATTGGATGACATATCCAATATCATTGAAAATTTCTTAAATAATTATTTTGTACTCAAAATATTTTAGGAAGTGTATAGCACATATAAAATCATGCTAGTTATGATTATTTATAATTTAAATATTATAGTGAACAAGATAATTTGAAGATATTAGTAAACATAGTGTGCCTACTATTTCCAAGAAACTTCGGTGGTGTTAATTATATTATTCCCTGTATATATACAGTATTCCCTGTATAAAAATTACACTCAGTTTGTAACCAGGTTGTCTTTTGAACCATACAAAAGTTTTTTCTGGTACAGAGGAGAAGTTCAAATGCTGAAATTCTGTTTATATGTAGTGCCTGCTTGGCTCAAGCAGTGCAAACCATGAACTCAAACAGTCCCAGTGACAACTGTCCATGTGGCTCCAGACCTGCAGAAAGAACGTGGAAGCTCTGAAAAAGTCACAACCAGAGTTTACGTCCAGCCTCACTCTTCATGACCTGGCATTTACTTGTAACGGTGGACTTTACACACCACCCACAGACCCTGTGAAGCTGGGAGAAGCCACTGACATTTTGTCCTTCCTCACATTTCAGTGTGATGAGCACACACAGAATACCTGCCCACTGCGAGGTACGACAGGAAATGCCGGTGACTCAAAGACCAGGGGCTTGGTCTCTTCTGGGCACCTCTTCCCATTCATGTTTCTCCTCTTCACTCCTGATTCCTTTGCATTCTCCCTTGCAATTGCTTTCCAGTTATTTCTTGATGCAACTTTTTTTCTCAAGCTAATTTTCATGGGACACTATGGACATCTTTCGGCCTCACTGGAATTACTCAAGGTAAAGAGCATTTCATAGACCAGCGGCTTTGCTGGACAGGAAGGGCTAAACGTAGAATCAACGACAGTCAACGATTAAAACCAACTTTCAGCTGAGTTGCAAACATTCCTTATTAGTTTTCTTCAGCATGAGTATTCCACACATGAAATCCTCCACTTGGTTCTGCATATGGGGGCAATTGTTACAATCAAAATAGTTCAGAAAAGTTGAGGAATTACTTCATGAGGACCGTGTCATCTCGATGCATAGACGCAATTACTTCTGCATCCGAGCCATTATTACTCACTTTCCCATTGGTTAGAAATTAATATCATCCTTTCACTAAACCAACTCTTCCTTGGATTTTTGTTTTTGTATTTTAACGACAGTTCTCCCCGCATAATTATAAACTATGTCTGTCAGGCCTCTGTCTCCAACAGTTCCCACCCTCCCCTCTGTGGTTGAAGATCCTGAACATCTTGTAATCATGCTTTGGGGAGGGTCTAGGTGAAAATCCCGGGAGTTCCACATACCCCTGAAGACCTGCTCCCATTCCACACTTGCCCCATATTGCACATACGCAAATTAATACAGAATCTGGGTGATTTCCTATTCCAAAAGGAATCCTCATATCCACAATCATAATCCACTTTTTAAAAATCCTGAATGGCATGTTTTGACTGCCAAGCCACCGGCACTGACCAGATTATCATCACCATTTTTGGCTTTTTCAGCATGTTGTCTGATTCTCTTTGCCATTTGCCATTTTGCCATTTTAGGTTTTGTTTGTTTGGTTTTTTGCTCTGGTTACACCAATACTGACAACAGTAATGACAACAGAAAACTTGTGGGGAGCTATGCGTCCCGTAGCCTCTCGCCTGAGCTCACATCGCTCTGGGGGGATGTGTGTCCTTGTCATCCCCAGCACACAGGCCAATAATAACTACCTGGTGCCCCCATAGAAGCCTGGGAACTGAACTCAAAAAGCAAAGTCATTCTAATTTTTTACCACTTTGGTTCATACATTTTAAGTGGCTAATTCTCCATGGTCCTCCTCAGTTTGCTGGCAACCGCGTGACCTTCAGCAGGGACGGCTCATCCATCACACTTTGAACTTTTCACTTCATTCCATGCTCCCTTCAGCTTTGCAAGGAAACCTTTGTCCACAGCCCTGTTTACTACACACAAGGGAGCCTCAATCTGTGTAGCTGTGTAACACAGGAGAGGCCCAGGTATGGCAGCATGGATCACCCATTCAGCACCTTCAAACTTGAGTGCAAATGGTCATCCCTAAAACTCATTTTGTCCATCATCACTTTAAGTAATGAAAATTAGGCCTTTACTATATTTTTGATAGAATCCAGTTACTATATTTGTAATAGTGAGTTTTTGATAGGAATCTGAGAAATTTCCTCAGCATCACATACATTATAGGTTTGTTCACAGAAAGAGAGGTGGGTAAAAAATTAACTGAAAAGTTTATTTGGTATAATATAAAGCATGGTTTATTGTGGAAGTCAGTGTGGCGATTCCTCAGGGATCTAGAACTAGAAATACCATTTGACCCAGCCATCCCATTACTGAGTATATACCCAAAGGACTATAAATCATGCTGCTATAAAGACACATGCACACGTATGTTTATTGCGGCACTATTCACAATAGCAAAGACTTGGAACCAACCCAAATGTCCAACAATGATAGACTGGATTAAGAAAATGTGGCACATATACACCATGGAATACTATGCAGCCATAAAAAATGATGAGTTCATGTCCTTTGTAGGGACATGGATGAAATTGGAAATCATCATTCTCAGTAAATTATCGCAAGAACAAAAAAACAAACACCGCATATTCTCACTCATAGGTGGGAATTGAACAATGAGATCACATGGACACAGGAAGGGGAATATCACACTCTGGGGACTGTGGTGGGGTCGGGGGAGGGGGGAGGGATAGCATTGGGAGATATACCTAATGCTAGATGACACGTTAGTGGGTGCAGCGCACCAGCATGGCACATGTATACATATGTAACTAACCTGCACAATGTGCACATGTACCCTAAAACTTAAAGTATAATAATAATAATAAAAAAAGAAAAAAAAAGATTAAAAAAATAATAATAATAATAATATAAAGCATGGTTTATAAACACTGAATCTGGCTTTCTTCTTCTCAGACGTAGAGCAGGGGAGATAATCTAGGTTTGTGCTACTGGAATCTTTGAGTAAATTCTGCCAGATTCATCATGTCTCCTAGGAGCAAAAGGTAAGACCACCTAGTAATAGATGAATAAGCAAACAAACAAAAATATTTTCCAAATGCAAGACCAAAATGAATTTGCCACTTATTCTTCAGAAAGGAAAAAAATGATTTGCTGACTTGAAAATGCAGCTTTCTAGAGGCCTGGCTGTAAATGACAGGTCCTCAAATACTTGGCCCAGAGCTTGGCTATGGGGACAAGAGTTTCCCCAAAAAAAAGAAAGTGATGCTTGGTTGATAACTCTGTCACATCTATTGTAATTTGTAAGGGGAATAAAATTGTTCTAGACTTCATTTCTGATTGTTCAATTATGTGCAAAGAATGAGGATAGAAAACATGCCTAGAGAGATATACACAACATTTTTAAGATGGTTTTCATGGGGTGATGAGATTATGTGTGATGTCTAATTCTTTTTTTATAGTTTTTCTACATAAATAAAATTGCATGCAACAGATAAAGTTGCAGATATGGTTGATATACTACTTACATTTTATGATAATTAACCAATTTTTAGTACCAATTATTTTTGGATTACATTTATTCTTCCCTCAAAGTTCACTATTGTATGACCACAAAAAAAAATATCTTTGGATGAGTGATTTTCAATTGACTCATGAATATCCCAGTTTCATGCATCAAGTAAGAAGCAAGAAGCAGATTTTCACACAGGCTTGAGAGATAACAAATGACAGACTAAGGAAAATCAAGTAAAATACATTTGAGAAAGTTCTAAGGCTAATATCTTCTCTGAATTTCAGATAAACAAATGGTAGCCATATACAGTAATGGTTGATTTTAGGTGTCACATTGAAAGGGTTAAGAAATACCCAGACATCTGGATATCTGGGAATGCATTGTCTCTGGCTGTGTCCCAGAGGTGGACGTTTCCAGAAGAGATTAGCATTTGAATCAGTGCACTGAGTAAGGAAGATCTGCCCTCATCGAAGGTGGGTGGGCACCATGAATCAGCTGAGGGCCGGAATAGAACAAAAAGGCAGAGGGGAGGAGAGGAAACTTTGCTCTCTCTTGTGGAGCTGGGAAACCATCTTCTCTTGCCCTTGGACATCAAAACTCCATGTTCTTCAGCCTCCAGATTCTAGGACTAGAACCAGAAGCCTCTCAGGCCCTTAGGCCTCAGACTGAGAGTTATGCCATCAGCATTCCTGGTCCTGGGGCCCTAAGACTTGGACTCAGCCACACCACTGGCATCCTTGGTTCTCCAGTTTGCAGATGGCCTGTCTTGGGACTTCTCAGATTCCAGAATCATGAGTGCTAACTCTCTCCTGATCTGTCTATCTATCTATCTATCTATCTATCTATCTATCTATCTACATCTCTAAATATCTATTTATCTATATCTTCTATTAGTTACATTTTTCTGGAGAATTCTAAAACATATATATAGTATACACACACTATATATATACACATATATGCACATACACACACACACATATATATATATGTATACACACATGCACAGTTAGCCCCCTATATCCATGGGTTCCAGTATTATAAGTACTCTAGAGATTATTTGAAGCACCTGTATGTAGGAAGATATGAACAGGTTATGTGCAAATACTATACCATTTTATATAAAGGACTTGAGCATTCATGAATTTTGGTACAGGTGGGAGATCCTAGACCTAATGTCCCTTGGATATTGAGGGACACTTGTGTGTGTGTGTGTATCTCATATATTACATATATTCACATTATATATAAATATATATTCACATAAATTTGCTTCTATTTAGCAAATTTAGCCTGAGTTCTAGGTGGTGGTTGAGAGCACCATCATTTTTGCAACTTGGGGTGAAGGGAGAGCAGGAGCCCTTCCTAATTCAGGGATCTTCCTGGTAGTGCTTTCAATCAGACTCTACTTCCAGGGGCAAAATCTGTTCCTGAGATTAAAGTAAAATCAGGAGAATTAGAAGGGATTTAGAATTTCAGTTATAAAAATAATCCCCCTTAAGGAGAAGAGTCCTCCAAAACAAGTAGACTTGCAGTATGAGTTTATCAGAAGTATCAGAACATCTGAAATAAAGAATCCTGATATGTTGAGAGATTATTTATAAATATCTTATTTAAACCTCCAAACAACCAGTAATGTTATCATCATTACATCCCATTTCAATAAGGAAGTAGAAATGGTAGTTGAATGACATCAAGATCATTAATGAATTTCAGATTCATTAGACGTGTCAGGCTCAGAATCCATAGTTTTCAAAGCTACAATGTCCTGTTCTCTCTTACTGAAAGGGGCCATGTGGCTCCAAGATTTAATGGTGTTGTTGGGCTTCTATCAATCTGAGTTTAACTCTATTCTGGCTTATGAAGCACTTAGGTACTTGTGAAATGGGCAATACAAAAATGAAAGCATAACCAGCTAGAAAACTGTGATAGGTCCCTTTGTGGAATAAGGACAAAAGTGATTTATTTATTAAGATATTATGTTAAATATTTGAAGAGATCAACATTTAATTTAAAAAAACTGTTGAGTTTGAAATGAGCTCATGGATTATGGATATCCAGTTAAACAACTACATTAGAATATCTACTGCATCTTTGGATGAGATAACTCTTTACCTACTCATTGTAAAACTTCATTTCTAGACATTCAGCATAGTAAATGAAGTATCACCCAAGTATTTGGCTTCTCCCATGAAGAAGTAGAGCCTCTCTATCTTACCAACCCTTGAATCTAGTCTGGACCTCTAGAATCTTGGAAATTATGTTATGTAAATGCTATACATAGGAAGTTAGAGTCCTGAAATCTTTTGCTCTGTTAATTAAGCCACCCCAGAAAGAACCCAGGCTATTCTGCTGGAGAATTCGCCAGCTATTCTGCTGGTGAATTAAAAAGCAATAGCAACCCTGGACAGGTGAGTGAGGCCATCATAGGCCACCTTGATTCAGGTGAGACACCAGAGATGTGACTTGTCTCAGGTGAGACACCAGATATGTCACTTCAGGTGAAATCAAAACAAAATTCTCCAGCAAAGCCCACACCAAATTGCCAGGCCCAAACTCCTAAGCAAATGAGTGAGTTGTTTGAAATGAAGATTTTTTTTTTTTTGCATGAGATGTTACACAGTAATGCATAGCTGGTAATTTACAGAACAATAATATTGTATGAGTTATGCATGTGTAAATTATTGCACTGACAGGTGCAATAGTAGAAAAATATCAAAACTTGCTGCAATAGTAGAAAAATAAAAAACTTGCAGGGGCTTTAACTTTTAACAGCAGATGATATTGCAAATGCCTTTTCCTTTTTTTTTTTTTTTTTTTTTTGTGGGGAGATGGAGTCTGGCTCTGTTGCCCACGCTGGAGTGCAGTGATGCAATACTGCAACCTCTGCCTCCTGGGTTCAAGTGATTCTTCTGCCTCACACTCCCGAGTAGCTGGGACTACAGGCACATGCCACCATGCTCAGCTAATTTTTGTATTTTTAGTAGAGATGGGGTTTCCCCATATTGGCCAGGCTGGTCTCAAACTCCTAACCTCGTGATCCTCAGCCTCCCAAAGTGCTGGGATTACAGGTGTGAGCCGCCGTGCCCAGCCACTTCCTCTCTTGATGATACTATTTATTCATTAGTAAGTGGGAATCTTTTGTAATGAGATGACCTGCTGTGGTTACATTTTTATTATTTCTCTTCTCTAGTGAGAGATGCCAGAAATCTTCATTTAGTCTTTGGATCTGGCAACATCAGAGGAGAGGTGTGCACCTCTTGGTATCACTTGAGGGCTTTTCAGGTAAGGGGGTTGATGATGGTGAGGCAAGAAGGATGAGCGGACGGCACCCTAAACTTACTGAGAATAATGGACAGAGTCACATGATTTAAGGAAGAGAATATCATCAGAATTTGTTTTTTAAATTTTGAATTTTTTAAATTTAATTTGGTTTTTAAATTTTAGAAGAATCTCTGCCCAAGACTTAAGTTGTAATTGGCAAAGAGAAGGAAGGGAGATGCTAACTCTGTGTCACTAAGATGGCAAATGTAAGACTTACTCCTAACTCAATGTCCCTGGGGTGGGCTGTGACTCCTGAAACCTTGGGAGCCTGTAGTGTGAGGGTGAAAATTAAAGGCCAATATTATGAGCCAGCTTGAAACCTGATACAACTGATATCACTATTTCTAACAACAAGTTATCTTCCCCATTTGCTTCAGTAGATAAAGTCTTCTTGCCCAACAACCCTCCTTATCAAGGGCACCAGGTACATTCCTGTTTATCCTTGAGTGGTGGGTCTCACATTCTTGCCCACCCACAGAATGATTCCAACAAGCCAATGACATCTTCCTCCAGTGTGATGGTCTGAATGTGTGTTTCTCCCCAACTTCATGTGTTGAAATCCTCACCCCCAAGTTGATGGTGTTAGGAGGATTGGCCTTGGTAGGTGATGAAATGGAGAGGGACCTCATGCAATTCAACTTTCTGACAATAGAAAACAGTAAAAATTAGGTCATTGTCTGGTTCGTTATAAAAGAAAGCATCCATTTTATATCCCCTTAGAGTTTTACTTTATTATGGGTGGAGGGAATGATTTCAAAGTGCTTTGTCTCAAGAAATGTACAAATTTATTGGGAATTTCCCTTCAATAAATGTCATGTTCTCAATTTTTTTAAATGATATTAGGTCTCTTAGAAAAGAGGCCCCGGAGAGCTAAGAGAGCCCCTTCCACCACAGGAGAACACAGTGAGAAGGCACCATCTGTCCACCAGGAAGAGTGCCCTTGCCAGACATTGAATCTGCCAGTGCCTGGATCTTGAACTTTGCAGCCCCCAGAACGGTGAGAAACAAATGTTTGTTGTTTACAAGCCACCCAGTTTATGGCATTTTGTTACCACTGGCCAAATGGACTAAGACACATGGGAACCAGGGGCCAGTCCACCTTCTTAAAGCTTCCCACAGATGCTGTTTGTTCACTCTGTTCCCACATGCAGTCTCCATGTGGCCCCATCTGGTGTGTGATGTCCTCCTCCCTCAGACTGTGAGCATAAGTAACTACTAAAGTGTGGTCTACCTCACCTGTCCAGTCATGTATTCTACCATCTCCATAACTAGAGGGTGGAAATTCCTTCCTCACCAATGGGGTAAAGAGGTGGTGAAAACAGAGCCCCCACACTGAGGACAGATACAAGGGAGCATCCCCACATCAAAGAAACTGGATGGATTGAGCAGCAACCTGGACCAGTGAGCCAGGCTTAGGAGCAGACTGCCTGCCTTTTGGATGGCACAGCCTAACACTGTTACAACAATGGGGCCTGGTCACTTCAAGCAAAGGTGACGCATACAGATCAGATTCCAGTGCTACCTCTGCTTGACTGTAGATATAAAAGCGGCCTGCTTCTGGACTGGACTTTGTAAATTCTCTAGGATCTTGGACAATTTCAACTGAAGGGTATGATTTAAGTGATTGATTGGTTGTGAAAGCTAAGGTTGTATTTGCCTCCTGAATCCAAGTTGTAACAATAGTAATTGTTCTACCAGAATGTTCCCAAACACTTCTTTAGAGACATGGAGTTGAGCTGTCCCGTAACTTCAGCCAGCCATCCTGGACACTGATGCCCAGGCATCCTGCTGTGCTCAGCTGATACTCCCCATGAAGACAGCATCTCAGTCCCTGTGCCAGACATTAGGGCTAGAGCTCAGATACACTGTTTGCTCCTCCACAAACTGGAACAATGCTGCAGTCCCAGTAGCAGCTTGAAGGCCAGCGAATCTTGCTCAGCCTCCCATCCTAGGCACTCTTGCAGGCGGCCCACATGCAGATCTCCCTTGTCCCTCTCTCTGCTCATGCCGTCATAGCTACGCCAGGCCTTTGCCTTATCTCCTGGCTTCCTGCTCACTGCTTCATTCTCTTCTTATTGTATTTTAATTTTTACTATTGGCTTACTAGCTCATTTGTTATAACTTTCTATTTTACTGGTTTCCCTATAATTTTTTATTTTTTTGTTTTTATTTTTTGAGATGGAGTCTCACCCTGTCTCCCAGGCTGGAGTGCAGTGGCACGATCTCAGCTCACTGCAACCTCTGCCTCCCAGGTTCAAGCAATTCTCCTACCTCAGCCTCCCGACTAGCTGGAATTACAGGCATGTGCCACCATGCCCTGCTAATTTTTATATTTTTAGTAGAGACAGGGTTTCACTGTGTTGGCTAGGCTGGTCTCGAACTCCTGACCTCAGGTGATCTGCCGGCCTCTGCCTCCCAAAGTGCTGGGATTACAGGCATGAGCCACCACACCCAGCCTGCCATATAATTTGTAAAACACATATTTGACTTATAACAATCTGCTCTAAATCATATTTTAACCATATATATATATATATACATACATACAAATACACACACACACACACACACACACACACACATATATGGTTTATATATATATAGAGAGAGAGTGTAAGACTCTTACAATGGTATACTTCCAATTCTTAACTCCTATACTTTGTACAATTTTGTCATAGCTTTATTTATGCTTTAAATCTATAATATGTAATTAATATTTTTACTGTATAAAGTAAATTCTCTCTGAAAAAAATACGTATTGTACATTGACATTCATATTTAGCATTTTTGGTGATTTTTTCTAGAGATTTGAATTCATATCTGGTGTCGATATTTCTCTGCCTGATGAACTATCTTTATCATTTTTTATGATACATATCTGCCAGCCTTGAATTCTCTTGGTTTTCATTTTATTTTATTTTTTAATCTTAATTTGTAAGAGATATTTTCCTCTGGGTAAATAAATCCATTTTTTTTTCAAAAGTCTTTTAGTACTTTAAAGATGCCATTCTATTGCCTCTTTCTTATCTTGCATTTTCTGATGAAAACTGTGTTGCTGTGTATGTCTTTGTTATTCTGTGTAATATGTTTTCTTTCTGTCTTCATCATTTTTTATTTTTCTTTGTTTTTGGATTTCAGTAGATCGGGTGGTGTCTAAGTGCTTTCTAAAATAATTGTATTTAATCCTCCTTGGAGTTCTCTGAGCTTCTTGGGTTTGTAGTTTGATGTCTTTCATTGATTTTGGAAAATTCTTGGTCACTCTCACTCCTGTTTCATTCCCTTTTCTCATTCTGCATTTTTAATTGTCATCTTTTAGACTGCTAAAATTGTCTGACAGTTTATTATATTAGGCTTCTTTTTAACCTTTTCTTTTTCTCTTTTCTCTATTGGTTTGTATAATTTCTTTTAACCTATATTTATTTTCCTAAGTTGTTCCTAATTTACTAATAAAGCCATCAAATAATCTCTTTATGTCTGATTTCTTTTATTTCTAGCATGTCAATTTACTTATTTGTATTGTTTCTATCTCTGTAAAATTTTCCATCTCCTTATACATGTTGTCACCTTCTTTCTGGAGTTTTTTAAATATTTATAGTTATTATAACATCTCTGCATGATAGTTTTTACTCCCATGATGTTTGACTCTGGTTTCTCAATTGCTTTATCTCTGGACCTTGGGTTGCTTTCTTCCCTTTATATAAGCCCTAGATAGATAGATAGATAGATAGATAGATAGATAGATAGATAGACCATGTAAAATATATATAATATTGTATATAATTAATATATATATATAATTATATATATATATTTTATTCAATGGCAGATGTTGTGTTTAGAAAAAGAAAGAATGGAGACTGTGGTCACTCATATGTTGCTGGGAACAGGCATGTCTCTTCTGGCAGGCTCAGTGTAAGGTGCTGAGTCAATCTTCCAGGAGCTGAGCTGAGTGAGGTTTTGTTGTGTTTTTCATTATCTTTGATGCCTCATAGGTTTTGAATTCTACTGGCAGTAGGTTGTAGTTACTTTGAGCTTGCAGTGGAAGATTAGGTGACAAATAGTTTTACTCAGTGATTCCTCTCTTAGCATCCAGACAGTCCTGGACTTCATTGCTGTGGGGTGGAGAGTGGGGGTCTATCCATGTTCTCACCCCTCTCAAAGTGGCAAACAGCTCTTGATTGATACCTGGTGTTAGGCTTATGATGGGGACAGGAGTATCTCTTTGCTGAGTCCAGTTTCTGTTTTACGTGGGCCTCATGCACTTGAGCCTTGGTGGGGGTGGAGGGTGGCTTTTTCAGCACAGCTGTACCTATTTCCCATGGAAGTTAACATCTTACTTGTGCCTTCACTTGTTCTTGGGAAAGAGTTTTCTGCTTCTCCTGCTAACAGTAGTAGTCCTGTGCTTGGTATTGGTGTAGGATGCAGGGCCCAAGACTGATTATTGCTCCTTCTTTGCTCTGGTATATTTGCTTATACCTTCCACAAGGAAAAGTGGACCTTTGTTCACGTCCTGGAAGCAGGAGGGTTTGGTGCAACCTTAGTGACTTAAGCCTTGCTTTGTAGGAGAAAATATCTGGGGAAGCCGGTTTAGTTCTGTGCTCATCCTCCAGCAGCCTCCAGTAATTCCTGCAAGTCTGTGCTGCTCGCTCAATTCTTTCCTGCACCTAACTTTTCTTATGAGCCCATGATTGAAGCCCAGGGAAATATGGTTACATGTGAGTATGAACTCTGCCTGTTTCTGAAGCCCACAGCTATTCCAAACTAACATAGTGTGCATCACTGGATCTGTAGGAATTTTTCTTAAGCTATCTAATTTCTTGACATCTACTTCTAATAGGGCCACTTGTTTCTCCTGCACCCTTTCCTGGTGCAAGTGTTCATTTGCTTGCCTCTACTTGGAGGGATTTCTTTCTCTTTGGTATTCTGTTTCCTTGGTTGCCTGGTTACATCAGCTCTCTTGTGGCCTGGATAAAAATATGACTGCATAGATCACCTGGCTTCTTCCTCTTATTAAGTCAGAAGCAGAACTCTTTACTCCTTTCTACATTGCAAGTGGAAGCAGAAGCCTAACACATTGATTATAATTGACTGCTATATCCATAGCACCTAAGACAGTGCCTGGAACACAGCAAACCGCAATTTTTTTTTTTTTTTTTTTTTTTTTTGAGACGGAGTCTTGCTCTGTCGCCCAGGCTGGAGTGCAGTGGCACTATCTCAGCTTACTGCAAGCTCCGCCTCCCGGGTTCACACCATTCTCCTGCCTCAGCCTCCGGAGTAGCTGGGACTACAGGTGCCCACCACCATGCCTGGCTAATTTTTTTTTTTTTTGTATTTTTAGTAAAGACGGGATTTCACCGTGTTAGTCAGGATGGTCTCAATCTCCTGACCTCGTGATTCACCTTCATCGACCTCCCAGAGTGCTGGGATTACAGGCGTGAGCCGCCGCGCCCAGCCAATAAATATTTTTTAAATATAAAAGACTCAATGAAAAAAGAGGACACATCATGGAAACATATTGTCACTAAGCTATTCTACTTGGTTGTCTAGAATTTTAATATAAAGTGTGTTCTGACACTTAAATGCCAGTGTGATAGACACACTGACCTTGCATCGTGTATTTAACAAAGAAGTCTCTTCTTAATCCTAATTCTGCACAAAATGTAAAGAAGATGTGAAACAAAATAGAAAGTCTCTGCTTGCTGAGTTGAAAACATTGTGAAGGGGTTCTGGTAAAGCACCCTGAAACCCAGTTGGGGATTTGAATGCAATGACTCTTGTTCTTATCAAATCAGAGAACTCTACAAGGTTTCAAGACATCTAACCATTCCAGTCAAGGGTTCTCATGGGTTGTGAGAACAGAGTGGCAGGGACATTTCAGTTGCATTGTAGAAGAAGAAAATTTACTGATAGCCTGGATGAAATTATCTAATTTTTCATAAGCAGACAGGGACATGCACAATTATCATCAAATACCACAGAACTGGCATTCACTGAAATTCATTGTTCTGTTCCCACTTTAAAACAATATCCCAAGCGTTACTAACTTGTTTGGTACATATTGAACCAACATGAATCAAAACAGAAGTGACTTGGTATTCATGTAGATGTCATGTGTGATATAGGCATTCTATGAAATTTGCACTATGTTTCAGTCTTAATCATGTTGTTCCCTTGTGGTTTTAATGTGTCTCTCTTTTTTTTTTTTTTTTTTTGCCTTTATTTTCTTTGACACACCAACTTCCAGAAAGAATATATTTAATTTACAAAACGAGCTCCAAAATACTTCAGTCAT
This sequence comes from Homo sapiens, assembly GCF_000001405.40. NCBI lineage: Eukaryota > Metazoa > Chordata > Mammalia > Primates > Hominidae > Homo > Homo sapiens. Next base: position 4,159,438 of record NC_000005.10, read on the forward strand.
TGAAAAATCTTAAAATGTAATGGGTGTAATATAATACTTTTAATCGTTGTTCTTAATGTTAAACTTTAAAGAGAGAAGAACATAAGAATATTCAAGTGTCAATGGATTATACTAAAAAAGAAAAAGAAAAAAAAACCTCACCTTTATTTTCTGATAAACATACTGTCCTTGATTTCCAAGGCTTGGCTGTTGAAATTGCTGAAGAACTTCCACCGTAGATACCTTTTTTTGTTTTCACTTGGAAAGTATTCGCAAGCCATTTTTGCATCAGGAATGCAGGACACCTAGGTAAAATGTATAAATGTGACATAACATAATAATTCTCTTTGTCCTCTTCCTGTTAGAGTGCCTGCGAATCCCTGAGGAAGCAGGACTGAATTGCACAATCTTTAGTCAAAGGAGCACTGGTCTCAGAAACAGAATATTTGTGGTCACGTCTGGTCAAATCTGGATACTGCCACTTTCTTGCTTTATAAAGAGGCATTTCACATTTCATCCACGGTCCCCTCTACAATGTAGGGCCACTGTGGGAGTCATGAGAGATGACAGGTGTGGTCACGGTTTGTCAGTTGTTAACACAATTTTAAGCAAGTATTCAAGTCAAAACAAATAATGTATGGTGGAGAATGGATGTTTATTTCCAAATACCTCTCCACTTTGTGGGAATTACAGAGTAAATCTTGTTTCTTACCCATCCTTTTGTTCACTTTCAAGTTCATTCCAGTAGAAGTTTCCAGTTTGCTTCAGCAACAAATGAGAGAGACAGTATGGAAAATGGCGACCATTGCTCTTGCCATGAGACCTAGGGGCATAGATTTCTGGATGTTTTGCTGGTCTATGTACTCCACTGTACCCACTCTGTCACTCCTTAACTTCTTTATGTATAAGAAACAAATGCTTTCTTCTATTTTTTTTCTGTTACCCTCACCCCAGCCTGTAACCCTACATCAATGTCATATCTGCCTTGTGATGGGGCAGCCCAACTGCCTACCCCAGCTAATGCTGTGCTTACCAGGAACTGTCTTGCTGGGCCTTGTGGAATTTCTGACCCAGGATAGGAAATCAGACACATCTCTTTTTCAGGTACAGTGCTTTTTCTCTACTTCCTCAAGCTAACCGATATTCTAGATCCCTGGATGACAAGGTTTTTTCTTCTGCTCCTGTGGAGACCATATTTTTTTTCTTTCTGAGCATCAAATCTCTGAGAAAAGAGGTTTCCTACTTTTTCCATCATTGGATCATTGACCCATCATTCTTCTTTATACCATGAGGTTAACTGGTGACACAGGCCACCAAAACCATCCAGAAACTCAAAACCAGTTCTTACTATCTTAAATTATTTAGTTTTATGTTCATAATACATCTCCTCTCTCTTAGTAGTTGTCTTATGCAAGTTCAATAGGAATACTGGAGACCCATAGATTACTGTATCTCAATATGCTCAGCTTCAGAATTCTTCTTCCCCAATAGACAACACCCTCACAACACAACTAGCCCTGAACATTATTTTCCTGAGATGTTGCCCTGTTTGCAGTATTAAAGATCTTTCTACTTATATCAAAGTCAAATAGAAATTGTTTACTGAATGTTTATTTAATTTCAATTTATGTAGGTAAAGAAAAGTTATTCAAGTCACAGTACGTGGTTAATTTAAGCAGAAAAGTCACATCATTGGGAAGACTTCAGCTGCAAATGGGGACAATATACAAACAAACAATGGCCAGACTCTATTCAAAGACAAAATTCTGCACAACCTTTGCAGCCCTCAGCCTAGAGTGGCCAGGACTCAGTCAAGAGTGGCCAACTTCTCTATTTTTTGAACCTACTTCCAGCTCAGCACCAACAAAAGGAACCCAAAATATGCTCCCCTAGCCAATCTCATAAGATGCCCCACTTGTTGTGAGCAGCAGGTGCAGCTTCCCCAGGCCAGCAGCCTCCAGTCAGGGCATGCCAAGAGCCTTTCCTTTTTTCACTGTGAGGCCTTCCCACTCCTCTGCCTGCCTTTGAGTGTCTGGCAAACACAAGGGAGGGAGGCTGACTCCCTTGCTTCAGCAAGCTCTGAATAAATAGTCTTTGCTTATTCCCTTTTGGCAGGTCCTTATTACTTCTACAGCCCTCCTAGGGAAGGGCCTCAGCCCCCCAACTGCTTCTTGTGTCCCATGAGATAGCGACAGAGCACCTCTCCTTACTTAGCCCCTTTGGCTGTGGAAGGAGGAACAGGCTCTGTCCTCTGCAATGGGACTGGGGAGAGAATGTGTTGTCTGATGTGTGTCCATGTTAGCTCCTCCCCAAACCAGGGATACTAGTCACTTATGGCTTCACTTGTTCCCTAAAAGGCAAGTGCATCTCCCAACTAGTCCTGGGGAGAAACAACTGGTCTCCCCTGAGGGAATGCCCTCTTGTTAATGTGACATTGGCATAAACACTAACCCTTGAGCTTTTGACCCTTCCTGAACTTGTCCTGCCGAGCAACACAGCCTCTATGGCATAATCCAGGAAGCCTGGCAGCTGTCCCCAAACATCTTCCAATTGATCTTCCCTTAGAGCATGTCTCAACCCAATATCCCCATGCATAGAGAGAGTAGGGAATCCAGTATAATTTGAGAATTTTGTAGAGCTTATCATCTGCATGTATTCTTTTGTCTGATTAGTTAGTGCTCACCTTGGAAAAGAGAAGAAGTAAAGAAGGTCATGGAAAACAAACTGTGCTTGCAGAAATGCTATAAAGGCACATTCCCTCCTTCTCAGGAGCTGGAAGCAAGTGCTGAACACGTTTCAGCTACGGCTGTCTTCACCAGAGAGCGTGCATACTTTTAAAAGTTTGAATTACATTGTGGTACAAGTGACCTGCCTTCTGAAAACAAAAAACAAACAAAAAAAACCTGCCATTTGTGGCTGCCATCACATCACAGGAAGAGGCAGGAGCAGCATCACACAGTCACAGAAGAAAATGGAATCTTCTTATTTCTTGTCCTCAGGGATCCAAGATTTTGTCTTTTTTCTGCACTATGGTAAAGGGTTATGAACTCAGTGCTACTGGAAATGAAGGCTTCATCCCCTCAAAGTTCTCTGTCTGAGGCAAAGCAATATAGAAAATTCAATCTAGAAGCCTACCTTAATGTACAATAGGGTAACATAAATCTCATTCATTATAAGATGTACTTTGAACTCATGTAACACAACAATCTAACACTGTAGATAAGAGCCATGTCTCACTCCTCTACATGGTTAGGTGGGTGGGTGAGAAGTTACATAATTAAAAGATAAAGATTCTACTAGGTGCAGATATCAACAAATATCTTCCAGGCCATGTTTTGTGAGGAAAGGACTGGGAACCAGAGAGGGAAAAATCTATTTCAGTATTCATTTCAAAGGATTATAAGTATTTATTGGTATGTTGAGTTTATACTGTACTTTTCCTCAAGATTGGGATTTATATTTTTAAAATCTTTGGAATTTATTCAAAGTGGAAGAACTTTGCCAGAATAACCAAAGAGGTGTGACATATGCATGCCTACAGAGACAGAAATTAAAGGTGAAAATCTGGACTGTTTGTTGTCACAATTGTCTGGTCACAGTCCACTTGGACAGTCTGTTTCTCTGCTTTTCTTCCTGTTAGCTGTTTTGTCTAGATCTGACTCTGCTGAAGGTGACAGTGAGCCATGGCCTGACTTAATGTTGGCCTTCATGTGGTCAGGACAATATGGGAAAGAAAATGGATAAGGCTGTTTTGGGGGGTAAATATTGACTTTTAATCTTTTTTAAAGAGAAGGAGCATGTAAGGAGACTATAAATTAAATAAATTAATTAAAAAATAATTTTTATTAAGCAAAAGCATTCTGCATAAGATAACTCTATGCTCCAAACAAAGTCTATTCTAAAATTCTGCTCTTTGAAAAGCTCAATGACAATATAATTAATGCTCTGGGTCTATCACTCCTTCACACTCTTAATTTAATTCTCCCTTTGTGCTTTCTGAATCATTTTTAATTAATTGATTAATCAGAGCCACAGCCATCTTTTATATCATCGTTTGGGTCTATTCTTAGGCAGCATTGGATGAATATTCTGTTACAAACAATCCTGATGAGGAGAAGGCTTTCCATCCATGCACCAACCAAACTCAAAGTCGGGGAAGAGGAAACTCAAAGGCCTTCATGCGGAATACCTGTCTGTTGCCAGCTCTGCCTTGCAGCTTATTTGCAGCGTTGGTCACCATTGGAGCTTGAGTGTCATGGATTTTTCAGCATTAATTGTGGATAGAAAAATACATTATTCTAAAGCATAAGTCTAGGAAAGTCACAGTCTATGTAACACGTTCTTGTTCATTAAGCCATGTTTAGTAGTATTTGCCCATTTTAAGCACTACAAAATTGTCATGTGTAATTATCATGAACTGCTTCATAAAATGTCATAAGGGTTACATTCTTTCTCATTAAATGCTGGGGCTCCCTCTACATTTTTACAGTGGGTCCAGCACCTCTCTCTTCTGACTTTCTGTCATCCCAAATTTCTAAGAGCTCTGGAGGTTTAGGCAAAAATCAAAGAGAATCGGGTACTCACACCCAGAGAGAGAGCACTGAGGTGCCATTAACTCATTTGTGATTTTTACTCTTTATGCCTTCTTATGTTTCTCTTTAAAGTGGGTTCTGAGCAACCTAGCGCACAGCCATTCTGAGAGCTCTGGGATGCAAGGCCCATGTACATTGTCATGGTTACTGATCGAACAGGATCAATACTTCTCCCTCTTGGTTAAAGTAGACACACAATTGGCCCATGTTGGGCTCTGGCGGCTGCATCTTAGCCCTAAGTTCATTAATTTCCACCCACCCACCCACCCACCCACAGGCAGCCCAAGGGCCTTGAGTAAAGATGGAATCCCAAAACCGTCCACTCCAGGACCTCGGACAGCCATTTTCTTTGCACCATAGAAATTCGTGCCTTAGGGTTCTCAAGCAACTCTAATTTTAGACCCTCAAAGCACAAAATAGAGGATTACACTCTTTCTTCTAAACAATGTGTTACTGGCCCATGCCTGTGTAGGAAGTTGCCCTGGGAGCCACCGTTAGACCCTAAACTTTCCCTTCTGAAGGATACTGATTCAGTGATTCCGAGAAACTTTGCTTTCTAAAGTGTGATTTCTCAAGTCAGCCATGCATGCTCCAGTGACTGCAAGAAGACTTCATAGTGTCATGCTTAGAATAAAATTTTAAAAACAGATGCACATACATCTTGAAGCACAGTGAGAGGATAGAGCTGCACTGATTTAATTTAGAGAGCTTAAATGTATTTGGCAACCACTTTAGGTATTGGTGAACAAGTATTGGGTAGAAATAACTTGTTGCAGAATTTTGTGTAATGAAACATGCTACAAGATATACAAAAATGTCCAGAGCTTGTCTTCTCACTCAAGAGCATGGGCAAGCTATTGAGACAAGGAAGCAATTATAGTTTCCTTTTCCTTTTCTTGAGAAAAAAAAGTCTCCTGGATCTGGATCCAATCATCTTCTAAAAAATTACTGTACACATCTTTGCAACTCTTTGCTAGTTTTGGCACATTGGTGGCTTGGGCACGGTCATGGTAGGACTACATATGCCAGATAAATTAGCAAACACTAAGAATTGGTTTTGTTTTCTTGTTTCCAGAGAGCAGCCTGTAAAACACCCCCCAGCACATCACTGGCTGTTCCCCACTTCACAAATCTTATTTAGAGTTAGGCTGATTGGGCAAACACATGTGAGAGATGGGGGGAAATCAGGGATTTAAGAAATAAGTTTCTTCATCACATGTAACAACTGTAACAACATTGACATTTGTATAATTAAGAGGAAAAATCCTGTATCACTGTAATTATATGTAAAGAAAATCTAGAGATATTGGACAACTCTGCAATTAGTTTACTATTAAGAGATAATGTCACAATACTATTCTGGAAAGAATATTTTTTAAGGACAATTTTAGGCATAGAAAACTCTTTTTTTTTTTTTTTAAGACGGAGTCTCTCTCTGTCGCCCAGTCTGGAGTGCAGTGGCGCAATCTCGGCTCACTGCAACCTCCGCCTTCCAGGTTCAAGCTATTCTCCAGCCTCAGCCTCCTGAGTAGCTGGGATTACAGGCCTTCATCACTGCGTCCAGCTAATTTTTGTATTCTTAGTAGAGATGGAGTTTCACCATGTTGGGCAGGCTGATCTCTAACCCTTGACCTCAGGTGATCTGCCCTCCTCGGCCTCCTGAAGTGCTGGGATTACAGGCATGAACCACCTTGCCCGGCCAATATTTTGTTATTTTTAAGGAAAATTTCTCAGCTACTTGTGAACATATAGGTAGTATTTTAAGTCAAACTTCTAAATAATAAAGTATTTTTGATAAATTTCTTAAAATACCTAAATATTTGATAATATTATGAAGTTGCTGCCATATTCCTTATAGTAAATCAAGAAATTCAGAGTTAAATTATTATAAAACACAAAAACATCTAGGTTCCCTAGATTCACAAATAAAAAAAAATTAGTGGCTAAAATGACTTCTGCAATAAAATAAATAGTTGTTTTTTATCTGTATGTTGTAATAACATAACATGCATTATATATTAAACCTGCCTGGCTACACTATCTCACAATCATCGCAAAATCCAAGTGCAGAAACAATCATAACTCTATGGGTAAAATAGAGATTAACAGAGTTTGAATTTACCTAGGGCATCATAAAGCATAATCTGGTGTAAGTTCTATCTCTTGGGGGCTCCATTATGAAAAGAATAGAATAATAAGAAAATGTGAGTTAATTTAAAGTGAAAAATATACTATATGCATGTAATAAAAATAATTAAATATTGTGGTTGACAAGCATTTCTTTACCTGCCCAGATTTTTTAAAGAAGAAAGAAAAAGAAAAGAAAGAAAAGAAGGAAGGAAGGATGGAAAGAAGGAAGGAAGGAAGGCAGGGAAGGAAGGAAGGAAGGAAAAAAGAAAGATTTATTCTAAGATGCAAGGATTGCTTAATATAATAATAAATAATTGCAATTTGTAAAATAAGTTATAACTGACGGAATGAAAGAGGAAATTATATGAACATCTCAATAGTTACAGAAATAGCATAAGCAATACACATTTATGTTAAGATAACAACAACAACACTCAATAATTTAGGAAATAAAGCAAACTTATGTTATCTGAAATAATATATCTATTAAAATACAGAGAAAGTTAACAAAAATTGGGGAACATTAACAGCATTTACTTTAAAATTAGAATAATTTATACTCAATATCACTACTTACACTCAAATTTGTATGAAAGGTCCTCACCAGTAAAATATGACAAAAACAAAAGAAAATATAAGAATGAAATACTCACTAGAATGTAGCAAACTTTTATTATTTTAAAATAATAACTGTTTATATTTTGAAATTTTTTTTAATATCCAGAAAAATTATGGGAAAGAACAGTAGACATTACTAAGATTGCTAGATGTAAGCTTAATATACAAAAGTCATCTAATTTTTGTGTCCCAGTGGCAAATGATTAGAAATTTTAACTAAAAGAAACACATCATTAAATAGTATCAAAGTCTTAAAATGCCCAAATAAGTATACAGAAGAAAACACAAAGCTTTGTTAAGAGATGTTCAACAATACAGAAATACATAGAGTTGTACTACATTTATCAATAATGAGAATTAATCTAGATGATTTTTAAAATGTACTTGAAAGAGTACATGACCATGAATATCTGAAGAAGACTCTGGAGTGAGGTTAGCTTACTAAACATTAAGCCGTTATCATTACAAAACTACAATGCTTAAAAGTGTGTGGTGCTAGTGCAGAGGTAGACATTATATCAAGGTAAGAAATTACTCTGATGCAGTTGCCACATCCTAGTACACTACCAGGCAAGCATTCGATTTTCCATGGAGCCATAGAGACTCACAAAACAAATAAGAATCACACAGTTTTTGAAGAACTCACAAATATTGAGCAATACATAAGAGGGTATATATTGGAAATTTAAGCACCTAGAGTGGTTTGCAAGCAGAAGGCAGAATGGGAGGACCACATGTGAAAATCTAGATGCACTGTTACACAAGATCTCCTTCGGTTCCTGACATTAGTCTTTCCCAGTGCCAGTGTAACAGTGTGGTTATAAGAACCAGGCTGAAGATGAGAAAGGATTCTCAGCATAGGCAAGCAGCCTCGAATCGTAGACACTTGCTTCATGAGAAAATGCAGAAGCAAGTGTATTGGACACAGCTGCAACTCACTTTTTCCTGCTGAGTAGCAATATTTGTATCTGGGCAGAAGATGCACAGAGTCCAAACAGGTGTCACCAAAGAATGTGCAATATAGCTGTAATTCTGTAGGTGACAGACCCATGTTTTATAGTTACTAATTTTAACTGGGTTGTTTTAATCCTTTATTTTTATTAGCATTACTTTTAATATCCCCATCCTTTTTCAAACTTATTTCCAACACACGTTTATAGTCTATCTAAGTAAAACTCTATCACACAGGTAACTACTTACAACCCATCTATATTTGCTAGTTATTCCTATTGGTGTATGTATTTATTTCTCTTGTTTGTATGGCATAGTGAGACATTCTCAACAAACACAACAAGCACAAATTTCTCGATACAATAAAATAAAGATTTCCGAAACAGAACCGTACAAGCATAGAACTTTGATGTATGACACAGATGGCTTGACAGATGAGTGGAAAAAAGAGACAAATATTCAATAAATAAAGCTGAAAAAATAATTTTCTATAAAGCATGCATATATAATGTATATTTTAATACCTACATCATACCATATACAAAAATTATCTCCAAACAGGTTAATAAGTTAAGTAACAAAAATAGAAACTAAAACTCAGTAGAAAATAAATGTTAATATATTTTCGAACTTGGTGCCACAAAATATTTCTTGAATAATACACAAAAATATTAACTATGAAAGAAAACGTTAGTAAGCTTGACCATATTTAAATTTTAAAACTTTTGTCTATCAAAAGATGCCTTAAGTACAGTGTAAAAAATTACAAACTTTAAGAAGTTATTCACAATATATGCAACCAGTAGATTTTGGAATTAAGAATATATAACGAAAGCCTACAAATTCAGAAGAAAAACACAAACAATCCAATCTAAAAGGCACAAAATATATAAACAGACATTTCACAGAAGCAGAAAGTAAATGGACACTAAGCACTTCAAAGAAAGTTTAACATTATTAGTGACAGAAAAGTATAAACCAAGACTTTGATGAAACACCATCTTAAACATATTATTGATAAAAATTAAAAAGCCTCCAAGAAGTCTTTTGGAAGCCTCCAAGAAGATGTAGATGAAGAGAAGCTCTTGAATGTAAGATGCCAATATTTGTGGCAATGAGGGCTACTTTTTGGAAAGGAGTTTGGCGTAGTTTCTTCAGGTTGAATGGTCACATGCCCCCTTCCTTAGGAGTATATCCAAGGAACACTTCCTAAGGGAGGAGTGTGCAGTAATGTTCGTGCCAACACTTTTTCAGTGGCAGAAACCTACAGCCCGCCTTGAATGCCCATCAACTTGAGAGTGGACAAGTAAACTGGGGTATATTCACCTAATGAAATATGCGACAGCAGACAAACCAATGAACACAGTGGCACAACAAGGTGGGTAAATCTAAAGCCCAACACATTCTTTGACAGTTCATTTTATGTGCCTAATTAACAAGGTTATGGTGCCTAAATCATTTGGTCAAATACGAGTCTAGATGTTGCTATGAGGATACTTTTTAGAAGTGTGTAACATTTAAATAAGTACACTTTGAGTAAAGCAGATTACCCCTCATCACATGAGTGGGCCTTGTCTAATCAGTCGACAGCCTTAAGAGCAAAGATTGAGGTTGTGAAGCAGAAAGGATTCTCCTGCAGACTGCAATATAGAATTCCCACGTGACTTCCCAGGCTGCACGCTATGAAATTGACTCAAGACTGCCACATCAACTTTTCTCTGACTTTTTAGCCTGCTCACCTGCCCTACAGATTTTAAACTCGCCAGCCCCCACAACCTCATGAGCCAATTCATTGAAATCCCTCTCTCTCTCTCTCATCCCTGACTAACACAGCAATAAAGACTCATTCAACAACTAATTTTTGATCATTTAAATGGCTAAAATTATAAATGTATATAATTTTAGATATACATATGGATGCAATAAAATCGTAAGTAAAGAAAAGCAAGAGAATAAAGAACACAGAATAAAAGATGATTTTTATTAGGGGTGAGAGGAGACGAAAGGAAGCGATGGAGTGGAACATGTTGTTACATGCATGTTATTATTAAGGTCACACTTGTTTTTTGAGGGTGGGTTCATGAGAACTAGTTACAGCCCTCCCTCAGTATCTGTAGGAGATTGGCTATAGGAGCACACCCCACGGATAACAAAATCCCCAGATGCTCAAGTTTTTAAAATATAAAGCGGCATAGTATTTGCATATAACCCACACACATCCTCCTGTATATTTTAAATTATCTCTAGATTACTTGTAATGCTTAGTACAATGTAATGCTATACAAAGAGTTGCTATACTGTACTGTATTTTTATTTGTAACTTTTTGTTGCCAAATTATTATTTTCAATATATTTTGATCTGTGGTTGGTTGAATCTGCTGATGTGGAACCTGCAGATAGGGAGGGCTGACTGTATATCATTTTGTTTATTATTTTATTTTATTTTACTTTATTTTATTTTTGAGACAGAGTCTCACTCTTTCACCCAGGCTGGAGTGCAGTGGTGCAATCTCAGCTCACTGCAACCTCTGCCTCCCAGCTTCAAGTGATTCTTGTGCCTCAGCCTCCCCAGTAGCTGGGATTACAGGTGTGTGTCACCACATTCTGCTAATTTTTTTTTTTTTGAGATGGAGTCTCACCCTGTCACTCAGGATAGAGTGCAGTGGACTGATATAGGCTCACTGCAACCTCTGTCTCCCAGGTGCAAACAATTCTCCTGCCTCGGCCTCCCAAGTAGCTGGGATTACAGGCGCCCACCACCATGCCCAGCTAACATTTGTATTTTTAGTAGAGACGGGGATTCACCATGTTGGCCAGGCTGGTCTCAAACTCCTGACCTTGTGATCTGGCCACCTTATCCTCTGAAAGTGCTGGGATTACAGGTGTGAGCCACAGTGCCCAGCAGCTGTATATCATTAAAAATAATTAATTACTTAATAGGATCCAGACAGTATAGGCCAATGATAGCTTGCCATAAACATGAGTTGCATATGATCCAATCTTAAGCATCTGAGATCCTTTAAAATTTAAGTGAATAAGTGAATCAATCAACAAGTCAGTAAGATGAATGATTTTCTGGTGCCCTTGAATTGAGATAGGAGAAGAGCCAGGGAAGACACACAGGCCAAGCAAGGTGCACTTCCCCGCAGAGAAGCTCATCTCGCCACCGCATCAGCCAGGTGGAGGAAGCAGGATCATTTGCAAGATCTTGCTGCCTTCTGGAATCACCAGGGTAGGAGAAAATTCCAATGCCTGGATCTCACCCCCAGTTATTCATGTTTAATTGATCTCAGATGTAGCCTAGGCATCAAAATAGTCTCAGACCTTCCAAGTGATTCTAAGGAGCAGCTGTTGTGATTCCCCAGAAGAGAAGGTGCATTTTATTCCACAGGTGGGTGGACAGTTGCTTAAAGTTAGTTTTCAGCCAGTGGAGAACTTGAGTTGATTTTCTCTGTAGAAAGAGTGCTCTAGGGACACAACAGGATGGATGGTAAAGAGGAGAATTCGGAGGTCAAGGAGCAGGTTGGAGGTAGCTCTTCTCTGTGGCAGTGGAGAAAAGGTGACATATCTGAGACATGAAGTGATGGAACTAAACCTGCTGACCAGTGAGTTCAGCGGCTGAAGGGAAGACAGAGGATGGTCTAGGAGGAGCTGGAATTCTGGCCTCTGACCTGGTGCTTAGGGAGGCTGCAGTCAATGAGAAGTGGGGATGGGAGAGGAATGCCTGGCCTTCTCATACGTAGCCTGTGCCAGCATGAAAATTGTTCTTAGAAGTGTGTTGGCTGCAGGAAAAGATGTGTGAGTTGCTAAAGTGGCTAGAGGCTTGGGTCTTGGGACAGGAGTGAGGGAAAATGTGTAGGTGCTATTTGCATTGCCTGTCAAAAGGCTCCTGTGCTGTGTTCAGAAACCATTGCTGCCTATTCTTGGAGCTCTTTGTGCCATGTCTGTTGGCGGCTCGGTTCTTCTGGGGAGCAGGACTACTGCAACTGTGCTGCGGGACCCAAGACTCTCCAGAATTAGGTGCCCTGGGGCCAGTTGGGGCCCCACCTCTGTCTTAAAGTATCCAAAATGTTTAGTGTAGTCCCACAAACATCTGTCCCGCTTTTGTTTTTTGCTTGTTTTTGAATGAAAAGTGATGATCCATTAAATCTACAGCTAAAATCCTTAGAAAATAATATTGAATTTTCTTGATCTACAGCAAGCCACTTAAAAGTCATTAATAATCAGATTGATATTAATATTAAAAATCATACTAATGATTAAGAATCAAATAAAAGTTTACTCTTTTATTAATTTATTATTAGTCATATTTATAATTAATTTATTATAAATTAATAAATAATGTACTGAAAGCCTAGTTTCCAATTATTTATACAATATAATTTTTTTTCCCTAGTTCGTCACTTTTGAGCTTAAGAGAACTAAGGGTGAAAGCATTGAAATCCACATGGGAAGTTCAAATCATCAAAGCCCACCTCCTTTGAATGACTTTGTTTCATTCTCCTTTGGTTTCTTATTATGGATGATGTTCATTTAATTATAGTCAGATGATTTAACCTGAATTTTTAAGATGAAGAAGAGAAACGCAAAGTGAGAAATCTATCCTTGTATTGCTGATCCCTGAAATCGCTGGTGTTGAAGTTTGCCTGGACAACATGCGCTGAGAGGTGCCTGGAAGGAATGAGACGGGGGTCAGGAAGTGCATCCCCTTTCAATGGCCTTGTATTCCTGAACCTAAAACAAGCAATTCCAGCAGAAATGTTTGTCAAATTAAACCAGGAAATACGTCAGTATTTTTGAAGGAAATGAGGAGCAGAGGGAAAGTGTCTCTAGTTTGTGAAAATACAGAGAGGAAAGCATGCCTGGAAGCCTGTGGCCCGGGCCTTGCCTCCGTCAGGTTCTCTTCACTCTGGAAGGACGCAGTGACCTTCGTGGCGTAAAGGTCAGGGCCGAGTCAGAGGGGTGGGCCTGCCGCCGGCTCCTGCCTAACTAGACTTCACAGTCTGCACCTTTTGAAAGCACTGAGTAGCAATATCTGCAAGTGCTCGGCCTGCAAGATGAGCTGCGGTGAAGACCAGGACAGCCGGGGAGGTAGGGAAGCGTCAGGAGTCCTGTTGGGGATTGAAGCAGAGCCAGCCCTGTCCGCTTCAGCCACCGGAGCAGTGACTGGTGTGGGACCTGGCTCCTTGGGCCACTCAGAATCCTCAGAGTCCAGCAGGAATCAACTCCCGTGATCTCCTAAGGTAGGAAGAACACACAATTGCGTTTGGAAACACAGTTCATACGATTTTCTAATATATGCGCATATAAAGAGCCACCTTCCAAAATAATCACAAAGAAGTCTCACTTTGTATTATGTGAGGTTGGCACTTCACTCCAGACAGAAAAAGACAACTTCTGACGGAATCTTACCGTTCACAACTGGAAAAAGGAGGAAATGCTTGTGGTCTTTCTCTCCTGCACAATAAGAGGTTTTAAGGTAGTTAAATGCCTCACCCCTGGGCTGGGAACACGTGGGTGACTTGAAACTCTACTCCTTGATTCTGAACGTGAACATAAACCATTCGGCTGATGGAGGGACTGTAACAGTACATGTCTGGAATGTAGAGAGGCATTTATGATAATTAGAAATAATCAAATCCATACTAAGGAAGTATGGGCAAGAGAATGTTCACTAATTTGTAGCTAAATGACTTTAGGACCTTAAGGTAGAATTTCCAGGTGGTGCTTATAGGTCTCATAAACACTTGATTTAAAGGGGCAATATTAACATGGAGGTTTATGATCAGAGCATTGAAATTAAATTGATTGTGCCTGCTCTGGCTCTAAAAATAAAAACGGAATAATATTTTGGCTACCTACGTTAAAAGGCTGAAAGGAATGACTTACATAGCAGAGCAACATCTGACATCAGCGTGGCTCAAGGGCTGTGCAGGCAGAAGGGACAGGGAAAACCCCCCGTGGGTAAATGCATGCTCAGATGGCTTCAATTCTAACCTGACTCTGCCTGTGAATTGCAGATGTCACGTGGGGTTTGGTTTTCTTTCTCTGCGCACTCCTGGGAAAGCTGGGGATTGGGGTGTCTGCCTGGGACGCTGAGACAGAGCTGACACCCCGCTGTGTGAGAGGTTGATGAAGCCTCTCTAATGGAAAAGTGCTGAACAAGGTTGAGGGTGGCTGTCCAAAAAGTGGACCTCCACGTTTGGGCACTGTGTAGAGTGTGCAAAGCAAGGGGAGAACTAAGGGGTCTTTGATGAGGTTAGCAAGATAGTGGGGTGGGCCATCATGGTGAACTGGAGAGAGATACGAGGCATCCTTAGGGAAACAGAGGGTGGCTTAGAAAGGGATCTTTGGGCACTTCCAGTTTGTGGGAGGAAATCTCTAAGAGTATTAAGTATATTGAGATATTATCTGGAAAACTGAGATAGTAACACAAATTCCTGTCCCAGCTACCTATAGATTTGTTGGGAAAATCATACGAGAAAGTATACTGAAATCATCCTTACACTACAAAGTTTAGTTTAAATGCAAGCCCATATGTAACCTATGTGAAGAGGTTGATAATTATTTGTTGAATGAACAAGATCAATGTGTGAGCGGTAGTGTAAGAAAAGAGGAAAACCACTAGTGAAGGATTTGAAAGCATGGGTCTTTGTCTCTCCTAAGACATTCACTGGCCATTTGGGGATAACTCAGCACAGCAGTTAAGAAGACCAATCCTGCCATCGGGATTTTACTCCGAATTTAGCTTTCGTATTCCCTGTGCCTCAGTTTTCTCATCTGCAAAATAAGGTGATAACATTACCTAGCTTAAGAGTTGCATCACGATTAAAGGACTTGATCCACATAAAATTCTCCATGAAGTAAAAGCCTCAGCAGAAAGACGGGGCTAGGGAGAGAAACTTGGAGTTGTTGGGGCAGAGATGATATTGGAAGTCATGAGACTGGATAATATAACAGGGAAAGATGTAGACAGAGAAAGTTTAAAAGATTGAGTTCTGAGGCTCACTGACTTTAAGAGGTTGGGCATATAAGAAGGAAACAGAAAATAAGTTGTTTCTCCCCCTGAGAAGGAGGAGCCAGTAAGTTAGAAAGGAAAGCAGGGCAGGATGGGTTTCAGGACCTCATAAATTCAGAGCTTCTGAGGAACAGCAATTGACTAACCATGTTAAATGGTGCTCATGGGTCAGAGAAAATGAAATCTGAGACTTGACCATTGGATTTCACAATGTGAAGATCATTTTTGACTTTAACAAAAATGCTTCCAAGGGAAAGATGGGGGCAAAACTTCACAGAAGAGAACTCAAGATGAGAGCAATAACAGCATGTTATGATGGGCCTGAGGCCCTGGAAGACCTGAATCATCAACACAAGTTTCATGTAGGTCTTTCTCTCTGTGTCTGGGAATGCCCATCCCATCCCCATTCCTGCTCTAACAGTCTCCACAGAGTCCCCTGAGCATCAGCCTAAACAACTGGACTAGCAAGATTCCGGTGGCTCAAACACAAATACAGGCCTGGAAAAAGTACCATGCATGGTCGGGCACAGTGGTGCATGGCCAGGCACAGTGGTGCACACCTGTTATTCCAGCAATTTGGAAGGCCAAGGCAGGCGGATCACTTGAGGTCAGGAGTTTGAGACCACCCTGGCCAACAATGGCAAAACCCAGTCTCTGCTAAAAATACAAAAATTAGCCACACGTGGTGGCACACTCCTGTAGTCCCAGCTACTCAGGAGGCTGAGGCAGGAGAATCACTTGAACCCTGGAGGTGGAGGTTGCAGTGAGTTGGGGTCAGACCACTGTACTATGGCCTGGGTAAGAGAGTGAGACTCTGTCTCAAAAAAAAAAAAAAAAGTGCCATGCATGTCTCTGGAGTAAGCTAGGGGCTCTATAAAGTCAGAAATAATCTAGTTTGATGAGAAAATGGAGTAGAAAAAGATAAAAGACGAAGCCTTAACTTTTCAGGGCAAAATGGCCCAGTTGAGCATTGCACGGAAGCATCTCATGGGCAGTACAGAGTGTCTTCTATTCTGACCCTGTTTCATGTGTTTATATAGTCCAAATATATCAAGTAATTGGATTGTTTCTATGTCCTTTAATAGAAAGGCTTTTATTTTAAAGATGTTTATTTAATACACATCATGTACAGACTTTATGCACAGGTGGGAATCAAATGACAAATCTACAACTCACAATACCTTAGAACACAAATAATTTTCACACACATCATTTTCTTTTTCATTTAGTGTTGAAATTCAGTTCACAGCATTCTGCTCATGGCCTTCCCCAAAACTCATGTCCTTCTCACATGCAAAATATATTCCTTCCATGTCAATAGCCCCAAAAGTCTGAACTCATTTCAACATTAACACCAAAGTCTAAGCTCCAAAGTCTCATCTGAATGTCATCTAAACTTGACTTGGGAATTTCTTCCTAATGCAAAATTTTTCTTCAGCTGTGAACCTGTGAAATCAGAGGCCTTTCATAAAGTAATGAAGGACCAGGCATGGGATATATATTCCCATTTCAAAAGCGAGAAAAAGAAGGAGTGGCAGGTATCAAGCAAGTCCAATACCTAGAAAGGCAAATTTCATTAGATATTAATATTCAAGAAAAATCCTCCTTGGCTCAATTTTCTGCTTCCTAAGCCCAGTGGGGTGGCAGCATCCCTCCCAAGGCTCAGCAGGGTACTCTCCACCCCAAGGCCTTCTGGCTCTCTTTCTGGGCTTTGTCCATGCTGGAGCTCTGCCAGGCAGGGTTGCCCTTTCAGTCCTTTGCCCTGACCCCAGGACTTGGGTGACCCCAATCCCACATCTTCTGTTGGAGAAAAGGGCCTGAGTCTACCCTGTTACAACATAGGCAGTGGCCCTGATGATCTCTAATTCAACACTGGGATCCTTCTTCCTTTATCTTGAGGGATAGCACTCATTTTCGGCCTTCTTTCATTTCATACAGTGTTTTCTGTTTTCTCACTCCCAGCTGTCCATGTTTCTGCTGGGATAATCCCATCTCTATTCCCGGCATCTATTAGATGACTATTATATCCATGGTTCACACCAATACTGAAATCCTTGTCAAGGTTGTTACATCCCACCCTTAAAGACCTCTTCTGAGCTAGCTGTCTTCCTCATTTTTTATAGTATGACCGGGCTGAGAATTTTTCAAATCTTTAAGTTCTGGTTCCTTTTTGCTTAACAATTCTATCTTCAGTTCTTTTCTGTCTTCCCACATTCAGAAAGAATCAAGCCACTCCTTCTACGCTTTGCTTAGAAATCACCTCAGCTAAATATTGAATTTCATTGCACTCAAGTTCTACCTCCCACAAAACATTAGAAGATGAACACAATTTAGTTGAGCTCTGTGTCACTGTATATTAAGGGTGGCCTTTCCTTCAGTTTCCTCATTTCTGTCTGAGACCTCATCAGAATGGCCTTTGGCATCTACATTTCTCTCAACATTGTGTTGATGATTCCTTATGCATTCTCCAGAAACACAGAAGCTTTCTCTATAACTTTTTTTTTTTCTCTCTCTGAGTCCTTAGCAGAGCCACATCTAAAAACCCCTTCACAGCAATCTGGGCCTTTTCTTGCATATACTTTCCAACTGTTCCAGCCTCTCTATCCATTACCCAGTTCTAAAGCAGCTTCCACATTTTTAAGTATTTCTTTTACAATAGCACCCCAATTCCTGGTACCAATTTCTGTATTAGTCAACTTGGACTGCTATAACAAAAACATCATACACTGAGTGGCTTAAACAACAACATTTATGTCTCACCATTCTGGAGGCTGGGAATTGAAGAACCAGACCCCAGTAGACCCAGCGTCTTGAGAGGGTCTGCTTTCTGGTTTGCAGATGGCCATTTTCTTGCTGTATCTTCACATGGCAAAGAACAGAGAAAGAGAAGCAAGGCCTATGGCATCTTTTTTACAAGGGCACAAATCCCATCATAGTGACTCTACCCTCATGATCTGGTCACCTCCCAAAGGCCCCACTTATTAATACTATCATATTGGGGGTTAGAACTTCAGCAATGAAAGTGGAGAGGGGAGACACAAGAATGTAGTTCAGAGCAGATGTTCTCAGTATGTGTGATCTATGGTTGCATAACAAATTACCACACATGGATGGCTCACAACTGCACACATGTATTATCTCATTTGTGTGTTCAGGTGTGTGCACACAGCTTAGCTGGGTCCTCTGCCAGGATCTGAAAGGCTGCAACTCAGGTGCTGGCCAGGGCTGTTATCTCATCTGAGGTGTGGGGTCTTCTTTCAAGTGTGTTGGTGATTGCAGAATCATTTCCTTGCAGCTGTAGGACTGAGTCCCTCAGCTTGCAGAAGCCATGCACCCTTCCTGGCCACTCAACCTCTGCACAACATGGTAGTCTGTTCTAAGGCCAACAGGAGAGCATTTCTACTGCTTGGAGTCTCTCACCTCCTGACCTTCTTTCTAAGGGCTCACCTGATGAAGGTTGGCCTGCCAGGATAATTTACCTTTTGGAAAGCCAAAATTCAACAGATCTGAGACTTTAATTATGTCTGTAGAATCTTTTTGCCTTTGCCATAAAATGCAACCTAATCATGGGTGTGATGCTTTGAGCTGTGTTTCCCAAAAATGATATGTTCAACCTCAATTTCCAGTACTTGTTGTTGAGACCTTATTTGGTAAAAGGGCCTTTACAGGGGCGGCTAGGTTAAGATGGTGTCATTTGTGTGGGCTCTAAACAAATATGCTGGTGTTTTCATAAAAGGGGAAATGTGAACTCAGAGGCACACACACAGGGAGGATGCCATGGGAAGAGGAAGGCAGGGCTGAAGATCATGCTTCTATAAGCCAAAGAACACCAAAGTTTGCCAACAACCACCAGAAGCTGGGAGAGAGGTCTGGGGCAGATTCTTCCCCTCAGCCTGGAAGGAATCAATCCTGCTGACACCTTAACCTCAGACTTCTGGCCTCCAAAACTGTGAGAAAAGAATTCTGTTGTTTAGCTACCCCCCTTCCCCCACGCCAGTCTAAGGTACTTTGTTACGGCATCCCCAAGAAGCTAGGACAATGGCAGTGGCATCCCGTCATATTCACAGTCCTGCCTACACTGGAAGAGAAGGGAATATACAGAGTATGAACACCAGGGAGAGGAAATCTTGGGGCTGGAATTCTGCTCAGCACATTCTGCAAAATCTCATAGCCATGTTCTTTTCTTATCTCAGCACCAAGCTCCCATACCTGCAGGGATGCATAGAGATGCCCTTAGAAGTTTTGAGATGACCAATATAGCTGTTTCATGAATCCAAACCATTTGATGTGGTTTGGCTGTGTCCCCACCTAAATTTCATCTTAAAGTGTAGTTCCCAAAATCCCCACAGGTAGTGGGTGCGACCTGGTGGGAGGTAATTGAATCAAGGGAGTGGTTACCACCATGCTGTTCTCTTGACAATGAGTGACTGCTCAGGAGATCTGATGATTTATAAGGGGTTTTCCTCCTTTTGCTCTGCCTTCTCCTTGCTGCTGCCATGTGAAGAAGGACGTGTTTGCTTCCCCTTCACCATGATTGTAAGTTTCCTGATGTTTCCCTAGCCCTGCAAAAGTGTGAGTAAATTAAACCTCTTTCTTTTATAAATTACCCAGTCTCAGATATGTCTTTATTAGCAGATGAGAACAGACTAATACACCATTACAGTATATGTTGCCCAGTACTATGTGTAGCATCTCAGGGCTTCAGTTTTCTCATTTGTAAAATTAGAGGGTTTAGTTAAATGATCCCTAAAGTTCTTCATTTTGTGAAATTTCACAATTGTTATTTTTGCAAAACTACATGAAGGAACTTGGTTAAAGCTGTTCTCCTGTAGCTCTAAGGCCATGTTACTTCTCTGATGTTTTGTATCTGTGCTGTAGGTAACTGACTTGCCAAAATTTGGATTATTGGGTAAACAAGACATTATCTCACTTGGTCTTGTTGAATGACTGTATAAGTATAATTAACCCTGTTAATGGGAATGTAGACAAGCTAGTTTATCTTATGAGCATCACTGAACAAACTCTCCCAGTGGATTGAAGCTTTGGTTCTGACCGGTCTGGTAAGAAAAAAAATCAAAAATGGAATCTTTTTAAAGCAAGTGCCACTTCAAGCCCATAACTCCACCATCTCCTTACTATCCCAGTTGAGGAAGTATATCTTACACTGATTTCTATTTTCATTTTTCAGGACCCTTTTCTGTACTACAAAAAAAGTTCTTATTGTGTCTAAAATATAGTTTTTAGTCTAATGGAAAAAAATATTTTTACTTATAAATGAATTAAAATTGAAGGTGTTTTATGCCAACTAAGCCATCTCCTTATACATGTATATCTCTCTCTATATAGCTATATCTATATATAAATATATATATCTATATATCTATATAAAAGTTTTTCTACCTGACCATTCTGTTTACTATGATCTTTCTACATATACTTTAAATGTATTATAAATCCTAAAACACATTGAAGAAACAACTGGAAAATCCAAACAATAATACAAAAAAAAATCATTAAACTTTCCTCTGTTCAGATACCTTATGACTGAAATTTACATAGCACATTCTAAGAAAAAAGGAAACAACTAATTTATATTGTTCAATAAATGGGATCTTTGAAAGCATGAAACATTGCTTTTCATAGAAAAGTTACAAGACTGTAAACAATCTTTTTATAAATACTTTTATTCACCTTTCGTTTTTCAATTTGAAAGCATACATTCCAGAATCATTGATGAAAAACCTTCTTAAACCATGGCTCTGCTTCTAAGAGTAGCACTTTCCAGCACTTTCCATTCACATCTGACTGAAGAAAGACCAGCCTCACTGCTTTAAATAAATATAAAGATCTGATGAAGTTGTACTAAGCAGAGGACCATGACATTGCTTCTCTTCTTTTGCAGTACCTCTTTCTGGTTCTTCTGAACTTGGAATTTCTCTTTAAAATGTCCCATTAATTCCTATTAGGGAGCTACTAGTAAAGAAAATTGCATGTTAGCTTTTATCAATCTGTATGAATAAATGTTAACCATTCTCAGTTAAAAGCCCTCCTTTTAGATCCACTCATGTGAAAACAGCTAGAGCAGCATGCACATCAGCAAATCATTCAGAAGATTAATGCACTCGAGCCTGCACAAAGCCTCCGAGATGTGTATTAGCATTATAGATTTTAATTTGAAATAATGTCAGTCTTTTCCGGCCTGCATTGTAGTGCATGAGCTGCCATCTGCTTATAATAATGAGTCTGACAATCCACGTAAATGTGATTTGCTGCCTCTTTTGCCAATATAATGGCCGGGATATTGATCCTAATGGTAGAGCAGTTGCAGGCATTTCATTCAATAGAAACAGGACAGGCACAAGAGCCAAGGTTTCTGAGGATTTGGCTAGAATGACAGTTAAAAACAAAAGTGCATTTCCCTACACTAGTGGCAACACTGTATACTCCCACAATGACAATTTTTATTTTTTCTCAGTGTTTCAGTACAGCTCAAAATGTAATCTACCAAATTAATGGGAGAAGAGACCAGCATAAAGATGCTAGGCTATCCTTACCCTTCCCTTCTTCACTGTCTTCTTTGAGATGGGAGTTGCCAAAGTAGGAGCTCAAAGAGCCATGTCCAGCCAAACCTTTGAGAGCACTGTCAAATACAGCAGTCACTAGCCACATGTGACTGCTTACATTTAAAGTAACTAAAATGAAGTGAAATTAAAACGAATTCATGAGGACTCAGCTATTTGGACATACATGTCCACAGTGGCGTTATTCACAAGTCAAATGGTGAAGCGGCCCAGTGACCATCCATGGATAAAGGGATAAACAAAATGTGGTAGATACACACAGTTTAGTATTTCCAGCCTTAAAACAGAAGGAACTCTGGCACATGCTACAGCATGATGAACTTGAGGACGTTATGTTGAATGAAATAAGCCAGTCTTCAACCATTTATAACAAACTGTTTGTATTATGTGTTGCATATTGCATATTATATATGCTTTTAATTTTGTTTTTATTGATATACAATAGATGCATGTATTTTCAAGGTACATGTGATAACAATACATTCACACAATTTGCAAAGATCAAGTAAGTGTAATTGAGATATCTATTTCATATCCATTACAAATACATTAAAAATTGTCTGTCTTTATGATAGAAACATTCAAATTATTTTCCTCTAGCTATTTTGAAATTCACAATAGATTATTGCAAACTCGTCACCTACTGATCGATCAAATACTGGGCCTTATTTCTTCTGGCAATCAGACTGTACAGTTGTACCATTAACCCGTATATCATATTTTATTGTATGACATACTATTGGGTCTTCAGTACTTTTTTTACTTTCTCACATTATAAAATTTGTTCAGTAGTATGGGGCATAGGAAGAATCTCACATTTCTGAGTGCAGGTAAAACATGCTGGGCTGGAGCCCTGGTCTCTGTTTCCACACATGTCAGATGTGAGATTCTCTTCCCATTTTACTGATCTAAACACTGAGTCTCAGCGATCAACTGTACCTTCCCCAGGGTCATAAATATTGGCTAAGATTGAGCCCCGGGAGCTGCACTTGGGCTGCCTGAGCCTCCCTATAACTCCACCACATCCTTCCTGGGACCTCGCACAGGTGGTGTTGTCTCTGACCCAGATGGCACCGTGGCTACTTGACAGCCCCGAGCCACTTTGAACCACTGAGGTGGAGGCCCCTCATGTCTGCCATGGGAAAAACACTAAGCAGGTTTTAGGAACTGCAGTTCAATGCCAGTTGGATGAGATTCCAAATTTGTCTGATTCCCAATTTTAAGCTTTCCACATGATAATTCTGAAGATGTTATTTCTTTATGATTCCTTCATTCATTCCTCACCAGGAGCCTTAGGATAGAGATGAATTTTTTTATTTGTCTGCCCGTGGTACCTAATTTAATGTTGGATGCTTAATCACTATTCAGTAAATACTTCCTGAAGAAGTGATTGCAGAGGTAGTGATCCCTTCGAGCACTGGGCCCTCTGCTTTAGTCACGGGGTTGGTCATCACTTACCTGGCAGGAGGAAGACTCTGAGGTTCTCCTTTTACCCTCTCAAAAATTCCTCAGTATAAAGAGGAGACTGCAGCCACACCCTTGTATAAATTATATGTTCACTGTTTATTTTTTGTTTACCAAGGTGATTTCCTTATCCTTTATTCCAAATGTATTTTTAAATTTTGTAGCAATTTAACAGTGGCAATAAAATATATAAAACTGTGTAACTTGTATATGTTGAATGAGTCTCTTCTATGATAAATAGGTTCTCTGAACCATGCACATATTCTTGTACCAGTAGATTCACTATTCTGTGTCATTCGTCCCTGAACTTCCTAGTGAAACTGATGAAACCAAGTTCTATAAATACTTTATCTCAACATTGCATAATTCATTGATGCAATTCAACACTTTTAAATTAATTAACCCCGTGTTAGGCTTAATTCAGCTTCTCTTGTGATTACCAAAAATTGTAATACCACTTGTGTATTTCTCCATTTTGAAATAAAATAAAGAGCTGGAGCTATCCCATTGTACTGACCCTTTTGAAATTTGAAGGTCATCTGTCTTATAACAGACTAGCTTGAGAAGTAGACAAGCATTGAGTACCTTATCCACAGATACAAAATTATTAAACTATCATTTTGCAAAGGTACTTTACACATAAATGCTTTATTTTACTTTTTCTCTATTATAATTTTAAAAACACAAATTAATGCAAAATGTTCCATCTTCAATATGGTTTGGTTCTTTGGGGAGAAATGTTATAATTTCTTCCAATAATTTGAAGTTAAGGATATTCATAATTTTTAAATTTATTTTATTTATATCCATCTATGAAATTATTACTAATGTTTCTAACATCTTCCTATTAAGTTTCTTGAATTTCTTCTACTTCCTCATGTATACATGGTATTCTGATGAGCACCCTACTCATCAAATTGTCTGTTAAGAAGGCTGGAGTCTTTTGGTGGAATCTTTAAGGTTTTCTAGGTGTAGAATCATATCATCAATAAAGAGTGATAGCTTGATTCTTCTTTTCTTGTTTGAATACCTTTTATTTCTTTCTCTTACCTGACTGTTCTAGCTAAGACTTCCAAAACTATGTTGAATACGAGTGGTGAGAGTGTACAGCTTTGTCTTGTTCCAGTTCCCAAGGGGAATGCTTTCACCTTTTTTATTTTTCATTCAGTGTGATGTTGGCTGTAGATTTGTCATAGATGACTCTTATTATTTTGAGGTATGTTATTTTGATGCCTAGTTTGTTGAGAGTTTTATCATGAAGGAATGTTGGATTTTATCAAAAGCTTTTTCTGCATCTATTGAGATGATCAGGTAATTTGTATTTTTAATTCTGTTTATGTTGTGAATCACAATTATTTACTTGTATATGTTGAACCAACCTTGCATTCCAGGGATAAGCTGACTTAATCATGGTGAATTATTTTTTTCTATGCTGCTGGATTTGGTTTGCTAGTATTTTTTTGAGGATTTTTGCATCTATGTTCATCAATGATTTTGGCCTAAAGTTTTCATTTTTGTTGTCTCTCCGCCACATTTTTCTATCAGGATGATAATGGCTTCATAGAATGAGTTAGAGAGGAATCCCTCCTCCTCAAATTTTTGGAATAGTTTAAGTAGAACTTGTACCAGTTCTTTTTTGTATGTCTGATAGAGCTTGGCTGTGAATCCATCTGGTCCAGGGGTTTTCTTTTTGATTGCTATTGAATAAATGGTTCTGGAATAACTGGCTAGTCATATGCAGCAAAAATTAACTCAATATGGGTTAAAGACTTAAATAGAAAACTTCAAAGTATAAAAATCTTCAAAGAAAATTTAGAAAATAGCCTTTTGATATTAGCCTTGGTGAATAATTTATAGGTAAATCATCAAAAGCAATTACAAGAAAAACTAAAATTGACAAGTGGGAATGAATTAAACTAAAGGACATCTGCACAGCAAAAGAAACTATCAAGGGAATGAACAGACAACCTACAGAATGTGAGAAAATATTTGCAAACTATGCATCCAGCAAAGTTCCAATATCCGGAATCTATCAGAAACTTAAATCAACAAGCAAAAAAACCAAACCACCCCATTAAAAGGTGGGCCAAGATACCGAACAGACACTTCTCAGAAGAAGGCATACAAATGGCTCACAAAAATATGAAAAAAAATTATTGTCATCATTAATTGTCAGAAAAATGGAAATTAGAACCACAATGGATACCATCTCACACAAGTCAGAATGGCTTTTGTTAAAAAGTCAAAACATTACGGATGTTGGTGAGGTTACAGAGAAAAAGGAGTGCTTACACACTGTTGATAGAAATATAAATTAGTCCAGCCAATATGGAGAACAGTTGGAGATTTCTCAAAGATCTAAGATCTTTGACTTAGCAATCCATTACTAAATATATACCAAAGGAAAATAAATTGTTCTACCAAAAAGACACATGCACCGATATGTTCATTGTAGCACTGTTTACAACAGCAAAGACATGGAATCAACCTAGGTGCCCATCAATGGTGAATTGGATAAACAAATTGTGGTACATGTACACCATGGAATACAATGCAGCCATGAAAAAGAATGAAATCATGCCATTTGCAGCAATATGGATGCAGCTGGAAGCCATTATCCTAAGCAAAATAACGCAGAAACAGAAAACTGAATATGTCATGTTCTCACAAGTAGGAACTAAACACTGGGTACACATGAACATAAAGATAGAAACAACAGACATGGGGGACTACCAGGACAGGCAAACAAGGATGAGAGGAGGGCTGAAAACTACCTATTGGTTCTGTGATCACTACCTGGGTGACAGGTTCAATCATACCCCAAACCTCAGCATTATGCAATATACCTTTTTGACAAATTTGTACATATACGTTCTGATTCTGAAACACAATCGAGAAATTTTTAAAAAGCCTGGTGAAAATTTATCTTTATAAAAAAAGTGCATTTGCCTTGATTTCATTTGATACTGCATTCATTGCAACTAATGCAATTAATAAAAGTGATCCAACCAGGATTGAGCATCTTTTAAATTCTAGACAGTGAATTATAGAGTAAATCAAAATATACAGACACATAAAACAAAGCAACTTTTTTCAAGACATCCATAGTGTAGTGTTGGAGACACACATGTGAACATAAAATTCAAGTGAACTACATACATCTCAGGAGGAAATGAGCAGGAGGCTCTGGGAGCTGAATGAGCAAAGGCTTGCTGAGGGCAGGCAGTTTCTTCATGGCAGAGCAGGAGCTGGAGGTGGGGAGAGCAGCCAGAGATGTCCATACCTTCTAAGCACGGAGTCTTGGAAAATGAAAGCTGTATAAGCAGTTATAAGAAATGCAATCTGGCTGGAGATTTGGCTCTGAAATGTGGATGTTGGGAGACAAAGAGGATGTGTTGTTTGTTTGTTTTTATACTCAGATCCTAAATACAGGGGACAGAGCAGGCTCCTGCGTAGATAGGTTGTCTGGCATTTCTGGTGTCATTGCTTGAAAATACCCAGTAGGAACTTGAAAACGTGCATCTGGGCCTTCTAGAAACAGTACTAGCAGATGTAGCAACTTGCTGTCTCCAACAGGTACAGAGTCCTGGGGGAGGATGAGGTGTGGGGTGGCAAGGAGGACAAGAAATGAGGGAGATGTTAGGGGGACTAAGACCCAGAAGAAATCATCAGTGAAGCAGAGGGACATGCAGGTTCAGTGTGCATGGAGATTAGGCAGGAAAGATGCTTGCCACATGCTGAGTGGTCAGCGTTGTGGAAGCTGAAGATTAGTCAGGAGCATGAAGAGTTAGTGTAAGCTCTGATTTTTATGAGAAACTGGGACACAAAGGCTGACCTTAGATGACCAGGGAAATGCACCTGCTGTGGGCCCCTCAGAAGGAGTGGTCTGAGACTAAAGAAGTGGAAGAGCCAGGTTACGCACTCATCTTCTCTATGTGAGAGTTGCATACGAGACGTTGTCTGCCCGTCACTTCAGAGTTTACTCAGTCTCTCTCCTATTTCAATGTCTTCTTTCACTTTCAGTTAGGTAATCAATTCTACTCTAAGAATATATAATAAAGTTTCTTTTTCCAGAATCAAATAATATCATCTCAATATACATTGCAAATTGCATGGATCCTTCCATTCTACACAGATTTGATAGAAATTCTTCCCTATTAAGTGATTTCCATGGTGTATTTGTCCATTTTCATGCTGCTGATAAAGACATACTTGAGACTGGGCAATTTATAAAAGAAAGAAATTTAATTGGACTTACAGTTCCACATGGCTGGGGAAGCCTCACAATCATGGAGGAAGGCAATGAGGAGCAAGTAAGGTCTTACATGGATGGCATCAGGTTAAAATGAGAAAGCCTGTTCAGGGGAACTCCTCTTTTCACAATCATCATATCTTGTGAGACTTATTCACTATCACGAGAACAGCATGGGAAAGACTTGCCCCCATGATTCAATTACCTCCCACTGGGTCCCACCCACAACACGTGGGAATTCAAGATGAGATTTGGGTGAGGACACAGTCAAATCATTTCACATGGCTTCATCTGCGTAACTTTCATGGCTCTGTGACCTTGTGTTTGGTATTCAGTCTATCTAAAACATGGTTTTCTCACTGGGAAACTAACAATAAGAATGCCTACTTTGCAAGACTGTTGCAAGGATTACTTGGGGTCATACGGGCAGAGTGTTTGGCACCTCGCTGACAAGTAGTGGTTGGATAAACCAGAACAGTGACTGCCCACATTCCAGGTGTCTCCTCCATCTTCCCTGTCCCTGCACATAAAGTGTGAGCCATGCAAGTGCTGACACTGCATCCCCGTTAAGTAGAAGTGACTGTGGGAGTAGAACTCTGGAAGCAGCAAGTTGAGGAAGATGAAGAGCCCAGAGCAGCTCAGCCTCCTGGGCACCAACCATGATTTGGAGCAATGGAGGTACAGTGGGAAAGATGGTGGTCCCTGGGTTTTTGATGCTGAGTGAAGCAACATATCTCAATTTCTTAGGAAAGAAACAGGCAGCCAATGTTGGTTCTATCTGATATGACACAGTCATGTATGTATTTTAAGAAAGTTGGGAAAGTTAATTGCCCAAATGTGTGCAGGATGGAGGAGAACAAGGAGAGACCTCAGTCAGGAATGTTACTAGGAAGCGATTTCCATGGCCAGGGAGGGAGGCCCCAGGGTTGCCGTGAGATAGGCCGGAAACAATGCAGGGCTGGATCAATGTGGGGGACTTTGGGAGAGGAGGAGGAAGGGGAGTCAAGGATGCCCACAAGGTTTTGAGCACGTGTATCTGGAAGGTTAATATGTTATATCAGAAATAAAGAATATAGAAAGGAAAGACATGAAGGAAAGGAGACTATGAATTTAGAAAGGCCATACAAGGACCCACAGTCAAGATGCCTAGCAGGCATTTGGAAAAGCAGGTCTCAGCCTGGAAGACAAACACAGAATCTGGGATTAGGTGCACAGGGACCTTCAATGTGATTAAATTGGTTGAGAAAAGCAATTGAGTGAAAACAAACAAACAAACAAGTCAAATCCTAAAGGCCACAAATACAAGCTTGAAAGGAACATTTAGAAAATACGCTGTGAATTAGGGACAGAGTGATGTTCAAACTCATATGCTCTAACTGTGAAGAGAGTGTCTGTCCAGGAGCAGAAGAGACCAAGGCAGCCCATCTGCAGGGAGCAGAGGGGCACCAGCCCACCCGTCCGTGAAGCCACAAGGGAGCTGCTGCTTCAAGGGTTGCATGCCAAAGACCCAGGCCATGTGTCTGCATGCCCTAGGACCTCATCGAAGCACAGTGACACTGTCTGAGGAGAACTGGGATACTCCAGGCCCTGGATTTGCAAAAGGGTGTGAGGTTTCTAGGTACTGAGACAGGGAGACGGATAAGAAGGTGAAACATCTGTTTGATGTTGGACTGAAAAATGAGAATGGACTTCATCCTGCTGGCAAAAGGAAGGCAACAGAAACTTGCAGGCAGGTTGATGGGAGCACAGCTTGGTTGGCCCAGGTCAGTCAGCGGGGATGAGAAAGTGGAAGTAGCAAGGCTGGTCAATTTTCTGTGCAAATGCTCCCTACTGCTCCCCTCAGGCACTCCTGCTGCTCTGCCTGGGGAATGCTGGCACTGTTCACTGGGCTAAGAACCAGGTGAGAGGCCAGGGTGGTGGAGGTGGGGCTGTCCATCAGGACCCAGTGCACAGAACATGTGGGCGACAGACAGAACTGCCCCTCATCCCCTGACCCCCACCGGGGAACCCTCATGGACAGTCAGGGAGCTGGATGGAGGAGCTTGCTCTTCCCCAAATCCGGGGCCTCTATTTGAAGATACTTACTTTTGTTTAACCTTATTTTTTAACTTTTTGGTCTCTTCTCATCCCAGGGATTTGCCTACTTGCTGCCTGTGAGTCAGCAGCAGGATGTATTGTGAGTTTTTGTTAGGGGTGGATGGAAACCTGGGAAGAAACAATTTTAAAAGGTATTATCCTGACAAGAAGGTTTCCAGTTTTTAAAGTGATTTTCCAATCAAGGTCAAAGTTTTGCTGTACTTCTGTCTCCAAGAAAATGTTTCCTCATTGAATGAGCTTTGAAAACCATGAACATGTAACATAAACTCGGTTCCCATCAACCAGAGCTCCACATTTGCAATCCAGGAAGTCTGCATGATACTAAGGTGATGTGCATCTACACTGGAAATGAGAAGCAAGTCCCCAAGTCACCCACAGGCTTCTGTGTTCACTCCCACTCAGGACTCTGCTACACTGTGGAGCCGGCCTCTGCAGGGGTTTCCAAGGCAGCAAAAACAAAAACCAAGACAAAACAAACAAAAAAAACAGCCTCTAAGGTAGAAAGAGATTCATTGCTATCAAATGTAATGCCAGGCCAAAGATGGTGATTAAGTCCTTACCATTAAAAATAGTATTAAAATAAATCCAAGCCCTTAGTGTGTATATATATATATACTTTATATATATATACTTTATATGTATATACTGTATATATATATACTTTATATGTATATACTGTATATATATACTTTATATGTATATACTGTATATATATACTTTATATGTATATACTGTATATATATATACTTTATATGTATATACTTTATATGTATATACTGTATATGTATATACTTTATATGTATATAGTGTATATATATATTTATATATATACTTTATATATACATATTTATATATTTATATATATTTATATTTATTTATATATATATTTATATATATTTATATATATCTTTATATATATATTTATATATATTTATATATATTTATATATATTTTTATATATTTATATATACTTATATATATATTTATATATATTTATATATATTTATATATATATTTATATATTTATATATATTTATATATATTTATATATATATTTATATATATTTATATATATATTTATATATTTATATATATTTATATATATTTATATATATATTTATATATATTTATATATATATTTATATATATTTATATATATTTATATATATATTTATATATATATTTATATATATTTATATATATATTTATATATATATTTATATATATTTATATATATATTTATATATATTTATATATATATTTATATATATTTATATATACTTATAAATATATTTATATATACTTATATATATATTTATATATATTTATACATATTTATATATAAATATATTTATATATATTTATACATATTTATATATAAATATATTTATATATATTTATACATATTTATATATAAATATATTTATATATATTTGTATATATATATTTATATATTTACATACATTTATATATTTATATATATCTGTATATATATATTTATATATTTATATATATTTATATATTTATATATATTTGTATATATATATTTATATATTTATATATATTTATATATTTATATATTTGTACATATATATTTATATATTTATATATATTTATATATTTATATATTTTTATATGTTTATATATATTTATATGTATTTATATATATTTATATGTATTTATATATATTTATATGTATTTATATGTATTTCTATATTGATATGTATTTATATATATTTATATATATTTATATGTATTTATATGTATTTATATATATTTATATGTATTTATATGTATTCATATATATTTATATATATTTATATATATTTATATGTATTTATATGTATTCATATGTATTTATATATATTTATATGTATTTATATATTTTTATATATTTATATATATTTATATATACATTTATATATATTTATATATATTTATATATAAATTTATATATATATTGACATATAAATGTATATATATATACTTGTTTTCAGTGGGTCAGTGAGAACATAGCTGAGTCCAGCCAGTCTGACTGTGAGACACAGGAACAAAGGGCCATCCCCCACCCGCAGGTGGGAAACATGGCTCCCAGTGCACCCTGCAGGCAGCGCTGGCCACAGGGGTATGAACAGAAGATGGAAGAAGAAGGAATTTCACACACACTTCTTGCTAGCAGATCATACTCTTGCTTAATCTCATTTCTGAATACAGAGCTGTACATGCTTATTACATTCTGAGAGCTGGAATTACAAGGAAAGACCATCTTCCCATTATAATTCGGAAGAAAAGTATTTGCATAATAAAGTTGAGCAAATAGTGTGCTTTCTTAAGAAAAAAAACCTGGATTAGCTGGCATTTGGTATCCATCACTGGCTGGACCCAAGAATAAAATGTCTGGAAACATGAAGAAAGCCAGTTAAACACACACACACAAACACACACACACACACACGTTTCCTTGGCAGCTCCAGTGTCTATTTCTGTGAATTCTGCATGTGCTCCTGGATGTGTTGATAATCCACTACTCATACTCTAAAACCAATTATACTCTAAATGGAGTCATTTTTATACCGTGAAGACAATATTTCCTTATGTGAAAAAGACTTCTATTGTAACATCATCTAGGAACCAGCATTTCCTTAAATACTTGACAACTTCACGAATTAATCCAGACACCACCATGTGCAGGGCCTTTCTGAGGAGGGAGCCCAGAGCAAGAAGCAGAGGAGCCCAGGTGCGGGCTGGGGGCAGCACGGGGAGGGGAGGGATGTGAGCAGCGCTTCCAGACTCAAGCCTGCGGAGGACCAGGGGAGGCGATGGGACCAGACAGGGAGACCCCAGCTGCCAGCTGCCGCAGAGATGGGGTGACTATGTAGACCAAGACAAACAGGTCGGAGGCAGGGCAGTTTTGCAGAAGGGGCAGCAAGCGCACCCTTCCATTTGTGTCGCCCATGGCACTGCACCTGGCCCAGAAGACAGCCATTGAGTGTGGGTTTAAACAACGGACTCCCTGATCTGCAGGTGGCCGTGCACATCCACCAGAAACACGCTGAATGGTGAATCCTGTCTTCGCCAGCTTATCCTCTCTGCCATCTCCTTCGCTGAAAGTTTGGGGTTCGGCCGCTCCCTTCTGTGGGCTCCCTTTCTTCGTGTAGAAAATGAGAGGCTGCTCTAAGTAATGCTCAAGGCCTTCTCCAGACCTCACTGATGCCGTCCGTGAAAGCTCTTTAACCAAACACCACTCAGCACAGGGACACAAGGAAACCTCTGGTCTCAGAGCCCTGTTGGTGCAATTGTTTTAGACATATTTTAATAGAAAATTGATCTTTTGTTTTGTTTGTTTGCCTAAAGAGTCTGTTGTACTTCCCCAAAAAATTTAAAAAAATAAAGACCTCAATAAACGTTAAAGCAAAATGCCTTTCATTTTTGTAATGAGTCTGAAAAAATTTTTACTATCCAATAGTCCCAGCCAGCCCTTTTTACAAGAGCATTCTCATTACCTAAATTTTATTGCCAAGAAGTGAAAAGAGAAGGAAATTGTAGATATTTAAGAAAAAATATATACTTTTAATAACATCAAGTCTTGTTTATTATTGAGATGTCAGAATTTGTAATCAAATTGTATAATCAGAGAGCCAGATACAATTTCTATAGGCCCAATTATTGCCCATGCCTATTTTAAACATTATGAATATTCCTGGGAATTATTTTCATCCCATTGAAAAACTTTTGAGACATTAGCTCACCACAGCATTCAACCACCTGCCAAGCAGTTTATTAGTCTCTCTAACCACCCAAAGTAATCCTCAAGGTTCCTTTTGAGTAAAATTCCCGGCATTGAATGATAGAAAATATTATTAAGCTGCTTTAAGAGAATAGTCAAGGTAGAACTGTAGAAAAACAGACTGGCCGAGCCTTGCAGAACACAGGGAAAAGAAGGGAAATAAACAGGCAGCTAGGCACTGTGGTGGGGATGTAAGTGATTTAATTTCATGTACAACACACCCTGGACCTAGGCAGTGACCAATGTCTATTTTTCCCGGGACTCCACTGAGGCTCAGGGAGGGTGGATCCTTGCACAGAACCACACAGCGGGTGAGGAGAAGGACCTGGATTGCAGCGTCATCTGCCCTACTTGGTATGAGTGTAGAGCGCTCTGAACCACAGCCACTTCTTCTGTGAGCACGTTTAATTGGTCTTTCATTCTAGCCAAGCCTGCGGAGGCAAGTGTGTGTCTGTAGAGTTGCAGCAGCAAAGATCTCAGCATTTTGTACAGTGAGCCATGAGGTCCTCAACTCTAACTTCTGCTTTTGTTCGAGCATATTGTCAGTGGGTGTATTCTGGTTGCTCCCATTATCCTGAACTACAGACCCTGAAATTAAGTTCTCCTCTATGGCAATAGACTGCGTATTGCTGGCTGATTCAAATAAAAGAACTTAATTAATTCAATCTTCTTGGATTTTGGTGTTATTTGTGAAGATGGTAAAAGAATGACTCTCTCATGGATTTCAGCGTCCTCGTTTTTTCCTCTTCGTCCAAGTCGTCAAAGCCTCAGTAGCCCATAGCCCCACCCAAAACTGGTCACAAATCTAGACTAACAAGGGTGCAGTTTTCTTTGTGTGTGTGTTTTTTTAAAATTTATACTTATAAATGTGATTAAATAACCAAACTCATTACAGTCTAAATGCCCTGAAAAAGTCTTTGTTCATACATTGAGTAATGATTTCTAGTATGGTCTTACCCTTAAAAGTCTTTAATCTTTACACGTGGGGTTGACTAGATGTTCAACAATTCCACTCAAAATCTAACAGGTGATTTGACTTTATTCAGAACAGTTTGCATTCAGATTCGATGTCAGTCTAAACTCTATAATAGAGGCTGATACACCAGTTATCCAGTTGACTATCACAACATAGCCAGGAGACATTGAAAACTAAGACGGATAAGTTAAATTCTGCTAAAAAGAAGGTGGTATCGTTTCCATGTTTTATCCAAGTTGTTTTGTTTCTCACAGGTGAGTAGAAATGAAGATAGGCAAGAACTGAATCTTCAAAGAACATTAACAAGCCACTGCTTGTTTGCACCCGTCCTGGCTCCATGCAATTTACTTTAATGCATGGCACTAAACCACATCATGCCCATCAGAGTGCCTGCGACACAGGACGTAATCAATAGGAAGCTGTCAGCAAATGCTGCTGAAGAGTGAGTGACACATGGTGATCCTTGGGAGTAAGTGATATTCCTACTTCTTCCGTATTTTACAGATGAGAGTGAGACTCAGATGTGAGTGAATGAAGACCATGACTTCTTTTATGGCTTGAAAGAAATCAGTAACCCCGTGTCAGAACCTTAGAATCTTATGTAACTCAACTGCTCATTGAGGCTATTGTCACAGGTTCTCCATGTCTAAAGAGAATCAGATTAATCTTCAGCCTTGAAGGGTCCTAGTTTTCTCTAAAGTTGCTCTGGAGTTGTGGTTTCAGAGGTGCTTATGTGTGTGTAAGTGCTTCAGTTTTTGCACAAAACTTTTGCAGATATATATATACACATACACATATACATATATAATATGCAGATGTCCAATAACAAAATTGATTATAAAAGAAGAGGGAGAAAAAACAGAAAGAGGAGGAGGAAAACGACAGAAAGAAGGGAAAGGAGAAAAAGAATTAAAAAAAAAAAAGAGAAAGGAGGGGGAAGGGCGAGCAGGACTTTTGCTTTCTGCTACAGTGGTGGGTGGAACCCAGAGCCATTGCCCTAGAATCCTCCTGCCTGTTTAAGCCCTCACTGCAGTCACTCCCCAGCCTTCCAGAGACCTCAAAGGGCCAGTTCTTCACTGCAGTTTAAACCTGCTCCTCCAGCATTCTGAAATGCAGAAAGGTCTCTTCTTTGTACCCTGTGCTGCCTTGATCCCATGTGACACGTCTAATCATTTAATGACAACATGGAAAAAGGAATGCATTCTCCTCCTGCCCCTACCCTTCCAGGAGCCACAGTGGTACCCACTGGACTAGAAACAAAAGCCAAAAATATAAAAATGAAAATGAGAACAAGTGGCCAGATTAATTGCCAACTTACAATCAAAACATTTATTTAGAAACCTAAGGACTTTAGAAAATTCCTTTTGCTATAATAACAGCAGTAGTGATCCAATGCTACTAATGGTTCTAATTACATTGTAACTGCCTGTCCACTTTTTAAACGTATTGTAATTGCTTTTTTAGCTAAAAGACTTTTAATCTTATTACTCTTAAAATATTTATGTGTGGTGTGTATATAAAAGCAAGTTTCTTTTTTGTTTTGTTTTGTTTTTCGTTTTTTGAAACGGAGTCTCGCTCTGTCGCCCAGGCTGGAGTGCAGTGGCGTGATCTCGGCTCACTGCAAGCTCCACCTCCCGGGTTCACGCCATTCTCCTGCCTCAGCCTCCCGAAAAACAACTTTCTTAATAGACACCTTACCAATATCCCTTGTCCATAATACTGCCTTCGGAATAATTTCACATGCATTTGGCACTTTGGCTAAAGGATACGTTACACAAAGGCAGGCAATTAAGCAAAGAATTGGGAGCTTATTTTTTGCCATTGTTCCTAGTATTTGCTTAATATTTATTTTGTATCTGTATTTGTGAAGCCTAGTATACAGTCTTTTTTTTTTTTTTTTTTTGAGACTGAGTCTTGCTCTGTCGCCGGGGCTGGAGTGCAGTAGCGCGATCTCGGCTCACTGCAAGCTCCACCTCCCGGGTTCACGCCATTCTCCTGCCTCAGCCTCCCGAGTAGCTGGGACTACAGGCGCCCGCCACCACGCCCGGCTAATTTTTTGTATTTTTAGTAGAGACGGGGTTTCACCGTGTTAGCCAGGATGGTCTCGATCTCCTGACCTCGTGATCTGCCCGTCTCCGCCTCCCAAAGTGCTGGGATTACAGGCGTGAGCCACCGCGCCCGGCCCAGTCTTTTTTTTTTTTTTTTTAAGGAATTTTTTAGGTGCTGAAGGTCTTGAAATAAGCCGCCTGTTTGGCAACGGGTTCACTGGTCTCTCTGAAGACTCACAGCGGGTGGCATTCCCTGGCTCTGTGAGGTAGGTGTCATTTTCCCCCAGCATTGCTAAGGCCATCCTCCTCT
This sequence comes from Homo sapiens, assembly GCF_000001405.40. Taxonomy (NCBI): domain Eukaryota; kingdom Metazoa; phylum Chordata; class Mammalia; order Primates; family Hominidae; genus Homo; species Homo sapiens. The sequence continues at coordinate 4,196,241 of NC_000005.10, forward strand.
GAAAACTGTGCAAACCTCTGATAAATCAGTAAAAATTATCTGCTCTTTTGTATTTTTTTAAGATCAGCATTTGGTTGCCACATTTTGAAAGAAAAATGCTGGTTGCAGAAAGTCTTATGCAAATTTTCCTATGTTTAAAGCGTTGAAAGGAGAGGACGTAACACATCTCATGGATACTCTGCTTTAAGTTATTAAATATCACATTGAGTGCTTCTACTTCATCGGGGCAAAATAGTCTGAATGGGGAAGATGCACTTAATCTACAAAACGTTGATAAATATTGCAGGAATTTAAAATAGTCATTCATTTCAGTCGCTCCCCCACCCAAAGTCAATCTCAAAGTTCATTAGGAATCTCAAAGCCTTCTGAAAATCACTCAAGCTTTAATTTATGTTTCAAATGTATTCTGTGGTGATAACAACATGGAAGAGGAGATGTGTTGAGAATATAACATAACATAACATAATAATATAGCTTCATCTGTTGTCACTGTTTGTTTTCCCTTTAAGAGGAGCAGAGTCATCCTATTGGTAGAGAAACCAGGCTTCATGTGTCTTTGGTTGTACGTTCAAAAATACTTAGGGTAACCTGGCTTGACTGGCCCCTTTAAGAGGTGGACTGCCTCCCACTGTGAAGGGCGGGACACATCCCTGGACTGGACGGTGGGATGCGCTTCCGCGTCAGAGGAGCTCCTCTTGGTCTCAGTCTCCGGGGATCTGTGTGGGCCTGAGCCTCACTCATTCCACTCTTTCCCCACCCCCGGCACAACTCCCAGGCCCCAGGTGGTCTGCTTCATTCTGCTTTGTGAAGGGGACCTTCAGAGTTTTACTTTAAGAAAGTGATGACAACATTTCAGACATGTAACAGTGTTTATGGCACTGTTCATGCCATACCAGTGATAGGGATTTAAGCCATCTATTGCCATTTTAAATAATATCCTTCCGTCAATGCGCGTGCACGCGCACACACACACACACACACACACACACCATGCTACAGCTACATCCATATCTACAGCCACAGTTACATCTGTATCTGTGGTTTCCTGCTTACATTTGAATGCTGCCAAAATGTTTCCTTGTTCATAGGAACAAATAGAAAATAGCACCAAAAAAAGTTCCCCATGTTTGTAAATTAGCAGAAAGGGACCAGCTGTCAGGCTGGCAGGATTCAGAATTCTGATTAGCTGTGAAGCAGCACCTCCATCACTCTGCAACTGGGTTGGAAACAGACAAATAGCAATGTGTCTTTCAGTTTCTCTTTTGTTGTGAGTACATGGCCAACTTGGACAATTAATAATCTGAAGGATAAGGGGCTTATATTATACCTTCATTTCTCTCTCTCTCTCTCTCTCTGTGGGTGTGTATGTTTGTGTGTGTTTCTGTGACAGGGACAAAGAACGAATTACAAAAAAGAAAACAGTGACAAACTCTTGGTTTGAATCAGAGTTTGATTAAATAAACTTGATTTCCATACTAATGACTGTTATAAAAAGTAGATTTTACACTTTATAAAAACAGATTCCATACTCTTGAAGCCACCAGGTCAAAACGCCCAGGAGAGAATGCCAGGCACTAAAGTGTGTGGGCTGGTGATGTTGGCAGGTCCCTGTGTCAATGTCCCCTGGGGCTTGTCCAGGAGCTGTCACCCCCCCATGGGTCATGAGGCACCTGGGTGTTGGGGGGATTGAACTTCCACATCAACGAATGAGAAATCAGCACAGATGAAGTTGCAGAGAGGGAAGAGAAAAATAAGAAATGCCAAATAATGTTTTCTACATGATTTGACTGAACTTTGCTTTCTCTTGTCCAACTCTTGTTTATCATAGGAAAGATGCTCAACTATGAATGGGGCTGCCTGCCATAAACATGACCCTTCACCCCTGCAAAGAGAGCTTTCATTATATATTTCTGCAGCTGAGTTCTTCAGGGAAAATAGAAGGCATCTGGCAGCTGACCCAGAGCAACAAAGTTCCTCTACTGTCAGTTTCAGCCCCGTCCCTCTTAAAACTAAAATTTACGTTGAGCCTCTGCTGCTTCTGCCCTTGCTTTCATCATAGGGGGAGTTGGACCTGTCAGTGGGTGCAGATGGAAGGCCCTACTTGAGTTGGAGAGCATGCAGGTTCTGCAGACGCATTGTCTACAGCCCTATTGAAAATTACCTTTGTCCAGTAACAGTCAGATGGAGCAAATTGGTTTTATTTATTTATTTATTTATTTCCTACTCATTGGAAGGAAAAGGGACGATGGGGCTGGGAGGAGGGAGGGAAAGGGTGGCAAGGTTTATGCTGCTTCATTTCTCTGAAACAATGGTCTGTACTGATATTGTCTACAGGGTAGAAGACGGGCTGTCGAGTAAAGCAAGACAAATGTGATGTCCTGACTGATTATTCCTTAGATACTAAGTCAGTGAGCTGATTATCACTGCAATTACATTACCAGTGTCAACAGATGCCGCGTGTAGGCAACAAGTTAACAATTAAGTGGGCTCCTGGCCCTGAGACCTCACTCCACAGCAAAGCCTGTGTAAACTCTTCCACTTTAGATACCTGCATGGACGAATCTGATGCCTGAAAACAGAGGAAGGTGTTTCCTGACCACGGTGTAGCTGACAGACAGGCTTCTCTGCTTTCAGGGCGGGGATCTCCCCTTCAGATGAGGCGATTCTGCACTCCAAGATCTGACTTTATTGACATCTGTAAATTAATTGAGTTACAAAATAAGAAGGTAAATGTGGCCACATGCAAATGCGCATACTCATTCTTCCAGAAAAAAGTCACATGATGATGACCATTTGCGTTTTTGAATAAAATGGTGTTTCTTATTTCTTTAAGAAGCTTCCATACCAGCAGAACACATTTCCCAACAAGGGATAGTGAGTTTCACTGTGAGTGTGTGTTTCTGGATAAAACACAATGCTCTCCCTAGAAGGCCCTTGAGGGCTGTTTGCTCCCAGCTAACAATGCTGGGGTGGGGGTGGTCCCGCTCCTTGCTGTCAGAAGCCACATGCGCTCGCCCTGGCTCCTCTCCCTGGGTCTGCTGGGCAGCGTGCACTTGGTATAGAAAGAAAATGAGTGCAGCATCTCTTCTTTCCTCATGCTCTCCCCTACCAGATGCAAGAGGCACTGTGGGAGGAGAGGGAAGTTGCATGTTCTGGGTTTTCAGACACAAGCATTTAGTCACATGAATTCGCTTCAAAAAAAATTAAAAAGTCAAATACAAAGATCGTCACACTTTTTTTCCCATTACCACATCAAGGGCGGTATCTCTCACATGTGTGATATAAAAACAAGTGGGCAATACATCCGCAATGGCTTCCCAGGCCCAGCTCACAAGGTCTCTTTCAATGCTAATTAGCCCTGATGGTGAAGACAATGTGGGCCCAGGAATTGTTTTTGACTATCCATTAGGTTCTTTGCAACCAATTCAAAACATGTGAACGGTGATTCCAAAGTAGCCCGAGGACGGCTGAGGATGGATCCAGCCGAGGAACCAAGTGGAGCCAGTAGATGCCTGTGGCTGTGCAGATGTGCGGTCTCCCCGGGGCCTCAGCGGCCCGCAGAGGGTCTTCGAACACGACCACATTGCTGAAGTTTCGAAGAATGATTTTTCTTCCGGAAAACAGCAGTACAACCTTCAAAAGAGAATTTCATTTTTTTTTTTAATTCTTCTCCAAGCTTCTGGGTCAGCGACAAGTGGCTCTGACGAATATTTTAAGATGTTTATTGTTTATCTGGATTGATTTCAGTGATGAGTCAGAAGCATAGTGGGGAGGAGAAGAAATGGAATGATACAAGTGAGGAATGAGAGAGAAACTTATTTTCTTATGCATATTATATACGTGTGTGTGTGTGTGTGTGCTGTAGATTCATATGGATAATTGAAACTCACTATTAAAGTTAGATTAATATATTAGACACAAAGTAGATACCAGTTCCAAAGGAAAGCAGCCTGTCATGCTCTACTTATAAAAACAAACATACAAACAAGCCAGAGGACTGGTCTCGTTTCTTCTTTTAGTTAAATTTACATCATAGACTCTAATGAAAGTGAACAGCTTATCAGTTGAAGCATCCTAAACATTCTCCCCACATAAGACTTGCATAGTTTCTGAATCCTAATGCCATCCGTGCATAATTTTAAATTAGAATTATTTTATTGCTAACAAATTTGAATTTGAAGAATTCAAAAGACTCCAGCTTATCAATATTTTCTGAACCTTATTTTAGAAATCGTAGACTCCAGACATAACTTTAACCACGTAGATGCATGGGCAGCAAGCGTGAAACATTTGCAGTGCAAGTCTTTATTCTAAAAGAGACATACTGGCTCTGAGCAGATGGAAAACAAGTAGTCAGAGTGCTAGAAATGAAGATGAAGATGCAGATGAAAACAGATGCAAAAGGTCACGGCAAGGAAGGGGCGGAGAACTGAAACCCTTCGCTTAATCTACCTCAAGAGTGTGAAAAGATGTCATGAAGCCAGAAAATGGTCCAATGGTCAGTTAGGCACCCAAATTGTAGAGGGTGATTGTGACATTGTGATATAATAAGAAATATATATTTGGTCTCTGTCTCTGGTTCCTGGCACACAGCTCCTGAAACCCTTGGAATCCCTCCAGTGATAAGAGCGTCTTTTGTATACTAACAAGGTGACTGGTGGCTAAAGTCCCCTAGAGAGCTTCAGGGTAGGCAAGTCACCAAAAAGACCAAGGCATGTGAGAGGGTTGAAAGTTTCAACCCATCTCTCTCCAACCCCTGGGAGAGGAGAGGAAAGCTGAGTTAAACATCAATGGCCAATGTCATCATCAACCATACCTATGGAATGAAGCCTCCATAAAACCCAAGGACAGGGCTCAAGGAACTTCTGGATTGCTGAACACATGAAGGTGTCTGGTGGGGGCTGTGCCCAGAGAAGGCATGGAAGCTCCGTGCCCTCTTCCTCATACCTTTCCCTGTGCATCTCTTTCATCTGGCTGTTCATCTGTATCCTTTGTAATATCTTTTATAGTAAATGAGTAAACATGAAAAATACAGACACAAGACAGCAGTCACCCCTCCTGGAGCTGAAGAAAGCCTGTGTAAAAGCCAGCTTGTCGTCCTCTACAAGGAGAAGAGATGGACAGAGACAAGAAGAGTGCTTCCCTCCACTAATATTTGGGTGGCAAATTCAGGAGGGTGCCACACCATCCCAGCTGAGAGCTGATCAAGTTTTTGATGATGAGAGCTGATTGGTAAATGTTTGGGAATTCGCAAGACTGTTGTTAAACCACTGGCAGCTTGAAATCAACCATGAAAGGGGGGTTTACACCAGAGAAATTGGTGGACACTGCCCTTTAGACCCCTGCAGCCTGCACACCCAGGAGAATTGGTTTACAAGCTCACCACAGCATGTTCTCTGAGCACTGATGGGTAAAATGATCACTGTATATGCCTGAGGCTTTTCTTTTGGAAGCTACACACACACACACACACACACACACACACACACACACACACACACAAAATTGTTTTGATTTGGCTTTGTCTGAATTTTGGAACTGATATCTACACTTAAAACCAATTCAACATCTAGAGGGAGCTGATACAGCAGTGAGAGTGCTGATCAGTGGGAGAAGCCGTAATGTGAGGCAGTTGTCTGTGGCAGCTGCCAGGTGGAGAGGTGGGCTCTGGTGTGTGCATTCGGCACCGTGTTGCCTGTTTCTGTTTGGAGTAAGAGAGACAGGTGTCCTGCCTCTGCAGAAGACCAAAATGTGATGCAGTTTTCCAGACTCAGAGTGGAAAGGAAGATTAGGTGGGCCTTACACACAGAATCCGAGCTATTTAGCTTTACTGTTCAGCTCAGCTCATCATTCAAGGGAAGAAAAATTTGGTCAGGGACTGGCCAGGGCTCCTTACCATTTTGTACCTTGTGTACCTGAACAGGGACAAACCCCACACACCCCCACACCTAGGAAAAGTACACATAGGGGTAGCTTCTGCAGTAGTTTTTAAATTCTACTGATCATAAGAAATTCCTAGGCCGGGCGCGGTGGCTCACGCCTGTAATCCCAGCACCTTGGGAGGCCGAGGCGGGCAGATCACGAGGTCAGGAGATTGAGACCATCCCGGCTAACACGGTGAAATCCCATCTCTACTAAAAAATACAAAAAAATAAGCCGGGCGTGATGGCGGGCGCCTGTAGTCCCAGCTTCTCGGGAGGCTGAGGCAGGAGAATGGAGTGAACCCGGGAGGCGGAGCTTGCAGTGAGCCGAGATCGCGCCACTGCACTCCGGCCTGGGCGACAGAGCAAGACCCCATATCAAAAAAAAAAACAAAAAAATTCCTGGATTTCCTGTGAGAACAAACCCCACCCTAATTGGTGAGGAGGCCAGGCTTTGAGTGCCCTGAAGCTTACACATTGTGGGCTGGTATATGTAAAGATAAACAGGACAACAATAATTGCATTTCCTAACTTCATAAAAGTCTATGCTAAAGTAGACATTTCTGAGTCACCTTTCCAGTGCCTGGAAAGGAGTTGTGCAAGTGGAAGTTGCAGAAGCCCCTTCGCTTCCTGGCAAGTCTTTCTTGGTGGAAACCTTTGCATTTCATAGCTCCAGGGCAGGGCCTTTGGGAGCTCTCGGTTGGTCCAGCCTGTCCCTCAACGGCATCGCAAGTCCTATGGGGACTTTGGAGCATCCCTGCGTGGCAGTGCAAACTGAATCGTATGGACATCAAAGTCCTGAGCAAGTGTGGAGTGTCTTTTATGTCCAGAAGGGAGCTAAGGCATGAGACACCTAAAAACCCCCTGCACTGTGCCCTGAGGGAGTTTCCAGTCTGGGTGGGGGTGGTGAGAGGCCACTGGGATCTTTGGAATAGACATACAGAACACAAAGATTGCACTACACAAAGTTGTTCTGGAGGCTCAGGACATTGGAAAACTTGCCCAGAAGCAAGCGCGGGGCCCCAGCCACATTCCAGCCCCACCTGATCTCATGTCAGATGTCCACCTGGAGCTTCTCCATCCAGCAGAAGGTGGTGAAATCAGATTTGCACAGGGCACCCTATAAAGGCCAAAATGAAGAGGGCAGATGGAAGGAAGATAGACCAGAGGCAGACTCACAGGGTGCCCAGCTGTCCCTGTCTGCTTGGGAATCTCCTAATGACAGTCGTCTTCAATGTCTTCCTGTAAACAGCACTCAGTCCTGTGAAAATGTGGATGGGTGGTCACTTTAAGGGAGAGGCAACAGAACTGAAGCTTCAACCTGAAGCAGCGGCCACATGGGTAAAGTGAAAAGGGGACAATCAAAGAGGCATTGAAGAAATGACTCCCAGAGCACAGCCAGCCTGGATGAGAGGTAAAGGACGTGGGAGGTGGGATGGTCTTCCTCTGATGTTCAGCCTTGACAGTGACTTTCAGGTACATTACATCATTGACGCCTTGCTCCCATTGTAAATTCTTCAACATTGTGATGTTATGTTTTTCTTTTTTAAGTAATATTTGATTTTTAGGTTGTTTTTATCCACTGGAAATAATAAGTTATATTTGAAATGTTTGGGAAGAGACCTTGCAGAGGAGGGGACTATAAGAAGTTTTATTTTGCTAGCTGTTTAAATAGAACTCTTTCTTTCTTATTCCATCAGTGAGCATGTTCAGTAAGTTTTCTTTCAAATATCCTCAATCAAGTTGAACCTTGAAAAATGTGCATTTTAAGTTTAAATTTTATCTTCCAAGTGATGGAGATTGTCATCCACAGAACATTTTTTTGAAAATATAAAAAATTCTTATTAGGTCCCATGTATTTATTTTCCCTCAATCATTTATTATATTCATACATTCCATTGCTTGTTCAGGCCATATCTGACCTCCTTATAAAACTATAAAGTTATTAAAATAAAAAGTGAATATATGAGATATCTAAATTGCCATTAGCTACTAAGATATCTCTTAGCATGCAGATTAGTAACAGATATTTGATTTTGGATTTTATAACCATGAATTATTCCTAAAGTATTCCATTTTCCCTACATCCAAATAAGTTGAGTCAACATCTAAGCTTCTTGTTTTTGTCTTTCTTTAATAGGCCTATAAAACAGGCATGACTGTCCTGGATGAATAAATCAAGCCGTTTGCCATCACTGCTGCTTTCCCCATGCACTGCCGACCAACAATATTCCCTACCATGTGCACCCCATTCACAGCCCTCTGAGCACTTGTCTAGCTGTGCTAATCCCAGTACACCATGCTGGACACGTGCAGATGTGGGAGGGTTGGCAAGCTTGCGAAGGAAAATCACAGTCCAGGATACGCTGAACAAGTTTACCTTTGTTCTTAGTACAGACACCTGTCCACCATTTTACAATTTCCATGTTTCTCACGATGTTTCTTCAGACTGAGGGAGATCTGGTCTCTTGTTCTTTTGCCCATTTGTTTTGCTGTGTTCCAAGTAAGAAAACACGGCGTTATTGGCACAGACACTAAACACAAGGCTTCACTTACAAGTTCCAACACCACCCCCCTCCTTGTTTTAATTCCTGCTGTTGACTCCACGTTCCCCTGCATCATGCAGGTGGCCTGCACTCCTTTCAGTCGTTACCAGCAATGCTTTTGTTTCTGTCCTCATGGCTGCATGGGACACAAGTTCAGGGGAGAATGATGTGTGAGTGGAAAGCATCTTCAGCCAAGGCCAGAAGTGCCCTCATGATCCTATACCCTTTTATTACACAGCAGGTGATTGGATCTGTTCCAGGCTGATTTTCACCAAGTGCTAGTTCAACTGCTCTGAGACCACAGTGGGTTTCATAAGGTTTTCAGCTTCAATCTCTTTCCAAATAGGTAGTGAGATAGAAAACCTATTTTTAAGAAATATTTCAAGGCTAAAGCTGCAGAATAAAAGCCCTGTCTTCCTCTCATCACCGTAGGCACAGTTGTGATTTTATTATTCTATATTGAGAACAACTAAATTCACTCCCACCTCAAAAAAAAAAAAAAAAAAAGAAAAAAAAAAGCAGTGCCCTACATAGCATGTAGTGGTTGCTTCTCTTATAAATCTTTATCCAGCCAGCTGTTCACAGCGTTCCTACATTCGAAACAGCATTTTAATAAAAATGGAAGAAAACAATTACAGCATGATTAAAGATATCATATTTGGCCGCCATTCTAAATATAAACCTATGGGTTTGCAACCCATAATGCTTCATGTTTCCATGGAAGAGCATAAAATTACATCATTTTCTGGCAGTTTTGCAAAAGAGTTTGGGAGATTATACATATTCAGAATTCCTTTGGAGGTTTCACAATATCTGCTTTCTGCTCCACTTTCTCTGTTATTTGGTTTTCTGAGCTAAGCCATGTGAACCTCGGCTTCCGATGTACAACAAGTGAAAACAAGAACTGCACATTTCAAACAGATTTCATAAACAAACTGTTTTGACTTCATGTCAGGCAGGACTACGTGAAATTTGGTTTTCTCCACCAAATTCGGCTCCCAGCTGTGATGTGTCAAGTCAAACAGGAACAAGTAATTGTATTCAACCCTTAAAATGGAGCTCCCAACTGACATCTTGTATTAACAATATCAGAAAGCAGGTCTGTTTGTCTTTTAAAAATAGTCACTACTTGGTCGCTTTGAATTCAAACATTCCACAGTGGATTTCCACTCAAAGATGTGTGCCTGTGGACAGGTGGTAGAGAGGCAGCTGAAACCAGACTCTGGAGCCATACTGACCCTGCCTGGGAGAGCCACAGCCTCGAAACCTCCACCCTGTAAGATGTTACAGCAAAAGAAAACAAAGCTGGCTTTGAAGGAATTATGCTAAACAACTTATCTTTAATTTCTCCAATGCAGTAAATTAAAAGTTAATGTATGAGGGACAGTCCAGGTTTAAAATGCGACCTCCGAAACTGGGAGTCCCCAAATAACTCTCCTGTGTTGACTCTTCCTGTCTATTCTCAGGGTTTAGAAAGAGGATATCCTTCTGTAGTCACATGAGCAATGGTAAAGCAGTAACCACCTTTGTCCACAAACACTGCGGAGACTTGGTGAGCTGGGCCCTGAGGCAGAAGATCTCTATCTCTAACCTTAAGGATCACACTGGCTAGAAGGGGATGCAGTTGTATAGACACAGGACAGGATGTGATCAAGTGCCTAGGTAAGTGCAGAGCACAGGAATGCCAAGGCAAGGCTAGCCCAGGGCCCCAGGGATGCACCCCAGGGACCTGTTATGTAAAGATCTAAGAACACATTGAGAGCAGAGGAAAGAAGAGGCCTGGAGCCTCTTTAAATCTGTTGTTGCTGGGAAAATGGAATCTAGCACCACAGTGGCTGTGGCTCCACACGAAATAATTACAGACCTTTCCTTACTCAGTAGTTCTTTAAGGAGAGTAAGGCAGAGTATGATTCCATGACGGTGAAACCAAATTCACATAAAATTTTGCTGTAATCCCTTAAATGCAAATATTTTCAAACTTAACCAATTCAATATCCTATGACTCCCTTTATTTTTCACTATTTTGATGTAGGGCAATTGATTTGAAAATAAAAATGACTAAGACATGTCTGTTCTGATGTAATGGCCTTTTTAAGGAGATATAGTTGATCACTTTTACAATTTAAAAATACCAACTTAAAAACAACAGCATTGGCAGAATACGATTATGCAAATTATAGTGTTAACAAAATTTACACATCAATGAGAACATTCTTTCCCATCATAGTTCTTATTAGAAACACTGGGAAGTAAATTATCTGCAGAAAAGTACAGTATAAAAATGTATTAAAAGCTGTAAGAACTAAATTGAAATGTCAAACATAGTTATTTATATTAAAACCCAACCCAGCCCAGCAAAACAGGTGCCGGACCATTCATAAACTGTTTGTTGAAACCGGAAGATTCATTTTGGTCTCTGGGCAACACCTGCCTTCTCGACCTCCCTGTGGGTTCCTCTCTGGACAGGTCCAGTTCCCCCAGTTTTTCAGAATTCTTGAAGTTCAGTGTATGATTTATTTTTATACATCAAGTTTGAAGGTCTAAATCCCCGGGGCCAGTGCTTTTAACACTTTAAGCAGTTTCCAGATTATTTTCATCTGGGAATACAGAGCTGATATACCAAAGACCATTGACAGAGGCAAAACGTCATTAAAACGATTACCCCCAAAGCACTGAGCGAACTCATCTGAAATGACTCACTTGCTCAAGGAGCGTTTCTTTGCCCTCCCTCTGTCTCCCCCACCTCCTTCCTGCCCTCTTTGTTGTACACTTTGGGGCGCCCAGCACCGCCTCCCGGCCTACTACAACTGCCCCCAGACAATGGAGCCCCGAGCAGGAAGCATGTCCCGTGACAGAGGTCCCACCCGCCGGAGCTTTCAAGTTGATGGGAAGCGGTGACACTTGAGCAGGACATGGCTGGCCTGCTGGATCCTGACACGGCACCCTGTGTGCTCGGCGGTGCGTCCGGCCTTTGTGCAGTGCGCCCCGTCCGCCAGGGCTGCCACAGCTGAGCAGCTGCATCGGGAAAGCCCACTAAGCAGAAAGCGCTCCCCAGCCCGGCCTCTGATTTCTCACATTTAATTACCTGATTTCCCTTTCCTGCGGTCATGGAGAAAATGGCATTACATCACGCACCATGTAGCTCTGGAAAAGCATTGAATGTGTCTAATAGAGCCACTGGTGACAAGCACAATAGATGCGCCTCTTGTTTCACATCGGATATTAGACCCTCCAAACAAGTGTGGTCATTCCTGCTCCGAAGATCTTCAATAGGAAACAAAGGCAGCAGGTTTTGGTGGTGTCACCCCTAGCACCTCACAGAGAGAAAAACTTCATTTAGCCTCCCTGGGCTATCCAAGCCTCCTCCAAGTCTCGGGAAAATGAGAACTTTTACAGGTATTTCCTTCTAGCTATCAATACAGAGATTTCATTTAAATCTGCGATGCTCTCACTTCCCAAGCACCACCGTATGTTACCTTAATCCGTTCAGATACATTTTCATCTTAAAGCACGCACAGCTGCACACTCTTTTCAACCAATTCATGATATCATATAGAACTCAGGAATGAAAATGTCCTCCCCAAAGTGAATGGAAGCCAAAGGGACACAGTGATTGCTCCACATAGAGACAAAAGCGACGACACTATACCCACATCTGCAGATAAATTCCAGGTGGTGCCATGTGATTCCATTAGGCTGATTGATGACAACTTCTCTCTCAGTTTGAATTATGTGGCAACCCCAGGACTCCTCATCTTAGCCCTTGCCTGGTGTTAAGATGTCCTCAGCAGCATGTGTAGCCACCTATGAAGACCCCGTTTCAAAACCTCTCTTGCATCCTAGATTCAGACAGTGTTCAATTTCTAAATAATTAGCAGATTATAAGAAAACAGTATCTTCTATCACTTACTCATCTGCTAAGATGACATTTTTATTGCTGCAAGGGAGTATGCCCAGGAACACACAAACACATAAACACAAACACACATGCACACACACAAACACACATGCACACACACAAACACAAATGCACACACACACAGACACACACACAAACACACATGCACACACAAACACAGCACACACACAAACACAGGCACACACATACACACACACATGCACAGAGATGCATTTGTGTGACCCTGTTGCCGTCAGATACTGATATGGACAGCAAGCAGCTCCTGTGCTTGACGGGATACACATTAACACAGATGTGAGTACAGATGCATCAAACACCTGCCCAGAGGCCCTCGTGGATCAAGGAAGATGAGATATATATGACTCCTGATTTTAAGACCATTAATAGGAAAGATAAAACATGAACAACATGATGCTCTACAAAAAGAGGACTGAGGGTCCTGAGAGGCACACAGTGTGTTAATGGAGTCTTAAGGGCTGAGGGATCACAGTCTCTGGAAACACGAGAAGCTTCACTCTGCCTTGGAGGAGCACAGGGCTCTCCCAGCTGAGAGGGAGGAGGGACCTCTCATGATAGACGATGGATGCATGTGTAGATGGTGAGTGTCCCACTGCACCCCAGTGGAGAGGTGAGAAGGCAGGGTCGGGGGGAAGGATGATGGCTGCGGGACAGTCACTGTACCCCAGTGGAGAGGTGAGAAGGCAGGGTCTGGGGAGAAGGATGATGGCTGCCGGCCAGTTAGTCTTCACATCATCTGTGAGTGGGCATTTAGTGGTGTAGGAAATATAAAGGAATGGACATGTTTGTGGAACAGGAAGGAGCCATGCTACAGCTCAGTGTTAGGGCAGTGATTTGGCAGTAGGGTTCCAAATGGCCTAGAGTGAGCTGAATTAGCACCTTACAGTCCTATAAGTGAGAGCCTGAGAAGTGATGGTGTGGGGGGATAGGAGGAAGGCGCAGACTAGACAGGAAGGCCGGCGGTGTCTCCACGGCTCCACTGACGCCCATGTGGATGAGGAAGAATGGGAGGCCAAGATGGTGCTGGGCCTCTCAGCTTTGCAGGACCAGGAACAGAGTTAGGAGAGGCATTGTGGGAAGGCTGCCTACTGAGTGGTGTTGGGGATATATTTGAGTTGCAGGGATAGGTTTGTTTTCTGAGTATTGGTTGCCAAGCAGATGGTTAAATTTTAAGGTTGGAATCTGCAAAAGAGTTTGAGTCATCTTTGTTGAGGTTTTAAGGCTTACAGGAGAGAACAGAAAGAAGGGAAAGTAGGGACAGGTAGAAACAAACATTTTTGCAGCATTTCCATTGGTTAGCAATAACTGGTGCAAGAAGTGAACATGGGAGCTGGCAGAAGGAAGAACCCTCAGTAAGCCCCTCACTTGGTTTTCTGTATGGCTGAATGACCTGTGTGTATTTGCTATAATTAAATGACCCAGCATGGGTACATTATTACTATCCAAGGTCAACACTTCATTTGGACTTCCTTGGTTTTTTTCCCAAAGTCCTTTCTCTTTTCCAGAGTCCCATCCAGAATATCATATTACATTTAACCATCTTGTCTCCTTAGGCTTGTCTTGGCTATGCCAGTTTCTCAGACTTGTTTTTTGATGACCTTGGTTGTTTTGAGGACTCCTTGTCAAGTATTTCGTAAATTGTCTCTCAGTTGGGACTTGTCTGATATTTTACTCATGATTTGGCTGGGGCTATGGGTTCCTGGGAGGAAGATCTCAGAAGTGAAGTGCTAGTTTCATCTTATCACATTAAGACTGCATGCAATTAGCATGACTCGCCACTGTTGATGTTCACCTTGATCATCTGGCTGAGGTAGTGCTTGCCACTATAAAGCTACTCCTTCTCTGGCTGGGCGCAGTGGCTCACACCTGTAATCGCAGCACTGTGGGAGGCAGAGTCGGGTGGATCACAAGGTCAGGAGATCGAGACCATCCTGGCTCGATCTCTTTAATAGAAATCCCGTCTCTACTAAAAATACAAAAAAAATTAGCCAGGCGTGGTGGCGGTGGCCTGTAGTCCCAGCTACTCAGGAGGCTGAGGCAGGAGAATGGTGTGAACCTGGGAGGCAGAGCTTGCAGTGAGCCGAGATTGCACCACTGCACTCCAGCCTGGGTGACGCAGCAGGACTCTGCTTCAAAAAAAAAAAAAAAAAAAGCTACTCCTTCTCACTCTAACCCCTATTCATGTTGTACTCTGTGGAAGGAAATCACTATGCGTAGTCCACCATGAAGTGGGGAGTTAGGATCCAACCCCTCCAGGGTAGAGTATCTACACAAATTATTTGGAATTCTCCTACCCAGGAGACATTTCTATTCTTGATGGGAGATATTTTAAGGGGTAAAGAAAGCAATTTGAGTGACATCGTATCACATAGGCTCCTTTTAATTCAAGGCAAACTCATCAGCGGGGACAAGGGCCGCTGTGATGTCAGGGAAGGATTTGGAGGCTGGAGAGGACATGAAACCTGCAATGACCTGTCAGCTAGAGGTGAGGCTAAATTCTTTGAGTTTTGCTAAGTAACGCTGAGGTTTCACTCTTGTCCCATGGATCTAAGTTAATTTCAGAACTATAAAGAGTTGTGATGCATGTGTGTGTGTGTGTTTAACAAAATAAGTCATTCCCATAGTTCTCTCTGGAAGATGAGATAGTCAACATCTAATCTTCTGTAGCTATTTATTACAAAGCTAGAAATTTTCTAGCTAAAATTGAGTGAAAATCACTATAATTTTGCAATTTTTAAAAAAGATGGGTTCTTCCCTTGCCTGATATTTGAAGCATCAAAAAGAATTTAGTCAAATATTTCATATTCTGTTTTATAAATTACATATTTATATGTGCAACTAGAATACATTCATAACAGTCCCAAAAGTTCGCTTTAGCTGTGTTTGCATTATTGCTGATCATTGACCTTTTAGAAAACAGAAGTTATTTTATTTTATTATTTTACAGATGGGTTCCATCTGAGTTTTTTGCTTAAAAGTTGATGATTTTGGCTTTCTTTTCAATGCTCACTTGAGTAAAGGTGTCAATGAATTTTTTAGTGATAATGAAAATTCTTAGTTTAACCATTTCATGGTGATCCTGTTAGGAATGGCTTTGTCCATGGTGGAATGGCTTTCTTGACCAATAAGTCTTGTTCCTTGAGTGTCTTGGTCCTTGAGTCATTAAAGTATCTGCCCAACACCCTGCAAAGCAGAAAGAGAACTAAATCTCTTTTTCACATGTGAAACACTTTTCTCTTATGTTAACTATTGTCCACTTCAGCATTTTCCGCATATTTATAGACACTTGTCAGCCCCTCTTCCGGGCTGAGTGTCTTCATCAAATTTACTCTTAGGATATTTGGAGCTCAGACTCATTCTGGGCACCACCCCCCTGAGCCTGAATCCCCCCCACCCCCCCACCCCATAGATGTGTTTCTCGTCTTCACAGCTGGAAGAGAGTGTTGTGGGGAGAGCATGGCCGTGAGGGCCTCTCTCCACTCCACGCTGGGACTTTCTTGGAACAACTCTATGAAGGAGGCAGAGGCCACTCTTCTTCAGGGAAGCTCCTTTGAAATGCAAGGTATGGAAACAGCAGAGTATAGCCTGGAGAGCTTGAGACACTGTGCTTATCCCAAGAAAGTGAGCAAAAAAACGGCCCGTACTCTCCCATAGACCAAACACTCATTGGTATTCACTGGGGTGATGCCCGCAACCTCAGGAAGTTGAGGAGGAAGCTGGATCTATGTGTTGCCCTCTTTCTCTATCCCATGGCCATGCGCTAAGCCCCAACACAGCCCTAGCACCAGCTTCCTCTCTAGGTGCCTGCCTCTCCATGGTGGTCAGGAGGGAGTGAGACGGAATCAGGGCTCATCCACCACACTTGCTTGAAGGCATTTTGTGAGTGTGAGTGCCTGTCTATGCTGGAGACCTGCTGGGACATGGAGACACCCCAGGGACATGAGAGGTGTGTGCTCGCCAAGCCAATCTTTCTCCTCCCACACATCCTGGGAGGCCTTGGCATTCATTCTGTGGGCTGCTTCCTATTTGCAGACGGTCTTTGAGCCTTCACCTTATGTTGTTCCCCTATGTTCAGAAGAAACCTCTTTTCTCTCCTACTCCCCCACATGGAAGAGTTCACAGGTGAAATGATCTGCTTGCTAATTCTCATTTCTTATC
Source organism: Homo sapiens (assembly GCF_000001405.40). Classification (NCBI taxonomy): domain Eukaryota; kingdom Metazoa; phylum Chordata; class Mammalia; order Primates; family Hominidae; genus Homo; species Homo sapiens. Next base: position 4,212,803 of record NC_000005.10, read on the forward strand.
CCACAAAATCGTGCTTTTTGTAACACTTGCAAGGAGTGGTTTATTTGGGAAAGGCTAAGGAAAGCAATGATAAAATCTTTAAAAATAACAACAAGCTATCAAAGACATACAAACGAATATGTAGTAGGGAGGAAACCTGAAAAGCCCATGACAGAGACTGTGAATGCGCGTGACCCCCAGTCAGCATTAGGTTTCAAAGAGGGGATTTAAAACAAAAGTCACTTCACATTTCCTGCTGAAAGGGTTTATTTTGGTTTTTCTTCCTCCTGGGTTTTATCTCAGGAATCTTAAAGTCCAAGGGGCTGCTCTTCTCACTAGAATCCTCCAGTAATCACTTAAAGGTAAGTGGAATTAGAGGGGAGCCCAGCATGCATTTACCCACTGCTGCTGCCAGTCAGCTAATTAGGTGATTAAGTCATTAAAGGGAAATATACATTTGAAAGGCTCCAGCTCAGTCACTCAGAAGTGGGATAAAGACCAAATTCCAACTTTCTTCTCGCCAGTCTCTACACTGCAAAAGTGATTAATCTATTTAACTCTGCCTAGCCTTTTTTTTTTCTTTTTCTTCCTTTCCTTTTCTTCTTCCTCCTCCTCCTCCTTCTTCTCCTCTTCCTCCCCCTTCTCCTCTGACTTCTCCTCCTTCTTCTGGAAAAGGAAAAACCAAGGAACAGAAGCTTTTTGTAGAGTCTTTGAACAAATAGAATGACAAATGCCTTTCTCTGAGGCACCTCGTGCAAAGCTTCAACAGCTGGAGGTCAAAATGACTTAAGTAAGGGGCCTGATGGGGACGGGCGAGGAGAGCACAATGGTGACTTCGGATTTAGGGCTTTTCCTATCAGATCATTAGCCTGATTTGTTATCGGATGCCTTTTGATGTTGCCCGTCTTAGACAAACGTTTTGTCTTTGTTAAATGGGGAGATGGCGGGGTGTTTTTGTCTTCTCCCCATGGACTTCCCCTTGCTCCCTATAGAGGCTGGCACATTGCTTTTGCACAAAGAGATACTTCCCTGCTTGTCTCTGAGACAGTACATCCAATTCTCTGGGTCCTCATCTTTGGAAGGAGAACATCTACCATCTATCATGAAGAAGACAGAGGAGGAGGAGAAAGAAGAGGGGGAGAAGGAAAAGGAAATGGTGTATTTTTAAAGAAATGGTTACATTATGGGAATGAATACGCAAAAATGTCAATAAAGCATACTGAGTTTGAAAGTTCCTATGTCTTAACAAGGCCACAATGAGTAGCATTTAAATATTTATGAATGCATTAATACCTTGGAAAGTGAGGTGACTTATGTCACACGTTATGCAAATGACTGTTGAAAAGATGCCTCCCATTGCTCAGGCAGTGGCCTTAAGGGCCTTGGGACCCTGTAGGTCAGCCCCACTGTATCTCTCCTGTAGCAAATACACACAACAGGTGCATTTTCTACAAACACAAATGCCAAGATGAAAACATGAAAGCTTCTCTCAGGTCCAACTTAAGTTCAGATTGACACTCTGTCTATCCAATGCACTTTGCTTAGTACTTTTGCCACTAATGGTGGATCCGGTTCAGAGGCTACTCATGATACCAGACGGGAGCAAAGGATAGGGCACCAGTCCAGGGCTGCCCGTGAAAAACACCGCCCACAGACTGTGGACATAAATTCAGGAACAAAGCACTATCTCAAGTGTAGAGGTTGTGTCTGTTATGTTAACGACTGTTCAGTTAAACATGGTTCTCAATATTTATATTGACAGTTGCTGGCCTCTCTCCTGGACTGGATGCCATCATCAAATTCACATGTGCAATACCGATATATGATGCTTGAGCAGCTTTTTTTAACAAATGTGACACATGGCCTTACCACACGCTGGGTGGTTTGCACAAAGTCAAATGTCCTCTTCACCATCTTGACAAACATTATGTCCACATGTGTACTATATGTACATGAAATCCTTGAGCACGCATATAGTCCATATGGTCTTTTCAGATGCAGGAGGTTTGGTTCCCCAAGTACAACTTTTACTGAGAGATCCCCAGAAAACTTTTGTGCCACTTACACAGTCTGATTTGATCTTTCTTGAGGAACCAATGCTATTAGATATTGCCTGGTGGCAGCAGTAACTAATCTTTGTGGACTGCGGCTTAATTTTTTTGATATATGAATTCTGCCTATTGAAACATGAAATTGTGATAAATTCACAGAAGAGTAACAATCTCAGTTTCCTTAGAAATGACCTACAAAAAGAAGCTCCGCTGCTTCTAGAAGATGTTCCTCAAAAAACAAAAAGGGACCCTGCTTCTGATGAGATGTACTCTCCAAACCCACCCCAACCTTCCTCCTCCAATGGCTTTCTCCAATATGGTTCAAGGTCATTTGCTAAACAGTGGGTCAAAATGGCCATTGTGTTTTTCTCAACCTTCTGTTATATTTTTCTTTTCTCTTTCTTTCTCTCTCTCTTTCTTTCCTTTTCTTTTTTTTTCTCTTTCTTTGTCTTTCTTACTTTCTCTTTCTTTCTTTCTGTCTTCTTTCTTTTCTTTCTCCTTCCTTCCTTCCTTCTCTCCTTCTCCTTCTCCTCCTCCTCCTGCTTCCTCTTCTTCTATTTCTTCTTTTCTTTCTTTCTTTTTTCTTTCTTTCTTTTTCTTCTTTCTTTCCTTCTTTCTTTTCTCTTTCTTTCTTTCTTCCTTTTCTCTTCCTCTTTCCTTCCTTTTTTCATTATTAATTTTATTAATTTACAATTTTACCCACTTCACTTTTTACCCATCAGCTTGTATCCTAACCACAGATGACTGTATCCATTTTACTTAAATGAATTTAACCAGAGTTAGGCCAAGGCCATGTGGGAGGCAATGCCTTTGGTGGTGAGTTGCACCATCACACAGGTAACACTGGCATCATGGATTCACCATTGCCACTCTCTGGATGCTTTCTCTACATTCTCTCATGTTGGAATCCTCCTTTCATCATCCCTTTTGTCTGTGCTTGCAGGTCGGGGTGCCTATGGTGCTGGCTAGTCAGGGTGCCTGTGGTTCTCATTGTCATTTAATAGTCTGAGTTTTTAAAGGCTAGATTTAATTAATTTTAATTAATTAATTAATTCCCACTAAGATCTATTCAACAATATAGAGAACCTCTCACGACCTAATCAGCAAGTAAGTCCCAGAGATAAAAGGCACCATTTCTACCCCTGAGGTTCAAAAGCATAGTGAAGGGTGGAGGAAGGCCATGATGGTGGCTGTGGGGTGCATGGAGCAGGCTAACCCAGGGTTTCCATCTGACACAGCCTAGTCCTGGATGTAGGAGGACATCTCTGTGAGAAGGGTACTCCTGGCTTGGATCTGTTGAGTTAGGTAAAAATCAGTGGGCACAGCCGGTAAATGATGTATCATTGTTAACAAAGGCTAAGTGACTGGAACATCAAGCTTTGTTTCTTTCCTATTGGAATTTCTTTCAGAAATTGCTTGAACCCCGTGGTAAAGCTTCATGTGTGTGGTCCTTGTGCACAAGCAGCAGGGGGTGGGCAAGTGGGAGGAGGTGTGAACCTGCCACATTTCCCTTGTTGTAGGAGAGAAGGTCTGTTCCAACTCTTTGGGGACATAATTGTATGAGGAGACTCTTGTATTTTGGAGACTATAATGAGTCACACAGCCTGGGGTTGGCTGTTGAGGCCAGGCGCTGGCAGAGAGGATTGCCTAAATCTCCTTGTGTTGCACAAAACTAGCTACCTCACAGAAATCCCCTCAATTCTGCCCCCTCTCATTGCAATTAAATGAAAGCATACTGGATGAAGGTGTGAAGACTGAAGCTTTCAGAATGGCAGAAGCCATGGCACATCCCTCCCTTCTCCCTGGGGTACCACCATTAGCTGTCTGAGCTCCAAATTCCTTCCTCCTATAACCTGGTGACTCTGTTCCTTTTTTCAAATTCTTGAGAAATAAAATACATTTGGCTGAGCTTGTGCAGGTGTCTCTGAACTGGAATCCGTCGTCTGTGTTCTAGGGGAGGTGGACTGCAAGACCTAGCCTGAGGAGCCATCGTACGTAGGGGCCAGGCTGAGGCATGAGTGGGTGCATTCAGAGAGTAACTACAACTTCCTCATGGTGTAGACAGAGATCCACTTTGGAGTTACACAAACATCCATTACAAAGTAATCCTGATTATTCTATCAGTATCTAAACCCCTGTTGACATAAAAGTGTCACTTGCTTTCAGAGCCTAAAGATAATTTTGAAACACTTTTGGCCATTGGCAGATATTTGGAACAACACAGGATCAAGCTTATTTTCAAAACCACACTTGCCATCCTGACTACCTGACCATACAATGTGGGGACATGTAGGAGAATGCCAGATTTTTGTCTGTGTTCTGTATTTGCCTACGCACTCCCCTACCCCAACCAACACCATAACTGATTTACTTACTTAAGGAGTGGTTTCCCCTTCAAAGTCAGCTGGGAACATTAGACAGAGAGGTGTTTGGTTTCTGGCTGGTAATCTTCTCCTGTATATTAACTAGACACAGCATATTCTGGCTTTGAATATTCTTGTGGCTTAACTTAAGAGATTAGAAATTTCTTTTGTGTTCACTTGCTTGGCCTACGGTATGACAGACGTCTTTCTGTGCACGCAGTAAATGACTTGGCTCAGTACTCCATTGTACTGTGACTTTTTTGAAGTCATCCAGTGATAATGAAATCAAAATTAAGTTAACCTTTATCCTGGCATTTTACCAAGTATAGATGCCTCCCTGGAGGAGAGAGCTAAGGACAGTTGCATTCGCATGTGGTCAGGTAGTGACCAAAGCCATTCTTATTTCTTTGCCCCCTGCCAAGTGCCTGAGGAGTCTTAATTTTTTTATGGCCATTTTCTTTGGACATGAATTCTAAACTACATTTCAAATCCAAACATGTCATATTCTGAGTGTCTTAAAACTGAGATCATAAAGTTATGGAAGAGTCAGCTTCATTCATTTTTAGCCACTGGAATTTTGAATTGTGAGTTATTTGTTCGGATAAACTTCAACAACCTGTAGTGTGTAAGGGGAAGTGGCCTTGTGTACCCTCCTCTGCCACCAAGTGTGTGGTACTACAAGCCCTTCTTTGGACAGATTCTGCACATGTGCGCACAGCTATCTGCAGCCACTCTTATTGGTCTCGGGTGAACCACATTCTAATGCATTGGTGACAAGTATGGCATTGTTTCTTTCATCTCATGCTGGGAACGCTCAGGGCCTGTTCCTGGTTTTAATGGAAGATTGGGTGTTTTGGACTCGGTTCGGGAGTTGGTACTGGTAAACTTCTGATGTTTATTTATGCAAGGGTAACTGTGTGGCTGTACAACTCATGCATATTTTCACCAGATGAAATTTAGGTTCAGCAAATGTGGAAAGAGTGAAAGTGTTTGCTGTTATCCATCATTCGTGGAGGGTGATTCTATAACCTTCGACTTATCTACTCAGACACAAGGTCCAGAAGCCCAGAGGGCCTCTTCCAGGCCAGCTCAGACTCCTGACATCCCCTCCAAACAGTGGACTTGAAAAGGGGCTGGGACATGTAGGAATGGCACACTTTCTAGACAGCTTTTGCTAAGAAATAAAGACAATACATTTTGGCTAATTAAAGGTCCTGGAAACCTTGATACCAGGGAGCCAGGTTGCTTTGTCATTGCCTGAACCCCAAGTTGGAGTGCTTAATAGTTTCGAAAATGTAATCTCTCTCCCCCCAGTTTATTCTATTAAGTATTAAAATAAAGCTGCAAGTATCATTTTATTTTTATTTTAGTATAGGTCTAAAATAGTATCTCACACTAATATAGTCACAATTTTTACAATTGTTATATTTTAGACCAGGGTTTTGCAAACTGTGGCCCTTAGGTCAAATCTGATCTGTGGTTGGTTTTGTAAATAAAGTTTTACTGAAATGTAGGTCCAATCATTTATGTATTATTAGCTTCTGTTGTGCTACAATGAGAGTTGATTAGTCATGACATAGACCACATGCCCCCAACAGCCTACGAAAATCACCCTCCAGCCCTTCACAGGAGGGTTTGCTGGCCCCTGCTTCTGACTAGAGCAAATCTAATCTACTTATCTTACAAATTAGGCACTTTAGGTCTAAAGTTGTTAACGAACTTCTTTCTCAACTTCTAATAGCCCAGGGAAATTTTCTGTATTGTTGAGCTTTACATAAATTAAATAAGTGGGATAAACCCTTTCATTTATGATTTCTCTTGCTCAATATTATATTTTGAGATTAATTCATAATGGCGTACATAGTTGTGGTTTGTTCATCTTTACCAGCTTATGGTATTGAATAAATGGATGCACCACAGCTTATTTATTCATTCTGTGGTTTATGAACAATGGATAACTTGCAGTTTGGGACATTCCAAATGTGGCCACCATGAACGTTCTCATACAGGCTTTGTGGTGTACATGGGCACACATTTCTATAGAGTGTGGTGTTAGTTGGCTATTGCTGCAAAACAAAATATCCCAAAACATTGCAGCTAAAATTAAGAAGCATTTTTTTCCCCACAGTTTGTGGGTCAAGAATCTGTGAAAGTCTTGGCTGGAATGCTTCTGACTCAAGGTCTCTCAGGAGGTGACAGTCACCCTCCAGTTTTCAGCAGGGCTGCATCTCATCTGAAGGCTCTACTGAGGGTGAATCCCTTTCCAGCTCAGGCATGTGGCTGTTGGCAGTCCCAGGTCCTCACCACGTGGGCCTCTGTACAGGCTGCCCGAGGGCCCTGGAAACATGCTAAGTGATGTCCTCAAGAGGGAGTGATCAGAGAGAGAGAGAGAGACTCAGGATGGAAGCCTCAGTCTTCTTATATTGATCTCAGAAGTGACACCATGTCTTAGTCTATTTGGACTTCCATATCCAAATATCATAGACTAGGTGGCTTTTAAACAATAGAAGGTTATCTCTCCATTCTGGAGGCTGGGAATTCCTAAGTCATAGCACTGGAATATCTGGTGTTTCCTGTTGGTAGACGGCATCTTCTCGCTGTGTCTTCACATGGTGATTGGGGCAGAGAGCTCTCTGGGGTCTCCTTTGGAAAAGTGTCAATCCCACACATGAGGGCCCGGTCCTCATGACCTAATCACCTCCCAAAAGTTTCACCTCCTAATACTACCACTTTGGGGGTGAGGATTTCAATGTAGGAATTTGGGGGTACACAGACACTTAGACCACAGCACATCCCACTGCTTCTGTGGCATTCTTTGTATTAGGAGTGAGGCAATGAATCTGGTTCACGCTCAAGGGGGTGGAAATTAATCTCCACCTCTTGAACGAGAAGTGCCAAATGATCTATGACGTGTTTTAAAACCATCACATGTACATCACTTGGAGTAGGATTTCTGGTTCCCAACATCTTTGCATGATCCTTTTTAGCAGGGGCGACCGGTGTTACTGAGGTGGCTGCTGCCACTCCCACTCTCGCAGCACAGTCTGAGAGCACAGGGAGCTCCCTGGCTTGCATACTTGCTAACGTCAGTCTTTTCCTTTAATCACTCTGCAAACCAATGATTTTTTTAATGGCAATGGAAAAGAAAAGGGAAATTGTGTGTATTGAACTTCTATTAAACATCAAGCCAGCAGTTCCATGATGCACACATTAAACTCCACTGGGAGGTCCCATTTTCCTCAGTCCATGGGTGAGCTCGGAGACGTTGTGTGACTTGTCTAACAGCACAAAACAGCCACAACTTTCATCAGAATCTGGTACCTGTTTCCTCACCTTTCCTAGTTTTATGTGGAAAATACATTGACAAGAAAAGCCTTTCTAGAGGCAAAAGCAGGAGACAGTGGTTTCATGTGGAATTAGGGAAACGTCTGACCTGTGTTTGCAAGTGGGTTGAAAAGAAAGGAAGCCCCATCTCTTTGAATGCGTGGGGCCAGTGGCCTCAGTGTGAGGAGCTTCTTCCTCTGGGTCTTGAGGCATCCAGGTATAGGGCCGAGCCAAGGTGGGCTGAAGTGTGGTGAGACCATGCACAGGACACAGGCTGACCTGATTCTGGACACCAGTAAGGAAGCACTCAGGGACATGAACTTCTGAGAACCAAGGGGGTGTCAGGATGTGGGGGATATCAGGGATCCAATAATGATTGGGATGCTGGGAGGAAGGGCACCGCATTTTATAACACTTTTGTAATCCCACTCAAGTGAAGCTGGATTCAACAATAACAAAAGCAAGTATGTTGAGCATTCAATAAAAATACCCCATTTCTACACAGCTGCAGAGATCCCTGGGCCCCAGGATTTATCTGACAATTGTGCACACGAGGTGATGCCAAAAGTGAGAGGTTCCCTTGTCCCAAGAAAGTTAAGCGGAGAGTTAAATACCAACGACTGGCATGAATGTCAACTGATATCACCAGCATCGATTTGAAATATGACATCAACATGGTACAGACAAAAACACGTCTACACTTATTGATTGTCTATAATTAACCTGCAATCACAGTCAGCCCGTGCACCAGCTGTGGCCCCACCTTGCTAGAATACGTTGAGCATAAGCATCTTTGCCTCCAAAGCATCAGGCATAATGGCCTCATTATTACTCCTTTATATCCCTTTCTCATCTGTAAATCATTTCTTGTTGGCAAGACTTCAAAGGGAAATTCCTTCTCTTAAGTGAAATTAAAGTAAACCGTTTAAAAATATGGCACAGTGACCTTTATTGTGACTGTTCATCTATCCCTAGTATTACTATTTGCATTTGTTTTGCTTTGGTATCTGTTGTACTGTTATTTCTTGTATTGCAACACTTAATGACTAATATGTTTTGAATCTTGACAAAATGTGATATATTTCCCATGAGTATATGGTTATAAGGTAGTGCATATAATTTACTGTATATTATACATATTTATGAAAACATATTTTATGTGCTTAGATATTCATATACTATGGGTGCGTGTGATTTCTCTTGCACAGGGACCTTTAAAAATATTTTGTGTCTGAGCCGGGCACGGTGTCTCCCGTCTGTAATCTTAAAACTTTGGGAAGTCTAAGCACGCAGATCACTTGAGGTCAGGAGTTCAAGACCAGCCTGGCTAACATGGCGAAACCCCATCTCTACTAAAAATACAAAACTTAGCCAGCCATGGTGATGGGCACCTATAATCCCAGGTACTCAGAAGCCTGAGGCGGGAGAATCTCTTGAGCCCAGGAGGCGAAGGTTGCAGTGAGCTGAGATTCCACCACCGCACCCCAGCCTGGGCAACAGAGCGAGATTCCATTTAAAAAAAAAACAAAACTGTGTCTGTCCTATGCTTTTCACGAGTGAAGAAAGAAGACGTGTTCATTAGTAATTAAACAGGATAGGAGTATTTAGGTTGATTTTGTTCACCTTAAAACAGTATGCTGCCGTTCTCATTCAGGCTGTGTTAATATGGATTAAGTAGCACTTTTTCCCTGGCACGGTGGGAGTGCCCAGCGGCTGTGAATTCCATGCTCACTCTGAGTTCTCCACTTGATCAGGACTCGGTGCTGCCCGCCTGGTGTGCCCACCCTCCCTTTCTTCCTGCAGGCTCTCGCTTTACTCACATGCTCAGCTGTCCATTTTATTCAGCTTTGACATCTCTGACACCTAAGTCTTCCCCCAGAATTTATTAGCCTCTTTTTTTCATCTTTTTCATAGAATCTCAGGAGTCTTAATGGTAGATCATTTTTCATGAAAGCAGAGAGCTTTTTTTTTTTTTTTTTTGAATGAGCTTCTATTTTATTAGTCTGTCTGGAAGGGTTTTTAAGAGTACTCATTTGCAGGGCTGGAAAATTTACCATAAATTTTCATGAGAGAAGACTTTCGGTTTCAAAACAGAAGTAGCCCTTAGCCTAATTTCCATGGTTCTGCTATGCCTCCAGTGAAGACCCCTCTGCACACCTCCAGAAGCTGTAGCACATTTATTGTTTTGTTTTGGAACAAAAATGATTCCATATGATGTTCCCGACTGTCTGATCATCTGCATGGAGATCAGAGACAATAAGCGCCAGTGTGAGTCCATTTCACTCAGGGTCGGGGAGTCCGCAGGAACGCATGGGTCATGGGCGTGGGAAGGGGATTCATCCCAGGAAGGAGAAACCTGTTCCCCAGGGCGGGTTTCTGCGTGGTTCCAGCCTAACTCCTGCCCCTTGGGTCTTGGCAACCAGTTTGGGAAAATTCGGGGTCCATCAGAGACTTTGAGAGATGTCGACCCTGCTGCCAATCTGCTCCAAGCCGGGCCGGACTTGAGAAAGGCTGAGTGACATTTCCACATCCACCTGGACTGCAGCCACCCCGGTGGCTCCTAACACAGCGTTAGTTCACAGGTTACCTTCTCCAAAGACGTGTTGCTGATATGCAAAATACAACAGATGAATCATTGGAACAGGACCCTGCGACATCTCCCGCGAGAGAATTCAAGTGAAGAAAGCGTGACAAAAAGAATGTGGTCAGCGAAGAGGCCAACTGGAGGCTCAGAGAGATGAGGAAGGAACTGTTCCTGGGCCGTGTCCAGGCCTCGGTGCCCGGGGAAGTGATTCTCCAGCCCTCACCGCTGCTGCAAAGGCAGCCTGGCTGCTTTAAGACGTCTTTGTGTAGAGTGGGGATCAGAGACTACATTTTGCAAGTGGGCTAGTAGCAGGAAAACATTTGGAGGCCTCAGATCCCTTGGCCTCATCTGAAAACACCTTAGTGCTTCACCCTTTGTTGGTCCCACCAGGCCCTCACTTCCTCTTCAGGCTGTCAGGGGGCACGTGGAGGCAGCAATTGGGAGGGTGCTGCTCCCAATTTCACCTAAGAGACCGGGCATTTTCCAGCACCCCCAAGGGGAGTTTCTGGGGACTCCAGGAGATTCTCCCCCAAGCGCAACCTCATTCTGTCGACTGTGAGCCATCCATTTGGGTGCTCCCAACTCTCAGCCTCAGCCTTCCCCTCCAGGAACTCCTCTCCCTGGGGCGGCATTGCTCTTGAACCAATAGCGGCCCTCCTCCCCTCTCCAAGCCATTTGGATGATTCTGGAGACTCACATCCTGGCACAGGGAGCACCTCTCCTCTCCTCAAAGCAGGCGAGGGGGCCGGGGCAGGCTACCCGGTGCTCTCCGCACCAAAGCAATGCACTTTAATTCCTGCAGACACACACACACACACACACACACACACACACACACACACACACACGTTATACTTTTGTTTCTGAATGTAAGAAATGGTGTGTGCTTATTATATAGATAAATTAAAAAATAAGAAAATATTTATAATATACATATTTTGAGAAGCCAAAAAATATATTTCTTTATTAAAATCTTATTTTGGTCACCCAAAGCTGCATTTTTCTCTCCTAACCTTGAAGGCATTGTGATGCCCCACATCGGAGCTGCTCCAGGGGACGGTGCTGGCCTCCCTGGTAGTTGGGGCAGGGTGGAGGGACAGGAGGACCTGGCCTAGAGAAGAGACATCTCACGAAGACAAAAAAGGTTACGGTACCAAAAAGGGGATAAATACGATCTACAAAGAAATTGCCTTGTTGAAGACTAGAAAACAACTAGGGAAAAAATGTGGTCACCTCTTCACCTCTTCAGGTATGCCTCTTAACAGGTCTGTGATTTTAAAAGGCCCTTAAGTAGGTTCTGACTGGGTAGAGAACCTGGTGGAGATTCTGTATAACCACCAGAAACAACCCCACAGTGCCCATTTTGGATGGAAAAATCTGTAATTTTCCATTTGCCTCAAATAATGTATTAGGAAATAATCTCCCCACAGAGAATTTTAATTTGCCTGTTGGAAGGATGTTAAAAAATTAAGATATTGAATATTGGGTTTATTTCTGTATTTCTTTATTTTTGCAGGAATTCTTGTTGCTCCTTTCTGTGACATGTCAGCCTGGGTCCATGTGTGAAACTGGTGATCGAATGATTAAATCAAGAGAGTTTTGATTAATTTTTTTCCCTCCCCTACCACTGTCACCTGGGCTGACCGGAGTGAGGAGAAGCTTGAGCAGACACACACTGCCAAGCTCTGTGGCTGCACAACCAAGAACAGTTTTGTTTTTCAAAGACTTGGAGCCCTTTACTCCCAACTTAAATTTATATGGTTTGCTAATTGCCTGCACATAAGGAAAGGTGAGCATGTAATTTCCTTTCACTGTAATTTGAAATCCTCCAATGATGGTTTCTCTCCATCCACTAGGGAACTGAAGGCTTTGGCAAGCTCCAAGCCTAGGGCCCGACGGCACTGGCCCAAGTGGAGGGTTATAATATGGGTACAATGCACCATTTTGTACTCAAAACAATTTTTGCTGGCTTTGGCTTTTTGATTTAATGAAAGTCTAATAAGTCCAGAAATTCAAATTTAAGCACACTTCTTTTATTTTTAACCACCAGGAGTAACAATAATCACTCGTTCTACTTTAAAAAAGTAGAATTCAACTAAATGAATTTCACAGACTTTTTCTTGGACTTATTTTAATTTGGCTTTAATGTTATAAGTCTAAATCTTGAAACATTTATATCTCTGGTTTCAGTTAAACTAATAAAGTATTACTATATTAATAATTGGTACCCACTTTATTAAGTACTATAGACATCAAATCCTTTATATTCAAGAAGTGAAAGCCCTCCAGCTCTAAATACTTTTGGCAAATAAGTCCTTAAGATATAATTGAGTATAACATAAGGTCTGATTTAAAACATGAGTTAAAATTAAGGGCACCACTACCATTTGCAAATCGTTAAAGGACTAACTTAGAAGACAATTCTTGTGATGAAATTCAAATGCGGACTCACAGGAACTCAAGGTCTCATGTTTGAGGTGAGCTTCAGAATTCGTTGTGCAGATGGCTAGGACCTGCACTATCACTGAGCTATTTAATTTAAACCTGAAATATCCAGGATAACAAACATAGGAATATAAAGGAAATGGCACACTCAATTAAAATAATTCACGAGCTGCCTTGAGAAGAACAATTCAGGGGGAAATGGCCTCATATTAGATGTTTTGGGAGTCCTTGACGAGCAGTTTCCTTCTCATTCAATAATATCCACACTGAGATCGATTCTGCAATGGAACTGACAAAGGAGTGCAGGGAGAGTAGACTTCTTAGTGGCAGGAGCCCGTGTTCTCTCTGTGTCCCTAGCACTTGCTAGCATGGCTCAAGGAATGCTTGTTGAATGCACTGCGCAAGGCTAAGAGCTGGGTCATACCAAGGTGATTAAAATATCATTCCTGTCCTCCAAGAAATTACTAAGAGGGAAAGTTACATACTTGAATAAATGACTATAATACCATAGAGACTATGTAAACTGTTAAAAGTAATATGTAAATAAAGTATTGTCGATGTGAAGTATTTTCTCAAAGAAGAGACATTTAATAAATGCAAACATAAATAGCATGCTTATTAGTGTATATGATACTTTCATCTCACACTTTCTCCGTCCTTACTACATTTAGATAGGTGATTTAAGACATTTGTTTTTTTTTTTAATCTCATCTTTCTTCTGTTTTCCACTCCACAAGTTTATTTTACAAAGTTATAGATTTGGAAAATAAATTTTTACATACTCTAGTGCATTCTCAAAAAATTACATTAATGGTGATTCATGCTTAGAGACATCAAGTAAGCTGTACAAGGCCTCGCAGTTTTGTAAATACAAAAAGTAAATAAATACAAATTTTAAAAAGGAAAAAACAAGTATTGACTCATAGCCAGGAATGGAAGCTATCTCAGGACTGTTTCCAGGGGTTCAAATGGCACCTGCCTGGACGTCTCTCCTATTTCCATCTCTTTCTTCATTTCCCGCCTATGTGCATTGCCTCATCATTTTATTCCACTCATTTGTTTGAGTGTAGCCAGAAATGCACACCTGCCCTGCTCATAAACTCACATGGACAGGGAGGCACTTTCTCTGAGCCTCACTCTGCCAGTGCTAGCAAGGACCGCAGATGGCCACTGCTGGGTCACATGCAATGTGCCTGGCTCAGTCCCAGTGCCCAAGGGAGCGGTCCAAGCCTTGGCCACGTCACCCATCCCTGCACAGGAAGTGATGAGTAGGGAAGGGGGCACCCTAATGGACATACTTGCTCAACTGCAGGGGAGAGGAAAGAGTCATCTTCCTAAGAAAGACATTCCAGGTAAACAAAACACCCTAGGTCCATTCGTGGACTTCCACCCAGTGGAGTAGGTGGGCAGAGGTGGCGGCTCTCAGTGCTGGAGCCCGTTGCTCATTCTATAGAAACCCTTCGCCTCCCAGGAATGAAGGTCTAGAGGTTGTGCAGAGTTAATATGCAGAAAACTGTAAGGAATCAGAACTTTACAGCATCAAAGGACTTTGAGATCACAAACAGCCTCCAGAAATACACTTTATTTTTGTTTTCTGTTCTGTATTTTTATATCAAATGTCAGATGATTGATGAAATAACATTTAATCACATGCACATTGGAGACACGGCTAAAGCTTTCAGTCTTGCCTCCAGCTGAGACCTGCCTGCCTCTGAGTCCTGATTTCAGTAACCTCCAGCTCAGTGTCTTTCCCTGAACATCACTGTCTCCTACTCTAGAAAGAGTGAGAAAAAGTGGTAATGGGACCTTCTCCCCATGCAGATTATAGCCTTTAAGAACACAGACACTTATAAAATTTGAGCAGAAAATGCATTTCTTCATCTGTCTTGGCACAAGGACAACCACCGCTGGTCTCAGGTTATGTACGTTTCTACATGCAGACTCAGTCTCTGAGCTTAGGTAGAAACCTAGCGGAACTCAGTAAAAACTCAAGAATACCCTTAATGTATTTCTCACCAGCAACTACGTCTATTTGTCTTTCATGTTCCTATTTCACCAAGCCATGAGGGATCTGCCCCCATCCCCCAGAGTCTCCAGCCAGGCCCCACCACCAACACTGGGGATTACATCTCAGCATGAGATTTGGAGGGACATCCAAACTATATCAGGAAGTAAAGTCATTTGCTGAAGAGCATATAGCTCAGAAGTCCTCCTAGCTTAAAATTCAAGCCCTTAACCCCAGGTTACCCCACTTTATAGAGGAGCTGATCTCTGATGCACAGCTAAAATGCATGTCCCCTCGGACGAGACATTTGACTAAAAAGTCTTTATGACTACAGTGCCTGGCCCGGGGGCTTGTGTCCTAGAAATAACAAACCAGTGAGTGAGAACCATCCTGGATGCCTGGTTGCGTATGAACCCATGGGCTCTCTGTGGTTTCCGGTCTTCCTGGGAGACAGGTGAATAACGACCACCTGCATCCCTTTCCACAGAGACAGGGGCAGAATCTGAGCTGGAGTTCCCCAGTCTGGAGTCCCGTGCTCCTGACTTCAGAACTCACTCTAGGCTGGGCGCGGTGGCTCACGCCTGTAATCCCAGCACTTTGGGAGGCCAAGGCTGGTGGATCACAAGGTCAGGAGATCGAGACCATCCTGGCTAACACAGTGAAACCCCGTCTCTACTAAAAATACAAAAAAAATAGCCAGGCGTGGTGGCGGGCGCCTGTAGTCCCAGCTACTCAGGAGGCTGAGGCAGGAGAATGGCGTGAACCTGGGAGGTGGAGCTTGCAGTGAGCCAAGTTTGCGCCACTGCACTCCAGCCTGGGTGACGGAGACTCCATCTCAAAAAAAAAAAAAAAAAAAGAACTCACTCTAATGCTCCAAGCAGCATGTAACTCTTGACCTTTCACGGTTTGGGGAGGATAAGCTCATGACAGAGGGCACTGATCATGGTGTCCAGCAAGTGGTGAGAATTCAGCAGATGTCAGACACTATTCCTCACCACTAACAAGATCATGACGGCATGTGTGTGCTGAAGACTCTCTCTGCAGCCACCACACTTAAAGAAAATTCATTGAGAGAGTACCAACATGGAGCATATTTTAAACATCTAAAATATTAAGATAATGTACGTATTAAACTCAAATTAATGGTATGCAAAGCACTTTGATATCACTTTCAAATAAAGAATTAAAAGCATGGTACCAACATTACCAGAAGTCTAAATCCCCTGGCCTCCTAAGCCAAATACACGTGCCTAAGTTAGTTATCTCTTGGAAATGAGCTCAATGGAGTGGCTCTGCTATGGTCAAACTGTGCGGAACAGAATGACTGGCATTAAGTGCACCTTCAGAAGAAGTGGGCCGTTACTGCATTCTCACATGACCTAGTTAGTCCTGGTGAAAAGCCACTTATGAGGCAAAGCGAGTGGACATGAAGTGAGGATCTGCAATGGTTGTTGTAACAGAAGGGAGCAGGACAGAGTCCGGAAAGCTAGAAACACTGTCACCCAGGACGTGTGCCCCCTGAATCAGCTGTGCCCTGGGACAGGAAGAAGCAGGCTGCACAGGGTCATCAGAAAAGCTCTCGGCACAAGGCCAGACATGGGTGGCAGGGAACCTGGGTTCCTTGAGTGGACAAGACTGTGAAAGGGGATGGGTGGCCACACACCAGGACCAGCCATGGTCACAGCAGCAGCCTCTTGTCCTTTCTCAAGGCTACAATTCCCAGGTCACTTCTCTCTGGATGCTGTCATCAGGAACAGGAACCTGGGAGCCCGGGTGGCTGGGATGGGCATGTAGGGACCAAAGAGGAGAAAATCAACCATTGGCACCTCCTACTCAGTGACTCCTGGTACAGAGGGCGCAGGACACGGAAGGAAGTGCTCTCCACTGGCCTGTCCCTGGACACACTCAGGTCCCTCTGTTGGTGAAGATGCCTTGCTAGAGGGCAGACTCATCTGCATTCCTTAGGGGAGGTGACAATGTGATCCCACTTGTCCACTTGGGAGGTCTGTTTCCACTGCTTCCTCGCACCCCCCGCCAACCCTGCCCTTCCTCTGCTCCCCCACCTCCTTCTGCTCTGACCTCCCCACTCTGTCCCTTAGAGCCTTCTCTGGGAAGTGGGTAGCATCTACTCCCTTGAGGAGCCCCTACTCCATGCTTGTGTGAGCAGGCCTAGGAGCACTTTAGGAGAACAGGGCCTTCCCATGATGGGCAGGAGGCCAGGAGGAAGTGAGTGGTTTCCTTTGACATCTGGGTCACTGAAATAAGCTTTGCATGTTTAGTAAACACATAAGACCACATGTTGGCAACTAACAAAAATTAAAAGCTCCTCTACCCTCTGCCGTTCCATGGGAGTAGCTGTGCCTACAGGAACAGCATTGAAAAAACATTGCTAAAAGGCAACAAGGAGGGCACAGCAGCCACATGGTCAGACGAATGTAGTCGTTTCCTTTCAACCCCCATGTTCACCCTGGAGAGTGATGGCCTGGGTCGGGCAGGCCAGGCTGGCAGCCTGCAGTGGGCAGCTTGGGTGACCTGACGCAGAGGCCCCGGGTGGAGTGAAGCCCTGAATGGGGACTGCACCCGGCAAATGAGACTCGTTCCCACGCTTGCTGCTGTTCAGACGCGCCGGGCATGCTCCCTGCTCCGTACGGACCCTTTGCTCTGCCTTCTGCCATCTGTCTTTTAAAATGTTAACCTCTGCAGGCTGGAATGAGTGTAAGGTTTACTTTTATTTTCATTTTTTAAAAATCCTAATCTCATGTCTCCTTGGAAATGCCCTCTCAAAAATGAAAAGACACTGCTTTCTCGACATAAAGCCATTTGGGATGGTTTCAGCGTGTTCGCTGGGGCACCCATTTACCCTGCAGTAAGAATTCTGCCGTGACTCGAGGCAGAGCCTCCGCAGACCCCCCTGCCTGCCCCTCGAGCCACGCAGGTGGTGGGAGCTCTGGATCCTCTGTTTACAAATCATTAATGAAGTGATTGTGGCCCTTTTCACTTGCTCACACTTTTGAACTGTGCGGAGTGACACATTCCTTAATGGGGGGACACAAGGGCAGAGAGAAGCCCACAACAGTCTTATTATGGGGGCCGCACAAACGCCGGCCGTGCCGGGGTTTATATTAACCCAATCAATTAAGGATGGACGGAAAGACCCGGCCCAGGGCACTGGGAAAAGCAGCGCGCTCCCAGGAGTTGCTAGGCACGCGGAGCCGGCCTCCAAAGTGTCCCCTCGGCGCTGGAGCTGCGCTTTCTTCCTGCACAATAAAAGGCCCTTTGAAAGCCGAGCTTTCCTAGCCGCACAAGCACTGGAAGTCACTGCATTCTCTGAATGAAATAAATGTCTCTTTTTAATTCCTATAAGGTTTGTGTAAATTCCCCTCAGTGCAGCACCATTAGGATTCTGCAGGAAAGACGCATACATTAGACTGTACTGTATGGCTTTTGTGCTCTGCGCATCAACTCTCCCCTGCCCCTGATGCAGAGTCTCGAAGCTTCAATCAAGTGTGGGCTCCTGCCGGGGACGCAAGCTGCACTGGACACTGAAGCCACCTTTGTGCTCGGGGGCCTCATTTGAATAAGCAGCATGTTGTCACTGGGGAAGGCAGATGGCCCGAGTGTTCCATCCCAGCAGAAAGGGAGAGGGAAACAGAGAATTTTATTCATTTTGTCCTTTCATTAAACTAAAACATTTCTTGGACTACTAAATTTCCCAACCACACACCACCGCCACCCAGGGAAGCGCCTGCTCTGTGTGGCTTCCATGCGTCCTGCCACAGGATAAGACAGTGACTGGATTCCTCAACTTTTCCCCGCTTCCCACCCTCGCCCTGGCTGCTTCTCTGTGTAGAATGCAGGGAGCTCCACATTCACAAACTGCCTAGGAAGTCGCCCAGGCACACGGGAGGGCTTTCTTTCCAGCGGGGCTCCGGGCTGCTTTCACGTTGTGTATTCAGCTGTGACTCAACTTAAATTAAACACCACATCATGAGTTGAACAAGTGGTCAGGGGAGATTTAGGGCTGTACATAAATTGTCAGACTTAAAAGCTTCATTTCAAGCCGTATTATGTTCTCTCTTCTAGGCTGGCAGGTATTTTCCTTCCTAATGTTAGGAAGGTTTGCATCTCCACCACTGAGTTGTCCAGAGATTTCCAACATAACTGAAACTCCCTTGATTTGGAGGGAAGGGAAAGACGGCTGGTGGGGGCTGCTATCTTCAAACATTCATGTAATTCCTAAAGTATAGGAGGCTGCCATGCTCACTGGGTGGATGGAATGAAAGGGTCTTTGCTTGGGTCCCCCACTGCCTGCCTACTTCTTTGATGGAACTACACCAGCAGTGTCTCTGAAACTGGAAAGAGATCAATTCATGAATCACCCAATACTTTATGTCTTGAAGTGTATTTCAAGTGGGTTAATGAGGGTCTCCAGGAAGCAAAAGTATTAAGTAAAACATTGTTAAGCTGGAATGTACCTGTGAAATTTCCCTGGCAAATTATTAGAGCCAAACTTATAATCCCTTTTAATACAAAAAGGATTCCTTTGAGTTTCAATTTTTAAACACTTTATTTTGTGGGCTTTGGGTGGAGAAGAGGGGTTCATCTTAGAAAATATGTTGAGCATTCAATAGCTTTCCTAGAAGCCTCTCCTCTCTTCTTAAGAAAAAAAGAAAAAAAGAAAGAAAAGAAAATTTTCAGCATGATGATTATTCAGAAAACGATTATTCATCATTTTTCATGAATAGAAAGACAACATTCTTCATTATCCAGTTCAAATTTGTTTTGCAAGTAAGAAGTGTAAAAGTTACTTTAAACATAAAATCTTTATAAAAAAAAGTCTAGGTAGTTGAAAAAAATAAACCATAAGGCTAGCAGTATGCACTTCATTATAAAGGTCACCTGTATAGTTTATACATAGATCAAATCTTATTTAGTTAAAATGCTAAATACATGAAATTTCTTTTTTAAATATATCTGTCTAATTTGTACATGTGTGCTTATCCCTATTTAGTACTATCGTTTGTGTGTGGTATTGATGAGATCCTGCGTTTCTTTCTTTCAACTTCACTTATGGTATTGAAATGAAACTTTATGGTATAAACAGAAGACGCTGCTTTGGCATGCATTTGGGGAGAGGGTTTAATCCCTTGTAATGTGTTACTTGAATCAAACACTTGACATAATTTAACAGCAGCCATGTTCTCCCAGCATGTAAGTTAATACCTGGGTGTAAGGTCATGTCTGTGTACACTCTGTAAAACAAATCACAGTACAGCAAACACAGTCCATATTGTCCCCGCTGTCAGTCTTCCCAATTAATATAGATGACTGCAGCCACGTCCATCAGGAAGTGGCCCTCATCAGTCATGGAGGCGGCAGGGGAGCCCATGTTTGCAAAGGGTTTGAGCTGGCCCCTGTCTGCCGTCTTTGCAGGGGTAGATGAGAACTTTGGGGAATGGACTAAAGGGAAGAGGTCCATTTTTTAATATCCATCTGGGATCAGATAATAAAGTCCAGGGGCATGAATACATTTGGAAAATTTCCCAAAAGGGTTTACTAACAAGGGGAGGCTCTTGTATCTGGGGAAACTCAACCTCAATAAATTACTCATTGATTAAAACAAACAAACAAAAATATACAGTTTCCATTATGTCATATAAAATAGGCTATGATTGGATGATTTTAATTTAATGGCCATAGCAGCATTTTTTTCTCCATCCTTCTGTCCTTTCTTCCTTTTTTCAGCAAAAAAAATTTGAACACATTGAATGTATACTAACCTTAATTACTATAAATATACTCAAAGAATGTAGAAGTAAAGGAAAGGCTAACTTGATCGATTGAACACAGCATTTACTTTTATTTCCTCTCCTCTTCTGTCATCTAAAAAGGCATAAATTCAAAGAGAAGGGAAGACGAAGATAACAAAATACTGGAAATTGAAAAGGGAGGGAATGGGAGGTTGAAGCATGAAGGTCTACCGTTAGCTGCCCAGGCAGTGTAAGGGAGGGGACTCACTGGGATCTTGAGTAGACGGCACTGGTCATAGTTCTCTAGGCAGCAGGAGAGCAGAAGGTAGACACTGTACCTAAACTGGTGATTAAGTGAAAGTTTGCATCCCTGACCTTGGAGACGCACGACCTCTTCCCCATCAGTTCCCCAAGGCTAGGTTTCCTTCCCTAGAAGATACTGAAGATTTTTTCTAAGGAAAAACATTGAAATGGGGGAAAGGACACACAGATCCTGACATTGGTGTTACTAGCGAGACATACCCATCCACCCTCCATCACCCCGTAGGAAAACCACCAGTCAGCAGGCTCCACCTGCTGGAGCCTGGGTGGAGACCAGAGCTTGGAAAGACTTTTCCACATCCCTTTCTGAAATATGAAGGAAGAGCCAAAAAGCATCAGACACTAAAAGAAAGTCAGAGACTACAATCAACAGGCTTGAAAGGAACATGAAGGGAACAGTGACAAAGCAGAGAGCAGATGACTCAGAGGACGTTGCATCCATGAGCTGAGAACTAGATGCTATAAAAGTAAATGTTTAAGAAGTAGGAAAAAGTTCTGGGAAGTTATTTTATGTAACATTTTATGTAATATGTTTATATGAAAATATTACATAAAATAACTTCCCAGAACTTTTTTTAACTTGCCATAAATTATACATATAATAAATATGTTTTTGTTTTATATATAGCATATAAATTATATAGGTGTGTATGGATGTATGTATAAATTTTAAAAATACATAGAATGAGAAAACAAACTTGAGGAAATCTTTCATATGGTAGACCAAAAGACAAAGAGATGAAAAATGGGGAAAAATGAGAAAATTAGAGGATCAACTCACAAATTTTACTAATAAGGGAGAGAACAGAGAAATAGATGATAAGAAATAAGAAAATTAAAGAAACTGCAGATTACATCAGGTTCCTTAGTCAAAGCTTCCATTGACCACCCAGAACAATGAAAGTTTAAAAGACAAACACACAGACACACACACACCCCGCCAAAACTAAACAAATAAAGCCACCTTAAGACACAGCACATTGTTTTAAAATTTCAGGACACTGGAAATGAGGAGAAGATTCTAAAATATTCCAGGAGGGGAGGAAAGGCTTGGTAATAATTCTTATGGACTGAGGATGAGCATGAATAGGGAGGGTCTGAGTGCAGTGCTTCCTTACCAAGAATTCTATACCCAGCTATACTAGCTGTACTAACCAATGGTGAAGAACAAATAAAGGCCTTTTCAGAAATTTGAGACCTCAGCATATTACTCATATGCGCTCCTTCTTCAGAAGCTGCATAGAGTGCATACTCTACTAAAACTTGTGTATATACAAGTCGAGAAAATAGAAGGCCAGGATTCAGGAAACAGGATCTGATGTAGGAGGGAAACAGACATGCATCCCTGGATGATGCAGGATCATCCCAGAGAAAAGACAGTGTGGGTTGAAGCAGGGAAATTGAGGGTTTCTGTGGGAAGTCACAAAGAAGAAAAAATGGAAAAATATAGGACTAAATTTTTTTTAAAACCTTGACAAAATGGTACATAGAAAATAAAACATATGCACGAAAAAGTAACTGATAATTCAAATAAAAGCAGAAAAAGTTGTTCAACAAAGGCAATATAACCATAGTATATTCTGTGCAGCAGATAAGATGAAACACATCAAGATAAGCACCAAAAGCTATTTTACCAAAATTTGAAACACAATTACCTTGGAATTATATATCAGAAGGAATGTGGAGTGAGAAATGAAAGGATGTGTGATATAAAAATTAATTCTAATATTTCATATAGAAGATTAATAGGTAAGGTCTAAAACAGAAAAGTTAAATAATAGAAATGTATGTCATTTAGATATACAGAGAAACATATCACAAAGAAAAAGAGGGAAAATATTGAAAGTGACTGTTGTCAGAGTTCTAACTAGAGGTAGAAAAGGGGGGCAGGGAAATGCCTTATTTTGTAATAAGGCTTTCTGGACTGTTTGGTTTTATAATCTACTTCTGCGTGTTATTTATTTTGATAAAAATTAAGTTATAAATAGGAGAAAAATAAAAATTAAAGGACTCACTCTTTGAGAAATTTTGAGTTAGACTGTGCAAGATTTTAGGACAACTATGCATTTTAAGAGAATATTCCACACTTACTTCTGACACAATTTCAAGTTCTGGGGTCCCCAAGACCACTCTCAGTTTTGATAATTCACTAGAAACACTCACAGAACTCACTGAAACTTATTATACTCACGGTTAGGATTTATTGCAGGGAAAGGATGCAGATTAAAATCCACCAAGGGGCTGGGGTGCAGTGGCTCAGGCCTGTAATCCCTGCACTTTAGAGGCTGAGGGGGGTGGATCACCTGAGGTCAGCAGTTCGAGACCAGCCTGGCCAATTTGGTGAAACCCCATCTCTCCAAAAAAAGAAAAAAATTAGCTGGGTGTGGTGGCACTGCCTGTAATCCCAGCTACTGGTGAGGCTGAGGCAGGAGAGTTGCTTGAACCCAGGAAGCAGAGGATGCCCTGAGCCAAGATCGTACCACTGCACTCCAGCCAGAGTGAGATTCCACCACTAAATAAATAAATAAAATAAAATAAAACCCATCAAGGGAAGAAGCACACATGGTAGAATCTAGGAAGATTTCAGCCATGAAGCTTCCACTTCTCATCTCCTTAGGGAGTCACAGTGATCTACCTTCCTGGCTTTGAGGTGTGACAATATTTACAAAGCCGTGCCAGCCAGGGACACTTACCTGTCCAGAGTTTTCATTGGGACCCCATTATGTAGGCATGATGGATTCATTGGTTGTCCATGTGGCTAACCTCAGTCCCCAGCCTCCAGCCCTTGCAGCAGTGACTCAGACCCCTCATCCTAAATCACATTCATTGTCGTTCTTGTCATGGCCAGTCCCCACCCAGATATGGTGTGGCCAGCTACCACCCTAAACAAAAACACTTCTACCAGGCCTCTCAGAGATCACTTCTTAGAAGTCAAGGACAAAGGCAGATATCTTCTTGGGCAATTTTTTTTTTTTTTTTTTAGGCAGAGTTTCGCTTCATTGCCCAGGCTGGAGTGCAGTGGTGCAATCTTGGCTCACTGCAACCTCCACCTCTAAGGTTCAAACGATTCTCCTGCCTCAGCCTCCTGAGTAGCTGGGATTACAGGCATGTGCCATCACACCTGGCTAATTTTTGTATTTTTAGTAGAGATGGGGTTTTCCCATGTTGGCCAGGCTGGTCTCCAACTCCTGGCCTCAAGTGGTCCGCCTGCCTTGGCCTCCCAATGTGCTGGAATTACAGGCATGAGCCACCACGCTCAGGACAATTTTTAAATACACAGAGTATAACTGACATTACCATTAAAGTATGTGATTTCCAGCTTTCTATTCTTCTTTTATTACTGCCCCACAGGAGGGAAGACTCAGCAGTAAAAGGGGAGGTTAAGGCATGGATGAGAGCTATATTCCTCTATTGCCTTAAATTGTATTTTTAATCACTGCAAATATCCCAATGAAAGCTCCGACATTTTGCCCAAATGCTATATTTACATGATATTAAGGCCTGGCACTAGTTGATCTCACGTGAAATTTGACTTCATCATAATTGAGGATTATTATTCCATTCTGAAGTTTCTCAGTATGGATATAAAGAAGTTAACATTTTCTTCATCCTAATGGTCAATAAAAAGAAGTTTAATCTCCAGAAATAGTTTCTGCCTGAATTGAAGTCTTATTTTATATATTAAATGCATTATTTGGAATTTTCTGAAATGAACATTTTTTTCTGTGCTAAAACAGGTACAAAAATATTGCCACTTTTAAAGAAACTTCTTTATGCAGGCAGGCAGTATCTCGATTTTAAAGGGAAAACAGCTGTTTCACAGATGTATGCACATACATACATATCTCCATTCATATAAGATTATTCTCCCATTTTCTTATTGAATCCAGAGTAAAATAAAACCAGTCCAGATGAATGATGGGCTATAAGCTTCCCAAAGTCAGTTCTGGTAACTTCCCATGGAGTTCAGTTGAACTTTCTACAAATCTGGCTACATCAACTATTTAACACACTCTGCTTCCTATTTCCACCTCCTTTAAGATAAATGTTCCTACAATTTTGTTTTCAGAGGGTTTGTATCATATTAGATCCTAAGCACTTTTCTAGCTCCCACATATGAGTAGCATGTGCAATATTCATCTTTCTGTGCCTGGCTTATTTCACTTAACATAAAGACCTTACGTTCTATCCATGTTGCTGTGAATGGCATGACTTTATTCCTTTTTTATGGCTGAATAATCTTCCGTTGTGTATATATAACACATTTTCTTTATCCATTTCCCATGATGCTCAAGTTGACTCCGTATCTTGGCTATTGTGAATACTGCTGTCGTAAAAATGGAGTGCATCTATCTTTGTTACATACTGATATCCCCCAGTGGGATTGCTGGATCATATGGTAGCTCCAGTTTTACTTTTCTGAGGATCCTCCGTGCAATTTGTTTTCAGATGGAGTTTCACTCTTGTTGCCCAGGATGGAGTGCAATGGCACAATCCCAGCTCATTGGAAACTCCACCTCCCAGGTTCAAGCAATTCTCCTGCCTCAGCCTCCCGAGTAACTGGGATTACAGGCGTGCACCACCACACCCGGCTAATTTGGTAATTTTAGTAGAGATGGCGTTTTGCCATGTTGGTCAGTCTGGTCTCGAACCCCTGACCTCAAGTAATCCACCTGCCTCGGGCTCCCGGAGTGCTGGGATTACAGGCATGAGCCATCGTGCCCGACATGCAATTTTTTTATAATGGCTGTACTAATGTACATTCCCACCAACAGTAAGTGAGCAGTCCCCTTTCTCTGTATCCTTGCCAATATTTGTTATTCTTATGTTTTTGATAAAAGCCATTCTAAGTGGAGTAAGCTAATATCTCATTGTGGTTTTGATTTGCATTTCTCTGATGATTAGTGATGTTGAGCATTTTTTTTTCATATACCTGTTGGCCATTTGTATGTCTTCTTTTCAGAAATGTCTGTTCAGGACTTTTCCCCATGTATTAATCAGATTATTTGGGTGTTTTTGTTTCTGTTTTGCTACTGAATTGAGTTCCTTATCTACTCCAGTTAATAATCTCTTGTTGAATGGATAGTTTGTAAATATATTATCGTATTCTGTAAGATGTCTTCTCACTTTGTTAATTACTTCCTTTGCTGTACAGAAGCTTTTTTCTATTTTTCTATTTTTGCTTTTATTGTCTCTGGTTTTAGGTCTCATCCCCAAAGCCTGTGCTGAAACCAATGACTTGTAGTGTTTCTCCAATGTCGTTTTCAGTAGTTTCATAGTTTCAGGTCTTACATTTAAGTCTTTAATACATTTTGAGTTGATTTTTGTATGTGACAAAAGATGGGAATCCAGTTGCTTCCTTCTGCATATGGCTCTCCAATTTTTCCAGTACTGTTTACTACAGAGACTGTCCTTCTCCCATTGTATGTTTTGGAGACTTTGTCACAGATGAGTTGGCTGTAAGTGTATGGATTAACTTCTGGATTCACCATTCTGTTCCATTCGTCTATGTTTCTAATGTGATGCCAGTACCATGCTGTTTTGGTTACCACAGCTTTTGTAGTACAGTTCAAAGTCAGGTAGTGTGACGCCTCCAGCTATGTTCTTTTTGCTTAGGACTCCTTTAGCTGTTTGGGATCTTTTGTGGTTCCATACAAATATGACAGAGAGATACAGAGAGGCAGGGGCTGATTCATGGGTTTTCTTTTTGTTTTTGTTTTTATCATTCAGGATTTCTTTTAGGTTTTTCCTACATTTAATTTTGACTGAATTTCGACAAAGACAATCATCAAAATTAAATGAGGGGCTATAGTTATTAGAAGCAATTCAAACAGAATGAAATACAGCTTGCTGAAATGAAAGTCCTTCATAAAATCTCCCCTTCTGCTTTCATGGCCCTAAGGCATTTTGAGCTTCTAGTGGTCTAGGTTATTCAAAAGACAGTGTATCTTGAAAGTTTCTGTAGTTGTCCTACTGAAAATTAATGTAGTTTCAAAAGGTCTCAATTTCATTTCAAAAGCAGGCACATCCTGTGTCCCCAGCAGACAAAACAAGGGCAGAGAAGATGTTACAGTAGGTAGCTAGTCAGGCATGAGCAGGGCGGGGGAGGGCTTCCCCCTCATCCCTGCAACACAGCAGGAATGTCAGGTGACCACCAGGTGCTGGTCAGGCGATTAACGCATTCTCTAAAATAATAATTGGAGGCCAGGAGCGGTAGCTCATGCCTGTAATCCCAACACTTTGGGAGGCCGAGGAGGGATGATCACTTGAGGCCAGGAGTTTGAGACCAGCCTGGCCAACATGGTGAAACCTTGTCTCTACTAAAAATACAAAAATTAGCCGGGCGTGGTGGTGCACACTTGTAATCCCAGCGACCAGGGAGGCTAAGGCAGGAGGGTCACTTGAACCTGGGAGGCAGAGGCTGCAGTGAGCCACTGCACTCTAGCATGAGAGACAGAATGAGACTCTGTCTCAATAAAAATAAAAATAAAATAAAATAATAATTGGTTGGAGCTAATGCCGGGGAAAGGCAGGCTCCTGGCAGATAAAAAACAGCTGAAGCTGGAGATCAGCAGCTTCCAGATAAGATCTCGGGAGTTGGGCGAGTGGGCTCAAGCATACACACTAAGAGGCAAAACAGTGGCGTTTAGCTGGAATAGTATACTGGTAAGGGAAGAACGTCTCAAGTAAGCATGCACACAGCTCCAATAAACACACAGCCCATGCTCCCCTCCCAAGGGCTGGCAGGCCACTGCACATGTGGACAGCCCAACCCGAGGGGAGAAGGAATGCAGGATCCCAAAAGGATGACAACATATGAAACATGTGCCAACATATGAAGCCCCAAGTCAAAGGTCAAGCCGTGCACTTGATCTCTCGAATCACCCACTTGGCCCTCTTCCAAGTGTAGTTTTATTTCCTCTCATTCCTGTTCTAAAGCTTTTTCATAAACTTTCACTCCTGCTCCAAAACTTGCCTCAGTCTCTCCTTCTGCCTTCTGCCCCTCCGTCAAATTATTTCTTCTGAGGAGGTGAGAATTGAGTCTGCTGTAGACCCAGATGGATATGGATTTACTGCCCATAACAAAGGCACTGCAAGGCTGGCTGCACGGGAGTTTCAGGTTCTCCTCTTGCCCCCAGGTGAGTGCTGGATGTCTGCAGTAGACTCAGACTGGCCACGCATGGTCCATGCCCATCTACTGACACCTACACCCTGCCCCTGACCTGGAAGCCGTCCCTCCCTCTGTGAGTGTGTGGGAGGGGAGGAACTGAGGCTGGGGGTTCCACCTCTGAATCCAGCTTCACCTCAGTTCCTGCTTCACAATCACTCACAGGGTGTGGCCAGGGCTGGACTGGACTCTGGAGAGCATATGGCCTGTGTAGAGCCCCTGAGGCTTGGGAGGGCCAGCAAGAGAGCTGGGCTGGGCAGGTATCCTGTGGGCACTTGGGGGCTGCAGGAAGAACCACCATGAAAGAGGCAGCGTTGGAAAGTAAGAGGACAGTGATTCCAGGCACATGTGAACCCAGGGCCAGGCCTCCCTGCAGGGTCAGAGCCTGCAAATGCTTCTCCTTTCGCTCTTCAGCCAGGCTGAGGGGGATTTTTACATCCAACCAGCATCACTTCACAGACACCTGTCCATTCCATTCTCCCGAGCCTCTATTTCCTTACATGCCTTAGCCCAGGAAGAATCAGGCTGCATCTGTTTTCAGCAAACACACAAATAATAACATAAAATCCTATCCTATCATATACATCTCATAAAAACCAGAAGCAGCAAAGGTTGAACTTGGATTTTTGGTCCATTTAGACTTTTAGAAACTAGCAAAGACATAAAGCTTTTTGCGAATCTTCCAGCAAGCTGAGAAGGGATAATTATACCTTCACTTTCTGATGCTTAAAATGTCCCAGTTTTGACCAAAGAGAACTTCTTCCTATGGCTCTTGGTTCTTTTGGAAACAACTCCACTAGTTGTTGATGGCTTCCTTGTTGCTTTCACACAAACGGTGTTCCAGATTCATCATGTAAATTAATTTCCCCACACTTCGAATCAGGCATTTCCCAAGGATTGTGTTCGTTACACCGGTGGGGAGTTGGAAGACCACAGCCCTGCGTGCACTATGTCAGCTCCTTGTTACTGGATTGGCCTTGCTTCTAGACCTTTTCCATAGACAGAGCCAGAAGATATATGTTTTTTGAAATAGGTGGGATGAAGAACATGAGTTCATAAGAATATTTCCAGTTCAAATTTTACATTACAGGGCTTTTGATATCATACTTCTCTTTTCACTAAACATTTTATTTCTATAACATTAACACTATTATTTATCCTACAACACACAGAGTTTCAAGATAAAAACGCTTATATTAAAAATCAGACTACTGAGTGAAGTCTGTATTTTCTTTGCAGTTTTGTATGTTCTTAGAAAACCTATTAAGTATATATGGTCAAATAAAGTCTCTTGAAAGAAGTTGACTTCTTTGTCACCTCTAATGCATCGAGATGATCCTTTCTTCTCTGGGACTATGTAACCAATTGTCTTCCAGTGAGAGTCATTGAGTTTTTTTTGTAACAAATTATAAACTACTTGGAACATTAATATTTTATAAAATGATCATTGTCTAATTCTTGGTAGGATACATTTGATTTCTTTAATTTAATAATATGCGTTAATGCTTCAAGGTTGTAAATTCGAAAACTTTGTAAATTTATTTCATTAAACCTTCCATGTTTATTTATTAAAATTTGTTGTTCACAGCGACAACCATTTAAAGGGTTTTCCCAGAATACTTGACTTTAGCTTTTTCTTTTTTTTTTGAGACGGAGTTTCCCTCTTGTTACCCAAGCTGAAGTGCAAGGGCGCAATCTCAGCTCACTGCAACCTCCGCCTCCGGGGTTTAAGCAAGTCTACTGCCTCAGCCTCCCACGTAACTGGGACTACAGGTACATCACACCCAACTAATTTTTGTAGTTTTAGTAGATACGGCATTTCATCATGTTGGCCAGGCTCGAACTTCTGACCTCGGGTGACCCTCCCACCTGGGCCTCCCAAAGTGCTGGGATTACAGGCAAGAGCTACCACACACGGCTGACTTTAGTATTCTTAATGTAGAAAAATAATGCCGTATAAAACTTACAGTCCCAAGAAAATGCAGTTAAGTCTTACCATTTCACTTTCACTAAGTGAGTGTTCCTTCCTAGATTTAAGGAAAAAGGCCAAGAGAAAACTGGAATTCCTAACTCAGTGAGGTTCCCATTCTGCATCTTGAGCGTATCCAGTTCTCATTTTCAGTGCTGTGCATGCGTGTGTGTAAGAGTGTGTTCTGTTCTCTTTCAGTTGACTTTGCCAAATTGTAACTGCCTTCAAACGAGTTGCATCATTGTATAGAATGCCCAAGTGAAGGCTGCCAGCCCTTTATGAAGTATGAAACCATGCCCTGAGCATCTGGAGATGGTCAGCACTCACACGTGATTATGGAAACTCTTCTCCTTGAGGGATAAAAGTTTTTGTTCTGATTGTTTTTTGAGTGAATAGCAAATGCCTCTCAAATGTTTGAAGACTGGGGGATCTACGGTCCTGTCTAAATAACAAGAAACTGAAATTTGTCTGTTTCTATAGTATACGGTATATGATTCTTGTTTGAGTTTTACCAATATTTTTAATCAGCTTTCTTCCGTGCGGAGACTATAGCTTTCCACATGTTGCTTTACCATTTCGGGTTTGGTAATCACTTCATATATTTGGCCTGGAGACTCTTAAATTGAAAATAAGGTGCAATGCTTCAATATAATGGCCTCCTTCTGATGTGTTTGGCCTGGTGTAAAATTAAGGAGTTACGTTTTCTCCCTTCCTTCCTCATTGCTCCAAACGGTATCAGTTGTTACTGAGCAGCCGTAACTGTATTTCTAACAAAGATTACACAGATATCTCTGTCCGGCTCCATGTCCTGCAGGGCTGTTCTGTGGTCTTCCGATCAGTAAAAATGTAATAACATTTTCACATAGTCAATATTTAATTCTGTAAATGCAACTGGTAGTTGTAATCTAGGTTATTAACCACACAGTGATTTATGATAGAGGGCAGGCAGTGGCGGAGTAGAGCAGTAGGAAAGTCCTCTGGTGACAATAAAAAGGTTATAAATTTCATAGCTCTGCCTGAGAAATATATTTTATATCCTATATTAAGAATAGCTTTTTATACATTTTAATGATCCATGTTATTAATGGGGCTGTCATCATCATCGCCTATATGAGACTACAGTCCTTGTATTTTTTTCTTTTACTTTTCCATCAGCTGAAGGTCTTGTGAAAAAAAAAAAGAGCTCGTATTAGCTATTTGCCAAAAACATCTTTAAGAGTTATAAGCCTATCATTGTTCCCTTGGACTGCAAAGCTTGCGAGCAGTAGTTTGCATAAAGTTTTATGACTGAGGCAAAGGTTGGGCTAATTGGATAGAACACAATCGGAGCTCTATCATGTTTACAAAGGCCAAGTCAATATGCAGAAATAAAACTGGGGCAATATCAAAAGGAGAAATTTATATATGGAAATTGTCCTTCTCTTTGGCTCCCTGTCCCCTTGCTGAGAAGCCATTTGGTTTCCAGCTCTGCATGTGAGTGCACACACAGACCTGTCCAACTGCAGCTCAACACACTCCCAAGAAAATGCACAATCCACATCAATCCCCTTTCCAAACCCTCTGCCATAACCCAGGTGAGGGATGAGCTGGCCAAAGGAGCTCCCAGGGCGGCAGGACACATTCGCGTGGGGCGCGGAGCTCACAGCTGGGCTGGTTTGGGAGAGCTTCCTTTATTCACACACCATTTGTAAAGACAGATGTTTACAAAGCAACCCTTAATGATCAAACCGGTTTTAGAAATTGGTCTTGCAGTTGGAGAAGAGGCTGCTACCAGGTTTACATTTTCAGTGTCACTTACTTCGAACATTTTCCTCTGAAGATTATGTAGGCAAAAGAGAGAAAGACGGAGAGAGGCTGATTAAAACAAACACACAAGCCACCACTCTCTTATGTGGAATGGTTTTGTTCGTTATTTCTTACATAGAAAACTAATTTATAGCAATATAACTTTACTCTAGTTAAATTTGCAGGGAGCAAATTTGATTTTTATTTAAAATTTATTTAAAATCAATGATTAATTTTTAAGCCGGTGAGTAGTTTCTTCATATACACAACACAGAAACAGTTCATAAAACTTTATTTTATGGTTATTTTAAATTTTGAAATGAAAAATAATGCCTACATGTTTTTAATAAGATGGTAACATATTCATTACATTAAGAAAGACAGCGTTTTTCCTTTTCCCACAATATCTTAGCCATCTAAAAAAATTATCATATGATAAACCATGAAAGCAGTTTATTAGAGCTTGAATCATTTTTTAAAGTCAATTTTTTTCTTTTCATGGTGAATGTTGAATTAGAGAGAAAACATGTGAGAATCTGAGCTCGTTAAAAGCACAGGGCTTTCTTTTCTTTTTTCCCCGTTTTCCTTCTCTTTCTTCTCCTCCCTCCCTTTCTCTTCCTCCTCATTCTGCTGCCTCTTCCTCCATTTCTTCTTCCTTTCTCTCCTTCATCTGTCCTTTCCTCCATCCCCTTTCCTCTCTTCCTCCCTTTTTTTCTCCCCTCATCCTTTCTTCCTCTTCTCCCTACTTTTCTTTCTTTCTTCCTCTCCTTCTCCCTATTTGTCTCCTTTTCTCCCATTTCCTTTGTCTTTCTCTCCTCTCTCCTTTGTTCCTTCTTTCCTCCCTTCTTTTTCCTTTCCTTCCTTCCTTCTGTCCCTCCTTCCTTCCACCTCTGCTTTCTTTTTCACCAAGCATATGCAAAACACAGCTGAATGCAGCCTGGGTTCAACAGTACATGAAACTATGGAAGACACCCAGGGGCAGATTAACACACTGAAGCTCAAATGCTGCTTCCCTCTCTCCCTTTTCTGGCCCACTGCGCTCATGGTCTCATAACTTTTCAACTTCATGAAGAACAAAGTTCTGTTTGTTCACCAAGTCCTTGCTTAGAGCGACTATACGCAAAGAAACAGATGTGATGACAGCACGATCCTTTCCCTCCGCTAGGAGACTAGAGAGGCAGGATTACCAGGCAGTGCTTGCAGAACAAGCGGCTGTTCTAACCTGACCTCGTTCTCCTCCTTGGGTTTTCCCAGGAAGCCTCATCCCTAAAGCCCTTGATTAGTGATTACCGTTGATTAGTGAAAACCTTTGATTAGTGATTGAGCGTACTGATGACTTCATGAGGACTGAAAGAGGGGCGCATCTCATTACATGTCCAGTGCAAAGGGGGATCCACACATGTCTCCCGTCTCCCCAAGCCTTCTCTGCCCTGTCTTCAGTGGGGCCCACTTTGTTTGACTTTTTTTTCCTTGTAGAATCCAGACACTTATTTATAGTTTTCTACCCACAATTTTTTACTCCCACGTCATGTCAAATTCCCACAGCACCCCTATTTTGCAAAACATCGTTTCCTTTTACTTAAATCTAAATTCCACTGCTAATCAGACGTTGGGTGTTGAATTTTCACCCCAAATCAGCTTTTCAAGACATCTCTGTCTTGGCTTTTGCATTTTTGGAAAAATTGCAAATCACTGTCCACAAGGCACTTCTATCACATCCTGAAAGTATGGGATGGCCTTGGTGTTGCAGCTTGTAACCTGTACGCAGGGCAGGCTTCAGGGCAGCCTTCTGCCCACATGGGCATCAGGCTAATCTCTGTCTCCTTCCTCAGTGCTCCATCCCCTGTTCACGACCAAAAGGAATCGCCTATGTAGAGTTGGGTCACATGGAACAGCAGAGATACTGTCGGTGCACTGCTTTATCTCTTCTGCTGAATAAAATACCTGTGGGATTTTGTACAATAGATATTAACATCAACCTGAAGCCCAAATGTATAAGTAGGTAGAGAGAGAGAGTTGGAAGTAGCTTGTAAGTGTTCATGGCACAGGTCACAGGTGAGTCAGCAACCAGCAGGTAAGCAGGTTGGCCCAGGTCCATTCATTTTGTTGAGGAGCCAGGAGACATACTTTTCGTTGACTGTCATTAGTAAGGAAACTGCCTAATTAGTTATAGGATTTGTGTATCAGCTTCTTCCCCTGTATTTCCCAATAAGCCACAAGCTACAGCCAAGAGCTCAAAAAGCTTCAGATCAGATATTTTTGTCAGTAACACTTTACCAGCCATGTGCTTCTCATTGCCCCACTTCAGGGGACACAATGCCATGTGGTCACATTTTTAGTGATGCTAATTTTGATTGCTTAGTTAAAGTCATTACACACCAACCTCTCCATTCTAAATGTATTTCTTTTTTCATCAGCAACCCACAAATAATGATTTCATATCTATTGACAGCCTTTACCTGGCACCAATCTCTTTTATGGGATTTACAGAATGGTGGTTTTTTTTACGACTGTCATTAAAATAATTATTAGATAGCATTCTTCTATAAAGAACTTTCTTCCTTCAATTGCAGATGAGCTACTCTTCCTCTTCCTAAACAAACAAACATGACAAAATAGATGCTTAGTTCTTTTCCTCTACTTGTATAATTTTACAGCCAGACATGGTGGCTCACGCCTGTAATCCCAGCATTTTGGGAGGCTGAGGCGGGGGGATCATTTGAGGTCAGGAGTTCAAGACCAGCCTGGCCAACATGGTGAAACCCCATCTCTACTAAAAATACAAAAAAAATTAGCTGGTCATGGTAATGGGCACCTATAATCCCAGCTACTCAGGAGGCTGAGGCATGAGAATCTCTTGAACCCAGGAGGCAGAGATTTCTGTGAGCCGAGATTGTACCATTGGACTCCAGCCTAGGCAACAGAGCAAGACTCAGTCTCAAAAAAAAAAAAAAAAAAACAAGAACAAACAAAAAAAATTTACAACAAAGTTCTG
The DNA here is from genome assembly GCF_000001405.40 of Homo sapiens. NCBI lineage: Eukaryota > Metazoa > Chordata > Mammalia > Primates > Hominidae > Homo > Homo sapiens. Next base: position 4,247,542 of record NC_000005.10, read on the forward strand.
GTGTAATAATAAACCCCAATGTGGCCAAATGTGTTTCTTTCTCTCTTTCTCAATGTACTATGGTCTCAAAGATTTTTTTTTTATAACAACTTGTATTTATTATGTCTTTTGATGCCAAAGTCACTCCAGTTTGACTTGTGCTTCCCCTACCAACCTTGCTCCAGCATCCTTTTGATATGCTGGTGTTAGCCCTTTGGGTCCAACAACACATCCAGGCTCTTTTTGTATACTGTCTGCTTCAGAACTAGAACCACTATTCTTTCAACAAGACTTGGTTCCAGTTAGTAGGGAGAAATATTTATAAAACAACATGTGGGTGAAAGGTATGTTCATTACTACCAGGAGTCATCGCTTCTAGATTTTTCAATGTATAGAAATAGTAAAAATACATGAAAAATTATGAACACATATTAATATTTTGAATTATGTTTAAAATGATCATATTTTTGATGCCTATGATTTTATGTTTGTATCTCTTTTTCCTTAAACTTGAAGTCATGGCTTCTAGTGTTTGTATATTTGCTTGTTTGTTTCATCCAAAATATATAAAATAGATTAAAAATCATATACCACTGTTAATACATTCAATTAAACCAATGAGTAAAGTTAGAATATTTTCGATTTCTTTGTTGTCCTTAGAATAAGTTTCATGGAAGATGAAAGTTAGTGCACAGTGTGCCGATGTCATCTGGAGCCCTTCTTTTCTCTGGGTGGTTGTGTTGTCAATCTGACATGTTATTGGGGTTGTATGGTCCAGTTTGTTTTAACTTTAGAAATTATTATTGTTTGCTTTGATTTGTTGCATATCCTCTAATTAAATGACAAGCTGTATAAAGAATGATACTAATAAGAACCTCAAGTGTATACTAATCCCCCCCAACCTCCACCCACTAGAGAAAATAATTATACTGGCTTTGGCTTGTCATTCCGATGCTTCTTTATGCAAATCTGTGTACACACTCTGCTTTCCTATCTTACATAACAGTTAGTGATCTTTCTCCTGTGTTCAGTTCTTGTGTTCTGAAATTTCATTTTGTTGCTGTCAGAGTGGAAACATTAGGCACGGACGAAGAGTGAGGACCCTGGAACTGGACAGCAAGGCTTGAGTATTGCTTTACTGTCTACCAGCTGTGATTCCCAACCTCTCTGTGCCTCCATTTCCTTATCTGTAAAATGGGAACATAATAATATCTACCTCATGAGATTGTGTTGATTATTAAGTGAGTTGGTTTTTTAAAGTGTTTAGAACTGGCGTATAGTTAATACTCAATATTCTGAGCCGGTATTATTATCCTAATGTAATGGTTCTCAACCAGTGAGAGAGAGACCGGATTTTGACCTCAAGAGGACACTAGGCAACCTCTGCAGACATTTCCGACTCTCACCCCTGGAGGGGGAGTGCTGTGGCACTGAATAAATAGAGGTCAGGGTTGCAACTCAACAGCTCACAAAACTCAGGACAGCCACCCCACAATCAAGAATTCTCTGGTTCAAAATATCAATAGTGCTCATATTTGAATAATAACAAACTAAATCATTTTTACAAATTACAAAAGTGAATGAAAAATAATAATTCTAATAACTAAATATAGGCTTTTTTCTGCTTTATAAAATTTTAACTCACTGAAATAATTACTCTATAAAAGCATAATCATTCCTTTTCATGACTCACATGTTCATCTATATTAAAGAAGATAATGTAACCCCTTTCTATCTGAAAATAGTCACTCATAATACCCTTTGTGTTTCTCAAACTAGACTGACTTGAAACTATTCTAAATATTTCCTCTATTAAACATATAATTCATTTAGAAAATATTTCTTCTTAGTAGAAAAGTAATTTTGAAAACAGGCTGGTTGCAAAGAATTCTCTTCAGTTAAAGAGAAGAGAGGTGGATATAGAATGGAGAACAGGAAAGGGAACTTTGTCATCTGTTCAGAAAGCTACAAGCATATTTTCATGAAACCAAATTACTCAGCTAAAAGACTGATATGGTTTGGCTGTGTTCCCACCCAAATCTCACCTCAAATTGTAATCCCTATAATCCTCAGGTGTTGAGGGAGGAACTTGGTGGGAGGTGATTGGATCATGAGGGCAGTTTCCCCTGTGCTCTTCTTGTCATAGTGGGTGAATTCTCACGAGATCTGATGGTTTTATAAGGCAGTTTTCCCTACACTTCCTTGCACTTCTCTCTCCTGTTTCCATGTGAAGAAAGATGTGTTTGCTCCCTCTTTACCTTCCATCATGATTGTAAGTTTCCTGAGGCCTCCTCAGCAATGTTGAACTGTGAATTAATTAATCTTCTTTTCTTAAAAAATTACCCAGTCTTGGGCAGTTCTTTATAGCAGTGTGAAAATGGACTAATGCAAAGGCCTACAATGAAGAGTGGAGTTATGACTTAATTATACAGAAATAGGCAAGAAGACAATAACTTCTCACACACCACACTTTATTGTTCATTATTTTTAAAAATTCAATCCAGATTTCTAATGTTTATAATTCTGTTGTTCTGCATGTCCTGAGGATTAGAGAATAATAAAATGCTGATAGATATATAAGAGACCTATTTTAAAAGCATTTAGGATTAATAAAATGGGTAATGACAATCTAATAGTGTAACAGCACTAGGACTCAAATTTCTAGGTAAATGAAGCTTTTTTGATGACCTCATGCCACTATGATACAGTTTTTGCATTCACTGGGAGAGAACCATCCACTTGTTATTGCTATTCATGAAGTTCTACGTTATAGTTAGCAGAGCTACAATTTTGGAACCAGTCCTGTGTTCAAGAGTGAGGCCTTCTAGACATCAGTGGCACAGCCTTGAACCAGTTATAAAAACAACTTTAAACTCTACTGTCTTCATGTGTAATATGGAGAAGAGTGTAACTAAATCCTTTACTGCATGATGCAATAACATGAGCAAGACACCTAGCCCTGACAAATGCATGTAATTGGTGTTGAAATTAATGCTAGTCTCTTACCTACACCAAAATATTAATATGCTGTGATTGTGGTTTATTGTACATAGACTCAGATACGTTACACCCCGTTTCAGGCATTCCCGGATCAACAGAGGGATGACTATGCAGGAATGGGGATATGGCCCAGCTTGTGACCAGAGGGAAAGGCATGCACGGAGTTCCATGAGCATCTCATACTTTACGTAGCTCATTATAAAAGACTACATGCACATGGGATAGAGTGTACACTGCTCGGGTGATGGGTGCACCAAAATCTCGGAAATCACCACTAAGGAACTAATCCACGTAACCAAACACTGTTGTTTCCTGAAAACCTATTGAAATAAACAGTTTAAAAAAGAATAAAAGATAATACAGGCAAGGTGAAAAAATGCAAAGTAAGTGTTGGATTGGAGTTTGCCTAACTGGTTAGTATGGGACTAGGTATACTATTTCTTAAATTTCTGTGGTGGTTTTGTGACAACTGAATGGAATGATTTGTTGTTGTTTTTGTTGTTGTTTTTGAGACTGAGCCTCGTTCTGTCGCCCAGGCTTCAGTGCAGTGCCGCCACCTCAGCTCACTGCAACCTCCACCTCCCGTGTTCAAGCGATTCTCCTGCCTCAGCCTCCTGAGTAGCTGGGATTACAGGCGCACATCATCATGGCAGGCTAATTTTTGTATTTATAGTAGAGACGGGGTTTCACCCTGAATGGAATGAACTTATATTTACCTTTAAAAAGTCTCATGCTCGGCCAGGCGGAGTGGCTCACACCTGTAATCCCAGCACTTTAGGAGGCCGAGGCAGGTGGATCATGAGGTCAAGAGATCGAGACCATCCTGGCTAACACGGTGAAACCCTGTCTCTACTAAAAATACAAAAAAAAAAAAAAAAAAAGCCAGCTGTGGTGGCAGGCGCCTGTAGTCCCAGCTACTCGGGAGGCTGAGGCAGGAGAATGGCATGAACCTGGGAGGCGGAGCTTGCAGTGAGCTGAGATTGTGCCACTGCACTCCAGCCTGGGCGACAAAGTGAGACTCCATGTCAAAAAAATAAAAAAGTCTCATGTTGTATATTTAATTAGAGAAGACCTCTTCCATCACTGTTTCCATGGTCTGGGATACCTCATGAGGTGTCCCTGGGTTAAGAGTGTCTCATGGACTTGGAAGACATCACAGCAAAGCCACATGGGGAAGACTCCATCTTTACCATCAAATGAAGTTACAATGACATTTGAAATGCCCTTCTGTTCTCTAGTGCATGTGTTTTTCAAACCATTCCTGAAGAAGGAACATGGCCCTCTCCCAGAGGTAGAAAGGTGGTGCTGTGAGCCCATCCTGGAGGCTATCAGTGGTGTCCTCGTACTAGTATTATTTTTCTCCATGACTTTTGTTCAGTGAAGTACTATATGCTTGCCTATGTTTTCCCTGTCCTGTTTTGTTATGGGGTTCTGGGTTCTTTGTTGGCACTGAAAAGGTCTCAGCTTCCTCTACAACCTTCAGGAGGTGCCTGGCCAATCGTTTTCAAGACCTATGTGTTTAGTAGAACATTTTGTCTCCCTAATTTAAAAGACATTCTTATTTATGGTAGTTAATTTCACTTCCCAATGAAGGGAAACATTATTGTTTGAGCCAGGTAAGTAGGTGGGAATTTTACTCAAGGTACATTTCTCTGGGTACCTGCATAACCTATCCCACAGCCTCCTCCAGGACAGCTAGCACACTGTCCTGCGCCTATCAGCTGCTCCATAAATATTTGCTGGTTTAGTTAGACCTCCCAGTAAATATATATTCAAGGCTAGAATAATTTATATGCATTAATATGAACAGAGCCCTTTGCTTGAAAAAATAAATTCAGAGAAAATGAAAATAAACATAAAGGAGACAGATTTTAACCAGAGATTTTAAAGTGCACAGTAGGTAGTAATCTGTCGTCATCATCATTGCCATGCTATTTCTCTGGAGGTCAAGAGAGGCTTACAAAAACAAATAATATTAGTCTCCCAACCAGTTCAAAGCTCTGGACGAAATAGTCAAGACCGAGATCTAGGCAGCGTGCCAGTGCTGCTAGGTGAACTTCAACTTTCTTGTAAAAACTGCACACACAGAAAGGTAGCAAATAACTCAATGCCACTTTTAAATTTTGCACTCAGCAGCTCAATCAAGAGTTTTAATTAATGCCTCCATAATGCTCCCATAGAACAGAGCATCCACCTACCACCTCAGTATTTACTCCACAGTGCTTGGGTGTAGAGAGTGAACTATATGTGTGTTAGTTACTTTAAGCTGCATTATAGGGAAAGCTAGTTCTCTCATCTTGAATCTACATACAAGGAACCATTTGCTAGTACAGGGTTATAATCTGAAAAACCACACTCCAGAGGGTCCATTGCATGGGAAGATTTCATTTATTTCAGTCATCAACACCAGACAGTTTGCTAATTCAGGTGCTAAATCTCAAAATGTTTTCTCCACTTTGGTGAAGTTAGGACCATGTTAATCACCACAATTAACGTCAGTAATGAGCTCTCAGTAGAATCGCCTCTATTGAAAAAATCACCCCTAGCCATGTTACACAGTCCTATCACCTCAAAAGCTACTATCACATTTCAGTTCCTCCTTTTGGAGCCTTCTCAAGAGGTTAACAATGGCTGCATCACTTTCTTTCTGAATCAGGGTCTCCCTCTCTTGGATCATCTTCTATTTCATCTCTATTCATCTAATATAATGTGGCCTAGTCAATACTCTTGAACACTTCATTGAACTACTTTGCAGAAATATTTTGAGAAGTACACACAATGTCCACACCGTATTTAGGAAAATGTAGACGTTATGTTTACATTAATAAAATTAAGAATATTCAAGGCACATGAACTAAAAATATTTTGGAGACATGTTCTGCTCTTGCATAAGCAGGGAGTGAGAATCCTATGGTTTTCACCTTCAAAGATGGTGTCTGAGTCTTAATCCCTAAAGAGATTTACATTTAGCTATTGGGCCAAAGGAGTTTTGATTGCCTGGTGCTAATTCTCAAGGTAACAGAAATTGCTTCCAGGATATAGTGACTTCTACCAGGAGTCAACATTTCATGTAAAATGTGGTTAGAGAACTTCAAAAAGTAAAGAGCTGGGCTTCATCAAGCCTAGGGGATATACTGTATCAACCATTTTGGGCCTTATTTTCTTCACAATCTCATAGTGAGATTATCTGAGAGCAGCTAATCTTCACCAAAAGGATAAATTTTGGAGGGTTTCCTAATGAGAAACTAAGAGTTAGCAGAACAAGTTGGTGTAGACAAGTTGTTAGCCTCACTGTGAGCTGGCATCAGTAGGAGAGCTTCAAAGAGACAGATCATTTTAGGATAGACCTTAAAGAAAAATTAGGAGACAGCTAATCAGAAATAAATGGTGAAGACATTCTAGATAGAGGGAAAAGAATCATGATCAGACTGACTTAACAGAGTCAAAGGTGCATATAAGAATCCCCCAGATGATAAGGTTGATAACGTGGGTTGAGCCCCAGATTGCAGAAAGCCACAAGTGAAGGGATGCATAGTATTATATTTTATATTGCTTGATGTATGCATATCTGTGATAATGTATACACAGTGCACACATTTTTCTATGGAAGATGGAGCTCCACCGAAGTTGCTTGCAAAGCAGTTCAGGAAAGTGTAATGGAGACACTGATCTAGCTACACTCTGTAGGATGGGGGGAGTGGAGGAGAAGGTGACAGAGCCAGCAAAATTGCACTGGAAGAAGGAAGTAGTAAGACAATCTGCATGGGAAGTCTACCAGAGGAAGAACAGGAGTGTGATAAACTTTAGGAGGCAAGACCTTGTCAAACGGTGAATGGTGGTGTTCTTTCTTGACAGTTGTGACCTGAGGAACAGGCAGTTACCCCAGCAGGAATAAAAATACCCAACAAATAGAAAAATAAACATCAATTGAAGTGAAAATCAATGGTAACAGATATAATGGATAAGTTTTCGAAATGGGAAAATGGGGCTGTAGAGGAAAATCTAGTGAGGAAATCCATTTGGTGAGAGAAAACGAGAAGTGAGAATTTAGGGCCAGACTAAACTTAATTGATGATGACTGAAAATATCCAGCTGGCATTTTCCAACTGCTGAGCTCAACTATGTAATTTATTGGTCAAAATTCAGAGTAGATTTGAGAATCTTTAGTGCGTAGATGGTAGCTTAAGTCTTGGAAACTTCTGTGGTTTCGAAAGGAGTTAGTATTGTGGACAAAGGGAAATGTGCTCCCATAGACTGAGATCTGGGGCCTGAGGAGTGAAGCAAAGAAGGAGATGGTGAGGGGAGAAGGAAGCCAGAAGCAGATGTAGGGGGAGTGTGGAGGCCAGCCCATTCGCTGTGATCAGAGAGATCTCGGGGAATGTTACTACCAGTAAGCTGCGTGTGTGTGCACGTGCTTTAAAATCACCCAGTGATAGCTCACCAACCTAACCTTTACCCCAAGTACCACTCATTAGACATTGATTTCCTTATATGCTGCCAAGTTATGCTGTAATCATCTCACCTATGCTTGTGATTTTTTTTTTTTTGAGACAGAATTTCTTCCTTGTTGCCTAGGCCGGAATGCAATGGTGCGATCTCAGCTCACTGCAACCTCCTCCTCCTGGGTTCAAGTGATTCTCCTGCCTCAGCCTCCTGAGTATCTGCGATAACAGGTGCCTGCCACCATGCCTGGCTAATTTTTGTATTTTTAGTAGAGATGGGGTTTCACCATGTTGGCCAGGATTATCTTGAACTTCTGACCTCAGGTGATACACCGACCTCTGTCTCTCAAAGTGCTGGTATTACAGGCATGAGCCACCACACCGGCCCCTTCTTGATTTTTAAAAAAACAATCACAATAAACAACAAAACACACACTGAATAAGGTTTAGGGGCATTTTGCCCGAGGGAGTGGTTGCATATGTGGATTCCAGGGAGTTGATGAGACAGGTCCTCCTTATTTTAAAGGGTGAAGGTGGGCCCTGTTGAGCCAATTCAGAGACATGGTTGAACATTGCTTTTTGTGTTTTCATTCTCAGACTGTGCAGAACACACATCCCCGACACAGGAGGCGTGGGGTGGATGAGAAGGAATGCGGAAGTACCTTGGGCTCTTGGAGAACTCTGTGATAAGAAAACTCAAAGAAAAAGAGAGCATCAACCACTTCAGAAAACAAACACGGTAAAAATGTGGTTGGTCCTGCTTATTATTGAGAGCATACTGACAACTACAGATTGCATTTTTAGTGAAAGCAATTGATGCAGAAGCAGTTTTTCAAGGTCAAGACAGAAAATAAGAAAGACTTATTTGAAGAAATTTGACAGTGGAAGGAGGTTGAGATAGTGCGACCCAGCAACAGTGTGACCCTCACTGTTGAACACCAAAGGCCTGAGCATATTTGCAGAGATAGGGCAGGATAAAGCAGGCATGCAACCCAAAATGTGTTACGGGCATCTCATACTCTGCTCTCCCTCCCTTCCCATCTCTTTCTAAAGCATAAACCTGGCCACACAGGGCTGCAGGTGAACCCCAGCGTGATCCCATTGTCTAAGAATCAAGTCCAAGGAAATCTCTGAGTGACCCTAACCCCCCTCCCTGCTCCAGCCAGCCCATTGTATCCTATGACCCAGACTCCAGCGTCCAGTGCAGGGACCATACAAGCACACCCACTAGGGGAGAGGCCCACTCTTGGCCTGTTTGTCCATCACTCTCAGCTAGGCTGTCCTCTCCCCGACTCCAGGGAGAATTACATCCACACCAGCACCTTCCAGGGCCATCCTACTTGATGTCCTCCCGGTTCCTCTCCCTCCACATCCATTCCCAGGTCTGTGCTTACTTGGCCTTTGCAGCCCTCCTGGATGACACTCATGTATTTCTGTGAAGCTGTTTCTGAGCTTGGTTTTGGAGATACTCTGGGTGTGGACTCAGCTGAGGTCCTGTAGGCTCAGAGCCACAGCAACCTGTCCTTCACCCTGAGCCTTCAAGAAATGGGCCCCTCCTGTGCATCACTGGCCACTCGCTCTGCCAGAAGAAAGGTCTCATAGTATCCCAAGCATATGCCCCCCTCAGCCTCCAAAAGCCTCTGGGTTCCCCTGCAGATCCCCAACTGGGCAAGCCTTCTTCTCATTGGAATTGCTGGGGCCTTCTTTGCAATGACTCTGGATTCCCTGAAGCCCGGTCCTAGGCAGTGCTCATCTATAACTCAATCCTACCTTGGGTTTCTGAGCTTATTCTTGTCTTGTCTTTAATACTGTGAGACAATAAGTGCTTTAAAAACCTTTGTTAAATAAATGAATTCAGCAATGCCCCTGTCTCGTGGCAAGCTAAGCTAAAGAAAACTTGTTAGATTCTGATAATAATATAAATAACAATGATAATAATAACAAATAACAGTAAAGCTTACAAAAAAAGTTTATTATGCCAGTCACTGTTCTCAGAGCTCTAAGTCGATTAACAAATTTGATCCTCATCACAATTCTGTGACTTAGGGCCTATTTTCCTCCCCATTTTACCAATGAGGAAATCGAGTCAAAGAGATAGAGACAGGGTAGTCACTTGAGCAGTTCCACACAGCTTATGAGGAGCCCAGGGGAGTTTGGACCCAGTCTGCACGCTCATTCTGGCTCCAGATAAGGTCAAAATTGAATTTTATTGATCAATTTAAGAGACTCATCATGAAAAGAGACATATACTCTCCTGACATAGAAACTGTGGGATGTTAATCATTTTGTGTCTATTGGGCACGTTATTATAACGTTTGGTTTACCTCCACTCAAACTCAAGTGTTTAAGCAGTCCAAGAGCATTCGATAAGTAGGTGGCAAATAAACGCTCCTATGCTGGGGAAATTGGCTCCAAGAAGATTCATTCTAACTCTGTTTTATCATGTACTTAGTTTATAATGAAACAGATTGAAAGAAAAAAATGGGAATATTGTTCCGATAACGTATGCTGTATTCATGATCAGAATGCTCTCGTATGAGTTAAATTTATCTCCATTGCAGAAGGACCTTTTAGGGAGATACAGAAAGTGAAATAAAAAGAGGAAAGAGGATGCAGAAGTTTATTCAGTGACAAAACCTATGAAGAGTTCAGCAAATCTAGGCAGGGATGATGCCTCTTTCCTCTCTCTGTGTTTCCAAGCGTAAACACAGGGAAAGCGGCAACTCCTTCCACCACGCCTCTGCCTCTCTTTTCCTGCTTAATTAATCCTTTTACACCATCAAAAATGGCTTCTGCCTTTTAAGAGGCTATGACATTTTTGATGTTTTCAAAAGGCAACAGGCCCTAGCGCTCTACTGTATCCACTCTATCCACCCTATCCACCCTATCCACTTCTGTCTTAATAAAAACAACTAAAGCCTAAGCCAAGTAGGAGTTACAGACATAGAGCAAAGGAGCTTGGAGAAACAGCTGTAAATGTGTCTCCTCTGTCACAATGAGGGAAGAGTCAGGAACACAGGTGTGAAATGGCTGATTTCAGTTTAACTCTGACACCTGTGAAGACCAGGACTAAAATCAGTCTAAGGAACATGTTTTCCAGAAGCTGCCAAGTGAAAAGAGGGACGTTCATTCTACTTTTAACTTCTCTGTTAGTTATAAAGAAGATGCAGTTGGGCTGCAAAACATCCCACTACTTATTTAAGTGTTTTTGATTAGAAACACCCTTTTTGATTTCAGACCTCTCCTTTGGCAGAATTCATTTGATGATTTTGATCAATTTTTGCCCCGGAGTCACAAGTTTCACACAATGTATTACTATTAATTCTTCTTTCAGTTTCAGTTTGGTAAACCAGTAGTCTGTAGTATTCTCACTTAATGGCCGGGACATGTTCTGAGAAATGTGTCCTTAGGCGATTTTGTCATTGTGCAAGCATCACAGAGTGCACGCACACAAACCTAGACTGTCTAGCTAGCTACATACCTAGGCTATGTAGTCTAACCTACTGCTCCTAGGCTACAAACCTGCACAACACATGACCATACTGAATGCTATAGGCAATTGTAAAACAATGCTAAGTACCTGTGTATCTAAACATATCTAAACTTACAAAAGGTCCAGTAAGAATATGGTCTGATAATCTTTTCTTTTTTCTTTCTTTCTTTCTTTCTTTCTTTCTTTCTTTCTTTCTTTCTTTCTTTCTTTCTTTCTTTTTTTTTTTTGACAGAGTCTTACTCTGTTGCCCACGCTGGAGTGCTATGGCACGATCTTGGCTCCCTGCAACCTCCACCTCCAGGATTCAAGTGATTCTCCTGCTTCAGCCTCCTGAGTAGCTTGAATTACAGGCGCATGCCATCACGCCCAGCTAATTTTTGTATTTATAGTAGAGATACGGTTTCTCCATGTTGGTCAGGCTGGTCTTGAACTCCTGACCTTGTGATCCATCCGCCTCAACCTCCCAAGGTGCTGGGATTATAGTCGTGAGTCACTGCACCCAGCCTGTGGTCTGATAATCTTACCAGACAGCTCTGATATATGCGGTCCCTCCTTATGTGACACATGACTGCATTGATGCTGATGATGGAAGCTTAGGTTTACTAGGCCTGAATCCAGGGTGGCTGGCTCAGTTTTGATGGCTGAATTGACTCGATGATTCGTTTGCAATTCAATGAGGAAAAGTTAACCCTCTCAGCCTTTCTCCTCAGGCTGTCCTGAGGCAGCCCCTCAGAAGTTCACCACATGGAGAAGCAGCAGCAGGGATTTCTCCTTTAAACACATTAATCTCCTATTTTGGGTTAATGCCCTCAGTCTTCTCTGACCTGAAGTACATTTTTCCAAGCAGCAATCACTGTAAGATTCTGAGAAAGATGCTTTCTGCCTTTGCTGAGTTTCCAAAAGGCAGCTGTTCTTTGAACATGGAGTCTGATGGAACCCTCTCACCCCAAAGTAACACCTGCCTCCTCTTACCTCCTCCTCCTCCTGCCAGAACCCCACCCTCCAGAGCCCAAGCTGCAGCATGGTGGAGGTGGAGCTGTGGGCACAGTAATTGCTGCAGGCCAGACCCCACCTCCCCACAGGTGGAAAGCTCTTCAGTCCCAAGTGCCCAAACCCCCTTCATTTGAGTTGTTGTTTGTTTTTGTTTTTATTTTGATTTTTAAATAAATGCTGATTTATTGTCACACTCAAATTGCCTGTCAACTTAGCAACTTCAGTTTTAAATCATTGTTTCTGCCTACCAATCTAGATGCAATTGATAAATGTGAGAATATTCTGGAAACAATCAGCCTAACAATTATTGTGCTGTCTTTGCTTTCAATTATCTAAAGGAAAACATCCCATGATATCAAAAATTAGGATGTCCTATGAGTTTTCACTGCAGACTCTACTGAAAGCTCATTTTGAAAGTGTCTAGGCTGATCAAAGTTCTGCATGCATTCCCATTAAGAATCTGTGTTATCAAGGTTAGATAAATTAGATATCATTTTCCTTAACTGCTCAGCTTTACAAACTATTTATAAAGCAAACACCAGGCATCTATCAATATCAGAAATTATATGAAGAGATTTCCGCACTTGGGTTGCCAGAACAAGCCAGAGAAAACATTATTTGAGAATAGTGGCATCCCATAGAAAACTCCCAAAATCATCCACTCTAAAAAAAATTCCTGCACTCATATTTGGTGTGTATGTCACAAAAATAATATTCTACTTTTATTGGCATCATTGGTTTCCTATATTTTCTAGAAACCTATCCCTGTAATTCATTCTATCATTTCTTTTTTTCCAAATTCATAGCAACATCCTCATTAAGTGCACTAATTCTACTGTGACATGCAGTTGGCAGAACTGTGATTTTAGTAGAACGGTAGACTGATTCTTAGATAAAAATGGTTCAAAATTTCTGTAATTCTGGGGCTTTAAGAGTTGTTGAGAATCATCTTATCCACGGTTGTCATTCAGCAGGTGAGAACCCGAGGTCTGGAGAAGTGGCCATTTCAGACCCCCCAGTAGGGAATTGTGGGGCCCAGGAGGGCCTAGAACTCACGAGTATTCAGAGTCACAGGTGTGTTACCTAGGGGACATAAAAGTAATATGACAAGTCTCAGGTACTGTAGTGTGTGTGTGTGTCCACAAAGAGGAGGCAAGCAGGGGCCACGTGGAGGGAGCTTCCCATGGAGTGGCAATTGCTCCCCCAAGAGCTCCTGCAGAAAATGCGGGACAGTCAGCATTCTGGGTTGAAATGCCGGTATTCTGGGTTGAATTGTCAGAGTTCTGGGTTGAATTGTCAGTGATCTGGATTGAATTTTTAATGTTCTGCATTGAGCTGTGTTCTCCCCAAATGTATTTGTTAAAGTCCTAACCCCCAATGCCTCCGAATGTTTTCTTATTTGGAGATAGGATTTTTAGATGGGTATCAAGTTAAAACGAGGTCATCTGGGCAGGCCCTAATCAGATACCACTGGTTTTTTATAGGAGGGGGAAATCTGGACACAGACACACGCAGAGGGAGGACCATGTGAGGAGACACAGGGAGAAGACAACCAAGGAGAGAGGCCTGGAACAGAGCATTCAATCATAGCCCTCAGAGGGAACCAGCCCTGCTGACACCTTGATCTTGGACTTCCAGCCTCCTGAGCTGCTGGAAGTGCTGAGCCCAATTGTGATGGTTTGTTATAATGGCCCTAGCAAACTAACACAACTCGGTTAAAAGGCTATTCGCTATGGGATAAGAATGAAAAATAGGAAAGGAGAAATTGTAGAGAGCCTTGCCTTTTAATATAATACACATCATCATCCTCTACATGTTAGGGGGCCATGGAAGTTTACTCAGCAGGGCTGTAAGTGCTTGAACATGCATTAAAATTATCTATATCTACATATCTCTATCTATCTATCTAATATACATATATCTATCTAATATACATGTAATATATGTATATTATATATTGTATATTAATATGTGTATATAATACATGTATAATATCTATATATTATACATGTAATATGCATACACATATGTGATGTGTGTGTGTGTGTGTTTGTGTGTGTATCTATATACTCTCCTTCAGCAATATAGAGCTGACTTTAAAAGGTGTGCACTCAAGACAGGCAGTCCTTCAAAATTAAAGCAATATTTCAGGCAAATTATTATAGAAGGAGGAGGAACAGGTGAGATTCTGGAAGAAGAAGCTCAACAGGGGATACCTGGGTGTCTGGAGTGAGCAACTCAGCAGGGAGACTAGACATTGGAATAGACATAAAGAGAAGATACAAATAGAGTAGAAAGAGGGAGCTGGAGGAAGCAGATAGAGCCCAGGTGTGCAAGCCTTGGGTTTCAGATGCTAAGCTATGGTGCTTCCAGGCCTGGAGTTCACGAGAAACATCCAAGATGAAGACAACAGAGATGTTGATGGGAGTTAATACCAGATTGATGGTTGTGAGGCTGTGGCATGAAGAGAGTTGATCCAGGGACAGAACTTGGAGGCTGGTTAAGAGGAAACCAGATACATCCCCTGGGGAAGTGAGCTGAAGGCAGAGAATGAGGAGTCAGTCCAGGAGGCGGATGCAGTCTTGGAGGGAAGACAAGGAGAGAGAACGAGGCCAGGCACTGAACCTTTGAATAACTTTCTTCTTTAGAAACTTGCCAATGACTGGCGTCATTTATTCACCTATTTGTACAAAACTCAAGCAGCAAACATGGAAGTATGCACTGAAGTCCAGGAAATGATTAAATTCTGTTAGCTTTCTTAGCTCATTAGTTTCTCCTAGATGGGTCCAGATGTATCGGGGTCTTTCCAGTCATCAACTTTCCAAATTTGTTTTTTTCATCTTCAAAGTATCTGAAAGCTCTCTTATTGACATAGTTTAGTGTAGTTTAGCAAATATAGAAACCATTCTACAGGCTCAGGGTAGGTTTATTTACAGATTCTTGAAGGGTTTGAAAATTCATATCAGCCATAAACATTGATATGTTGGTGATGGTTAAACAGATGATTGCCTTTTATTGTTGTAATAAACATTTTTGAAGTAATTATCTTTCTATAAAAAGTAAATACACTCATAACTATGAAAAAACAGTCATATTTGAATGTGGCTTTAAATAAGTATATTATAAAATTTATATTTTATGTGCTATTTTCATCATGCAGGTTATACAGAAACTATGATTTCACTGTTTCAGCTATTTCCCTAGTTTTATTTTTATTCCCTGTAAAGCTGGTATTTCAGGTCTTGAGGGACAAAAAAAAATACTTGTTAAAATAGAGCTGTCTGGTCCCACCCTGCCCTATTGAATCAGGATTCTTGAGAGAGAGGGGATAGGCATCTCTATTTGTAATTAGCTCTCTTAGATACCTTCTACTTACCACAATGTTTGAGAATATTGGCTTTTAGAGATAAAAATATGGCCTGGAAAAATAGTAAAACTATGACACCGTAGCTTTCACATGACCTGTCTCCATTGCAGAAGGATAGACACTTACTACTCATCCCAAATTTGAGAATTGTGGCCATGAAGAAATGCAGTGCTCGTCGAGCTTGCTTAAACTGACAGCTTTCACATAATATATGGCTTTTCTAAGTGCATGACAAGCATGGGTGCCTCTAGCAGACACGTGGGCCACAAGTAAAATAAGATACTTGAATGGTCCATTCAGGGCATCTGAGCTCTGAAATGAGAATAAGAATCAAATTAACAGCAGCAACAGGCACCGGCCTTTTTTGAGGTGGCCCCATGTTCTGGGGCCCACATCATCCCGTGGATGTCCATACGTGGCTCATCGTGGACTCTCCCAGGGAGTTCTCAGGTCCCTGTATGCTCCCCAGACCCCAGCTCCTGCTACAGGCTGTGGTCTGTGCATCACTGTGGAACACCCTGACTCTGGGCCTCCCCTCACTCTGCATGCTCACATTGGCTCTTTCTGTCTCTGTGTAACTATCTGTCAGACATTGGTCTAGAAAACCTCATCCAGCCGGCTCTGTTACCTGCTCCCTAGAATAGGGCTATCTGCAAATATTCTCCCTGCCAGTGTGTCTATTAGGTACTTTGTTATTTCCCCAATCTCCAGGCATCTTTATTCTTCATCTGTATTCCTCCTTTAATTTTATGAAGTTTCTTATCACTTGTCTAGCAAAGAGTAGGAAGAAACTGGAAAGTCAGAAATAATCACATCTTTCCTACTCCCAGGTGAATTTTTACAATGGTTAGGAGAGGAGGCACAGCCCCACTGGAACACTCAGTCATCCAAGGTTGTTCTTAATCCTATAATTGGCAGTCACACCTTACAAAGGCGCAAAATTTCTCTTCTGCAATCAATGCAAAGTATATTTGGAAAGAATTCTCTCCACATCTTCCAAAGACACAGGGACAATCAATGCCCTTCAGTCTTAGGTGCTGAGCAAGCGCATGTCACCGACTATGGAAGACTCAGTCTCATGACAGTGGGGACAGAACATGACTGCACGGCTGTCACCCCCACCTCCGTCTGGTGCGTATGGACGTCATGTCCATGCCTCTGATGGGCCTGATAAGCATGAGTGTGGTTTACTGGTGAGTGGGATGATGAAACCCGTCACACAGAAGTTTACCCTGTCTGAATGTGTAACTGAAAATAATTTTGGAGAAAAAGAGCACATAAACAAATGTTTTCCACTGATAGCAAAAGAAGTAAACGTGTCTGGAAATGTTAGAGAATGCTTCCAACAAATAAAGAAGAAAACCCTGGGGAACCCCTGGTTAGCAGTTTGGGTGACAACAGCATGCATGAGGCTGTGGGTGGCAGCCAGAGAAACCCAACACAAACCAGCACACGCTTCAGGGGACTGATGGGTTCCAGGCTCCAGGAAGGAAGGGCACCCTCATGTGGGACAGGGTGACCCCAGCTCTGTGGCTCTGGCATGTTGCTGGGTCCTTCCTCAGGCTGACTGCCGCCATCTGGTTTGAGCACAGGTATTTACACCAACGAGCAACTCTATAGGAGGAACGTACTCCTCCCCTTGGATTCTTGCTTAGAAATCCTAAGAGAAGACGCCAGTAGCCCAGCATGCCCCTGAAAATGATCCTTGGGGCAGCTTCTGCCAGGTGTGATGCCTGGACCTCTTTATTAGAGGCACAGAAGTGAAGCTCTGCAGAGATGGCAGATGCCTAGCCTGGCCAAGTGGAGGCGATGAGGGCTCCTGCAGGCACTGCCACCCACACCCACTGAAATGTCATTGAAAGAAAACCCAAGTCATTGCCATCGAATCACAGAAGTCACCAACTAATATTAGGAGTCTAGAGCATTCAGAAATTTTCACCTAGTCTTCTTCACTTTTGAGGATACTCAAAATCACAGGAAACCTGAAATGATGTAGCGATTCATCAGATTACACTATGAGATGTTTAACAAGAATCAGAATAGAAAAACCACTGATTATAATATATTTATAGACCATAACATTTTTTTCTTTTTTTTTTATAATGCCCATATCTTGACTAAGCAAATGACATTTTACAGCTAATGAACCAACCGATCTTTAATTTTATTTTCCCTAGTCAGGAGGAACATGTGTCTTCAAGGGGCTGTGGTCACACAACGTGAGGAGATTCTGAAGGTGCTGGCACTAAGGTTGGCAATTCAGGCACGATGGGACATTTAATCCCATCAGCCCCTTATGGAGTGTGCATGAGACCCATTTTACAGATGGAGATATTGAGTCTTGGGGAGAGGTTAGGTTAGTTGTCTGGCAGAGCAGCCTGCATGGTGCTGAGTGCTTAACTACCTTCATTTACATCTGGGCTCCTGACCCTGTCATGCTGTCATCCAGGGTGGTTACCCCTCATGCAATTCCCCAGCATCACTGGCCGCTCCCTACCTCATTTGATGCCTGTGCAGCCTAAATTCCAGGCAGCAGGTGGGAGGACCGCATATCTGCAGTGGAGAGGGACACAACGTGTAGGCACGATGGGAGCAGCTCAGATCTTTGGATATCCCAGGTTCAGTTGGAGCTTCCTGGAAATCCAAAGTCAGTGGCCTAGCAGGGAATGCCAGGCAGCCACTCAGACCTGGACAGGCAGCCTGGGCAAAGGCCCCATGTGGCTGAAGCAGGGCTGGGTCAGGAAACAGAGACTGGAAAGAAATAACCTAAAGGGGCCGGGCGCTGTGACTCATGCCTGTAATCCCAGCAGTTTGAGAGGCCAAGGTGGGCGGATCACCTGAGGTCAGGAGTTCGAGACCAGCCTGGCCACTATGGTGAAACCCCGTCTCTACTAAAAATACAAAAATTAGCTGGACGTGGTGGCACACACCTGTAATCCCCACTACCCAGGAGGCTGAGGCAGGAGAACTGCTTGAACCCGGGAGGCGGAGGTTGCAGTGAGCTGAGATCGTGCCATTGCACTCCAGCCTGGGTGACAGAGCAAGACTCTGTCTTAAAACAAACAAAAAACAAGCAAAAGAAATAACCTAAAGGACAAGCCACACAACAGAGATAAAGGAAGAGGATGCTTGAGGCACCAGGGCAGGGGAAAACATGATGAAAGACTGTAAGAAAACAGAGCATGCATGGGAAAAAGGGATGGCGACCTCTAAAATCTTGCATGAAAATGACTGCTCTATATTTCAAATCTATCTGGAGCATTTAAATATATAATTTTAACTTGTATCCTAGTTGGTTCAGTAACTTAAAAATCAGCTCACTGGGAACCATGGGCCCAGCACCATTTGCATTTTCAGCGCCTTCAATCAATGACTGAGCAATGGAGACTCATGAAGGACTAGCTACATTAACTTCTGAATTCTAAAGTGTCTTCTGCTTATTTTCAGAAAGGTGTTATCTGAATCTCTAAATACAAGCTCCTCCTGACAGAATTCCTTCAATTTCCTTCAGAACCTGGAGGGAATCTGTGCCCTGGGATGCCTGGAAGTTGGAGGAAGGATTGTTTCTGCAGTTCCTCCTGTCCACGCCACCGTTTCCCTTCTCACCCCAACAACAGGCCCTCACTACCTCCATCCTTCCCTTCCAGGGTTAGACACCTGCACCAGCATCCCATGTCATCCATATCTGTACCCTGCGCCTTTCCTAGGAACTGACAGAGCAGTCTGGAATTTATCGCACAAATTCCATCAAATTATTTTTTTTTAATTTTCTGTTAATCACCTTGGCAGTCCTGAGGCAGGAACCATGACTATCTCACATCAGGTACAGGTGTGTCTTAAATGGACAAATAGATGGGTCAAATGTTAAGCTTTGTTTAAGGATTTTCAATACCACACTAATTTGAAATAAAGTGTATTCTTCAAGATAAATAAAGAGTTAGAGAGATCTAGCCTAATCATTGACACAGGAAATAGAGGTGTTTATCTAAAATGTTTGAAAGAACATGCTGGAGATAAGCAACTGAACAAGGTATTTTCAACCCCGGAAAAGTGGACAACTCTAATTATCAATGGGTTCAGCAAGCATTTACGAGCCCTGGGGATGGAGATGCAAAATGAGCTAAGCGTTGCCAGGGACTGAACAGTGTCCCCACAACATTCATATGCTCAAGCTCTATCTGGAGACAGGATCTTTAGGAATGTAGTTAAGTTAAATGAGTCCTAAGAATGAGGCCCCAATTAATAGGCCTCTAGCCTTTGTAAGAATAGGAAGAGAAAGAGATCGTTTTTCTGTCTCCACCATGTGAGGACACAGTGAGAAGGGGACTATCTGTAAGCCAGGAAGGGGTTCTTACTGGAACCTGACCATGCTAGCATCCTGATCCCAAAATTCCAGTCTGCAGAGCTGTGACAACATAAACATTTGTCCTTTGAGCCTTCCAGTCTGTGAGATTTAGTTATAACAGACTCAGCAGACTAATGCGGCATCCTTGCTCTGGGTAGCAAAGTCTCAGCTCAAAATTTCTCTGCAATGGCAAAGCTTCCCCATTTTGCTCCCTTCTCTGCATTTTTGGCATGTGGAATAAAACCCGGCCATACCCATGAGACACATGCCCAGCAGTCCTGTCCCTCTTCAGTGCTTGTAGTATCTTAAGCATACCCTCCTGATGAAACACCATAGTTACAGCTTTTTACCTTAAATCATTATCTGATGTATCCTACTCACCAAACTCAGAAGATAGTTTTGCTTCTGAAAAATATTATATTTTGCATTGCTTTTAATTAAGGCTGGCATAGAGATTGCCAAAAACTGTTGCTCTCACCCTGCTCTGTGGCACTTAACAAATAATTGGATGTGTAAATTGCTTCAATGCTGATATTCTCTTTCCTGTGAACCACAAATGATTATCAAATGTGTTGAGGATACTAATGAAGAATGAATTTTTCCTTCTCTTCATGGAAAATCGCATTAGGTGTAATTGGATAAAACCAAGGATAAACAATCAATCATTCCTCATTTGGGATCAGGTTGACACTGAGATCATTAGACACTGAACAGGGCATCACTTCTGCCTCTGCAGTGGGCGCCGTGGCTCAGCACATGGTCGGTGAAACCCTGAAGATTTTCGTTGAAGGCATTAGAGTTGAGATAGCAGAATTGAAAATTACTTTTAGAAGTCCTCATTAGAAAAACAAGTATTCCATGGAAAAAAAATGTTTCCTAAATGAGACAAATTCAATTTACCATCTCTTCTCTATTATTTGTACAGAGGTGATACACGGTGTCAGGTGATGTTTGTGGCATAGACAGAAAATGCACTGTGTTGTTTGCAGAACAAGATGGTCAATGGGACACTTGTGAGTTCTCCAGATTCCACCCTCTTTCTCCTGTGACCCTGGTGAACTGAAAAGTGTAACTGCTTCACCTCACCATCGTGCAGGTCAGGCATTGGATCCAGGTGTAGCTCATCTAATACGCTAGGGATGCTGCAAAAATGAATGCTGCTCACATTCTGAGCAGCTGAGGCTCTCCACAGAATGTTGCTGGACACCACCCAGAGGATTTCCCTACAGCCAAGAGCCCCGACCTGATGGAAAATGTTCACCTGTGCCCACTGTTCTTTACTCAAATAAAAGAGTTGACAAATCCAGAATGAAAGAGCTGGAACAACACTATATTGGTCCATTATTATACTGATATGAAGAAATATCCGAGACTACATAATTTATGAAGAAAAAGAGGTTTAATGGACTCACAGTCACACATGACTGGGGAGGTCTCACAATCACGGGGGAAGGCAAACAAGGAGTAAAGTCACGTCTTACATGGCAGCAGGCAAGAGAGCATGTCCCAGGGAACTGCCCTTTATAAAACCATCAGATCTCATAAGACTTATTCATTATCATGAGAACAGCATGAAAAAAACTCACCCCAGTGATTCAATTATCTCCCACCGGGTCCCTCCCATGACTCATGGGGATTATGGGAGCTACAAATCAAGATGAGATTTGGGTGGGGACACAGTCAAACCAGATTAGACACTAATAGATGACTTTGGCCTAATGTCCCCATTTCTGTTTACAGAAGCTGAGCCTCAGAAGGATCAATTGTCTGGTTCATGGCTACAGAGAAACCTGGTAGAAGAGCCCTACAGAGATGGCTATTCAGATTCTGTACACACTGCCAGGGCTTTTGGAGTGGGCTCATGTTTCCAAGCTATGCATATCTGAGTGGCAAGACAGAAACTATCTTCTATAATTCAATGTGCTATTACACCACACCCCATTCAGACAGAAATGTATAATCCAGCCACCTCCAGAAAACCTGGTCTAACTGTGGATTATTCAGACCTTTTGGGTCTCAACCAAATTAATTTAGGAAAAGAGTTCTAGGCCTCCTATTTTCTCCATTCCCAGAAGACCTTACAGGTCTCTCGAATGAAGTGGGAGGAGCAGGACCTGTCTCTAGTTTCCATCTCCCTTGCTGTCCTCTACTGCACCAGGCCTCCAGTCCTGCTGAGATGGTGGCTCAGGTCACCATAGCTTTACTCATGAATAAGCATATGTGCTTGCACCTTTCTAAGAGCTGGACTCAAGTTATCAATCTCAGCCAACATCCACCTGGAAGACAGGACTTTTACTATGCTCTTTGTGCCATGGAGACAGGGGTTAAATAATTTGCCCAAGGCCACACAGAATAAGGAGGAGGTGGTGCTGAGATTCAGACACCACCTTTGGACTCTAGAACTCATACCCTTAACCACAAAGTTATGGGGCTTCCTAACCCCATCCCCAGCAATGCTCTTCTCATCTAGATAACCAGCTGCCTCTCAGCCATGTCCCGATGTGCAGAGGATTGGGGAATTTTCAGTGTCCCCAGTATTCCCATGCACATCTACAGAGGAAACAGAGACTTTGCCTTGGACTTTTCTGGCCCCTGTCATCCCTCTGGTCTGTTTTTCTCACTGCTCTCACTTCACAGGGACATTTGGAAACTTTTATCAAGGATCACTTATTAGTCCGTTTTCACACTGCTGATAAAGGCATACCCAAGACTGGGAAGAAAAGGAGGTCTAATTGGACTTACAGTTCCACATGGCTGGGGAAGCCTCAGAATCAAGGCGGGAGGCAAAAAACACTTCTTACATGGTGGCAGCAAGAAAAAAATGAGGAAGATGCAAAAGCAGAAACCCCTGATAAAACCATCAGATCTCGTGAGACCTATTCAGTACCATGAGAATGGTATGAGGGAAACCACCCCCATGATTCAAGTGATCTCCCACCAGATCCCTCCCACAACACATGGGAATTATGGGAGTACAATTCAAGATGAGATTTTGGTGGAAACACAGAGCCAAACCATATCATTCCAACCCTGGTTTCTCCAAATCTCATGTCCTCATATTTGAAAATCAATCATGCCTTCTCAATAGTCCTCTAAAGTCTTAACTCATTTCAGCATTAACCCAGAAGTACACAGTCCAAAATTTTATCTGAGACAAGTCATGTCCCTTTTGCCTATGAGCCTGTAAAATCAAAAGCAAGCTAGTCACTTTGTAGATACAACGCGGGTACAGGTATTTGATAAATACTGCCATTCTGCATGTGGGAAACTGGCCAAAACAAAGGAGTTACAGGGCCCATGCAAGTCTAAAATCCAGTGGGGCAGTCAAATTCTAAAGCTCCAAAATGATCTCCTTTAACTCCAAGTCTCACGACCAGGTCTCGCTGATGCAAGAGGTGGATTTCTATGGTCTTGGGCCGCTCCACTCCTGTGGCTTTGCAGGGTACACCCTCCCTCCTGACTGCTTTCATGGGCTGGCATTGAGAGTCTGCAGCTTTTCCAGGTGCATGGTGCAAGCTGTCGATGGGTCTACCATTCTGGGGTCTGGAGGATGGTGGTCCTTTTCTCACAGCTCCACTAGGCAGTGCCTCAGTAGGGACTCTGTGTGGGGGTTCCGACCCCACATTTCCCTTCTGCACTGCCCTAGCAGAGGTTATCCACGAGGGACCCACTCCTGCAGCAAAATTCACAGTGTTGTCCAAGACTACAATAATCTTAAGAATGGAATGGGATTGGATCTAATTCCCAACTCAGTTACACAGTAGCCATTGGCAAGCTTTGGTTCTTCAGTAACAGTTGCCTGAAAATATCAGGTGCTTCCCACTTGGGATTCCCCATTTGATAACTCATAACACATCCTGGCTTCCATCAGAGTAAAGGAGAGACACCCAAGACAGAAACCACAGTTATTTTGTAATTAAATCTTAGAAATGATATTCCATCCCTTTTGCCACATTATATTTCTCAGAAGTGAGTAAATAAGTCCAGCCCACTCTCAAGGGACGCAGTTTGTGCAGGATATGAATGGCAGAATGGGGAAGCATTGAGGGTCACTTTAGAGGCTGCCTACCAAAAATAATTTTTGAAACAGTCATAAAAACAACGCAGGAAATGTATTTTTAAAAAGATGTGCCATGTGCAGAGGAACAAAGATAAGAATGACAGGAGCGTTCTTCATTGGAAGCAATGCCAGTGAGAAGACAGCAGAGCAACACCTTTAAAGTACTGGGGACAGGAAGAACTGTCAACCAAGTATTCTATACCCAGCAAAAGTATCTGTCACAAACAAACCTGTGATATTAATTTCTTTACATTACTACAAGTTATGATAATTTGTTATGCAGCACATATAACTAATACATACTGGTTTTGAGAAATGTGATATGATATGCTTTAGTGTAGCTTTCATAATATTTCTTATACTCATGTTTCATTAAACTTCTGTGGATTCACAGATTGTATCCATTTAAATTTCCAGGGTATCATGGTTTTTATCAAATTATACTTTTGTGGATTTATAGTTATATGAGGTTTGGAAAATATATGGTCATTGTTCTTCAGGTTGTTTTTTTTTCTATCTCCCCTTTCTTTGGAGGCTCCAAATATAACCATAATGGTATATTTGAATTTGTCCCACAGCTAGAAGATGTTCCTATTTACTTATTTAATCATTTTTCCCCTATGTCTCATTTTAAATACTTTTTATTGCTATATATTCAACTTCACCAGCATTTTCTCTTGCAATGTCCAGCATGCCATTAATCACATCCACAGTACTTTTTTTCTGAGACTTTGCAATTTCTATCCCTAGATACTCAATTTCAGTGTTTTACTTTTGCATCTTCTGTGTTGCTACATAACATTTAGAGCATATGAAATATCATTACAACAATTATTTTAGTGTTGTTTATTACTAATTCTAACACATGCATCAGTTCTGGGTCAGTTTAGATTAATTTATTTCTGTCTTCATTATGGGTCCTATTTCCCTGTTCTTTGCATTCTTGATGAGTACCTTTTAGATGCCAATCTTTTTGAATTTTACCTGGTTGAATTTTGTATAATTTTCAATTCTTCTAAGAATGATTGAGCCTTATTCTGAGATGCTCAATTACCTAGAAATAGGTTGATCTCTTTGAATCTTGTTTTGTTTTTTGTTTTTTTTTTTTCTGATGGAGTCTGGCTCTTGTCGCCCAGGCTGGAGTGCAGTGGCACAATCTTGGCTCACTGCAACCTCCATCTCCTGGGTTCAAGCGATTCTCCTGCCTCAGCCTCCTGAGTAGCTGGGATTACAGGCACCCGCCACCACACTTGGCTAAGTTTTTTTGTACTTTTAGTAGAGACAGAGTTTCGCCATGTTGGTCACTTGGTCTTGAACTCCTGACTTCAAGTGATCCACTCTCCTCGGCCTCCCAAAGTGCTGGGATTACAGGCGTAAGCCACCACGCCCAGCTGAGTCTTGCTTTTAAAATGGACTTGGTGCTTTGTGTAGAACTTAGTATTTCTCATTGCTGAGGCAGGGCATTTCTGAGTGCTCTACCCAATACTTCATTTATCATTAGGCCTTCCATTCTGCCTGACAGAAATAAATACATTCCCTGGGTCCTTAGAAGGGCTAGGTATTATTTTCTGTTTTCCTCTTGGATAGTTTATTTCTCTGTGCTTAGTTTCCTCACCCCATGCACAGATACTGCCGAGTACTCAGAGGGCACGGCTGTCCATCTGCCATGCGTTCACGCAATGCAAATGTCACTCTCTCACCTCTTCCTTCTGCCCCGTGAATCTTATCCACTGTGTTGTTCCTGGACTCTTAACTGTCTTCAGTTGGCAATTTTATTAAATTAAAAATCAAAATTTTACTGGACACAGTACTCTTTCCTTAATTCTGTACTTCAGTTAATTACAATAAATAATTTTTAATCTGAGAATGATGTTGGGGATTGATAGGAGGTAGTCCTTTTTATATAAAACTTTAGGTTATAGAGTAACCCTAGGTTGTTTCATGATTCTCATGTTGCAGGAAGTGTGTCATTATATTTGGCTTGTTTTTATTTTCAGCCAGAAATAATTTTCTTCTCACTTTATCAAAAGACTGATGCTGTGTGAGTAGAAGTTTTTAAAAAACTACATGATAACTGAAAGCACGTTGTAATGTGGCCAAATCACTCAGGGTTTCTGTGTCTAGATCTATTTTTCATTTGTTTTGTGTGTGATGCAAAAAGAAATTAATGAGATGTTGATTGAAATTTGGTCCTTTGACTCTAGTATCTATACAGATAAATTAATTTTTATAAAGAAATTATATACAGCTTATTATTCATTAAGATACAAAAATTGCGCATATTCAATTTACAGCCAATTTATATTTTTATTTGCCATTTTGTTTTAAGATTTATGCTAAATTCTCCTGAATTTTGTTATTTGAAACTTTC
This sequence comes from Homo sapiens, assembly GCF_000001405.40. NCBI lineage: Eukaryota > Metazoa > Chordata > Mammalia > Primates > Hominidae > Homo > Homo sapiens. Next base: position 4,273,592 of record NC_000005.10, read on the forward strand.
ACAACTAATACATGAAGTCATTCTTATATCAGATTCTGCTTTTCTTATCTTTACTTCAAATATTTGTATTTTTACTATTTTACTAAGTTTAAAAATATTTTAGAGTATATATTACAAAGAAGTTATACCTAAAACCTTGATAAGACTTTGTTCTTTATTATATTAACCTTTTCCAAATTGTAAGGTTCCGCTGCTCCCATCTATCAATGTCTAACTTAATAGATCCAATCACTAGTTCTAAGTTTATTTTAATTACAACTTTAAGCTCGGTTGTTGCATTAGCACTTGCATTTGTTCTTTGTTTAAATATTCCCTAAATGATAAAACTCTCAAGGCATTTCTTAAGGCTATGGCTACTAAATGACTTTAACGGATATTATGTAACAGAGAAATAGCAAATTATAAGCAATACTTATGGGATACTTTGAGAATTATTTTATACAAATATTTGGGAAAGTAATGTGAAATATAATATTATCTCTTACATCTGAAAATAATAACTTAGACTCATTTTTAGGCAATCACAGCCAAACTGGTCCAACTATAACTTCAGGCATATCTGAAAAAGTCTCACTCTCAAAGTGTATGAGTTCAGCTTCCCAAAATTGTTTGCACTAAGCCTAGCCAGTGGAGTGGAGAGACAGAATTTTTTAATCACCGGGATTATATGGATGGAGCCTTAAATGCCTCATTATAGTTTCTCTCTCTGTCTCTCCCTCTGAAGCAGAGACAGCATCAGCCACGTGTCACAAAAGCTAGACAAGTGCAGGGCCTGTACTCTGTGATGGTGAAATGACCAGGAGCAGAGGGTAATAGGGCTTTCAGAACATTCCTACCTGCGGGCTCCCATGGGCCCTCCCACTTAGAGCAATTAATAGCATTATGCTCTCATTGTTTCAGACAATCAGCTTTTGAGCTGACAGACATGGGTGTGCGGTGTGCACAATTCAAACCACCTCCCCAAAATGCACATGCAAAGTTTGTCACCTCGTTCCTGGTCTATTCTTGGGGGTCCTGGTTTGGCCCTCAATGATACATACAAATTAGCTACACAATACTAAAGTACAGTTGTGATTTTTCTTTTAAATAAAGCATAAACACTAACAAATGTGTCACCAAAGTCTCTGGCAAAAGCATTGAGACATTGTCCCAAGAGTTGACACTTGTTTGGGGGTACATCTATGTACCAATACTCACCATTCCCAATTCGGGGTCTCCACAGCCACCTTTGGGAGGGCTTGCAGCTGACTCTGGGTTTTAGGAGGAATTACAGCCAGCCAGTGTAGAAGGGATATATATATATATATATATATATATATATGTGTGTGTGTGTGTGTGTGTGTGTGTGTGTGTGTGTGTGTCTAGATAGAAAAATAGACACTCATGGAGTTGTAAGGGTTTTTCAGAAGATCATCTATCTATACACTCAGGTTTACAAGGCAGTAACTCCTGAAGACCAGTGTTATGTTGCACAGGTGGAAAAAAAAATCTAAGTTAGACCAAGGTCCTCTTGACCCCATGTCCAATGAATTTCCTAGGATCAGCCACTCTGTCAACTGGTAATTAAAGGATTTTAAGCAGATGTTGTCTTCAGAAAAACAATTTTCTGTTTAATTTTCCAAAGGGAAGATGTAAGAATGTGGATTATTTCTAGAAAATTGTGTCTTCAATGTTTTGAAGTTCAATTTTTAAGATAAATAATGAAACTACGTCGTAATCTTGGGTTTCAGAAATGAAACCATGACTCGTTGTTGATAAAACCACAGTCAAGTAGTGAGCCTATCATGTTCCAAATAACTTGAAGGAAGAGACAGGGTCTGCAGCCACTTGTGTGTCCTGTGATGATCCCAGCAGGGTGCCCGCACACAGCAGGGACTCAGTAAACACCTGGCAACCCGGCTGAACGTGAGGCTTTGAATTGCCGGTTTATTTCATTGGTAGCTTCTGCCAGTGGCATATTCTAATTCACGTACTATAGGACAAATTATTGATAGGATTCCCTAGTAGGCCTGGGAAATGTAAATCCTACAAAGGTTATAAAATGACATATTAACATAAACATTTTATTTTGTCCCAAATTTTCTTGCCTCTGTCTCTCTCTCCTTTCTTCTCTTTCTTCCTTTCTCTCTCTTCCTTATCCTCTTATTCCTCTTCCCTCTCCTCTTTTTTCTTTCTCTGCCTGTCTGTCTCTCTCTGTGTCTCTGCTTTTTTCTCTCTTATTCATTTTGCCACTTCCCTTATGCCTATGCGGTATACTTTGGCTCATGCCCCATCATTGGATGTCTATGCTTAAGTAAAGTGAGAGAAAAGAAAAAGTTCAGGTGCCTCCGTTTACATAAACTTGTCTGCTGTGTTCTCTTGGAAGGGCGAGACAGTGCTTTCAAAAAAATTCACTTTTCCCGTAAAGGCTAATTTTCCTAAACACTTCTAATTTGTCTTTTCTCTGCCATGTGTGTTTTCTGGGTTACTGGAATGAATATTCTTTTTTTTTTTTTTTTTTTTTTTAGACTGAGTCTGACTCTTTCTGTCGCCCAGGCTGGAGTGCAATGGCACTATCTCGGCTAACTGCAACCTCTTACTCCCGGGTTCAAGCGATTCTCCCACATCAGCCTCCTGAGTAGCTGGGATTACAGGAACCCACCACCACACGCGGGTGATTTTTGTATTTTTAGTAGAGATGGGGTTTCAACATGTTGGCCAGGCTGGTCTCGAACTCCTGACCTCAGGTGATCTGCCTGCCTCAGCCTCCCAAAGTGCTGCAATTACAGGCGTGAGCCACTGCATCCGGCCTGCAATTAATATTCTTTATTCTAGGTTATTATGTTCATAAACACTCGGGTAATTTTCTATTTTTTTTCAATGTCAGTCGTTTTGGTACATGTGAACTTCTCTAAAGCTTAGGCATTCTATATTTTCTTTTGAAAGGTGTAGCTAGCTCCTGTTAGTAGAGGAAACTAGTTTAGCTTGGATATAAGTAAGAAAAATCACTCTCTTCTGTTGTTGAGTCGGTTTGTTTTCTATTATATTTAAAGGATGATAAGATTATTTGACAAAAATTCTTCTGCATAAGACATTTCATAGTTGATATCATGTAATGAATATAAAAAGAAAACTGACCAATCAATATTCTTCATTGGTTTCATTTGGCATTTGGTTATGTATTCTACTGTGGGAATGTGTGGGCCTGGTGTTTCACAGTGTATAATGTAACTGTTTTCACCCGCACACACCTGGCTCAGAAGAGATGAAGGTTAGCCGGGCGCGGTGGCTCACACCTGTAATCCTAGCACTTCGGGAAGCCAAGGCGGGCGGATTGCCTGAGCTTAGGAGTTCGAGACCAGCCTGGGCAAAACGTGAAACCCCTCTGTACTAAAATACAAAAAAAAAATTAGCCAGGCATGCTGTCATGCGCCTGTAGTCCCAGCTACTTGGGAGGCTGAGGCAGGAGAATTGCTTGAACCTGGGAGGTGGAGAGTGCAGTGAGACGAGATTGTGCCACTGCACTCCAGCCTGGGTGACAGAGTGAGACTGTCTAAAACAGAAAGATAAAGAAGAAGGGATGAAAGTCACCCTGCATTGTGCCATGTCGTGTTCTCAGTGGGTGACTTTCCCTCTAACGAGCAAAGGTGTGTGTAGGTGAGTCACCGCCTTTCCAGTCTGTGCAGGACTTCAGCTCTAATAAGGCTGCTCTCCAACTTCTCACACCTTCATGCTGTGCTTCCCAGGTTTCAAATTAAAAGCAACAGTGAAACGAAATATTTAGGTATTTTTCATGTGATGCAGAGCTTTCAGATATTCAACACTGACAGAGTAAAATAGCTGAGATTGTGTGGAATTTTTGGAAAAATTTAAGCAAAGAATATCCAACCATGAATAGATAAATGTGAAATTAACTGATAACACATGTGGACATTTTTGCAAAGTTATGCCAGTCTGAGTGTTATGAACATCTCGTGTCAGAAGAAATCAAACTGGATACTTGATACTGTCACAAATATCAGCCTAGTTATGTACATGAGCTTTCTACCTCTGCATCCACGTCTCTCCACCTTGGGCGTTATGGGCATTTTGGGCTAGATAATTCTTCCTGATGGGTGCTGTCTTGTTCACTGTAGAAAGTTTAGCAGCCTCCCCAGCCTCTGCCCACCCAGTGCTGGAAGCGTCACCAGCTCAGTGATCATTATGAAAAATCAAAAATATCCCCAGACATTGCCAAAAGCCCCCAAGGGAGGTGAAGTAACCCTTGGAAGCTATGGATCTATCTAATAGGATTAAAAACATTTCAATAATATACAGAATTTCAACATCAATTTAAAAAGTATATTGATACAACTTTGTTAAATGGACAAAATATATTCATTTACTTGATGTTTTCCTTTTCAAGGGTATTTTTTAATTTGGGGCAAGTCATATAAAAGTTCCTCTTGACCCATTGATGGCTCTCCTGTGATGGGTTCTTTGAGAGTGCCAGTGGGGTTGACTGGATGCATGCATCTCCAGCGGCACCGCGGGACATTTACACCAGAGCAAAGCGACATCACCAATTCAGCCAGGAAGGCAGGGAGGGTCATCCATGCGGGTGAGGGACAACCTCAGAGTTTGCCTACCAAGAACCCCAATCTACAGCCCCGGGTCACTGCTTCAGGAGAGCAGGGCACCAATCCTAGGTGGGCTTCAAGCAAAACTGAAGGCACCTAAAGGGGGGTGTGCGAAGTGCCTCTCTCTTTTCTTTTATACAGTCTGTCATTTTTATTTCTAACAGTAGATTTTTGAAAAGGCAAATCGGACGACATTCAGAGAAGAGTGTCCCTAAAAGTGAGGGGCCATGGCCTGTGCCATGTGGGAAGACAAGCCACACTGGGTTAGCACCTGGGTGGGGTGGCAGAAGCCCCCGATTCTGGGGGCGTCCCGAAGCTCTCATCGACTAATGGCATCCTCCTCCTGAGCGTGGGCTTCGATGTACTTTGGATGTGTGTCCCTGCCCAAATTTTATATTGAAATGTAATCCCCAGTGTTGGAGGTGGGGCCTGGTGGGAGGTGACTGGATCATGGGGACAGATTTCTTATGAATGGTTTAGCACCATCTCCCTTGATACTGTCCTCAGGGTGGAGAGAATTCTTTTTTTTTTTTTTTTTTTTTTTTTTTTTTTTGAGACGGAGTCTCGCTCTGTCGCCCAGGCTGGAGTGCAGTGGCGCAGTCTCGGCTCACTGCAAGCTCCGCCTCCCGGGTTCACGCCATGCTCCTGCCTCAGCCTCTCCGAATAGCTGGGACTACAGGCGCCCGCCACCACGCCCGGCTAATTTTTTTTTATTTTTAGTAGAGACGGGGTTTCACCGTGGTCTCCATCTCCTGACCTCGTGATCCACCCTCCTCGGCCTCCCAAAGTGCTGGGATTACAAGCGTGAGCCACCGCGCCCGGCCACAAATTCTTGTTAGATCTGGTCATGCAAAAGCCTGTGGTGCCTCCCCCCTCTCACTTTTTCTCCTTCTCTGGCCATGTGATGTGTCTGTTTCCTCTTCGCCTTCTGCCATGACTGTAAGTTTTCTGAGGCCTCCCCAGAGGCAGAGCAGAAGCTGCTACGTTTCCTGAACAGCCTGAAGAACTGTGAGCCAATTAAAGCTCTTTTCTTCATAAATTACCCAATCTTAAGTATTCCTTTAGAGTAATGTAGGAATGGCCTAGTCCAGGCTTCTACCACAGGACAATGAGTATAACCTTTCAGTCTTTCTGGGAGAGGTGAGTGTGGAATAACACATACCACAGGTAAGCACACGTCCTTCTTCCTCTGCCCTCAAATCTGTCTCCATCAATTTCCTTTATTTATATAAATGTATTTGTACACATTTTACACATATGGAGAAGGAACTTGTATTGTTTAACACAATGAATGGCAGACTGGGGAACACAGCCATTACTATTAGTGTTTAGAGGTCTACCTAGCAGAGAGGGGCTACCTGTGCTCCCCAGGTGAGCAGAATGAGGATTAACACATGAAATCTTCATGTAATACACCTTACAGGTGTGTAAGTTTGACCCAGTCCAATCCTAATGGCTTTCTTCTCCATCTCAGGATTTCTCTGAGTTCAGAAGTGACTTTCCTGCCATAGGCACCATAGATCACTGCGACCCAACGAACCACAAAATCTGTTCCAGTGCTTGGCTATCATGGTTGATGGACTGTGAATGCAGAGAAGCAGAAAATAAGCTCTGCACCCTGGCACTTAATCAAGCAAAGGCTTAACAGTTTAATAAGTCTATAACTTTCTCCCCTTCAGTAATAGTGGAGCAGTGCCACAATATTGGCTCAGCCAAAGGTTGATATGTCATCCCGGTAGATAACCTTGTCCATATTTGACAATAAATTCATGGTTGGAATTTACCTGCATGGATCTCCTGATTTTTCTTTTCTTCTTGCTTCTTAGCCATATGGTAACAGTTTACCTCTGCAATTCTCACATGTGTGTACAGACATACACACACACACACACACACACACACGGGGAGGCACACATACAACTTTGCTATATTAGGTGCAGAATTCTTCAATCAAGTCTAGAGTTCCATAAGATTTTCCTTACCAAATTACCAAGAAATGTATTACTTCCTTCCTGAGACCTCCATCCCACCCCTGACTTCCCCGGAACACTGGTGCCAGATCCATCTCTTCTGCTTTCACAAATGAGGTGGAGAAAAAAAGTGGAGTGGCAGCAATTGGCTTGAGAACACCTGTTTGGAGTCACCTTTGCATCTACTGTCTACCCGCTAAGCCTTTGTCCATCATGGTGGTGACTAGCTTATTGGCTCTGTCACCTGCTCTGACCCCCAAGGACCTCTACGCTCTGGACCCAGGGATGCTTTCCTCCAGGTTGTGTGGTGCAGGCTTCCCAAAACACGATTGACATGTCAAAGTGGTGGGTTCAGATAATATTGCAGCTTTAGCCACAACATGCGGGAACCAGATTGCCCCATAAGCACGTGGACGTAACATCAAGCCTGGATCCCCATTGCCACTACCCTTCTTATGTGGCAAGCCCATCTTTGGTGTCCAGCCTCCTGTTCTCCCCAGATAAGAGTCTGAATCAACCCAAGCCACACACACTTATCTTCCTATGGTGATCTTCACCTTAGCAGAATCAGGGACATCTCCATCTCTTCCTAAAGACCTTTTTGTCCTACGCTACCTTCCTTCCCACCGTGACCATTCCACATGCCAGGGCTGTAGAGGGAAGCGGACTTGGTCAGACTCACCCAGGGCAGGGAGTGGCTACTTACAATACATTTTCATAAAAATTATTGTCAGAGCTAAGGTAGATCTTCTCGAAGATGACTTTGTGTGCCTCAGATTTTTTTTTAAGTTAAGATGCCATTCAGTAACCTACACAAAACTTCTGTAAACACACACACACACACACACACACACACACAAATATTGCACATTAAACAAAGCAATAAATGATGCAGATATTTAAATAAAAATGCTTTGCACCCTCCTATATCTATAGAGTGGGCCCTTACTTGTATTAAACTATTTTTTAATTTTTATTATTTTCAGTTCGTATATTTTATATTTATATCTTTGCTTTTCATATTTTTGCATCTTTTTTTTTTCTTTTTGAGGCAGGGTCTTGCTTTGTTGTCCAGGCTGGAGTACAGTGGCACGATCTTGGCTCACTGTAGCCTCAACCTCCAGGGTACAAGTAATCCTCCCACCTCAGACCACTGAATGGTAATTTTTAAAAATTTGTTTCAGAGATGGGGTCTCACTATGGAGTCTAGTCTCCAACTCCTAGGCTCAAGTGATCCTCCTGCCTAGGCCTCCCAAAGTGCTGGAATTACAGGCATGAGCCAACATGCAACTGTGGTGTTGAATTTCTCTCTCTGTATTACTTTCTTCTCCCCCTTGAAAAGTTTCTTCGGCTCAGTCCTAGATATGAACATTTCTTAGGAGAAGAGTCGAGGATAACAGTAGCCTCTTTGGTATTCCTTATTGTGGGCACATAATTCTAAAACGATTATGAAACTGTGCTCTCAAAACCTAGAATGAGCTGCCCTCGGTGGTCTACTACTTTATATGCAGAGCAAGATTTAGATCATATTGCCATAGGTTTAGTATCATTAGTATTTGATTCATTTCTAGTGGGATTTTAGTTAGAAACACAATTGCAAGGGTGCCATTTGTCAAAACATACAAAGAAAATTTTTAAAACAGGAGTATCTGTTAACCCAAAAATTATTTTTCTAAGTCGTTTTTCCTAAAGAAATATTTAATGATATACATAATATATAAGAAGAAATATATTATTAATTCAAGGTAATGTATAATATAAAACATGAGAGACAACCTGAATTGTAATAATGATGAAAGTTTAATTAATAGTCATAAAATGGAATGCTAAAGAATTGTTAAAATTATAGTATCTGCAAAATATCTAATGGTATACAAATTATCCATTAGTAGCCAGGCATAGTGGCTCATGTCTATAATCTTAATATTTGAGGAGGCCAAGTTGGGTGGATCGCTGGAGCCCAGTAGTTCCAGACCAGCCTGGAGGACACAGGGAAACCCTTTCTCTACAGAAACATTAAAAAAAAAATAGCTGAGCTTGGTGGTGCATGCCTGTAGTCCCACTACTTGGGAGACTGAGGTAGGAGAATGGCATAAACCCAGGAGGTTGAGACTGCAGTGAGCTGTAATCCTGCCACTGCACTCCAGCCTGGAAGACACAGCAAGACCTTGTCTCAAAAATAAATAAATAAATAAATAAAATAAAAAATCATTCATCATCAAACAGTGAAAAATAATTATTTTATTTCTACAGTTACTTTGTTTGTGTGACATATGTATAAAAATGAACAAAAGGTAATCACCAAATTATTAAAAGTGCTTATCTCTAGGTCAGAGGATTGCACATTATTTTCTTTTTTATACCCTTCTATATTGTGCTACTTTATTTATAATAAGTGCAGATTCTTTAGATTGATAACTGTTGAGACAATATTGTGTAATGTAGCCTTCTCAACGGGAAGCAATTTTGACCCCAGGGAACATTAGTGGCATCTGGAGACATGTTTAGTTGTTACAAATGGGGCAGTGACATGCTGCTGGCAACTAGTGGATAATGTCCAGGGACACTGCTAAACATATGACACACAGAACAGCTCTTCACAACAATCATTTGGCTCAAAATGGCAGCAGGATTGAGGTTGAGAAACCCTGAAATAGGAAGGAGTACAGGCTCAGAAACCAGACTAGATGGTGTCAGATCCCAACTCTATCACTTCATAATTGCAGGACCTCAGGTGCATTGTGTGTCCTGCTGGTGACTCAGTTTCCACTTTTGGCAAATGAGGATAATAGCAACACCTTTCTCACAGGAAAGTCATAGGGCTGAATTTGATAATAAAGGCAAAGTGCTTAGAAAAGTGCATGGTTCACAGTCAGCACTGAGCAAATGGAAATATCTTCCTAGGGTTTTATTTACATATGTATACACATACACGTATATAAACATATATACACATATGTATATAAATATATAAATGCATATACATATACACATACATGTATATAAACAGATATGTATACATATAAATATGTATATGTGCAACATATATGTATATATGCATGTAACACATACACATATGTGCATGTATACAACATATGTATGCAGATATGCACACATGTACATAAACACCCATGTTTATATGCATACATGCAACACATGTACACATATACATGCAGGTATATAACATGTATGCACATGTATGTTTATATACACACATTTGCAGCATTTTATTTCAAAATTGTGAAAAATACAGAAAGAACCAGTAATAAAGGAAACATTCAAAATTATTGAGTGATATTTCATCTTATTTCATCTTCAGATTCTTTTGAAACTTAAATCATATTACACTTAAATAAGACATCACTGATGGGGTTGTGTTTCTCTGCTTCCCTTTCCATTCCAATACTCCTCCTCCCTTTCTCCTCAAGGAAGACGTGATCAGGAATTTTGTATGCAATTCTAATCCATTCGTTTTGCTTTATCACAAATATATGTGTCTCTAAGCTAGCTATCTGTTTATTCATCTAATTATGATGTGCATTTTTAAATTTTCCAATACTTTTGTTATTTACCAAAATATTAATTAGTGTTGTCCTTCTAAAGAAGGCAAGGACCTAGCATGGTTTAATTTTACTCCAAAACCACCTCTTCCTTTGCATATTTCTACACTTTTTGTTCCATTTTTAGGCAAAAATAAATGATCCTTTTATAATCAATAATTGATTCCATTATTAACATAATGTTGGCAGTTTACTTGTTTGTCTCTGTTCATTTTTTATCTCATTTCTTCTTTTGAAATATGTTCTTGATGAATTATATGATTTGGTAACTATCTTAATTCTTTAGTAGGGTCCATAAGTGGCATACTTTTATCATCTTTGCGTGCCTGCAAATATCTTTATTTTCCTCCACATTTTAAAAATAGACAAAATGGGTATGAAAAAGTGGGTCCATCATTATTTTCCTCAGCATGTTGAAGATTTTACATGATTTTCCAGCAGATGTTGTGAAGTCAATGCCTAATGTCAATGTGGTTATTTACGTTGGTAATTACGAAGTTGTTCTTTTAGATCTCTAATATATTCTATGATTATTCCCTTTATAATTTATTTTATGTAGTTTTTTAACATATATCTAATGTGGACTTATTTATTCTACTCACCACCAAGTATATGCTGAATGTCTATTTTTGGCTTTTTCCTTTTGTCGTGTGTTCTTATCCATGTGTTCATATTCACTAATTCTCTTTGCGATTGTGTTTAATAAAGAATTTATCTTTTTTTTTTTTTTTTTTTTTTTTTTTTTTTTTTTTTTGGCAGGGTCTGGCTTTTGTCACCCAGGCTGGAGTGCAGTGGTGTGATTACAGCTCAGAGCAGCCTCAGTCTCCTGGGTTCAAATGATTCTTCCTCCTCAGCTATAGCTGGAACTGCAGGATCCCGCCACCACACCCAGCTAATTTTTGTACAGAAGGGGTTTTGCCGTGCTGCCCAGGCTGATCCCTAACCCCTGGGCTCAAGCAATCCACCCACCTTAGCCTCCCAATGTGCTGGGATTACAGGTGTAAGCCACCGTGCCTGGCAATAATTTTTCTTTTATATCAAGTTTCTTCTTCATTTTAAAAAAATTTAAGGTCTATTTTTACTTCCAGGAATTTTAATTGATTGTTTTCTCTATAAAATGCATTTTACATTTATGTTACACTTATCTCTTCATTTCTTGAGTAATTCAGCACACATTATTAAAATTCTTTTCACATTATGGTGTCATTTTCCTTTTCTGGTGAAATGTTTCTCTCTTTAGGCAAGGATATTTTTTGTTTTGGTTTGATTTTCCTAACCTCTCAGCTTCACATTTTTCTTGTGTGTATTGAAATGTGTTGTGAAGCTTCATGATGAGCAGATACTCCTTTTGAGGCGGTTTAGAACCAGGTCATGAGCTGGTGGCTTTAGATCTTAATCCTTTTTCCATACTTGGACCATGGCCTGACCTGGTTCTTAGGTTCTGGTGCTGCTGGGTTTTCCTGCCACTGCAGACAAATTGTTTACTTTCAGGCAGAGCCTTGGATAGCTGCAGATTTTTAAGGGCCCTCTTTATAAAAATATTATCTATTCCACACCATACAATTGTTTTCCACATTTTCTATTTCTGTCTAGAGCCCAGCAAGCTTGTGAATGAATTCCCTTCTCATTGCTCTGTATTTAAGTCTGTCTTTCTCCTCTTTCCTTGTCTTCCTCCTTCCCTTCCTTACTTCTTTTCTGCAATGCTTTTTAGTTAACTAATATATAGTTTAAGTCCTGAAAGTAAGTTCTCTCTCTACGTGTATATATACATATATAGTGTGTATATATATAGTATATATATAGTGTGTGTATATATATAGTGTATATAGTATATATTTAGATATACATGTATATATATATATTTTTAAGGCCTGAAAGTAAGCTCTCTCTATATATGTATATACACTATATATATATATATATATATAGCTTCACTATATATATATATATATAGCTTCACTATATATATATATATAGCTTCACTATATGTATATATATAGCTTCACTATATGTACCTAGCTTCACTATATATATATAGCTTCACTATATATATATAGCTTCACTATATATATATAGCTTCACTATATATATATATAGCTTCACTATATATATATAGCTTCACTATATATATATAGCTTCACTATATATATATATAGCTTCACTATATATATAGCTTCACTATATATATATAGCTTCACTATATATATATATAGCTTCACTATATATATATAGCTTCACTATATATATAGCTTCACTATATATATATAGCTTCACTATATATATATAGCTTCACTATATATATAGCTTCACTATATATATATAGCTTCACTATATATATATAGCTTCACTATATATATATAGCTTCACTATATATATATAGCTTCACTATATATATAGCTTCACTATATATATATAGCTTCACTATATATATATAGCTTCACTACATATATATAGCTTCACTATATATATACTGTATATAGAGAGAGCTTATATATATAATGTATATATAGAGAGATTTGTATATATATATATAAACTCTCTCTATATGTATACACTATATATATATAGCTTAACTATATATGTATATGTGTATATATATATACTGTATATAGAGAGAGCTTACTTTCAGGACTTTAACTATATATTAGTTACTATATATTAGTTACTATAATATATATATACATATCTATGTATACATTATATATAGTGTATATATATAGTTAAAGCCATGTGTTTTAAGCAGGGCTTGGGGTTTCTGCTTTGTAAAACACTCACTGCCTTTTTAGAGTCTTGCAATATAAACATACAGTTAAATCAATATACCGTTTGGCTATTTTCATTTTTCTAGCTGATTCTAAAAAATATTTGGATGTTGTTTCCACTTGATTTCTACTGTCTTCCATGATCTTGGACCACTAAAGGCCAACACCAGTGTTAATTCTTCATGCTCTTGCTTATTTCATTGTGGCCAATTATTCTAGCCTCATTTATTAGATCCCTCTTTGAGCCAAGTAGACTTACAGTATGGTCCCTGTTCTCCCTTTACACTTTGCTTTAAGTTGCATGGTGGTGTGCAAAAATCCCTTCAGGAGGGTTTTTTTTCGAGCTGATCAAGTTCAGTTAACCCTTCAAGCCCCATTTAAAATCTTCTCACATTATCTTCTAATTCCACTTTAACATTGGCCAATCATTTTCCCGTGGGTTTCCCTTCTTGATTCCTTTTTCAGTCTTGTCTAAAAGTCCCTCTTCTTTCCTGTTTTCCATAAAATGGCCTGTAGGAATTGGAGCCAGGAGACCACACTGACCTATTGTGTGGTTGAGGGACTCTCTCAGCTAATCCAAATTTGAGTCTCCTTATGTGCAAATTGGGTGAAATGATAAATTTCATCACTCTCTTTAAGAGTTAGGTAGGGATATTGAGGAGTACACTTCAATGTAAGCTCCTCCTGGAACTCCCAGGAGCTCCTCTACCTGCTGCCTCATTCAGGATCACGCACCAGACTCATCTTCACAGCAAATGTTCCACAATACCTCCTGCCATTGACAGACTCTTCATCATGGCCATTGAGTTACTGTTGCTCTATGATACATTTTTCTCTATATGCTCTTATTAATTTTATTCAACCATCTTTTTAACCCAGTTCATTTAGTCATGATTATGGTGAGTTGTTCTACCTAGGGTTTATTTAGATTTGTCTTTAGTTAGCACAATGCTTTGCTCATATTGGTCTATGCATGAACTCTGTACTCATTAATTTACTTTCATCCTGCCTTGCATTCTTTAACTGGTATTTCAGCAGGGGTGTATCACTGGTCGGTTATCTGGTTTTTATTTGGCTGAATATGTGTTTGAGGTGCAGGTTTCCAAATATTCTGAATTTGAGCAAGGGCTTCATTTTCTTTTCTTTTCTTTTTTCTTTTTTCTTTTTTTTTTTTTTTGAGACAGAGTCTGTCTCTGTCTCTGTCGCCCAGGCTGGAGTGCAGTGGCGTGATCTCGGCTCACTGCAAGCTCCACCTCCTGGGTTCATGCCATTCTCCTGCCTCAGCCTCCTGAGTAGCTGGGACTACAGGCGCCTGCCACCACGCCCGGCTAATTTTTTGTATTTTTAGTAGAGACGGGGTCTCACCATGTTAGCCAGGATGGTCTCGATCTCCTGACCTCGTGATTCTCCCGCCCCGGCCTCCCAAAGTGCTGGGATTACAGGCGTGAACCACCATGCCTGGCTGAGCAAGGGCCTCATTTTCAATCCCTATTTGGCCTCATGGGCACTAAGGTCCAAGCACTCAGCTCCTAATGGATACATTCCACCTTCACACCCCATTTGGATCCCTCCAGGATGCCATGGACATGGCTCACCTTATCACAATAAAAATTCCCTCTTTGTTACCCAGAGATGCTTCTACTTTGCTAGTTTACTAAGGCATTTATCAAGAAAAAACGAAACTGTATTCAGCATTTCTAGGTGTCCACAGTAGAAAAGATCCACATAAGTATACTTTCCTTGTTGCTAAGCCCAGAAATCTCCAAGATGATGCCCTGAAACCAGATAGCATCTAACTGAAAGAGGGGAATCATCCTTAGTAGAGAACAATATGTTTGCAAGAACAGATAGAGTGGAAGATTGGTTCCTTCAGGGACTGGCACTAAATTTAGTTGTAGGAAGAAAGTGAATGGAAAGATGAAGCTACAGTTATAACCCTTGTCTAGATCCTAATGGCTCTTAAAGCATGAGTTCATGTCCTTTACAGAGACGTGGATGAAGCTCGAAACCATCATCCTCAGCAAACTAACACAGTAACAGAAAACCAAACACTGCATGTTCTCACTCATAAGTGGGAGTTGAACAATGAGAACACATGGACAAAGGGAGGGGAACATCACACACTGGGGCCTGTCAGGGGGTGGGGGGCAAGGGGAGGGAGAGCATTAGGACAAATACCTAATGCATACAGGGCTTAAAACCTAGATGACAGGTTGATAGGTGCAGCAAACCACCATGGCATATGTATACCTGTGTAACGAACCTGCACGTTCTGAACGTGTATCCCAGAACTTAAAGTAAAATCATAAAAAAAGGAATAGTAAGGAGTGTGAATCACATTCTGAAGGATGTAGGCTGTGTGTTTAAAACTGTAAAGCAGACATCTTAGAAAGATGTTCTATCATGAATGGATTAGAGGGGATATGGGATTTAAGGCAGGGAGATGACCTAGGACCTATTTTAAAAATCTACGAAAGAAACAAAGATGACCCTGGGAATACAGATGGAAAGCCGTGATTCCCTGTTAAGTAGGGAAATCAAGACTTTTTAAATTCAGCAACCAGCTACTCTTCCCAATGGGTTGGTAGGAAGGTTCCAATGGATATTAAAGGAGATGTGATGGGGAATAAAGAAAAGTTTGGGATCTTCGTGATTATCTCATAGCCTGTTCCCTGTGTACTTCCAGGTGATGAATACATGCCTCTCTAAGATGTATCTATTGGTTCATAATAACATGATCGACTTCATTTGTTAAGAAAACACAATTGAGCAGGGTGCGGTGGCTCATGCCTGTAATCCTAACACTTTGGGAGGCCAAGGAGGGAGGATCATGAGGTCAGGAGTTCAAGACCAGTCTGGCCAAGATGGTGAAACCTCATCTCTACTAAAAATACAAAAAAAAAATAGCTGGATGTGGTGGTGTGCGCCTGTAATCCCAGCTGATCGGGAGGCTGAGGCAAGAGAATCATGTGAACCAGGGAGGCAGAGGTTGCAGTGAGCTGAGATTGTGCCAAGGCACTCAAGCCTGGGCGACAGTGTGAGACTCTGTCTCCAAAAAAATAAAAATAAAAATAAAGAAAAAAGAAAATAAAAAGGAAAGAAAACACAATTAGTTATTTTCTAGGAACATAAATTTAAATAGAGGATGCCTGTAGGGTTGTGAGCAGGATATGTGGATGAAGAAAAATCTGATGTGCTGTTTTCCTCTCTGTGTCTTGGAATTGCAAATGCAGTATTTCTGTCCTCTCTCTAACCTTCTTTCTCTTTGTTATTTACCTAAATGTTGTGATTTTCTGAAGATTGAGAATAAAGTCCTCCTCCTCATGATATTTCATCTATTGCAGGTGTATTTGGACATAATGTAATACAAATCATAGGTAGTAAAAAAAAAACTGTGGTGTATTAATAAATTAATTTCCATTTTCTCTGACTTGACCAGAACTTAATCTACGTAAGGGCAGGGATCTTTGTTAGTTCATGATGGACTTCCAACATCTAGGGCAGTGCCTAGCACAACTCAGGTACTCAAGATATATGTGTTGAATGAATGGATGTGGTCCTAATGCTTACGCACCATCTTACCATCACAAAATGATTGCTGTGTATGCCTGTCAGTCTATGGATGCAGACTTGAAAATGTCTCACAATTAGGATTACTGGCAAGTAAATGTTGTATATCACTTTTCTCTCCCATTTCTAGCATCAGACTGTTCTGTTTGTTTTCAAATTTAATTCAAATGTTCCTTAGAAACTCACAGATGATTTCAGAAGAAGAATATTATTTTTTGCAAGTCAAAAAGAAGAATATTCAGCTGGAATCTTTAAGGTAATTTTCATTAAGCGTATTGTTTGATAGCATGAAAACAGATGGAAAGAAAGCATCTTCCTCTCCTCTTTATGCTGCACTGGAAATAAAAAGTTAGAAAGTTGTCGTAAGATGAGGTCTATAATTAAAAACAATTTAGGTTGACTTAACAGTTGGTTAAGCAATTCTTTCAGTTCCTTTTTGCATCATGAGAAACTAAGATGGAAGCTTTCTCTCTGAGTGTTAATTATTCTTTTTTATTACAGTCATGGCACATAAGATCTTCCTTGTGCTTCAGTCTTCTCTGTAATTCAATGTTATGGTTAAAACATTTATTTCTGCCTTGCCAAAGGTTTTGAATCTTCCACCAGGAAAACTGCTTCCACTTCTCATTAAGAATTTAGAAGCCAACAAATCTCTGATGGGCACCTCTGCTCCCAACGTGGCATCACTGCATCCTCTCCATTGACACCATCGCCAAGCCCCTTAACACTTGAGGATTTTTAAAAATTGCTGTGCACTTCATCAGGTCCACCTGACTATTTCTGTTTTCAGTATAAGGCAATGTGTTTTCTTTATGGAATACCTGGAGGCTACAAAAAATGCATACAGATAAAAATTAAAATTAACTATAGTTATATCATCAAGAGAAATACTCAATTATTTCTGGAGATATAGCTGGTTTCTGGACAGAGTCTCACTCTGTCACCCAGGCTGCAGTGTAGTGGCACGATCTCAGCTCACAGCAACCTCCACCTCCCAGGCTCAAGTGATTCTCCTGCCTCAGCCACAGGCACGTGCCACCATGCCCGGCTAATTTTTGTATTTTTAGTAGAGACGTGGTTTCACCACGTTCTCCAGGCCTGAACTCCTGACCTCAAGTAATCTGCCCGCCTTGGCCTCCCATAGTGCTGGGATTATAGGCGTGAGCCACCGCGCCTGGCCTGGATATACATTTTTGAAAATGTGTTTAACCAGATTTTATGTAGAGGTTTTATACTGTTGTAATCTGCATAGGGCTTTTCCTACTATACAGATATGTGCTTTGAAAGTGTCACTTAGCTCACAAATAGCAGTATCTTCTAAAAGTGGATGGAGGTTATTTAACCAACCCTTTAATATTGGATATGAATGTCATGCCATTAAAATGTTTTATCATAAGTAATGATGCTTTGATTATCTTTTCCAACACGTTTGTTTCTGTCTCTGGAAATTTCATCAACATACATTACTAAAGGTCTACATCTTTTAGGAACGGTTACTCATTATCAAAATGTTTTTTGCTTTTCCTCATTTTTGTAGAAACAATTATTTTCTCTTATCAGGGTGTTATATTAAGAGTGAGGGATTTATCTCAGTAACATAAATCTTAAATGTCTTATAATTTAGTTGATTTTTGTTTGAACCAGAAGTTACAGCAAATCACACACACACACACACACACACACACACACACAGTTCAAGCCTACATACCCAGAAACACAATTCTCTCTCTTTCTCCTCCTTCATTTAGAACTTTTCCTGACTTTGCTGACCCTTCTGGGGCTGACACAATGCAGCTCTGAGCCACAATGCAAGCAGGGAGCATGGGAGCGGGCAGTGTGGGGTAATGGGTGTTGTCCTTGAGAGAGCTTTGCCCAGCTCCCTGAAGATGGTCCGTGAGACATGGTGCAGCCATTGTGCTTACTTCTGAAGTCAGGAGGTACGTGTTCTGGATTGAATTGTGTCCCCTCAAAATATATGTTGATTTCATAATCCCAAGTTCCTGTGAATTTAAACATATTTGGAAACAGGATCTTTGCAGATGTAATCAAGCTGAGATGAGGACATTAGGATGGGCCCTAATCCAATTATGAGTGGGATCCTTATAAGAAAAGGAAAGAGACACAGACGTGCATCCTCGCAGGTCCACTTCCGAGCAAGATCAGACACAAGGGAAGTGTACCACGGAAAGATGAGGTAGAGATTGTAGTGATGCATCCTCAAGTCAAACAATGCAGGAACTGTCAGTAGCCACCAGAAGCTAAGGAAGAGGTGTCAGACAGGCTCTCCTCCAGAGCCTTCAGAGGCAGCAAGGCCCTACTGACACTTTGATGTTGGGCTTCAGCCTTCAGAAGAGCAAGAGAGTACATTCCAATTGTTCAATTGTACCCAGTGTGTGGCACTTCCTTAGAACAGTTCCAGAAACTAGAACAGTATTCAGGCAGGCTGCTCAGTCAGGGCAGCATAATACTCCAGGAACCATCAAGAGAAACAAACCTGAAAATGCAGACATTCAGATCTTTCTCCCAGTCCTGGGTTTGTTAATTTCTACGTGGGCCTTACTGAAAGCTGATGAGATGCTGTGTCCTGTGTGCATCCACCCTATCTTGGCCCCATGCTGTAGATCACATAGGGAGGTCTTTTCCATTCGTTTCTTTCAGGCCAGCATGTTTGAGATGCACACGCAATTCCACAGCATTCTCACAGGTTCACCTCCAAGGTGGATCGGCCACTGGTGACACTGAGTCTTTTCTGTTAATTTCCACCAAGCACACACACCTGCCAATAGATTCCAGGTGTTTCCATTGGTTTGTTTTCACTCACAGTGATAAAATGTCTACCTCTCTCCTCATTAAAAATAACAGTAGTATACTCTATATAATTTGAGTTAACAACGGTCTGAAAAAGAATGCTTGCAGCGTGAGGATTATTGCATTCTCTATGTTTTCTTCTACTTCACCCTGTCTCTGAGCTGCAGCTGTTTCTTTTTCCCATTGTCTTCCTCCTCCTCTTTGTCTTACTCACTGACTCTCTCCTCTTTTGCCCTCTGCTCTATCCTCCTCCTATGTTCCAAAATAGTTGCAAGTAATTTTTGCAAACTCTCTGCAAAATATTTGCAAAATAGTGGCAAAATATTTGCAAACTTTTATGAACTGCTTTTCAAGGAGAATAGGAACAGCTGCTTTTAAAGAATGCATATGAGGCTTAGACCTCACGAATTATATGTCCAGTGGATAGTGTAATGATTGGTAAATCTTACAAATGTTCACTATCTTACTGTCTAAGTCATGGTATATGGCCAGCAGCATGTGAACTCGCATTTCAATTAAAACTTATTAGAATAATATTAGAAATCAATAGAAACTACATTTCTATTAATGCTTTACCAAAATACCCCCTTTGTTGATTTAATTAACATTCTTCTTTACAGACTAGGTGAAATACAGAAAAGAAGTTTAAAATAACAATTCAATCTTGAAAGACTTTAGAAAACAAAAGCACACATATCACCTTACTGGAGTCACAGCACTTGGAAATAGGAATAGAACCTTTGGATCTTTAGGTTACCTAAGGTATAAAAAGTTTTACAGGAATGCAAACAAATTTCAAAGAACTGTTTATGTATAAAGTATATAAAAATTGATTTCCATAGAACCAATTTGTTCTATGGAAATCAATAGAACCAACTGGGCTGTTCTAAACAACCCAATATAAGTCACCTTGGCTTACAGCTTCAAAAAGGAATAGAACTACATTTGAATTCTGGGTTTAAAAGTGGCCAGAATCATGATAGAGGAGCAGGAGGATGAGTACTTTTCTCTTTGTCCAGGATAGGATTGGCTTCACCTGTCTACCCCTAGACCAGTGATTGCCAGAGCTTCACATCCACCTTTTGCCCAGGGACAGAAACAAATCTTGATCCAGACCCACTGATTACCAACTGGGTAGATGAAGTCTAACTCAGTGACGGACCCAGAGGCCACGAATGGGTTAAAATAACAGTGTTCAATTGAGACAACTCTCAGATAATAAAACAAACCATTAGGTTGAGAAAAGAATGTCAGCATGATGTAGAGAGTCCCTTTAGAATCAATGATTCTGTAGATTATGAAAAGTATAAAGGAAATTTCCCAGGTGCAGGCATTTCATTCTGTGTCAATTTGTTGATTGGACACAGTTAAGGGGTCATTTTTCTATGATGGAGCTGGACCACTGGGCAGAGAATCCCATTTCTGCCTGTTAGCACCCATAAAACATACAATTGTGAACCCTAAAAATATTGGAATGTACCCATGAAGTCTTATGTATCTAGAACATGTCCGGGGTCATGGTTCTCTCAATTGAATCTGGATGTCTGAGTGAGAAGTTACTGATCTTATTATGGTAAACTGGAGGGAAAATGTCACTACAGGACCAAAAACTAAAACCTTCTAATGATTTTTGGCTTTCCTCTCTTTCAGTGTATGTTCAAAGGCATATGAGAAAGACACGATAAGAAGAAGGTAAAGGCGTTCTTATTACTGTCTTTTCTTAGCTTCATTGACAGGTCTTGCCATGAAGATTATACAGGACAATCTGTGAGAGTAGAAATCTGTTGTATGCTCTTTACACGATCCCTCATAGCAAAGCCCCCATCCCTAAGAAGCCTAGCACTTCCTCTTTGGTGCTGAAGAAATATCATCATCACCTGGCTCTACTTTGAATATTAGTTACACTGATTTACACCCATTTTCTCAACTGTCAGAACCCCCTGCCCCAATTATCCTATGTGGAAAGACCGTTTTTGAACAGTTTTTTTTTTTCATTAAAAACACAGTTAGTTTGATAATCTGATAGAAGCATAAGTTAAGAATCTTTGCTTAAGTTCTTATTTCTGTCACCACAAACGAATTTGCCACTTGCGTTCACTCTTTTTTGACCATAATCCCTTCTGACTCATTATTTAAGACTGAAGAGTGGATAAAGCCTTTCTTCATTTTCTTAAGTGCTCTGAGGACTTAAGCACTCATCGGAGCCCGAGCTCTTCAAATGTGCTGAGTAGCCATCTCTGAAGAGAGGGTTGCATAGGAGCTGAAATGTTTCACGCAATCAGCGACCTTTTATGCAGAGATCACAAATGCACCACCATCCTACCTTCCAATTCCTGGACGTAAACTCCCCCCACTGCAGACTTCCCCAAGGCTCACGTAGGCCCACGTCCACTTTATTTCAGGCATAGGTGAGTTCAGGAACCCACCCTCTGCTCTTCCATCTTTTTGTCCAGGTTGCTCAGAGACTTCCCCGTGGCAAGTAGGGATGAGTTCTCACGATGGAGCTGCACAATCTGAGTTGGCCAGCAAAGATTAAGGTTGATCATGGACCTTCTGGAAGGTTCTGGGTGTAGACAACCTGGCTTAAAAATGTTAAACAGGAGCTCAAAAAAAATTTAGCCCCTCTCTCAGACCTAATTAAGATCGCGGCACTCATCCATGCCCAAGAACCTTTTATCATCTCTCTCTTTTACAAAGAGAGCCTCTCTGCTGTGTTTTTTCTGCGATGTCTCCTTTCACAAAAGCAGCCAGTTTGTGCATTCATGTCTAGGGTAAGGAAGTCTTCTTGTAATCAACTGAACTGATCCCACAGATTTGGCAGAGGGGAATTCTTGCAGGCAACTGAGCTCTCACTCACAGCTTTGAGTTTAAGATTGCAGCTTACACTGT
This sequence comes from Homo sapiens, assembly GCF_000001405.40. Classification (NCBI taxonomy): domain Eukaryota; kingdom Metazoa; phylum Chordata; class Mammalia; order Primates; family Hominidae; genus Homo; species Homo sapiens. The sequence continues at coordinate 4,295,749 of NC_000005.10, forward strand.
CAAAACGCATGCTGATTTGATCCTTTCTTATAGGGCTGGATCCATAGAAAAGCTAGCTCTGTTGTGCTGATAAAGGCCTATTCAATGTGGGGTCTGACCCACGGAGACCGCCAGCCGGGGCTGAAGTGGAGCTCCTGCACCCCCTACAGTCCAGATCGTGGAAATTCATCACAATGGCTGCCTTTTTTTTTTTTTTTTAATGACTCACAACTGTATCAATGAGTGATTTATGTATTATGAAGTGTTAGAGAGTTTAAGAGAGCTTTATTTATGAAGGCCCCAAAGTCTCTGATATATGAAGGAGGAAAAATATTTCTCTCTCTCCAGTGCTCAAGCCGCTGTGGATCCCCTGGGCCCAGGCATGGAGGACGCTCTTCTTGGGGGATTGGCCCCTCCCGGGAGGTGAGCTCTCTGCCCCGCAGGGAACTCTACACCGTGTCTCAATGCAACATCACCCGGGTTTCAGCACCAGCCTAGGTTGTCACTTTCTCAGCAGTTCGGAGGAGAAAACTGTTGAGAAGCTTCTGGCAGGCAGACAGAGCTGGGATTCGAGCCTCTCTTTTATCCAAGAGCTGACCTTTGCTGTGTGTCAGCGAGGCTTGAAACCAGCCTCTCACTGACAAGAATGAGGGGGTGAAAGTGAAAAGGTTGTGTGTGTGTGTGTGTGTGTGTGTGTGTGTGTGTTTGTGTGTGTGTATTTGTTACACACAGATTCCAGCTTCTAGGCCCAAATCCAAAGCTTCCGTTGTCAGCTCTGCCTGTCAGTTCTGAGCAAGGCAAGTGAGGTTGGGTGCTGAGTGAGAGCGGGGGGCTCCTGGCTGGGCGCTGAGTGAGAGCGGGGGGCTCCTGGATCGGGGTGGATGGTCTTCTGTCTCTCCGGGGCTCATGTGAGCAGAGAGTGGCCTTTTCAAGCCAGGCCCAAAGAGACACATGGAAACGTCACATGGAAATGCCAGAAAAAAACTGACTTGTCCTATCCAGTTAGCTGTGTCTCCTTTTGGACACTAAAAGGAAGTAGCTTTGTGAGAAGTCCCGTCCCTCCCCATCAGAATAAACTGGCCATGGTTGCTCTGCTACATCAACTTGCCAGTGATCCCTAAGGCCTGGCTTAGAGCTGCTGTGCTGATGGGGACATGCTATTAAATCCGGTCAACGGTGTGTGTGGAGCCTGCTCCATGGCCAGCACCCTATTGGGTCATCACCCCGACCATGGAGGACAGAGGGTGCCATCCCTAGAGATGCTTTCAGGTAGGATACAGCCATGAGCTGTCCACGTGTTCATCGCTTTGGGCGGCACCTATGCCTTGTCCCACGTGACAGGTTTCCCTTCCTCTAGAATAGCAACGACTCCTATGAAGAAAGCACATCCTTAGCTTTCAACTGGAAAGACTGAAGTTTATCCTGCAGCCACAAAGTCACCTCTCTCTCATGGGCCTACTTGGCCGATGCCATCCTGAGAGAGCTCCATAACTGTTTCCAGTACCCTTAGAGCCACTTCATAACAACTTCCAGTATGGAAAGAAGTGCTCAGTGGAGTTTTCGTGTGCTTACTGTCATGGTCGTATTTTGATTGCACTTCAAATATGCAGTTCCAATAGCTTCTTAGCATAACTCCCGAATCTGAAGAGTGTTAAGTACTTACAATACCACCAACAGCTCAAGGAGCACAAGGTTTCTTACATAATTACAAGGAATTACTATGTCTTTTTTGTATTTTTAAAAAATGAAATAGGATTTTACTCGCCACAGAAAAAATAAACCTGGGGAATTATATGAAGCAAAAGATCAATGTTGTCCTTTGAATCTCTCCATCCTGCTCAGAGGAAACCAATGGTAACGCTTTGCTTCTATTGTTTGAACTGCAACTTTTGATGAAGCTTCCAGAAACCCCATCAGGACTCAACTTAGGATATGTCAACAGTGAGGGGATGGTTTTCCATCCAAGCGACAAAAAGCCTTAAGGAAAAGCAATGACAAATCCCCCGAGCAATGTATTTCTGAAATTTCCCACACAACATCATCCCAATCTGCATATATTTTTATATCTACAATTAGAAAACAGAAGTCAAGTACGTGGTCATCATTTTACTCGATGACCCACATATCTTTCACCAGAAGTTTGAGTTTTCTTCACAGAATTTTCGTGACAAAGAAAAACTGGAAAATATACACATACAGAAGCACTGACTAATTTGTATAAGAATGCATGAAATTAAAGGTCTATATAAGAACATCTTGTAAAATGCGATAAAACACAATGTATAAAACACAGTGTAAAGCAAAAATACGTTTTCTGCAAATAAATTATGCTCCCAAAGAACGAACGGATTCAAAATGCAAAGAGCACCTAAATAAAGCGTTTTCTGGAAACTGCAGGAGGGTTTTAAGAGTGCTTCTCAGTAGGCAGGGAATCCTATTTTGCAGAGCTATAAAAGTTGCTTTCTCTTTTAACCTCAGAGAAGTTCTAAAAAAAATTCCTCCAGATTCTTGAACCTGCTGAGAGTCTGCAAAAAATCCAAACAAACATTAAATTGTCCTTGTGGTACATCCATTTTTAAGAGTTTATGATAAAACTTACTCTAGAGACAAATAATGCCTATGCTATGATTTATGTAGGTAAATAAATAACTTAAAAGGCAAACAACAAGATGTGCTGGAAGGAGAATTGAGGTAGTTCCGAATCCTGCAGCTATTGCAGAAAATAACACTTGCTCTACCTTACACATTAAACACATTCTACATTATTTTAGGAAAGAAAAATAGCCCATCTGAGCCTTATTTATTTAAACATTGACAACGGAAAGACAACATCTGGGTAAGTCAATGGAGACATCACAGGAAATATGGTGACAGAATTCGAAATGGAGACCACAGAGAGCCAAAAGCCACAGAAAGGCAGAATCAGGCACAGGATTCAGGTGAAGGGAATCTTCATTTATTTTTTAGCATTTCTCTTAAAAGTATCTCAAAATCCTTTATATAGATTAGAAGATTAATTGCTGTCATATATGGAGAGTTAAAAGGCAAGAACATATTGATCTCTTTATTTTATAGATAGAACATTGGGAATACTATGCAGCCATAAAAAATGATGAGTTCATGTCCTTTGTAGGGACATGGATGAAATTGGAAATCATCATTCTCAGTAAACTATCGCAAGAACAAAAAACCAAACACCGCATATTCTCACTCATAGGTGGGAATTGAACAATGAGATCACATGGACACAGGAAGGGGAATATCACACTCTGGGGACTGTGGTGGGGTGGGGGGAGGGGGGAGGGATAGCATTGGGAGATATACCTAATGCTAGATGACGAGTTAGTGGGTGCAGCGCACCAGCATGGCACATGTATACATATGTAACTAACCTGCACAATGTGCACATGTACCCTAAAACTTAAAGTATAAAAAAAAAATTAAAAAAAAAGAACATTGCAGATAAATGTAAAATGCTTTTGTTCATCAAATAATTCTATTAAGAGAGGAAAAAAGCAAGCCACAGAGTGAGAGAAGATATTTTAAATGCATATATTTGATAAAGGTTTCATATATAACTCTTTAACTTCAATAAGAAGAGGACAGAATAATTGAAAATGGATGAGACTTTAGTCACAGTGCACAAGAAGTCTTCTAAATGTCTCTTAAACTTATGAAAAGACACGTCTCATTAGTCATCAGGAAAAAGCAAATTGAGGGTATAATTACATACTATTGCATAATGAGTACAATGTTTAATTTAAAAAAAAATCAATAAACAAGTGTTTGTGAACACGGGGCATGGCTAGAACTCCACTCAAATTCTCAGATATTGCTAGTGAGAGTGAAAATTGGCACAGCCACTTTGAAAACTTATGTGGTGGTACTTACGAATGCTGTGTACATGTAGGCCCTGTGATCCAGCGATCCCCTTCTGAGGTATATATCTGAAAAAAAATGAGTACATATGTGTTCCATTGAAGAGATACATGTAAGAGTATTCATAGCCACAGCATTATTCATGTTAGCCTCAAACTGGAAGCAACCCAAATGTGCATCAACAGTAGAACACACACATATATTGTGGTGATTTCATCCTGTGGGGTACTATACAACACTGAAAATGAATCCACATCTGCCACTTGAAATAACAAGGGATAAGTCTCACAAAGGACGGGGAAGAATCCAGATTCTGAAACATTCAGTAATTCCAACTAAGACACCTAATCTGTGTGATCAGAAATCAGAAGAATGACAGAGGGGAAGAGTACAGGAATAATGCTAGATGAAGGAGGATTCTGGAATGCAGATCATTGCATTCAATATCCATATCTCAAGTTGAGAGGAAACCGCATGGGTCTGTGGACTTGGTGAAAACACATTAAGCTGACATTTTTAATGTGTGTGTTTCATTCTATGCATGAAGAACACGTTCGGGGTCCTTAAGCAGTTTCATGCACCTCACGGGGCAAGCTCCACAGCTATGACTGGTCATTTTCTAGGATGTTCTACCCAGTTCTCTGCTCCATGAGAGACAGATATCTCAGGAAATTCTTCACAAAAACACTGGGAAAACCCTTCAATTGTCATAAGGCTTGAGGGTGTGATTGTTCTTTAGAAGCTCAAACTGGGAAGTGTTGGGAACATACCACTGAAAACTTTCAATAGTGAGAGAGGTGTGGCTGAGCGCGCACCCTGGGACTCACAGGGATTCTTGAAACCAAATTTTCTACAAAGAAAATATTCTAAGTTTCATTCTCTTTGTGTCTTGAGACAGCAGAGTATAGCAGGAACACCACTGTATTGCGCACGGTAGCCCCGTGGCTTCTTGTTTCTGAAACGTGGGCAATCCATTCACCTCTTTACGCATCTGAAGTTAGGGACTTCGGTGCCTTGGCCCATAGCTGTTTTTTCACTTAGTGGAGGCAGGGTGCAGAAAAACACTCAGGCCCTTGTCACTTCTGACATTGGCTGAACTAAGGATCACTTTAAGAGATTAAAAAAAGGCAAGCAGAAATTCTGATGGCCAACGGATGAAAATACCCCTATTCCTGTTCAACAGCGATATCAGTGTTTTGGATGTGTTTCTTTCTCCTATTCTCCTATTTTGTTTTTATTGTCTTTGTTTCCCCAAAGTGTTCATTCCATGAGAAGAGAGGTGTTATCTGTTTTATCACTGAACCAACAACACCCTGCAGTGTCAGCCTCACAGGATATACTCAGTAAATACCTGCTGAGTAGATGGAAGGATAAATCACCAAGTCATACTGTTTCCCCCTCTTCTGGGTGGAAATATCTTCCGCTTCATGTGTGGAGCAAAAGATGAATATATCACAACTGCCATTAAAATGGAATTTTTACTTTTCTATTTACAGCTATACTCCTTATGCCTATCATTTTTTAAACATTTTTATTCAACTACTTCCGAAAGTGTTTTATTTCCCCTTGACTTGTGTAGAATTAGGAATTTTTCTTAAACAAAGGTAGACCATTGAGGACCACTGAGCCCATAGCCGACTGTCATCTCACCCTCACTCTGGTGGGCATAGCCTCACCTGTGTTTTAATCAATGCAGAATAGACATGAACTTGTCTAGGAGTAAAGACATTCAACTAAACAGCTTGTCACCACAGATGGGCATCACGCAAACCAAATCTACTCATTACTATCTTTTCCTAAATGATCCTAACCCTTATTAGCTCAAAGTTAGCATATTTTGGAACTCTCTAAGTTAAGACTAAAAGGTACTGATTATTTAGATTGTTTCTAATGGGGCCTTTCAGATTGATTATCTTTTGAGTAAGTCAAATAATGATTTTGATTCTTTCTATTGAATTGACATGTTTTTGTCAGGATTCAATAAGCTATTTAACTGACAGGTCTAGAGATCTGAGTCTGTCAGGCACTTTGCTAGAGATTTTTATATCTTTTCTCTCATTAACTTTAACTAAATGGATTCATGGAAAAGAGATAATATTATTACTCTCCAGCTACTGTACAAGTTAGGATTATATTAAGGTGTAAGTAATAGAGGAAAAAAACTAAACTAGGGTGGTTCGATAAGATGTAATTTTTCTCTCTCTCTTATTTAAGAAGTCTGACAGATGTCAGTTTAAGACAGGTGAGGTCCTCTTAGTTGTAAGTGACCTGGGCCCTGCCTGGAGAATACTTCATGGCTCAAGATAGCTGCTGAATTCCAGCCATTAAAGATGCATATATCACTTTCTTATACATTGGTCAGAATGAGTCACATGGCTCCATCTATTTGTGAAGGATGCTGTGAAATGTGGCATCTGTTGTGAGGAGCCATGTGACCAGCTATAAGGGGAGGGGGTGTAAAATTACTAAGAAAAAAGTAAAAAAGGGATATTGGAGGTTGTTAGACATCTTTGCCACAATACATATAAAACCTTTTAAATATCACATGAACAGAAAAGTCAAATAATCAAAGAATATGTCCTCATAGATTCTCATATTGACTCATGTCTGCGATACCAACACACTTTCAGACGTTTATTGTAAGTATCTGCTATGGTACCTAATTCACCAATTGGAATTTTGTCAACAGAAAATGTTTCTATTCTAAGGGTTTTTCTCCATTGCAAAAATTGCACCGAAAGAGTAGTTTTTAACCATACTTCCAACTTATGGAGATTATGTGAGTGATAAAACCAGACTGAACAATATAGTAAGTTTTAAAAAGAAAAGAAAGAACTGATGATGTTTTCACAAATTTGCAAAGCCCTCTGCTACTTTTGTTGGACGAGAAATGGTCCCAACATTGAAGTCTGTGAAGTCATCAGAGGGCAGTCAATTTGTGAGTCTTGAACGATATTTCTCCTTCATTCTCTAGGTTTACTATGACTCAATCTTATTTGTAAGTTCTAAATTCACCCAGACATTGTGTCAAAGACACCCATTCGGTCAAAGACAGCATGATTTTAATTCACCTCTTAAGCTCCATGGAATCAACTGCTCCCTAGACTTATAAAAAGAGCCATGCCAGCGAGAACCCTGACAAACAGACAGCAAACCTCAACAATTAATAAAATATTAAGTTGGAGCAAAAGAAATTGCGGTTTTTACCATTGAAAGTAATGGCAAAAACCACAATTACTTTTGCACCAACCTAATGCTTATACTTTTTTCATTGTCCCAAGTTGAGGTTTTCTATAATTGGGTACATAGTTAAGGGTTGGAGTTTAGTGTAATCATGCGTCTCTAATCAGCAATGAATCTTTATGTTTAATATTTCGTTTATTTTTACCAATTCTCTTTGTTTTTTTCATCCCAATAGCCCCACTCAGTTTATAATTGCCCAACTAAAGTAAAAAAAGTAAATAAAAATTTATAAAACCTGAAAATTCTATGGAAGACCTGCTCTGTCCAAAACATGGGGACACTACTTTGCAACAGGCCCAGCCTCAGAAACAGTGACAGAAAGCACCAAAAAAGCAAAATTCAACATTTAAAAAAAAACATGTAAGGTTGGGATTTCTGGAACTTTAATAGCTTTCCACTTAAGTTTTTGGCTATCATGCACTTTAGCTAAGAGAAAAAAAATAATGAGTTTTACAACATTCAACTTGCTTTATAACATATTACATAATGGTGTGAGTTCCATAAAGAAGGTTGTGTGCACTGCTGTAAAACTTATTAGGTCACCAATATTTCTGGTTTCATATTAAGAAATTAGAAATAATGGTTCAGATTAGAGTTACCAGAATTAAAAATCCTTTGAATTGAATAAGTCATTCCCAAGGATATACTAATGAATTTGTAGCCTTAAAAAGAAAAAAAAGTTTCATTTATACATTCACCTGAGGTGAAAGAAGTCATGTTAACATTCTGAGTTTTATGTGGACTTTCCATAGGCTGAAGTACTCTCTCCACTGCACCTCCTGCTCTGTATAGCTCACCTTAATTTCCATTTTGTAGGCCCCAATGTGAGAATAATTTTTTAAAAATGAGACTTTGAGTCTGAATGTAGTAATGACTAACTATCTTCCTTCAAATGTGACTTTAAGTTTAAAATGTTTAAACTACATGAAGTAGTTCAAGGTCCAAAATGTGCTTCAGGTTGCTCCTTTTCCTTCCATCTTTCACTCAGCCTTCTCTTTCTCTGCCTTTCTTGTCTGGAGAATCATCTCCCAGCTTGGCATTCTAGCAATGGCATCAGTCGAAGATGAGGCCGGACGCCTTCATCACATACTGCCCACTTGTGCTGAAATGCTTTCATATTTATGCCTGATATCTCCAGCTGAAGAGTGAATTTCTTGAGGTTGGGAACTGTGTAACATGGCATAGAACTCATACAGAAAAGGGGCTCAAAAGCCATCTCTATCAATAGTAAGTAGGAGAAAAAGAAGCAGAGATGAAAGAGTAATGCCATAGTTAGTGCTGAATATTGCTTCAGCTATTTGTCAGCGTCTTTTTGAAAGCCAGAGTTACAATAGACAAATGACTGAATCCTTACTCCTAATGTAATTTATTTGTCCTGTTTCACCCCCCACACAAAAAGAAAATGAGTGTTTTGAATGCACAAAGTACATCTCCCCCTTTTCAGGGAAGAGTGGAATAATACAGGTAGCAGTTACATGTGTATTAGTGTAACATCTCTTCGGAAGATAACAGTGCTTTATTTCTACCTAATCCTCATCCATCTATCTATTCACTATTTATCCATCCATTGATTCACTTCTCCATCCATCATCCATCTATTCATCCAGCATCTATCCATTCATCAATCCATCCATCCATTTATACATCATCCATCCATCTTCCAACCCATAGTCATCTATCCATCTCTTCATCCACCATCCTTTCATTCATACATCCACCACCATCTACCCATCATCTACCCGTTCATCCATCTGTTCAACTTTCATCTCTCATCCATCCTTTCATCCTTCCTTCCTTCTACCCATTCCCTCATTCACCAAACCAAGCAAGGTTTTACTAATCACAAAGTATTAACGTACCAAGTACTGTAAGACATAGGCATATTTGATATTATCTATGACTTCTAGGTAGTCACCATAAGGAACATAGGCAAGACAGACAGTGACAGAAAGGGAAAAGTTGTAATATATGACTGGATAAGGTCATATAAGAGTCTGATTTTCAGCAAAAACTCTAGAGAAGTCAAATCCACCTAAACTTATCAAGGAATTAATGAGATATAGGCCAGCACTGAATAACTTTCCGTTTACATTCAACCTAACTTATGAAAAACAGAGGGTATACATGTATTATTTTACATCAGATCGAAGTCATGTTGATCGGCATGGTGTGCCTTTATCCTATGCACTATTGAGGAAAAGGCCAACGCGGACGATCTTAGAGGAGACCTGCATAGAATCAGGTGACCAGAGTTAAGGCTTCAGTGTGATGGTCAACAAAAGTGAACCTAGAGCCCAAAGAGGAACAGGGAGGAAAAGTCCATATCTCAACTTTGGCCTACGGTGGAGGAAGAACAAAATCTCCTGGAAGAATTTGCATCTTAGGCTGGCACAGACAGAGGATGTTAGCTGAAATTTATACTGGCAGTGAAGTCCAAGAATCGTCAAGCAGAAAGTTTGTCTTAAAGTAGTGTAAAGTGGATGGCGCTTGCAAATTACAACGAATGGCAAATGCAAAAATGCAAATCCTCTTCAGAAGGCCACACAACGCTACTGATGGGAAGCATGCCAATTTCTCAGAAGATAAAATGCAAGAGTAAATAATCACCCTAGAATCTATATTTGTGGACATAGAGTCATATGAATTGTATGTGTGTATTCAATCAAAATAGTTATCTCTTGTTTGTTATAACTAAATATGAAACTCGTATGGACTGGCCATGTTTATATGTAGGGCTGTGATATAAATTTATGGCAGACTTTTGGTAAATTTGTTATTAAGTGTTTTATTAACCATACACATACTAGGAGATATGTTATAGCTCTTTTCTTGTTGATCTATAGATTATCCTTCATACCATCAATCATATACATGAAACAGCAGATAACAATGGCCCTGGCCATGGGCATAGGGTTCACGGCTGGTAGACACATTTAGAACATCTTACAAGGGATGGGATTCCTTAACTTCCTGTTTGCCAAACAAGAGAATTTTGATGAATAATAAGACTTTGAGGATTGATGTATATTGTCCTTATCTATGAAAATGGGTTTCTTGGGTGAAAGGTTTTTTTTTAGTATTTTATCAGATTTGGGGATGAATATTAAAAAAAATTCTAATTTCTTTGATAGAGTCATTGAAATATCTCACTTTTGCAAAGCTGCTTTAGGAATAACGTCTAAATGAAATGAACAACCATTTTTAAGAGTAAAATTAAGTTTAGAAACTACAATAAGCAAGTCTTAGAGCTAACTACATTAATTCAGCACCCCTAAAAGCTCCAAAAGGCTGATGGGGACAGTTACATTTGCAGGAATTCATATCACTTGGCCTTGAGCTCTGGGTCATGTTGCTGGACAGTAGGAAGCGCTCCTGCCTCACTTGGGAACTGCAGAGGAAACGCATTCTCTGAGCCTCAGTTCTGCAGCAGTACAGCACTCCTTTAGCATGTATTTGCAGAGCTTGTCCTGGGTGTCAGGCTCTAGCGTAGGTGCCATGGGAACAGTGAAGGATGCAGCCTTCTTTCATGGATGCCAAGTTCTGGGAATTCTAGTCCTGTACATGTTATTCTTGCAGGGATTTTACGTACTCATGGCATTTGACCTACAGTGGCTCCTGGGTAATGACAGTAATCTCTAAAACTATTCTGATAAAAAATAAATCTGTAGAAGTCTCAACCACTGAGTTGCTAAACTGAAAATATTTCTGAAAGTAGGACACCTCAAAAAGTTAACAATGTGAAACTTAGAAGGCAAGATTTGTCATACCAGGGAATGGAAATGCTCATTGGACTATTTTTAAAATATGACATAAGGTTATGCTATGTCTCTACGATTTTTTACTTGATTTGCTTATGAAAATTTACAAGCTTTACCAGTGGGATCATTGTTTTTAAACCTTAATTTTGCCCATTTGTTTTTCCCCTAAAACCCTGTGTTGAGTGTCTGCTATGGATTAAGAGAGTACAGACCTCAGCATGTGCCCTATTAAGGACCATGCTTCCCAGAAGCCCATAGTCCAGCAAGAACATGGATGTGTGCTTCAAATATCCTGTGACAAATGTTATGACTTCAGATTGCAAAATCTATGAGGACCGGCAATCAGGGGTGGATGCTGAGATCTGCCTGGGGTGGGTGAAGAGGCGAGGGTTGGAGAAGAAAGGCTACTGAAAGAAAAGGTTACAGTGGAAGTTCACCGTGTTTCACTGACTGTGCTTGTTTCAACGTGGCTTCTGTCTGCATTCAACATCTCCAGAAGGCCCTACCTGAAGAGGACTCTGGATGGGTGCAGAGTCACAGAAAACACAAAAATGCAATGGATTCTCATTTTTTGTGACTGTTATTGATTCTACAGAGCTTCAGAAACAGCTGCCCATCCTCAGTCCCACCAGATCAGAGAGGCTCCCATGGCTCTGTCCACACGGAGCCCAGAAACCCGAGGAGGAGGAATTCAGACATGACTCCCTTGACCCATCTCAGACAGCTCTCCTTCATTGCCTTTCTAGAGTAGAAGTAGATTCCAGTATTTACAAAAATTCAAACTTCCTTGGTGGTCGCAAGTTGGTCCCACTAAGGTGAGCTGAACAAAGAAGTCCACGCAAACTCTGTCTTCTGCACCCAACAACCTTTTGGGTATCTGAAGATTCTGAGTTTTTCTTCACCTTTAAGATTTTGCCTTGGACCCAGAAAATTCTGTGCTGCTTGCCTCATGTTTATTTTTATGGACCTACTTAAGTTGTGTGCTCGAAGAACCAAATGAACGTGTGTGTGCTTTTTTTTTTTTTCAAATAAAACAAATTGAAGTTAAAACCAACCACATGTCTCAGTTCAGCCAGGCTGCCTTGTGATTCTTGAAAAATAAAAATAACTGAATAAGTGCTTTTCAAAGTGATATTTTAACCTCCTGCCAACACTGTAGTAGTAAAATATGATTTTTTTTTATTATCATTCAAATGTGAGTTTGGGGACATGATTGAGGTTTTCCTATAATCAGTAAAAATGAGGAAACAACTTAAAAATGTTTGGGCAACCTCCAAATAGAGGGGAAAAAAGTGTTTAAAGGTGAGTGAGTTAATGTAGCACATGTTATAATAAAAACCCAACAAAAAGTAGCCCTTATAGTCCAATATTTTGGCATACAAACTCAGCCATTCTTCAGGGAGACTTTACTGCCTCATTTCTAATAGAGAGCCCTAATTATAACACTTACAACGAGAGAGAATGCTGAGAAGGCCTGAATAATTATCTAGTTCCATACTCACAAGTGGGTGTAAGGGAGTCTGCACCCCATCATGGGCTGTTCCACCCCTTAAAAATTCTTTTAATTTACAATGTGTGACACTGAAAAAAAATCTTGTCACTAAATGTAAAAACTGAGGTTGCAAAGAGCAAAAATTTCAACTTTATTAAAGGAGTCTTTTTTTTCTCACTGTGATAGTGTCTTTGTTATTACAGGAGCTTTTATTTAAACATAACATTTTAGCTGAACTCTCGTTTTCAAAGCAAACAGGTAAAATGTAAGATATATTTCAATACGTGATTTGTAGGCCTTTGCTTTTTTAACTGAATCTAAAATTTGGTTAGTTTTATCAAAAGTGATTAAATCATCATCACTATAAACTAATATTTTCTAAATTTTCTATTGAGCCACAGGCTCGAAGTTCATTATCAAAAATGGGTTTTGTCACCCATAAATGAAACATATTACCACAAAGAAAAAAAACATTTGGAAACAAATTCATGTAAAGCCTCAAAAAGTAGTCATCAATCTCTGCCCCTTGCCACGGTTGTATGGCTCAGGCTGTGGGGGCAGTGGAAAAATGTTCCTGCTGAAGAATCAGGAGCAATTGAAAATTGAGTGACTGTGTTCACGTAGCCCCCAGATTTCTAAGCAAATGTTGCCCTGTAAGGAGAACATCAGTGTTAAAGGGGTTTCAGTCTGTTGCTGAAGAAGAAAGTTGATTAAACCAGTGCTAGGCAATACAGTATTAATCAGATCAAGGTAGATGCTTTAATGACCAAATAAAAATTAGCATCGTTTTCAGTTCCACATGCATTGTGGCTGGCAGTGACTGATAAGTCATGGCTGGCCATAGGGAACGTGGGCCAGGGGGAGGGTCACAGGGGGTGGGGACAGAAGGAGCTCTGGGAATCTCTGTGGGAGGCTGGTTATTCAACAAGAGGCTTGGAATTACTGTCCTTCCTCATAATGATACAGACACATAGGTGCTCGAGAAAGCCCCAGAGACAAGGGAGAGATGACGCAGCCAATGCTCCATGTGTTTGAAGCCAGCTGGCTGGCTGGGTTAAGATGTCAGTCTGAGTGTTTGAGACAAGGGAGAAGTCAGGCTCCGCAGCTGAAATTAGGTGTAAGCAATGGGCATGGTTGAGGAAATGGGCCCCCAAATCCAGAAATGTCATCTCAAGGTTAATTAAGATCAAGCAAGACAGTTATTTTGCCAGCAACAGATAAGGGCTGACGATTTGTTGACAGAAAGCCATCAGCTGAAAGTCAAGTCTGTTCACAATGAGCAGCGTGTACATAGAACACGAGTAGTAATTTTTCCATTTCTAACGCATATCTCACCTTGTATGGTAAACTCGGGTGAACTGACTTTTCTTTTTGTATATTTTCTTCTAGATGTGTGGATAGGTTTAAGCAATTGAGATCTAATCTTATATTCTTCAAGAGTGAGATTTTTGTACATTGAAAACCTGATAGACATAGAATATAATCATCCAATGAAAGACTTATGCACAAACTTCTCTCAATAGTGAGTAGGGTTTTTTGATTGGTCCATATTTCATCAGAAATCTTTCTGTTGCTAAAAAAGTTATTGTTTTACCATTTATAGCTAATTAGAAAATTCTCTGAGCCCAAACCTTGTATTATTGTTATGAAAATAGAGCCCATTTTCCCATAGCAAAGGAAGAAAAATTTCCTTTCTAAACGGGTAGTACATCCTGTTGTGAATTCACGAATGACCAGGCCCTTGTGGGGCTCATCATCCCTTGTACCTGTGCCCACCTGCCTGTACGCTGCTGTTCATTTGGGCAAGATGAAGTATCTGCATCTGAAATAGCTTCTTCCAATGCCATTGTATTCTGGAGCAAATTTTTAATGTAAACAAAGTAAAAGTCAGGGAATATAAAAAGTATCTTAATTACAAAAAGAAATGTGAATGCAGTCATGTTTCATTGAATAATTCAACTTCAGGGACTATTTTCAAAAGCAGAGTTTTCCAAGAATTAATGTTTCTCTTTAAATTAGGGCAGTCTTGAAGGGGAAATGTAGAATTTTGTACAGCTTGACAGTGAATCTTTCTTAAAAAATATGATTATCCTGAAGTTCTCTATTTCTTTTGGGGATATTTTCCCCCTTCATCATTCAAGGTTTAAAGGAGTTTCTAAAAACCAACTAGAGAAAACACTGTTAGTCTAACTCTAATGTAGAACTTTTAAGTTATGTTAAATTTTAAGCCTAAAGGTTTAATTTCCATGCTTTCTGGTTTTCTCCAGACAGACTCCAAATATTTGCTTAATATGCTTTCTTATGGTTTAATGTGTAGTAATTTTAGCGTTTTAGAAATATATTTTCCTGAAAAATGTGTTTCACTGGCATTTCAGAGTTTAAGAGCAAATATGCCAATTACAAGTATAAAGCTCATTAGTGTAATTTAAATAAAAATTTATAAAATATTTCATAAAATTTTTTTCTATATAGGTAACTCTCATCCCATATACGGAACAGAGGAATTAATAGTAATGATAGAAATGTGAATTTGTATCCAAAATGTAAATTATGTTAATATAGGCAAATAAGGAAGCCTTATATATGTCCACCAAAGAAATGCAACATGATCTTATTTCAGAGATTTCAATACTGAGTCACAGGACTGAGAGGCCATAGGCCTGGGCTGCCAGAGGAGGTTTCTGTCTGTTAGAAGCAGCATAGCATTGGGACTGGTCACTTGGCTAGGGCCCTGGGACTTGCCTGTGTGGCCCTGGGCCGGCTTCTCTGCCACTCTGTGTCCTCACGTGGACAGTCCAGGTGCACATCCTCTGAAAATGGCCCTGGCTGATGCTCATGCTGCTGGTACTTGGACCACACTTTGAGAATCACCTCCATAAGGCCCGCTTTTCAGGGTGAAATGAAATGTGGATTTTTGTCAGTGAAACAAAGGCTCCTGATGACCTCACCCATGCAGGGCAACCTTGGACGCCTGTCCCGTCTCCATGACAGGAGACAGGACAGTGCCTGGTACATGGGATACACTTACCGCACACCTCCAGCCCTGTTCTGCCTCCAGAAGAGCGCCCGGTGCGCAGAGCTGATGAAAGGCAGAAACTGTGCTCCATCAGGAAGAAGAGATCGGTGCTGATGGAGCGAAGTGACTCATCAAATCCTCAAGAGGCATGATACTGGCACAATCAGCCTAAACACACAGCGTTCTATTCAGAAAATTACTTTTAAGCACCCTCACAATTGTCCATTAAATTAAGGAGGAAAATGTGCTTTTTAGCCAAAGGTTCCTAAAAGATTGGAAAGGCAAATACAAGTTAATAAATGGCAAGCACATGAGCACGCCGTTTGGGGCTTCATGATAGGGGCTTGTGTGTGTGTTGTTTCCTAGAGAAGTAGAAGGACGCTTCCTGGTCCCAAGCCTCTTTGCTCCTCAGCCAGGAATTGCACCGTTAGAAATGCACGTTGACTTCAGTGCGGCCCACTCTCTTGGTACAATGCAGATATTCGTGGGAGATGTGTGTTGATTATGAATTCGCTCATGATTTTCTCTGAGTTCATTTTTCAGGTTTCCCGTTTCCCTTGTAGGGAGCAAGGGCCACGTCTTGAGAGCTCTGAGTGTTGGGCAGGCAGGAGAGAGAAGGCACGGCTCCACGTGACAGACACAGAGCAAAAGGTGTCCAAGCTTGCCCTGCATGGGTGAGGTCAGCAGGAACCTTTGTTTCACTGGCAAGAATTCAGATTTCATTTTTCCCTGAAAAGTGAGCCTTACGGAGGTGGTTCTCAGTGTGGTCCAGGTACCAGTGGCGTCAGCATCACTTGGGGTCATTTTTAGATATGCAGATTCTCTAACCACACCCAGACAAGGTGAGTTAGAAACTCTAGAGGTGGAGCCAAGACTGCCCCAACAATCTCTCCAGGTTAGAGAATTTGGGATGGATTTTTTTGACAGCCTCAGCCAGGTTTCCTAATCCTGCCTTGTAAGAACCACCCTTCCCCACAACCAGGTTTTCTCCATGGGAATCTCTGCGGAAGTGAGTTTAAAGTCTCTTATTGTTGCAGTGCTGCAGGTGATCTTCCTAATTAGGCAACTCAGAAGCCAGGGCACACCATGCACAATAAAAAGCAAATCTGTCAGGGGCCAGCGTGAATCATCCTGCCCTCATTTCGTGTTTCTCTCTAACATTTCTCTTATTTTACAGTGCTCTTCCTTCAAGAGTTTCTATTAATTACATATTGAGACATGAATCTCCTCCCATAGAATCACTTGCACCTATTAACATTCAAAAACAAAATCACTTTGTAATTGAATCCTTGAATTATAAGACAATTCGAAGTTGAGCCATCCTCTTCAAAAGAAAGAAAGTGGTTATTCCTTCCTTTCACTGTGCAAACAGGCTGGGTGCAGTTGTGGAAAAAACATAATTTTTTGTGTAAAAAAAACAAAAAAATGCACCTAAGGGAGCAGCTCAGCTTGGAGACTCATTTATTGGGAGCTGATTCTCACGTATCTAGTTTCTGCCTCGAGTTCTCCTTGAAAATCAGATCTGAAGTCTCCATATTGTATCCTTGTTCGTCTCAGAACTGTGTTGCCAGTGCCCCATTAAATTCTACTCTTCAAAAAGAAAGCCTGTGTTCAACCCCCAAGTCCCACCCTCTCCTGGGTCCTCCACCCCATCACAAAGAGCGGATGTTTTCTGATCACCCGTCCAGTCTCCTTCTTCTTCAACCCTGTGTCCAATTTGTATTTTTAATTTTTTTTCAGTCTCCAGAATATCAGCATTTCCAATTTGTTTTTCATTCAGTGACTCTCCATGGCCTCATTGATTGGACAAGCTTAAACCCCACAAATTTCCTGCCCCAACCGCTGTCAGGGTATGATAATGAGATGGAGAGGTTGTTTAAGGCCTTCCAGGAGGAGAGCCGGGGTAAGAATGTGGTGCTGCCGGGCCTTCAGCCTCTGCTTATATCTGCACTTCCTGAACTTTCAGCTGATGCCATGGGCTTGACTTGTGTTCATTATGTGATCATGGCTGTGGTGAGGTGGCAGCTGCCGCCCTATCCCACCCAGTGGTAGCATGTACCTGGAACCCTAAGGGCTTTATCATCGGTCCTTGCAAAGATCATTAAGGTAGTTATTTATATTTTACATATGAGTAGCATGTGAAAACTAAACATTTTACAGGTGAGTCATAATTTGGGAATGACTTCTTCACTGAAGTGTGCATTGAATTCCCTGGGGAGCTTTCTAAAAATACACATTTCCAGGATCTGCTCCACACTCGAAATGCATGAGAATTCCCAGGAGCATATCAATCACTGATCTTGGAGAATGGATATGTCAGATGGATTGGAGATTCCCACTAACTGGACTCTCAATTTCTTGGCAACTATCTGTCAGTTCATCTACAGTGGTAGTCGTGGTTGTGATTCAGTAACTGCCCCGGGCCCCACCCCCACCCTTCCATGGCAGCACGTGGTTTAATCATATCTCTGTGTATATCTGTGCATTTGAGAAAGTCCTGCAGGGTTCTCAATACACACCATTGCCTTGAGGTGGAATCTGTGTTTTCACTGTCTGTATACTACCTCCCTTTTCCCTGCTTTCCTTTTCTTCCACTGGAAATAACTTCTGGTCCTCTAAACTAGCTTTTCTGCTTGCAATCTTTCTGGTGCACAGGGCAGAGCGAGTACAAAGCCTACCACCTTTGTGGTCCACCAATGCAATGTAACTGCAATCAAGGCAAAACAGCTTCACATGGGTCCTGGGACCCCATGAACATTCTGACCACTTTGGACCCAGAAGTGCAAAGGTGTTAAAAGTGACAATGAGGACAGCTTGACACTATCAGTGGAGATGCTGAAAAGAAGAGAGAAGATTCAGAGCCATGTCGTCAGTACTTCCGTTTCTCCCTGTGGAATGTCAGTTGCCCTTCATGTTTCACTACTGACGGCTCCCTTAGCCTCATGCTGCGCTGGAATGAGAAAATTTCCTCCTAGTCTTGATTTGCTGGTAACTAGCTGTCTGACCTTAGTTAACTAATTTTCCTTCCTAGATTCCAGTCTTTTCATCTCAAAGGGCTTTCTTGTCTGAAAATGCCCTCTTCTACTTTAACTCCGAGTGTTCTTCCAGACACAGCACAGCTGTGGGCGTGCCAGGGTCCTCAGCTTTTCAGTCTGTACTGGAAGGACTCAGCACGAGGCAGTGCTCTCCGCCACCATTGGTATCTCTTTAGGATGTGCATTTCTCAGGCAATCTACCTCCTCACCATCATATTTTTCATCTCTGACAATATTAACTGGAGAGTATTGTGCTGGATTCTAAAATCAATGAGGTCAGTACAATAAAGGAAGAGTAATTGTGTGTAATTGATAAACATATTTTGTCTCTTGCCACATGACTTTGAGTGCATGTGGATGTATACACAACACTTGCTATAAAGTCTTCAAGATATAAATTTTTTTTTGGCTCACATTTCTTGGGAGTTTGGAAAGGAGGACAGCAATGAACTGCATTGTGTGCAAGAGGCCTGACCTGTGATGACTCATTCAATTCTAGATGGTAGAGGGTAGGTAATACATTTATAAATACAGAAACTGAGATCCTGGGAATTATATGAGGATGTCCTAGTGCCCACATAGTGGAAATGGGATTGACTAGGTCTGCTCAGGTTAAGGGAGGACAAGACATAAAAGCCTGTTCTCCCCATTGAGCATCCAGGCCATTGCTGTGGGGAGCAAGTTGCGTTTGAGACATCCATGAGTACTTGCCTGTCCAACTTCTGTTTTCAATTATATAGTTCACTGAAAACAATATTAAATGGAAGATATTGAAAAAGCTTTTCAACATTTCAAAAATTTGTAGAGTTTCAAAATTAGTTCTGTTAGATTTTTAAAAATGAGTAAATAAAAGACACCTGTATTATAGAGTACAGATGATCCTTGACTTACGAAGATACAAATTACTTTTTTTTTCTTTTAGCTGGTGTGAAAATAATGGCATCAATGGGAAGTGGTACTATACTTTCTTGCAGTGCAGCCAGACAGTCACAAGGGTCAACAACCGGTCCTCTACAGTGGACTGTGTTGCCAGTTGATTTTGCCAACTGTAGGCTAATAGAGGTGTTCTGAGCAGGCATAAGGTAGGTGAGGCAAAGCTATAATGTTCGGTAAGGTAGGCGCATTAAATGCATTTTCAACTTACAATGGATTTATCAGGACTTCACCCCATTGTAGGTCAAGGAGCTTCTGTATTTTTAAATGAAGGCTCTTAGGGATGATGTTTCCTGAGGGACCTTTATGACTGCTTCATTACTCTTTCAAGCTGCTTTTGAATTGAACCAGAGTTTGGTACATGTTGGATTTGAATATCACCCATGGTAGCTCAAGCATGGGAGCTGCTTTCTACCACATTACTCATCATCAGGGGGTAATTTCTGAATTTACCACAGGTGCTGGGGACTAACTTGGCCCTTTTAATCTACTGGTTCGTAATGAAGATTTAAGGAGAAGCCATTGCTCTTATTTAACTGGATGTACACACTAAATTTAGTGTAGTCATTCCAATTGAAATTCAATAGAAAATGGATTGTTAAGTCAGAAAACTCAGTTGGAATAACTAAGAAGATAACAAAGCACATTGCTTTTATAATCTTTTGAAGTCGGGGGAGACAGATAGGTGAATGCACATGATAAGGACGGGGTCTTTGGCATCATTCTGCAGAGTCGGGCTGGGAAGCAGGCATACCCTGGCTATGACCTGCAGCTATGCTTTGGCAGCTCTGAGTACCTCCTGAGCTAGGTGCTTCCCTGGTGCCTTAGGATACTCCTCCCCAGCCTACCACAGGGCTCTTTCCATCTCACATATCCTTCTGGAATATAAGCTTCTGCAGGGCAGGTGTGGTGCTGTTTCACATTTACTAGCATTTTGGCAGAGGGATTACACATGGTTAGTGCTCACTACCTACTTTGAAACCAAGTAAATGGATAAAAGAAGCACACACAGGCACTCGTGCAAAACAGTTCCTCAGTGTTGTTGAGTGGTTCTTACCATAGCTCTTTCCATTATCCATTCACACAGTTATTTCATTATTAAGTTTGGTGTTCAGCTGGACCACTTGCATATTCTTCAGACATTTTGCTTTGGCTTTTAGACTCTTCTGGTTACAAGGAAGGATTTTGCATTCTACTTATGTTGTGAAAAAGCACACAGGTCCTGAAATGGAGCATGAAGCAGAGAAGCCTGTGGTAACCAAGGCTCCTGCCTCCTCATGATCATAACCTAGTTCTACTGACATCTGTGCTTTCCTCTGTGCACCTGCTCTGTCATTTTCTCTTCATAGCTACCTTGTCATTTGGGGCTCTGTTTCTGGTTATTTTGAGTTCCAGCTTGTCCTTACTCCTCAGGGCCCCAGTCCCACCTCCTGATTCTGATTTAACTCCATGGTCCTTTGACCTGAGCATCTCAAATAACTTCCTCATTGGCTCAGGGATTTTTGCTTGCATTCTTGGGTGAACTTTTGATTGGATGACTCTATTTGGGAAATAGACACACTTTACCAGCCAACTTAGTGAATCTTTGCTCTAGGTTAGTTGCCAGCACTTATCCAATCAGTTGGGACCAGGAGGGGGTGGACATCCTCCCACAAGGACACACCTAAGGACTTCCAGGAAGGCAGAGGCTACAGCCTGTGTGTGAGCCCACTAGCACAGCTTTCAGCTCCCCATCTTACAGTTCGGACAGCAGCTTCCTCATTGTTCTATGGGCTAGTAACATTTTTTTGTAGAGTGTGTCAGGTGCTAGAATCCAGCAAATAGTAAAGAGTTGATTTTATGCATTATTCATGATCAATTCCTAATTTTCATATTTGTAATTAGCATTTTTGACTTGGAGAGATTTCTTTGATTATTTGAAGTAAAAATCTCAGACTTCCCTGCTAATACATGTTAAGGATAAAAACTAAACCCACTAAATTTCTAATAACAAGTTAAGAAAGTGTCCCTTTATGAGACACTGCTCACCTATATGAATGCCATTTTCTTTATCAAAGAACCCTTTAATCTGGCTATTGGTCATAATTAGACAAGGTAGAAACAATGTTACTGTGTTTCTTGAATAAAAATGTTTTTCATACTCCATTGTTTTTGCATTCTTAATGCCAAGAATGTTTTGAAGACAACTAATATATTTATTGAGATTTTTCCAATCTAGGAAGTACCTTAATTCACTCATTTGGTAAACATCTATTGAGCTGCCCCTACGTACTGGACACTGTGCAGATGCTGGCAATGGATTGCTTATAGGATAGGCATACTCCTTGTCTTTATGGAGTTAAAACCCCGCATAAATAACCCAAGGAAATAACAGAAAATGTTCACAAGGACAAAAGAAAAAAATGTGTGTCAAGCAGCATTGTTGATGGGTGCAAAATATATAAACATTCTATATGTTCAAAATTATGAGATTGGATAAGTAAATTATGGTTTCTCCAAACATGAAAATCCTCAGTCATTATTATAAATTGTGATATATCTCTATCTGCAGTGGCACTGAACAATGTTAATAATTTGTTAAGTCAAAAATAAATGGGTTACTCAATTGTATAATTTTATTTTGCTGAAAGTCTATGTGTGTATAAATGGCAAGGGAAGGAGCGATCTAAAGGTTTGACAATGTTTTTCTCTGAGTGGTAGAATCATATATGCTGTTTGTTCCATTTTCTCTTTTGGCCCATGTGTATTTACGATTTCTTCTACAAATACATGGGCTAGTTGAGTTATATACCAACGGTAATATCAGAAAGATAAAACAAAAGTAGTAAATGCAGGCTGTGTATGAAGCATGATTTCAGCCCATACTACCTTATCATAAAGGACTTGTTTTGGGCTGAATCGCGTCCCCACAAAATTCATATGTTGACGCCTGACCCCAGTACCTCAGAATGGGACTGTATTTGGAGATAGGGTCTTTAAAGGGGTAATTAAGTTAGAATGAGGCCTTGAAGGTGGACCCTAAACCAATGTATCAGTTGTCTTTGTAAGAATAAAAGATCAAGACACAGACATGCACCGAGGGATGACATGGAAAGACACAAGGAGGAGAAGCCGTGTGCAGGAAAAAGAGAGAGGCCTCTGAAGGAACCAGCCCTGGCAGTGCCTTGATCTCACACTTGTGGCTTCCAGGACTGTGAGACAATCAATTTCCGTTGTTTACACCACCCAGTGGGAGGTTACCAACACAGGATTGTACTTACTGACCCTTGAAACATCTTTCTACTAGACTTAGACCTTTACATTTCTTGTCCTATTTCAACCTCAAATCTACGATTTGAAGTTTATTATTACTTTCCTTTTACAGATAAATAAATGAAAGCATCCAGAGGTAAATTCAACCAGATGATTTCCATCATTTCCCAGCCAGACCCCTGGGACTCAGGCCTTCAGTGCCAGCGTAGCAAGAAGCTCCCTTCTGCGTAGCACCTTCCCGGGGGAGATTTCCCCAGCCCCTTCCCTTCAGAATTATTCTTCTGATAACTCATTACTGCTAATGGCATCACCCAGTTCAATATAGTTTTTCCTGATTTTCAGTGTTTGTCTATAAGCTCTCCTTCTATCTAGTTAAGGCATTTGCATCTCCCCAAGATGTCCAGAAGAAAACCTAGTCGGCAGAGTGATAGTAAACATGTTTTTAGGAGGACTTTTTGCAGGACCTTTAGAATCACAGCTTACAAGCCAATTAAGGACATGCCTATATCCAGTCACACTTGGCATTGTTTGTTTTGTCTTTACACACCCCCACTGGTGTCACAGGCTTGTGACCCTGTCATTAAGTCACTCTGAATATCTTCCTCAATATAGAAGGTCACACTGGCTTCTAATAAGACCTAATTAACTATTCATTAGGGAAAATTCAGTGCAGCTCTAGATTTTAATATCTATAGTCCCCAGTAGTAGGAAATTTCTAACAGGCAGCCAAGTTGCCTTCATGAAACTCTGTTCTGGAGATATGAGCTCTGGAGTCAGGATCCTGTCCCCAGCACTAAAATAATAAGGTGCTCATGAGTATTCCAGCAATTCCAAAGTTGGAATATATCATAATGAACCAATTGAGATAGATCAATGCATCTGTTACCAATATGACAATGGTCTGTTATGGAATAATATCTTTCAGCGAAATTAGAAATGATAAGCATAACAGTCCTCTCTAAGAGGAGAGATGATTGCAAATTGTTCTAACAAAAATGATTTCTTTTCTATTTCATGTGTAAGATGCCCATGAAGAGTCATGTTTCTCCCTCTGCCAATATTTTACCCAGCACAAGCACAGCTTCCCCCAAGAAAACTAGTAAAAGCTATCAAGACCAGAATTGCATCCTAACTTTTATTGTGTGGGTTGCCAAAGGCCAGTGGGTTTCTATTGTGCAGAAACAAGATGGCAACAATGTTCTCGCAATTGGAGTTCACATGACAAGCCCGCTAATTTATAGGTGAGGGGAGTTGTGTGCAGCTGTAGCTCTTTGGCTGATAATAGCTGTGCTGATCTTCCACCTTGGGGGCAGGTTGCCTCATATGGTGCAGCAGTCCGATGCTAAGCGACAGGAGCAGAGGTGCAATGCTCGGCCATAATTTAAAGGACTATGACATGAAGAAAGTGTTATGATGTTTAACTTATAGGGCATCCAAATGTCGTAGACCCAAGCAAGTTCCTATTAGCAATAACTCAGGTCCTCTGAAGGGATTTGACATTCAAAACTGATGAGCCCTGGTCCCCGGGGTCTGCTCCGACCTAGCCTCGCCCAGGCCACTCGGTAACCTGAGTGGCCCAGGGGTCAAACCGTGATAGCCCTCTTCAATTTAAAGAGCGGCTTCTCCCCGGCTGCTGGGGTTCCGACTCGGCACAATAAATTTCCCAAAGAGCATAAAGAGCCATCTAGTGTATATCAGATCAATATCATTGTGGCTTGCAGCGATATCTGAGGCTACAGTTCACAAAATAAACTAGCCCAGGGGCTGGATTTCTGCCCTTGGCAATCAATCAGCCTCCCGGGTCATGGATTTTAGTGTAAATTAACACAGCAGAAACCATCATGCTCCCCAGACGATGATACAATACAGGATTTGCTTTTTCTTCCAACGCAATTTCATTGCTTATGTTCAGAGGTGATGTTACACTAAAGAGAAATAATAAAAGCAGTGATTAAGAAAGCGGTAGAAATCGTAAAGTAAAACATTAATATTCTTCTGACAAATATACATAAAGTATGTTAAACTAGGTAAACAGTTATGGAGCATGAGGAAAGAATATAATTGCATGGAACCTATTCAAGTATATAAGACTTTCTTAAATTGACGTCCGGTAAATAGTACTAATTATATCAGATTACTGCATACGAGTAATGGAAAAATGTATATTTTGTAAGGGTGTTCCTCCCAGTTTTCAAAGGCACTCCATATCTATGAGGGGACCAATGGATGTACCCTTGAAACACCTTTAAATAAGACACAGTGCATCCCCCCAGCTTACAACACAACCCCTGCCATAGTCTCTCAATTTGGAAAATGTCTATTCATTGCTGTCTCTTCTTCTTTGTTGAGAAGGGGAAAGTTATCTTTTCCTTTAGTAAAAGGCACATAAGTATTCCATAGAATAATTTAAAATGTAGAATTTCATATGCAGACTCACAAACAAAATTAGGTTTTAGGGAAAAAAATCTTGCAGTTTATAGAAAACTTTGCAAACATAGAGGTTGGTTTGAGAAAGATGAGTCATCTGCATTTTATTTATTTTGAAGGAATGAAACAGATTATCACACACCTCGACATACTTTTTATAGCATTATACAGTCTGTCAAATCAAATTGCCCATATACAGTGTGATGCATAGTGCATTTTTCCTATAGCTTAGAAGACATAATATCTGCTCTTGGATCAATATCAAAATAGGATATGAATATTTCAATTAATACTTTGCATATTAGCATATTTTGTAACTTATTAAAATGCACACTAGTGGCAAGATTGCACATCACTGTTGCAAATTGGATACAGGCCACTAAGTTACTAGTTCAGGTGCAAAGTGACCCTCCCTCCAGTTTTTCAAAAACGAGTGGAGAGGAATGTATACTGTCCTTACGTCAAAGTTTCTTGACTTCTTGACTATCTGGTGTGTGGAGAGTGTGAACATTAACATAAGGCATTATTTTTATTATTGTAAAGTTTAGAAGCGGAAGTGTAATTAAAGCCTTAAATCAAAAGGTGATTTTTTTTTTTCACATTGTGGCAATATGTGTCTGGTGTTGTCTTGGACAAAGCCATATTTCTAACACAAATGTAATGTAGCTGAAAATTATTGAAACTGTCTTAAAATAAAGCAAATAATAATAATAAAATAGAACAAAAACCTATGCAATGCAGCAAAGGTAGTTCTAAGAAGAAAGTTAATAGCAGTAAACACCTAAATCAAAAAAGAAGAAATATTTCTAATAAACAAGGCAATGATGCACTTGAAGGAAAAAAAAAAAGAACAAACTAAATCCAAATTCGGTAGAAGAAAAGAAATAGTAAGCCTCAGAGCAGAAATAAACAAAATAGAGACTAAAAAATCAATTCAAAAGATTAATAAAACAAAGTTGGTTTTTGAAAAATATAAGCCAAATCAACAAACTTTTAGTTAGACTAAGAAAAAAGAGAGAAGACTCAAATAATACAATCAGACATGAAAAAGCCATTGCAACTATCAGGTGTATACCACAGAAATACAAAGGATTGTAAAAGACTTATGAACAAATACATGCCAACAAATTTGATAAACTTAGAGGAAATGAATAAATTTCTAGAAACATACAACCTACCAAGATTAAATTATAAATAAATAGAAAATCTGAACAAACCCAAACAAGTGAGAACATTGAATCAGTTAAAACAAAAAAAAAAAGTCTCCTATTAAAGAAAAACCCAGGACCTGATGGCTTCTCTGGCGAACTCTATCAAACATTTAAAGAAAAACTAACACCAGTTCTTCTCAAACATTTCCAGAAGACAGAAGAGTAGAAAATACTCTCAAACACATTTAATGAGACCAGCATTACCTTGATTTTTAAAACTGGACAAGGACACAACAACAACTACAAAAAACTCTAGGCCAATATTCCTAAGGAACATAAATGCAAACATCCCCAAATGAGATCCTAGCTAACTGAATCCAACAGCACATCAAAAAAATCATTCACTATGATCAAGTGGTATTCCTCTCATGGATGGAAAGGCAGTTTAACTTACACAAATCAAAAAATATGATCTACCCCATTAACAGAAAGACAAAAATTGTACGATCATTTCAATAGATGCAGAAAAAAGAATCTTACAAAATTCAAAATTTCTTCTTAATAAAAATTCTCAGCAAATTGCATATAGGAAATATATACCTCAACACAATAAAGGTCATATATGGCAAACCCACAGCTAATATCATACTGAAAAAGCTTCCACCTTCCAACTTCTTCCTCTAAGATTGTTAGTTTGAGAAAGATCCCCACTTTCACTGCTTTTATTAAACATAGATCTGAAAGTCCTAGCCTGAGCAGTAAGACAAGAGAAAGAAATAAAAGGCATCCAGATTAAAAAGAAGGACGACAAATAGTCCCTGTTTGCAAACGGCATAATCTTACATATAGAAAACTCTAAAGATTCCACCAAGAAACTGTTAGAACGAATAAATAAATTCAGTAAAGTTGCAGGATGCAAAAGCAACATACAAAGAATTAATAGGGTTTTTATATACGTTTTAATAGTGAACTATCTAAAAAAAGAAATTTAAAAAAATACTATCCACAGTAGCTACAAAAAAAATACCTGGGAATAAATTTAACTGAAGAGATTAATCATCTCTACAATGAAAACTGTAAAACACTGATAAAAAGTAACTGATGAAGACACAAACAATTGCAGGATGTCTCATTTTCATGAATTTTTAGTAATAAGCTTAAAATGTCCAGACTACCCAAAGTGATCAACAGATTCAATGTAATCCCTACCAAAATTTCAATGACATTCTTCAGAGAAATAGATAACATTTCAAAAATTTGTGTGAAACCACAAAAGATCATGAAAAACCAAAACAGTCAAGAACAAAAAGAACGAAGTCAGAGGCATCACACTATCAGACTTCAAAATATACCACAAAGCTATAGTAACCAAAACAGCATGGTACTGGTATAAAAATAGACACATAGATAAATAGAACAGAATAGGGAGGCCAGAAATACATTTATGCACCTATAGCCAACTGATTTTCAATAAAGATTCCAAGAACACACATTAAAAACAGTCTCTTCAATAAATGCATCAAGGAGAATTGGATATTCATATGAAGAAGAATAAGACTAGACCCCTACCTCTGGCCATATAAAAAAAAAAACAAACCTAAAATGTATGAAAGACCTAAAGGTAAACTCCAAAACTATGAAACTACTGGAGGAAAACAAAGGAGAAACTGCACAATATTGGGCTGAGCAAATATTTTCTGAATAAGATCTAAAGAGCACAAACAAAAGCAAAATGTACAAATGAAATTCTATCAAACTAAAATGCTCTTACAGAGCAAAGGAAATTATTAACGGAGTAAAGAGGTATGGGAGAAAATATTTGCAAACTATACATCCAATATTAAACTATACATTCTAGATTAATACTCAACATACATAAGAAACCTAAATGTCTCAACAAAAAAATAAGAAGAACCCTATTAATAAGTGGGCAAAAGACCTTCATAGACACTTCTCAAAAGAATACATTCAAATGGCCAACATGTACATGAAAGATTATTCAATAGCACTAATTATCAGGGAAATTCAAGTGAAAACCACAATGAGGTATTATCTCCCCCCAGTTAGAATGGCTGTTACCAAAAAGACAAAGGAAAATAAGTGTTGGCAAGGATGTGAAGACTACAAAACACTTAATGCACTATTAGTGGTAGTGTAAACTAGTACAGTCATTATGGAAAACAGTTTGCAGGTTTCTCAAAAAATTAAAAATAGAACTATCACTTGATTCAGGAATCTTTCTACTGGGTATATATCCAAGAGAAAGAAAATCAGCACATTGAAGAAATATCTGCACTCCCATATTTCTTGAAGCACTATTTACAACAGCCAAATATGGAATCAGTCCAATTGTTCAACAATGAATAACAGTATAGAGAATGTGGTAAATATCTGCAATGGAATACTATTCAGTCATAAAAAAGAGTTAAATGTTGTCATTTGAAACAACATGGATGAACTGAGAGGACATACTATTAAGTGAAATAAATCAGACACAGAAAGACAAATACTGCATGATCTCACACATACACTGAATATTTTTTAAAAAGCTGATGAAGTAGAAGTGGCAGTAGTGGGGACCACAGATTGGGGCGGAAATAAGGAAAAGCAGGATGGAGAGAGGTTGGACAAAGGGTACAAAGTTACAATTGATCAGGAGGAATGCCTTTTGGTGTTCTATTGAATAGTAGGGTGATTTTGATTAACAGTAAAATATTTTACATTACAAAATCATTAGAAAAATGCTTTTGAACATTCTCCTCACAAATAAATGATAAATGCATGAGATGCTAAATATGCTAATTACCCTAATTGGATCATTATATAACATAGACGTGTATCAAAACATTAAATTTTATCCCATAAATATATACAGTTACAATGCGTCAATTAAAAAATACATACAAAATTAAAAAAAAAGAATACACAAATTGCAACAACTAGAGCCCAATGACAGAAGAGCATTTTGGTCTGCAGCTCTTCATAAGTTGAAGGGAAATAGGCTGTACACTTTATCAATAGCACTGTAGTTCTCAATGAGAGTCTTCTTAACCATTTGTGCCCATATTTAACCCCCTTAGCCATGCTGACCTTATTTGTTTGGCTTGTTTTGGGGCTGAAGGGTCACAGTAAAAGGTACATGCTACAGGAGGCCACGCTTTGGCCAGCTCAAATTAGAAGCTGAGTTTTGAAAGTAATGCCTTGAACAGCTTAATCTTGGTAGTAGACACACATGTGGGTGAGCTTTTGTTCCAAAATAGTCTATGAACCATGTCAATGCAAATGGAATTTTCTTAAAACAGACAAGTTTAATGACAAGGATTCTAAAAACTAAGAAAAAAAACATGGTGCAAAATTCATACTTACAGGCAACCTCTCCTTACTCAATTGAATCACAGAGCAAGGTTTTGGACTTAATTCCAAGTTAGGTGCTGGAATGGAGCAAGACTAAAGCTAAATAAGTCCTAGCCATCAACAAGGATTTCTGTTTCCAAGGCTCAGTAAAACAAGGTCCTATGGGTCTTTGTCAGGTACATACCCACGAAGAGGCACTGTGACGAAGAGACTTCACCCATCTTTGGTTTAGACTTCTCACCTTTTTAAACATGAGAAGCCCAACAGCAGTGGGATTGCAGCCCATACCATTGTTCCAGTTGGGAATTTTTCCCCTTGCTGCTGCTTGAAAGAATAAAGAGAACACAAAATTGTTGCTATGCACCTTCAAAACTGTGGGTTGTTGCTCTCTGTTCAACATCTTAACCCAACAACTAACTTGAGTAATTGTTTTTATCTCAGTTGATTGCCCATAATAGCGATTTTGGTGCTGTGTAGATAGCTTCAGTGGAAAATGCCAGCCAAATGAGTTCTTAGTATAATGTAGATCAAACAATTGGCTGATTGATTGGAGGAAACACTATTTTTATTGTTTTGTAACAGTAATTTTGGCTGGGCATGGTGGGTCACACCTGTAATCCTAGTACTTTGGGAGCTGAGGTGGGTGGATCACCTGAGGTCAGGAGTTCGAGACCAGCCTGGCCAACATGATGAAACCTCCTGTCTACTAAAAATATAAAAATTAGCTGGGCATGGTAGTGGGCACCTGTAATCCCCACTACTCGGGAGGCTGAGGTGGGAGAATTGCTTGAGCCCCGGGTGCAGAGGTTGCAGTGAGACGAGATTGCGCCACTTCACTCCAGCCTAGGCAAAGGAGCAAAACTCCATCTCAAAACAAAACAAAACAAAACAACAGCAATTTTGGCATCGGTAATGTTAAATGATAACACTTGGAATTTCCAATAGAAAGCCATATAGCATGACCAGTAACTGTCAGAAAACATATTGGACCAAGAATTGTGTCAAACACACATTTTCATTTTATAACAAGATTCTGAAAAGTCCTTGGAATTAAATATTTTCTTTTATATAAGGCACATGTCATGCAGAATACATCTAGTTATCCTTGTGAGTTTTCTAGTTTATGGAAGCAGTAGCATAAAAGTCTTTTTGCATGTAAGATGCAGGAGGTGGTCGTCACCAAGGCTAGGACAGCATCTTGTCCAAGAGACTAACTGATGAGTTAAGAAGTAGGTAAGGGAGCAAGTGGTCCTGGAGGGATCGGTAAGAGGCTTGGGAGAACGTGATCAAACAGGGAAGAGTCCTGCAAGTACTCAGCTGCTAAAACGTATAGGAAAAGCGATTGAAAGGCCACGATTAGCAGGAGATTCTTAAGAACGAAGGAATGTGGGTCAAGAAACATAGGATGGCAAACACTCAACATCCTCACATCCTTCCACATCTGAATCCCAGCAGCTGCCCTAGAAATTGTATCTATTCCTCCATATTCTACATCCAGAACTTCAAGAAATCTCGCTGGACCCACCCTTAAAATATGCTTAGAACCCACCTGCTGCCCTCCACCTCTACTGCCCTCCACCTCTGCTGCCCTCCACCTGCTGCCCTCCACCTCTGCTGCCCTCCACCTGCTTCCCTCCACCTGCTGCCCTCAACCTGCTGCCCTCTGCTTGCTGCCATGGCCTCTCCTGAACCTCCATTTCCCTTTGTCTGTACCCTCTAGCCATCCTCTGCTATTCTGACATCTCACTTGCCCTTTGGGAGGCTATTATCAGTGTGGTATGCAGAGTAAGCCTAGTAAAATGTGGGTCAGATGTGATTCTGTGTCGCTCCAACTCTGCAGTGGTTTTCTCTTGGATTCTCTGCTGTGGGCCCCATGATCAGGTGTCCTGTGACTTTCCCTGGCTCACAAGATTCTAGCCACATTTTCTCCCTTGCAGTTTCTCAAGTGTAACAGGTGTGGTTTCCCTTTTGGTCTTTGCACTGACCCTTTCCTCCATGAAAATGTTTCTCCCCCAGATAACTTCATGATTAATTCCTTCACCTCCTTCACTTCCTTTCTCAGCAAGGTCCACACCACCCGTCCAATTTAAAATTGTTGTACATCCCTTCTCCAGTCCCAGTCACTCTGGTGTCCCATTTCTTCACAAAGCTTCCAACTCCTAACATGAGAAAGCATTTGCTTATCTACCGTGTTGTCGGTGGCTATCTGAGCCCTCCAGAAAGTAAACTCACTGTGGCCAGAGATCTTTTCATGATTTTTCCATTGATGGATCCCAAAGTCTTCAATAATATCTGATGTATGGTAGGGGCTCAAAGAATATTGGCAGAATTCAAAAATGATGGAATGATTGACAAATATGCTTTTTGAGAAAAATGAGAGAGGCGGCCTGCTGTTGCAGAGTCAACCGGCTCCACGTTTCTGTTAGACTTAATGGGACATCAGCTGGCCCAGAGGCTGAAGGCACCGAAAGCCAAGCACAGTTGGCTCCATGCTGGGTAGTGGTGTGTGGAGCAAATGTCCTTGGTGTTTCTTACTTTATTAACAGGGGTACTGTTCAAGATAGGAAACTTCGTAAATAATGACTCCTCCTACAACGTCTCTTATTTTAAACTTGGAATGACTTGAGGAGGTCAGACATGCGCATTGTGGGGCATTGCTAAACCGTATATGGCTGTGTGCATATGGCTTTTCCCATTAAGGTATTTATAGTTGGAGATAAAGAAAAAATATTCTACGAAAATAATAAGTAATTTCATTTTAGCAAACTGGCCATTTTGGTTTTCATTAAAAACAAGATGCTCAGGTTAATATGACATCATCTCTATTTACCACATTGTTTCAAGTCTTCCATTTGGAAAAACTGTAAGGATAAAGAGTATCACCAGGAAAGCTTCTATTTTATTATATTATTTTATTTATTCATAAAAATCGGCACAACCAATTTATGATAATTTTCACATATTGTCTTAGTTCATTCAGGATGCCATGGCAAAACACCATAAACTGGGTGCTTCATGAATCACAGAAATTCATTTTTCCTAGCTCTGGAGGCTGGAAATTCAAGGCGATGCCATCATCTAATGTGATGTCTGGTGTGGGCCAGTTTCTTGGCACATAGATGGGACCTTCTGGCTGTGTCTTCACAAGGTGGAAAGGGCAAGAGAAATTTCTGGGCTTCTTTCATAAGGTCACTAATTCCATTCATGAGGGCAGAGCCCTCCCAAAGGCCCCACATCCTAATACCATCACCCTGTAGGTGGGGATTTCAACATAGGAACTCAGAGAGAGGCACAAACACTCAGACTATAGCACTACAAAGTTCTTGATCAGGCAGTCATGCAATATTTCAACAGGAAGATGAAAGCTACACAATTAAGCAGGTCAGTCCTTTATTTTCATGATGCCAAGCCCATTTGAATTACTTTTAATATATTCATTTACCTATTTTGATATCAGGAAGAAAGGATCTCTCATTTGGAGCTCTTATTTTTAATCTGGAAGAAATATATAGAAACCCTGACAGGTACACAGTATCGATAAAGCAGCCAGGCGACACTTTCCTGTACAAAGTGATGATGGCACCATCTGGATTCAGCTTATTTGTTTTTGCACAGAATGTCATAGTTTCCAAATTTCTTGCTAAAAATATTTATACATTAACTTAACATAATTAGGAAATCACTGAGCGGAAACATTACATAGGTTGGCTTTCATTATAATTTCTGCATAATAATGCTTATATTTTCTAGGTAGTAATTAGATGCATTAAGGATGAATGATTCCTTCCATGCTTATTGAGGTTTTTTTTTTCTTCTAAATTTGTGTCAAGGGTCACCTGCTGTGGGGAACAATGAATGTCACCAAGAAAGACAGCAGATAAAAGCTTCTGAAATGAATCAGTGGTCATAGACCAAAAATTTGGATTTTTAAAGTATCCAAGCAGAATACTGATAGAGCAGAATCTTAAATCTATGTATTACTTGTACTGAGAGAAAATAAAATAAGCATATGGATTTACTACCATAAATACAAGTTTGGATGAATCAAGTATGTAATTGATATCACAGATATAGAATTACCAGCCTAGTTTCAATACAAAGGTAGAAGTTAACAAAGGCTTTTGTTTTAATCTTGATTATTTTTAATCTGGATTATTTTGTGGTTCTTATTGAGCTGCCTAGATCTTCTGAGTCTCAATTACCCCCTCACGTCATGGGATGTTATAATCTCTTCATTTTATTCAAACTAGAAAATGTCTGATAGTTTATAATACTTGCATTGTTTTATAATCTTTATGTGGATAATTATTTAAATATATATCAGAGCATCTTGGTTATTAACTTTTTTCAGTCTTCTTTTTAGGAATATTCATGTCCATTTTCTTTGTCTTGAATTCACTGCATGCAATTCATATAATTACATTAATCTCTTTGAAACTGAGTTTTCATTAATAGTTGAGCCCCAATTTTCTGAAGAGTCTCTTCAAAATTCAATCTCTTCTCTCTTACCCATCTGACAGACAAAACATATTATTTGGAAAAATCATTTAAAATAGCATTCCAAGAATAAAATAGGGTTTCCATGTTTGGAAAATAAAAATAGAGGACATCCAGGTAAATTTGAATTTTAGGTAAACAAAAAACATATTTGAATATAAGTGTGTTCCAAGTATTGCACAGGGCATTCTCATACTAAAAATAAATGTGATGCTTATCTAAAATTACCATTTAACTGAGCAGTCTGTGTTTTTTTGAGAACCAAAATAAAAAACACATTGTTATTCTTATTTAGACAACACTAGAAGTGAAATATGTCTCTTAATATATTACCTATCATTTTAGTTTGAAAACAGTAATCTGTGATTTATCACTATGTGATATCTAAATTTGAATGTGTTTCAAAGTTTAGTTCACTTTTTTTGAGAGGTGAACATAAAATATCTTGAACAGGTTGAAATGGAAAGCATGGAACATGTTTTCTCAGTGAGCATGGCTAGAACTGAACAATACATTATTAACCATATGAGGTGCAAAATACTGCTGTCACCTCCTAAGGGACTGTGGTAATCCCAGGCTGCCATGGTCTGGCAAAAAGAGGTGAGGGTTAATTTTACCTGTCAACTTGACCGGGACAAAGGGTGTTCAGATATTTGGTAAAATACTATTCTGCTTATTTTTGTGAGGGCATTTATGGATAGGTTGAACTTTTAAAAAGAGAAACTGAGCGAGGCATATTGCCTTCCACAATGTGGGTGGGCCTCATGCAATCAGTTGAAGAAATGAATAGAACAAAAAGCTTCCTATCCCCTGAATACAAGGAAATCCCTCTGCCTGCCTTCAAGCTGGGACATCATATTTCCTGTTCTTGGCCTCAAACTGAAACATCTGCTGGGGTCTCCAGCTAGCTAACTGGAAATTTTTATTTATTTATTTATTTATTGCATTTACAGTTGAGAGAAATGTAAGAACTGCAGATTTTGAGACGTGGCAGCCTCCATCATCACCTGAGCCCATTTCTTACATCAAATCTCTTTCTATTTTGTTAATTGGGATTCTTAGGGAGTAGAGCAGAGGGCAGAGGGAAGAGTTAGACTCAATTGCCCCAAGAGAGGCCACAGGTGATCCCATGGTGGCTCTGGCAGTGTCATGAACTTCAGGGTTGTCCCAAGTGAGTTAAGGGGCTGAGTCTTTTTACCCCAGGTGGTCATGAAATTCAGGCTGACCCCTGAGATGTTCCCTTCAGCCAAGGGCAATTTCTGGAAAAAAAAAAAAGTCAGCTCTTCAAGGCCAGGGACTCACATCTCTGGGTTGCAGGACTGAGTATCTCAACACTGAGGAAGGTCTAGGTGCTAGGGTATGCCACCCGAACCCCGCAGGAAATTGTCAGAACACAGTGGCACCTACACAGTGAGTTCATATTTCCCTGTGAGGAAATTCCTTAGCACTAATCAGATTCGCAAAGAGGTCCACAAGGAAGAGCCAAAGCTAACCCACTCACCTAGATACTGAGAGAGCAATGTAAGAACACACTGTTCTGTAACAATATAACGTACCTGACATCCTTTCTCCCATCTCACCTCATTTTCAAAAAGTGAGGAGTCTTGCCTATCTCTGCAACTAAGATTTGTCAGCATTCATTTTTTTCAGTATTGTTTAATTATTTTATAACTGCTAATACTGATCCACAAATTCTATTCACAATAACATTCATTGAAAGGGAAACAAGATACTAAAAACGTTTCTTTGTGTGAATACGTGATGCCATTATAATGAAAATTCAACTTATATTAAGCTCAAACTTGGAAGTTTTCTTATATTTTCACTTGATTTGGAAAAAAAAATTCACAGGAAAACAGCTGGATATAATAGCACTTTCCTAAAAATGCCCTATTATTTTAAGCAGTATTTCCATGTTATATGTACAAATTCTCACCATTTATATTTTAATTATATGTGAGCATGCATTTATGAAGAAGAAGAGAACACCCTGACAGTGAAGCCATAAGTTTAAAAGGATGCTCAAATCATTCCCCAATGAAAATTCTTCAGACTCCATTCCCTCAGTATCCCCTCAGAAGCCACACATCATTTTGAAGGACTGCCATTCGCCTGGGTTCAGCTGCTGCAGTGCAAGGGCAGGAAGGCTCCTGTGTGAGCCCAGCACCCGTCTTGGGTCACCACCAAGTGGAGGACAGTCCCTCTGGAAGAAACGGAAGTCCTCCCTGAGGTCTGGCATCTGCATATGTTGAACCCACAAAAGCCATTGATTATTTTAACCAGGCTCAATTTGTCTTTGAAGGAGACATTTTAAAAAGCAAAAGAGCTTGAACAAACATGAAAGTAATCTAATTCAGACATAAACATGAAAGCTAACAAGATTACAATGAATTGATCTAAATATTACTTAAAATAATTAGAAATGATTTTTTATGGCATGCCATTTCAGTCAGGACACTTACATGTTTCATTAGGACACAAACAGATTATTGCTTTCTATAATATTTTCTTGTTTTTATGACCTTAGAAAGAAGTATCAGTGTGTTCAGACCTGTCACTCAGAGCTTCTCCAAGGTCAATGAATATTCTGCATCTAAAGCAGCTCCAAATTTAGCCAATCCCTCCTCCTTCCTACTGTCTTCATGCTCAAATGGTGACCTATTCTACATGAATTTATTGCTTTCTCCAGACATAATTCACAGCTATCTTTCAGAGAACAGAAATATTCTATTCTTAATTTTTGTTTTTAAGCCTATGGCAAAAGTATTGAAAAGAAACATTCTGTTGATTTGTTAAGAGAGAAACTTCAGGCAAATTAAATTTAACAACGTTTAATTGAGCAAAGAATGATTCATGAATTGGGCAGCACCCAGAACCAGAATCAGTTCAGAGTGGCAGTGCAGCTGTCATGTGGCCAGACACAGTTATGAACAGAAGGAAAATGGGCTACAGGAACAGCGGGTTAGTTACAGCTCCGCTTTTGCCTTATTTGAACACAGCTACGACTCAGCTGCTGTGATTGGCTGAAATTCAGTGGTTGTGATAGGCTGAGACTTAGCAACTTGTTACAAGAGAAAATTACAACCTATTTATACCCCTACGGTTCACTGTATATGAAGAAAGCATTAGGCTGAATTTAACCTATTTAAGGAGACAACTTTAGGCTAGGCTAAACATAATGTAACAAACTATTGAAGGTGGTAGGTTGTCCTTCAACATAGATATGAAGATTCAGAAAAGTGTATGGTAAAAATTTATTTGGTGTATACTCTGTCTTTAAATCAACATTAAGGGTTGAGGGGCACCAAGAAATGCTCCTTTCTTGCTTTTCTTTTACTTTTCTTTTTCTTCTTTTATTTTGACAGCCTTTGAGTTTACAAGAAGTTAACATTTCCACAGGGTTGTAATTGAGTCAAAAACCAAATTTTCTGCAACATCCTGTAAATATCTAGACCTGAACGTTGAGTGCTCTGCCTTCTTTTTCTAAGTGAGAAACACTATCGAAGCTGCCACAGTACATGGATGTACTTAATACTGTTTAAAGTCAAAAGAAACATTTGACATAAAACGTGTTTGAAGTTAGATGAATCATCCTACTGGGTTAGAGTTGTAGCAAACTTTCCCATTATTAATTAATTTTTCATGCATCAAACTAAGACAACAGATTTTTAGTACCTAATGTAACTCATCCCCATAGAACTAAACATTTGGTCCAGAGAAATCATGTCATAATTAGCATATTCATTTTTGTTTTTTCTCAGAGAATGTGAGCAAATTAAACAGAGCGGATAATGGGAGCATTAGATTTAAAATTCAATATGACAAACATAAAATATTGGAGTTATTAGCAATAATAATAAAGCATATTGTACTTATGGTGTGAAAGTAGACATTTTATTTTCCTTATACTAAATTTACAAATCACAATATAACAACTAATTGCAGTTGTTACATTGACTTGGATTGATAGCACAAATATGTGCTAAGCTCCACATTTTTATGAAGATGCTTGCCTATTGGTTCCTTATAGAAAAAGATGAATCCCTATTTGGAAATGTTAAGTCATTATTAAAAGCTAGCATGAGAATCATGTTATACTTCTCAAAGCTAGCATCAAACAATATTATTTTATCCAAAAGTTTCTGAAGGTTAAACCTGAATGCTGCTGGAAATGATCAGATTTCCAGGTGTGAGATTTAAATAAATAATATGTAAATGTCCAGAAAATGTAAACTGTAATGACATAAAATGCTTTAATGATAATACGTAGTCAGTCTTATTTATCTATTTCAAGGATTCAATACATTAGGAATTGCCTGCAAAGCTTTACTGAGAATTATAGCTATATTTTGTTAGTTCTTTATTTCTTAATTTGTAGTACCTTGGGCTATAATTCACATATGGACAGAGAACTCACCAAATAATTACCTTTGCTATCTCTCATATGCTTGGGAAGCAAGAGCATCCCTCTGTGTGGACTGGAGCTTCTTCTGCATCCTGAATGGTGCTATCCCTTCCCTACCAAGACAGGCCTGGAGAGGGGCTGTGCCAGAGACCCTCTCTGTACAAAACAAATTCCCAAGTAACAAGTACACCCACAGTCACACCATGAACATATTTTTAAACCCTTCCTCGAAATACCATTTTGTATTTACTTGCTGTTATAAATTTTCCTAATTCTTCTTTTGTATTTTTGTTTAAAGAAGTATGTATAGGATAAATTAATAAGAAGTAGCAAAAAAGAATAACTAATTTTCCTCCCATTTTTGGGTAGAAAAAATACACGTCTGTTGTTAATTCTTGATCTTTTTTTGTCTTGATTATCTTTACTGAGGTATAATTTAGATATAAAAATGGCACCAGTTTTGGAAAATAAAAATATATTTTGACAAATACATACGATTGTTTAGCCACCACAATTGTGATATAAAACATTTCCGTCACCCCAAAGTGTTCCCTTGTAGTCAACGCCCAATCCCTGATGCTACTGATCTGCTCTCTGTCACTTTAGTTTTAACATTTTCAGGAGCTTATCGAAATGAAATCATACAGTATGTTCTGTTCTGTTGCACTGTTTAGTTGTATTGCACGTGGGGGTGCAGCCTGACATTTTACACATTGGTTTGTAGTCCTTGCAAGACCTAAACCTCATTTGGGTGAACATTTCTTCAAAGTCAACCAGTTGTACTTGCTCAAACTTTCTCAAGCTTATTCACAGCCTGGGTTGTATCTTCTTTTCCATGTGACATACTCAGATTTCCTTATCACACAGCTCATCATCATTAGATCCCATAACTTCAAATATTAAAACTGCTATGACAGCTTCCAATGACTAGTTTCTGGACTACAGGTGACACACATTATTGCTCTTTGAAAATTATTCTTCTTATTAAACCCAACTTGGCAAAAGCCTCTATAGTGGCCAAAGTAATGAGAAAGGATGATGATGATGATGATGATGATGGTGATGAAGATGATGATAGTGATGATGATGGTGATGATGATGATGGTGATGATAATGATGATGAAGATGATGGTGATGATGATGATCATGATGATGAAGATGATGGTGATGATGATGATGAGTTCTCCAGAGTCCCAGACAATCCAATGGTACTGAACTAAGAGAGTTCAGGAGATACCCTATACACCCAGGAGGAAGAGCACTCGTTATTTGGCAAGTATGTCAGGTGCCAGGATGGCGGGTCTGGAATACCCGATCCCTACCTGAGTTCAGAGGTAACGAGGGAGGCCCCCCAGCAACAGAACTATTTTGTGATGTGAAAACTAACCATTTAAAAGATTTCTTCCTCAGATGCCTCATAGGTCAATGTTCAATGGATGAAATACAATTTTATGACAACATGTTATCACAACTTTTAGGTAATAGTTGAGAAAATCAATGTGGATGTCATTGGGCACTACTTTCTATCAGTATTAAATAGCAAAAAGAGCAGAAGAACTTTGACATTTATGTTCGAGGCTCTGGTGACAAAAGGCAATTCTAACAAAGTGGAAGCATTAAAATATTCCTGCTATAATAAATAAGAGGCAGATAAGGAGACTATGAGCTGTAATTGGAAATAGGCCCCCTTTCTTTAAAAAGAAAAAGATAAAAAGAAGAAAAACAAAAAATAAACAGAGCTTTGACATGCAGTAATTGGACTTGTCATATTTCATCCATGCAATTAAAAGTTAAACCCATTTTCTAAGATTGCATTGTTTAATTACAAAAGTAAGTACATATAATTAAAAAGTTAAATAGATATGGTTAGATGCACTGTCAGCAGAGCACTGAAATATAGCAAAAGATATTTGAAGACAGTTTCTGTCATTTCAAATGATTACGAAGCAGCCTTGTCCTCACAAATGATGAAAATAACTGGGATATTCCAATTATTGGTTATTTTTAATATTTACTCTCATGCTGCTTGAGTGTAAACAAAAAGAAAATGTCTTTTTTCTATTTAATCTAAAAATAGGTACCATCCACCCGTCAGAAAAAGTATAGCAGAAGATCTGAAGAAAGATACATTTTTTTGGAGTCTGGTAATTTACCTGCAGGTAAGAATAATACAGCTTTGCAAAAGGCTGTCAGAAATCTACTTGCTCGAGTAATTCATAGACACCTCCACACTTAATGTGAATGCTTTGACTCCAGAATAGATAAAAATTCCTGCAATAATAGATGAGACTAAGCAAAATAACCCACATATGTTGCAATGGATTTTTATTCCTAGAAAAATATGTAATATCTCCTTGTACTAATAGTTTATGTTCTCTGGTTGATACCCCACTTTCAGACCTAACATCAGGAACTGATGTGTTCCTGGTAGTGTAGACAGCTCTAGTACCCCTGGAAGTCTCTTTCGGATAATCCACATTCACACTCAAAACCATGTGTAAGTTCCATGCAGTGGTAACTCAGGGGCATGCCCTACACTTTGTAGAAGGACAGCTGCAGCAACCACATCCCTAACAGGCACCTCAGGCTACCATAACCAAATACTATAGAGTGGGCAACTTAAAGAAACAAAAATTTATCCTCCACATTTTTGAAAGAGAACGATCCAGGTTGCAGTTGGTTAGGTTTCTGGTGAGGGCTCTCCTGGGTTGAAGCCTTCTCCATGTCCTCACATGGCCTTTCCTTGTGTGGTACAGGGAGAGAGAGATTGAGAGCATGAGCTGTCTTCTGTCTCTTCCTACAAGGACACCAATTCTGTCAGATCAGGGCCTCACGCAGATGACCTCATTTAACCTTAATTACTTCCTTAAAGACTTCACTCCCACATACAGCCATACTATGGGTTTAGTGCTTCAACACATAAATTTAGGGAGGACACGATTATTGAGACCCCAACATTTTGTCCTTGGTCCCCCAAAATTTATGCCCTTCAAATACACAAAATACATTTATTTGATTCCAACAGCTCCCAGTTAACTTGTTCCAGCATCAACTTTAAAGCCTAAAATTTACTTTTATCTAAATATCATCTAAGTCCCAGATATGGGTGTGATGTGAGGTATAATTGATCCTGTGGCAAAATTTCCTTTTATCTGTGAATCCCAAGTGTGCTTCCAAAATACGATGGGATAGGCATAAAGTAGATATTCC
The DNA here is from genome assembly GCF_000001405.40 of Homo sapiens. NCBI lineage: Eukaryota > Metazoa > Chordata > Mammalia > Primates > Hominidae > Homo > Homo sapiens. The sequence goes on from NC_000005.10 coordinate 4,337,380, forward strand.
CTTTCCAAAAAAAAAAAAAAAAAAGATAAATCAGAAGGCAGAAAAGAAATTGTTTCCAAGCAAGTTCAAATCTGGCAAGGCAAATTTCACTAGATGACAAGGCATGAAACTTTCCCGCTTTGACCTGATGCTCTGCCCCAAAGGCTCACTGAGGCAGCAGCATCTCCCTATGGTCCTATTCAGGGACTGCAGAACTGCCCTGCCCTTGAGACTGGGGTGGGAGCGGGGAAGCTTCCTGGCATATGGAAGCTAAAGAGGTGGCCCCATCCTTTGAAATCTAGGAGGGGCCAGTCCTGCCCCCTGGGCTAGTGGTGAGAGTGGCAGCCCAAATGATCTCTGAATCTTCTTTGAACGATTCCCTTTTCTTAAAGGACAAAGCAGGTTCACAGCTGAATAGCTCTATTGTTTCATCCTGTAGAACCCAGAAGTCAGAAAGCCTTTATTTTGTCTTTGTTACCTTTAGTTCAAGCTGGCAGTGTTTCGACCAGTGCAATCCACTGCTATTTCTGGCTAGGCAGAGCTGGCTGATCAAATCCATTAGTTGCTCTTACAGACTCTTCATCAGACAGTTGTTCACCCTCAGTGCTCTCTTCAGAACAGGTTTCTCATGTTTTGCAATACGAATAGACCAATAATTTTTCAAGTCCTCAAGTTCTGGTTCTTTTTTGCTTGGCAATTTTTTCCCCATATGTATTTTTCTTCTCATATTTGACTGTAAACTGTAGGGTGAAACCAAGATGCTCCTTCAATGTTTTGCTTAGAAATCTCAGCCAAGCTTCCAATAATATCACTTATATGTTACACCTTCTGCAATACAGTAGAACACAATTCATCCAAGTTCTTTGTCACTTTAGGACAAGAATCACCTTCCCTACAGTTTCTCATAATCTGTTCCTCATTTCCCTGAGACATCACCAGAATGGCCTGTAATGTCCACATTTCTATAGCTCGTTCAAGGCATTTCATGTTTTGTTTGTTTGTTCATTTGTTTTTTTCTAGAATACACCTAAAGGCTCTCCAGCCTCTGCCCATTACCTAGGTCCAAAGTCACTTCCACATTCTTAGGTATTTGTTACAGCAGCATTACACTTTTTCTACCAAAATCTGCATTAGTTGGAATTCTCCTGAGAAACAGGGCCAACAGAATGTTAAATGTGTTTTCTGTCAAGATCCCTACTCTATTAGCCTTTTGCACGTAGGTCTTGGTCAGCACAACCTGGCCTCCAGCAATGCTGCTTCTAGCACTTCTGAATTCCAGAGACCCCATGGTCTAAAAAATCCAAAGATCCATATAAATGTTATGTGCTCTTTTTACTTTTAACCATTATCAAATACGGCAGTGCACGTTACATAAATTGATCTTCAAAAATTCTCCACTAATAGTGTTCATATTTTGGGTTCTTTTGTCAGGTTCTATAAATACCAATGTAGAGCTGTGGGACCATGGGAGGATATAAGAATGTGTCACTGAGGATGATATGAAAGTGTCCCTATCAGAGTGCCCAGCCTTGTTATAGTTCAATGAGCATGGTTATAACCACAGGAACCCTTTTTGCTATTATAAAATGGACCAAGAAAGGCCAGGTCCTCGACTGAATGGTTCTGCATGAGAGCATGTACCTTCCAGGTGACCTGCTTTTAGAACTTTCTCTGGCACTAACTAAGGGTCAAACTGAAGATGACACAGGTGTACTGAGATGGAGTTTCGGTTGGGTAGAGGTTGAGAGAGGGTTGAACTGATCATTACTGGGCACCATGCATGAGAGGTGATAAAAGGTATGTTTGAACAAGGACCCATGAGGGTGATTAAGCACTGTTCTGCAGTGACAGTGGAAGGGATGTTCAGAGCAAGTTGTCTGAAGGGACCACATTTGAGCTGATTTCTAAAGATGGACTCTGTTGGGAAGAAGGTCATCCCAAGTAAAAGGGACCACTCAGGCTAAGGCCCAAATACATCTGCAAAGGGGAGAGCTCAGGGTAGGCAGAAGCAGTTTAGCAGGACTGGGGGGAAGACAGAGCACAGAGGCGCATGCACACCGTGTTGACTGTTGAATACAGAGTGTAACGAACTTACGTTGCAGGAGTGTGAATGTGGCTCGTATGCACTAGACTATGGTAGCACATACATGCTTGTGACTCAGATGAGGCTTTCACTCTCAAGTTGATGAATGTGCAGAAGGACATGTTATCTGCACAGGCGCATTATCCCAGCGCAGGGTGGCAATTGCTACAGTAGATGAGGCTCACCAGATGACCAGCGTCCCTGAGGCAAGCTCAGCAAGAGCCCCACTCCTTTGTGCCATTACTCTGAGCCAAGTGCTTTTTGTGGCTCTTCCTAGAATGAGCTCATTTACCTGCCAGGCAGTACTCTGAAGATAGTGCTATTGTTATTTCTCCTCTGCATTTGGGAAGCAGCAGGTAACATATTCAAAGCCACACACCTGGCAAGCAATGAGGTCTAGCTGCAGACCCAGGTGATATGCCATTCCTCTGTACCTCCGGTCCATATGAACCTCCAGTATCAGAAATTCAAGATGGGTGTCTCTGGAAGTTGGGGATCTAACAGCCTTCTGGAAATGGGCTCAGAGTGATGTAGGATTTTTTTCAGCCCCTTTGTCAGACTCGTGACAGGGGTGAATGTTTACTTGGCCCATTGCACTCAGCTTTTTGCCGGAGGGAGCATGTGAGCAAGTGAGTGCAGGACCTGACTATCCGCTCTGGGCACTGGCAGGACCAAGCTCCGTGTGGGGCCCATGGCCAGACCAGGCGGAGGTGCCTGCGACCCCGAAGTTGCAGAGGAAGTGCTACAGTGCTCATTTATCTCTGCTGCCCATGGATGGCTGTGTGTTAACAGCTCAGTTGACCCCTTGCCTCGTCACATGGGGCAGCTGCCTTCCACTACAGAGGGCAAAGGGCCTGTGTGACAGACTTTTTTCGTACTCATACTCAGTGGGTCCTGAGCTCTTCTCCAGCATCCAGAAAGAATAAGGTTGCACAGACACTTGAAAGATGGTGAAGGCAGAGAATTTTATTGAGCAGCGGAAATGGCTCTCAGTGGAGAGGGGAGTTGGAGAGGGGACGGGAAGGGCAGGTTGTCTTCCCCAAAGTCAGGTCATCATCTACCCAAACTCTGGCCGTTTCTTCCCCTAAGTCAAGCCATCTGTCTTCCCCAAAGTCTTGTGGCGTCTCTCAGAAGTCAAGCCATCTCTCCCTCTATCAACTGAGTCTGAGAGTTTTATAGGCACAGGAAGGCAGGGGGTAAGCTGTAGTTTTGGAAAAGGCAACATTTGATGGGTAAAAAGATATTATTCAGAAAGGACCAATTGGGAGAGAGGGGGCAAGCAGGAATAAAAGTTGTCACTTTTGGCTGTGGATTTCAGGCTACCTTGGCTTGAAGGTGAGGTTTCACTGGGGACCGGTCCCTGTCTGCCTAGAATTTCTCTGCCTCCTGCCTCTATTAATAGGTACAGAAATCCTTTGCAGGCCAAGATGGTGGAAAAGTCAGGGGTGGGAACCTCAAAGCAAAGTGACAGCCACATTTTCTGCAGCAAGCCTTCCCTGAGTAAAATCCACAGGCAGCATAGCCAGGAAGGAAGCCAACGGACTCTGGCCATGATCGCTGGCCTGGCCCCAGGACCTAGCTGCATACTTGGTGTGCCTCAGAAGTCACAGCTTCTACCTGAGTTTGTAGGTAAAAGCTGCAGTTCCCAGGTCTACAAAAAGTTCCTAGAAGTCAGATAGGGGCTACCCCCTAGTCACAGCCCCTCCTGTTCACTTGAATTAGAGGTTTCCTTAATAAATTCATTCATAAATTCCTAAATAAACTCATTTGTTAAATTTATAAAATTGAGACATTGACATCCACTTGTGAGGACTAAATAAAGTTACTATTCATATACCAGCAAGGGACCCAAACCCCTAGACCTTGGCTGGGGTTCTGCAAGGGCATGTGCTCATTTCAAAGTCCTGATGCTGCAGCCAGGATCATTGACCACAGGATGTAGGTGGCCCTTGCCCATGTCAGCACCTTTTCCTCTGTGCCTTGTCCTCTAAAGTCTATTCAGATGGCTTTTTCATATGCAGCAGTTATTGAAATGGTCTCTGCACACCAATTATAATAACTGCACAGCCTTCAGCTTCCACCTGGGTGAAGTGTGCCAAATGCAATGTGAGAAATATTGAGGCAAAACTCATTATGGCATTTCTTTAAAAATACTTTCTACAATGTCTTACATCCGTGCTTATGAAAAATTAAAGAGATGAGCAGATCATAGTTTATTTTAGATAGATTTCCTCATGCCATTTGCTCTTGATTTATTTTTCTTTCTTTTGAAGTCTGAATTTTCTTTTTTAAAATATGAAGCTCTCTTACTGGCTTCGATTTTAGAAGATAAGCAACATATATTGTCTGCCAACTTTTCAAGGAAAGGAATTTTTCTATCTGAAATCGCATATTTTATCGTTTTAACATCATTTTTTAAAAACGTTCAACCTTCTCAGGGAAATTACTTTGCATATAGTAATTTGATATTACATAACTATTTATTGGCATTATGCTTCTAGAATCAGACCAATTTAAGGAATGTCTTTTTTAAATTTTTAAATAAAGAGGTGGTAGAAAAGAGAGGCACAGTGGAACATGTCTAGCCCAGATCTTTAGGCAGAATGCTTGTCAACTCTGGAAGGGTGACGGCTGTTCCTAATGCCATCTGGGGAAAGGGCTATGTTTTATAATTGTGTTAATCTCTTCCCAACCAGTCACTACTACAGGTTCTGACTTTTTGAGGTGAGAGAACCTTAGGTTTTGCCTGAAGCTGGTCATTAAGTGTTGCTAATGATAGCTTTCCTGAGGAAATTGGAAATAACAGGGTGTGATTTAATATAAATATGACATGTCAGGCGCTGCCCCCCAAAAATGTCATTGTTAATGTGGGATAACTTGAATTGCACAGAAAGTATTGCCCTGTTTTCAAGTAGAGTAGAAAAGGACTCTGATGCCTGAACAAATCTCTCGCACTGCCATTTTGATCAACGGCTCTTCATGGGAAAGGCAGGCAGCAGTGGGCTCTGGATTCGGGCTGGAGCTGCAGGATGAAGCTATATTGCTTCCTTTTTATTTGTCCAGGCCACATGCCAAGTCAAAGAGGTGTCTTGTTCAGGATTCAGGCCTCTCACAGGGGTGCACACTCTTAGCAAGCAGATGAGAGCAAGAGGTCAGGATCTCCAGGAACGTGTGATGTTTTGAAACAAATCACTCCAAGATTTCCGTTGCCCACTCCTGCTTCCTAGTAAAAACTTGCATACACTTTCTTTAAAAGAGTTGTGATCTAAAAATTAAAATCCCAAATCCAAATAGAAAAAAAAGTATTACTACATTAAGATTTTTTATTTACTTATATTTTTTACAAGACATCTCTATGTGATTCTCAAGGAATGAGAGGATGTTTAGGAACCTAGAGATAGGAAAAGCTCATGAAGAGTGAAATGAGCACATTGTTTGCTGGATACTGTGTGAAGGATGACATCCTCCAAGGTTCCATCTCTCACCAGAACCCATGCTGAGCTGCTTGGACATGTGTGTGCACACATGTTAGCTGGATATCTGTGACCTTAGCAAGGCCACATGGCCTTTCTGACACTCAGTTTCTTCATTTACTGAATCTATAAAACTGAAACATTGACATCCACTTGCGAAGACTAAATGCATCACTAGACGTGAAAGCAACTAACCTAGCATCCAGCATGTGGTAAGGCATCCAATGAATGCCACTTAAATATGAATTACTACAGACCAGTTTTGTTAAAGTAGAAGCATTGAATTCGTTCATTCGTTCTAAACCTTTAATGCATGCCTATGCTCTTTCAGCTCTTTCACAGTCTGTGCTTACAAAATTTAGCATCATTCAATTAAATGCGTTTCTCAGTAGAAAATCAGTGTGTTTCCCTACACAGGCTGCCGCCAGTCTCCAACGTCCACATTCAGCATATCGAAATCACCCTCCCATGTCGGCACATTTGGATTGAACCCACTGTACAGGAGCAGCACAGTAGGTTGGCTGACCTGCAAGGCAGAAACCATCATGTAAGAGAATGCTCTTTGCCCATAATTCTCCTTTGTTTTATTTATTTATTGATCTCCATAATAGGGCAGCATTACCTTTGTAATTTAAAACACTGGAAACATTGTAGATGTTGTGTATTTAGCTTTTAAAGTGTTATTTTGCAAATGCAAATTAAATCAACTGTTCAATCCGTGTCATGCTAGCCAAGAACCATGTCAGGGTCACACCTTCCCAATTGCCTTCTTCTTCAGCACTATGATTTGTTACTGCATTGGGTTGAATTGTGTCCCTTGCCCCCAAATTTATGCTTACTCAAAACCTCAGAATATGACCCTATTTAGAAATGGAGTCTTTACGGATGTCATCAAGTTAGGATGAGGTCCTTCTGGATAAGGGTCAGCCCTAAATCCAACGGCTAGGGTCTTCATACAACGGGGGAAGACATGAACACACAGAGGGAAGAAGGCTGTGTGGGGACAGCTGCAGAGCCTGCAAGATGCAGCTCTACGCCAGAAGTTGACAGGAGCACCAAAAGCTGGGAGAGGCCAGGAAGGATTCAGACTTTGAGCCCTTGGAGGGAGTGCAAGGCCTTAATTTCAGACTTCTGGACTCCAGAATTGTCAGTAAATTTCTACTGTTGTATTATTGTTATTATTATACTTTAAGTTCTGGGGTACTTGGGCAGAATGTGCAGGTTTGTTACATAGATATACACACGCCATGGTGGTTTGCTGCACCCATCAACCTGTCATCTACATTAGGTATTTCTCCTAATGCTATCCCTTCCCTTGTCCCCTACTCCCCAACATGCCCTGGTGTATGTTGTTCCCCTCCCTGTGTCCATGTGTTCTCATTGTTCAACTCCCACTTATCAGTGAGAACATGTGGTGTTTGGTTTTCTGTTTTTATGTTAGTTTGCTGAGAATGATGGTTTCCAGCTTCATCCATGTCCCTGCAAAAGACGTGAACTCATCCTTTTTTATGGCTGCATAGTATAATTTCTGCTGTTTTAAGCCACCTGTTTGTGGTCCTTTTTTGTAGCAGCATCAGGAAACTAACTCAGTTCCCAGCCTTGATTTCCTTTCCTTAGACTGCCCCTGCTTGTAAAGGGACAGACTTGGGCCCATGACAGCAGGCCTTGCCCAGTAGTCATGGTAGCTGGGTGTGAGTCTTTCTCCATCTGTTGCCTGCCGTGGGATCATGGGTGGCCTATTCGATCTAGCTGATCCTCAATTTCCACATAAATAAAAACAGGGCAATTGAAAAAGTTGGCGTATAACATTCTACTAATAAACATATAAAACCCTATTAATAGCGATATTTATATATTTCTCATATGATAAGAACTATATGAAAAACATCTTCATGTTAGACCGAGATCAAATGGAAAACCATCTTTGATGATTTCTGCAAGTAATTTAGGGAGAATTTAATTTCAGCTATGCCTGCCACCTTTGAAATATATATCATGCACATTTGAATGCAAAGTGTTTGTAAAGTAAAAACTGTGGTTTCTAATAGCAAGGACATGACAAATGCCTGCTGAAAGCACAATTATAAATTAGTTTTGGATTTCTTGGGCAATGGGGGTGGAGGGTTAATATCATCATCTGTACCCAGCTGAGTAGTCAAAAAAATCCTGGCCAATAACTTCAGTGATCAGCAGCTGGGGAGAGTTGGCTTAGACTCCGCCCTTTCCTCCTGTCTTCCTGCTGCAGCTTGCAGCAGCTGTACCTGGGAAGCCCACCAAATTCAGGCCAGGATGAAGTCAGTGGAGGCGCCAAAGGTAGGCAAGGTCTGTGTCTCAGTTGCCGTGTGTCTTCTCCCTCTGTGTCTCTCTGACACTTCTTCCTCAACATGGTTCATTCTCTTCCTAAGTCCCTCCAGCTAAGGCACCTGACTTGTCATTCATCTGTGTGTGCCTGTCTTCCCTCCTTTCCCAGCTCCTGTTGAGGACAGGGGTGTCTTGCTCATTGGCCTGAACAGAAGTGAGCTAGAGGGATCATCTGTCAATCATGGTGGCTTCTTAGAATACCCATTTGGGCATTCCCTCAAATAAATGGCAACTGAAACCCCATTGTGGCTGAGTAGTTATGCTTCAAAAATGGTCTTCATTCCTTTTATGTGTTATCCTTATGTTGTAAAAAAAATATAAGAACATGAAAATAAATTCAAAAGAAAACGATTATTTTCTCACCCCAACACTAGGTTGTTTTTGTATATTCCCTCCTAGTCTCATCCACACATACACAGATACTTCCCTAAGTTGTAATCAAAGAGTATAAATGTTTCTGTATTCTGCATTTTTATTTAACATAAGCGTTTTTCTCTCCTGCTATGCAATTTTGTACACATTTTAAATGACTCTAATATTCTTCCAAGGGATATATTGGAATTTATCTTTCCATGTATTCACAGATATTTAAATAGTTTTTCTCCAAACAATTAAAAAGTTTTCTTTATGTAGTTCTTTTCAGTCTAGGCTATTAATGCTAAGTATACAACTTTAAAGCTGCTTTATAAGATATGATTTACAATTTCAATTGTGTATTTTAGTAAATAAAGTGTAGTGGCCACCTCATGTCTATAGAAATGACTCATTTTTGCTGACATAGATTATTTCCTTGGACACGTTCCTCAGATTGGAATTTCTGCAGTTTAGGGATCAAAATTCTGCCACCTTAACATATGTTATGAGGCTCTGTGTTTAGTCTGAATCAATATTCAGGGCCCATGTGGTTGCATGAGTGAGTGACCTTTCTTTACTAAATATTTGTTTATTAGGAAAATAAGAATTAACTATTAAACATGTAATACACAAATATAAATGATAATTCATTCCCATGACATAATGGCAACACTGAATCCCTCATACATATGTGAATAAGAAACTGTCTCAGAGAAGTGAGTAAGAGCCCCAACTTCCCTCAGTTGATGGGTGACAGAATGGAACTAATCATACAACTTCTTGAATCCCAGGACATGCTTTATGGAGAGTTAGTCCAGCATGGTGCCAACCAACTCACGTTATTGATGTGAGTTGCCCTCCCAAGTCAGCTACTCAGGTCTACACATTTTATTTTATATTTTTCTTTAGTCAAAGAGAATCCATTTATTTATTCACGGAGTTCCTGTTGTGTGCTGGGCATAGTCATAGGAACTCAGGATGCAGAAGTAACCCACCCAACAAAGACCTGCTGTTAGGCGCTTACAGCATCATAACCAAGCAAACGCACAAAGAAGCAAGAAACGAAGGAACCGAACACATAGAAGTCATGCCATGCAGTGAAGTGATCTGGGGAGGAAGGCTGGTGTGTAGTGGTGGTTGGGAAGAGCCTCTATGACAAGGTGACATTTAAGCAGAGCTCCCAAGGAGGGGAAGAAGACAGTCAAGGGCTTATCAAGGAAAGAGCTTCCCCAGCTATAGGGGTAATAAGAGTGAAACCCTGTGCAGGAGAACAGGAAGATGAGCATGAGAAATGGGCAGAGCCAGACGGGAAACAGGAGACAGACAGAGAGGGAGAGAGTAGCTAATGTCGGAGGACTGGTGGGAGGCTGGCTGATGTAGGACCTTCTGGGCTGTAGGACTGCCAACATTTTTCCAAGGGGGTAAGAAGCCATTGGAGAATTTTGATCAGAGAAGCAATATGATCTAAATTGGTGTGTGTGTGTGTGTGTGTGTGTGTGTGTGTGTGTGTGTGTGTGTGTTTAAGGGTGCCCCTGGCTAGGAATAGGTGGAAGACAGCAAGAGTGGAAGCACCAAGATCTGTTAGCAGACTCAAAGACTCATGGTGCAGAAGTCCGACAGACAGGCGATGGCAGCCTGGGCTGGAGTTGTGACTCATGAATGGGAAATGAAGGTTCACTGAAAATATCCAGAAGACAGAGCCAATAGCATCTACCGATGAATCTGTTGTGGGGTGAGGGATAAAATTTGGAATTATGAGCACCTGGAAGGTTTTTTTTTCCCCTCAATAATGAAAGTGAGTTGTAACAGGTGTTGGGACTAAACGATGGATGCATTTTACCCGTTGCACGTTACCATAAGCACTTTTAGAATTTTTCTATAGCACTGCCAATGGTTGTGTTTGTAAAGAACATTGTAATGAACGAGCACATTCATGCAATATTTTACCCTTTCATTAGCAATATGAGGGTTCGACGAGGAGTTGGCATACCATGCCATGCTGAGCTTGGAGTAGCATTGTACTAGGAGTAGTCAGGTACCCCAACACTTACTTTGAAAAGTTACAAAACATTGAGGCAGGTGGCAGATAAGATCAGAGGCTTGAGTAATGGAGGGGGAAGCAAGCCGATGCCACACCTATGCAGGTAGTGACGTCCAGGTAGTGATACTTCTGCAGATAAAGACAGGCACAGATTTGATAGTAGGAGAAAAAAAATGTATGTTAGAAAAAAGAGTGATGAACAGGATTGTGATTTGTGATCCTAAAGTAGCTCTTGTTAGTGTCTTGTTTTGGAATTTGTTTTGTTTTGTTTTGTTTTCTCCCTGTCTTGGTGTAATGCTCAGATTCTGTAAGTGAAAGAAAAATGATTCAAGCTATGCACATAGAGAAAAGATGAGCAAAGATGGGTTGGGGAAGCCCTCCTCGGCCCCTGCCTCTCCTGCTTATGTATGGGCCCCTGGAACTGGCCTTGCCTCCCTCCCTTTGGATCAGAAAATCCCTGGTACGGATGCCAATGTAAAGCAAAATGGAAGTATTTGTGGAAAATCTTTTTACTTTTCTTTTGAGTTAAAACACATCACGAGGGTGTATCAAAGAAATTGATTGAATGTGCTGTGGAATTACATGGGAATATACAAATAGATTTCTCTCAAGAGAGCAAAGGGAGCAAAAGACCAAGAGGAGGAAGGACTACAACTACCCAGGCATGTTCCATCCAGAGGTAACAGTGGGAAAGATGAAGTGGTCAAAATAGTCCTCCTTCAACAGTGGAATGGCTGAGATTGTTTGATAGAACCTACAGAAAATTTGATCTGGAAATTCACTTCTGTGCTCCCTTTCTGCTGCCCACCAGTATCAAAAGCACAGTCAGCATGAGAAAGAGAGTTCAATGCCTATTATTAACAAAAGTTAAATGTGACTGAGTGGCAACAGGGTGAAATATGCTGATGACACACAATCATTAGATGAGTCAAGACCACAGAGGAAAGTAAAGCCTCCTAGATGGGCTGAACAAAACTCAGTAATTGGGCAACATGATGGCAGATGAAATTCACTGTAGACAAGCGCAAGGTGAAACTTACTGGGAGGAATAAATTAAATGCCTCGTCTGTGCCGAAGAGCTCTGAATTAGTTGTAACCTCCTGAGAATAAGATCTAAAAATCATCATAGCTCACTGAAAACATCTGCTCTATGCAGAGCACCAGTCAAAAAGAATGAACAAGATGTCAGGCTGTGTGAAGAAGCAGATGAAAAATGCATGAATGATTTAAAGTCATTATAGCGAAAACCCATTGTATAATCTTTTGTAAAAACCAAGAAAGAAAAACTTAAAAGTGGGGCGGAAACCAATGTAACAGGGGTCAATTCGTTATGCATATGTTAAGACTTCAAAATAGAAGGGAGAGAAATAAGCAGAATCGTTTTCTATTTTCACTTCCTATAAATGGATAATGTAATATAGTGTATGCAGAAGGACTAAAGTCAGCTTGAGTCATCTTCATTCAGGAAATGATTGCAGAAGACTAAATATGTCATGAAATTCCAGGGAAAACATATTTCAGGTAAAAGACTGTGAGGATTTCCTTCTAAGGGAACTGGTTTTAGTTTCTGCAGGTGGTGAGCAGCTTAAGTTGGAACCAAGTATTCAGGAAGGGGTTTCAAGAATTTTTTTTTTGTCAGCACATCTGGCCCAAGCCATCATATAGAAACCCATGGAAAAATTCATTTCACGTTCACATTTAATGTCTCCCATTTCCCTCTACAAGCCAAAGTCTCTTCGTAGTGTCTTTGCATTTTCTCTGCTTCCTACACTTCATTCATTAGCCTCTCCCAGCCTCAGGGTTAGCACTCATTAGAAATATTGACAAGTTAGCCTTTACATAGCATTGATTTCTGTGTTTATTGAGAAGCCTCCTAGTATTTCATACATGGAGATTCTGGTTCTTCCTTTATGTCACAATCACAAATTTTATTCAGCGATATGAATCTTCCAAGAAGAATGTATCCATTTTACTGAAGACTGATAAAGAAGTTATTGTTACCAAAGCACTTAAATCCTGCACTTACTAGAAATAAACTCTCTTCTTTGAAACAAATTAGAGTGTGCTCTAAAAGGTGACTTGTTTACTGTTCTTTTTTGAAATAAAACATCACTGAATTTCATGTTGTGATTCTATTTAGGAGAAGCAGGATCAGTAAAAGCAGCACTTATAAAATGGAAACCTTCAGCAGCCTAGGCAGGGCCTTCCTGGATGGAACTGGTGAGGGGTCAGGTTTAAGACCTGCTGATTTAGACAGTCCACCTTCTGGCTTTGGAATCCTCATTAAAATTGCCCTGCGAACCCTGGGCTTCCCACTCCTTTGCCCTGCAATGTTGCTTCTGTCGTGTGGCTGCACTGCTAACACCTTCATTACGTTCTGTCGCACTAGATTGCATCATGGCTGGGTTCTTCTCCCCTTCCTCTACCCAGGCCCTTTGGCAGGTAACTTCACAGAGTCCTTTGACCCTGGATCCAGCAGCTTCTTCCCTTGATTTGGTTCAACCAATAGTGTAAGGCAGATGTAAGAGTGTGCAGGGTTCCAGCCCAGGCCTGGAGAGTCTTTGTGTTTCAGTTCTCTCTGGAGCCTCTGCCTTCATCATGAAATGGATGTGGTTGAGTTTGCCTGCTGATTTCATGAAAAGGGTTAGAGAAACATGGAGCAGAAGCCAGCTGATGCCCACTGGATCCACATTCACAAGTGGGCCAGCCAAGACCAGACTAGATCAGCCAGTCCCAGACTTACTACAGGTGGGCGAGCCCAAGAGAAACTAACATAGACCAGCTTGCCTCATGCATCCTTATAGACTTACAGGAAATAGTGAATAAATATTGCTTTTTATATTACTAAAATTTGGAGTAGGTTTCTTGTGCAGCAAGAGCTAACTGGTATACTTTTGCATTTATTTCCTCTCTCTCTCCTTCTAGAAAGTAGGGATCCCTGTCTGTTTTATTCACTGTTTTTTCCTAGAACTCGGAAGTAAGTTCCTGACCCCTAGAAGGGACTCAGAAAATAATATTGAATGATGGCATTCATCACTTAGTCAATCACCCTCGGCCATCAAATAGCCCTGAGCTCAACTATCAATGTTTTGGCCCCTTGGAGCACTGGTTGGAAGAATCTTTCTATAAAAGTTAGATAACATGTATCTGAGGCTTTGTGAAGCCCTAGGTTCTTTTTTGTCGTTTTTGTTTTTGTTTTACAACTCTTTAAAAATTTAAAAACTATTTTTAACTTCAGGAGTGGACAATAAATAGCCCCCAGACTACGGTTGGTTGGCCCCTGCCTAAAGGATGGCTTTTCCTGGATGCACACTGGCATTATACGTTGGGTTGTCCTGGTGCACATCAGGGCTCTCTTCTATGAAACTCATGATTCAATTATTCATAGAGACTAAGATGGGAGCTGCTGCTGAATCAGCCGTATGGAGTTTTTCTCTATGGGCTCATCCCAAAAGGAGTGGCATTCCTGAGCCACTGTGTTGCTGCGGCTCATGGACGTATTGGAAACTGCCATGTTTCCATCATTCCCTTCCTCACGAGGAAGGCTCAAGACCAGTTTCCTGTCCTACTGTAAAACCAGGAAGCCTCGTGCATGTGTTTTTTGTAGGCATTTTTCTCTTTGTTTTACAACTTTCTCCCTCTCTCTCTTTTTTAATTGCTTCAAAGTTACCCTCTACTTATTTATTCAATTATATGAACTGTAAAGTATCTGGATTCTTCTCATAAGAGGCAAATAATACATAAATAATTTTTAAAGTGCAGTATTTATAAATTAAGATGTTCATTAAACAGCTCATGAATTTGTGAATTTTAAAAATGAATCATGAAATAGTATTCTACCACAATAAACTAGTTGTATTTAAGGACTAATTCAACTTATATTTAGATTTGGTGAAGATGTCTTTTTGTTTCGTTTTGTTTGAGGCAGGGTCTCGCTCTCTTGCCCAGGTTGGAGTGCAGTGTTGCGATCTCAGCTCACTGCAAACTCCACCTCCTGGGTTCAAGCAATTCTCATGTCTCAGCCTCCCAAGTAGCTGGAGTTACAGGTGCACACCACCACGCCTGACTAATTCTTGTATTTTGAGTAGAGATGAGATTTTGCCATGTTGGCCCAGCTGGTTTTGAACCCCTGACCTCAAGTGATCCCCCCCTTCGGCCTCCCAAAGTGCTAGGATTACAGGCATGAGCCACCACGCCTGGCCAATGAAGACGTCTTTTTACAAAATGACATAAGAGACAAAATATAGACTCAACCTAAGTGCCTGTCAAAGGATTAATGGATAACAAAAATGTGGTAGGTATACTTAATGTAGTACTATTCAGTCATAAAAAAGAATGAAATCCTGCAATTTGCAAAATGAAGGAAATCCTGCCATTTGCAAAAAAGAATGAAATCCTGCCATTTGCAGCAACACAGATGTAACTGGAGGTCATTATTTTAAGAAAAATAAGCCAAACACAGAAAAACAAATATCACATGTTCTTACTCATACATGGAAACTAAAAGAGTGGATCTTATGATGATACAGAGTAGATTGGTGGTTACCAGAGTCTGGGAAAGGGATTAGGGAGAGGGAATGGAGGGAAAAAAAATGATATAAATTTATTTATTTTCACTGAGCTATACACTTAAAAGTCGTAAAAATGGGCTGGGCATGGTGGCTCATGCTTGTAATCCCAGCACTTTGGGAGGCCAAGGCAGGTAGATTATGAGGTCAGGAGATCGAGACCATCCTGGCCAACATGGTGAAGCCCAACTCTACTAAAAATACAAAAATCAGCATGGCATGGTGGTGAGATTGCACCACTGCACTTCTGCCAGGTGACAGAGTGAGACTCCATCTCAAAAAAAAAAAATGGTAAAGATGGTAAATTATATACGTATATTGTATTAGGCCATTCTCATGCTGCTAATAAAGACATACCCGAGACTGCATAATTTATAAAGGAAAGAGGTTTAACTCATAGTTCAGCATGGCTGGGGAGGCCTCACGAAACTTACAATCATGGTGGAAGGGGAAGCAAACATGTCCTTCTTCACATGGTGGCAGGAAGGAGAAGTGCTGATCAAAGAAGAAAAAGCCCCTTATAAAATGATCAGATCTAATGAGATCTCACTCAGTATTACAAGAATAGCATGGGAGTGACCACCCCCATGATTCAATTACTTCCCACCAGGTCCCTCCCCACACACATGGGGATTGTAGGAACTACAATTCAAGATGAGATTTGGGTGGGGACACAGCCAACCACATCATATATCTTACCTCCATTTAAAAAAAATTCCATTTATTATAGATGGAGCAAGACACACACATAGGGACATTTCTCTAAACAAGACAGAGAGTTTAGAGTGAGAAGTATTTGTAGTTGTGTTCTGGGTGAATTCAGTGTGATTTGTATGTGTAGCCATGTTCTGGGGAGAGTGATTTATGCTTTGCACATGCAGACTATCTATGTGACAAGGACAGATCTTTGTATTATTCAGAAAAGATAGCACCTACTACATTCTAAAGTAATTATTTGCCTAAATGTTGTTTCCACTAGACTAGAAGGCAGGTTTTTCTTTTCTTTGTATTCCCAAATTTCTTAGAAATTTCCTTGGTTTAGTGTTAGATACTTAATAGAAACCTGTTGAATTAATTCATCCTCAAAAGCTTTGGATTTTCCAGAAAGGATTATTTCTTCATAATAATAGAAGATTTTGTAGTTCAAATGGTGTCTTTTTAAATTTGTTTATCATTGGAAAAGATCTGGGAAAGTGAGTTGTAGAAATGGCTAGACATATCCTAACTTGGGCATCTAGTTAATGGTGAATCTTTTATCAGAATCCAGATCTTCCAATGGCTAGTGCAAGCTTACTTGCAGGATACCAAACTGTTTATTGATGTGAAAATTTAAATGATAAAGCTGTAATTATGAAAAAAAATGTTTTGCAGCCAAAGGTATGTGAACTTCTTAGGCATAGAATTCCCATATTAAAACAACTTGCATAAATTCATTTTCCCATCTCTCTTGTCCCAATGCAGTGGTGTGTTAATTCAATTATCAAAAGTTAAGATAAGGATCTTTATGTCCCAATATTCCCCTCATTGTGTTTATTCTCCGTGGCTTCCAAAACACCTGTGGAATCAGCCCTCCTTGCAGGAGAGATCTGACTACTGCCAGAGATTACCTTGTTCATTGCAAATCTGAGCTCTATTCTGATGAAATCTACCTCTTAAAATTATTTTAACAAAAGATGAAGAAAGACAGAGTTTCCATACTGGTAATTACATGAAAGGAAGTGAACCACTCCACAGAGAGATGACATTCTCTCTGACATTCTCCTTCAGCCCCTCCTGGCATTGTCCCTTTTCTGGGTCATGGAGGTCACCCACCTCGGTTTCCCTTGCCCTGGCATCTGTGCACTGACTGTAAAGGGGAAAAGAGGATGGGAGAATCCAGAGTATTTCTCCCTCACTCTGCTTCAGAAAGTGTTCTCTGGCAGTGGTGATATCTTGCTAGGCCACTGAGGGTGCCGAGCACCGCCATCATGGCCCTAGTTACCTTCTCACCTTTGGGGTTTGGTGACTCAGCCCTTCCTGGTCACCAGTTTGGTGACTGGCCCCTCCCCTCCCATCGAGGCTGCCAGAATTCCTGCACTGGCTGGTTTCTGAGCTACCTCACCTCCCTCTATTGGCTTTTCGGTTCTTTCATCATCTACGTAACAAATTCCCTGCTTTCTTTCCCCTCCGCTTAAAATACCTAGAGTTGTTTTACTTTCTGGTTAGACACTGCATAATACAAACCAGTTACTTACTCTTTTTCATTTAAACCAGAGAAAACTTGAGTCTCACAACAATAAAATGTCTTGCTGACAATCCCATGCCTGGTAAGTGGTAGAGTCAGGATTTTAACCCAGATCTGTCTGTCTCACAGATCCATAGCTGGCTGATTCGCAGGGTGGTATGAAAGGCTACTGATGAGATGGGGCTACACTGGCTTCTGTTGGTATTAGTACTGTGGAGCCCTTGCCTTCTACTGGCAAGAGATGACCATCCCATGATTCTAGGAGTTATATACAGAGGATTCAGTGTTTTGACCCTGTTTCTTGGGGATAACCCATGATAGTCCTTCTAAACCTGTGTTGGATGGGTGAGTGGGTGGTTATTGACCTTCAGATGGTGAACCACATGCAACTCGGAGGCCTGTCATTGATATCAGTGACTAACATGACACAAGACAGGGCAGGAGAAAACTTTGACAATCACTTGAAAGAATAATCCCCGGGCAGCAGTTGGAGTGTGCAATAATTAATCAAAATCATCACAAGCAGTAAGTGTAGCCAAGTGCAGTCGATAGTGATCATTGTAATATTTCCCAGCACACATAAAGACCCAATCATTCTATCAATTTTTTAGACATGTAAATTCAGTTGTTACCTTTAAAACACAAAATGACAAAAAGCCTTCATCCTTTGCACCTTGAAACTGCATGGTAATATTTACTGTTTTATTGGAAGAAGAGCACCAGTGCCTAACATTTCACCGTTTCACCTCCAAGGCTTCTGGACCATGTCAGAATAAAAGCAATCAATATCAGTTAATAAGCCAGATCAGTGTTATTAGTATTCTTTACAACCTTGGCATACTTCATTTTATGTACATATTGCCTATGAAAACTTGGGCTTATATCTTGTCTAGACAATGTCTTACATGGTCATTCAAATTAATAATGTGCCAGAATTATCTTATGCTTAATGCAGCTGGCTCTACATTGACTCTAGAAATTAAATTTACTCCGCAATGCTATTGACAGCTGGGTCTCCAGCATATTTAATGGATTTGAATGAAGATGGGGCTATATGTTGTGCCTTCAAGCAAAATGTTGATAACTCATCATTTTCATAAAACGTGAGAAAGTGCTTTATCTATAAATGTTCTATCTCTCAGTGGACTAAATCAATGTAAGAGCTGTTTGCAATGGGTTGAACTTAGCTCTATGTAAGAAAACAAAAAGGAAACTCTCCCAGGCAGTCTGTAAAACAAGTGCTTGCTGGTTCATTAAATGTGTGGCTCTGAAATCTCAATGCATTTCAAAGAAGTAGTTTAGTCTCAAGGAATAAAACTGTGTCCTGTGAATCTGATTTGAACATAATGAAAATTCTCATAAATGTGTATGTCCAAAGTCAGGGCCAGAAACAGGGCTCTCCAAGTTTCTACTGGTTTATTTCAAGCATGGGGAGGGTAAGCTATGCACTCTGCCTAAGCCACTTTTTGACTTGTGAAAGTGACCTCTGGAGGGGAAATAAATGTAAACTACTTTAAAGATCAATTATATATGAAAATTCTTTGGCATGGGCAGGCTTGATTCAATAAACGTAACCTATCAACGACTACTAACAGATTTTACTGGCCTCACCTCCAGCCATCCCTGGTATAAGAAGGCATAAATGGAAAGAGGTATAACTTTCCTAAATTCTAGAGATGTGGTCTATTCTATAGTTGATTTTGAGATAGCTTTTCATATATTGCTCTAAAATAATACAGTCCAGAGTAATTTGGGGGCAAAACCACAAAAGAGTTGGTTTGTGTGTGAGAGTAAGAGAATCACGGTGAGGGTTAATTTATGGGGGAAGTCACTCGCTCATTCACCTCACTTTCCAGCAGCTCCCCCATGTTTACTGTAACATGACTAGTGATTTATGTTCTTGACTAAAGCCCTTCTTCTCGTTAAGTTTCAAATAACTCTACGGAGGGGTATTGTAGAGAATTTGCAATGTGGAGCAACTTACAGGGTCAGACCATAACCGAAGCAGAATCCAGTGGCAGCCACATTCTGTAGAAACAGGCAGAGAAGAGCTAAGCTTGGGCAATGTTGGCAAGATTGCTGGGGAGTGTACAGTGCACTATACAGAGAGAGTTCCAGCAAAGCTTCATTGCCCTCGTAGCTTCAGACAGACAGCAAGGCAGCTCTCTGTAGGTGACTAGAAGCAGTGGGTAGCACAGGAGGGTTGAGGGCAATGAGAGACATGAAGAAAGCCTCAACTAAAAGGGGAAAAGGGTCCAAAGCTGTTCTTATGTCTGCCGCGGTCACAGTCACAACAGGGTCTGGTGCCCACATTTGCACACATGTGTTCCTGGTCAGCCCCTTCCATCCCTCTGCACCTTACTGGACATAGCCGAGGCTGCATTCTGTGGGGTGAGACTGCAGAGCACATGGCCAGTCAGCAAGGGGAGAGCCCTGGAGATGGGAAGACTGGAGCCACAGGGTCTGGGAAACTGAGACATGCATGTTCAGTGACCTAATTTGATTATTTAGACATGGGAGGCAAGTGGGGGTGAAGATGACCTGGTTCCCCTCAAAAGTTACGCTTCTGTGTGTCAGTTTTTTAGGGCTTCCATTGCAAAGCAAGACAGAGTGGGTAGCCTAAGACAACAGAGATTTATTCTTTCCCAGTTCTGGAGACTAAAAGTCTGAAATCAGGGTGTCAGGATTCCTGCTGTTTCTGGAGAGCCCAGGGGAGATTTCTCCCTCACCTCCTCCCACCTTCTGGTGTTTTTTTAAATTTTTTTTATATATATGTTTTGAGATGGAGTTTCGCTCTTATTGCCCATGCTGGAATGCAATGGCGTGATCTCAGCTCACTGCAACCTCTGCCTCCTAGGTTCAAGCGATTCTCTTGCCTCAGCCTCCCGAGTAGCTGGGACTACAGGCACGCATCACCATGCCTGGCTAATTTTTGTACTTTTAGTAAACACGGGGTTTCAGCATGTTGGTCAGGCTGGTCTTGAAGTCCTGACCTCAGGTGATCCACCCGCCTCAGCCTCCCAAAGTGTTGGATTACACACATGAGCCACAGTGCTCTGTCCAGCTTCTGGTGTTTCATGGCATTCTTTGGTGCCTCTTGGCTGTTACAGAATGACTCCAGTCTCTGCCTGTCATCACACAGGGCCTCTTCCAAAGTTTCTTGCTCTTATGGGATACCCTTCATTGAATTAGGGTTCACCCTAATCCAGGAAGAATTCTTCTTCACTTGATGACATCCACAGAGACCCTATTTCCAAACAAGGTCACATTCACAAGTCCCAGGTGTTGGAACTCCAGTATATCTTTCCAGGGTCACAGTTCAACCCATGACATGTGATGCTGCATGGATGCTGGACACCTGAGAGACACTGCTGCTTTTTTAAAATGAGCAGTGAGTGCCTGATACCCTCCTTCCCACATTGCCTCAGCCACATCTCACCAATGTCCGTAAGTGGCATTTTCATATTCATTCTCTCGAGATTTCCTCTTGGTTTTGCAGCAGTGAGTTAATTTCAAAGAATACACTTCTGGAAAGGAGGCCATGGGAGTAATGTTTTACTTTTGAGACCAGTCAGTAGCCAAGTCCATGAGACTTCAGGTCCACAAGATGATCATGGACACCCAGGCAATAATCTGCAGAGCCAGACAGCTCCCACGTGGGCCAGCGTGGCCAAGACCAATGCTTCCCTGTTAAGGAGGAAGGAGTTAGGCTGGAAGAGGAGGAGTGGCCCTGCTGAAAGCCAGGGTGAGTGATTCCATCAAAAGCTGAAGGATGTGGCCTTGCAGATTCCGTTCTGGCCATAAACATTCAGGAACAACTTGCTCTGATGGCTTATTTATAGAAAAGTAGAAAATTGTCATAGCCTGTGATCACTTGATACTGGTCAGCCACCATCCCTACAAAGAAGACCTTTGAAACTTAATAATACAAATCCCTACACCCCCGTCTCATTCTCTCCCATTTGATAGACATTTTTGTCTTCTTGCCAATGTAAATCACTTCATTCAGTAATGAAAATCTCTTCATTAGTCCTGTGGACAAATCAGATAATTCCAATATGTTAAAAAATAAAATGGTGATACAGTTCCACTTAAAAAAAATTAGAAGTCAATCTCCTGAACATCAAGATAAGATGTTGAACAATAATGTCTTATTGTGACACAATGAGAAAGCTTTCCCTGCCAAATCAAACAATAATCTTAACATTGCCAATTTTCTATCCATACCAAAAAAAGAAGAGCATTTTTGTAATACAAAATGTCCATTGTTCCACCACAGTGTTTCTTCTGTCAAGATTTAACTAATTATCTTAAGTACACGATAATTTCCTCTTACCCGCATATTTTTATATTGCTTTTATTGAAAGACTTTCCAGAAATAAGGTCTCTTGACATGCAATGTTGCTTCTCTTAATAATTCAGAGTATCATGCAGAATTTTGTCTTAGAAACACTCTTTATTCCTTCCTTCTACATGCATTATATACTTTTATATACTGTACCTATATGCTTTATATAATTGTATATAACAATTATATACTTCATGCTGAGTGATAAGCACTGTGTGGAATGAATGAGATGTAGACCTTATCCTCACATCAGTCAGAATGGCTATTATTAAAAAGTCAAAAAACAACAGATGCCGGTGAGGTTGTGGAGAAAATAAGTGCTTTTACGCTGTTGGTGGGAGTGTAATAATGTGGCGATTCCTCAAAGATCTAGAACCAGAAATAGCATTTGACCCAGCAATCCCATTGCTGGGCATATACCCAAAGGAATAGAAATAATTCTGTTATAAAGATACATGCACACATATGATCATTGCAGCACTATTCACAATAGCAAAGATATGAAATCAACCCAAATACCCATCGATGATAGACTGGATAAAGAAAATGTGATACGTATACTCTCTAGAATACTATGCAGCCATAAAAAGGAATGAGATCATGTCCTTTACAGGGACATGGATGGAGCTGGAAGCCATTATCATCAGCAAACTAATACAGGAACAGAAAACCAAACACCACATATTCTCACTTATAAGTGGGAGCTGAACTATGAGAACACAGGAACGCATTGGGAGTCAACAACACACACTGGGGCCTGTCAGGGGTCGGGGGTGGGAGAGCGTCAGGAAGAATAGCTAATAGATGCTGAGCTTCATTCCTAGGTGATGGGATGATCTGTGCAGTAAACCAGGATGGCACACGTTTACCTATGTAACAAACCTGCACATCCCGCACATGTACTCTGGAACTTAAAATAAAAGTTGGCAAAAAAAAGAGCTATGAATTACTTCACTCATATTTAAAACAAAAAGAAAGGGCTGGGCACAGTGGCTCACTCCTATAATCTCAGCCATTTGGGAGGCTTAGGAGAGTGGATGGCTTGAGTCCAGGAGTTCGAGACCAGCCTGGGCAACACGATGAAACCCCATCTCTACAGAAAATAACAAAAATTAGCCAGGTGTGGTGGTGTGTGCCTACAGTCCCAGCTGCTTGGAAGGCTGAGATGTGAAGATCACTTGAACCTGGGAGGTGGAGCTTGCCATGAACTGAGATCTCACCACTGCACTCTAGCCTGGGCAACAGAGCCAGATCCTGAAAAAGAAAAAAAAAAAGAAAGAAAGAAAGGAAGGGAAGGAAAGGGAAGAGAAGGGAAGGGAAAAGAAAAGAAAAGAAAAGAAAAGAAAAGAAAAGAAAGGAAGAAAAAAGAAGGGGTTGGACTTAATTATTTGTTTCCTTTTTAAAAAACAAACAAAAAAAATACCTTTAGTTGTTTCCTGCATGATTTCTTTTTTCCATTAACCATTTTCTTCAATGTGTCACATCATTCACATCCATGTTCTTATATCAGCTTATGTGAAGCTTTCAAGTTTGTCCACATTAAATCTCGATAGCCAATGTCAGAAATTATAATCCTGCAACATCAGTTCCTCAAGAGCCTGAAATTATTAGTATCCCAACAAAACTTTGAGTAAAGAAAGTTACACTAATTGACTCTCAGTAAACTGTATTTTGTCAAAAATATACTTGTTGATCTGTTCAAACCCAAAACTTGAAATAAAATATATATATGTGCAACTGTCTTTAATAGAGAAAAATTCTAATGTTGCAAGTCATCCAAATTACAGAACTATCAACGCAGATTGGAGTGGCTGACTGAGATAATTCAATGAGTGATGTTTATATTCTCTGTCTTGCTTCTTGATGATCTAGGTGTAGGTTTTACCAATTTACTGGCATTATTTTACCATTGTCAGATAAAGGTCTGTGCTATTATTTCCTCCCTCCCTCCTAATGGGGCTCAAAAGTCTTCGAATGAGTTACCCCCGAGCAAACAATAGAACATGTTTTCTAAAGACAAATGTTTTTGTATGAGAAACTGTATACTTTATCACTGAGAAAAGAGTGTTTTTGCATAACGGTACAAATATGATATTCACATATGCTTCTCTAAATTCAGAATGAAATCCACTTAACATTAAGCAGTCTAGAAGCTGGGCTAATAAGGGACCATCCTTCACACAATTTTTATTTCTGCGGTCCTGGTTTGGTTGTTATATAAGCGTAATCTTTGCATTAGTTTTTTAGAAGTTTAAACAGGAAGGTGGAAAATTTGGTAAGAAAATAACTGTTTATCTTATTGAGAAATACCTGGATTTGCCTCATGGAAACAGCCACTGTCGAATCTAGAAGAATAGTGTCTCACAAGTTATAAAAGAAAGAGCTTCCTTATGTGAAATTCATGCCTCCATATTTAAAGTGTTTTCTATCTGGTCCATTATTCTCATGAAGGAATGACATATGTGGTCGTTTCATGCTGTTTCAGTGACCTTAACATGAGTACATGGTGAAATAAACTCTGGATAAGGTTGCATTCAATAACGAATAGAGTGTTGTTTATATTGTTGGTAAAATGGAGTTTTAATCATGTATCTGACTCCAGCAAGTCACAATACCTCAGAGACTCATTGCTGTCTTCCACAAATTAACAATTCCCTACATCTGTCATTTGTTGTAAGAATTAGATGGAGCCACATGTTGAAAATTGTTTGACTATCACTAAATCCCCAAATACACAAAAGACGATGTTGTAACTAACTGGTTAAGAGGACAGCTCTGTGTTTATGTGCTTGCTTTTAACAAGGGAAAGCCAGAAAATCTAACTTTTGTCTTCTCCATGGGAGAGGAGGTGGTGTGTGTAACACTTGGATGGAGGAGATGGGAACTCAATGACGCCCCTCTTCAAACTATGCCTAAGTTTTCTTCTCTTGGAAACTGCAGGCATTCTCCCCTTCATCTTAGGGGGCTTTCCTGTTCAAATAGCTAACCCTACCCACATAAAGGGAACGCCTGCTCTGAGGTATGTTAACATGTTTGTGCAGTTGTGTCATTTACATTGACCATATGTTAATGGTATGTACCCAAAAGCTAGTCTTATTATAAGAGGGTTATACATCAATAGTTCTGGAAGACATATAAGTGAATAGGGTTTTCAAAGGGCATGCTTCAGTGAATATGCGTTCCTGGAGCTCATCTATAAAAAGATTTTCAGGCACGCATTCAGCACTTGGTCTTAATTTTCTGTTGATTTCTAAGCTCTAGCAAACCACAAATATCTCTGTGGGCTTCTCTACCAAGCTGGTTTCATAGATGCAAATGGAGCAGCAGATCTTATCTGAAATCGGAATTACATGCAACAAAGAAAAAAAATAAAGGGATGGTGCAGAGCTCAAAAGCTTTACACATTCCCCTAATAAGCCATTGGAATGTCAGTGCCTGATTTGTGATGAGAATGATCATCCAATATAGGCAATGAAATACATATCATGAGAGATGCTTTGTTCTTTGTTGTCTGGCTTATATTTTTCTATCTTGATGCATTTCTTTCTCTGTAAAAACTTCTTGAGCGTGCAATGGAAAGATATTTTGTTCATTTTTTTTGAACAGGGAATTACAGCACTAAAATATGAAAATGCAACATGTTCCTTTATTAATTTTTAAAATATGAATCATATTTCTATATACATTTTGTCTATTGAATATATGATAGATGTGTTATGAATCCCATCTGAAGAACCGCATTACCCATTCACCCTAGTCTCTGGCCTCAGGCATCTTTCTCTCGAGTAGCTTCACCCTGTGCAGGTAAACATGCTTTGCTGAGATAGTAACCCTGAGCTGTCCCTGATTCACAGTTCACTTCAGATAATGGTCAGGGAATAGGTCCTACACTCTTTTGAAAGACAGGAAAAATAAGTGTGAATATCACAAAGAGGCACTTGAGAATCAGGAAAGTATTAAAATGTTCTGTAACTGTCATTTCATTTGTAATCCAATGCTGACTGTCTGGGGCAGGGCCCAACACTCTACAGAATGAGTTGAAAGGAACCCTGGTGACCTCTCTTTATGCCTGGGGCAAATTGGCCTTAAAGGGAGCGCTCATGTGTCATGGAAGTCAATAATTTGTTTCATAAACATTATGCATATAACATGAAAAAATAATTAAATCCATTTTTGAACACAAAGGGGACGCTCACTAGGAATATATGAAAAAAAAACTGCAGCATGTCTTACCTTATAGAATGTTTTGCAAATGCTGATTTTTAGTTATGATGCCAGATTTTCCTGAAGCGTGACATTTCAGTACTATATAGAGCTCTTCTGAGAGAATGCTCAGAAGAATCACTTCCTTATCCCATTCAAACAGAAACACATCTTGAAGACTGATCATTATTTTAATAATAGAAGCTAGATTGCCCATAAGTTTTCTTTCCTTCCTTCCTCCCTCCCTCCCTCCCTCCTCCCTCCCTCCCTCCTCCCTCCCTCCCTCCCCTTCTTTCTTCCTGCTTTCCTTCCTGTCTCCGTTCCTTTCTTTCTCCCCTTCTTTCTTTTCTTCATTCCTTCTTCCTTTACTTTACATTCTCTTCTCTTCTCTCTCTTTTTTTTCCAGTTTGTATCATCCAGCAGGACCCCAGATAAGAACCATAACTCTAAATGCCATGCTGTTTTTAAAGAGGCCAGTGATGTTATAGCAAATAAATGTTGACAGTAAAATACGGGTTCAATATTAACTCTACTTAATTAGTCAGTCTTGTAACCTAAAGCCTTTTCAATTGAAGAAACACTATTTCATTTTAATATATTGGATAAAAGTTTCCAGGACTTATGCCAAGAAGCTGGCAAACGTAGAGAAGACTGAATTTGGAAAAGACATAGATATTGTCAGCATATAATATGTTTCTATAGAGCAAAAGTTCTTCATTTATTTCTAGGAAAATATGTAACCATCATGTTTATGAGTTTTAAGACATTTCCCTTATGTAGAGCAAAAGCTTAAGCAACTTTAGATTTGAAGTTTCAATAGAAAAAGAGAGAGGTTGAGGCATTAATGACATTTAGAGAGGAACAAGCAAACCACTACTAACTCATTCTCTGATTTATTTGCTGGAAGAACAGCCTTCATAAATAAAAAGGGTTTTGTTTATCTGTTGTAGCTCATTCATTTATTAATTTGATTTAAAAATAAATCTTTATTTTCACTGCCACACATTTACTTTTCCATGCCGTAACGGTGCATCTCCAGCCCCGTGATTCACTGTAGCTGTCAGCTACTCTGGCAACAGTCTGAGATGTTAGTAAATAAGGATCGTTTTATTTAGTCATATGGATTTTAAGGTCTTCTTAATCTTTCTGTCTTTCTCTTCCTTGGCTCTCATCAGTCAAAGAAAGCACCAGATATAGCTATTATCGGATACTCTGTAATTTTACCGGCATCTCAAAGACTAAAATATCTCAGTATATCCTGGGATGTGTAAATCTCTTGTTTTGTTTTTTGTTTTTTTTTCTCCAGTGTTCTACTTTTCCTTTGTTATTTTCTTGGTGAGTTAAAATCAACATGGATATGAGCTCCAACTATTGGCTATGTATAATACTACATGTAATAGCAATTAACAAATCATCTAGTATGATTCTCTGTGTATGCCTAGGCTGAAACAGATGTGTGTGTGTGTAGTGGGGCGGTGTGAGTTCGTGTTAAAACTGGGAATCCTGTTTCCCTGGTACTTTTAAAGAAATGCAAGTGAACTTCACAGCTTTCAGATTGCAAAAACCAGTATTCTGACTTGGTTAGTATATTAGAAAATCATTCACTAATGATGCTTAGTATATGAGCTGTTGTGAACTAACATGTTGCAGAATTCACATATTTTGAATCCAGTAGAGAAAAATTATTTAGGAAATGTTTTGTCTCATAAAGATTTGTACAATAGAAGATATAAAGTAGATTGGGAGAAATAAATGAGATTCAAAAACCCATGTCTCATAAAACCTTTTGCTGGGTATGAATATATCCAAGATCCATCTTTATTTTGCCCCACTCAAAGATATCCAGGTTAATTTCAAATAGAAAAAAATACACACATTCTTTCTAGTAATGTTTTTTTAAAATGCAACTTACTTAGCAATTCTCACACAAGAGTTAAAATTCCAACACTATTCAGGCTCGTTGTCCTAAAAATGAAATCTTTGCTGTCTGAGCCTATTGCGTGTGCTCCCAGGTTTTGATGCAGCATCCTCAGAAAGAAAAGGAGAGGACAGTGCAGGCAGAAACGGCTTCGGGAAGATGCATCAGAGCCCCAGGTCACTCTTGCTAGAACTTCTTTCTCTAATTCCCTTTTCATTTCGGTTATCTTCTGCTCTGAAACAAATGGCCCGTGCTCCATGAAATTTATGTGGAATTTACAACAGGAAATGACCTCTGACAGACTTGTTTTCGACTCCTTTCTTCCCATCCCCACCACTCAGTCTGCATCCAGTGCCATGGCCTGGCACCTGCTTGCATCCATAGCCCCGTGGATCTCATGATCATGAAGAATTTACACCAAGAGATGTCTTTTTCTCTCAATTAACACAATGGCATTATTTTGTTACGTGGTTAATTATTATTTCAGAATAATTTCACTGTTCGGATGTGTTCAGTGTATAAACTCCTGGATAAAAGCTTTTCCACTGTATTCATAGATAGTCCCTGCTTTAAATCAAGCCACAAATAGGGTCTCAAATTTAAAAGATAACCAGGAATCAGCAAAAAGGCATGAAGCTGCACTGGCTTTATATTGTTAGTCTTTCTTCCAGCAATCTTTTGGCCTTCGCCCTTGGTAAAGGTATGGAGAAGAGTTTCAGATGAAGTGAGAATTTTTCCTAGATAAAAATTTCAGTAGAAAAGATATCAGAAATATATCTCTCTACCATAATCTTTTTTTCTTTTGTAGGTAGGCATTTTTATCTACATTTAATAATATTGATAATCATTGTGCTTAATTTAACTTTATTGCACTTTAGCTAATCACCATATCTATACACAATTACGATTAAACCCCAATGAAATATTGGGCTTATTTCACAAAAAGCATTACTGTGAGCTTTGTTCTGGCACAGACCCACAATAACCTCTGCAAGTAATTAAAACATTATTTACCTGGGTTTCTGTATCTAGTTTGTCTACTAGTGCTTTGGTTATCCCCAAAAGACCTGGTGATTCATTGACAACTTTTTGAGATCTACAGAGCTTTCATCAGCAGCTCTTTTTTTTTTCCTGTGTTCCACTACTGCTTTCTCCTCCATTTCTTATATTTAAAAATGCAGTGGTTTCCGGTGTTAACTTATACATACATTTCTAATGACCTCCACAAAAAAATGCAATTATTTTTCACAGACAGCACGGAGGTATTTAGTGTGCATTGAGGTAGAAATAACCATGCCAAGAAAACAAGCAAATGCATAAAACCTCCAGATAGATCTTATACTTCAAGTAATCACTTTAATGTTGTCTCTTATGTTTTTAACATAAATTAAATTGTATTTCCAATTATACCAGTAGTGGCAAAAAGCATATTGCTGAGCTGGGTTCCTCTCATGAGTTCTGAGTTACATATCTATGTATCCCGCAGCTTAGACTCACTGTGCCCACAAGACCCTAGTGCAGGGGACAATCTTCTCCAGTATCCTTTACCTCTGCAAATGGCACCACCCCTTACCCAGATATTCAGGCCCAAATTTTGGATTTCTTTCTTCATCCTTCTTCCTCCCTTTTCACGTATACTTTCCCCAGGAGTGTGGGTCTGCACCAGAACAAAACTTACAGTAATGCTTTTTGTGAAATAAGCCCAATATTTCACTGGGGTTTAATACTAATTGTGGATGGATGGTGATTAGCCGAAGAGCAATAACAGAAATCCCCCTCTCTGTTGTTAAATACATTCCTGGGATGATCACTGCTCTCCCTCTCCAGTCATTAGGCCCTCATAGGAGGCACCGTAATCTTTTACCTAGAGCTGGCAGAGCCAGCCAGCCTCCCTGTGCCGACTCACCCTGTCGAGTGAGTTGTTCATATTGTGAGTCAAATCATATATCTCAATCACATGTGTTTAGCACTCTCTAACAGCCTTTCATTCTATGAATTGTGGAATCCAAACTCTAGGCAGTCCTGCCTACCAACGTGCTGGTCCCTAGGCCACCTCTGACCACCCTCCCTTGCCCTCTGTTTGCTTAGCTATATCCTTGCCCTTGCTGACTTATTATTTCCAGGAAGAGAACACAGCCAGAATAAGGGCTGCTGACCTTAGAGCCAGCAGCCATTATTCTTGCTATATAATCTTCCTGGAAAGCTGTTTCCTCCCACCTTGACAGAGCTTGTTCTTCATTACTCAAGTTTCACCTCAACTGCATCTTCCTTACGCAAGCCCTTCATCTTTCCTCAGTATTTTCAGGAAAAGCCATGGATAGCAGTGTTGAGGGCTGAATTTTAGACTTTTCTTATGCATTTCTATACAAGGATATAAACTGATGCAAAGACATAGATTTCTTTTTAATAAAATAACTGTAATTGTATAAAATCAATGGCAATTTCCTTATCTCCTAACTTGGAGATCATCTTATTTTACATCATACCGTTGTATCTCATTTTTTAAAGCTTCTAAATAGCATCTTTCAGTTTTACTTTTTAATTTTTTAACTAAAACTTTTAGAGGATTTGCTGATAAACTGGACATCAAAGGTAAGAGAAATCAATGAATTCAAGATAGTTCCTAGATTATACCCTTGCAAAATAGCTTATTGACCCATTCTGACCTCAGAAGCCATTCTCTTATAAACTCTTCCTACACATGTGCAACTTTGCCCTGTGGTCGATGTCAAAACATAAATTGCTACGTGCTAGAATGCATTTTTTTTTCAAAATGTATTTCCAACTTGACCTCTAAGTAGCTGAGTCCATCCATGCTTTCATCTGCAGTGCGCCCTATTCTATGCATCAAAATTTAAAATTTTAGCCAATTTTAGGGAGTATATGGCACTTTCTTACAGTATCATGAACTCGAATAAAAATCTTTTACTCTAAATGTGGCTTGCAATGGGAAATTCTCAACTTCATAACTTAAATTGAGAAGAAAAGTCCTGAAGAAATACCTAATGTAGATGACGTGTTAATGGGTGCTGCAAACCATCATGGTACATGTATACCTATGCAACAAACCTGCATATTGGCACATGTATCTCAGAACTTAAAGTATAATAAAAAATAAAAATAATAAAATTAAAAGTGTTGCAGAGCAACTAAACATAAAGAAGCCAGTCAGGAGCTGAGAGGAAGGCTCACATTTGAAACTGCTCAGTGGGCTGCAGCACTTTTCATCTTTTCGTATGAATCTGCCTTTCCACAAACAAGTCAGTTCTTTCAATGTAGCTCCTGTATTTTTTGTTTATATACCACGGAAACCAGCATTCCATTGGGAGACCCATCTAACACTCACTTTATGTTTCCCTAAATAGTCCCATCCTTTGTGATTTTGATCAGGTCCTAAAATAAAGATTATTGATTGTCAAGTACATCAAGGCTGCTCTTTCATTCATTAGTTTTCTTTATTTGATTTCTGCAAGGCCTATCTATTGCTTTAAGGCTTTGGGAGACATCCACATGAAGATCCATCATTTAAAGTAAATGTGGCAAATACAATTCTCTCTGAATATAAAGCTCAGAAGGGCTCACCAGGGAATCTCAGTCATTAAGGCCAAGAACGTATAAATCTCTCTGAGGAGGGATAAAATTTCAAAGAAGACACTTCTTCAAAGTGAATATAAGAAGAACAGTTTTTCTAAATATAACCCAATGTGAAATAGAGTTGAGACATAATTCCATTAAAACTTCCTCTGCATGGGTGGAAAGCTGTTCCTGAAGCCAAAGCATAGAGAACACTCCCCAGAAATCCCAGTTTGGGCTGGATTGTGAAGACTGCTTTTTCTCTTTTTTGGAAAATGTGGAGGAATCTAAAACAACATATACTTCTTATGAAGGTAATAACCCCAAGTCAGAGACCATGGGTTGCAAAGCACAGTTTTCCCAGATCTGTGGGCTATGGTATGTGGAGCCCAGGCTCAGGTGAAGCTGCTGAGTGTTGCCCTTCACACTATGCTCTCCCAGATGTGTGCCTACAGGAAGCGGGAGGCATGCGTCAGGAAGTGCCAGGCACATCTTGTCCTCAGTTTTTTCAGAAGCACTCTCAGGGATACAAACCCAAAGAGAACATGGAGGATTTCCTGCCTGGCATTGACCCATCAAGGCAATCGAAGGCCTTCCAAAGCCCCTCTTCTGTCACTCATCACATTCCTACAATTTGGAAGAAGAATCCAGATCACGTTACTGGTCTCACTACCCATAAAATGTAAGGTTAGTGGCCTTTAGATCACACATCTCTGAAGAATGTCAGTTACACAGCAGAGAATTGAAAACTGGAGCACCAGGTAGCCATGCCCAGAGGAACTGAAGGCCTTGATCTAGTTTCTCAACTTCAGCACCATTGACATTTGGCACCGAATGATTCTTTGTTGTGTGGGGCTGTTCAGCTCACTGCAGGTCCCTTAGCATCATCGCTGCCTCCCACAACGGGAGAGCAGTTGTCCCCTGTCAGTTGTGACAAGAAAAACTGTCTCCAAAGATTGCCAGATGTCCCCGGGGGAGTAGGCAAATTACCTCATGTTGGGGTTCATTGACTGGACTATCAAGTCCATGCTTAACTAAATTTTATTTCTCAGCTAAAACAGTTGTATTTCAAAAAGTACAAGCTGATGAATTCAGCTTCAAGAAATGCTTGGAATTAATACATACTGTACTTTGGTTCTATGAAAATTTCAATCATGGTGTCTATTTCCTTAATTTCTTATAGTGACTAAATTTATTATGTATGTGACATTTGGGTTCTGGATAAAACAACTACTTAGTTTAGGGACAGAGTAAGAAACTCATTCTTAAGTTAATAGCGGCTTTTGCCAGAAAAAAGAAGCAGGCTGGGAAACACTAATGAAAATAAGGTTTTTCAATGAAAGTCCCAGCAAATATTTTTTTATTTAAATGAGTTTCTGTATCTTGTGAATGCCTCGAGTTAGAGTGGCATGTTATGCCTGCTCATGGCTGTAGATGATAGCCTACATTTCTACTAGTAAAATGACAACTGTTCTTTTTTAAAAATTTTTCCTATTGTTTATTACTTTGGTTTCTGCTGTTTTAACATAGATTTGATGATGATACACTACTTAAGTGTTAATTTGGAAATTTATTGCATCTACCGATAAAATTGTAGAATCCTATTCTCTTTCACAAACTGGTCAAGCAAATGGAAAGACCTACAGACATCCATGTCCAAGAGAGATAAAAGGAATCGCTTTCCCAAAGGGAAAAAAAAGGTTAAGAAAAGTTTGTGTTGAAAGTCAGAGACTAAGAAATGAAGCTTCTAGGTAAAAGTGAAATGTGGTTTGTCTCAGTCAAGGAAGAATGCAGGATTCACGAGGAAAATAATGAGTAATTGTTCCCTGTCCACACAACATAGTTCTTTCTGTTCCTGAAAACAAAAGCATTTCAAATTCATTCATGAAAACATTCACAGAAGGAAAATTCTGAATGTTGTTTTTGGGATAGGAAAGAGTATCCCCTCGGGCTCCTTAAATCATCAATGCTGGGTTCAGAGCAGGAAAGGGGGCAACAGTAGGGCTATTGTCACCCCCCTCCGAGCACCTACGGAAAGCCAGTATCAACAGTAAGATGAGCAGCCAACAGGGCGTAGCAGAGAACATCCGTTTTTCTCTTTTTTCTTCTCCTCCTCTGCTTCCTAATTCTCTTTTTTCTATAGCAAAAAGCGTATGTTGCCATTTTGTTTTACGTCCTCTATTTAAAACCTGTACTGAATTTGAATTGACAAAGTTGATCAAAACTGTTGCTACAACATGGTGCTATGGGCTGGCAGAATCAACTGGACTACATCCCAAGTTTTTATTCAAGCAACAGCAAGAAACTAATCCTCGCTCAAAGACACTCAAGCCTGGTTCCTTGAGTCTTGCAGGGGCTAGATAGACGCTTTCTTTACATCACAGCCACATATTTAGTACCTTATTCACAAATTGAAGCAAAATATTGTTTCATGGTTACCTACCGTAGCCAGCATAAAACTTACTTTATATGATGCTGAGGATGAAGGCTAAGGTCTATGCTACTGTTTTCACTATGACAAATTTTTCTGTGTTTACTTTTTGGTAAGTGTCTTGTAAGTTATTACAGGAAAAGTATTATGGCCTTCATTTTTAAAAACTGACAAAAACAGAGGAATAAAATGATTTTCTTATGAAAGGTCATGCTGACAAATAATGCTAACCGTAATAACACTATACTAACAAATAATTTTTTAGATTTCTTTTAGATTACAAACGATCACCTATTAAAATTTGATTTTAAAATCAAATTCAGCTTTAGACAATTTTCTGCAGTACATGGTGGTGTATAGTTAATAATAGTGCATATTCTGGAGCCCAGATGATTGCATTCATGTTCTGTCTCTGATGCTTACTAGCACATTTTCTGGGCAAGATAATCAATCTCTCCATGCCTCAGTTTCCTAACCTGTAAATCAGTAATAAAGCAAGTAATTAGCTCATGCGGTTGGTGTGAAAAGTCAAGTGAATTGGCATATGCGAAGCATTTGGTCCGCTTCCTGACACACAGGTGTTCAAGACACACTGTCTCTGAGTTTTCCTAACATGATTCCTCTTGGATTCACTGCCCAGGAACAAGGGAGGGAGCCCCACAGCATCAGATATGCTGGTGTCATTACTGACAGTTACTAGTGTATAGCTTGGTGTGCACCGCATGCAGCCAGCCTTAAGCAAACTGCGTGTTTATCCCTAACTCTTTAAACTTAAGAGGAAATCAAGGAACAGATGGGCTCAACCATCCAGGTCTTCCTCCCCCAGGCCCCTGCACATCCCTATTCCATGCTTCTTCCATTCAGATCCAAGTACCCAGCTCTCTCTGTACAATTTACATCCTTCTGGAATCCCTTGATCTAAAAATATTCTTTGCATGTTTGCTTAGAAATCTAGCTTAGAATTTGAATTGACTCCAGTTGTAGAAACTGCAGTTCAGTGAATATATTGAGAAGCACACTTTAAGGACATTTATCAAACATATTACACAAGGGCATCTTCTATAGAACAGAAAAAATGGCAGCTGAGAATGAGTGGCCATCAATGCAGGGACTTAGTCTCAACAACTGGTGAATCTTTTACCTCGAGTTAGAGTTGATACAGACTAGAATCTAACACAGCCATCACAAAAATCATTTTAAAGATAACATAAACTCTACTTGTTCTTTTCATCTCCTTTGATTCTTGCTTTTCTGCTCCATTTTTAGACAATAATTTATAAGCCTAATTTAATTTATCTTGAGGAAATATATTTTTTTAAGTTGGTGGATCAGCAGAAATATGATTTCCAGAATTCAGTGTTCTTCCCATTATTCAAGAAATTTTTTATATCCCTTCCTGTGTCCTGAGAGTTAGGCCTCCTGGATTTTCTGGCCTAACCCTCTGAGACTTGGGGCAAGTCAACTTGCCTGTGAGGTGCGTAAATACCCTACCCCCTCCCTTACCATACATCACCCTGGTGTGATCATAAGACCTCCCTGCCTCTACAATATCACCTGCCAAAATGCAGGTGAATTCCCAACTTAGAAAGAAAATTAATTACTCCTGAACTTTTGATGAGATGGGTGGTAAAAGCTATTTCATAGAAAAGCAGAACCTTTCTTTGATGAAGAAATTATGGAAGCATTCCATGAGGATGGTCAGTTCTGCTCCTCTGAGTCAGATTCTGGGAACCTTTTGATCCTTCTGTGGTTAATACCCAAGCCTCTCAGTTCAACATGTGAGACAGGGTTATAAAATTGAACAAAAGGTTATACGTACCCAGAATAGTTTATTTCAGAAGGAGACAGACCTTTTCTTGTATCCCACTCTCTCCTGAATTCTCACATGATTTTTTTTAAATTGCTTTTAATGTAAAATAACTTTCCTGCTTATAATTTTTCTTACTACGGTGGTTAGGACAGTTAGCCCATGGCTTTTTAATGTCAAAAGTTCACAGTATGACATAACATCTCTGAGATTCAATAGCTATTTTCTTTTTGTTGCCTTCTACTTATGTCAAACATCAGTAAAACCTCTAGTCTGTAAAAAGAATATAACTTCAAAACAATTCCAATTAGGGTAGAATAAAACCTCAGTATTCACCTCGATCCCATGTGTAAACAAATGGACTGACGTGCAGTGAGGGTAAGTGATAATTTTTTCTAGCATCAACTTAGAAGGGGATTGAGCTTATTTCAGTCTGATGCAGGTTCACAGACCACTGGACTCCTAAGGGGTGAAGATCTGGAGGAGCTGAGTCACACTGGGGGAATTGCAGGTGCCCTACACAGCACTGGGGACTGTGGTAAAGGAGAGAGGACACAGACTCTCAGTGTCCAAGCTTGGTAAAATTGTATGAAACAATTGTTTGCAAAGTTTATGCAATAGGAAGTGTGGGGGTTGAAAGGCATAATATTTATTTGGATTAGATACCACACATTTTTAATTTGCCCTAAGAAAAATTACATTGGAAAGAAAAGGCTTGGAATGATTCCTTTAATAGATCTAAGGGATAACATTCTTTTTTTAAGGCTGAGGAGTACAGAAAGAACATTCTTCTGCTTTATTTATTTTTAATTGAAGACGCTATACAAGCATTTGCCAAATTATTCAAGTGAGAGCCATAATTCGGCAATGCAAGCGGGGAGAGAGGAGCAGTAAGTGCCAACAACGAAGCATCTATTTATGGATATTACCACACATAATGAAAGCAAAATAGTTGTAGCTGTGTATTAAATTTAGAGTATGTTCCTAATAATATTCTCCATGTGTGAAACAGTTGGCAGGAACTATCAACATAGGAATAAGTTCATGATGGCTGGATGGCTAAGAAACTAGTGCAAATAATTAAGGATTAAATAAATAAAAGAGCTGAATTTGAACCACAAAAATAGCATAGGCTACAAGACTTTGTAGTACAAAGTGATGTTGTCTGTTCTGAATTATCTCTTTTTATTGCATTCAAAATGTTAACTACATAATTGTCAGATAGCGCCTTTGCAGACAAAGCCAGAATTTTTCCCCTTAATATGCCCAGTGGAAATAGATGAATTTGGAAACAATATTTTATTGCTCAAGTGGATGCAGAACCCTACAATTAATGTGTTAAAAATAATCACTTGCAAATTTATAGTTCTTATGCCACTGCCTTTTCAAATATAAGTAGGATATGTATGAATTCTCTGAATCCTGACTGCAAGGCAACTTCACAAAAGTATTCCTATACCTATGTCTGTTCACTTCAGCCTGTTGGCCAATTCATTCATTTGGAAAAAAAATGGCTCAAGACAAGAATTTGTACTCAAGAAAGAAATGGTAAGAGTAATCTACAACAAATTCTATGTTTTCTTATTTGTAAATGTTAATCTTTCACAAGATACAAACATAAAAATTCTTTAGAAATGTTAAAAAATGTATCTACATTTTCTAAAGTCATTGCAGGAAATTTTACCAACTCCCTCATACACATACTCTCAAAAATGATGACAGCAAATTATAGAGACTGCTCTGGTGTCCACGATGTGAGCAACATAGCTGTGAAATTGAGAAAGGGGAGAGAACATCGTGTGACTCCAACAACCACACAAATGTCTAAAGAATCAAAACCAGTTTTTGCGAAGTTTAGGACACATACATAAGCTGTGAGGCTTCCTCTCCCTAGGCTGTTGGTTGCTATGTTCTCCTATTTTTTCCAACTCTCTTGAAAGGTCATGCTCGTACGTACAAAATGTGTTGCCCCAAACTGATACTCTCTTAAAATAAAAAATAATGCAGAAAAGTTATTTTGCTTTCAATTAAAAAAAACACAAAATATTGAGAATGTATTTTCTATCACATCCTTTACAACAACCACAGAACCGCTCAGCTTCCCAGTCTCCAAATTTTATTTAAATTTTGCCATTTATGACTGTTTCAAAGGGTTTTGTAACACAGTCGTCCCCCTTTATTTGCAGTTTCATTTTTTTGTGGTTTCAGTTACCAGGTCAACTACAATCCAAAAATGTTAAATGGAAAATTCCAGAAATAAAAAATACAGAAGTTTTAAATGGTGAGTAGCGTGATGAAATCTCACGCCTTCCTGTGTCATCCCGCCTGGGACATGACTCCTCCCTTTGTTCAGCACACCCATGCTATCTACGCCTACCCACCCATGAGTCACTTAGCAGCCCTCTCGGTTACAGAAAGACTGTCCTGTTATCTCAGTGCTTGTGTTCAAATAGCAATTATTCGACCTAATAATGGCCCCCAAATGCAAGAATACTGGGCCTAACTTGTAAATTAAACTTTATCAGGAGGTATACGCACAGGAGAAAACAGTATATAGAGAGTTTGGTTCTACTTGAAGTTCTAAGTATCACTGGGGCTCTTGGACTAGATGCCCCTTAGATAAAAGGGGACCACTGTACTTTGTAGGAAATGCAAACTATGTTTCAGGTTGTGTGACAGCAAAATATTCTAAGGAATCTGTGACCAATTAGCCCCCCCATTGTCACTTTGAAGTCACTGTCAGATAATGCCCCTGCCCTCCAACGCCTTCCTTTTATACACATGCAGTCTTCCCTTGACAGCAAACCCAGTGCGATCTGGCCCTTGTCTAAAATTGTGACCCCATCTTATAGCTTGTATTCTAGTCCTCCAGTCCCACCAGCCTTCTTTCTGTCATGGGAACATGAGAGTCATTTCCCGGCCTTATAAACTGTGCTGTGGTTCTTCAGAAAGCCTCCCGTCTGTACCCCATGCCCGTCTGTACCCAGCTGTTTCCTTCTTGTTCCGTAGATCTCAGCTCTCCGTGTTACTTCTCAGAGAAGCCTTCCTTGCCCACCCCATCGACGGAAACCACCCAAGCTTGGTGCCCTTTTCCTGTGCTCTACCCACTGACATTTGCTACTTTCACTTTAGGTTGGTATTTCTGAATTGGGCTATTTCCTTTCTCCTCCCCTAGAGGGAAAGGTTGGTGAGAGCTCAGGCCTTCTCTGTCTTTTCACTGGGCAGCTGTTGTGTCTACAAATGTGAATACAAAGTGTTGTCAGGGAGGCTTGACAGACCTTTGATGAATGGATGGGTGGACAGATAAATAACTAAGTGAATAAAGGAGAAACTACAGGGTGTAGTAACAGAATAACCATCGGTGGATCCAGTTGGTGGGTGAGACTGGAACAGTGTGGACTCAAGCTGCATCTGGTAACAAAGTCAGATGTCATGGTCCAGGTTTAGAGACTGGTTTGGAAAAGAGGATCCTATTTCAGTTTAGAAAAGGGGTGGAAGGGGACAGACTGCAAGTGCAAAGCTGAGCTGGGGGTCCTGACCTTGGTGACTGAGGCGGAAGTGGACAGATCACCTGTCTGGGCTGAATGCAGGATCCCAGGTGAGGGACTGCTTCTGCTTTAATTCAGTCTTTCTAAACAATTGCTTTGTTTATACATGATATGGCATGCATTCAGCCTGAGGATTAATTTCCTCCAAAAAAATCTTCTTTTAGAGGGAATAACTAATGTACCTAGCAGGTTCCCCCATGAAGAGCTTTGCAAAAGATTCCTGTAGCATTTTCAGTTTATAATGAAGTGAGTGGAAATCTTTCATAGAGCACTTCTGTGTCAACACATACTCCATTCCAGCGTTCCCTTTTCACTTGTGTGTTTGGTATTTGCTTTGTTTCTTTTTTCTTGTCATTTTCTTTGACAAGATTCAGCGTAGGGGAAAGGTAGTGACTAACCTGCTGCTCCCAAAAAAACATAAAAGTAACTTGGATTCCAACACTCTTCAACATGCAGCTGTTCATCCTGTAAAGGATCTTGGCAGTTAAAGATCATGATGAATTTTGAAATGCAGGAGATTACAATACTCATATTATCATATTGTTATATGACGATTGTAATATGAAGTTAAAAATAAACAATATGCTGAAAGGCATGGTTGTTGAAATCCTTCTTGCAAAATATAAATAAATTGCTCTCGTAATATTTTTCATGAGAGTTGATTACTGTTAGCTTGTGAAACTAATATGATAAATTAGAACACCCTGGATGAGGTTCTATTTCGTAAGTACACTTACCGTAGTGCTATTCATAGGAAAATTCCTCTGAATTTCGCAGTATTTTACAGAATAGAATTTTATGGACTCTGGCATCAGTAAAGTATGCTGCCAAATAAACTGATCAATAATAAACGTATTATTTTTATTATTATTGTTGTTGGTGATGGTGGTGTTACTTGCAGAGGTCACAGGAGCTGGGCCACCACCCTGCCTTGAGGACATTGCATAGAGAGCTTCTCAACAAGCCAAGACCAAGAAAAAGTAGGTCTGCCCTTCCATGCCCAGTGAATGTAGCACTCATTGTGTTTAGTCTGGGGCTCTCTTTCCTGATTTTAGTTTCAGATCTGTATTTTTGTTACCCTCAAAGAAAAGAGCAAAATTATTGTTGATGTGGAAAATAGAAAAATTTGAGAACAACCAGTTTAAATACCCAGTTTCTAAATTTGAAATCATGTTTCAGTAGATAAATCTGGACATGATGGCCGAATATTACTTTGGGGTTCTTTGAGGGTGAGGGTGCTTACCGCCTACTCATCATGTGGGATTATCGAGGTCCTGCCAGCTTTCCCCTGTGCTACAGAGATTGTGAGTTGAATGGACTCAGAGAGAAAGGCCATGTGTAGATTCCTGAATGGCAGGCTAATATCCAGGTCCAATTTCCATCTCAAAGTAGCAGAAGAAAATGACTTTCCTTGTGAACATGACTATAGATTATTCTAACATTTCTCTTTAAACATGCCTGATGTAACTTTAACTGACTGATTAAGATCTTGTAGGTGTCTTTTTTTTTTTTTTTTTTTTTTTTGACAGAATCTGGCTCTGTCGCCAGGCTGGAGAAGATCTTATAGGTGCCTTTATGGAAATAAGTAGAGTCCAACAGAGGAAAGCCACATTAAAACAATGACAAAAACAAGAACAACATTTTTGTTCTGCCTTACATTACCTCTAGAGCAATAGGCTAAGTTAGATACACTCAAAGAAATTGCCTCTCAAGCTTGAGGACCTAGAACACAGAATGTGGCAGGTGTATTTTGGAAATTACTCCATGGGAAATCACATGGGCCTTCAGTTCCCCAGGGAAAGTTGGGGAACAGCCTGCTTTTAGACAGAATGCTGAGTAACCACAGTTTGGAAGAGAAAAAGAAAAAATGTTGATGTGATGAACAGATGGAAGGGCTTGATGTTTTTAAATGCAAGTTAAAGAAGAAAGAGGCAATAAAATACAGAGAAATAATAATTTTCAAGTATGAAGAGATCATACTGCGGGAGTTGGACACATCTCCAGAGAGACTCATTAACATCTATTAATGGAGGGATGCTCTTCGGTGTCTAATCTCAATCTTCTCTTCAAGAAAAGCTGGCACACTAGAAATTATGGAGTGTTGGAAACAGAGAGGGCTGCATGGAGACAGCTGTTGGACAAGAGCTCTGATGTTCAGTTAAGGGATGCAGCCGAAGGAATACGTACCCCATCTCCCCATGATCTGTTGGGCTCTCCCTCTCAGTCTCTATCTGTTTCCTACAGGTCACCTCCTGAAGTGCTGGATATGCTGGAAGAACTAGAAGGTGGAAGTCAAGGTGCTTGGAAGCAGTGAATGGTCACCAGCCCAATCCCAACAACTGCAGATGTCCCATCAGGTCCCTCGATCTGAAAGGGACCCAGGAAGAAGAGGACACATTGCTGCTGTTCATTAAGTTAGATTCTGTTACATCACAGAGGGGGAGAATGGGTAAAAAGTAAACTAGTAGTATCTGCTAAAACACTATTTTATTTTGTTCAAAAGCCTATGAACCAAGAAAAGTCAGGAACAGACACAAACATGGATAGATAGAATTCAGTCCCATATCACCTAAGGTATTGAAACATGATGGGGTTGAAAGAATACAGAATAATAAATTAGGCAGGTAATGTTCAAATTATAATTTGATTAACCAAATACGCAAATGTTCAACTTTACCTACAATCTAGGTTTAAATACACTACGAATAAATAAAATTGCTAATTCTGTGAAAAAAAGAAAATGTCAAAAGTTGAGAAAAACAATTGCTCATACTCAGAACTCTTTTGTAGTTTATGGATAACATGAGTATCATTTTGTTAAGCTTGCATAACTGAGTATGACCTCTCTTGGTCTGGGATCCTAGGAAAGAAGACTAGGGTAAGACTTGGATGCTGTTGTTTGATTGGGGAGTGCAGTCCCAGAGATGTGTAGTTGAAGTCAAAGAAAAGTAAGGCAGGAAGGAGGGGTGGGGCACCAGGAAATTCTGCACATGGGGTCACTGCTTCGTGAGGAAAATTAGTCTGTTGGGTGACCAGTCCCTTGAGGGGAGGAATGGAGAGAGAGTCGTTGTAGCTTTCTGCCTCTTTTTGAGGACTTCTTTGGTTGAAAGTCTGCTCCCTGTGGCGGTAACTCCCCCGCACCGCTGGGTTGCCTCACCTGGAGCCTTTAGCAGTCTCCGGGAAGCCAGATCTGTGCCCTTCTGCCAGGGTCTCTGGTATTGTCCTGTAATCTTCAGGATGAAGGACGCTGGAGACATAAAAGACTACGAAAATCTGAAACAGCACAGAAAATACCGCCAACTAGTAAAAGTTTAAGACACCATCATTCAAGTGAAAATTTTAATTTGAAAAAAATCCAACTTGTTAAATTCCAAACTTAGACCGAATTTTGCAAACAGTAATTACTGTTGTATTTTTTGTAACGTTGTTTTATTGTATTATTTATTGACAAGTACATAAACAAGACATATGTTACTAATGGATAATGAATATGTCTTGGTAGATAATGATTTTAAAAAATTCAATTATGCAAACTTGTGATTTTGAAAAGTCATTACACATTTTTATTTATAAATATTTTTACAATGTAGTGTTCAGATTTAATTGTGTACTTTACTTGCAACTTCTCATCATGTCATTTGTACATAAAAATCTATATACAAAAATCTATATAGATTTTATATACAAACGACATGATGAGAAGTTGCAAGTAAAGTTCACTAATTGTGTGGTTTGTGTCCTTATTCCCATTTTGAATGACAATGAAAACTAAGACTATATGTTTAATAACATCTTCTTCCAAACGCATTATGGTTCAGCATAAAGCACAAATTTTATTCAAGGGTTTACTACATTTTCATGATTTGAAAAACTCAGAAATATTACTCAGCCCAGATAAAATATTCCACTCTGGAAGAATGTGTTTGATTGGTTGATGCCTTGGAGATCAATTATTCTGAAATAGTAAGTTCAATCTGGCATCATTCAAAGTCATCTCTCCCACAATCACCTGAAGGAATGATAATACGGCAGGAAACCAAGAAAAATTAAGGATTTTTAAAGCCTCCACTGCAAAAAAGAATGGGTTCTTATAGTCACCGTGACCTTGGTGCAGGGTATTTTCTGGGGGATTGATGCCCTTCTCGGACGATCAACTCTCCCAGCTGATCATTAATCCCCAGACAGTGCCCCTGTCTGTATCACCATTGTTTAATTCAATTATTTGTGGTGTGGGCTTTACTTTGTGAATATT
Organism: Homo sapiens; assembly: GCF_000001405.40. NCBI lineage: Eukaryota > Metazoa > Chordata > Mammalia > Primates > Hominidae > Homo > Homo sapiens. The sequence continues at coordinate 4,380,543 of NC_000005.10, forward strand.
TTATTGTTCAGTGGGGCTCCCTGACTTTCCTCTCTGCCTGTGCAATTCTATTTCTTTGACATAGACCAGATCCCGTTTGCATTCCCTCACACACTCAGAGCTATCTCTAATTCATGGAGAGGAAAATATATGTGCATTCACAGATACAGATATGGTTATGCGAACATTTTGTGTGGAAATATTTATAAACAAATTCAAATAGACTATTAATGAACATATATGCCAGTTTTATAAATCACTGTAGGTTGTTTTATCAGAGTGTGCACTTTTATAGGCCAGAATTGGGTATCACCATTTAGATAAGGTTGGATGTTACTAGTTGAATAAACAGTTATAGTCTCTTAACATAAGAATGGAATTTAAATATTAGAAGCAGAAAAAAATGCAATGTGAATAATCATCTCAGGGTGCAGGTATCTGGTATCTGGGCCAATGCCCATGTCTACACATGGTTAAGGACTATGTACCTTCAGACTGATGGGCAGATGGGCACGGCACCTAGCATTCAGCATTCATGGCCAGAGAGATCAGGTTCAAATCTCAGCTCCATCCTGAGACTAGAGTGCTTTGAATGCATTGCTACTTCCCCTATTAGGTACCTAGGGAGCATTACTACTCCAGTGCTTCTGAGAGGGTTAAACGTGGAGCTATCACATGGTTCATTCTTGTGAATTGTATGCAGACATATTCCATAGGTCACATAACTCTCAGTGTGGATATGTGTGAATGTGCACACATACAGATGTATGCAGGTTTATTATAAGCAAACGATTCCATTTGTAATGCTTGTTTCTGTTGAAGATGTTTTTCTAATAGTAAATGAGTTTATTGAGTTATAAAGCTTTCACCTCATTTAAATTGAAGTAATTTAAAATAAAATCATGATATATTTCAGTGATACATTTGAATTTTATTAATTTGTTATATTTATAAACACTGTTTGTATTTTATTTTTGTGCATAAATTACATGTAATCTAATTTTATAAGTATGGCAATAGTCCTAGGAATATTGGAAACCTTATCCTCCAAGAAAGCATACAACCGGTTGATAAATGACTGAGTTTTACCCAATCACTTCTTTGTATCGTTGCAATACTAGACACATTTTAGAATTTCTTTTCTCTTACCGTGGTAATTTCCATGAATGCATACATTACCATGAGTTTCGAAGCAATTGATTGTTTTTTAGGTGTTTTTTTTAATATCTATGCCATTGAACAATGCATTTCTCACTTTAGGCACTACACAGAACTTCCTTTAGAATAGCTGAACTGAAACAACTTCTCTCTGCCTTTCTTCAGAAGCTTTCCCATTTAATCTACATTTAAAAATCAGTAAAGATGGACTCCTTTTGCTCTTCAGGAAAGAGTTGTAGTCTTCTCAATGCTTGTCAAACAAACACAACGATAAACAAAATCCAACACAATGATAAATGCAATACGTATCTTTCTATGGAAGTTTAAAATTTAAATATTTCATGTGTAAGAATATTGCCATTGATATGCACTTACATTTTATAATGAGCACATAAAATAAAACAGTGTGGAAACCACTATTTTTAAGGATGTATGTTAATCTGATATGTTAAAAAAGTTAATCCAGACATCATTGAATGAGTTAATCTGGGCATCATTTCATTCTAACAGGATAATCTTCAGCTCTCACCAGTGGAATCTGAACATCCAAGAAATTTCTGTTCAGTTTCTGATGGTCCAGGACAAAAAAAAAATGTCTCTTCTGTCTTTTCAATGGATATCGGTTTGACATAGTAAGGTCTTGTCCACCCTCTGAGTTGTTCTGCCTCTTTGGAGATGCTTTTCTTTTCTTTTCCTTTTTTTTTTTATTTGACAATGTATTCTCAAGGTTTTAGATGAAGACATTAAATTAATATTCCAGTAAGTAGAATATTAAATTGGGAAAGCTGACATCTACCTTTCAAACATTTTTTTTCATCTTTATTAGATATGAAAGACACAGACTTTAAAGTTGCACCTGCAAAAGCCACACATAGGAGTTAAACTTTAGCCTGAAAAACATGATGCTGAATATACACCTTCCAGGTCCCTAAATTCTATGTAGGTATGAACACTTGCTTAGGTAAGTGATATCTACAGTTGATTGGTAGCTACTTTCTTGCTAAGTATTTTGAATGGCTCTCTTTGTATCTAATGCCATGCCATGATAGGTGTTACTGTCATCATTTCCAGATGAAAGATAGGGTCATGGATTGAGGGTCGAGTGCCCCAGAGCCTGCCTTCCTAAGCATGATGGTGTGCCACCCTGAGGAGACTCAGGGACATGGTGATGTTTTGCAGCAAATAGCCAAATGCCTCAACTGATAAACTAAGATCACACACGAGATCACACAGAATGAAATTCTTACTAAGCTGTAATAGAAATTTTAGAGGTATCTGGTATGCGTCATGTTGGAAAACAAAATAATGTTTAGAATATTTGATAATAAAATATAATAATTTTACCTAAATTAAAATAAATTATGTTTGGAAGACAATTTTCAGTGGATGATCACAAACAATACATGACAAAGATATAAAAAAATTCCCAGATTTGGGGGGAGGGTTTAAAATAACAGGAACCGTTGAAAGTGGATTTGTGTACGTTTGTTTATAGTGTCACACATTAAAATTTCTAAACTCCTAAATTCTTTCTTTTGTGAACAGCGTGAGTACATAAAATATTGTGTCAGTGTTTCCACTATAAATGTTATTTCTCAGAGATTTACAACTTTTCCCATAAAAATGTGACCTCTGGCATTAACTATCTATTCTCAGCAGTGAGACTGACATTTTTACATGCAACTTTTTATACCCAACCCAAAAAAACAAAGCTAGCAGTAGAGTTGTTTGCAGGCCAAGTGTAATTGCTGAGAACATTCTATAGCAGTTTAAGATGCATACCTGAATTATATTCACTGAGAGTCGACAACATTCATAAAAGGGCAGTTAATTAGTCTGTAATCAGGTCTAATCATATTTTATTTGTGAAAACACTTAAACAAGCCTGACATTGGTCTGGGTGTTACCTTTTTCCAAGAGAGTAGAGCCCGGCTACTGGCTCTCCCACCTCCCCTGACTTCCACGTGACAGTTCACTACACACAAATGCGCTTTGTAGCCTTACTAGTTTATGAGAAAGGAAAATGTAGGCATCTAGTAGTTCCTATGAGAAATGAACATTGACTTTCTCTGAAGAAAATATAAATGGATTTACTTAACTGGGCTCCGGTCATTGGAGCAATTAATAATAGATTGTGTCATAGTGAGGGCTTTGTTTGTATTTAAAGCAATAAATTATAAGTATTAAATGTATATTTATTCCAAGTTAAACTCATTTCTAATTGACATGTTACTTAGCCCAAGGCTTTTAAGATCTTTTAGTATAATTAAATTAATAGAAAGCTATAGATCACAGCATGATAAGCAAACAGCCCAGATTTTAATATGACAGATATACACAACAGGCCATGTAAGGAGATCATTATTATCGGTTTAGGTTCAGCAAAAATACAGCCGGAATGAGAAGAAAACAAGCAGGTGAAGCCATGCTAAAGTGGGGGACACGAGGGACTCCATATTTGCCCTTGTCTATCTCACCAGCATCAGAAATTCCAGGCTGGACAGGAACTTCATTATGAAAATGTCCTGGTTGGATCGATTCCTTAAACCAGAAGCTTTTAAAACCCCACATCAAACATTTAAAGGGTATTATGGTCACCTCAGGCTTTGGGTAGTCAAAAAATGGAATAGTATTCCACTTACATAGGGCCAAATTAGCTATCTCTACTTCTTGTGAATTTTCAAAATCTGAATTTATTCAGTGGTTAACGATAAATGCATATCGTAAATACTATCAACCGAGGATGCACTGAAGACTTCAATTTTTATAATTTCATTAATTTGAAAGCCTCAACATGCTTCATAACAGTGTGTTTGCCTTGTTCTGACAATGTGCTGCAGACACAAATATAGTCTTCTCTAATATCAGAAAAAAATGAGAAATAGGCTGTGTTCACAGGCTGAGTTGCTTTGTTTCAAAACCAGAATGGTTTGTTTTTTCCCATTGTGCTGACATCAAATGTTTTCTTTGCACTGATGTAACTCGTCAGTGAATGTGGGCTCATGTCCATATTTCTAGCCTCCTGGTGGACTGATATTTGTCATTTTATATGTCCCCTTTTTATGCCAAGAAATTGCACCTCGAGGACAGGGGGATCTTTTATTAACCTTTGTATCCCAGTGGTCATTTTGCCATTCACATAGTAGGTATGCAGTAAATGCTCATCTAGTGAAGGAATGCATTACAGTCCGGGCATTTCCTGCTATGAAATGAGTCATCTTGGTGAGGAGTTGCGCGAATCTTCAAGGTAGAGTTCTGTGTATGCAAAGACACAGATCCTCTGGCATTTGTAAATCTGCTAATCGCTTCTTGAGTGTCATTAAATGTATAAGAGGTCCTAAAACCAAACCAGTAGGGCATCTTGTCCAGGTTGTACTTGAAGTTTTACTGAATGCTTATATTTTTGAGTTTATTGATAGCAACACTTTTCATTCCCAAAATATTATACAGACATTGTGTTGCAGTGTAGACAACAGGAAGTTTTGTTGCTTCCGTTTTTGGTAGGCTAGGTGTTTCAGTGAGGGGGGGGGGGGTTCTAGAATTTTTTGGTAACGGTTAATTACGTTTTTACTTATCTATCCAGGTAAGACTTCTTACGCAAAGAGCTCCTGAGTATCATGTATTCCATGCGTCAATTTCCATGTGGCATTTTCTATATTAATAGGACAGCTGTAGCCTTTTAAAATAAACTTTTTATTTTAAAATAATTTTAGATTTACCAAGTGTTGCAAAGGTAGTACAGGGTCCATATATATTGCTTGCTTGGTTTCCTTATTGTTAACATTTTATTTATCATAATGCATTTGTCACAACTATGGGAACAACACCGGAACATTTCAATTAACCAAATGCCAGAACTTATTCAAATATCAATAGTTTTTCCACCGGTTGCTTTCCTTTGTTCCAGGATCCCATCCCAGAGACCACACTAGTCTGGTCTACACAGCTTCTGGGAGGTTTCCTAGGTGTGTGAGGCTGCGCCTGGTTCTTCATATTCAAAACTATTATCTCCAATATTTTCCAGAGGGACCATGGGCACTGCCTTCTTTGCCCCTCTTCTTCCCTTGATTATTAATTCATTTGATTATTTGGGGAGCGTGTGGCAGGGGCCTACTTGGATGTTTTTGGAGCACTTGCTCCAATAGCCTGTGTTTTCGTACTGAAACCTGATGGGGCTGTTGTAGCAGCCATGTCAGTAGGAATGCTGAGGCACACAGGAAGCCCTTCTGACTTCCTCCCAGCAAAGGGAGAAAACCCTCCCGGAACGGCTCACTCACAATGTAAGGGACCCAGGTGGAACCTGTCATGAGGCTTCTTCCCTCATCCTAATACAATAATTTTCCTTTACCTTCTTTTACACTGTGTTTCCACAGGAAAGCCTGAGTGTCTACAACACATTCACTAGAAATGCTCCTGACCAGAAGAAGGCAATTAAACCAGTCAGTACTGGTTTCAGTTCATCTGGATTTCATATTATTAAACTAATAGAAGGTGCATAAAAAACAGGAACTTAATTAAAAGTTTTGTACAAGAGGCATATTTTCAGAGACCAGGGCCATGGTAGTTTTGTAATATGAGTAATTTAGAAGACTGAAATATTTGGCCAAGGTTCATGCCATTCCTTGAAATATATTGTTCAGTGTGAAGTGGAGCAAGTCTAGGCTGGGCACTTTATTTTGCACCTGCAAATGAGAAAAGTCATTACAGCTGAGGAGATGATTCAGCCAATGCAGTATCTGACTTCTCAGGAGGGAGGACATTTTTTGTCTGGAAGCGATGGATATATATGATTCTAATGAAATGGGCCATTAAAATTTAACTAAGAATATAGAGCACAATTTTAGTTTTTAAAGCCTTGCTTAACAATCAGTAGAGTATTCAATTTACCTCTAAGACTTTTGAAAGAAATATAGAAAATTTGATGTGATAGACTGTCAGATTCATCAGTTATGTCAATGTATATATTTGAATCTGTTATTTCCTTGGTCTATTTAATTTTGTGCCTAAGGGCTTTGAAAACCATCTATTCTAGAGAATAAGACCTTTATCTGGGATTTAAATAGGTCATTTAACTTTATTGTTATTCTGCACAATGATTCTAAATCCAATCATCTCGGTGAAACCCTTAAAATACATGTTTAAGTTCAATAACATAATGGGGAATTAAAAAGCACAAAATAAAATTTAATCTGCACAATTACACTACTTACCGGATGTTATAATTTCTTTAGCTATACTTCAATTAAAATTTCAAAATTGCTGAATATTATGTTCTACTTTTAAAATTGATCCATTAATTGTCCCTAAACCAATGTAAGCACAGGTTTTCTTTTTAATATCTGCTGCCTGATGTAATTATGTTATATATAATTATTTTATCACAGGCAGTTTATGAGTCATGCCTTTGTATTAGCTGTCTCTCTATACCTCACAATGTGCAGGCTGGAATCAATGACGTATTTTAATATGTTTTATTTAGGAAAAACAGGTGGCACCCCCAACCCTACCCCATAGTGTGGTGATATTGTGATAATCAACCTAAATTTAGATCAGTGGGTAATTAAACTGGATTCCAACATTGTAATACAATGTGAAGTCCAGATGAACTTCAGTTAGCAAAATCCCTTTATGCACTGAAATAGACTTGACTTGAGCTCTTCACAAACCCTGGCTGGGATATTTGGATTGGAGTACATGGTTTACGTGGGCTGCTTCTCAAATGTCTCCATTGGTCAGGGACACCTCCTGGAAGGCCGCCTAAATGGATGATCCCTAGCCACAAGTATTAGACCTTTTCAATGAGAATCATACATGACAAAGAGGTGATAAAAGAAAAGTACAGAAAAAATGTGAATGAGTTCTGTATTCAGAGGATTAATTGTCTGATTTATGAAACTTGCGGTTAGCCTCAGTCAGGATTCTTCACATTGTTGGCTCTCTGCTTAATTCTGCAATGTTGGGAAGATCATCATGAAACAGCACAAGAAAGTGAACTTGGAAGCCTCCTGGACATTTTATCAGACAGATGATAAACTCCTTTTGACCTCCATACTCAATTTAGTAAAACCAAAAGACGATTCGATTTTCATCAAGGTGTGTCTGGAGGCATTACAATGTTGCTGTTTTTCTTTGTGCTAATCTCTAAACCAAACAACAATTGTTCCAGTCTGTGTCTTCAGTTGCACATGACATTTTTTAAAAAAACATTTAAGCATGCTAAATTAATACATAACTAAAACTGGTTTAACTTGGAAAGGGCAGTTAGAAAGAGATTCGTAATTTATTCTTAAACCGCAAAGCTAGATGTCTACTCAATGTTTTAATTAGTAAGGCAACCAATGCCACATAACATTTTTTAAATCCTTTTTTATAAAATACATTTAGATTTAGAAAAAAAGAAATGGAGAGTAAATAAAACAATGGTTACCAACGTCTAAGCGTAGGGGATCTGGAGGAGAAAATGGGAAGGTGCAGGTCAAAGAATACAAAGTGACAGATATGTAAGATGAACAAGTCCAAAGATCTAAAGTAAAATATGAGGAGTACAGTTGATAAGTGTACTGTATTCAGGATTTTTGCTAAGTGAGTAGATTGTAGCTGCTCTTGCCACAGTGGGAAGAAAGCATAACTACCTTAGATATGATGCATCTGTTAATTTGTTCCACTATCGTAACCATTTTATTGTTACATATCTTATAACATTATGTGGTATACCTTAAATATACACAGTAAAATGTATTTCTTTAACACAAAGAGCTGCTGTATATTGTTTTCTCAGATTTCCCTCATGTTAACATGTTACATAAAGATGTCACATTTGTCAAAACTAAGCAAATTATACTCAAAACTATTAGTAAACTGCAAACTGTATTTGAATTTTAGCAGTTTTTCTACTAGTATTCTTTTCTGTTCCAGGATCCAATCTAGAATCACACAGTGCCTTGTTCATTGTGTCTCCTTAGCATCCTCTAATTTATGATAGTGTCACAATCTTCCTTTGTTTTTCATAGTCTTGAGACTATTGAAGAGTAACTGGTATAGTATTTTGTAGTGTGTCCTCCAGTTTGGGTCTGTCTGATGTTTTCTTATCATGAAACTAAAGTTATGGGATTTAGAGAAGAAGATCACCACGGTGAGGGGCCTTCCCATCACGTCGTTCAGAGGTTGCATGGTGGGTATGTGGCATCCTGTTCAGGGCAGCCTTGGCTACTGGCCTCAGGTAGGGCTTCCAGGCTTCTCCACCACAGGTCATGAAGTTCTCTTTTCCAAGCACTGCTGTTTGCAAGGCAGTCCCTAAGTGTTACCTACACTCAGCTGAGAGAGACAGATGAAGTGCACTTTCTGGAGGGATATGTCTACAGACTGTACCTGGACTTGTTCTGTAAGGAAGATCTCTGACATGACATTTTAAAAGGAATAACAGTTGTAGACATCTTCCTCATCACATCAATAATCAAAGATGAAAGTCAGCCAATGACAAATCTTTCAGAGATAAAGTGATCTCTGGAAATGATCTGGAAATAAAAATAATTTCTTCATTATTTTTTCTAAATTGCATGTTGTCAATGTAAAACAAGGTAACTTTTAATAGAAACATCATTTCTAAAGGAAACACATAGGAAACATGGAAATCTGATTCTGTTAAGAAGAGATCTTAATATAGGATTATCCTCTATGGATAATCAAGTAGATTTTTCTTTATTTTCTTTGTAAGAGTTTTATGGTGACAGGTCTTACATTTAAGTCTTTAATCTATTTCCAGCTAACAACTTTTTTGTGTATGGTGTAAGGCAAGGGCCCTGTTTCAATATTTTGCATGTAGATATCCAGTTTTCCCAACACCATTTATTAAAGAGACTTTATTTCCCCCTGGTGTATTCTTGGTCACCTGTCAAAGATTAGTTGACTCTATATGCATGAATTTGTATCTGGGTTTTATTCCATTGGTTTGTATCTGTTTGTATGCAATTACCATAGTGTTTGATTACTGTAGCTTTGTAACATAGTTTTAAATTAGAAAGTGTGATGCCTCTAACAACTTTTATGATTGTTTTAATTATTAAGAGTCTCCTGTAGCTACATATTAATTTTAGTTTTTTTCTTTTTTATGAAAATATTTAATATGAAGATATTAAATGTTAAGTTTTTTCTTTTTTATGAAACTGTTAAAATGCTTTGAAACATTTATTCATTTTAACTTTTATTTTAAGTTTATGGGTACATGTGCAGGTTTCCTACATAGGTAAACTTGTGTCATGGGGGCTTGTTGTATGGATTATTTCATCACCCAGGTATTCATCCTAGCACATTATAATTTTGATAGGGATTGCATTGAACTATAGATGGTTTTGGGTAATATGTGCATTATAACAACATTAGTTTTTTCAGTCCATGAACAAAGGATATCTTTCCATTTATTTCTCTCTTTTTCAATTTCATTTATTCGTATCTTATAGTTTTCAGTGTACAGATTTTTCATCTCCGTTGTTAAATTTATTCTTAAATGTTTTATTCTTTTTTATACTATTGTGCATGGAATTGTTTTCTTAATTTTTTAGAGTACATTCTTACTGTATAGAAATGCAACACATTTTTGTGCATTGATTTTATATCTTGCAAGTTTATTTTATTCATTTAGTAGCTTTAATGATTTCTTTACATAGGATTATGCCATTTGCCAAGAGAGAGAATTTGACTTTCATTTCTAATTTAAAATTTTTTTTTCTTTTTCTTCTCTAATTACTTTTGCTAGGAATTCTAGTACAATCTTAAGTAGAAGTGGTGAGAGTGTACATTGTTGTCTGGTTCCTGATCTTGAAGAAAGACTTTCAGCTTTTTATCAAGTCTGAGGTTTTCTGTGGACTTCTCATATACGGCCTTTATTATGTTGAAGTACATCCCATCTGGATTTAATTTCATGGGGGTTTTTATGATAAAAACAAGTTGAATTTTGTCATTTTTTTTCTATATCTCTCGATATAATCATAGGATTTTTATTCTACATTTTGTTAATGTGATGCATCATGCCTATTAATTCACCTACACTGAATCATCCTTGCACTGTAAGCATAAATCCGACTTGATCATGGTACATGATCCTTTTAATGTGCTGTCAAATTTACTGATCATATTCTGTTGAGAATTTTTGCATCTACGCTTACCAAAGAGATTGGTCTCTAGTTTTCTTTTCTAATAGTGTAATCTGGCTTTGGTATGAGGGTAACACTCACCTCATCAAATTCTTTATTAAAGTAATTTGAAAGTATTCTCTCCTCTTCAATTTTTGAGAAAAGTTTTAAAGGATTGGAGTTAATTCTGGTATGGATGCTTGGTAGAATTCACCCTTGAAATCTTCTTGTCTTAGGTTTTTTGTTGTAATTGTTGGGAGGTTTTAAATTACTGCTTCTGTCTCTTTAACTGTTTTTTTTGTTGTTGTTGTTGTTACAATTTTCTATTTTTTTTATTAATTCAGTCTTGCTTGGTTTTACGTTTTAGTACATTTCTTTTATGTTATCCAATTTACTGACAAGCAATTGTTTTTGGGTCTCTTGTGGCCCTTTCTTTACATTACTGTGGTATCAGTTGTAATGTCTCTCATTTATATTATATTATATTATATACTATTATTTATTATCTATTACAATACATACAATTATATATATATATATAAAACAAAATCCACCTCCCAAATTATAACCCTTAATGTTCAAACACTCTCCCTTGCTTCTTCTTTCTCTGTCAAGTGGCATGCTCTAGATAAGTCCACATTTCTACCCTTGCTCTCTTTGTGCTCTTCCAACTGAGAATTGCTGAGAGAAATATAACTGACATGATGCATTTATACAAATAAGGTTAAAAAATAGAGTGGTATAGTCCGAGTTGAGAGGGGAGGCACTGAGGTTGATTGCCTACATGAAGAAACAGCTCAATAGGGAACTGCAAATTATAAGATGCCACTACACGCCCATTAAAGTGGCTAAAATATAAAATACTTGAGCACACCAAGTGTTGCTGAGGATGTGGTAGAACTGGGACTCTCATACCTTACAGGTAAGAATGTAAAATAGTGGAACTAATTTAGAATACAGTCTGACAGTTTCTTGCTAAGTGCATAATACCTATCATATAGTTGAACTATCCCTTGCCTAACTATAAACCCAAGAGAAAATGAAATATATTTTCATACAAAGACTTACTTATACATGACTATTCTTAGTGGCTTTATTTGTAATAGCCCACAACTGGAAACAAGTTAAATGGCCATCAATAGGTAAATAAGTAAACACTGTAGTCTATTTATATAAAAAAAATTACTACTCGGAAACACAAATCTATGAACTATTGACTACAACAACAATATAATTTCATTTTACAATAATTATGCAGAGTAGTAGAAGCTAGATAAAAAAGAATGCATATGATATAATTCCATTTATAAAACTGATTTATATTGATAGATTAAAGCATGTTACAAGTTTCTCTGAGGTAAGCTCGATGTGTAGGGAAGGACAGAAGAAAGGGATAACAGAGGGCATGAAGACATTATAAGGGTGATAGATGTGTTCACTATTTTGATTCTGGGGATGGTTTCATGGGTGTATACAATGGCAAAATTCATCACATTTTATACTTTAAGTATGTGTAGTTTATTCATGTTAATTACACCTTAATAAAACTGTTAAAAACATCACAGCCTATTGTGGTGATGGCTACGCTCACAGCCCATGCTTCACCACTACACAATGCAATATATGCATGTAACAAATCTGTACCTGTACCCTGTAAATCTATTTAAAAACTAATAAATAAAATAAAATTGTACAACTTGTGTTGCCCATCTACAATGTAAAATTGTTAAAATTTTTGAAAAATAATTCAATTTTAAAACTTTGAAAAAATGCCATCAAAGAATTACCTTCATTTGCCTGTCTTTTGGATAAAAGCCATTTTAACGGGGATGAGATGATATCACATTAAGTTTTGATTTGTACTTTGCTGATGATTAGTGATGCTGAGCATTTTTTCACATAAATGTTGACCATTTGTGTGTCTTCTTTTGAGAAAGGTCTATTCAGATATTTTGCCCATTTATTAATTGGATTATTTGATTTATTTTATTGAGTAGTTTGAGCTCCTTATGTGTTCTGATTATTAACCCCTGGTCAGATGGGTAGACTGCAGACATCTTCTCCCATTTTCTAGGTCGTCTCCTCACTTTGTTGATTGTTTTCTTTGCCATGCAGAAGGTTTTTAGCTTGATGTGATCCCATTTGTCCATGTTTGCTTTAGTTGCCTGTGCTTCTAGGGTATTACTCAAGAAATCCTTGCCCTGTCCAATGTCCTAAAGAGTTCCCACGTTTGCTTTTAGTAGTTGCATAGTTTCAGGTCTCATATTTAAGTCTTTCCTCATTTTGATTTGATTTTTGTATATGGCAAAAAATAGGGGTCTAGTTTCATTATTCTGAATATGGATGTCCCCTTTCTTGAAGAGACAGTTCTTTCCCCAATGTATGTTCTTGACACTTTTGTCCAAAATAAGTTTACTGTAGCTGTGTGGATTTATATCTGGGTTCTCTATTCTGTTCAATTGGTCTATTTGCCTGTTTTTCCTCCTCACTCCAGCTAAAATGCGTTTTATCCAAAAGACAGGCAATAACGAATGTCTGTGAGGATGTGGAGACAGGGGAACCATTGTAAACTGTTGATACGAATGTAAATTAGTACAGTCATTATGAAAAACAGTGTGGTGGTTCCTAAAAAATACTAAAACCCAAACTACCATGTGATCCAGCAATCCTCCTAGGTAGGCAGCCAACAAAAAGGAAACGAGTATACAGAAGACACATATGCATTCTCATGTTCATCATAGCACTCTTCAGAATAGCCAAGATTTGGAATCAACCCAAGCCTCCATCAATGAAAGACTGAATAAAGAAAAGGTGACAGATATACATAATTAAATGTTATTCAGACACAAAAAGAATGAGATCCTGTCATTTGCAACAACATGGATGGAAGAGGAGGACATCAGGCTAATTGAAATAGCTAGGCACAGAAAACCAAATTTCATATATTCTCACTCATATGTACGAGCTAAAAATTAAAGCAATTGAACTCCTGCACATACAGAGTAGAATCAATGATGGTTACCAGAGGCTAAGAAGGGTGGCAAGAAGGGGAGAAAAAGTGTGTATGGTTAAGGGGCACAAAAATACAATTAGAATGAATAAGATCTAGTATCTAATAGCACAACACAATAACAATAATCAACAAAAATTTATTGTATATTTAACAATAACTAAAAGAATAAAATTGGAATGTTCCTGATATGGTTTGGATTTGTGTTCCCACTTGTATTAGTCTGTTTTCATGTTGCTGATAAAGATACTCAAGAGTGGGCAATTTACAAAAAAAAAGAGATTTAATTGGACTTCCCCATCTGGCTGGAGAAGTCTCACAGTCATGGCAGAAGGCAAGAAGGAGCAAGTCACATCTTAAGTAGATGGCAGCAGGCAAAGAGACAGAGCTTGTGCAGGGGACCTCCTCCTTTTAAAACCATCATATCTCATGAGACTTATTCACTATCATGAAACAGCATGGGAAACACTTGCCCCTGTTATTCAATTACTTCCCACTGGGTCCCTCCCACAACATGTGGGAATTCAAGATGGGATTTGGGTGGGGACACAGCTAAATCATATCATTCTGCCCTTGGCCCCTCCCAAATCTCATGTCCTCACATTTCAAAACCAATCATGCCTTCCCAAGAGTACCCCAAAGTCTTAAACTCATTTCAGCATTAATTCAAAAACCCACAGTCCAAAGTCTCATTCGAGACAAGGCAAGTCCTTTCCACCTACGAACCTGTAATATCAAAAGCAGGTTAGTTACTTCCTAGATGCTGGCAGGGAACAGGCATTGGGTAAAGACAGCCATTTCAAATGAGAGAAATTGGTCAAAACAAGAGGGCTACAGGGCTCATCCAAGTCCAAGATCCAGTGGGGCAGCCAAATTTTAAAGCTTGAAAATGATATCCTTTGACTCCATGTCTGGCATCCAGGTCATGCTGATGCAAGAGGTGGGTTCCCATGGTCTTGGGCAGCTCCACCTCTGTGACTTTGCAGGGTACACCCTCCTTCCCAGCCGCTTGCATGGCCTGGTGTTGAGTGTCTGCAGCTTTTCCAGGCACACTGTGCAAGCTGTCAGTGGATCTACCATTCTGGGGTCTGGAGGATGGCAGCCCTCTTCTCACAACTCCACTAGGCAGTGCCCCAATAGGGACTCTGTGTGGGGTCTCTGACCCCACATTTCCCTTCTGCACTCCACTCCCCTAGCAGAGGTTCTTCATGAGAGCCCCACTCCCGCAGCAAACTTCTGCCTGGATATCTAGGCATTTCCATACATCTTCTGAAATCTAGGCAGAGGTTCACAAACCTCAGTTCTTGACTTCTGTGCACTCGTAGGCTCAATACCACATGTAATCTGCCAAGGCTTGAGGTTTGCAATCTCTGAAGCCACAGCCAGAGCTCTACATTGACCCCTTTCAGCCATGGCTAGAGCAGCTGGGACACAAGGCACCAAGTCCCTAGGCTGCACACAGCACAGGAATCCTGGGCCCAGATCACAAAACCACCTTTTTCTCCTAGGCCTCTGGGCCTATGATGGGAGGGGCTGCCATGAAGCTCTCTAACATGCCCTGGAGACATTTTCCCCATTGTCTTGGGAATTAACATTCAGCTCCTCATTACTTATGCAAATTTCTGCAGCTTGCTTGAATTTCTCCTCAGAAAATGGGTTTTTCTTTTCTATCACATTGTCAGGCTGCAAATTTTCTGAACTTTTATGCTCTGCTTTCCTCATAAACTGAATGCCCTTAAAAGCACCCAAGTCACCTCTTGAATGCTTTGCTGCTAAGAAATTTCTTCCTCCAGATACTCTAAATCATCTCTCTCAAGTTCAAAGTTCCACAAATCTCTAGGGCAGGGGTGAAATGCCTCCAGTGTCTCTGCTATAGCATAACAAGTGTCACCTTTTCTTCAATTCCCAACAAGTTCCTAATCTGCATCTGAGACCAACTCAGCCTGGACCTTATTGTTTATATCACTATCAGCAGTTTTGTCAAAACCATTCAATAAGTCTCTAGGAAGTTCCAAACTTTCCCATATTTTCCTCTCTTTTTCTAAGCCCTCCAAACTGTTCCTGCCTCTGCCTATTACCCAGTTCTAAAGTTGCTTCTACATTTTTGGTTATCTTTTCAGCAACACCCCACTCTTGGCACCAATTCACTGTATTAGTCTGTTTTTACGCTGCTGATAAAGACATACCTGAGACTAGGCAATTTATGAAAGATAGAGATTTAATTGGACTTACAGTTCCTTGTGGCTGCGGAAGCCTCAAAATCATGGAGGAAGGCAAAGAGGAGCAAGTCATGTCTTACATGGATGGCAGCAGCCAAAAAGACAGAGATTGTGCAGGTGAATTCTTCATTTTAAAAATTCAGATCTCATGTGACTTTTTCACTATCATGAGAACAGCATGGGAAAGACTTGCTCCCATGATTCAATTACCTCCCACTGGGTCCCTTGCACAACATGGGAGAATTCAAGATGAGATTTGGGTGGGGACACAGCCAAACCATAATACCACCCAGCTTTCATGTTGAATTTTAATCCTTGATGTTGGAGGAAGAGCCTAATGGGTGGTGATTGGATCATGGGGACAGATTTCCCACTTTCTCTTCTCATGATAGTGAGTGAGTCTTCATAAGATCTGGTTGTTTAAAAGTGTGTAGCACCCACAGTTCCTAACACAGAGAAATGACAAATGCTTGAGACAATGGATACCCTAATTATGCTAATTTGATCATTACATATTATATTGCTGTATGAAAACATCACATACACCCTGTAAATATATACACCTATTATGGACTCATAATAATTAAAAATTAAATGAAGAATTAACTTCAAAATAAGACACTATACCCAGGTCATTGAAATGTGAATTATTTTAGACTTTCAAACCAAATGAAAGGTAAGCTCTCACTCTATCTAAACAACTACAGAACGTCAAAGGAATAAATGCTGCTCAATCTCAATTTTTGGTAGTGAACAAAGCCAAGTAAACACAATAAAGAAAATCAGCCAATGATAGCTAAGAGTGGAGATGAAAATATAACACAGGACACTATTATCTCAAATTCAACAATAGACTATTTTTAAATACCCTCATAAGCAAGCATTGCCTTCTGCAGAAATTAAAAATAACACACCTTACTCTTGGGAAAGCCACTGATTCTTGTTAACACAGAAACAGGTTAAATAAGAGCTATTACCCACATCACAATATCATGAGATTAAATGTCTCCACATTTAACTTCTGCTCCTAACATAAAGTAAAAATAAATACCTTAATGTATCACAATAAAAATGATAGGGAACATCTTTCTTAAACTGCATCATTAGCATACTTGAGGATAAATGCCTCCAGCATCTCCACCACTAGGATTATTATTTGAATGTTTCGGTCTGTACTTGCAGAAAAAAAATGTTAAGTTGCAAATGGTCTACATAAATAAAATTATTGTTTACAAACATTTGAGTCTCTCTTTGAAGAATCCAAAGGGATCAACTGACAAGATTAAGACACCTGGTTGCAAAATAAGTATATTCAATATTAAGAAAAAAAATTCCCCTACAATAACAACAAAACTTTGTATAACTTACAAATCAACCTAAGCACAGAAGTGGTTCATCCACCTAAATGAGAAGGAGCACTCTAATGAGTTACATAAAAGATGTGAGCATCACAGGGAGAGGCTATATTTTCCAATTTTAAAAATAACATTTTAAAAATGTCAATTATTTTCAAATTAATCTACAATGTAATACAAATTAGATAAAAATTTGAATAGGGTTTTATTTGGAACATGGAAAAATGGTCATAAAGTTGTTCTACTGGCAAGTTGAACAACGTAATAACTCAGACAATAATGTGAAAATCATCTCAGATCTGCCTCTTCTGACTATTGGTCATCTCCCTAGAGAATCACCAGACTCAGAGAATGTTGGAAAAACCATCCATGGGACAAACAGCCGTCTTATTCTCAACTGTTACAAAAAGAATCAGTTCAGACTCATTTCAGTTTCTTGAATCCGGTTTAACAAGAATCCGAGTTGCTGTCAAGAGTTTCTTATAAATATAGGTTTGAAAATTGCAAATAATATATAAGTTAAATATAAACACACTATGAACACTTCAAGTCTAATTTCAGGAAAATATTTTACTACCATAATAGTTTCAGTGGGTCAAGTTTCCCTGGTCTTGTTAAATGATAAAAAAGGTATTTGACAAATGTCAGCATTTTCTTCACAGAAGAAAACTAGACATAGAAATAAGATTGTGTTCACAGGAAAAACTGAACACATTAGAATTCAGTATGCAACGTTGTAATTAACAGAGAAACACTAGTAAAATTCTAATTAGTGTCAAGAACAAGAGAACTCTAAGCCAACATTGTTTCTGGGGGTCTTCGCTAACACAATGGAAAAAAGGAAATAAATAGACTACATAAATTGAAAAATAAACCCCAAAATGGTCATCATTTCTATTTAATTCGTCACTTGGAATTCTAAAGAAACGATTTAAGAACGTTTGCCAATAAGATACCTCCATGATGTGTCCAGATAAAGCGTGATGTTCACAAGTTAATGGCCCTCCCACATATTAACGAGATCTGGAGAGCTGGTGTATGTGTGGAATTTAAAGTTGTTGGGTGTCTAAAACTGACAAGCAGAGTGTGAAGCAAGCAGAAAATATGGACAGGAAGAAAGAATGAGCTATGCCAATAAACTCCAAGTGGAGGATTTTAAGAAGGGGTCTAGGAAAAGCCTGCACAGAGACCGAGAGAAAGACGTCCCAAGGCGTGGAGACCACGCCGGTGTTCCTCACAGGCCCCCCAGGGTAGGGGCCATGGTGGATGCAGAGCCAGCCGCTGGGCTCTGAAGTCCATTTGCTGGTGGCCCCGCGGCCATATGTCCATGGTCTGCTCCTTACCCTTGGCTGTGCTTGGCAGGAATGGCGAGACAGGCCTGCTCTTGCCAGCTTCCCTACCCTCGCTCTTTCACTGCGCGCGGACTCCCTGGTTCTGACATCTCTCTCAGCTCTCTCTGACTCTGTCCCAGATTTTCCCTCATACAGACAGTTCTAATAAAATCTTTTCTTGTTTATTCCTCTTGGCATTGTTTCTCAGAGGACCTGAACTTTTGCATAATTAAAATGTCCTGCTGTGTTTCAGTTTAACAAAACAGGATAATTTAAAAAATAATAATAATGAAAGGACCCAAAGCTTTCACCGACAACAGGATTTCCAACTTAGTAGAGCAAGGAGCTGTGGGCAGTGTTGTCTTGGAAAGGATGCGGGGACCCGCATTTCCTGGAACTCTGGCAGAACAATAAGGGAGGCCCAGTCCAATGTCCAAATACAGGGCTCAGAGGAGGAGCTGGTTTCAGAGACTTAAGCGTTGTGAGGTTTCCCTCTGAGCCCCTGAGCCTCCTGTCCTTGGGACAGAGGTGGTTAATAAACCTAAGTTTGGAGAGTTGTGAGGTTAAGGGGTACGGGAATTTAAGAGCATTGCTCCTTGCAATATAAAATGTAGATAGAATCAAAAGAGTAAATTCGCTGAGGAATGAGGGTGGGGGTGTGAAGGCACAGCCTCAGGGGAATTGGCTTTGAGACTGGAGGACAGATGTGGATAGGCAGAGGCACAGTGCAATGGACCCTCCAGACAGTCCCAGGCCATGGCAAGGTGTAACCAGTAGTGATGGCCGCAGATGACAGAGGCAAGTAAAGACAGAGGTCTTCCCGGAAAAGACCAAGGTAGTGAGTAAGAGTAAGGGGCATTAAAGAGAAGCTTGACAAATGGGTCAAATCTTTCAGCCAAATGTGGAAGCAGGAACTCTCCCCCACGGAAGAGGAAGTCCCAGATGAAGACAGATTGATTCTTGCAGGAAGATAACGTTCTGCTTCCAACATCACGCTCAGTCATGTGCTTCTTCTGGCTTTTGCTGATCATACGTAATGATGGTAATATCAGTTATTTCTGTCTATTCTCATGTAAATCACTCCTAGAAATCTTAAAAAGATTTAGTCCGATAATCTCTCATCAAAAGTTCTCATAAAACTGAAATTTTGACTTTTTCCTTTGTAAGTGGAGTGAAAGATAGAACTGACCTTGATTCTTAAGTTTAAAATGCAAGCATTTGCAACATTTCGAAGAGGAACGAAGGGAAAAATGCACTTTGATGGCTCCCTAATTTTATTTCTCAAGTTTTTATAAACCAACAATTGGTACAAAGGCAAACAAACTCAAGCTTTTAAAACACCAACAAAATCTGAACTTTCCCATGGCCTTCCAAAAATACCTAAATTATTCTTAAAACAACAGACATAATATAAATTTGATCGTATTTTGTTTTTGTTTTTAAAATTCAATTAGTGTGAGTATAGCTTTTCTTACATTTTTTAACTCGAGATAAATACACTTTTGCTTCCTAAATGCAAATATAACTATGAATTTCAACTAAAGTTTATACAACACAGAAATTCAGGAAAATCCAGGTCCTAGAGGTGAAAATTAGAAATCCGTGACCTAACGCACCTTTACAAAATTTATTTGTTTGCATCCAAATATTTAGCCATAAGCTACGCTGTGTAACAGAACAGGATTTTTCCACTATTTGCCATGAGATAAATGCCTCCAAGAGTCTTTACCATGATTTCTAGAACACCAGTGGATTAGGAGTAGCTGATACCAGAAATGCAAGCTGCCCTCTGCCACCTCCAGCAAATGGATGGAGAGAGAACTCCAGGTATCGGAGGTGTTTCTCTTCCTCCTAGGTGGAGAAGAGCTTAGGGCTCTCTCAGTGTTTCAGAGATTGCACTGTGTGCAGTGCCTTATGTGTTACTCTGCAGAAGTGTAGGTTCTATCCTGCAAGGCCATGAGGTAGAGTTTGACCAGATCATTGTTGCCATGACTTCCATTTCAAAGTGAAGACTGGTAGGAGGTGCAAGGTGGCCACTGGAGATGAGTGAATCAGACTGTGTGGAGAGAAAGTGGATTGTCATCAAAAGGACACTTGAGGGTAGGATCTTGATTTCCAAGAGCCACTGGCTTCCAGAGGTTCAGGCGGCATCACTGTGGATGGAATGGTAACCTTGTATCTAGTTTGACAAGGATGCTACCTGCGGCCACTACCACCTGAAGGGGACAGAGCAGCTTGTTGTCAAGACATTAGGTGGGTGAATACAGGATGGGGCCGGGAAAACAGTGTTGGAGGGCTCTCCTTGCCCCTCAGCTGCCTTGTCAGCACTGTGATGGCCATAAGCCCTGAGGAATTGTAGCTGGGTATCTCTCACAGAGTGTGTGTGGGGCGCTGTATTGTGGCACATTGTGGGAAAGGACCCCTGGCATCTCATGCAATACCAGTTGCTGCCAATGCTGTTACTTCATCTTTCTTTCTCCGAGACCTTGAGTTCTCTCTCCATCCATTTGCTGGAAGTGACAGAGGCCAATTTCTGGCATCAGCTACTCCTAATTTATTCAAAATTAATAAGAAAGATGAAAAAATTTAATTTATAACATACAAACATACTTTTATATATGCTAGTATATAAAATATTTAATTTATAAAATATAAATATATACTTTTTATATATGCTATATATAATTAATTAAATTATAATTTTTAAAAATCAAGAGATTATAAATTATAAAGATATACTTTTTATGTTCGTATATAATATACTTTATAAGCACTATGCATTTATATATAAATCTGTGTTTATATATAGAAAGTATACACCACCTGAATATTTTCTTCCTTAGCTCTTAAGGTTTCTCTGAACAAGGCAGGAATATGCAGGCTGCAGCTCACCACAAACCTCCATGGCTCTCTGCTCTCTTCTCAAACACGTGCGACCTGGTACCTTCCACACCCTCTTTCCTTTTGAGCCCAGCCCATGTCTTCAGGTGCATCTTCAACTGTTATTACCCATAAACCATCTTTTTGTCTAAAGGTAGGACAGTACTTTGGACACCCTCGTGAGAATGCTCCCCCTCCCTCAGGGCCTCCTCATGGAAGGAGCTTCATCTCCCTACTGATTCACATTTTTTATTCAGGCCTATGAGAGAAGACTTCTCCCACACTTATAGGATATTTTCTGTGCCCTTTAATCTGGCTCCAAGCTTGTCAAGAAGTTAATATCCCCACTTGAATCAGCTGCTATATTATCTAATCTTTCTGGATTTGATTAGACACATTTTTAATAAAAATGTCTTTAAGATATTCCTTTGAATCAAGAATAAATTTGTGAATCCAATTGTTTTAATAACAGCCTCCCAGATATTCCTCTATATCAATTTTGCTCACTTGATCAATATTCCTTGAGAATAGTTTTGTAACTAGCAACAAATTCACCTAACTCAGCTCTAATGACAAGTTTTATTTCTTATGGGTTTCCAAAAAATGTCATGAAAGACTGTGTCACACGTTTTGTAGAAGGCAATACCATTGTGTCCAGAACATTTGCTGCTCTGTGCTCCATGACCTCATCCAAACAGAGGGGAGATCAACTGGACAGGTCTCATTTCCAGGGAATCCATGGGGGTCTTAGGTAACTCTGACCACTTCTCAAATTTCCTCCAAATAACCTACATAATAATTTGTTCTAAACATTTATCATGAATTAATGATAAAATATCAGTCAATAAATCCTGGGACCATGTACATTTGAAAATGAATGTGCTGCCCATCCTAATGTCTTCTGGTACATCCATACCGGAAGAGAAACCCCTCATCATAGGCATTCAGACACTTATTTGCATTAATTTTAAACAATTAGGAGATCTCTTGTGATCTCCTCACTGGGTATAGGTTTCTGTTATTTTTCTAAGATACAAATTTTATTCTTTTTCTTGAAGTTTTAAAATTTCCTTTTCTAGAAACAAATAGAACAAATCTGATTTTTCTTTAATAGTAAAATCTTACTTTTTAAAAACATCTATTTGTTTAATGCTTCTCTTCCTACATAGGTAGAAGAAAAATCAGCCAATTTGTTTCCACTTGATTTTGAGTGTTAGCTTTCCTTTATTCTTCCTTAGGGTTGAAGTCATGCTTTTACAATATTCCAAAGATCAATTATAGTGCTTTATTTTCAGGAGTTACCAATGGTCTCTGTCCATAAGTCTCATGATTCTATTCTCCTCTCAACCTTTCACAATCTTATTAATTATTTTATGTTAGATAGATGCCATTGCTTAACTCGCCCAACAACTCTGTTCTTCCAAAAGTTTGGGAAATGTATTAGTTCATTTTCACACTGCTATGAAGAAATATCCAAGACAGTAATTTATAAATAAAAAGAGGTTTAATAGACTCATAATTTCACATGGCTGGGGAGGCCTCACAATCATGGCAGAAGGTGAATGAGGAGCAAAGTCATGTCCTACATGGCAGCAGGCAAGAGAGCATGTGCTGGGGAACTGCCCTTTATAAAACCATCAGATCTCATGAGACTTGTTCACTATCAGGAGAACAGCACAGGAAAATCACACCCCCATGAATCAATTACCTCTCACTGTGTCCCTCCCATGACACATGGGGATTACAGGAGCTAAAATTCAAGATGAGATTTAGGTGGGGACATAACCAAACCATATCAGGGGAAAATAAAGCTAAAAAGCAAAATGTTAATCTCTACGTCACATTTCTCACACTCATGAAAAGAATCCCAGGAGTTTTGTGGAGTCCAGGGTGGCCCAACTCTGGGCTCCATCCACACCATGACTAGGGCACATCTCCTTTTTATCTGTCTTTCTATTGGACTTCATGTACTATTACTTTTGAAGGAAAAATATATTCTATTCCTAGGGAAAGCAAGAACCTTTCTTTCTCTTTATTTAGCCAGGGGCCCAATTTTAAAGAGTTGTTTCTAAAGGCTTTTCATCTTTCCTTGTAACACCATGTTTAAGATAGGCTACAATCTGTGTGTGTGAGTGCCTATGTGTGTATGTGTGTATTCTTGGATATGTCTGTGTGTCTGAATGTGCCTCCATGTGTGTCTCTGTGTATCTACACATGAGTGCATGCATGAACATATGCGTATTCCTTTGCATGTATGTGCATGTGTGTTTATGTGCACCTATGTGTGAGTGCATACATGTGCATATGTGGATTCCTGTGTATGCATGTATGTGTCTGTGTGTGTGTGTGAGACAGTTCATGTATGTGTATATATGTCTTCTTGGCTATATATTTGTGTGTCTGAATATGTCTCTGAGTGTGTCTTTTTGTGAATCTATATATGAGTGCATGCTTGTGTATATATGTATTCCTGTGTGTGCATATGTGCCTGTGTGTCCTGTGTGTGTGAGAGAGTGCATATAGATGTATTGCTATGTATGCATTTGTGTGTTTGTGTGTATCTGTGTGTGTGTGTGTTAGATAACATACCTGACAATGGTAAGTTCTTTCTCAGCCATCATTCTTTGAATGAGGCGTCTTCCAACCCCTGAGTCTAATGTCTCAACTCCCCCATTTCCCATCCTTTTTCCCCACTTCTCTGTTTCTTTGTATTTGTCACTAACAAATAATCATTGATTTTGTGTATTGTCTTCCCCCGAACTACAGCATAAGTGCTGATACGGAGAGGTTAATGTCTGATTTGTTCCCTGCTGTATTCCTGGAAACTTGAAGTGTGTGGGGCATGTAGTGGGGTTCTGGCATTATTTGCTGCTGGAATATGCCTCAGTCCATCCGTGCTGTTGTCCTTCCTCCCTTCCCTGCCCTGCCCCGCAGCCCCTAGGCCTCACGTGCAAAGTCAACAGCGAAGACAGGGCCAGCAGGAACTGCCTTCTCTACCTCACGTGCACCTGTCCGCCATTGGGGAATGAAGAAGATTAGCTCCACCCTAAAGAATTAGAAACCCCATGGTTTTCTGTACCCCAAATCCAAAGGTGCTGCCCTGAATGACTGGAATGTTTGCAACACACCGATTTTTAGGTGGCTAGACCGAGAACTATGTTTGTGAAGTTACAGTTTTATGTCTGAAGTTAAAGGTGTTCAGCAAACTATTATCTTAAATCCCTCTTATGTAAAGGAAACAGTTTACTAATCTTGAACGTGACCGACTTCTAAGGCTGAGTGGTTCATGAATGTGCCAGGCTGTTCTCCTCTTTAGAGCTGCCATTGCATTATATGGGAGCTTGGAGGCTGCTTTAATTAAAGTTATCTGAATAGAGCACAGTATGCCAGATGTTCATAATAAATATAATGTAGCTTATGTAATGTTATGCCATCATGGAATATATTGGAATGGTTGTGATTATCCATTATTACCCATAATAAATCTACATTTATTTCACTGTTTTTAGTCATTAAGCATTTCTCAACCACTATAAATTAGCTTAATATTTGAACTTTGCCTTTTGCTGAAGTTTTTCCAATAGAGATAATTAAAGAGCTCTTGGGGCAAATTTAGTTCACATTATTTCCATTAGAATTAAACATACACTTGGGATACTAGAGTCTGTGCTGTTGATGCTTATGACTGACATTTTGAAGTGCAAATGTCAGTTAAGCATTTTTTTTACCTCCACAGTCAAATGCTTTTTCAAATAATATTTTTGAATATACAAGGCTATCGAATATGTTCTGAGTTAGAAGAGTTTGGCTTGACAAACACTGAGCATCTAGCGGGCACTAACCTCTTTTACATCTGTGGACCAACACCTGCAGGGGAAGCTTGAGTAGGGAGGGCTGAAATGGAGCCACAGAGTTTCTTCATAAGAAGGACTGGGCAGGAGCAGCCTCATTGGCAGAGTGGGTGGGGAGGGCAGTTGATTTTTCTGAAAGACGTACTTTCATAGCAAGCACACATGCCTTTAGATTTGGGGCAGGGGGGCATAATGGCCACTATAGGTGAAGGTGGAAGTCCTTCAAGCCCGTATAAATTCCTGCTCTCCTTTCCTTGCAATAGACACACTGACACGCCGATCCAGAGAGCCTTGCTTCCCCAACTCTGGAGCAGACCAGATGTCCACAGATGTAGAAGAGTTACACAGCGGACCCTGCTGTCTCCTTATCAACAATTAGCTGAATAATTAAGTGGTTTAAGTGTTAGGTTTGAGATGTCAATTAGACATTGGAGTGTGAATGCGAACGTGTTTAGAAAGAAGAGTTCAGAGTTCAGGGACATAAATTTGGGAATTACCAACATGCAGATGATTTTTGAGCCATGAGCCAAAAATGAGATCATCACTATAGTGAGTGTCTGGGGAGAGTAAGAGAAGAAAGAGGCCTGGGCACCATCAAAGAGGGCTGAGAAGCTGTGATCAGTGAGAGAGAAACAAAAGAGGCAAAGACAGGGACAGAGACAGAAAATAGACAGAGACAGAGATGTGGACAGAGAAATAGAAGGAGGGGGATGAAGAAATTCTCATTCATATTTAAAAGAGAAATGTGAGGACTAACGAAAAGTGCATTTTTTACCAGACGTGCAAATTGGTACAAGTGTGCACCTGAGTCAAGCCACATCACTGAGCCTGATTTCTGCTATGCCCTTCTAACCCTCTAACCCCAGGGAAAGGAGTTTGCGGTCTTGATGTTTTCTCTTCAAGAATAAGCATTACATAGTACTGTACTTTACAATGACCTTTTCTCTCCCCTAACAACTAGATGAGCTAACTGGGAAAATTCTTTATTAACAGCCAGAAATTATCAATCTTAAATGACATAACTCATTTTAAGTTTGAATTTAATAGCATTTTTGGTAGTTTTTGGTCATTTTCTGAGTAAACAAATCCCCCAAGTCAAAAGAAAATACTCATGCAACTGAGCAGCAGATTCCAGCACCCATCCCCAAACCAGGAGCTTCATAGTCAAGTGTGTTCACCCACTTCTGACCCACACTGAAGAAAAAGGGTAAAACTATATGACATGTGCAATAGAATGAAATTGTGAGCTCACTTCACACAAAACCATTGGCCATGTGAAAGGACATTTGTGATAGGAAGAAGAAATAACAGGGAAGTGTATTTGAATCTAATTCTGATGGTGGCTTTAGAATGCCCTCACTAGGTGAGTTAGAAGGGAAGCCATACACACCTCCCTCCAAAATCAAAGTGAAAGTAGACAAATCATTTTGGAAGTCTAGGTTAATGCAAAATGGACATTTTTGTTCAAGAAATCAACTGTGACCGGCAGGTCTTTCTCTGCTTAAAATTGAGGTGAATATCAAAAGAAAATTACAATCATTAAGTGATTATTTGAAACTTATTATGGTAGAAGTATTATTTAAAGTGTGTGGGCAGATCCTTAGAAAGTTCACAGATATTTTAGTGGCCTTTATTTCTAAAATTAGAACTATTAATAAAGCTATATGTTCATAGTAATAATTACTAACGATTTATAGTCTATATGATAATACCATTCATACATACACACACATGCATACTGAGAAAATGACAAAAATCAAATTAACAAAGTAATTGGTGGTAGTTGCACACCTATATTTACATATTTATATCTATGAACTTTTTCTCTTTGGAAAGAGAAAGGTAAAATTGTAAAAAAATCATACTATTCTTAAATTGACAGCTTTTAAAGTATACCAATATTACTTCAGAGTCACAATTATCGGCAAGGATGTTGAAATTTTAAAACAATTTGCCCCCAGGATCTCCATAAAAATTACAAAATTAGATGCGTGAATCCTAAGGCTGTCATGTGTCCAAATAATTGCTAAATTTGGCCAAATCTGCACAGAATCCGAAGCCTGAGGATCCTGGCCCAGGGGCAACAACTCTCTGATATCACAGACACTGCCCAAGGCCAGAACAGCTCCCCTCGCCTCCTGTACCAGTTTCCTGTGTTGCTGTAATATGTTCCCACAAACTCGATGGCTGAAACCAGCACCCACTTCTCATCTTACAGTCGTGTAGCTCAGAAGTCCACATGGGGCTCCCTGGATGTCAGGGGCCTACAGGACTGCTTCCTTCTGGAGGCTGTGGGGTAGAACCTGTTCCCTTTCCAGCTTCTAGAGGCCTTGGCTCCTGGCCGCACGTAGCTCTGACCTCGGCCTCCATCCTCTCATCTCTGGTTGTCTCTGGAGCCTCTGGTTGCAGCTCTCTGCTGCTCTCTCACAAGGACTGTGGAATTACATTAGCCCCCGCTCCCCACCACACTGAATATTCCAGGATACTCTTCACAGCTCGAGATGTTTCCTTATTCACATCTGCAAAGTCCCTCGCCATGAAAGGTAACATATTTGCAGGTCTCGAGAACTAGGGCATGGACATCTTTGAGAGGTCATTGTCCTGGCTCTTTCAATTCCCTAAAATTATTTTCATCCTCATGATTTCATTTTAAAATTAAAATTTAATGAGGCTCTTTGGACCTGTATTTAACTGAAGTTTGCTGTTGGTTAATAAAATTACCCAAATATTTAACACACAGAAAATGGCTGCTTTATGAGTACAGAGAAATCTGAGATATTTGTTCTCTGATTTTATCTGGGATTTTAGATACTTAGTAAACCAGTGGGCTACACAGTGTCTTCACTGTGTCCCAAAGGAGGAGCCTCAGTCACAGCCACCATCACTCATTCACTCAATAGATGTTAGGTGGGCGCTCACTCTGGGGGCACCTGCACTCCAGGTGCCCAGGGTCAGTCAGTGGAAAACACCCTAGCATAGGGTTCACAGTTTTGACGATCAATTTACCTGTCATCTAGACTGGATCAGGGCCTGCTCAGATATCAAATTACACTTCATGTCTGCGTGTGCCTGTGACGGTGTTTCTGGATGATCAGCGTTTGGGTCTCTGGACTCAGCCAGTAGGTTTTCCTCCCCAATATGGGTCGGCCTCCTTCAGTCCCTGGAGGCCTGAACAGAACAAAAAGGTGAAGAGAAAGGAGGACTTTGCCCCTTTCCTTTCTTCCTATCTGCTTCAGCTGGGACCACAGTCTTCTCCGCCCTCACACTGGGGTTTACATCACCTGCATTCCTGTTTCTCACACTTTTGGCTTGCCTGGAATTACACCAGGCTTTCCTGGGTGTTCATCTTGCAGGAGGTAAATTGTGTGTCTTCTGGTTCTCCAGAATTGCATGAGCCAATTTCTCATAAAAAAATCTCCTTTTATTATTAAAAGGAATTAGCTCACACAGTACACACACACATACACACACACACACACGCAAGCACATGCACACTCATATGTGTACTTTTCTATGTACATGTATATTTCATATTTTAAATATATTAAATATATATATATTTCTTATCTTAGAGTTGTGAAATACACATACATATTTCTTACCATTTCTGTTTCCCTGGAAAGCCTTATTACCACAATCAACATAATTTGTAAGTACATTTTGTAGGTTTTTTGCAGAGGTTGACAAGGGCTCTGGAAAAAATCTGACATAGAGTGTCCAAAGGCAATTGGGAGTGAGGGAGGGACTGGGCTGAGTGAGAAGGACAGAGTTCCGCTTATTGAAATGGAGGGATACTCCCTGAGGAGGTGGCAGCAGCTGGGTGACTGGAAGGAGGGGTTGGTGATTGAGGATGTGAGGGGGATGCATGCTCAGGCCAGCAAATGGTCAGCACAAAGGCCCTGAGGCAGGAGTCAAGGACGCCGGTGAAGCTGCTTCAGAGTGAGAGTCGGCAGTGTGGAGGAAGTGACACCAAAGAGGAAATGCGGGGAGTCATCTCTCACCATGAGTCTGAGGTCTGCGTTCTGCACCCTACCTGTGCCCCATGGGCTGAATCCCATGTCCGTGTCAATGCTCCTCTTCCCCTGGCTTCCTTCCAGATTCCTATTCTCCTCGCTTGTGCCCTGCAAGGCCCTCGCCTGCCTGCCTCCCTCTGTGAAGCTCAGGGCTTCTCCACAGCAGCCCTCTCCACCACTCCTACCCCAGCCCCCGTGCAATCAGACACTCATTGCTAGCCCAGCCATTCCCCAATTCCCTGGAGTTTTCCCGCCCCGCTGCTCATGGCTTTTGTGAAGAATCATTTTATTAAACCCTCCTCAAATTATTCCAATCTGAGCATAGCCTCTGACTCTTGCTGTGACCTCAATGGATATGGGTGAAACAGCACACAAGTTACCGTAGGGCTTGGCTTTCCTCTGAGGATTGGGAGCCGTGTCCCTGGAAGCCCTGACCTGACAGGACCTCACTGACTTCTACTGAGGGTTCCTCTCAGAGAAGAGACTCTGTAGGACCAGGCAGACGGAGGGTGACAGCCAGGGTGGGGGCCACAGATCAGTTCAGAGGCTGCTGCTGTGGTGGTGGCAGGGGCCGGGGGGAGCTGTGGGGTTGAAGGAGCTCGGAGTCTGCATGTGTTTGAAGTAAAGCCTAATCTAAGGATTTAGAGGTGGGTGTGAGAGAAGGGGAGATGCTGCCAAGATTGCTGCCATGGGCAACTAGAAGGTAAAATTGCCATTTGCTGATGTGGGGAAGATGGCAGATGGGACAGGTGTTGGGGGAAGATGAAGGGCACAGGCTTGGACTTCTTGAGTTTGGGATACCCAATCCCCAGGACTGTAGTGGGCCCCCTGCTTCACCCACTGCTCCTTCCCACTGAGGCTCTGGGGTGGCCACACCGGCCCCCGCCATGTCTCGGACTGCATTGGCTGGAGCCTGTGAGCTTATCATTCCCACCGCCCAAGTGGCTGTCTCTTTCTCTACGTTTTAAAAGTTGCTCAACTGGCACTTTCTTAGGGTGATTTCTCCTTTCCAGCCTATTTAAAATTGTATTCTCTTTTCATAACTCCTTAGCCTCTATTCTTGCTGAAATGCTCTTAAAACTCTTAACACTGTCTAATATATAATGTGTATTTTCCTGACATATTATGCTTATTCTGTTTCTCTCCTCCACCAGCTAAGTCTCATGAGAGTAGGGTTTTTCTTTTTGGTTTCTCAAATCATTTGTCCTCTCTGGCTGGACTGATGACCAGACACTCAGGAGATGCTCAATGAATATTTATTGAAGAAATGAACAAGTAAAGGCTGTGGCTGTCTTATTATTCATAGTCTTCTGAAAACAGATTAATTCCATCAATTAAACAATCTTGAATGTGCCCCACCTAAGTGCCCTCCCAAGCTAAGCACTGGCGATTGCAAAATAAATAAGAAAGAGTCCTTGCCCTCATGGATTTGGTGTTCTGTGCAAACATGTTAAAGAGAAAGCATTCTGTGGGACTGTCTTTAATTTTTCTGCATCCTTTGATTTCTCTCAAGCTTCATCTGCCTGCTAATATTGAAGCCATGTGCCTCCAGGAGAGAACTAAACCCTTCTCCAGATGTTCTTGTCAATTCTGGCGGCAATCATATTTTTATCCAATTTGAACATATTTTTCTTGATTAATACAAGAAGCCCTAAGTAGAGATTCTCAAAATTTACTCAACAGCTGCACGATCTTGTGAGATAAGATCATGAGCAGAATATGCTTATTCCAAGTGGAAGGATTATATTGTTCTTTTCTATTCACCCCCTGTATCATTTTTATTGAGGTTCAAAGCATTTGGGTTAAAAATTCTTCGCTTCTCTCATCGCTGGTGTGAAGAGAATGCTTTCAGAAATGGACCAAGCATGCTGTCAAATCTGAGGAGCTGGAGGCACCAGAGCCTCATTGATAATTTGGTTGGATTTGAATCAGGTAGAGGGAATGCTTGTGGTGTCCAGGGTACCCGCTGGAGATCAGACAGCAGCTGCCACCACAGAGTGGAGTTGAGCTGGACTTTCAACCGTTTCCAAGAGTCCCAGTACACTGCCTGCCCAAATAAGACACTGTTGATGGTAGCAATGCTGAGGAAGCTCCCAGGAAATAAATAATGGTTTGCAGATATTAAAGCAGAATCGTCACCTACATTATTTAAAGTGGTATCTGGGCTGCATGCAATGGCTCACGCCTATAATCCCAGCACTTTGGGAGGCCGAGATGGGCAGATTGCCTAAGATCAGGAATTCAAGGCCATCCTGGGCAACATGGTAAAACCCCATCTTTACTAAAAATACAAAAAATTAGCTGAGCGTGGTGGTATGTGTCTGTATTCCCAGCTACTCGGCACATTGAGGCGTGAGAATTGCTTGAGCCTGGCAAAGGGAGATAGCAGTGAGCCTTGAGGCGAGATTGCGCCACTGCACTCCAGCCTAGACAACAGAACCAGGCCCCGTCTCAAAAAAAAAAAAAAAAAAAGTGGTATCTGTCTACTTCACAATCAAAGGTCAAAGGATGAAAACCCATATACAGCCAATAAGCACACATTTCTTGACCAGTAAAAATCAGTATATTTGTCTTCTCTTGGGCGCCCAAACCACTTTCAGGAGAAATGATGTGGAGGAAGCGGCAGAGGCCGCATTTGGGGCTGAGTGCCTGAGTTGGCTGTTTCATTTCACAGCAGGAAGATACTAGGTAAACTTCTAGGAAGTGATTTTTGGAAATAACACATTTGGTAATTAATGCTTACCTCCTTCACGCTTTCATGCTTTCAGAGGTGAGTGCTTTAGAATGGTGAAGGAACCGAATGCATTCTCCCTCAACCCACAGGTGATGGAGCTGCATTTCTCCATACATTTTATGTTAGGTAAAGATTATGTATTCAGCAAAAACTGAACAGGAAATTTGGGAACACACTTAACATTGTTTACGTTAAAAATTATTTTCTGTCCTATTTTTTACTTGCTGAGTTCGAGTGTTGAGTTACTTGCCAAAGAGCTAAACTCAAATACTATGAGGAAGAGAAAAAAGTAAAACAACAAGAGATAAAATCTGTTAAATTTGGAAGGGTAGAGAGGAAGTGAAAAATATAACACATTTAGTAGATATTTCACATACAAAAATTTATAAAAACCAATAAGCTGTGAAACTCTTGCTGTAGCTGAAATAAAAGATATATGTAAATAAAGCGTTTTCAAAAATAGGTCATTGCAACAATAGGTAGTAGATTACAAAGAACTGCACAGTAAAAATCTGTATGCAAAGTTATTATAATGCAGGTACTGAAGGGTGCACCTGCAAGGCAAGACATGGCACCAAGGACTGTGGCAGACACTGGAAGATGGAAGAGGCACTGGGTTTATTCCTTGGAGCCTGCAGCAGGATTCAACCTGCTGACATCTTAATTTTGGATCTCTGGCCTCCAGAACTGTGAGAAAATAGGTTTCTGCTGTTTTAAGCTACCCTAGTTGTTATAGCAGACGCAGGATGCTAGCAGACTCCTTAGAGAGGTACTCTGGCTGCTCTGTGGAGCTGCAGTGGCACCAGGAGGGGACACTTCCATTCCAAAGGGAAAGGGTTCTCCCAGGCTGCAAGGATCAGACCCACAGGGAAGTGTGGACTTCCAGGGAAAAAGGGGGCAAGTTGTTTGCTGGGGAGAATAAAAGGGGAAGTGCCGTATTCCATAGATGTGTAATGGAGGAAAATGTTGCCTGTGATATAGTATGGGAGGAAAAAGTCATAAAGGAAGAGCACAATTTTCCCTTTAAGGTGAAAGATAAGTCAAAACAGTATCATCACATAAGATTAACATCTTCTATAAGATGTTCATTTTTGGCTGGGCGTGGTGGCTCACCCCTGTAATCCCAGCACTTTAGGAGGCTGAGGTGGGTGGATCACCAGGAGTTCGAGACCAGCCTGGCTCACATGATGAAACCCTGTCTCTATTAAAAATACAAAAATTAGCCGGGTGTGGTCGTGGGCGCCTGTAATCCCAGCTACTCGGGAGGCTGAGGCAGGAGAATCACTTGAACCCAGGAGGCAGAGGTTGCAGTGAGCTGAGATCGCACCACTGCACTCCAGCCTGGGCGACAGAGCGAGACTCCGTCTCAAAAAAAAAAAAAAAAACAAAAAACAAAAAAAAAGATTAACATCTTTTATAAGATGTTCATTTTTATAATCTGAGAACCAAAGAAGAAAATGGGAAAAATTATGATTTTTTAATTGAAAAATCACATTTTTTTTTACTTTTAAATGCTTTTTGGATTACTATACATAGAAAAAATTTCCTTGCA
Organism: Homo sapiens; assembly: GCF_000001405.40. Lineage (NCBI taxonomy): Eukaryota > Metazoa > Chordata > Mammalia > Primates > Hominidae > Homo > Homo sapiens. The sequence goes on from NC_000005.10 coordinate 4,413,753, forward strand.
ATTACACATAGTGGATTTGTTTATAGCTCTATTATGCTGAATGTACAATTAATCTGAAACCTGGGACTAAAACATGAAAAGTAAAGGATGTGTCAAGTGTCACTGGGAACTACAACAGATTGTGGTCATTACATTTATGCTATTAAAATATTATCATGTATTGAGTACAGCCCCTTGATATTTCACTGTGTGTTTTCTTTTGCAAATTCAATTAAATTGGAATAATATCGATGACATTCTTTTGGCCCGAGCTTGTCATCAGAAATCTTTTTTCTAATTCTGATTATCCCCCCCGATTAATTAATGTGAAAAATGTGAAATTCACAAGCATCTACTCTCCTCAAATCCCTTCTCAGTCAGAGGAAAAATGAAGCCCTCCCCCGGCTGCTCTACAATCCGCCTCTGCCTCTGCCAGAGATGTTGAGGATAAAGTAATCACATGTGGAATTCTCGGGGCTTCTCAGAAGTAATCTAATTTGTGTACTTAGAAGGTTTACTTCGAGGATAAAGGAAACTCAAATTCCTGTGAAGTGTTGCAAGATTCTCAGAAGAAAGGCAGCAGGTGCATTTGGTGACTCTCACCCTGTATGTTAATATGCGGGGGAGTTAAATTCAAGTGCACCCGTCTTTATTGTAAAGCACAGTAAAAAGTTCTTTCCCTTTAAGATGTGTGGTTTGTCTGGTGACTGCGTCAAGTAAGTTAATCCCCTGGTTACTGATATTACTAAATTTCATTTGAAATAGAGGCGGTGGAGCAGGCTTTAGCTATGGATTTTATAGCATTGTTACCGAAATTTCTTTGTGAGATCCATCTAAAAATAGAAATCAGAAGAAGCAGATGCTCACGTTTTGGTAACTTTGTTGTCAAAAATGTCACAAGGGGCAGGGCATGGTGGCTAATGCCTGTAATCCCAGCACTTTGGGAGACCGAGGTGGGCAGATCATGAGGTCGGGAGATCGAGATCATCCTGGCCAACATGGTGAAACCCCATCTCTACTAAAATACAAAAAATTAGCCAAGCTTGGTGGTACACGTCTGTAGTCCCAGCTACTCGGGAGGCTGAGGCAGGGGAATCGCTTGAACCCAGTAGGTGGAGGTTTCAGTGAGCCCAGATTGCGCCACTGCACTCCAGTCTGGTGACAGCGCAAGACTCTGCCAAAAAAAAAAAAAAAAAAAAAAAAAATTGCCACCAGGATGTCCTGCTGGGGTTGTCCTCTGGACAGTATGGGCATTTGCATTGGAATGGTCATCTGTTCAATCCCAAACAGTTGCCCTGTCCAGAACAGAGGCAACCTTCTCTTTGGTTTCTGGGTCACCTTCCCACTGATTTCAGCCTGGCCCCGAGCCTTGCTGCTTCAGAATCAATCCCAATCTGATGGCCATAACTGCCCATCTGTCCTCTTTCTCTTGTTATTCACCAAATTCAAGAAACCTTTCATGTACCCCTCCTTCTATTCATCATCTGAAGGCTTTCCTAGACTCCCTGAGCATCACAGAAAACACTCAGCTTCCTTCTTGGGTAGCTAGCTAACGGTGCCTCAGGTCACTCTGTTCCATCTGTGCTCTTTCCATTCCAGCCTGAGCCCAGCCTCACTGCCTAGGGTCATGCAGATGACATGGGCTGTCTGATCCAGCCCACTCCAGCAGTGGTCTTGGTGGGCCCACCTCATCCCTCCGTCCTGAGCCACACTACTTTGTGGAACTTTGGCCTCAGGATCTTTCAAGGTAAGAGCTTCTTCTTGTTTTAAATACTTTAGGAACAGATTATAGAGACAAGTGCATAGGAATGATTTACAGAACAGGACGATGCTGGTACAAGAGCAGGCTCTTCTGCCCTCTATACCACAGAACCAGGACACGTGCTTTCTCACTCTGTGCTAGTATTTTGATCACAGAAATCAACATGTAATCAAAATGGTAGAGAAATTTCTGAACAAACTCTAGGGAAGTTTCCAGTGTAAATTTTAGTCATCTTGAGCCAAATTCTATTGTAAATTACACATAATGGATAATAAGACATAAAAACTAATAATTGAGGGAGTAAATAGAAGACTATACACACCATGTATCTATAAACTTGAAAAAAGTTTCGTATCCAAATGACTTGCTTAGTGTCACTGTACTTAAAATATTACTGAACAAAGTCTAAATTAAAAGTGCCGTTTTATTAGTAGACAGAGGCATAAGCACACACACACACATGCCCACACATACACACAGACTCCAAATATTTGAAGAAAATTTAAAGTATTAAACATGAAAATTACCACTTATGTAGAGCAGCAACACTCAGTTTGTGCACATGTTACCGAGTGCTACTAGCAGGGTTAGCCCAAGAGGACAGTGTGAAAAGAAAAATCAAAATGTGCTTTTGGAGCCTCCTACCTCCTGAGTCAAATTTTTTTTTCCAGGCCAATTCCATGGCTTTATTTTTTTTCCTTTCTGCTGCTATCAGCTAAATTCTTCTAATGAGTAAACCTAATCTCTTTCCACCTATTTTGTCAAACTTCAGGACATTCCTCTAGGATCAGTGCCATGGACCATTGCCTGTAAAGTATTGCTTGAGCTCACCCTCGTGGATATAATCCTGTCTCCTTCTCAGTTCTATCACATTCTATCGGGGAACATCAATGGGAAGAAACACTGAGGTTCAGGCAGGCACTTTGTAGTCCAAAAGATCTTGTTTCAAATTCACATCAAGAATCTACCAGTGGGGACAGTGTAGATAAGTTGCTTAAACTGTAGGCACTTTCATTTTCTAACTGTACATGGACGACAGTAATGTCTAACTTAGATCATTCTTATGATAATTCACTGAGGCAGGGTACATAAAACATTTAACACAGTGCCTAACATATCATAAGCCCTTGATTATCGTCTTATGTCATTACTGTGTTGTTATGACATGTATTTCTCATTCAAATTACAGTTAATTGTCTCTCTGTCTAGATTATTTTTATGAGACTCTTAAAACTCTTTGAAAACAACGCCTGTGGCTGGTTGTCCTTTATGTCTGCCTAAGCGTGCACCCACTGCTTTTTGAGTGAATGTAGATTGTATAACATGGCATGACACGGTGATAAGAGAGCCTCCCTTGGAGAAACAGGGGAAACGAGACCTGACTACCCACCTCAAGTACGCTGTTCTTCCCTGAATTAGAACCACAGAGCCTGAATAGGCCAGAGCATGTCCCGGAGGCCTCATAGCAAGAATGGCAAGTGCTCTCTGTCTGCACTTGTATGAGCTTTATTTCGTTAGCCAACACCTAACATAAAAGTAATTAACTGCGTTGTTAAGATCCTAAATGAGTTCAAATCTTTCCCATAAACATTTTTTTCTTGAAGTCATATTGTTCATCTCAGACTTCTTATTCAGAATTCCTAATTCAGAGTACCTCTGAATCGCCAGACACGATGAGTATGAGTATAGACAAAGGAAGGCATGTAACTGAGAAAGTTTGAGACTTAGTTGCATGAAGAAAATGGGGCTGCTCATCTGTGCAGTGTACCCGCCCTAATCAGTTAGCCATTTCTGCTTAACTACCCCTTCCCCAAACTCATTGGCTTAAACGGCAGTTATTATTTTTTTCACCTGTGTTTATGTGTCCTTGGGGAAGGGTTGATATAGGCTGGACTCAGCCGGTTGAATCTTCTGTGCATCACCTGGATCTGGAATTTCCCCAGGCATCTGGTTTAGATCTGTTTCAAATATGTCCATCGTGGGCATAGGCTGAAAATGTGGTAGCGAGCACCATGCTTTTCTTATGACAATGGCATCCACTTGCATTGACTCCACTCACATCCCACTAACCCCAGCAAGTCACAGGCTGGACACAGACCAAGAAGCGGAAGGCATATTTTCTCCATGCAGAGGAGATGCAAAACACATGGCAGAGCAAAAAAAAAAAAAAAAAGAATATGCAGCTTGGAAGGGGTGAGACGGTGACTATTTCTGAACAAGAATCAAAGCTGCAAAGCTGCCACATGTCCCAAGATTCTACTGTACAAACACTAAGCATAATCAGCCTTGAGCATCAAAAAAAATGCAAGAAAAACACCTGTAAACTAAAGGGCTGCTTTCAATGTATGACAAAGAATGTCTCTGACAAATTTAGAGTGCCATTTTCTCCTTTGGTTTATGTTTTCACATGAAGACATTTTGAATTCTATTCTTCTAAACATAAAGAAAATATAATTTTACACAATCTCTTTTTTTATTTAGATTTTTAACTATTTTATATTGAATTTTTTTATTTGCAGATAATGTTCAATGGACTTGAGTTTTATGTAGGAGATTAAGTTCTCTTATAGCTAAATATTGAAGTAAATTCATTTGAATCTTGATTGAGACATTGTGAAGGAGCTAGGGAGTTGCATACCACAAGGTTGGATTAATGTAAATTGATTTGTCCAAGGTTATTTGTTTAGATAATGGAGGTAATAGAATGAGGGCCCTAGGTCTCAGGGAACTGAAGCTCTGAGACGTCCCATCCTGTCATCATGTTCAAAGCAAGTTCACATCAGGGCAGACTCCATTTAGGCAGGGAAAATTCAATTAGGATCATTCTGTGGACTGAAGACTCCCATGGGGAATTGGAGTAGAAATATGGAGAGCTTGTTGTCTTAACAAAATATATGCTAACAAATGACTTTTTTGGCCCTGGCTTGGGCTCTCTCTCGTGTATGTGTGTGTGTGTGTGTGTGTTTTCTGGCATATTAATATAATGCAGTTTGTGAAGAAAAGTAAGTTGTATTTTTAAAGTCTATCGTTTAAATGATTTTGCATATGTCTCTTCCTACTTAAAAAATAATGAGTTATATTTTCAATGAAGGGCCCCTCCAGCATTTCCTAGTGTATGAATTCTTCTTTTATGGATTCAGATATGGGTCAAATCATATTGTCCCAAACCTAATCATGGACTTAAAAATCTGTTGTCATTTTATACCTCTGACATACGTAATAGTCCTGTTTCTTAATTTGATAATGGATAATTTGTGTCTGTGTGTGTTTATGTGTGTGTGTGTGCATACACATGAACTTAATATCAATCCTAAATCAAATAAGAGCTGGACACAGTGGCTCATGCCTATAATCCCATCCCAGCACTTTGGAAGGTAGAGGATGGAGGATTGCTTGGACCCAGGAGTTCGAACCAGCCTGTGCAACAAGGTGAGACTCCATCTCTATAAAAAAATATAGCTGGGTGTGGTGGGTGCACTTGTGGTTTCAACTACTTGAGAGGCAGAGGTGGGAGGGTCACTTGAGACTGGGAGTTTGAGGCTGCAGTGGTACATGATTGCACCATAGAACCCCAACCTGGGTGACAGAGTAAGACCCTGTCTCTAAAAATAAAATAATAATAATTATTAATAATAAATCAGAAATCGTTTCTGAAAGTAAATAAAACAGTAAACTTGCAAGAGTGAAGTGCATTTTTCCCCCGTAATCTGTAATTTTAGAGATCACAGAAGGTTTTTTTCCCTGTTCACAGTAACAAATACAGTCATTGATTAAAACTTCACAGATAAGTAAAACCTCTAAGAAATATTATTCTGGAAACTTTATTTTGTTAGTTTAACTCACCATAAGTCACTATGAAATAATACTGAGTGACAATCTGAGACTGACTCTCCAGGAAATAAATAACATAGGAGATAAAAATGCTTTCCTTGTGATTACTGAGGCGTGCCCTAGTCTTGCAATGAGTAACATGCAGCACGTATGCTGGGACGTGCCAGCCTTGACTGTGGAAAGTGCCCAGCTTACCCCGTGACAGGTCCTCGTCACCCAGGATGGTTCCTTGCAGTTTCAAAGGATTTCTAAAAGGGCAATCCAGGCCGGTCCTGTGCACCTCATCTTTCACTCAGATGAGTCAAAACCCCCGCTCGGATGGCAAATTGGGGTCTAAGTTTAAGCAAGAGCCAAAGTCCACCACGCACCTTGAATATTTATAAAGTATGTCATAGGACTGGAAGCATAAAGTCTAAATAACATCAACATTAAAGTTGCTGAAAAGTACAAGAATAACTGGAAGAGTCAACAACACGACTCCAGCTGGTACCTTGGCAAAGTTATGCCAGAAACTTCTCTCTTTCCTGGTTCTTCTCTGACCTAGATGACATGGGGATTTGGGATTCCAAGACTACAGAGGGAAAGGGTCATATTTTCTCCAAAGGCTAAAAAAAACAGATACTTCGGCCCCTAGCCAAGCACTGCAGTTTGCTATTAACCAACAAATTCAAATATTGATTGATCCCTCCTAAAACATTGGTCACATCGAAATCTGCCAGCTGCTCTGCACAGCATGTGCCTGCCTGGCATGTGTATGTGTGTGTGTGTTGTGTGTTTGTGTGTGTTTGTTGTGTGTGTGTTTGTGTGTGTGCTTGTGTGTGTTGTGTGTTTTGTGTGTATGTTGCATGTGTGTTGTTTGTGTTTGTGTTGTGCGTTTGTGTTTGTTATGTTTATTGTGTGTTTGTATGTGTGTTGTGTGTATGTATGTTGTGTGTATGTGTGTTGTGTGTGTTTGTGTGTTGTATGTGTGTTGTGTGTGTTGTCTTTGCTTTTTGTGTGTTTTTTGTGTGTGCTTGTGTGTGTTGTGTGTGTGTGTATTGTGTTTGTTGTGTGTGCACGTGTGTATATGTATGTGTGTGTGTGTGCGCATGCTCCCTTGACCACATGCTTTTTTGCACAGGCTACCTCCATGCTGCTCACAGTTTCCCATCCAGCTACTCTGCACAGAGCCTGTTTCCCCACCACTTATGGCTTCTTATCCACACCAGGAACCCTTGGCCACAGCCCCTTCATGTCCTGTTTCTGTGTCCTCGTGAATCCAGGAGAAGACATTTGTCCCGACACTCTGCTGTAAGCATCTCCCTAATTCCTCACAGCACCACCTACGAGGTTTGTGAGTGATGGGAATATCATGAAGGCCTGAGGGTGAGCGCAGTAACCACTCTAGGTTTCTGGAATTTCAGGCTGCCTGTGAATAGGACTATTTTTACAAGCAGCTGGACAGGACCGGCTCTCCAGTCTTGACTCCTCTTGCTCATAAACTGCTTTAAGTCTCCACAGCACAAAGCCTCATGTCCCCTTAGGGAAGGGGCTTAAACTGTCATCTATTTTTCCAGCTCCGTCATTGACAGCCCCAGGAGCTAACTGATTCATTGACTATTGGATAAATGTGTATTCAGTCACATATTGCATCAGTGAGGCTAATGGACTAGTAAGGGCAGTACTTGCAGGGGAAGACAGAAGGAGGAGAATCAAAAAGCCTTCCTCGATTATTGTCTTGAGTGACGAAGTGGGTGGCGGTGCTGTTTATTGAGCTGGGGGATGTAATGGTATTACTTTTTCCTAAAGTCTGAGTTACTCAGGACTAATAAAACAGTAATCAAATTCCAATTGGCATTTGATCTTCCAACTGTAGCACAATATTTAAATCACGAAATACAACATGTAGCAAGTGTTCCTTCTGCTTTTGGATTATCTAAGGTCAAGAGTAAGAACCTGTAATAGTGAGCTGTACCCACACTTATCTTCTCCAAGGACCAATGTTCATTACTACAAACACATCTCAGCTTCATATTAAGGAATACAATTATTTCTCTTGTTGGCCTTTCTTGGCTATAGAGATTCAAGGTAAACATCTAAAATGACAGCTTTTTCTGCTGCCTTAAGACAGATGACCTTTGTGTTTATGTGTTTTCCCCCATAATTCTCTCAGTAAGCTGCAAGGCAGGATGAGAGTTTATTTTCCTTATTTTCAAGCATTTCCTAATATTACAATCATACTTTGAAAAGGAGTCACACAGGTAGAAATCTTGCAGTTTTCCTCTAAGGATTTTCCAGAGCTGGAGTTTTGATCAAGTGACTTTAATGATTATGCTCCAATGATCAAGGAAGTCTCTTGAGTGAGCACAGGGCATTCCCTAGATAACCTAGCTGAAGGATCCTTTGAAATAGCCCCAACTTCTCTTGTTTCAAAGTCGTGGGTATAAAACAATTATGATTAACCCAAACAAAACAACGCTTACTCCAAGAATGGAGGGAAGACCAGAACTTCACAGAAGCATCTGGCACCAATACCTGAACATTCTGTGGGTTACATGGCCTTTGGAGAGGAAACCAAGGGTGTCTGTTCCAATCCCTGAATACTGCCAGGATAAGTCTCTTTTATATACCATACTACATTCCTGATGAGCTATTAGCATCATTTTATTGCATTTATAATGTGTATTTATTTCTTTAAAGAGTCTCAAACTGAAGCACGTCATGTTTAAACACCATCATTAGGCACATAGTATTGCAAACGGTTATCTGGAAGACAATGTTTTGTTTTTCTCCACTGTGTTTGTGCAGGGCCAAACATGCTGACACCATGTGCCACTCATCTGATAGCCTGAAGGGTAAATAGCCAGAGAGCTGGCATTTTGAACTATGTGGGTGCTGCCATCACACTAATGCCTAATTTATTTGGCCCTCTTCATAATGATTTTTAAATACAGAATCATGGTGGTTTTAAAACCAATAATTTTGGGGTGGAACAAAATATTCACAAAAATTGTAGTTCGTTATCTTCAAGTAAATTAAAATGTTTCTATAAAAAAACAGTAACCAGTAATCATATATACTATTCGTTGTAAACTAGTTCATGTCATTTTTTTGGCTTACAAGTATGACTGTTCTCCAGAGATGATGTCATCTGTATTTCCAAACAAGTTAGCAGCATTTCCATGCATTGCTTGCCTTTCTAATAGAGAAGTGTTTGCAAAGTGTCATGAAAGTTAACTTGGTTTGACTATTCATCCACATGATGTGGTAAACTGTAAAGTTGTAATCTGGATTACGTTTGTTGACTTCCATTTCCAAAGATAATTATTTCTTGTAAAAACAAATCACTCCAGAATATACTTCATGTAGCTTTAAAGACAAAATACCTAAGTAATTAGAAGATTATAAATATGAGAGTTAGGTCACATTCTACTTTATATCAATCCTGAGCTACCCATTCTCCTTTTGTTGACTTCCATTTCCAAACGTAATTCTTTCTTGGAAAAATGAATCACCCCAGAATATATTTCATGTAGCTTTAAAGACAAAAATACTTAAGTAACTAGAAGATTCTAAATATGAATGTTAGGTGATATTCTACTTTATATCTGTCCTGAGCTACCCATTTTCCTCTAGTTCACACTATCAAACCTATAAAAATTATTTTATCAATAATGGTAAGATTAGTGCAAAACTCCAGCTCCACAGGTACAGTGGTCCAAAGTTCAGGCCCCATGGGCTTTGTTATGTCTATTCTGGAGGCTAAAAAGGATGTTCACGGAGGTTCTGGATAATTAGGTCATAGGCTGGAGCTAAGGCAGCCTATAGAATTAGCCACTGCAGTCAGGGACTCAGGCAACCACCTCTACTTCTTGTCATCCACTCTAATTCTTGCTCATCTTGTCTCCTAGATGGAACCTTGACAGTTAGACACCTAACCCATCAGTTCATCATGTATACCAAGAAATAGATGTGTATGCAGTTCAGGTAACTGGGATTTAAAAAAAAAAAAACTCCTTTAAGAAAATAATATCTCATACTTTATCTGAAATAGCAACGAGTTTGCTGTTGGAGATACTGACCTTAATATGCTGCACATGCTAACTCAATCAAGACTCACACTAACTCCTTGAGTTAATTGCTATTTCGCTCACATTTTAGGAGAGAGATCTGAGGATAATTTTCCCATTGTGCAATGTATGTGCAAGTCATAATTTGAAATGGGGTGATCTAGCTCCAGAATCTATTTGTCTCTCAAGCATCAAAACTAAAAGAATAATGATATCCAAAGTCAATCTTCAGGAAATGAGGGCAGCACTCTGAAGCTTAAAGAGAAGGTTACTATTGTATCAAACTCAGTAATAATAGAAAATTGGCTTTTACACAAGAATAGGACTCTGCTTTCACCTTACGATTTTCCATGCAGGCATTCATCTCTGTAGTTGTCTGTTGCTCGTGTGTGGACTTCATGACAACTATCGAGATTATGATTGATTGGCGTAAGATGAGACAGCTGAATGTGACTCTGGGTCCAATAACTGCATTCATATAATGTTTGGATGACAGCCAAAACATCATCCAAATTTGGGAACCTGTTGAACAAGCAAGCAAGAGCTGTCATAATAAGACTTTCTAGGTCATTTCATAAATACCTATTTAGAAGATGATACGGGAGTTGAAAATAATTAAAGTCCAATTCATTACTAGGTTTAATAAGCAGTATTGTCAATGAGTATTGGCCCTAAGAAATTAGCATAAAGAGTCTGAAAATGCATTACTCTGACCATACAGTGCTCGTGTTAATATTCCGTGATTTGAAGAATGTCACGATGACTCTTCATTTGGAATCAGAACATCCAGGTAATGAAGCTGTGTGATGGTCATCAAGTGTGAAGGTTAAGATGATTGGACTTCTGGTGTGTAGGTTGATTTAGCAGGTTACATTAGCTTTCCCAGGAGTAGAACTAATTCAAGCTAAAATCTTTTTTCCAGCTGTCAGAATATTTCTTTGCAATTTGCTGTCGAGGGCGTCCCCACTACGTGCCATTTTTCAGCTATTTCTCATGACTGCCTCTCTGGCTGAGCCCAAGATTTACCAAGCCCAGGGTTCTGTCCCAGCTGCTGTCATGCAGATGTGCAAGTGGGAGAGCCCCATGGCTGCCCTCGGCTGGGGCTGTCAACCTCCAACATTTAACATGGCCCTTCCAACCAGCCATGGCCTCTGCACATCTGTTTTTTCAACAAGAATGAACTTGTTCCCATTGTGGATCTAACATGCACGGGACGAGAAATTAAGAGCAAGGGATCCAAGGAAATTACATTAACTAGTTAAACGTCATAATTTAAATATTCAAATTCCTTAGTAGCCAAAAAGGCAACAAGAGGAGCTTGTAATGAAGAGTGCACACACACACATTCACACACACTGACACACAAAGGCACACACATTTTCCAAGAGAAGCTTAGGGGGCTATCCTGTTCTGTGTCTTTACTCTTTGAATACACTAGGACTCTGTGGAGGCCCCATAATTGAGTTACAGCCATCACCCATATATTAGATTCCAGCCTGAGCCATGGCAAGTCTAAGTAATAGATTGAAAAATACAATTATTGCTTACCTACAGAATTCCTTTGCTTGGGAGGTAAGGCATATATATCAGAAAAGTTGTTGTGTTTTTTTCCCCAGGCCTATTCAATAAATGAACATTACACCAGGATTCTTACACAGAGTATCTCTGAAATGGGTTTTGTATTGATTTTTGTAACTACCCTGTTAGATGACGTTATCCCTTAGTGTGTCAGGTTTAGACTGGTCCGCCCGGAGCAGGTCATTGAGGTGATAACTGTCATTTGGAGGGACAGAAAAGCAATCATAGCTTTTTCATTACTTACTGTTTTCCCCCTGCGAGTGTGGGATCATTTGACATATTATGGCTTCTGTGATTTAAGCTGCATTTCTAAATTAAGTGCTAGAATATCACTCTGTGGGTTAGAAAAATCAACTTGATGTCAAAGAACCTCAGGCCCTGTGGATCACACGTATGCATGCTTCCTTCATGATACCCTCTAAAATTTTAAGAGAAATGGATTGTTAACCGCAGAAATAAATATATACCTTGTTCTTGAAAAGCATTGCATGCAAATCAGAAAAAAATCCATTAGGTTAAAGCTTTCTCATTTTTTTCTTTAATTTTATAACCATTGTTAGGGAAAAAAACAAACAAACAAACCAGAAACAACAAGATCAGTTTTATCACAAATGTAGATTTGAAGCCCATGCTGTTTTAAAATTCTAATAAAGGTAACATTAATTTTTAAATTGCATCAACTTCATGAAAATATCTTTTTCTAGGAACTGTAGTTTGACTGTGTAACACAAAGGAATGAGGGCAGGAAAAAATCTAAAAATGAAACATACTGAGTAACCATTTCTAAAAGCAACCAAGAAGAATCATCAAGAGCTAAACAGGTAGCAGGGAAAGAGATAAATCCGTGTAGGGTGGTGCCAACCTGTTCCTTTAGCACCATATTCTGACTGTTTTAGCTCCCACCCACTGCCCTCCACATGTTGTGTTGCTGGAGAATCAGATGGACGGTAAACACCAAGGAGGCAGAGCAGCCTCCCATGGGCTAGACTCTGAGGACTCGGCATGGGTCATGAATTTGGGACTCTCCATGGTTCATTTTTCCAGAGGGATCTGCAAGGCTTCTCCATTCCACCTAATGGATCTGCTCCAAAAATTGTGATTCTTTTTTTAAATTAACGTTTCAAACTCATACTCTCTCTACCAGTGTTCTTTGAACCAATCAATATGCTCAAGTCATTCCTAAGTTGAAGCATCCCAAGTAGTCCACTACTGCATGCTCAATGAATCTTCCACCTGCTGCTCTCATTCTTGCCCAATTTTCCTGCTTCCATGCCCTGGTTGTTTCCTTATTTTGCCACAACCTTGTTCTTCCTTTTGATAAGACAACCACAAACTTCAAAGGTTGAAACTTTAATATGTTCAAATATATTACTTCCTTTGAAGTAATATTTTTGTTAATCAAGAAATTTTCAGTCCTCATTCTCTTGACTTTTCTCTAATATACTATTCCTTTCTCCTTCCATCATGTTGCTAAGAATACACTCAGTCACATGTTTCTCTTGCTCTTTCTCTGTTCATTCTTTTTTAAAAAGTATTGAAAAATATTATTTTCTATTTTTTGTTAAATTAAATAACCTTATTATTTATCTACTGATGCATAACCAATCAGCCCAAAACTTTGCAGCCTAAAATAACGAACATCTGTTATCTTGTATACTATGGGTCAGGAACCTGGGCAGTACCTCACTGGGTTTCTCTCTCTGAGTTTCCCACAAGGCCACAGACTGAGATGTCAGCAGGAACTGAGAAGGCTCAGACAGGGAGGAATCTGCCCTGCAGAGGGTGATTGGAAACTTTTGGGGGTGATGGATAGGTTCATGGTATAGATTGTGGTGATGATTTCATGGGTATAGACTTTTCTCCAAACTCATAAAGTGTTAAATATTAAATATGTATAGGTTTTTCAATGCTAATCATATCTTAATAAAGTGGCTTTAAAAAACAATGAACTGGGTTTGATAAAATAACAGTTGGCAAGATTTTCAGGTGAAAAATATTTTAAAAGGATAGATTTTACAGCAATTTTGAGAAATATAATTTTTTAATCTGGGGATTATACAGGCAGTGAATTTGATCATTTTGTTTTTTCAGAGGGATATAATGGTGAATGGTTTGATAATATGTTTTTAGTTTTGAATCAAGTGTACCTTATGAGCAATACCTAATTAATGCCTATTTTAAAGCCTGAACTGAAGATAGAGACATATAAAGACAATATCACAAACATTTGTTTCAACTGAGTATTTAGACCTGCATATTAGAAAATATTCTCTATTCTATCCCAGGGATTTATTGATGCTTTCCTATTCCTTCTAAAAGATGAATTCAGCCATGAAGTTGTATATAAATAGATGATGTCTGAAGCTTTGAAATTCCAAATAAGATTCATAAGGAAATTATTTTTTCTTTCAAGCATATTGTATGATATGACTTCTTTTCTATGTAGTGAATGCATGCATTTTCAAATGTTTCAACTGAATTAACAAAAGTATGCATTTTAGCATAATAAGTATCTCCTTCAGAACTTGATTTCAAAAGTGTATCTAAGTAACTTAAAATTTGTATTTAGTATCTTGAATAGAAACAGAGGATTAGCATTCCAAATTTTAAAAATATGTCCTGATCCATGGTGTACCCATAACTTAGGATGGGACTTTTTAATAGAGATCATCCTTCCAGCCACAGACTCTGCTCCCAATTGAAGCTGGAGGAAGTGAGCTTCTCTGTAAGATGCTGCACAGACAGGCTTCTATCATCCACTTTAAGCCAGCGATGTGACTCTCTTCATGGCTTTTCTTAATCAGTTCATCTTCATTCAGGAATGTAAAAGGACTTTAAAGTAGCTTTACTTGGACTGCAAAATTGGGCAAAAAAAAGATTATAGCAAATCTTCTCAGCAGTTCTATTATACTTCATTTGGTCTTTTTTTTAAGTGGGGGAGGCATTTGAGAGGAAACTCTAAATGGCATTTTGGAAGGCTTTCAAATTTAGCAGAATATAAGTTTTTGTTTTAGCCACAAATGCGATTAGAATAAGCTAACAAATAAGTTTCTCTTAATCTTTAAAATTATTAGGGCACATGTGAAAACCTATTTCCTGGAATATGCTTAATGCAATAAGTTGGAAAAGGGAACTAATTATAATAAAATGTAATTGTTAATGGAGTTCCTTTTCTGTAACAGTGGGGTGAGAAGCTCTGCAAATTCTCTCCTCCAAAATCAATGACAAAATTGGACAAAACTGTCAAAAACATAATTTTAGAACCCCAGAAATTAATGCAAGCTATACAAAATTTGATAAGCATTCATTCAGGAGAAACTATTCAACCTAGGGTTAGAACAGTGGAACTCTGCGGCCTGTTTGTCTAAGGCTGCTCCCATCCCTTCCCTGATCTATTAACACAGAGATTTTATAAGAGTGAAGCAAGCTGTGAAACTCAAGAACTTTGTTCTGGAGAAGAGAACTTCCTTGATTTGGAACAAAAAAAACCCCAAATCCATGGCAACACTGGAAATGGTGGCCATCTCAGCAGCAAATGCATGGCGAAAGCCAACATTATGAGTGATCTAAAGTTGAAATCTCAGTGGGGCCAAGCAGCTGACCAGCAACCCTGTCAGATATTTCACCAAGAGATGTAGGGAATGACACAGCTGCAATGGGCCTTTGTCAGCTAACACATAATGCTGGTCGTCTGGAATTTCACCTCTACGGGCTGTGCACACACTAAGAAGAAACCAGAGAGAGTCCCAGCTATCCACATGTTCTAGTCTAAACGTGAGATGATGTTTACATGTGGAGGGAACACAAGAAAGGCCAGGAGAAAGAAAGATCCAGGGAAGACTTTTACATTTAGATGTGTTCTCCAATCCACACACAGATGCAGCAGCAAATGGTGTAAGTCTTGTTGGCTCAAGGAGTTTGAACAGATCATCTGATAAGTCATTGGCTGACCTCTAAGCTGTGCTGATGTGGCATACACTTAGAAAACCAGAATTAAAAATAAAATCAAGAATTAAACAAACAAACAAAAATCTTCACAGAGATATCAGTAGCTGCATATTGCTGGAGAGACAGACTTCATAGAACACTTCCAGATAAGTTACCAATTTAAACAAAGAAAACGGGTAACAACAATAATTCTCAGGATGGATAAGGGTGGATCCCTGGATGAGGCTTAAAAAAAATGAGACTTTCAATGAAACTCGAAAAAATCATAATACATAGAAACATTTTCTGAGGGTTTCAGATGTTGGACTTACAAAAGGTCTTTAAAACAGTGTTTAAACAGCTTTTAATTAAAAAAAAAATTAAAAGTTAAAGAAAATTTTGTATGCCTATTACTTACACCCAAAGAAGGTTGATAAAAATATACATCATAAAAAGGATGATGTGTGTATTGTGACATTGAAAAGTCTAGTACATTTGAGACACCAGAAGAAAAAAGTCAATGAAGTTCATGATACACTAATAGAAATTATCTGATCTCCAGAACAGAGAGAAAATTCACAAATGAAAATGAACAGAGCCTCAGGGATCTGAGTAGCACCATTAACTGTACCAAATATGTGGAATGGGAATTCCAGAAGAGGAGAGAGAGAAAGGAAGGGAAGAACACAGGAAGCAGTAATAGCAGGAAAAGAAGCTCAACAAAGTCCAAGAAGAAATCCACACAAGACACCCCATGGTCAAACTGTTGAAAGCCAAAGACAATCAGAAAATCTTGAAACCAGCATTAAAAACATGGCTCATGAACAGAGGAAATGTTAGTGTTTTTATAGGTTGGTGCAGAAGTAATTGCAGTTTTGCCATTGAAAGTAATGCCAAAAACTGGGCCGGGCGCAGTGGCTCACGCCTGTAATCCCAACACTTTGGGAGGCCGAGGAGGGTAGATCACGAGGTCAGGAGATCGAGACCACCCTGGCTAACACGGTGAAACCCCGTCTCTACTAAAAATACAAAAAATCAGCCAGGCGTGGTGGTGGGCACCTGTAGTTCCAGCTACTTGGGGGGCTGAGACAGGAGAATGGCGTGAACCCGGGAGGTAGAGCTTGCAGTGAGCGGAGATCATGCCACTGCACTCCAGCCTGGTGACAGAGAGAGACTCGGTCTCAAAAAAAAAAAAAAAAAAAAAAATGGAATGCCAAAAACTGCAATTACTTTTGCACCAACCTAATATTATGCCAGTTTCTTCCTCTGCAAAGAACATAATGCAAATATTCTTTGCAGAAGAAAAAACTGGTATAGATAAAAAATCTCAATTCTGTATATAAGAACATCAGAGAAAAAAATAAATGAAGAAAACAAAATCTTTTTTGTTTTTCTTATTCTTAATAAATGTAAAAATGAAAGTTTAAGTAATAATGGTAAGAAGGTATTAGGTGATTATAGTATGTGGATAACTAAACTAATAAATGATAGTCTTTTTAACAACCAGTGCTGAAACAATTGTATGTCTATATGCAAAAAAAAAAAACCTAAATACCAATCATGTACCTTTCACAAAAATTAATTCAAAAGAAATCATAGATTTAAACATAAACCATAAAACTATAATTTTATAGATAAACTAGATGACCTTGGCCTTGATGATGAGGTTTAATTTCATTTTTTATGGGCATACAGTAGGAATATATATTTATAAGGTACATGGGATATTTTGACACAGGCTTAAAATACATAATAATCACATTAGGGCAAGTGGGGTATCCATCACCTCAAATATTTATCCTTTCTTTTTGTTACAAACAATCCAATGATACTATTTTAGTTACTTTAAAATGTGTAATAATTTACTATTGACTGCAGTTACCATGTCCTGATATAAAATACTAGATCTTATTTGATCTATCTAACTATATTCTTGTACCGATTTGCCATCCCAATTTCTACCACCCACTCTCCTTCGCAGCTTCTGGTAGCCATCATTCTTCTCTCTAACTTCATGAGTTCAATGGTATTAAATTTTATCTTTCACAGATAAGTGAGAACACGTGAAATTTGTCCTCCTGTGCCGGGCTTATTTCACTTAACAAAATAGCCTCCAATTTCATCCATGTTGTTGCAAATAACACAATCTCTCCTTTTTTTTTTTTTTTTTTTTTTTTTTGAGACAGAGTTTCACTCTTGTTAACCAGGCTGGAGTGCAATGGCGCAATCTCAGCTCACTGCAACCTCCGCCTCTCAGGTTCAAGCGATTCTCCTGCCTCAGCCTCCCGAATAGCTGGGATTACAGGCATGAGCCACCATGCCTGGCTAATTTTTGTATTTTTAGTAGAGATGGGGTTTCCCCATGTTGGTCAGGCTGGTCTCGAACTTCCAACCTCAGGTGGTCCTCCCGCCTTGGCCTCCCAAATGCTGGTATTACACGTGTAAGCCACCATGCCTGGCCCCAGAATCTCTCTCTTTTTTTTTTTACAGCTGAATAGTATTCCATTGTTAATAAGTACCACATTTTCTTTAACCATTCATCTGTTGATAAACACTTAGGTTTCTTCTTAATCTTGGCTGTTGTAAACAGTGCTGCAATAAAAATGACACTGCAGATATCTCTTGGATATAATGGGTTCCTTTCTTTTGGGTATATAACTAGCACTGGGATTGCTGGATCATATGGTAGTTTTATTTTTAGTTTTTTGAGGAGCCTCCAAACTGTTCTCCATAATGGTTGTACTAATTTATATTCCCAGAAACTAAGAATTTTCCCACATCTTCTCCACATCCTGTTCTCCTCATCCTCTCCAGCATTTGTTGTTGCATGTCTTTAGGATAAAAGTCATACTAACTGGGATGGGATTATATCTCAGCGTAGTTTTGATTTTCATTTCTCTGATGATCAATGATGTTGAGCACTTTTTCATATACCTGTTTGCCATTTGTATGTCTTCTTTTGAGAAATATCTATTCATATATTTTGCCCACTTTTAACATGATTATTAGATTTCTTCCTATGAGTTGCTTCAGCTCCTATTAATCCCTTGTCAGTTGAATAGTTTACACATATTTTCTCGCATTCTGTGGTTTGTCTCTTCACTTTGTTGATTGTTTCCTTTGCTGTGCAGAAACTTTTTAACTTGACATGATTCCATTTGTTCATTTTTGCTTTGGTTGTCTGTGCTTATTGGGTGTTACTTAAGAAACATTTGCCAGGACCGATGTTTTGGAGGGTTTCACCAATGTTTTTTCTTAGTGGTTTCGTAATTTGACGTCTTAGATTTAAATCTGGAATTTATTTTTATTGGATTTTTGTATATGATGAGAGTTGGAGTCTAGTTTCATTTTTCTGCATATGGCTATCCAGTTTTCCCAGCACCATTTATTGAAGATACTGTCCTTTTTCCAATGCATGTTCTTATCATCTTTGCCAAAAAGGAGTTCACTGTAGATGTACAGATTTATTTCCGGTTCTCTATTCTGTTCCATTAGTCAATGTGTCTGTATTTGTGCTGGTGCCATATTGTTTTGGTTACTACTGTTCTGTAGTATAATTTAAAGTCAGGTATGTGATTCCTCCGGTTTTTTTGTTTTTCTTTTTGCTCAGGATGGTTTTTTCTCTTCTAGGTCTTTTGTGGCTTCATATAAATTTTAATTTTTTTTTCTCCTTCTGTGAAGAATACTATTGGTATTTTGATACAGTTTATATTGAATCTATAGATAGCTCCTGGTAGTATGGACCTTTCAATAATATTTACTCTTCCAATTCATAAAAATAAAATATTTTTCCTTTTTCTGCCTCCTCTTCAATTTCTTGCATCAATATTTGTAATTTTTATTGCAGAGATCTCTCACATCTTTGCTTAAGTTTACCCCTAGTTATTGTATTAGTCTGTTCTCACACTGCTGTAAAGAAATAACTGAGACTGGGTAATTTATAAAGAAAAGAGTGTTAACTGGCTCATGGTTCCACAGGCTGTACAGGAAGCATGCGTCTGACATCTGCTTGGATTCTGGGGAGGCCTCAGGAAACTTCCAATCATGGAAGAAGATGAAGGGGAAGCAGGAACATCTTACATGGCTGGAACAAGAGAAATGGTGGGGGAGCTGCTACGCACTTTTAAACAACCAGATCTTGTGAGAAATCTACCATAAGGACAGCAATGGCTGGGGGGGTGCTAAACCATTAAACCCATAGAAACCACTCCCATAATCCAATCACCTCCCACCAGGCCCCACCTCCAACACTGAGCATTATAATGTGACTGAGATTTGCCTGTTTCCTAGTTCCACATTTTCAAGTGTTCTTATAGAAGTGTCCCAATCTTCTGGTACCAATTTTCTATATTAGTCCATTCTCACACCCTCCCACTGGGTCCCTCCTACAACATGTGGGAATTCAAGATAAGATTTGGGTGGGGATACAGCCAAACCATATCATTCCAGCCCAGCCCCTCCAAAATCTCATGTCCTCACATTTCAAAACCAATCATGCCTTCCCAACAGTCCCTCAAAGTCTTAACTCATTTCAGCATTAACTCAAAAGCCCACAGTCCAAAGTGTCATTTGAAACAAGGCAATTCCCTTCTGCCTATGAGCCTGTAATATCAAAAGCAAGTTAGTTACTTCCTAGATACAATGGGAGTAAAGGAGTTTGATAAATACAGCCATTCCAAATGGGAGACATTGGCCAAAACAAAGGGGTTACAGGCCCCATGCCAGTCCAGAATCCAACAGGGCAGTCAAATCTTGAAGTTCAAAAATGATCTCCTTTGACTCCCTATCTCACAACCAGGTCATGCTGATGCAAGAGGTGGGTTCCCATGGTCTTGGGCACTTCCACCCCTGTGGCTCTACAGGGTACAGGCTCCCTCCCTGATGCTGTCATGGGCTGGTGTTGAGTGTCTCTGGCTTTTCCGGGTGCATGGTGCAAGCTGTCAGTGGATCTACCATTCTGGTGTCTGGAGGACAGTGGCCCTCTTCTCACAGCTCCACTAGGTGGTGCCCCAGTTAGGACTCTGTGTGGGGGCTCTGACCCCACATTTCCCTTCTTCACTGCCCTAGCAGAAGTTCTCCAAGAGAGCCTCACCCCTGAAGCAGATTTCTACCTAGACATCCAGATGTTTCCATACATCCTTTGAAATCTTGGTGGAGGTTCCCAAACCTCAATTCTTGACTTCTGTGCAACTGCAGGCCCAACACCACGTGGAAGCTTCCAAGGCTTTGGGCTTGCACCCTCTGAAGCAATGGCCTGAGCTCTAAGATGGCTCCTTTTAGCCAAGGCTGGGATGCAGGGTCCCATGTCCTGAGACTGCACAAAGCAGCAAGGCCCTGGCCCTGGTCCACAAAACCATTTTTTCTTCTTAGGCCTCTGGGCCTGTGATGGGAGGGGCTGCCATGAAGTTCTCGGACATGCCTTGGAGACATTTTCCCTATTGTCTTGGTGATTAACATTTGGCTTCTAGTTACTTATGCAAATTTCTGCAGCTGGCTTGAGTTTCTCCTCACAAAATAGGTTTTTCTTTTCTATTGCGTCATTTGGTCTATAGTGTAGATTAAGTCTGTTGTTTCTTTGGTGATTTTCTGTCTGGATACTCTGTCCAGGGCTGACAGTGGGATGCTGAAGTGTCCAGCTATTCTTTTATTGGGATCTATCTCTGTCTTTAGCTCTAATAATATTTGCTTTATATATCTCGGTGCTCTAGTGTTTAGTGCAGATTACAACTGTTATATCCTCTTGCTGAATTGACTACTTCGTGATTATATAATGACCTTCTTTTTCTCTTTTTATAAATTTTGTCTTTAAATCTATTTTTTTTCTGATATAATTGCCATCCCGTTATTTTCAGTCTACATGTGTCTATACAGGTAAATTGTGTTCATGAGTTTCTTGTAAGTCAACAGATAACTGAGTCTTGTTTATATATAAACAAGGGTTGGAATGAGTATATATATGTGTGTGTGTGTGTGCATGTGTGTATGAATTATATATTTATATATGGTATATATATCTGAATTATATATACATAGTATATATAATATAAACAAGTGCTATATGTTAACAGGGTTCCGATGTATATATATGTACATTCACTCACTCCATGTCTTTTGATCGGAGAGTTTAATCTATTTACATTCAATGTATTTTATTGATAAGTAAGGACTTACTCCTGCCATCTTGTTATTTGTTTTCTGGTTGTTTAGTGGCCTTTCTTTTTTCTTTTCTTCCTGTCTTCCTTTTAGTGAAGGTGACTTTCTCTGATGGTGTGTTTTAATTTCTTGCTTTTTATTTGTTGTGTATCTGCCATTTTTTTATCTGAAGTTACTGTTAGACTTGGAAATAATGTCTTATAACCCATTTTCTTAAATTGATGAACACTTAATACTTATTGCATAAACAAACTAACAAGCAAATAGAAAACTAATAAAAGCTTTACATTTAATTTCATCCTTCTGCTTTTCAACTTTTATTATTTATATTTATTTCTTATTATACTGTCTCTGTATTGAAAAGTTGTTGTGATTATTAGTTTTGATAGGTTCATCTTTCAGTCTTCCTACTCAATATGCAAGTAGTTTACACAGCACAGTTACAGTGTTATAATATACCGTGTCTTTCTGTGTTAACTATAACCAGTGAATCTTGCACCTTCAGATCTTTTCTTATTACTGATTAATGTTGTTTTCTTTCTAATTAAAGAAATTCCCTTAGCATTACTTGTAGGACATGTCTGTTGTTGATAAAGTCTCTCAGCTTTTGTTTGTCTGGAAAGTCTATTTTTTTTTCATGTTTGTGGGATATTTTCACTGCATATTCTATTCTAGAACTATTTTTTTCTTCAGCACTTTAAATATGTGATGCCACTGTCTCCTGGCCTGTAGTTTCCACAAAGAATTCTGTGGCCAGGCATGTTGGAGCTACTTTTATGTTATTTATTTCTTTTCCCTTGCTGCTTTTAGGATCCTTTCTTTCTCCTTGATCTTCAGAAGTCTGATTATTAAATATCTTTAAGTTGTACTATTTGGGTTAAACCTGCTTGGTGTTCTATCACCTTCTTGTGCTTGAATATTTATGGCTTTTTCTAGGTTTGAAAAGTTATCTGTTATCCCTTTAAATAAACTTTCTACCTAGATCTCTCTTTACTTGTTTTCTGGCTATTTTCTAGATCTTATAAGTGTACCATATTCCTCTTATTTTTCCTTTTGTCTCCTGTGACTGTATATTTTCAAATAGACTGTTTTTGAGCTCATTCACTCTTTCTTTTGCTTGATCAATTCTGCTGTTAAGAGACTGTAATGCATTCTCCAGTATGTCAAGTGCATTTTCAGCTATAGAATTTCTGCTTGATTCTTTTAAATTATTTCAATCCCTTTGGTAAATTTATCTGATAAGGATCTAAATTCCTTGTCTGTGTTATCTTGACTTTTGTTAGGCTTCCTCAAAATAGCTATTTTGAGTTCTCTTTCCGAAAGTTCACATATCTCTGTCTCTCCAGGACTGGTCACTGATGACTTATAAAGTTCATTTGGTGTGGTCATGTTTTCTCGAATAGTCTTGATGCTTGTGAATATTCTTTGGTTTCTGGGCATTGAAGAGTTAGGTATTCATAGTAGCCTTTGCAGTCCAGGATTGTTTGTACCTATCTTTCTTTGGAAGGTTTTCCAAGTATTCAAAGGAGGTTGGGTGTTGTGATCTAAGTCTTTGATCACTGCAGCCTTAAAGGCTCTTCAGTTAGCTTGTATTGAATGCTGCAGTCCTGATTCTCTTCATTCAGAGCAGTAGATCCTCTTCAAGCCCAGGGAGGATCCAAAAATACTGCAGGAGCCAAGACTGGAATCAGAGACCACAGGAGCTCTCTTGGTGTTCTACTTTTCTGTGGCCAAAGTGGTACCCAAGCTGCGAGACAAAGTCCCCTTTTGTATTAGTCCATTTTCACACTGCTGATAAAGACATAGTTGAGACTCAGCAATTTACAAAAGAAAGAGTTTTATTGGACTTACAGTTCCACATGGCTGGGGAGGCCTCAAAATTACAGTGGAAGGCCAGGAGGAACAAGTCACATCTTATGTGGATGGCAGCAGGCAAAGAGAGAACTTGTGCAGCAAAAGTCCCATTTTTAAAATCATCAGATCTCATGAGACCAATTCACTTTCACAAGACCAGCACAGAAAAGACCCACCCCAATAATTTAATCACCTCCCACCTTGTTCCTCCCACAGCACTTGGAAATTATGGGATTTACAATTCAAGATGAGATTTGGGTGGGGACACTGCCAAACCATATAACCTTTGTTATTTCCTCTCCTTTCCTCAAGCAGAAGGAGTCTTTCTCCACAGCCACCACAGGTTGGCATATGTTGAATCTCACCCAAAGCCAGCACATCTCTGAGTCTCACCCAAGACCCACGGTAAGTACTGCTTCGCTGTCACTACTGATCATTCAGGACCCAAGGACTCTTTAGTCAGCAAGTGATGAATCCTTCCAGGTCTAGTTCCTTCCTTTCAGGGTAGTAGGTTCCCTTCCAGCCAAAGGTGTGTCTGGAAATATCATCCAGGAGCTAGGGCCTGAAATGAGGGCCTCATGACTCTGCCTGCTGCCCTATCCTACTGTCAATGAACTGGTATAAAAGTTGCAAGACAAAGTCCTATTTACTCTTTCTTCTTCTCTCTTCAAGTGGAGAGAAGGAGTTTCTCGCAGAGCTTCAAGCTGTGCTTCCTAGGGTTGTGGGAGGGGTAACACAAGCACTCCCTTAGCCACCCCAACTGGTGTCTTACTAGGTCATGTGCCCCCCAAGTCCACTGTCAACAAGACAACCACAACATCAGGAGTTACCCAGGAATTGCAGTCCTTGTGGCTTAGACTGACTTACAAGTTTCTTTAGAACCCTAGAGCACTTTAGCCCATGGTGGTGGGGCTTGCTGGAATTCAGGTTCTGACTGTTGGAACAGATGATTCCTCTCTGGCAAGAGCTGATCTTAGTGGTCCCTCTGTAGGTCTTGGCTGGATTCTGCCTTGCGTTTCTTTCTGCTGTGACAGGCAGCACTGACTTCCAATGCAAATCCCCACAATCACTGCACTCTCCCTTCCTCCAACTGCTCGGATTCTCTCTCTGTGCAACAGGTCACTGCCAGGAGATAGTGGAGGGTTGGTGTAGGTGATTCAAGATTCTTTGCTACCCTCTTCAGTGCCTCCTTCCTTACTTAGATGTTAAAACCAAATATTATGATCACTCACCTGATTTTTGGTTCTTATGAAGGTGCTTCTTGTGTGGATAGTTGTTCAAATTGAAGTTTTTGCTGGGGGTGTTGATTACTGGGGTGTTCTATTTGGCCGTCTTGCTCCACGTCACCTCCAATGATGAGTTTTCAGATCCAAATACAAAGAACTATCCAGGGAAGAAAAGAAGAAGAAGGAGAAGAAGGAGAAGAAGGAGAAGAAGGAGAAGAAGAAGAGGAAGAGGAAGAGGAAGGAGGAGGAGGAGGAGGACTTAAACTCAAAACTTTCCTCTCTGCTTAAGACAATGCTAAGTGAATATGGAAGAAAATATATGCAAAGTGTATATTTGTAAAGAGTTTATATCTAAAAATATTTTTCAAGTCTCTTAGAACTCAACTATAAGTTACAAACAACCTAATTAAAAAGTGGGCAAAATCCTCCAGGCACAGTGGCTCACGCCTGTAATCCCAGCATTTTGGGAGGCCAAGGCGGGCAGATCACCTGAGGTCAGGAATTTGAGACCAGCCTGGCTGGCATGGTGAAACCCCGTCTCTACTAAAAATACAAAAAATAGCCGGGCCTGGTGGTGGGCACCTGTAATCCCAGCTACTGGGGAGGATGAGGCAGGAGAATTGCTTGAACCCGGGAGGTGAAGGTTGCAGTGAGCCAAAATCACACCACTGCACTTCAGCCTGGGTGACAGAGCGAGACACCACCTCAAAAAACAAAAAATTGGGCAAAATCTCTGAACCCCAGGGAAAAAGTTATATATATCTATACTGATTGCAAATAAACATTTGAAAAAAATACTTATAGTGTATCCTTAGTCTAATTCATGGAATGCATGTTAAAACAGCAATAAATTACGGTTATATACCTTATTAGGGTAGCTAAATTAAGAAAGACAGGGGTAGGGGAATGAAAACACCAAAACACCAATTACTGATGAGAATGTGAAGGAAGAACTCTCATTCACTCATTGCCGGTAGAAATGAAAATAGTACAGCCACTGTGGTTTGTATAGCCAGTTAGTACACTCATTCATTCGTTGCTGGTGGAAATTCAGAATACTACAGCCACAATTGTTTCATAATTTCACATGAGGCTAAAACATTTCAATTATACAACATCTGGATAAAGCCAAACCAGAGATTCATACAACAACAACAGCAAAATAATCATTGGGTTCAAGGAGTTCAGAGAAAGGAGAAGAGTGGAATAGAAGCAGCAAAGGAAGAATTGTTTTTTTATTCTGTATGACACTGTAATCATTTATATACTTTCCATTAGCCAAACCCCATAGAACTTTATAGCAAAAAAAAATGAATCATAGTACATGCAAATTAAAAAAGAATTATGTACTTTCTGATGGAATTGCACCATAAAATGCAGAATGTGACAAAACAATCTAAAGGTATTACAAATGTATGAAACAAACCCATTGAAAAGAGTGTATGAAAAGAAACCAGTCTATGTAACTTTGGGAATGGGTGGAGTCTCTCACACTAAAGGCAACATAAACTGTACAGAGCGCTTTACTTCAGGTGATGACAGGGGAATGGGTTCACAATTCTGATAATGCTATCTATGTAGACACTAAATTGAAGAAATAACCAATAAATGGTAGAGGGTAAGCGCCAGATTTCTCACAGATAGAGTAGGAGGTTCTAGACAAGAAAGGGGAGAATAACCCATGTGGTAAATGACTAGAGCTGGACACAAGTATGAACTCATGCTTAGCTTGCTACAGATATGAATGGTTGTATGTAGCGATGTTTTAGATGTGTGTACATGTATGCGTTGGTGTACATGCATGTATCTTCATGGTGACAGCCCAGAGGGACTAGAAACAACACCACTTCAGTACCAGCAAGTAGGTGCAGATCCCAGATCTTGTATTCTAATTTCGTTCTCTAATAAAAAGGACCAGACTCCTTAGAAAAATGGCTAATTTGTGGACTGAGCAAGCAAGTATTGAAAGAGAGAAGAAGATGGGCATATGGAAGACTCTTGCATCACCAGGAAATAGGAGGTACTAAAAATAAGTATGTAAAATAAAATAGATAAAAACAAAACACAATTACAGAAGTATGTCAAACTGACATGGTAGCCAATTGAAATGGCTTCCAGTCACCAGAGCTGAAACATTTTGCACAAGAAACTTTATAATGTAATTGGACTACAATTACATTTTAATATAAAGGAAGCATCCATGAGTTGATACTGGTAAAATAAATGATTGAATGGTGGAATAGATGGATCTCCTGTGCAAAAGCATTCCAAATATCTTATGTGGATGCAGCCCTGAAGGGGGTTGAACATGAGTTTGTGTGCCTTAAGTGTGGGCTGTGCATAGTGACTTCCTTTCAAAGAGTATAGTGTAGAAAGGAGAATAAAAGAGTATTTTTTACCATGTAGAAACCTGAAAAACATTACCACAGCCAGATGATCAATACTAACACAACAATAAGTCATGTTGATAACATGCACTCTTGATATGATGTGATAAGGATGGCCTTTGACCTTTTTGCTATTTCTTCCAAAACACATCTTTAGTCTAATCTGAGAAAAATATCAAATAATCTCAATAGAGGACACTCTACAAAATACCTGACCAGTCCTCCTCAAAATTGTCAATGTCATCAAAAACATGGCAAGTCCGAGAAAGTGTCACAGCTGAGAGGAGCCTAAGGGGACGGGATAGATAAATGTTATGTGGCATCCTGGGTGGGATCCTGGAACTTAAAGCTGACTTTTGTGCTGCCTGTGATGGAGGCTAAGTGAAGAGTGCATGTTGCAGGGAGTAAGGATCTTGTTTTAGGGTGGGTGGGGTGAGCACTGAAAAGTCAAAATGACACTGAAGTAAATTAATTCAGCTTAAGAGGCATTTTGTAACAGAAATGCATGTATCTGTTGGCTACTACAGAGCTCTTTATTCATCACATGTTGCAGTCTTTTTCATCTTTATCTTTGTTATGAAAACCATATTGCTGAATATCTCATCTGCACTCAAACGTGGTGCACATAATTCATATGTTGTCAAGTCAAAAGGGTTTGTCTTTACATTTTGACCTTTTAACTCTAGCTTTGATGTCTTTCTGACTAAGGGTAAGGATAAAAATTTGAGAAGCATGAAACTATTTAAATACCTTTCTTTTGTATCTCCTTCACCCAGTTTTATTTTCATAAGCTACCTGAGCATTTCTGTCCTTACCCATAGTCTCAAATACCAAGAGTTCCATTGAGATGGTGAAGGTAAGTTATATTGGCAATACCATTTTCTTATTTACCATTTGCCTGCAGTTAGAGCTGCAGTTCCCATTTTTATCCTGTCAATTTTAGTGAAATAGCATAGTGCTTTAAAAAACACGTTTGTGGAGCTCTTACCGTGTGCCAGGCTCTGTGCATGACCCAGGCAATTAAAGATAGATAATAGCCATTCTACTATTCAGCCCCTTTTTGAAGGCATCACTGCAAGTGAATTGCAAATGTGTCCTGGCAACTGTGTAATTGAGAAATGCTGCACATGAGGCCCAACGTGAAAAGGGACAGGCTGTGAGGCAGAGATGCACATGAGTCCAGGTGACAGATGGGGCATCTGACACAGTAGGGATTTGCACTTGATCCTATTGACAGGGAAAGAAGCTGGAAAAATATAATTGTGTGTTGTAACGTTATCAGAATTTTACCTTATTTGTAACATTTTGGGGCTGGAGTGAAGATGTTCCAGTTGGAATAGGCAGGGGAAACAAGAAGCAGAGAAATCAGTTCAAAGGTCATTTCCATTGGCCAGAAAAAAGGTAAGGAAGATCAAGAGTAAGACAGAGGTGGGCCGGGCGCGGTGGCTCAAGCCTGTAATCCCAGCACTTTGGGAAGCAGAGGTGGGCGGATCACGAGGTCAGGAGATCGAGACCATCCTGGCTAAGACGGTGAAACCCCCTCTCTACTAAAATTACAAGAAATTAGCCAGGCGTGATGGTGGGCGCCTGTAGTCCCAGCTACGTGGAAGGCTGAGGCAGAAGAATGGCGTGAACCCGGGGGGCGGAGCTTGCAGTGAGCCGAGATAGCGCCACTGCACTCCAGCCTGGGCAACACAGCGAGACTCCGTCTCAACAACAACAACAAAAAAAAGAGTAAGGCAGAGGCCAAGAGGATAGAAGAAAAAGTGGCATCGTTACATATGCACAAGATCGCATCAGCAGTCCTTGGTTATAGTAAGAGAAACTGAAGTCAAGTGATGAATCCTAGATCACTGCAGATGGAGACAAGAATGGTGCTCCGTGGGTTGTGATCCCCCTGCCAGCTGGAGACAGACAGGATGTGGGGGCCAGCTGGAGCAAGGAGACAAGTTCCAGTGACTGCAGGGGCGGGGTGGGGATTTGTGCACACTTTGTGGTAGACATATGTGAACCTATTAGACAATTTGTAGTTATTAGAATTTGAAAAAAATATAAGATATCATAAAATAACAAATTTTAGATTCAGCAGAAACTGGATGGCTGAGACCCAGAATAGGCTGCCTAGGCAATGCCAGCAGCAATGCCTGTGCATGAGTGTCAAACAGGACGGATGTGCTCACGGGACTCCGTTCCAGTCTGTGACACCTCTAACTCAGAAACTTGAAGCCGTGCATCTAGTATAATTCATGTAATTGCATTTTATTGAAATCTTCAAACATATATTTATATGCATTTGAAAACTTTATATATATGTTTATATATAAAACTATATATATATTTTTTAAAAAAACTGATTTCTCAATATTTAAGAGGATTCCCCAGCTCCAGTGAAGAAAATTCATATTAGTGGTGAAGATGACTACTAGTTAATTAGTGATTAAATAATGTATTGCATTCTCTCACCAAACTTAACAGTATAAACCTAAAAAATAAAGCCAGAAATAAAATTAATAAATACAAAATAAACTATTCATTACCCTTGCCATGCTTTTGTTTCCTGCAATATCTTTGTTTCATTCAAAGAATATTGATTCTCCATCCCCATCTCTTCCCAAATATCCCAATGAATGCAATGTGCAACGTTCAACATTTACAAAGCAAGATTGTCTGTGCCCATGGTCACAGGTTAGGTTTACTTAATGTTGAGTTTATTGATTTTTATAAATCAAAGAAGTCTGAAGAGTATATTGAAGATATTCATTTCAAGTAGTGTTGTTTTGTCGGTGCCAATATTTCAAATTGTTCCTATGAAACACTCAATAGTGAGGTCAATAATAACATCTTTTTCATTCTCCTACTAAAGCATAGTCATAAAAAACCATCCATGGCCTGATATTTTCTCCCCATGCCCTTTCAGACAGAATCACTTCATGTGTTACCAGCCTCGCTCTCCACTGGATGAACTGCAGAAAGCCTGAAAAAGGACAGCCAGCCACTTCGAGCAGATCTTGGAAGAATCAGTCTCCTTTTAAACAAAGCTCTAATTTAATATTTTTATGGTAAATAAAAAAGAAAGTGGAAGATGCCTACATTTTTGCTAAAGCATAATATAAAAAGAACAGAAAAGAACCACACCCTGCAAACCCATGCTTCAGACAACCAGATGCTAGAGAGGTGGATGCTTCAGACAACCAGATGCTAGAAAGGTGTATTGTAGATGACTTACTTTCTGCAGTTTGAAAGCTTATACATTGCATCTGAGGACTAAGTAATGTTTTGTATTGGATAAAACAAATTTCATTTCAATAAAATTTTCAATTTCTTTTTTAATTTTTTCACTGACCTACTTGTCATTCAGGAGCTTGTTGCTTAATTTTTGTGTATTTTTACATTAATAGTTTCCAAAATAGCTCTTGTTATTAATTTCTAGTTTAAATAAAACAAATTTTAAAACTTCAAAAAATAAAAATATTTTTAGAACCTGTTTTTATCACTTTGCTTCACCCTGAACCCTTATTTTCTCAGAGGCTTCTCCTCTGCTATTCTCCATCTCTGGCCCTCTCCCCTCCCTGACTCCCCAAAGAACCAAAGTAGAAAATTATCTCCTTAGAAAATGCATATCTATCCTTAGTATCAGCTCAACCTTGATCTTTAGAGTGAAAATGCTATAGGTTAAATTTAAATAAAACACATGCTATTATAGGTTAAATTTATATGTTGAGATCTTAATCCCAAAAACTCCAAATGTGACCTTAATTGAAGACAGGGTTGTTGAAGATGTAATTAATTAAGGTGAAGGACTTAGGGTGGGCCCTAATCCAATGTGACTGGTGTCTTTATTAATAGGGGAAACATGGACACACATACACACACACACACACACACACACACACACACACAGAGAGAGAGAGAGAGAGAGAGAGAGAAAGAGAACGCAGTGAACATGAAGTCAGACACCAGGGTGATGTTTCTACAAGCCAAGGGATGCCAAAAGTTGTCAGCAAACTCCCAGAATACCCCACGTGGCTGTGGAGATTTTGAGGTCAAAGGTTGTCTTCCCAAATTTTAGCCCCCGATAACTTGTGTTATACCACACAAAGAGTAGGCTCTCAACAATTGTGAAGAATGAGCCTTCTTGCTTTTAAATTTTATGCCTTCTTGTATGTCTGTTGCATCTCACTGTATGTATTTACTGGTATTATGTGTTTGTGCACAAATATTATATTCTCTTCAGATTCTAATTTCCTTGACAGGAAATCCCATGTCTTAGGTGTATTTGTTCCGCAGTCTTCCATATTTTCTGATGTATTTTAAGAGCTCAAATCGAAGAGGATCTGTTATAGCCAAGTAATCTTCTATCAGATAGACCCTCCTACAGATAATAACTATACTCTCTAGACAAATTAAAAACAAAGCAAAACAAACCAAAATGACAAAGCAGGCAAAATATAAAGCAGCATCAATAATTGAAAGAGGAATGGTTAAGAATAACTTTACTATTTTATAGATTTTAGTTTCAAGGAAAGCTGTACTCCATGCCAAGTTTTGTGGACACAATCCTTGAAAATTTGTACTATTTCTGCATTGAAAAACCAAAAGACAGAATTCAAGGCAGACTTATGTACTGGGTAGTAAGATATTCTGGAAATAAGAGAACTGGAGAGGGACATTCTAGCTATAAACTGTCAAAATCTCTGGCTCTATTCTGAACCATGCAGATGAGGATTGCAAACAGCTCAGCTAAGGATGAAACAACTCAAATTAGTTTTGTGCTGACATCTAAGAAACATAGTTTAAAATTGAGCTCAATAAAGTAAATTGCCTGCTACAGAAAATTATAATACTATTAGAAGAATAAAAACATAATCCGTGGTCTTCACAGCATTATATTTACAATTTCTGGGATACAGGGCAAAATACTAGACATGAAGAAACCAAAAAAATGTGACTCATTCTAAAGAGAAGAGAAAATTAACTGAGACCAACCCTATGATAGCCTGAAGGATAAAATAAGTGGACAACACTTTAAAGCAGTGATTATAACTAATGCCAATGAAACGTCTTCATAATGAATGAAATGATAAACATCTCAGCAGAGAATCCTCTATCTGTGTAGACAAATAAGACAATTCTAAAACCAAAAGATATAGCATGAGTACACATTCTCCAGAAAAAAGTAATCAATAGAATGTGTATGTGAAAGAAGAGAAAAATTGGGAGGAACTGACACGCACAATTATGGAGACCGAGAAGTTCCATGGGCTGCTGTCGTTAAGCTGGGAATTCAGAAAAGCTGGGGACTTGATGGTGTAATTCAGTCTGGGTCCAGAGATCTGAAAACTAGGGAAGCCAGTGAAGTAGATCTTAGTTTGAGGGTAGAGAAAATGAGATGAGATATTTTAGCGCAAACACTAAGGCAGAAACAAAAGGTGAAAATTACTCCTTCTTCCACCATGTTCTATTCAAGCCTTCAGTGGATTGTATAATATGTTCTTCCACATTCTGGATTACTCAGTTCATGGATTCAAATGTAAATATTATCTAGAAACACCCTCACAGACACACCCAGTAATAGTCTTTTATTGAGCAATCCATGGCCCAAATAAGTTGACATAAAATTAACCATCATAGGTGAAATCAGTAAAATAAAAATATTCAATGGATAAGCATAACAGCAAAAAAGAGATGGAAAGGGAGAGGGTGAGTGAACTGGAAGACAGATAAATATAAATTATACAGTCTGAGAAACATTTATCTCTAACGTCTCTCTCTCTCTCTCTCTCTCTCATCTAAAAAGCCTTTAGTGTCTCTTCATTACTTTATGTTGTTCTTAAATTATGAGATATAAGCTGTTGTTTATTGTTTGATTTTGGTTAATCACAGCAGAGTGTTTCAGAAATTTGGTACATCTCACAATTGATTGATTGAGAGATAAATATCATTCAAACTTAATATTATCTCTTCTAAAGACCTGTTATGTGGAAATTACATCTTTATATATTGTTTTTTTAATATGTTATCTTATTTAAAGATCTTGATGTCACTTGCATGCAATTGTGTGTACTTCACACACACACACACACATATTTGTTTCACACACCATGCTGAAAAATATTAAGTTATTAGTTTCATGGGTTTACCATGATTATCTACGTATGAAGTACATAAAGTGACAAGGTCTGTGTATACATGTGAGTGTACATTAAAAAAGCAACTAGCAGCTGGGCACGGTGGCTCAGGCCTATAATCCCAGCACTTTGGGAGGCCGAGATGGGCAGATCACAAATCTGCCAAATCACATTTTGGAGTAACCAAAAATCACTCTTCATTTTTGTCAGAGACAATATTCAAACTGCAGTGAGAGATGTACTCAAACAGAACATAGTAATCTTACTGAATAAAGGGGGTAGAGGAAAGAGTTCAGGGTGCTAGGTACAATTGGAATTTTTACAGCAGAATAACAAAGAGGAGAGAGATATGGAGAATTCACTACACATAATCCCTTTAAGTCTGTTGCTCTATGTGAGTAAGGTAAAACTAAGTAAAGGTAAACAAAAACCTCCTGAGTTTCTATAAGTAGAACTATTCCAAAAACGTGTAATGAGCTGGAAAACATTTGAATTCTGAAGATCTAGGGAAGAAAGAACTTGCTAAAACACGTGGCATTTAGTAGATGAGAGGGAAAGATTATGCTTTGCATTAGGTAGAATAATAGCTTCTGAAAAAATGTCCATATTCTAATATCCAAACCTGTAAATATGTTGTTACACAGGCAAGGGGAAATTAAGTTGGCAGATAAAATTAAGTTAGATAATCAGATGACCTTGGGATACAGATATTAACCTTGATTATCTGCGTGGACCCAATGTGACCACAAGGACCTTTGTAAGAGAGAGAGAAAAACAGGACAGTCAGTCTCCAAATGATGTAGTGTGAGAAACATGCGACTTGACTTTACTGGGTTTGAAGATAAAAGGGAGCCCATGCCAAGGAATTGAAATATCTTTAAAAGTTGGGAAATAAAAGAAACAGATTATACCCTAAAGAAAGTACAGCACTGTTGACACTTTCATTTTAGCTCAGTGAAACTTATTTCAGACTTCTGATTTACTAGATTGTAAGATAATAATAAATTTACAATGTTTTAAGCCTCTAAGTTTGTGGAAATTTGCTACAACAGTAATAGGAAACAAATATACGGCTTAATAGTAGAGTTCAACAAAGCAAGAAAGAAAGTCTAATCTAGAGACTTAAAAGGAAGCCTAAAGATAATCTGTAGTTTACTTAATAACCTGACAAAACAAAATTCAATACTTCTTTTAGGAAAGCAACACAATAGAAATATTCAATTTCCTAATGAGAACACTGTCAAACATCTAGTCAAAAATTACTAGACAGGCAAAGAAACAAAATTTCATAATATGGAATGAAAAAAGTCTTTTTAAAAGTCATTAGAGAAATAATTGAAAATAACAGATGTAATGGAATTATCAGACAATCATCTTAAAATAGCTATTAAAATGCTCTGTGAATTAAAGCAAAAGGAATACATAATGAAAATTGGAATGAAAATTACAAAAAAAAGAGAACCAAATGCAAATTATAAAGTTAAAAATATCAGCATCTGAAATAGATACTTACAATAATATGTAAGTTAATAAATACTGCAATATAATTATTTCTTGAATTAAATATAAACAAACCAAATTGACATACTGAAAGAAAAGAGACAAGAAAAAATTACATAAGCAGCCGTAATGAAATGTGACACGCTACCAAGAATTCTAACATACATAGAACCGGATTTGCTGAAGAAACAGAAAATAGTGTGAATGAAAAATGCCTAAATTTTCACTATGCTTTTCAAATTTGATTAAAAACTTGTATATTGCAAAAACTCAAAAAGCAGCACTGAGACAAACAAAAGGAAAACACCACCAAAATATATAATAATCAAGTTATCAAAAATGAGTAATAAGAAGAAAATCATAAGACAGAGAAGAAATAGATATTTTATATAAGAAAACAGAATTACAAAGGACCACAGGTTTATAATCAGAAAATATGCAATCCACAAGATAAAAAATAATATTTTTAAAGTAATAAAATAAGTAAAGTTGTATATCTAGAAAAATGCTTTTTAAAAAAAATAGAATTTTCAGACAAAAAACTTGAAATAATATTTTCCTGGAGAACTTCAATACAGAAAAGGTTAAAATAGTTTTTGGGTGTTAAATTAAAGGATGTTGGATGGAAACTTGGACTATAAAAAGAAATGAAGAGTGAGAGAAAAGAGAAGTATATGTGCAAATTTTTTAAAGTGTTTTTAATTGTGAAATTATGAGCTACTTGATAATTTAAAACAAAAATAAGAACAAGGTTTAAAGGCTTACAATATATGCATAAATATAATATATGCAGAAATAAAATATATAATATTTGCAGAAATATAAAATAATGGGAGAGGGAAAATGAAAGTACACAATGTAAGCTTATATTTTGTGTGAATTGGTGGAATACGATTTGAAGGTAGAAAGTGAGATATTAGAATACACATTAGAAACCTTAAATCAACTACAAAAAGAGATGTAATTAGTAAGATAATAATACAGTAAAATTATTTAATAATACATTTAATGTGAAAGAAGAGACAAAGGATAATAAAATATTATAATATTTTAGTAATCAAATATCAAGACACAAGACAAACTCACCAATATTGGCAAGTAAGTGTGAATGATCAAACTCTGCAATTAAAAGACTGAGATTGTCACAATGGATAAAAAAGTAGAATCTAACAATATGCTGCCTACAAGAAACATATTTAACATTCAGAGAGAGATAATTTAAAACTATGGGAAAAGATATACACTACAAACACTATTGATAAGAAATTTGGAATGGTTACAGTAATATTAATTAAAACTGACTTCAGGATAAATAATTTTATCAGAGATGAAGGGACATTTTACAATGATAAAAGGATAAATTAGTTAAGAATGCACAACAATATTAACTGATTATGCACCTACATATAGAATATCAAATGTATTCAGGAAGAGTACACAGAACTGAAAGAACAAATGGAAAAATTCACAATTTTAATTGAATATTTCATCACATTTCTTACAGCAAGTGACAGTATATAGAAAGAAAATTAGTCACTATTAACCAAGTCAAATTTATTTAAAACTGTGTGTCCTTTCAGACACACATTAGAAATTTATCAAGAAAGATCTTATAATATGCCACAATAAGTTTCAGTAAACATAAAAGAACATAAAAGAATTAAAAACATAAAAGAATTAAAATCATATAGAACATATTATCTTATCACAACAGAATTGAATTAAAATCAATAACAATAATATATCTATAAAATCCTCCCAAATATTTGGAAATTAGTTAAAACACTTTTAAAAATCTCATGGCTTGAAAATAAAAATGACAAGCAAGATTAAAAATATTTTAACTGAATCATGAGGAAAACAGCATTTTAAAACTTGTTGTTGATAAATCAGTTTCCACAGGATAATTTACAACCTGAAATATTTTATTTTTAAAAACTTTAAAATCAATGATCTAAGCTTCTATCTTGAGAATGCAGGGGGGGAACAAATTGAATCTCAAAATAAGTAGGAGTAAGGAAGTATTAATAATCAGAAAAAGAATTAACAAAATAGAAAAGAGAAAAACAGCAGAGAAAATTAATGCCAATATAGCCAGTTACTTTGAAGAGTTCAACAAAACTGGTAACTGCAAAGTTAGACAGATCAACATAAAAAGAGACATGAGTAAAGTTACCAATACCTGAATTGAAAGTAGGCATATCACTGAATATCTTAAACATATTAAAAGAATAACAATCCAACAATATGAATTCTGCTACAATTTCATTAACTTAAGCATAATAGACAAACTTATTCTAAGAAACAAATTACTGAAACAGACCCAAGAAGAAATAAAGATTATGAATACCCTTGTACTTGTTAGGTAATTAAAATATTTTCACAAAACCAAATCAAAATGAAACAAAATCCTTACAGGCTCACCTAGGTATTGTCAATGATACATGATAGAATTTCTTCTTATGGGAAAACAATTTCGTTTTTTTCTCACAACCTTTGAAAAAAAAGAGAGAAAGAGAACACTTCCTAACTGAATTGATAAAGTTAGAATTACCTAAATAAACCAAATTCAGACAGAAATGACAAGAAAAAGAAAAAGCTAGAAACCAGTATACCTCATGATTATATCTGAAAAGAATTCTAATCATGTTTTAGCACATTGGATTAAGAAATATATAAGAAAGACAATACATCATAATCAAATGTGGTTTGTTGCAGAATACAAGGTTGTTTATCATTTAAAAATAAACATTAACCATTAGCCATTTTGATGAAATACAAAAAGAAAACCACATGATTATCTCAATATATATATAAAATAGTTTGACAAAGTCAGAGTCTGTTCATAATTTTAACACTCAGTAAATTAGGAAAAGAAGGGAACTCTCTTAAGATGATTAACAACATGCGCAGAAAAACCTACAGCTAACATCATACTTAGTGAAGAATAATGAGTTTTTTTCTTCATGACATTGAAATTAAAATTAGAGAAAAAACATGCTTTTATCTTTTTGTTTTCAGCTCTTAAAAGAGGTTCAAGCTAGAACATTAAACCAAGAAAAAGAACTAAAAGAAACACAGTTCAAACCGGAAAAAATAAACTATCTTTATTCATAGACCATAACAGAATATATAAAAATCATAAAGAATCTACAAAAAAGGTAATACTCACTAAAATTCAACTACAAGTAAAAATTCAAGGTTGTAGTATAAAAATTCAAAAAATTAATTCCTGTATTTTTGCACACTTGTAATGAATAGTTGAAAACTTTTTAAAAGAAACATTTACCATAACATTGAAAACTTCAAGTACTTAGGACATTAAATTAAGCAAATATGTGTAAAACATGTACACTAAAATCTGCAGAATATTGTCATATGTTTAAAGAAGACCTTGATAAATGGAGATATAGAAAGTTCCTGGATTAGACAATTCAATATTATTAAAATTTCAATTAAAAAATATTCTCTGCCTGTAATCCCAACATTTTGGGAGGCCGAGGCGGGTGGATCATCTGAGGTCAGCAGTTTGAGACTAGTCTGGCCAACATGGTGAAACACTGTGTCTACTAAAAATACAAAAATTAGCTGGGCATGGTGGCAGGCACCTGTAATCCCAGATACTCAGGGGGCTGAGGCAGGAGAATCGCTTGTACCCAGGTGGCAGAGGTTGCAGTGAGCTGAGATCGTACCATTGCACTCCAGCCTGGACAACAAGAGCAAAACTCCATTTCAAAAACAAAACAAAACAAATCTCTAATTCAATACATTCACAATCAAAGCCCCTGCAAAGTTTATGAACAAATCGACAATATAATTTTAAAATTTATGTGGAAATGCAAATGATGATAAAGAACTAAAATAATTTTGTTAAAGGAAGAATAAATTGTCAATAC
This sequence comes from Homo sapiens, assembly GCF_000001405.40. NCBI lineage: Eukaryota > Metazoa > Chordata > Mammalia > Primates > Hominidae > Homo > Homo sapiens. Next base: position 4,452,023 of record NC_000005.10, read on the forward strand.
TAACCTCTCTGCTTTCCAAATTCTTCTTGAAGCTACAGAAATTAAGACATTATGATATTGATGAGATAGACATATAGTTCAATGGAATCAAATTGAAAATATAGAAATAGACACACCTGTGTACATCCAGTTGATGACAACAAAGTTGTCAAAGTAACTCAGCAAGTAAAACATAGTCTTTTCAGCAAATGGTTCTTGAATATCTGATTTATCAGGAAAATGATGAACATTGAACCTTACCTTGTAAACTACTCTAAAATAAGCAGGAAGGAATCAACCAAATGGAAAATGTAACTAAGCATAAAAGCTAGAACAGAAAGATTTCTTTTTTTGTGGTGGGGGGAGAGAAAATCTTTAAGGTTTTGAAGAAGTGACAGACTTTCTAAAAATGTCACAGAATACAAAACATAAAAAATACCCAATAAACTGAACTTTATCTAAAATTTTAAAAATCTGCTCTTCCAAAGACACCATTAAGAGAAAGAAAAGTTTACACATTGGGAAATCTTCACAACACATAGATTAGATAAAATTATTTTTTCAGTATTTATAAATAACTTTCATACCACAATAACAAAGGGATAAACAATGCAGTTGAAAAGAGAGAGATTTTTGAACAGACATCTCAACAAAGAAGACTCACATGTGGTAAACATGCTCTTGAAAAGTTTCTCAAGATTACTCAGTGAAATACAAACTACCTAAAGAAAAACTGTAATGTCCCCAAAATTTAAACAACTTCAATGTCCATGAAGAGGTAAATCAATGAACAAAATGTGGTGTATTCATGACATAGGATAGTCTTTAGCAACAAAAAAGAATGTAGTACAGATAAATGCAATGACATGGATGATTTTTCAAAACTTTTTCTTGGGAAAAAATGAGCAAGGAACAAAAAAATACATACTGTTTATTTCCATTTATGTAAAATTTTAAACAGGGAAACTAATTTTGGAGGACAGAAACTGGATCATTGATGTTCTAGGTCCAAGGGTAGGGCTACAGATTGATTCCAATGGGGACTCAAATAACTATTTGGTGGTGACAGGAATTTCACTCTTTGTAGCGGATGTTGCATGGACCTACACAAATTTCAAAACTCATTGAGCTGTACACTTAAAATGGGTACAAAATGTATACCTCAATATAGCTGATTATGTTGGAAATAGTCAGTCCTTTTCCGTACTTCAAATGGAGTTAACTGACCTGAAGATACTAAAAATGGACCTCAATAGAATTAAATGAAAATATGCAAAAACGAGATACCTGGCTGCTGCTCACCGGGACCTTTCTTGGATGCCAGAATCCCAACTATCTTAGCTTCACGTTTCTGAGTTCTGCCCTTGTTCCCCTCAGTGAAGCCAGCCTGCCAGGGGAACTGGTTTTGTAAAAGCTTCCAACATGAGCTGCAAAACCAGTGCTCTCCCATGGAACCTGGAATTCTGAGCCAAGTGTGCTGAACAGTCCAGACCTTGCTGCACTCCTGGATATACTCCTGCTAAGGCCCTTAGTCATGGACAACCAACCCATCTCTTTCAGTGTATTCAAGTACACGTGTCCCTTTAGTAGGAATAAAACACCAGCATTGCATTGTTGATACATGGCTAGATATGCCGACGCGGTCAGGAATAATCCTTCAGGAATCATGAAGGACTTATTCATGACAGAATGGAGAAATTGACATGCTTTAAAAAATGATTTTATAACATCCTACTCATTTAATGTCTGCATCAAAGCAATTGTTCTAATGTACATATGTCTGCACATACGGATGTTGAGTGCCCTGAACATCTGCTATTTGCAATGTGCTAAGCTAAGACATAGGGATACTATGTTGGGTGATACATGACTAATCCCTACGGAACATAGAAATTTAAAAGAGAAACAAACATTTCGTTGAGTCATTAAACACAAACAAACGTATATTTTTTCAGAAAAGTAAGGGACATTGCTGTTAAAATATTTCTTAAGCATATATTTTTAATCTTGCAATGGCTGTGTATGTTTATTCCTTATACCTCTCCTCTGTTTTGCATCTTTTTTTCTTTTTCATTTTGACGATATTTCTACAATTTCAGTCTTATCCTAGATTTACGAGTGAGCTAAAAAAAGCATAATGCAATGTGTATTGTAACTAAAGGAGCTATACTGTTGTCTGTTATGTCTGTTATCTTCCCCAAGTTAAAAACAGACAAATAAAACAAAGCAAAAATAAAGAAAACAAACGAAAGATTTCTCCTTCAGTGACATTCAAGTATTTTCCCAATACAGCTTGCCACATTTCTTGTCTTTTCATCCTTCAGAAAAACATTTTGGAAAGTATTGATCATTTCACATTTCTAAGTGTTTTTCTTTTTATAACGTATTACCCCAGGTAAGAATGTGTGCTTTTCCCAGTCAACTGAAAGAAAATTGCCAATGACAGAAAACTGCTCTTTGTTTAATTATCGTCAAACTTTACCATTGGTTGCTATAACGATGAACCTATCAGGTATCTGAAAGTCCTTTCAAAACTGGTTTCACCATCCGCCTCCTAACAGGGGCCCCCAAGTCCTCTTTTAGAGATGAGTTTTATTTTCTTATACTCATATTATTCCTAAAAAAGCAGAATGCTAGCCCTGAAGACTGTTCAAAGGAACATACTGACATCTATGTACCTCCTAACTAGAAACAAATTGATAAACTTCTGAAACACTCTTTGAAAATGGAGGCAATGCAGTCGACTTGCCAGAGCTGCTTTTATGCCTCATCCTGGTACCCTAGAAACTGCTGTCAAGCTCCATTTTATTCCATGTGTGGCCTGACAGTTCTAAGGGGAAAGTGTATCCTAATTCTTCCAAATAAATTAGATTTCAGCCATCTTAAAATGAAAACACAGCCTTTGCTGAAGTTATAAACAGACCCTATTGAATAAAGTATCAGCAGAGGCTCCTACTGTTATCTCCACCAGAGGTTCAGAACTGCAAGACAGCAACGTTCATCATATCTTTGTAGTCCTAGTAATACAAATTAATCAACAGGTAAATAGAATGTGAAAGAGGATTCCTCCCATGGAGAGTGCATCTCATTTTTTTTTTTACCAAAAAGACAAAGAGGAAAGAAAGGAAGAAGAAAGAAATAGAGGGATGGAGAGGGAGGAAAGAAGAAGGAGGAGAGTTTGGGGCAATAAAGCATATTTTAAATTCAGATTCAAGACACACACAAAAAGCTAAGATATTTTTAATGATTAGCATACACTTGGGGATGCTATCCAATTACATTGTTATCTGATGAATACATGTAAATTCTTTTTTTAAAATGCCTGTATTTTAATATATATAGGTATATGTTAGATTCCTGGAATTTGAAAGTGTGGGTAAAAAATAGGAAAAAAACAGATATTTTCTCTGTAGGATTAAGGAACATACATACATTTGATGAAAAGTTAATTAGACTTAATTAAAAAGATAAGTAATAATGTAAAGTAAGAGAAACAGTCCATTTATAAATTGTTATAAATAATAACAATATATAAATTGTTAATAAATATTGTTAAGATCAGTGAGAGTGTGGGGATGTCATAATTTAACCATCAGTAATTACTACCATGGCAGAACAATATAATATTTTCTAATACAATAACAAAACTCAGATCTCAGAATGAGTTTAAATCTACTGTTTATCCTAAAAGTATCATGTTTTGACAGTAAGGCAAAAACTCCTGTAAACATGAGAGTATGCCTAAAATTGCACACCTCCTTAAGATTGTGTTATCATAAGATTTTATCAATGAGTATAAAAACAATTTAGTGGCTTAATCTCACTTTTAATGAGTGTTACTATGTTAATACTCAGGACCATTTAGAAAAGTAAAACCAATACAGTTTGAGACAACAAGCAAAAAGTTCCTAGAATATTTCTCAGTATTTAATTTTTCTCAATATATGCTCTGTTAGGGAAAACTAAGGCAAAGGGAAACCAACTCTGGAAAAATTAGAACAAATGAAAATTTTTATCATTATTTTTATTGCAGACAGATTTTATTGTACCCATTATTCTAAAACATAGAAACAGATTCTATTAAAGAACAAAAAGAACAGAACTAATAAAAAGATGCAATAAGAAAATCCACAGAACTATTTTATAAAGGCAATGAAAATAGTGACAGAATTGTCAAATCGACTTTTTCAGAACTCTAGAAATTAACACAACTATCCAAAGAGCATTCACTTAGAAACAACTAATGACTAACAAAATAGGGTTCGTGATGTTTTAACTCAATGTATTCCCATCTACTCCCCAACTCTGTGATATCGCTACCTGGCCAACATGGTGAAACCCCATCTCTACTAAAACAAAAAAACACAAAAACTAGCCGGATGTAGTGGTGCATGCCTGTAATCCCAGCTACTCAGGAGGCTGAGGCAGGAGACTCACTTGAACCTAGGAGGTAAAGGTTGCAGTGAGCCTTGATCATGCCATTGCACTCTAGCTAGGGTGAGAAATCTCAAATAAGTAAAAAAAAAACAAAAAACAAAACAAAAAACAAAAAAAAAACAAAAAAAAAACCAATAACCTCACACTAGTGAGTGGGGGAAGACTAGAGCTCTTCAAAAATCGCCAAATCCAGAAAATTTTCAGAACTTAACCTGTTTTGCAAATTCCTGAAAAACTCTGTTCGCAAGATGTTTATGTGTCACCTGGCTCTGAGTTCCAAGAAAAAAGTCCTATCCCAAGGCATTTCCAGAAACAATCAACTGCCGTTGTTTTTAACACTGAAGCTGAGACTGCCCAACCAGTAAGATCAAATTGGGTCATGTGATTTTAATAGGGTCTTTGAAAAGTTCCAACATATTTTTTGGGCCCTAGAAGACCATATACATGTGCAAAGCTGTATAAATGCCCAAAGCTGTATGAAAGACCTGAGACGGCCCAGTCATCTTCAGTTGACTTTTACACCCTGTAACAGCAATAATTCAGGGCTAAGTCAGACTTGTAAAATACCTGTGAGATGAGGGTGTGCCCCAACCTACACACATGGAGTCCATGGCAGAGCATGGAAGACTTACTAGCTCATGGCATTAAGGGAAACTTCTGACTAATCATTGGCTGACAACTAAGCTAACCAAGCAGAGATTTCAGTGGCTACACAATTCAGCATCCTGTAGGATACCACTAAACATAGTCAAATATAAATGAGCATGCCAGAGACAGATGAGAGAGATAAGGATAGAGAGAATGTTTGAACATATCATGTCTAAAAATTTTGAAATCTGACAGAAAATTCGATGGCTTTTATCTATACATATAAGATTCTCAACAAACTCCATTAGGATGAAATCAAAGATATTCAAACCTAGACATATCATGGTTTTATTTACAGACACTATGCTAATTCATATAAAAATCTATGAAATCTACAAAAAAAACTACTAAAACTAATAACTGAGTTCAGTAGAGCTGCAGAATACAGTGTAAATATACAATAATTTCATTTTTATACTAGCAATTAATAGTCATAAATTTAATTAGCAATACCATATACAATATAATCATCATATGTGACTTGTTTATGGATATATGTGCAAGATCTGTGCACCAAAAACTACAAAGCATACTTGGTAGGAATTATAGAAGACTTAGAAAAATTGAGACACATTATATTGCTAAGTTGTAAATTTTCCTCAAGTAGATCTCTATATTCAATAAAATCCTTGCATTATTTTCTGTAGAGATCACTACACTGATTCTAAAATTTCTATGAAAATGTCAAAGACTCAGTCAGAGTGGCAGTGAAAAAAATTGAATCATAGGACTGCCTAAATTCAAAATTTATTATAAAGGCACAACATTCAAAATGTGATATTGACTTAAAGTTACTAGGTAAGAAGATCAATGAAACAGAATAGGAAATTCATAAAAAGTTCTAAAATATATATGGTTAATTGAGGGGCCAAAGTAATTCAATGGAGGAAGGATAGCATTTTCAATACATGCTAGAATGATTAACTATCCATCTGCTGTCTCACATGCAGAAAGAAGTTCAATCCACACCTTGCACCAATAACAAAAACTAACTCCAAATTGATCATAAGCTTAAATGTAAAAATCTAAAACCCCAAAATGTTCAGAAGAAATCACAGGACAGAAGCTATATGATCTTTGGTTTAGCAAGAATTTCTTGGTGTTGTAAGTACAACACCAAAAACATAATGTTTAAAAAAACCACATTGGTTGATTGGACTTCATAAAAATTTAAAGTGTCTGCTCTTAAAAGGATGAAAAAACATGACACATACTTGAAGATAATATTTGCAAATTATATGTCTACTAAAGAATGTCTACCTATAACATGTAAAGAACTCTCAAAAGTCAACATTAAAATAATTGGCAACCCAATTGAAAATAGGTAAATGATTTTAACATTTCACCAAAGAAGATATATGACTAGAAAGTAAACGCATTGAAAAATACTCAATATCGTTAGTCATTATGATAATGCCAATTAAAAACACAACAAGGTGCTATATTAGTTTGCTCTTGCACCGCTATAAAGAACTACCTGAGGCTGGGTAATTTATGAAGAAAAGAGGGTTAATTGGCTCACAGTTCCACAGGCTGTACAGGAATCATGGAAGCTTCTGCTTTTGTGGAAGCCTCAGGAAACTTACAATCATGGCAGAAGGTCAGGGGGAAGCAGGCACATCACAAGGCCGGAGCAGGAGTAAGAGACTGACGGGGCAGGTGCCACACACTTTTAAACAACCAGGTCTCATGAGAACTCACTCACTCACTATCACAAGAACAGAACCAAGGGGATGGCGCTAAAACCATTCATGAGAACTTTCCTCCCTGATCCACTGGCCTCCCACAGGGCCCACCTCCAACACTAGGTATGACAGTTAATACTGAGTTTCAATTTGATTGGGTTGAAGGATACAAAGTATTGATCCTGGGTGTGTCTATGAGGGTGTTGCCAAAGGAGATTAATATTTGAGTCAGTGAGCTGGGAAAGGCAGACTCACCCTTAATCTGGGTGGGCACAGTCTAATCAGCTGCCAGTGTATCTAGAATATAAGCAGGCAGAAAGATGTGAAAAGAGACTGGCCTAGCCTCCCAACCTACATCTTTCTCCCGTGCTGGATGCTTCCTGCCCTTGAATATCAGACTCTAAGGTCTTCAGTTTTGGAACTCAGACTGGATCTCCTTGATCCTCAGCCTGCAGATGGTCTATTGTGGGACCTTGTGATCATGTGAGTTAATACTTAATAAACTCCCATATATATATCACATATATATCATATGTATATGATATATATACATACATATATATCATATGTATATGATATATATACATACATATATATCATATGTATATGATATATATACATACATATATATCCTATTAGTTCTGTTCCTCTAGAGAACACTGAATAATACAGATTTTGGTATGAGGAGTGGTTCTAGAGGAAGAAAATATTAAGGGTGGAGTTCTTTCCTGGATTTTGGGGTTTCTGGAGTTGGCTGCTTAATATGATTAGACCCCAAAATGCTAAGGACTCTACTTCTAATTGTATGGGGAACACTAATAGTCTTTGGCATGAAGTTTTTAGAGAGTTACGCAAAAGAAATGCATTTGACACTCCTGATTCATCGCTTATAAGAGGCAAGTAGTTTAGTGACTCTCTATATAACACCCTTGACCATATGTGAAGAACCAGGGAACATAATGAAGCTGGTTGGTTGCTCCTACATTAGTGGACAAAGTAATGAAAGAAAATGATGCACTCAGGGATTCTATCTCCCAACTCCAGAAGCAGATACTGAGCCTCAAATCTGCTAAGATTGCCCTGAGTGAAAGGCTTATCTCCTGTAGAGAAAGAGCTGAAATTGTGGAAAAACAGTCATAAGCTTTTATCATACCAGTGGCTGACCTGCCATGAAAGGTGCATGCATGGTCTCGCCAAGTGTCTACTGTTAAAGCGAGGGCATTGATTGGAAAAGAAAGGGACCCGCAATTTGGAATGGCGATGTGTGGGAGGACCCTGATGAAACTGGGGACACTGAGTTTGTAAACTCTGATGAATCTTTTTTGCCAGAAGAAACAGCTTCCCCATCCCCAGTAGTGGCAACATCCCCTCCCCAACCTATGCTGCCATCAGCCTTTTCACTTTTGTCTGAGAAGAGAAACTCTGTGTTGCCTGAGGCAACAATGATGGCCTCCCCTGAGGCAGTTGCCAGGCAAGATAATGTTGATTCTGCTCAGGAGCCACCCCCAAAATCCCTGTTTGTTTCTAGATCTATAACTAGACTAAAGTCCTGGCAGGCCTTAGAGGTGAGGTTGAGTTTGACCCATGAGGTGCACTACATGCAAAAATAACTGCTTGGGTTTTCTAGTTTATATAAGCAGAAATCTGGAGAACAGCATGGGAACAGATGCTAAGGATGTGGGATAATGGTGAAAGAAACATAGAGTTGGATCAGGAAGAATTAATTGATCTAGGCCCACTAAGTAGGGACTCTGCATTTAATGTTGCAGCTCAAGGACTTAAAAAAGGTTCTAATCATTTATTTGCTTGGTTAGCTGAAATATGGATTAAAAGATGGCCCACTGTGAGCGAGCTGGAAATGCCTGATCTCCCTTGGTTTAATGTGGTGGAAGGGATCCGAAGGCTTAGGGAGATTGGGATGGTAGAGTGGATTAGTCACTTTAGACCTACTCATCCCAGCTGGGAGGGCCCAGAAGATATACCCTTGACCAATGCCTTGTGAAATAGATGTGTGAGGGCAGCACCTGCATCTTTGAAGAGCCCTGTAATTGCTCTTTGTATCTCTGAGCTAATAGTGGGAACTGCAGCCACTCAACTACAAAATTTAAATATCATGGAAGTTATTGGATCCCGAGGTGGCAGGGGCCAAGTGGCCGACCCTCAACCATCAAAAGCAAGGTGGAGATAGCTACCATAATGGAGAACAAAGGCAAAGTGGCAATCAGAATAGTCTGACTCATGTAGAGCTCTGGCACTGGCTAATTAATCACTGTCTTACTAGAAGTAAAATTGATAGGAAGCCTACTGCATTCCTACTTAATTTATATAAGCAGAAAATGTTTAGGTCGAATGGAAAAAAGACTAATTTGAATTATAAAAATATAGAATCACAGCCTTTCAATCAATTTCCAAACTTGAGCCAGTTTACAGACCCAGAACCCCATTAATGAAGGGGAGGCTGGGTCTTCTTGAGGAAGGACACCACTACGCTACCGACAATTTATGCCGTTAATCTTTCTCCCATCCTTCCCTAAGGCGACTTCCAGCCTTTTACCAGGGTAATTGTGTATTGGAAAAGGGAAATAATCAGACACTTTGAGGACTACTGGACACTAGCTATGAGCTGAAGTTGATTCCAGGGGACCCAAAACGTCATTGTGGTCCTCCAGTTAAAGTAGGGGCTTATGGAGGTCAGGTAATTAATGGAGTTTTAGCTCAGGTTTGACCTACTGTGGGTCCAGTGGGTTCCTGGACTCATCCTGTGGTCATTTCTCCAGTGCCCAGATGCATAATTGGCATAGACATACTTAGCAGCTGGCAGAACCCCCACATTGGCTCCCTGACTGGTAGGGTGATGGTTATTATGACAGGATAGGCCAAATGGAAGCCATTAGAGCTGTCTCTACCTAGAAAAATAGTAAATCAAAAACAATATTCATCCCTGGAGGGATTGAGGAGATTAGTACCACCATCAAAGACTTGAAAGACACAGGGGTGGTTACTCCCACCACATCCCCTGTTCAACTCTTCCATTTGGCCTGTGCAGAAGACAGATGGATCTTGGATAATGACAGTGGATTACTGTAAGCTTAACAAAGTGGTGACTTCAGTTGCAGCTGCTGTACCAGATGTGGTTTATTGCTTAAGAAAATTAACCCATCTTCTGGGACCTGGTATGCAGCCATTGACTTGGCAAAAGCCTTTTTCTCCATTCCTGTCCTTAAGGCCCACCAGAAGAAATTTGCCTTCGGCTGGCAAGGCCAGCAGTATACTTTTACTGTCCTACCTCAGTGATATATCAACTCTCTGGCTTTGCGTCGTAATATCATTTGGAGGGAACTTGATCACTGTTTGCTTCTGCAAAATATCACACTGGTCCATTACATTGATGGCATTATGCTGATTGCATCCAGTGAGCATGAAATAGCAAACACACTGGACTTATTGGTGAGACATTTGCACGCCAGAGTATAGGAAATAAATCTGACTAAAATTCATGGTCCTTCTACCTCAGTAAAATTTCTAGGGGTCGAATGATGTGGGGCCAGTCAAGATGTTTCTTCTAAGGTGAAGGTTAAGTTACTGCATTTGGGGCCTCCTACAACCAAGAAAGACGCACAATGCCTAGTAGTCCTATTTGGATTTTGGAGGCTACACATTCATGATTTGGTGTGTTTCTCCAGTCCATTTATTGAGTGACTCAAAATGCTGCTGGTTTCTAGTGGGGTCCAGAACAGGAAAAGGCTCTGCAACTAGTCCAGGCTGCTGTGCAAGCTGCTCTGCCACTTGGGTCATATGACCCAGCAGATCCAATGGTGCTTGAGGTGTCAGTGGCAGATAGGGATGCTGTTTGCAGCCTTTGGCAGGCTCCCATAGGTGAATCACAGTGGGTGCCTCTAGGATTTTGGAGCAAGGCCCTGCTATCTTCTGCAGATAAATATTCTCCTTTTGAGAGACAGCTCTTGGCCTGTTAGTGGGCTTTAGTGGAAACTGAACTTTTGACTATGGGGCATCAAGTCATCATGTGACCTGAACTGCCTATCATGAACTGGGTGCTTTCTGACCCATGTAGCCATAAAGTGGGTCGTGCACAGCAGCATTCCATCATCAAATGGAAGTGGTATATATGTGATCGGGCTCGAGCAAGTCCTGAAGGCACAAGTAAGTTACATGAGGAAGTGGCCCAAATGCCCATGGTCTCCACTCCTGCCACCCTGCCTTCTCTCCCCAAGCCTGCACTGATGGCCTTATGGAGAGTTCCCTATGATCAGTTGACAGAGGAAGAGAAGACTAGGGACTGGTTCACAGATGGTTCTGCAGGATATGCAGGCACCACCTGAAAGTGGACAGCTGCAGCACTACAGCACCTTTCTAGGACATCCATGAAGGACACGGTGAAGGGAAATCTTCCCAGTGGACATCACTTTGAGCAATGCACTTGGATGTGCATTCTGCATGGATGGAGAAATGGCCAGATACGTGATTATATACTGATTCATGGGCTATAGCCAATTGCTTGGCTGGATGATCAGGAACTTGAAAGACGCATGATTGGAAAATTGGTAACAAAGAAATTTGGGGAAGAGGTGTGTGGATGGATCTCTCTGAGTGTTCAAAAACTGTGACAATATTTGTATTACATGTGAGTGCTCACCAACGGATGATGTCAACAGAGGAGGATTCTAATAATCAAGTGGATAGGATGACCCACTCTGCGGACACCACTCGGCTGATTTCCCCAGTCATCCCTGTCATCGCCCAGTGGATCCATGAACAAAGGGCCATGGTGGCAGGGATGGAGGTTACACATGGGCTCAGTAACATGTACTTCCACTCACCAAGGCTGACCTGGCTACAGCCACTGCTGAGTGACCAATTTGCCAGCAGCAGAGACCAACACTGAGCCCTCGATATGGCACCATTCCTTGGAGTGATAAGCCAGCTACCTGGTGACAGGTTGATTATATTGGACTTCTTCCGTCATGAAAAGGGCAGAGGTTTGTCCTCACTGGAATAGGCACTTACTCAGATATGGGTTTGCCTATTCTGCACACAATGCTTCTGCCAAGACTACCATCTGTGGACTCACAGGATGCCTTATCCACTGTCATGGCGTTCTACACAGCACTGCCTCTGACCAAGGCACTCACTTTACGGCTAAAGAAGTGTGGCAGTGGGCTCACGCTTATGGAATTCACTGGTCTTACCAGGTTCCCCATCATCCTAAAGCAGCTGGATAGAACAGTGGAATGGCCTTTTGAAGTCACAATTCCAAGGCCAACTAAGTGACAATACTTTGCAGGGCTGGAGCAAAGTTTTTCAGAAGGCTGTGTGTGCTCTGGGGCAAAGTTCTCCAGAAGGCTGTGTATCCTCCATCCTTGCCACCATGGACCTTTGTTCATGGGTCCATTGGGCGATGACAGGGGTGGCTGGGGAGTGGCTGAGTGGTGTCCACAGAATGGGTCATCCTATCCACTTGATCATTAAAATCCTCCTCTGGTGAGGTCATCTGTTGGTGAGTGTCCAATATATGGTGCTGTTTCTCCCATAGCAAGGATTCACAGGTCCAGGAATCAAGGGGTGGAAGTGGAAGTGGCACCACTCACCATCAACCCTAGTTATCCAGTAGCAAAATTTTTACTTCCTGTTCCCATGACATTATGTTCTGCTGGCCTAGAGGTCTTAGTTCCAGAGGGATGAAAGCTGCCAGCAGGAGACGCAACAATAATTCCATTAAACTAGAAGTTAAGATTGCCGCCTGGACACTTTGGACTCCTCCTAACTTTAAGTCAACAGGCTAAGAAGGGAGTTACAGTGCTGGCTGGGGTGATTGACCCAGACTATCAAGATGAAATCAGTCTACTACTCCACAACAGAGGTAAGGCAGTGTATGCATGGAATACAGGAGATCCATTACGGCATCTCTTAGTATTAACATACTCTATGATTAAGGTTAAAGGGAAGCTACAACAGCCCAATCCAGGCAGGACTACAAGTGACCCAGACCCTTCAGGAATAAAGGTTTGGGTCACTCCACCAATTAAAAAAAAAAAAAAAAACACAACCTGCTGAGCTGCTTGCTGAAGGCAAAGGGAATAAAGAATGAGTAGTAGAAGAAGGTAGTCATCAATACCATCTACCATCACGGGACCAGCTGCGGAAATGAGGACTGTGATTGTCATGAGTACTTCCTCCTTCTTTTGTTAAATGCATGTTTGTGCATGTACACCTTGTACTAAGAAAATATCTTCATTTTATTTCCTTTTCCTTTATTTGACTTAAGATTTATTGACTTCACATCAGAATTTAAGTATTGTTAACTGCATATAATCATATTTCGGTTGAGGATTGGTGCATTTCTGGTTGTACGAAGGATGGTTGTATTATGTTAGGCTTTATTATGACCTTATTATTGCTTTACTTGAAGATTATGTGTGATCTCAGGGGATGTGTATGGGTTCAAGTTGACAAGGGGTGGACTTGTGATGGTTAATACTGAGTGTCAACTTGATTGGATTGAAGCGTACAAAGTAATGATCCTGGGTGTGTCTATGAGGGTGTTGCCAGAAAAGATTACCATTTGAGTCAGTGGGCAGGGAAAGGTAGATCCACCCTTAATCTTGTTGGGCACAATCTAATCAGCTGCCAGAGAAGCTAGAATATTAAGCAGGCAGAAAAATGTGAAAAGAGAGACTGGCCTAGCCTCCCAGCCTACATCTTTCTCCTGTGCTGGATGCTTCCTGCCCTCAAACATGGGACTCCAAGCTCTCCATTTTTGGAACTCTAACTGGATCTCCTTGCTCCTCAGCCTGCAGAGCCTGCAGATGGCCTATTGTGGGAACCTGTGACTTGTGATCGTGTGAGTTAATACTTATTAAACCCCCTTTATATATATATATATGTGTGTATATATATATATATATATATGTATGTGTGTATATATATATGTATATATATATGTATGTGTGTGTGTATATGTATATATATATGTTTATATATATATCCATTCCATTAGTTCTGTTCCTTTAGAGAACCCTGAGTAATAAACTAGGGATTACAATTTGACATGATATTTGATGGGGACACAGATCCACACCACATCAGGAACCATTACACACACATTAGAATAGCTTAAATTAAAAACCCTAACCATAGCAACTTTTGGTGAATATATGAAGGACAGGAACTCTCACACACTGCTGATGGAATGTAAAATGTAAATTGGCTTTAGAAAGCAGTTTGGCAGTTTGCTAGAAAATCAACCATACACTTTAAAGATAACAAGCACTTTCATTCCTAGAAAAGAGAGAGAGAAGGGGGAAATAAAAGGCATGTCTACACGATGTCCACTATGTGAATGTTCATGGCAGCTTTAATTGTAATAATCAAAAGCCAGAGACAATTCGAACCTATACACCTCAGATGACTGGATACACAAACCCCGTACATCCACACAATGAAATACTAATCAGCATTAAACCAATCATGTATCACTGATATGTATTAAAACATGAAAGAAATTCAACAAAAATGCTGAGAGAAAGAAGCTAGAGAAACAAGTATGAATATTGCATGATTCCATCTCTAATAATAACAAATTATAGAAAAACAAATGGATCTAAAGTGACAGAACATCAATAGTTTCCTGGCGTCCAGAGATGGGTATGGGTAAAGAAGGGAGAGGACAGGATTAGAAAAGGGCCTGAGAAATTATTTTGTGGATTTGGGCTGTGTTCAGATTCTTCACTATGATGACATTTCACAAAGGTCTACATATACCAAATCTCATGAAATTGTATATTGTGAGAATGTGAAGTTTATTATATGTTGAGTATACCTCAATGCAGTTTTCACTGATAAATAAAGAAGCAAGGGAAGGTGAAACGACTATCTTTTGGGTGCTTTTAGGTGCTTTAACATCAGCATTTCACCTACTCTCTATAGGATTATACAGCAAGTGTTACTTTCTCCATTTTTCTTCCAAATACGTACAATGAAGATTAGAAAGAATAGGTATGAGATGTTATAGAAGAAATGGGAAGAAACTGTATTTGTACTTATAACACCATTATGACAAAATATATCTCAATAATTATACCGAAACCCCCGCTAATTAAAAACTTGAAGTTCCTATGCACACTTCAAATCTGGAATTCCAAAAAATTCTACTTGGAGGTTAATAAAGACAATGTAAAGAATTAAAAGTTCTTTCTGTACTTTCAATTTTAAAAACACCCCCCCCCCCATTAGTTTGTAGGGAAAAAGAGAGTGGGAGAAGTGTAAAAGGAGAAAAAAAATAGAATTGGTGCACAGGCAAAGGAAGCTCAATTTCTGCTGTAGGATTGGAATTCAATCCTCCCAAAGTGTGAGGCTTCTCCTAATGGAGTATGCTGCTGGTTACTAACTTCTAGTCATGTCTGTGTTTCTGCAACTGTTTCTAACGTTCTTTCCTTGATGAAGTTCCCAAACCTGTTTTATCATTTTGAATCTTCACATTCACTCTTCTGTCTCAACTTAATGGCCACCCCTTAAAACTATATGGTTTGGGCTGGGCACAGTAGCTCATGCCTGTAATCCCAGCACTTTGGAAGACTGAGATGGATGGATCAGCTGAGGTCAAGAGTTTGAGACCAGCCTGGCCAATATGGTGAAACCCCATCTCTACTGAAAATACAAAAATTAGCTGGGCGTGGTTGTGCATGTCTGTAATCTCAGCTACTCGGGAGTCTGAGGCAGGAGATTCTCTTGAATCCGGGAGGTGGAGGTTGCAGTGAGCCAAGATCAAGCCATTGCATTCCAGCCTGGGTGACAAGAGTGAAACTCTATCTCAAAAAAAACCAAAAACCAAAAACAAACAAACAAAAAAACCATATGGTTTGAGGAGGAGGCATATTTAAAATCTGGTCTCCAATTTGTAGCTGGCCTTTAATACACTCTGGTTTATTATGGGCTTTTTCACCCATGTAAGGTATAGGAAAACTTGGATTTTCCAATTCATTAAGACTTCATACTTTTTACTCTATTTTCTGCCATTTATCCTTGGCAATCTGGTCAGTTATCACACTAACACTTTGATTTCCAGCACTTTCCCTGGAGATGCCACCTCAGTCCATGATTGGCTGTTTTGCACGATATGAATCAACATCTTTTCAGCTCAGATATGTCCCTATTCAGTGTCTACTACACAACTATGAAGTCAAGTTTATAAGTCTTAGGTTTTATTTCATTAGCATTCTCCTTTTAGGTAGAAGTATTAGTCAGGGTAAGTAATGCTAGATCCTATAACAAACACATCTCACATATTACCAGCTGACCATAGAGAAGGTGTTTGTCCCATGTCACCAGTCATCAGGGTTAATGCTGGTGAAGATGAAGGGTGGGACGTTCTCCACACTGTCTTGACTGTCTTGTCAGAATCCACTCTGGAAGAGCCTGAGACAGCTTCAAAGGGTGTGTACCAGTGTTCCTCTAGGCCTCAACATTGACACAGCACCAGGAGATGAGAGACCAGCCAGAGAAGAAACCTCCTCTCCTAATGGCTTTGTGCCAGAAATGACATTCACGTTCATCTCTCTTGGTGAGCCCTTGTCCCCCACCTCTAGAAGCAAAGTAGCTGAGAAATGAGATTGAGTTGGGTTTGGAAGAGGAAGTGATTCAGTGAACATCTACCCAGCTGATGGCACAACTACACTGGCCTAAGACTGCCAGTAGTATCCAAATGATCTCTCTGCTTCCCCTCATGTCCTCTGAAGTTGATTTTGTACATGGCAGCCCCTTTTCCCTCTCTGCTGGCCACCTCATCTCTTACTCTCCTCTCTCTCACTCTCCTCCCATTCTCCTCCTCTCTCCTCCTGCTGAGTCAGCTCTCACCTCTGGGTCTTTGCACTTGCTGCATCCTCTGTCGAGGCATCTCTTCCTTTACATATAAACAAGGTTCATTTCTCATTTCCTCCAGGTATTATATTAATGTCATCTCATCAGAGATGTGTGTCCTGACCACCCTTTGTAAAACAGTAACTGCCTCACATGGCAGTCACCTGTCTTTAGAA
The DNA here is from genome assembly GCF_000001405.40 of Homo sapiens. Taxonomy (NCBI): domain Eukaryota; kingdom Metazoa; phylum Chordata; class Mammalia; order Primates; family Hominidae; genus Homo; species Homo sapiens. The sequence goes on from NC_000005.10 coordinate 4,468,821, forward strand.
AACTGTCTTATACTCATCAAAGCACTTTTCACTCTTTGATGTGTTCAGTTGGACCTATATAGCTATGGATTCCCCATCCATGGACTCAGTCAACAGTGGATCAAAACTATTGGAACAAAAACATTCACAAACTTTCAAAAGGCCAGCCTTGAATACTACACCAAATCCATGTAAATGACATGATGTTCAGGCATTGTATTAGGTATCATAACTAATCTAGATATGATGTGAAGTATAAGGAGGATGTGCATAGGTTATATTCAAATACTACAAAATCTTTTATAACATACCTGAGCGTCAGTGGATTTTGTTATTTGTAGGGGGCCTTGCATCCAATCTCCCATGGATACTAATGAAAGACTACGTTTATATTGTTGTTTGTTCCTTTTTTTGTTTGTTTACTCCACTAGAACATAAGACCCACGAAAGCAGAATCTAAATATAGGTATAGACATTGACATAGATATAGGTATAGACATTGACATAGATATACCTATAGACATAGAATTATATTGACTGTGAATGTTTGATGTTGATGCCAATATTAACAGTGATATCAATATATGGATATAAATAAATACATACACATAGATTACATACATATATCTAGATGCACCTGTGTATATCTATATCATTATACATATAAACTAGATATAGTAATAGATATTGATGTCAATATTGATATATGGACTCACTATACACTTAATTGGATATAGATACAGATATGATATAGACATCGTTAGCTATATCAATATAGGTATAAACAGAGATATTGATTAGATATAGTTGAAAATATAGATGTGGATATTAATATAGATGTTGATGTTAATGTCAAGATAGATAAATATAGATTCTGTTGTCAATATTGATATTGATAGATAGGCATAGACAAGGACATAGATACAGATTCTATATAAATGTAGGTACTAATATCTATACATTAATAGAGAGATATAAATACGGACATAGGCATACACACATATTTCTCTATGTCTATATTAGCATTTTCCAGGCCAGTGTATAGGTATTTAGGCCCCACAGGAAGATCCCAGTTGGAAAATTATAGAATTTACCTTCCTATTCCTAACCCCATCTTGAAAGGTAGTAGCTCATTTTTCTAAATCTCCCTTGTTCCCCTGGCATAGATGTTGCGTATGTGTAGATAGCCATGAATAATCCCACTTTTTCCCTGCTCTCTTCTCAATAATAAAAAGATGTGATAGTGGCAGGCAGCCTGTCCTTCCTCCATAATTATTCCATTAAATTATTTATTTGTGTAGATTCAGTGAGATGATGCACTTAAAACTGTTAGCATCATTTATAGTCCTTTGGGTATATACCCAGTAATGAGATGGCTGGGTCAAATGGTATTTCTAGTTCTAGATCCCTGAGGAATCGCCACACTGACTTCCACAATGGTTGAACTAGTTGACAGCCCCACCAACAGTGTAAAAGTGTTCCCATTTCTCCACATCCTCTCCAGCACCTGTTGTTTCCTGACTTTTTAATGATTGCCATTCTAACTGGTGTGAGATGGTATCTCATTGTGGTTTTGATTTGCATTTCTCTTATGGCCAGTGATGGTGAGCATTTTTTCATGTGTTTTTGGCTGCATAAATGTCTTCTTTTGAGAAGTGTCTGTTTATGTCCTTCACCCACTTTTTGATGGTGTTGTTTGTTTTTTTCTTGTAAATTTGTTTGAGTTCATTGTAGATTCTGGATATTAGCCCTTTGTCAGATGAGTAGGTTGCAAAAAAGACACATGCTATAAAGACACATGCACACGTATGTTTATTGTGGCACTATTCACAATAGCAAAGACTTGGAACCAACACAAATGTCCAACAATGATAGACTGGATTAAGAAAATGTGGCACATATACACCATGGAATACTATGCAGCCATAAAAAATGATGAGTTCCTGTCCTTTGTAGGGGCATGGATGAAATTGGAAATCATCATTCTCAGTAAACTATTGCAAGAACAAAAAACCAAACACTGCATATTCTCACTCATAGGTGGGAATTGAACAATGAGATCACATGGACACAGGAAGGGGAACATCACACTCTGGGGACTGTTGTGGGGTGGGGGAGGGGGGATGGATAGCATTAGGAGATATACCTAATGCTAAATGACAAGTTAATGGGTGCAGCACACCAGCATGGCACATGTATACATATGTAACTAACCTGCACATTGTGCACATGTACCCTAAAACTTAAAGTATAATAATAATAAAATAAAATAAAATAAAAACTGTTAGCATTGAGCACCAAGTAAGTGATCAGTAAATAGAAAGTGAGAATGTATTTCTCACTCCCACTGATTTCTGATCATTGCATTAACGTTTCTAAGGCTGCATATTAGGAGATTAAGAACCTAAGTAAGACTGAGAAGTAGAGAAACTCTTCCGTTCTTAATCTGATGACTGCAACATCTCAGTTCCTACAGGAATGTAAAACCTACTGGGCCTTGGATAGTCTTTGAGAGTCAAAATGAACAAGTTCGAACCCTCTTTCTTATTCTTACCTATTAATCTCCTTCCTTGAAATGTATTGAGGAGTCACATTTGTATTACACACCCAGGTTAAAACAATTCCTTTAGGAATTTAAAGGGAAGGGTGCAATGAGGCTGGACCTGATTGACACACATAATGGACATGGCTAGAGCCCAAACTGGAGGAAGCAAGGGATGATCAAGACCCTTTTCAGAAAGTTGGTGTTAAAGAGAGAGAGAGAGAGAAGTTACACATCAAGGCACAAGCCCAAGGCCACACTGATTCAGTCTAGAAAATTATTGTAATTACATATTTAAAATGCATTACACAAGAGCTCACCAATATGTGTACACACACACTACTGAACACTGTAGATCCTAGAAAATAGGGGTTTGCCATTATCCTATGAATTTCTTGAAAGCAGAAGATATCTTGCACCTATTTCTGGAAACTCAGTAGCTACACAAACAGACACATGAAAGAGGCATTAAAGAAAGAGACTTGCCAGAATATTTACACCTGCAGAGGCAATAGGCTCACCATGCACTCATTCCCAAAAATCAATATTTGCAAATTGCAGGAACTTATAAATACAGAAATATTGTTGTTGGTAAAGACACTGCTCTCAAAATGTCTACGTTTTGAATAAAACAAATTTTCTAGGCGACAATTAGAAAAGTCAGCAAAAGAAAAAAGTGAAATGTCTAAGGGAAACTATGAAAATAAAATTTCATTTTCAACACAATCCCTTTTAAGTGTCTCCATGTTTGATGTTAGTAACAGCATTGAGGTCTATTGCTTGCAAATTCTTTAACATTAAAATACTGTACACATCTAATTTTTCATGACATGTACTCTTCTTTGTGTGTACTAGGAAATGTCAGCTGCTGTAACAGGCTAGCTTATTATCAGCTTTTGGAAGAGAGCTGCCTTTTAAACATTTTCACACTGCTTGTATTTTTAGTTAAACAATAAGCAATAGGGCAAGAAGTGAGATATATGCTTATTTATTTTCTTACATACTTTACATTGCTACCTTGATTTTACTTTCATTCATTCTTCACTATGGTGATATTAACCAGATTCCTAAATGTCTACATGTAAACAGTCTCTTAAGTTTTTCCAAGCACTTTGATACAGTTTAATAAATTGTAAGAATAGGAGGGAAGTTATTCCATCATTTTTAAAGATGATAAATCAGAAGCTATAAAACATTGGCTGTTTTGTCTAAATTGATGTAGCTGAGAACAGAAAATCTAAAGATTCAGATTTTGAGACCCCAAACACCTTGAAATTTCTAAGGGTTTATGCTATTAATATAACATCTTCTTCCTTCTCCTCTTTTTCCCTTTAAAATTCTATTTTTTTAACAATTTGATTGTATAAGAGTTTATTTCCATTAGAGAAAAATCTGTTTGTTCCTCCAAATTTTTACGTTGAAACCTAATCCCCAATAAAACAGTATCAACAGCTGGAGATTTTGGAAGGTGAATGAGATTAGCATTCTTATAAAAGAGGCCCCAGAGAGCTCCTCTGTCCTTTTCACCATGTAAAGACACAGAGAAAAGGCACCATTTTTGAAGCAAAGAGCAGCCCTCCCAGACACTGAATCTACCGGTGCCTTGATCTTGGACTTCCCAGCCTCCAGAACTGAAGAAATGCAATTCTTCTGTTTAGAAATTACCCAGTCTAAGGTATTTCATTACAGCAGCCCAAAAGGTCTGCTCCAATTAGAAATAAGAAATGGAACTAACATACTATAATTAGTGTATAGACTTAAATAAAATAGACTAGCAATGAAGGAATAGAGGCATAAATATTAACAATTAGGCCATTTTTTTTACACAGCTGAACTGAAGTCTCTGAGGTTTGTGATAGTACTATATGAAGAATAATACCTGCTTAATTTATTTTCTTATTTTATGTAGCAGTGACCAGTTAGGAAAAGATGACAAGACTTACAGTTTTTCAAGCTCATATACTGAGACAACAACATCCAAATAGGCTTTGAAATATTATATTTTGGTATTATTACTAATATTACTTATAAATCACAACTATAGGAAACATTTTAAAAATTGGGAAATAGTATTAACTTTGCGGGTAACACATCATAATAAAATTCTCAAATACTATGATTCTGAATGTTCTGAATGCTAAGACGTATTTGCACAGCCTTCGCATCGTGCACTAAGAGACCAAGGGGCATTCTTCCCGCGTGGAACACAGACCAACCCAGAAACTATTTTCCTTCTTCCTTTCCTTTTAGCAGAGAGATTTGCATATTTGTGCATCTGCCTGCAGTGAATCAAACATGGAGCACCTAGTGAGCATCCTAGTGAGGCTATGCTGACGAGAAGATTACCTGCAAGCAAAAATGCTTTTGAGATGTGGTTTTAAGTAAGCACATGGTTATCTGTTTTAACTTCCAAGAAATATTTGCTTTTTTTTTTCCTTCTTAACACCGAAAGGGCTCAAGCCACATCTGTATGATTGTATTTCTGAACAAGTTGTGCTTGTTCTACCAAGGATATACCAATAATTCAAGGTAATCAGCAGAGTGCATTACAGGAAGAAATCTGAACCAACAACCTGTACAAACAGAATAGCAATCAGAAGATTTAATGCATTTCTGATGTACATTTAAGGCCCTGACACTGGGCCACAGATGTACATGTGTTGTGCTTTATATTGCTGAGATATGGCCTGTGAGAACCTATTATAGCATATCATCATCCACACTGGAGGGGTTGGGGAGGGAAAAATTCCATCACACATTACTCCTGCGGATGTATTAGAGAAACAAATTGTACTCAGAATTGAAAAGTCACAGGCTTATTCTGTCTTAATAAATTCCTGCCAAAAGGCTAAGTGTAAGACTAGAAATACTTCCCAAATGTTGTTACTGTATTATCATCTTTGACATCTCAAGAGCTGTTCCAAGCATCATCAGATATCAGTTCAGGGTTCTCACAATAAAATCTTTTTCTTTTTTTTCCAACCAGTCCTTGATTTCATGTAGTCATTTTGAGTTGCCTTTGCTTGAGATATAAACATCCCTTTGGCTAAAATGAAAGTGTTATTTTAAATAAGATGTTTGTCACTGAGCCATTCCCATTGGTTAATATAGATAACTATTCAAAATTCAAGGTGCTAATCCTTAACTAAAGTTTTCTATCAAAAATTTTGAGGGTTTTTGTGATCCTTCAAAATAGATTTAAAACACAAAAGTAAAAGAGCACACTCTGATCTTTTTGAAGGCAGATTCTGGGTTCTAATTATATTTATGGCTACTGCATGATGTTTGATCAATATCTGTCAAATAAATAAATAAAGGATTATATGATTAAGTGCAATGATGACACATTAAAATATCCTAATGATATTAGCCTAGTTAGCATTTTATAAACCAAGACACCTAATATCTATTTTGTCAAACTAGGTTTACAGCTTAAACTGTTTCTTTTATCTTATTAGCCTACTAAGACTTCATCTCTTAAGAGTAGATTTTTTAATCTTGTTATTTCAGCATGATATATATTAAGATTTGGCTTTATTCTAAAATGAAAAATAAAATGACTCTCCAACACCCAAAGAGAAAAATGGTTCTCCAATCTATAGGTTTCTAACTTGTTGTAGAATTGTATATTGTGGGGTATCCATTACTCTGTAAAAATTACCCCAAAATGTAGAGGCCCTGAAAGAACAAATATTTCTTATCACACAGTTTCTGTGTGTCTAGAAACTGCTATAGCTTATTTGGGTTTCCAGCTCAGAGCCTTACATGAAGTTGTAGTCAAGCCGCCATTTGGGACTGCAGGCTTCTCCGGGCCCTACTGGGACTGATCGTCCACATCCACACCTACCACAGGCCGTCTGCATGTTCTCACAGTGTGCAACAGCTGAGCCAAGACACAGCTCCAGAGACAACTTAAGATGGAAACCATAGTCTTTTCATATTCTGATTTGGGGAGGGACATCCCATCACTTCCGTCACGTCTGTTCCTAAGAAGAGACTCAATAAGATGATCACACATTTAAATGGACATGATGATGCCAGAGGATGAAGACACTAGGTGGAGATCACTGGGAGCCATTGGAGGGGACATCTGTCATAAAGAGGGTCAAGAATAAATGCCATTTGCAAGAAACAAATTGCATTATAAGAGGTTTTGTAATATTTGAAGATATGTTGAATAGTGAAATTAATTAGCCAAGCATGGTGGTGCATGTCTGTAATCCCAGCTACTCGGGAAGGCTGACGCTGGAGAATCACTTGAACCCGGGAGGCAGAAGTTGTGGTGAGCCGAGGTCGCACCACTGCACTCCAGCCTGGGCAACAAGAGCAAAACTCCGTCTCAAAAAAAATAAATAAATAAAATAAAAAGAAAAGAAAAGAAAAAGGAAAAGAAAGAAAAAAGAAAAGAAAACTAGAATCATGAAATTAGGAAGATTCTCAAGCACAAGGTCTCTGCCCACCCCAATTACCATCTGTGACTAGCAGACAGATCTATGACATCAGTGGATTTTAATAAGAAAGAAAGGGGTGAAAGGTTAGCTGAAAGAATTTGTTTTTGAGCAACGACATATTCCAAGTACTATGTCAAATGTCTTTTAGGTATTTCTTTAGTGAATCCTCCTGTAAACCTTTCTAGGTCAGTTCCATTACCAGATGAATTATCAGGACTGAGACTAAATGTGTTTATGTGCAGAGTCCTTAGCTAGGACCTGAACCCACACCCAGCTCACTGGAAAACCTATGCTTTCTCTCCTACCTTAACATTCCATTGCTGACCTCCCTGGTGGCTGAAGAGCTGATTTCTTAGCGCACCTTTCCAGCTGACACTCTGCGGTCCTAGCAAAGCAGATCGTGTTTCTAAGCTTCTGTTTCTTGAACTACGGAGTTGTGAATTTCTAGTCCAGAACCTCTTTGTTTCAGGATAGCCACAACTTTAAACAAGTGGCTGACTTATGGCCTCCCAATTGTTTGACGGTCAAAGATGGAAATCTGATACAGTAGCCATCAAAATAGAAACAATTCTTGGCCTAATAGATTCTAATGAGCATGTTGCAAGCAGAAAGTTCAGAAATGGTCATTTGGGCTTAGCAAAAAAAGAAAATGAAGGCTTAAACAGAATTAAATACATAAGAATCCTGTTTCCGAAATTTTTTTTGTTTTTTGTTTTGTTTGTTTGTTTGTTTGTTTGTTTTTTGCTTACCCATTACGAAAAAGTCTTATTATACATTCATAAAGATTCGTCTTTGGTGCTAAAGAAAAAATTAGGGAAAATTACCACTTGATACATAAATGACTCTACAAATGACTATATGATAGAGAAAAAAAGTATTTTGGAGTTTGGAGATAAAGCTATTTCTCATTACAGTAATGTAAATAACATTTTTTACAACTAACAATAAAGAACTCTCAAAGTGGAAAGTGAAATAAATGAAACCCTTGGTTATTTTTGAGAGGAAACAGGAATCAAGCAAGTGTGAAGAACGTTTGTTAGTGGCAAGCACTCCCACATGGAGAAAGCATGTGCAATATAGTAATCACTATGCAATTTATTTTAAAATACCACCAAAGGCAAAGAAACAGCTTTTCTTTAAAGCTAAATGTTCAAGGGCAGCTGTGATATTCTCTGACTGACAATAACACAATCGCTGTCTCTACAAGAGCACCTACCCACATCTCCAGGATTAAACTAGGACACGTTATGACAAAGGAATCATTAAGGTCCATATTGATCTTCTCACATCAGCCTGAAATAGAACATCCTGTTATGTTACAGGCCCATCAGAAGCAAACCCGTTCTTGTCACAGCCTCTATCACTTCAAGGAGTTTCTAACACAAGTGCCGAGAGTGACCTCCCTCTTTCTACCTTAACGCAAAGGTAGAATTTGATTTGAGCTTCCTGGACAAAAAGGGTTCGGGGAGGCACTCTAAGACTAAGACTTGCTTTGCTCCTGTGCCCGCCCCCTTTTGAAGTGCTTGTTCTCAGGGAGTCATCTGGCTTCAGAGCAGCCTGGCATTGGCTTTGGTAAGTCCCTCCCTTCATTTCTTTAGATTTAGTAGCTGTATTATGATCTGAAAGATTACCGAATCTTATAACGTAATTGGAATTCTAGTATGTCCTATAGACTCCTTTCAAAGTCAGGAAATGGTCAGTACTTACCAGAGAGGGTTTTCTCAGTGAAATCATAATATCCTGTGAAACAATTTAAATATGGGATGTCCATGGGGAAAAACTAAAATCTTCTCCTTGATTTTTTTCTATAAGTGGAGAATTTATTATCTGAAAGCTCCTCAGAGGTAGAAAAACACAGATGTAAAGAATTACTAATGATCATTCTCATTACTGTAGTGTTCATAATAAACACAACCTTCTTTCAACTCTATGAAAGAAACAGTGCTACACATTATTATTCCTCACTCCTAGTGTGTCTCCTCTCATATAAAGATGACACAAAAGTAATTAGGAATTAATTGAAACTACTGGAAGCTAAAGTTGATCTTCCGGATATGAGAAGTTTACAACATACCTAAGGCTTCTTTTTCTCTGTGTTTCATATAAATTTCAGTTAGTATTCCTGGTGGAGTAAATGTTTTTAGTGGCTTTGATGGGAAAAGAATGTTCTCCCAAATCAGAGAATATAAAATAATGACACAACTGAAACAGGTTTACTATGTTGCTCATCCCAGAATAATCATCATGAGAAGAGAACAGAAAGACCAAAGAGGAATCATCTGTGATATTTTGCACTTTAAAAATTCATGTTGAAAAAGTCATGTTGGGAGGAACACATTGTGTTCCCTAGAGAAACGAGGAATACTTTCTTAGCTGTTCTTGGTAAATATACAGAGAAACTAAAATCTGCATGTAATAATTGTAACCACTAATATTTCTTGGGTACTCATGATGCACTTTTCTAGTGTTCTCCATGCATTCGTACATTTAAATCCCAGTGGGACTACTCTATACGCAGATAGAGACATGGCTTACTGTTAGATAAAAACTGGTTGTTATCAGTCAGGGTAGACCAGGTATGTTTCAATAACAAGCCCACCACCCCAGTGGCTTACAGAACTAAAAGTTTTGCTATTGCGGCATGGATCTGGTGGTCCACATAAACAGATCTCTTCCAAGTGGTGACTCAGGGACTCAGGCTATCAACACACGGGAACTTCACATGTTGGAGTCCTTTGCTTCCAGACTAGAGGACTGGGACTGGAGGATGTGGAGGATAAAGAATGGAAAAGGCACAGCCACTTTTAGATGTATTGACCTAGAAGTGACCCCTCACTTCCACTCAAGGCCCATAGACAATAAATTACTGATATGACCTCATTTATTTATTTATTTGGAGACGGAGTCTTGCTCTGTTGCCCAAGCTAGAGTTTGGTGGTGAGATCCTGGTTCACTGCAGCTCTGCCGCCTGGTTCAAGCAATTCTCCAGCTTCAGCCTCCCAAGTAGCTGGGATTACAGGCACCTGCCACCATGCCTGGCTAATTTTTGGATTTTTAATAGAGATGGGGTTTCACTGTGTTGGCCAGGCTGGTCTTGAACTCTCGACCTCAAGTGATCTGCCCACCTCGTCCTCCCAAAGTGCTGGGATTACAGGCGTGACCCACCATGCCCAGCCGATATAACCTCATTTAGATACTTACAGGCAGAACAATGGAATCTAAAAAATTATGTTATTATGAGCATTTCAGGGAGATGAATACAGGTTGCTCAACTCTACCACCTGTTTCTGTCACGAGGCCTTGATATCTGAACTCTTGGCCTGAATAAAATGCACAGAACCCCTGAGAGAGGCAGAGGACTGGACTCCCTGCCTCTCTCCTGTCCTCCCAGAGGACAGAGCTCCCTGGCTCCACCATTGACAGAACCTCTGGTGGGTCGGGGGTGGAATAAGAACAATGAGAGGACCCTTTGCACTCTGCTCAGCAAAGGGCTATTGGGGGAAGAGGTTACTGTTTACTGCCATGAAGAATATTATAAACAGCTAATGGGGCCGTACCTATGGTCTGTGCATATTGGTAATTATGCAGAAATATTCTGAACTGGGGCTTCAACTCACCATTGCAAGATTTTTCCACACATAAGTGGATGTAGTCATTGAAGGGTTCCTAACAGGAAGCAAACTCCTGAGAAAGCTATTAGCAGTTTAGTATTTGCAATTCATGTGACACTACTTGCCTTAAGGGATATCATCCACAGAGTCCTGTTTGGTTTAAAATGTAACTCACAGTGGAGTAGGCTGAGCATTCAGATCTCAGCTGGGTTTCTCTTGAATTTATTAACTTACAAATGGAAATACACTTAAAATAGTTTACTATCTTTCAGTAACGGCTTCTTAACTTCCCCATTTCCAGAGGTGGTTCCGCTCTCCCTAGGCTTGTAATCTTGTGGTACCTCTGACTTCTCTTGCCCTTGGCACTCAAAATGCCATCTGTTTACCAAATCCTGCAGCTCGTTTCTCCACAACAGTGCTTTGAGTCCTGACTTTCTCTTTATTTCCACATTTTGACTACAGGTTCTAACCACTCGGTAATTTTATTGCTCTCTCTACTGCTAACTAAAAATAATATATTCCACATACTTCTAAGAATCAGCATCTGCAAGCAGCTTGGTCCCTCTGTTACTTTTCCTCTCAAAGTTTACAGTGATCTGGGGTCAGCCAGGGGAAGACTTGGAATAAGAGCAGTGACCCTCTCCACATAACCAGAGCTTTACACAGGCTGAAAGAATTTCAGGAACCATACAAACAGCACAGGATAGACTAGGAGATCCAGAAAACTCCTTAAAAATCTGGGGAAACATTGGCTCTCCTGGTGAACTTCTGGCTATGTGAGAGTGCCTATAGTTACCTGTGTAATTTCACTTCAGTCATCTAGATCTGTTGTCTTGTTCTCATCATTAATATCAACCCCTCACTAAAGCTCAGAGATCATTTGCCCCAGGATTCTGGCTGTTTTTGTTTTTATGAGTACTTTTCTCTTTTTTCTAAGATAAAAGAAAGAGACAATATTTAGTGAATGGATGCATAAGAGATATTTAACAGGATGTCAATGGTAGTTTGACTACTAGTTCCACTGTCGTCTAGTTATGCTGTCTTTCATTTCTAGCATAAAAGAGTCCAGCTTAGTCACTATAAATGGGAGGCAATACGACAGAATTCTTCAGGCACACAGCAACACATACCAGGCAGTGCAAAAGGCTCCCACCCACAAAAAATAAAACAAAAAACACATACCATAGATGATTTGGATTTTACTAAAAGTGGCAACATTAACACATACACCTCGCAGGATAAGCATCGCTTCTGTTTCTGCAATAGACACTAAGGCAGAAAATATTTCATGGTCACTGACTGGTCACAGGGCAGTTGAGTCTACAAGTTGTCAACACAATCACAGGAGGAGAGGAATGAAAAGCAAATTGATTGTTAAGTACTCTGATAAGCCTCCTTAACACGATTCTCAAAACTGGCAGCCCTTCTGCCCACAGACGTACAAGTTTAAAATCGCACGATTACAGCGTACACCTGCAAACTCCACTGTGCTGCTTGATCTGTGTATTTTACTGTAGGTCAAGGCAGTTAATCACTGAGGGCCTCCGGGTAACCAGAGAGAAGCTTATTTATGGGTAAATCAAGAAACCGAAATACTGAACCGTGCCTGATTAGCTGCACTAATATGCTACTTGTGGCTAATTTCTGAGCTGCTTAACCCACAGGTGTTTGCCCTCACCCATAAATCATGCCGTCCACCTCCTCTTTGCACTCTCGGTCCTACCATGCATATAGATAGCCTGTTTAAATGACAGGCAGGAAATAATGGACGGTGCACTAAATCACGCCAGTGCTTAGTCAACTGGCTCTCCTCTGAAACAAGTCGTGCAACCTTCCCAGTGCCCAGCTCGTTTCAGATGTTATTGTAACCCAAGTCTTATGTGCCACTGAATGCAACCTTTCGAAGGTACAAAGCGTACATTTCCCCATTTTTATTTGTTTTACTTGTAGAGCACACCCTTTGCATAAGAGAGCACCATTAAAATTTCCACTCCAGCCAGCGGTGCAATGAAGCAGAACAGAATCCCAATGACTCTGATGGCGAAAGGGAACTCTCCCAGGGGCTTGAGCAACCGTGGCCCTCCATTGACTGTTAATTTATTTTCTTTAATTAAAGATGTTAATTAAATGGATCACAAACCAAACAATCTAAACACTAAGTATTACGGGCAGGAAATGCTTGGTTTGCATACGATTTGACTCTCTAGAGTAGTTCTTTGTTTTAAATCAATTTACAGGTCAATATGAAAGCCAGTAGCTATGAAAATACATATTTTACATATACTTACAATGTCTCTCTGTGCTTGGAACCGAAGAAAACGTGGGACTTGGCAGGATTTCTGTTTTCAAGCCCTGGTTAATAAAACCCATAGGAGAAACTATTAATACATAAGTGCTCAATGAAATCATATAAATAGACATATGACAAAATAGCAATGACAAACAAGAGACATAGTGTCACTATATTAGGACAAGTAAAGTGATAGGCTTGATGTGATGGGGGCACTGTACAAGGGCTCCTCAGCTAAGGAGAGAGAAAGCTGTTTGAAATTTTCAATTACTTCTAGTAATTTTACATGTCTCATTCTTACACTACATGATAAAAATACATTTATCTGTTATTTTGACACTTTCTAATTGAACTTAAATAGCCAACTATAATGGCAAGATTTTGGTCATGAAGGATTCTTATTCTAGGGAATTCACTTTGAAACAAGACGGAGTATCAGAAACCAGGGTTACCTTCTGGCTGAAACACTGAAAAACTGATGAACTATATCATGTATTGGATCTCGAGATGCTGAACACTCGGCAGTGAAGATCCCTGGTGAGTTCTGTGATTGTTCTAGGTTAGTACCTTGAGAGAGTTCAAGCCAGCAGGCAGGGATGGGGAGCCTGGATGGAGCCCAGGGAGCTCTGTGAGTTAAAGAGGTGCAACGGAGCACCCAGGGGGATAATCGTGGTTACAGTTCTGCAGAACAGGGTGGCAATGGGGAGAGAACTGTATAAAGATAGTCCTCTAGAAAACTGCAGAGGATCCTTTCAGAATGTTCAGCTAAGGCTTGATCAGAACACATAAATGAAGAAACCATCAGAAAGAACAAAAAGTATCAGTGTTGGTCACTCGCCCAAGGCTGAGATAGCATCGGTTTTCACCAGACAGACTGGAAGAACCCATGACCCATGAGCATGGAGGGGAACAGTCAGGAAGGTCTCATCTGAGGAGAGGAGAATAGCTTGTCATGGACCAATCACTGTTCCTCTTCCATTTCACAAACTTTAAAAGCAACACCTGAAGGATCAGACTGTTTTCAGGTAACATAACTGTGTCTCATGAAAAAAGATCTGAAACATTTATAGAAATATAAAAATATCCAGTAGCCAAAAGATATAATTCACAATGTCAAGAATGCAATAAAATATTACCAGGCATTTTAAAACACAGAAAAATATGAGCCATTATAAAGAGAAAAAATATTCAATCAAAAGCAAACAAAATTACACAGATGTCAGAATTAGCAGAGAGACTTTTTTTTTTCAAATTGTACTGCATATGTTCAGAAAGTTCAATAAAGACTTAGAAATTATTTAGGAGACTCAATTGAACTTCAGTAAGTGAACAGTCTATATATAAAGTAAAAAATTCAGTTAATGAGATTAATTTTAGTGTAGACATTGCAGAAGAAAATATTTGTAAACTTAAAGACATTGCAAAATAAACTATACAAAATAAAAGATAAAGAGCAAAGAGAATTAGAAATGAACAGAGCATCAGTGATCTTTGGGAAAACTTAGAATAGATTCATGCACATGCACATGGACTCCCTGATAATGGAGGGGGCCATAGCAAAAGCTGATTAAAGAAATAATGTCTGAAAACTCTCAAATTTGTTAATACAACAAAGAACTGATCCTTGAAATGCAACAAATCCCAAACATGAGAAACATAAAACAAACAAACAAAAAAAATATACTCGGTCCATCATACTCAAAGTACTCAAATCTACCAATAACACACAGATCCTATAAGCAGGCAAAGAAAAAAGACACAGTATGTACAGAGGAACAAAGATAGGAATGACCACAATTTTCTCATTGAAAATAGTTCAAAAGAAAAACTTCCAACATAAAATGTTCAAGCACAATGAAAACAATGTAAAAGGAAAACTTCCAACATAAAATGCTAAAACACAGGTGAAATAAAGATTTTTCTTACATAAATGGAGATTTTTTACACATGCAATTGATGAGAAGCAGATCCACACTAAAAGCAATCTTACATGCTTTTCGGAGAGAAAAAAGATGTTACCTGAAAACTGTGATTATACACAGAGTAATGGAGAGCACTGAAAATGGGAACTACATGAGTAGCTTATTTTCTTATTATTTAAATCTTTTTAAAAGCCAATTAATTGTTTGTATAACAATAATAACAATGTATCATCATATTTATAATATAAAGTAAACTTGAAATATTTGACAATATGACAACGTAAAAAATTCAATAAAAAGAGAAAAGAGATCTGAGAGTTGAGCAAATAAAATTTTATTATTTTATAAGCTTTTTACATTTTTTATAACATGGTATAATATCACTCAAACTGGGACTGTGATGAGTTAGAGTAATAAGTCAAAATTAAGATAAAAAAGAATCCTTAAAAATAATTAATTATTTCAAATGAAGCCAGAAAAAAAGAAGACAAGAGCAAAAAAGAACAGAGAAAACGATTAGAAAGCAAACAGCAAGATAGTAGATTTAATTTCAAAATGTAATTAAATAAAAATGGTGCAAACATCCAAATTAAGAGGCAGAGATTGTCAAATTTAAAAAATAGAGGCAAACTGTATTTTATCTATAATAAACGCATTTAAAGACTCAATAGATTTTGAAAAAATTTTTAAAAAGTCATGATAACACTAATGAAAAGAAACTGTAATGACTTTACTAATATCAGATAAATATATATACTAGAGAAAATAATATTAGCCCTCTAAGTTAAGTCATTATCAATTATTAAAGAATCAATTTATCTGCCGGGAGCGGTGGCTTACACCTGTAATCCCAGCCCTTTGGAAGTCTGAGGCGGGTGGATAACGAGGTCAGGAGTTCAAGACCAGCATTGCCAAGATGGTGAAACCCCATCTCTACTAAAAATACAAAAATTAGCCGGGTGCGGTGGCAGGCACCTGTAATCCCAGCTACTTGGGAGGCTGAGGCAGGAGAATTGCTTGAAGCCAGGAGGCGGAGGTTGCAGTGAGCCGAGATTGCGCCACTGCACTCCAGCCCGGGTGACAGAGTGATACTCTGCCTCAGAAAAAAAAAAAAAAAGAAAGAAAGAAAAAAGAAAAGAATCAATTTATCAGGAGGACTTAACATTCTGAAACTAATAATGGCGTTTCCAAATATATGAAACAAAAACTGATAGAACCATAGGGAGAAGTAATAAAACCAACAATTGTAGCCCAATATATTAATGCTCCCTCTCAGTGATTAGTGTAACAAGTAGAGAGAAAATCAGTAAGGACACAAAATATTTAAACAATATTAGTCAGCCAACATTAAGCGACATTTCTAGAACATCCTATTCAACAGAAGAATACATTTTGTTCAAGTGCAGAGGAAATATTTACCAAGATGGAGCACATTTTGGGTCATAACAAAAATCTCAATATTCACACAAAGCATTTTCTCTTACTACCGTGGTTCAATTAGAAGTTACTAATAGGAACATCTAGAAAATTCTAAGTATTTGGAAACTAATAACCCACTTCTAAAGAACCTATGCATCAAAGAATACATTAAAAATTAAGAAATTAGAAAGATTTTTGGTGTAAAGAAAAAAATGAACAAATTCAAACTTCTGGGAGGCAGCTAAAGTGGTACATGGCATGGGGAGTGGTGAGATTATAGTAATAGATGTCTCTATTCGAAAGCAAAAAAAAATCTCTTGTCAATAACTTCAGCTTTCTTGTTAAGGAAGAACAAACATGCAGCAACAAAATAAAATAATAGAGGACAGAGCAGACAAATATGAAATAAACACCAAAAAAATCATCCCCAAAATCAAGGAAATCAAATACTTTTTCTTTAAGAAAACCCATATAATTGACATAGACAAAATTTACCAATATCTTGTCTGAGAGGGGTGACATTGGTATAGATTCTTCCTAGAATAATTTTTTATCTCAACAAATGCCTCAAAACAGGCAACTGAAAACAACATGCTAATATTATTATCCATCAGGATTTATTATAAAACTATAGTTATCAAGATAGTGTGGTATTGACATAAACATAGACAGATCAATAGTAAAAAATACAGAGCAAAAACAAATCCTCACATATGACAACTGAGTTTTCACGAAAGTGCAAAGGTAAATCAACAGAGTAAAGATAATCTTTCAACAAATGGTGCTGGGACAAACAGGTTTTCATGTGCAAGGAAATGAAAACAAAACAAAAAATAAAAATTATACATCAATACCATATGCAAAATTTAATTCATAATGAATCATCAGACATAAATGTTAGCTTAAAACTATAAAACTTACACATGATGCCTTCTTCAGTTTCATAAATATTATTTCTTAGAAGGCTTTTTACAACAATGCCTTTTCACTTTTTTCTAAGCATAACCCAGCATTCTCTGAGCACACAAATCTATCATTACATTTCAAGTTATGATTCTGTAATACATCTGAAAGGAGAGCATACTCTCCTTGTGAAAATCTCCTTGTGAAAATATTAAACGTGCTTTGGGATCCAACTTGCAATACTTAACACAAAGAATCTCATCTGCCATTGGCACTTAGTGTAATTACCTTCCACTGTCTTAAAAATTATATTCCCTGACTTTGCCATTGCTTAAAACATCTGTGGCCATTCTTAACAGTTATTATAGTTCTCCATCCTTGACACTATTATACAGTCTACTTAAACCTACTTGCATAATGTAGTTTAATGACACTCGTGAGGCTCTATAAATATGCTAAGTTCTATAAATTTGCTAACCATTGTGTAAAGAAACTTCTCTTGTCCATCTTTATATTTTTCAAAGCCCCTGCAATCCCTCATATTTGCACTTGTTCATGACTTCCAGTATAAATTTATTTTCACAGTTTTTATTTCATTCATGATTGTAAAAAGTTTAATTGTATATATTTTCTTTCCATGATAAAGTCTACTTATAAATCACAATCTCCTTTCCTTCCAAAGAAACTTTAGATCACGAATGGAGGAGTCTACCCTCATATAAGAGATAACATATCACCTTCCTTTGGACCAGATAATGTGTTTTTCTGTTAAATAATATATACTAACTCTGTATGCTCCATGTGCTGATGAAATAAACAACAAAAACAATCCACAAGCCAGCACATGCTCAGGGGCCAAAAGAGGTTGAATGTGGCCATATTCATAAAACACAGATCATGGACATAGTTACCCAGGAGAGGACATGATTTCCACGGATGTAGAACAGGCTGGAAGAGAAGTCCATATCCTTGAGATGACATCTGCACAGAGAATGAAAGCTAAATTCACCTAATCAACATAAAGCCATTTTTTTCGTTTCATTATTTTGACCTTTATATAATTAATGAGTTTGGAGCAATATTGCAAAATCATATACCATTTGATTTATATAGCTCTCATTGCTTAGTTTGGCAGTATGGTGATATGTGAAACTTCTACTCACTTGAATACATCCCTGTATTTACTGTACTATTACATAAAAATGACTAAAACTTCTTCAAACTTCAGGAAGGGACTCCTTTTAATGAATGCACTGCTGATAATTTAATGAATACACACATAAGGTACACCTCAAGTTAAACTATTCAATACACCACAGTATACTGACCTGGGATGAATGTCATTTGAAAGGTTCAAGATGCCATTTCACCCCAACTCACGCAGGCATCCACTGAATTTTGGTGGTGGCAGTAGTTTTGATGGTCATGAAAGCCTGTCCTGCACCAGCATTAACCACAATTGCTGGAGCTGCATTTTGAAGAAAATAATGATGATTGAAAGAGAAATGGAGAATAAGATATCTAATATAGTACATTCAAAATAATGAACTATATTTTTCTTGCAATTTTTAAAGATAATCTTGGTTTATATGAAGAACTGGATAATCAGTTGATCTGCTTCTCAAGGGCTTTTGTTTCTGATTGTCTTCTCCCAATCTGTGGTGGCATTTTTGTTACCAACTTCTAAACACCAAACCCTCAAGATTAAAATGCTATCATCCTCCTAGCAGAAGTTATGCTGCAGTTACCACTGGAGTAACTAGATGAATAGTTTTGGATGAGTAACTAGAAACAAAACGTGGGAGACCACATTTTCAGCAGGTGCCTTGTCATCTCCTGCCTTCTGAGAAACATTCTCTACCAGCTCTCTGTTGTCACTGTCCCAGTCCCAACCCATCGCCTCTGTTGTTTATGCTAATTCTGAACAATCACCTCAAAAATACAACTCTCATTGTATTTCTATCTACTTACAGCTCCCCCATGTCTTCCCATCACCTGAGGATTCCCCATGAGTCAGCTGGTCCAGTGTAATCTCAGGGCCCTAAAAAGTGGAAGAGAGAGGCAGGAGAGAGAGGCAGAGCAATACGATGTGAGAAGGACTCAGTTTGCTGTTTCTAGCTTTAGAGATGGAGGAAAGAGCCATGAGGCAAGGGATATGATGCCCTTTGGACAAAGCCAAGAAATAGATTCTCTTCTAGAGCTTCACAGGAGAAACCCAGCCCACCTTGATTTTGGCTCATTGAAACCTGTGTCATATTGCCCAACTGAGCTGGGGTTTGCTCACCCAACACATGAAAGCCAAACATCCACACTGAGGTTTGCAGCAGTAGAAAGGAGGGTATTTATTTTTAGGGTACTGGACAAGGAGAACCAGGCAGCTCATGCTTAAGACCTAACCAACCCCATGCCTTGCAAGCAAGGGTTTGTAAAGTGAGGAGAAATTTTCAAGAAAGTAGAAATTACAGGCAAAATCACAAATCAATACTTAACAGGCAAAATTGCAAATCAATACCAAACATTGATTTGGCCTAAAAAGGCAGGATATCTTGAAGCTGAATCTTACAGGTAATAGGAAGATTTAACACTTTTCTGATTTTCAATCAGTTAAGGAAAACAAGCTTTGCTTCAAAACTTGGGGTCAGCAGAAAAGAATGTTAGCTTTGGCTCGTGGGTATGACTTCCTCCAGGCCCCTCAGGAAGAAATTTAGAAGAGAACAGTGGTGAGCGTTCAGTCCTCAATCCCCCTTTATCTGAGGTCTCCGTGCCAGCAGATCCTTTTGGTGGGGGTCCATGTAACTCAAGGACATATGTTAAGCTGTTATCTCTGGTTTCTATTGGGAACCAAACATCTCATGGCTCTGCCTTCCTTGGCTGTTGTTTTAGGGGGCCGTTACCTTCTTGCTTATGAAGTCACTCATTTACTCATTTACTTCTCGGGGCCAGCTAGGTGCCTGGAATTTATCTTGAAGGTATTCAAGATTTCCCTTTATTTTTATGCTTGTGGAAAAGGGGTGCTGACCCCTAAAACAGGTCCCTGCTCCACCTCAGGCAGACTTTGGTAATAGAAGTCTAATGCACATGGCTTTGCATTCATTTTTACTGGCAACACCCATTATACTGACAATGGATTTTTCTGTAGCTTGTTGCTCTTCTGCATTAGACTGGCAATTTCCATAAGGGCAGAGACTTTATTCTATTTCCCACTGTAACCCAGTACACAACACACAGCACATGGCAGAGTCTGTTTGTGGAATGATACCAGGGTCTTTATAATCTCTTACTTATTAAACAATTTATCTTAATTTATATATTTTTTATTTTTTTAGAGAGAGGGTCTTCCTCTTTTACCCATGCGGGAGTGCAGTGGCACGATCCAAGCTAACTAGCTTGTAACTCCTGGGCTCAAGTGATCCTCCTGCCTCAGCCTCCCAAGTACTATGTTAATTTATTTAACAAAGTAAACATCATGGCTTAGACTAAAGCATGAAATGATTAAAATGAGAGGATATTAGTTCAAAGTGTGGGGAGGAGGGGCAGTTCTTACTTGGCTTCTACCATTTCCCAGGATTTGGTGCTGTCTGGTTCATTTTAATCCACCGACATAGAGGAGAGACAGGTTCCTGTACTGCATCAGGCCGCTGTGGCAGGGCAGGGCTGCCATTACCTTGGAAAAATGGATTGCAGTTAAGGATAACCATGGTAGAATGAGGGTATGGTCCAGAATCAACCAGAAACTCTTCCCACTGGAAAGTCACAAGCCAGAACTTGGGGAGCGAGGAGGGAGAGTGCCCAAAAGCACAAGGAGGAGAGTGGGCATCTCAGCCCCTGATCAGCACCCCCGAGTCTGCAGGTGTCAGTTGGTTCTCTGCAAGGCATACATCAGTCCTCCCTCCTGAGACGGGGGCTACGTGATGATGTCTATATGTTTCTATTACATTGACTCGAGATTTCTTTAGGCAAATAACTATGAAAAAGTCATCTGACAATTCCAAAAAGAAAAATGCATGAGGTGACTAGGGAGTGGCACCCGTAAGAGTTATTGTTGCACTACACAGACGATTCAGGGCTGGCAGAAAGTGCATTATAGACAGGCAGGGTGGTTCCAGGATGGGTATTAAAAGGGCATCCGCTAAATCTGTCAGCAGGCACTTTCAAGATGTAACACCAAAGAATTATATCAGAAAGGTCACTCAGAGAAATACGAGCGTCACAAAGTTAAGTACATCAAGAGAAGATCAGATCATAGGAAATATCTTTTCTCAAAGCTGAAACGATATATTGCAAAAACGGTAAAGTGAAGCACACGGCGGATATAAAGGGAAATCAAGACGCTGGGAAAAAATAAAATAGAAGCGTAATACAATAGAAGTGAAGCTGTAGAAATCATAAAAGAAATGCTTGGAAACAACAGTGAAACTTATTGAATAAAGTAAAATTTATTCAGAACATTCAGATGGCAAGATTCAGAAAAATAACCCATGGATTGGCATTCTGGCTGATTGCAAGAGGCTGTGAAGAATACGTTTTTTAAAAAATTGTCATATGTTCTCATAGAACACTGTATGAATAATTTAACGGGAATGCCACGATTTAGGAAAAGAGTATTATCAGTGAAATGTTAATGCCATTCTCCAGAATTTGTTTTTTAGGCGATAGTTTGGTTTTAACCAACATAGTTATTTCTATTTGTCACCCCCATGCCAAAAATGGAACAGAAAAATCTGAGGAGAGCCTTACGATGTGAGCTACATTTATGATTTATTATCTCTATATGACTTAGAACCTGCATTACCTGCTAATTGAGATATTCTCGAAGCATCACCTGATTGAGCAGCCTCCAGCTGTGTCTCCTGCACTTTTCCACGGCCCTCAGTAATGTGATTTCCTTGTTGCCCAAGGTGTGTGTGTGTTTGTTCTCATGCACATCATCTCAGGGGCAAAGCACTACTGTAACCACCAGCCTTTCTTGAAGGAGAAAAATGAAAACGATTCTGCATTCACTATAAGTGACATGCCCTTTGTCACCCGTAAGGGGGACAGATGCATACTGGTTAGACGCAGTCCTGTGAATATTCACAAAGGCCACTGTCCGGTGGTGAGGTGCATTCTGAGTTGAGTTTTCATTGTCTCCACTAACAGTTTGGCCATCTGCATAGGTGACCGTCTATCACCCAACCTGGAAAACTGCTCACAGTCATCAGAGCAGAAACACACGTTCTTTACTGCACATCACAAAGAGAAACCTGAAATTAGATGTCAGACTCCTGCATCAAAGATTTTATCTTTGCAACCCTTTGAAAGCGTGGTCAGTACTTTATGTTCTGTTATACCACACTCAAGGCCTGCAGAGAGGGAGCTCCTGCCCCTGGAGCTGGAGCCCGTGGCATGCGACATTGGGCCACTTGGTTCATTCTTTTGCAAACTTTTGCCCCAAGCTAATCTGTGCTTTATCCACTGATGCAAAGATAATTCAATTCATGTAATGTTATGCAAGCACATTGAACTTTATGGGACTCTTCAAATCAGCTGTTGTACTTGTAAAGGAAACTCATGCAATGGAGGAAGTTGCTTGTAATATTGAGTTGCTGATACTGTACTTTTAAAAATTGATATGTAGATAAGCTTTATAGTTCTAACACCTCATACTGGTTGGACATTTTTCTAAGATAAAACCAGTTCTTTCTGTCTTCTAAAAAAAAAAAAAGTATTGTTAAAGGAAGACAGACCATTCAGGTTCCACAAAGACACATGCTCTTAGATTAATAAATTGCATCATGCTTCCTCCAAACTACCCTCTACTGTATTCTGAAGAGGTTATTTGCAGATGGAATTCATAGTGCTTTGAAAATAAATGTCTTACAAACATTACTTAATTTTATTAATATGCTTGAACCATGTACTTCTTCATTTACCATAAAAATAAAATGGAACAGCTATAATGTGATTATATATTCAAGTACTAATGGGTATGTTAAATATATAAGTTCCATTAAAATCCATAATTTATTGAGGTTTAGAAATTGTGCATCGTGAACAACTAAATTGTCACTTTTATGATTACGATGAATCTTTTGGCAGTGAGGTTATGGTGATTTTCCAGATCCTATATGCACGAGCATAGAAAAGAGTAGTCTGGTTTTCCTTTAAAGAAGAAACACAGTATATCAGCAGATAAAGAAACACTGAGAAAATAATTTGTGAGTCTTGCAAGGTCTGCAATAGTGCAAAATAATTATACACAGCTTTTATCACAGCTGTAGCTTGCATTAGAAAAGGCAATAGAAATCCTTTCCTAACATATAAATCATTCATTTGTAATATTTGGAGTTATGTTTTCTTATTCTTCATTAAAATACACCCATGTGGAAGACAGAGGGCTCCAGCACTCACTCTGTGAAATGACTTGCTATTTCACTAGGAAGAGCATGCATCTATCCCCACAGGGGAAAAAAGAAAGAACTATACAAACTCTATCACTTCCACAGTGACAAGAAAAGAAATCCTCTTTTATGGTCTCATTCGTTCCATTAAGCGTATTGAGGTCAATCGTCTGTTAGATTGGCAATGGCCCACTCGATACCCACAGAGGACCCCGTGTGACCCACCTTGTCAGGACTAAGCTACCACGCAGCAGCAGCCCTCTCCTCCCCAGCCCTTCCATCAGTCACCCCCACCACAGTTGTCCAATAAGACCTGACAAGCACCGGCAGCAGGGCTGACACACGCCAAGAGCCATCGTGATTATTGTCATGTTATCATTACTGTCCAGAGACCCTCAGCACCACCCCATCAGGCCTCCCACTCCTGTGGACCCCCAGGCAGCAGGGGGCCAGGTCCAGGCTGACTCTGCCATTAACGGGATGCTCATCTTTCCCCAGCTCCAGCAGCCACTGCCCTTTCCTACCTCTCAAAGCTTCTACCGGGCCAAGAATCTTGTGTATGTTCAACTTCTCCGCACTTCCCTGTATCTCTTGCTCTGATTGGCATTTGTCAGTTCCGGAGGACACTGTTTGTCTTGGAGCCCTATCAGAGGTGGCTGTTTTTATCATTTTGCAGATGACGGGACATGTCACTGAGGGGAAAAGGTCTTCTGCTCTTTATTACCATTTGGGGCCTATTTATCTTCCAGTCTCTCTGAAAGCTCCCAGCTTTGCTGAAGTGAGTGCTTCAGACGCCACCATGCAGTGGACACAGGCAGGCCTCTGGGTGTGCTCCTCACTCTGCCCCAGGAAACACTTACAATGATAGTTAATGTTCTGTGTCTACTAATCGGGGCAGGGGTGCCCAGGTTCAACCTTATGTCTAGGTGCCTGTGAGGTTTTTCTGGATGAGACAGGCATGGAATCCCTGGACTCAGTAAGGCAGGCTGCCCTCCCTAATGTGGGCCGGCCCCATCCAATCCATTGAGAGCCCGAGTAGAACTAAAGGCAAAGGAAGGAGGAACTTGTCCCCCCTTTTTTCTACCTTACTGCTTCAAGTGGATCATCCCATCTCATCTCCTTCCATCAGACCGGGAGCTGCACCACCAGCTCCCCTTGATCTCGGGCCCTTGGATTCTAACTGAATCTCACCGCCAGCTTCCCTAGGCCTCCAGCTTGCAGAGGCGGATCCCGGGACTTCTCGGCTTCCATAATCACAGGAGCTAGTTCCTCTTGATCCATCTCTCCCTTCCTCTCTCTCCTCCTGCCTCTCTTTCTCTCTTTCTCCGTATTGGAGTAGAAATAGAACTCGATGTAGATATAGATGTAGACATAGACATAGGTAGATATAGATATAGATATCAGTATAGATATGGATTTCTTATCTACTTTGTTTTTCGGGAGAATCTCAATATATCAACTATGTATCTTTCCCGATTGTTAACACTTTTTATAATTTGACCCCATTTTGTCATCTTAATAGTTCCATTTCGCAGATGAGGGAATGTGTCACTGAGGGGAGAAGGTCTTCTGTTCTTTATTCCAGCTTGGGGACTATTTCTCTTCCAGTCTCCCTGAAAACCCCCAGCTTTGCTGAAGTGAGTGCTTCTAATTCCACCACGCAGTGCCCTAATTGCAGACACAGGCAGGCCTCCTGGGCTTGCTCATCACTCTCCGAGGGTGTCAGCCTCAGTTGCCTTCTTCCTGTTCTCACCACCAATCACTGCAAGATGTAAACAGCCACGCGGAAGACAAGGCCAACATCAGGCTGTCGTGTTTGTGTCTCACCACTGCCCACGGTCACTTCCTTTAGTCCTCACTGCCTCCCGTGGTCAAATTTCTGGATGATGTCACCATTGATAACTAAACCTCATCTACATTTTAAATACAAACATTCCACTTTTGCTCAACACCTTGTGTCTTGCTAAGCAATCCTTTTGTCCAACTAGGACCTCCGATCTACTGATCCTCTGGCATAAAAGAAAAGAAAATCTCATCAAAAAATTTTAATTTACAAAATGAATTACATTCTTAAGATTTAAAAATAAATGACATTTTTATGATTTAAAAATAAAGTAAATGAACACCGAGCCAGGGGCAATTCCTTCCCCTTACACACTTCTACTGTCTGTGAAGTTCCCATTTGTACACCCCGTGCTTCTCCCAGGTCAACAGTGAGTTTAGTTTCTTGAGTAAACTTTCAAAGTTTCTCTCTGCATATTCTAGCAATCACAAAGAAATGTTCTTAATGTCTCATTTTTATTTAAAAGGGAGAAATACTATGCACTCTATTCTTAAGCTTCCTTTTTTATTTAAAAATAAATCATTAAGATATTTCTATGTGGTCAGGTGCGGTGGCTTATGCCTGTAATCCCAGCACTTTGGGAGGCTGAGGTAGGTGGATCACATTAGGTCAGGCATTCAAGACCAGCCTGGTCAATATGAAAAAACCAAGTCTCTACTAAAAATACAAAAATTAGCCGGGTATGGTGGCACATGTCTGTAATCCCAGCTACTCAGGAGGCTGAGGCAGGAGAATCTCTTGAATCCAGGAGGCAGAGATTGTGGTGACCTGAGCTTATGCCAGTGCACTCCAGCCTGGGTGACAGAGTGAGACTCTGTCTCAAAAAACAAAACAAAACAAAACAAAACAAAACAAAACAAAACAGATATTCTATGAAAGCAGGTAAAAAGCTTTCTGTATTAGCCGTTTTTAAATGTAGAGTTTAGTAGTGCTAAATATATTCACATTGTGCAACAGATTTCTACCACTTTCTTTCACCTTGCAAACCTAGAATTCTATACCCATTAAACAACTCCCAATATTCTCCTCTTCTAGCCAATGGCAACCAACATTTTACTTTCTGCTTCTGCGAGTTTAACTATTTTAGATAACTCACATAAGTGGAATTATCCAGGACTTGTCTTCATGGGACCGGTTTATTTCACTTAAAATACTGTCTTCGAGGTTTATCCATGTTGTAACATGTAACAGGGTTCCATTCATCTTAAAGGCTGGGTAATATTCCATTGTTTATGTATACCACACTTTATTTATGCATCAATGGACATGCAAGTTGCTTCCACTTCCTGAGTATTGTGAATAATGCTGCAATCAACATGGATACGCAAATATCTCTGCAAGTCCCTGCTTTCAATCCCTTTTTATATGTGGAAATTCTTCATTTTACTTATTGAGGAATCTTTGTACTGTTTTCCGTAGAGGCTGCACCATTTTACCCTCCCACAGACAGCGGACAGGGGTTCCAACTTCACCCAATTTTTGCCCGCACTTGTTATTTTCTGGGGATTTTGGATTCTTTTTCCTGGTAGTGACCTCCCTAATTTGTGTGAGATGTTCTCTCCTCGTGGTTCTGATTTGCATTGCCGGAGTGATGGACACTGTTGAGCACCTTCTCATGTGCTTGGTGGAATGGTGTCTAACTTTGGAGAAATCTCTATTCAAGTCCTTTATACATTTTCAAATCAGGTTATTGATTTATTTGTTGTTGAGTTGTATTTTTGTTTTTTATTCTGCTTTTCATCCCTGATCAAATATGTGTTTTGCAAATATTTTTCCTCTTTTGGTAGGTTGTCTTTTCAGTCTATTTTTTTTTTTGACACTATAAACTACAGACTTTATTTGAATTTCACCCATTTTCTACCGATGCTCCTTTTCTGTTCCATAATCCCACATTTAGTTGTTATTTCACTTTAGTCTCCTCCAATTTTAAACTGTTTCTCAGTTTGTCTTATTTTTTATGATCTTGACACTTTTGAAGAATATTGATCAGTTATTTTGCGGAATGCCTCCAGTTTGGGTTTGTCTGATGTTTTCTCATGCTTGGAATGAGGTATGCATTTTTGGCAGGAACGCCAAGGAAGTATCCTCTGTGAATGGTATCAAGAGGTTCATGATGTCAGCATGTCTTATTATTGGTGATTTTGATGTTCATCCCTTGGTTAAGGTGGTTTCTGCAAGGTTTCTTATTTTTTTTTTTTTTATACTTTAAGTTTTAGGGTACATGTGCACATTGTGCAGGTTAGTTACATATGTATACATGTGCCATGCTGGTGCGCTGCACCCACTAACTCATCATCTAGCATTAGGTATATCTCCCAATGCTATCCCTCCCCCCTCCTCCAACCCCACCACAGTCCCCAGAGTGTGATATTCCCCTTCCTGTGTCCATGTGATCTCATTGTTCAATTCCCACCTATGAGTGAGAATATGCAGTGTTTGGTTTTTGGTTCTTGTGATAGTTTACTGAGAATGATGATTTCCAATTTCATCCATGTCCCTACAAAGGACACGAACTCATCATTTTTTATGGCTGCATAGTATTCCATGGTGTATATGTGCCACATTTTCTTAATCCAGTCTATCATTGTTGGACATTTGGCTTGGTTCCAAGTCTTTGCTATTGTGAATAATGCCGCAATAAACATACGTGTGCATGTGTCTTTATAGCAGCATGATTTATAGTCATTTGGGTATATACCCAGTAATGGGATGGCTGGGTCAAATGGTATTTCTAGTTCTAGATCCCTGAGGAATCGCCACACTGACTTCCACAATGGTTGAACTAGTTTACAGTCCCACCAACAGTGTAAAAGTGTTCCTATTTCTCCACATCCTCTCCAGCACCTGTTGTTTCCTGACTTTTTAATGATTGCCATTCTAACTGATGAGAGATGGTATCTCATTGTGGTTTTGATTTGCATTTCTCTGATGGCCAGTGATGATGAGCATCTTTTCATGTGTTTTTTGGCTGCATAAATGTCTTCTTTTGAGAAGTGTCTGTTCATGTCCTTCGCCCACTTTTTGATGGGGTTGTTTGTTTTTTTCTTGTAAATTTGTTTGAGTTCATTGTAGATTCTGGATATTAGCCCTTTGTCAGATGAGTAGGTTGCGAAAATTTTCTCCCATTTTGTAGGTTGCCTGTTCACTCTGATGGTAGTTTCTTTTGCTGTGCAGAAGCTCTTTAGTTTAATTAGATCCCATTTGTCAATTTTGGCTTTTGTTACCATTGCTTTTGGTGTTTTGGACATGAAGTCCTTGTCCATGCCTATGTCCTGAATGGTAATGCCTAGGTTTTCTTCTAGGGTTTTTATGGTTTTAGGTCTAACATTTAAATCTTTAATCCATCTTGAATTGATTTTTGTATAAAGTGTAAGGAAGGGATCCAGTTTCAGCTTTCTACATATGGCTAGCCAGTTTTCCCAGCACCATTTATTAAATAGGGAATCCTTTCCCCATTGCTTGTTTTTCTCAGGTTTGTCAAAGATCAGAGAGTTGTAGATATGCGGCATTATTTCTGAGGGCTCTGTTCTGTTCCATTGATCTATATCTCTGTTTTGGTACCAGTACCATGCTGTTTTGGTTACTGTAGCCTTGTAGTATAGTTTGAAGTCAGGTAGTGTGATGCCTCCAGCTTTGTTCTTTTGGCTTAGGATTGACTTGACGATGAGGGCTCTTTTTTGGTTCCATATGAACTTTAAAGTAGTTTTTTACAATTCTGTGAAGAAAGTCATTGGTAGCTTGATGGGGATGGCATTGAATCTGTAAATTACCTTGGGCAGTATGGCCATTTTCATGATATTGATTCTTCCTACCCATGAGCATGGAATGTTCTTCCATTTGTTTGTATCCTCTTTTATTTCATTGAGCAGTGGTTTGTAGTTCTCCTTGAAGAGGTCCTTCACATCCCTTGTAAGTTGGATTCCTAGGTATTTTATTCTCTTTGAAGCAATTGTGAATGGGAGTTCACTCACGATTTGGCTCTCTGTTTCTCTGTTGTTGGTGTATAAGAATGCTTGTGATTTTTGTACATTGATTTTGTATCCTGAGACTTTTCTGAAGTTGCTTATCAGCTTAAGGAGATTTTGGGCTGAGACAATGGGGTTTTCTAGATATACAATCATGTCGTCTGCAAACAGGGACAATTTGACTTCCTCTTTTCCTAATTGAATACCCTTTATTTCCTTCTCCTGCCTAATTGCCCTGGCCAGAACTTCCAACACTATGTTGAATAGGAGTGGTGAGAGAGGGCATCCCTGTCTTGTGCCAGTTTTCAAAGGGAATGCTTCCAGTTTTTGCCCATTCAGTATGATATTGGCTGTGGGTTTGTCATAGATAGCTCTTATTATTTTGAAATACATCCCATCAATACCTAATTTATTGAGAGTTTTTAGCATGAAGGGTTGTTGAATTTTGTCAAAGGCTTTTTCTGCATCTATTGAGATAATCATGTGGTTTTTGTCTTTGGCTCTGTTTATATGCTGGATTACTTTTATTGATTTGCATATATTGAACCAGCCTTGCATCCCAGGGATGAAGCCCACTTGATCATGGTGGAGAAGCTTTTTGATGTGCTGCTGGATTCGTTTTGCCAGTATTTTATTGAGGATTTTTGCATCAGTGTTCATCAAGGATATTGGTCTAAAATTCTCTTTTTTGGTTGTGTCTCTGCCCGGCCTTGGTATCAGAATGATGCTGGCCTCATAAAATGAGTTAGGGAGGATTCCCTCTTTTTCTATTGATTGGAATAGTTTCAGAAGGAATGGTACCAGTTCCTCCTTGTACCTCTGGTAGAATTCAGCTGTGAATCCATCTGGTCCTGGACTCTTTTTGGTTGGTAAACTATCGATTATTGCCACAATTTCAGCTCCTGTTATTGGTCTATTCAGAGATTCAACTTCTTCCTGGTTTAGTCTTGGGAGAGTGTATGTGTCCAGGAATTTATCCATTTCTTCTAGATTTTCTAGTTTATTTGCGTAGAGGTGTTTGTAGTATTCTCTGATGATAGTTTGTATTTCTGTGGGATCGGTGGTGATATCCCTTTATCATTTTTTATTGTGTCTATTTGATTCTTCTCTTTTTTTCTTTATTAGTCTTGCTAGTGGTCTATCAATTTTGTTGCTCCTTTCAAAAAACCAGCTCCTGGATTCATTGATTTTTTGAAGGGTTTTTTGTGGCTCTATTTCCTTCAGTTCTGCTCTGATTCTAGTTATTTCTTGCCTTTGGCTAGCTTTTGAATGTATTTGCTCTTGCTTTTCTAGTTCTTTTAATTGTGATGTTAGGGTGTCAATGTTGGATCTTTCCTGCTTTCTCTTGTGGGCATTTAGTGCTATAAATTTCCCTCTACACACTGCTTTGAATGCGTCCCAGAGATTCTGGTATGTTGTGTCTTTGTTCTCGTTGGTTTCAAAGAACATCTTTATTTCTGCCTTCATTTCGTTATGTACCCAGTAGTCATTCAGGAGCAGGTTGTTCAGTTTCCATGTAGTTGAGCGGCTTTGAGTGAGATTCTTAATCCTGAGTTCTAGTTTGATTGCACTGTGGTCTGAGAGATAGTTTGTTATAATTTCTGTTCTTTTACATTTGCTGAGGAGAGCTTTACTTCCAACTATGTGGTCAATTTTGGAATGGGTGTGGTGTGGTGCTGAAAAAAATGTATATTCTGTTGAATTGGGGTGGAGAGTTCTGTAGATGTCTATTAGGTCCGCTTGGTGCAGAGCTGAGTTCAATTCCTGGGTATCCTTGTTGACTTTCTGTCTCGTTGATCTGTCTAATGTTGACAGTGGGGTGTTAAAGTCTCCCATTATTAATGTGTGGGAGTCTAAGTCTCTTTGTAGGTCACTCAGGACTTGCTTTATGAATCTGGGTGCTCCTGTATTGGGTGCATATATATTTAGGATAGTTAGCTCTTCTTGTTGAATTGATCCCTTTACCATTATGTAATGGCCTTCTTTGTCTCTTTTGATCTTTGTTGGTTTAAAGTCTGTTTTATCAGAGACTAGGATTGCAACCCCTGCCTTTTTTTGTTTTCCATTGGCTTGGTAGATCTTCCTCCATCCTTTTATTTTGAGCCTATGTGTGTCTCTGCATGTGAGATGGGTTTCCTGAATACAGCACACTGATGGGTCTTGACTCTTTATCCAATTTGCCAGTCTGTGTCTTTTAATTGGAGCATTTAGTCCATTTACATTTAAAGTTAATATTGTTATGTGTGAATTTGATCCTGTCATTATGATGTTAGCTGGTTATTTTGCTCGTTAGTTGATGCAGTTTCTTCCTAGTCTCGATGGCCTTTACATTTTGGCATGATTTTGCAGCGGCGGGTACCGCTTGTTCCTTTCCATGTTTAGCGCTTCCTTCAGGAGCTCTTTTAGGGCAGGCCTAGTGGTGACAAAATCTCTCAGCATTTGCTTGTCTGTGAAGTATTTTATTTCTCCTTCACTTATGAAGTTTAGTTTGGCTGGATATGAAATTCTGGGTTGAAAATTCTTTTCTTTAAGAATGTTGAATATTGGCCCCCACTCTCTTCTGGCTTGTAGAGTTTCTGCCGAGAGATCCGCTGTTAGTCTGATGGGCTTCCCTTTGAGGGTAACCTGACCTTTCTCTCTGGCTGCCCTTAACATTTTTTCCTTCATTTCAACTTTGGTGAATCTGACAATTATGTGTCTTGGAGTTGCTCTTCTCGAGGAGTATCTTTGTGGCGTTCTCTGTATTTCCTGAATCTGAATGTTGGCCTGCCTTGCTAGATTGGGGAAGTTCCCTGGATAATATCCTGCAGAGTGTTTTCCAACTTGGTTCCATTCTCCCCATCACTTTCAGGTACACCAATCAGACGTAGATTTGGTCTTTTCACATAGTCCCATATTTCTTGGAGGCTTTGCTCATTTCTTTTTATTCCTTTTTCTCTAAACTTCCCTTCTTGCTTCATTTCATTCATTTCATCTTCCATTGCTGATACCCTTTCTTCCAGTTGATCGCATCGGCTCCTGAGGCTTCTGCATTCTTCACGTAGTTCTCGAGCCTTGGTTTTCAGCTCCATCAGCTCCTTTAAGCACTTCTCTGTATTGGTTATTCTAGTTATACATTCTTCTAAATTTTTTTCAAAGTTTTCAACTTCTTTGCCTTTGGTTTGAATGTCCTCCCGTAGCTCAGAGTAATTTGATCGTCTGAAGCCTTCTTCTCTCAGCTCGTCAAAGTCATTCTCCATCCAGCTTTGTTCTGTTGCTGGTGAGGAACTGAGTTCCTTTGGAGGAGGAGAGGCGCTCTGCTTTTTAGAGTTTCCAGTTTTTCTGTTCTGTTTTTTCCCCATCTTTGTGGTTTTATCTACTTTTGGTCTTTGATGATGGTGATGTACAGATGGGTTTTCGGTGTGGATGTCCTTTCTGTTTGTTAGTTTTCCTTCTAACAGACAGGACCCTCAGCTGCAGGTCTGTTGGAATACCCTGCCGTGTGAGGTGTCAGTGTGCCCCTGCTGGGGGGTGCCTCCCAGTTAGGCTGCTCCAGGGTCAGGGGTCAGGGACCCACTTGAGGAGGCAGTCTGCCAGTTCTCAGATCTCCAGCTGCGTGCTGGGAGAACCACTGCTCTCTTCAAAGCTGTCAGACAGGGACACTTAAGTCTGCAGAGGTTACTGCTGTCTTTTTGTTTGTCTGTGCCCTGCCCCCAGAGGTGGAGCCTACAGAGGCAGGCAGGCCTCCTTGAGCTGTGGTGGGCTCCACCCAGTTCGAGCTTCCTGGCTGCTTTGTTTACCTAAGCAAGCCTGAGCAATGGCGGGCGCCCCTCCCCCAGCCTCGCTGCCACCTTGCAGTTTGATCTCAGACTGCTGTGCTAGCAATCAGCGAGATTCCGTGGGCGTAGGACCCTCCAAGCCAGGTGTGGGATATAATCTCGTGGTTTGCCGCTTTTTAAGCCGGTCTGAAAAGCGCAATATTCGGGTGGGAGTGACCCGATTTTCCAGGTGCCTCCGTCACCCCTTTCTTTGACTCGGAAAGGGAACTCCCTGACCCCTTGCGCTTCCCAGGTGAGGCAATGCCTCGCCCTGCTTCGGCTCATGCACGGTGCGCGCACCCACTGGCCTGCGCCCACTGTCTGGCACTCCCTAGTGAGAGAAACCCGGTACCTCAGATGGAAATGCAGAAATCACCCGTCTTCTGCGTCACTCATGCTGGGAGCTGTAGACCGGAGCTGTTCCTATTCGGCCATCTTGGCTCCTCCTTCAGTCTATTTTTGATTCACTTTGGTCGCCAAAGTTTTTAGGTTTGTTGTAGTCCTATTTGTCTATTTTCACTTTTTTGCCTGTACTTTTGGTGTTACGTCCAAGAAAACATTGCCAAATACAGTATCATGAAGTTTTCCCCCTATATTTTTTTCTAGGAGTTTTGTAGTTTTAGGTCTTATATTTATTTCTTTAATTCATTTTGAGTTCATTTTTTGTGCATGCTTGACGTATATAACTTCATTGTTCTGCATGTGGATATCCAGTTTTCTCAACACTGTCTTTTCTACGTCATGTGGTCTTGGCACCCTTGTGAAAAATTATTTAACATTACACAGGAGAGTTGACTTCTGGGCTGTTAATTCTTTTCTATTCAGTCTGTCTTCCAGATAGGACCGCACTGCTTTGATTACTATAGTTGTGTAATATACTTTAAAATCAGGAAAGGAATGGCCTCTAGATTTGTTCCTCTTTTTCAATATTATTTTGTCTATTCAGAGTTGCTTGGGATTCCATATGAATTGTAGGATTTTTATTTTCTGAAAAAAAAAAGGTCATTGGGATTTTGATAGAGATTGCATTGAATCTCTAATTGCTTTTGGTGATATGGACATTTTAATATTAAGTCTTCCAATTCATAAACATGGATGTTCTTGCATTTATTTGTGTTCTGTGCTTTTTTTAAAATTTTGTTTTATGCAGGTATTGATTTATGTAAACAGGAATTTAATTAACGTATGAATCTTTGGATTAGATTGGTTCCATTTTGCTATTAGAAAAAAACGCTGTGGTAAATAATTACTAACACACATGGTTTTATAGTCATGCAAAGTTGTGTCTAGGAAAAATTCCAAAAAGTGGAATTTCTGAGTAAAAATTTATAGGTTTTTGAATCGTTTTCTATTTTACTTATTATTTTTTATTTTTATTTTTTATTTCCATAGGTTTTTGGGGGAACAAGTGGTGTTTGGTTACATGAATAAGTTCTTTAGTGGTGATTTCTGAGATTTGGTGTAGCAATCACCTGAGCCGTATACACTGTATCCAATTTGTAGTCTTTCATCCCTCACCCCCATCCCACCCACTTAGCACAAGCTCAAGCTAAGTGCTCTTCTCTCTCTTGCAAATAGTCTTTCTAGTATGACCTTTATCTCGATGTTATTTATTATTATTATTATTTTGTTGTTGTTGTTGATTTGCACAGATTTTAGCTTTTGCAGTCAAATTTAGCAGCATTTTCTTTTATGGTCTCTCGGTTTTAGTCAGGCAGGCTTTCCTTTCTTCAAGGTTATAAAGGAATTTGGCTGTGTCTTCCAGTTCTTTAATGACTTAGCTTTTATAATTAAATATTGAAACCAGATTTTTCCTGGGGTGTGGTGTGAAGACTGAGTCCAGGATTAATATTTCCATAACTCAACCCAGCTGCCCCATCACCACTTATTGAAAAGATCATCTTTACCCTCTTATTTTAATTGCCATATTAATTGTCCTCCAAAGTCCCAGTGCATTTCAGTGTATTTCCTTTGTTCTATCTCTTCATGTGCCAATATCACACTATTTTAATAATGATAATTTTGTTGTGTGTTTCACCTTCCTTTGTTTTTCCTTTTAGAGTATTCCTGAATCTTATCTTCAACGTGAGCCTTGGGATCAACTGGTCTTATTTCTCCTAAAATATCTGTTGATATCTTTTTATTGGCATTATGTGAAATTTGTTAAATGAATTACAGGCATTTCTTTAGCTTTAGTTTTGAGTATTCTTATTCAAGAACTTGGTACTTCTTTTCATACATTCAGTTCATTTTTGTGCCCTTCAATAACTTTTGGAAGTCTACTTCAAGTAAATGTGGCTTGTTTTCTCTTCAATTTATTCCAAATCATCTTATATTTAAGGTTTGTTATTTTACATCAGGAATTTAACTGCATCAGAGCTATTTATGCTTGTTAATTAATTTTCTACATTGCACAACTTTTGAATTGTAATATTGTTTGCAACAGTGTTTAGTTGATTCTCTTATTTTTTTCAAGAAGCTCTATTATCATATAGTAATAGAGTAATCTTTTCTAAGTTATATATCTCAGTTTTATTATAATTGCATTAGCTATTGTTAAATGATGTTGATGATAATGAGAATGATGATCATTAAATAAATGATTTCACACACAAATCTATCAGCAATCTCACTGGATAAATGTGAGTGCAATATCCTAAATGAAAAATGAGTAAACATAGTTAAAAAGCCTATAAAAATAATCATTTAATAATCAAATAGAGCTTATTTCAGATATCAGGACAGTATATCTTTAGGAACTCTATTGATCTAATTCATAATATTAAAATATTTAAATAAAAAAAATTATACTCATTTCCATAGGTGCAGACAGGCATTTGGAAACATTCAACAACCATTCATGATGTTAAAAAAAATAACAAATCTAGAACAGGTGACCATTTTCTAACTGATAAAATGTGTCTACCTCTATTCCAAAGCCAGGATTATACTCAATAGTGAAACACAAGAAGTATTGCAAATTCACGTGTTTAACTTGTGTCCTATTAGATGGGTAGTTTTAGTGACCATTCCATGATCACATAAACCAGATATCTTCTCTATTATCAGAATATACCATTTGTTCTACACAAAGCCAATTTCCTTTATTAATTATATGATTGGGACTTTTATACATTCTTACTTAAAACTTGATCTGTCATGGATGTAGATAAATGAATCGAAGTGATCACAACTCAAGTTGCTTCTATTTCTTCTTGCAGTCCCTGAAGCTTCTGCTTCATGAATAGAGTTATTATGCTATTTCATGTGTAGAGTTCAGAGCTGCTACATCTTATTGGTCAATAGTTCATTTTTATATTATAATTTCCTTTGTTTAATTTTGGTGTTGTTTAATGGTTATAGCTAAATTACTGCTTGTTTTGTCTGATAGGAAGCTCGTGTTTCCTGCTTTGTTTCTCTTTGCTGGCCTAGCTTTGCCTATTCATCAGTTTTCTCATCTTTATAGAATCACATTGTTTTAGTAATGTCCCACTGAATAACCTAAATTTGCAATTTACTTTGCAACTGAATTTTAAAATGTGCTTGTTTGCATTTCTTGAAATGAGAAATAGGTTTGGTCTCAGCTTTGCCATATTATTTTATGTATGTTCTATGTTCATAGAAGTTTTAAAAATCTTTGTGTTCAGTTTTCTTAGTGCATTTTTTGTGCATAGTTTTCTGACATTTAAGAAAGCTTGTATTTCTGTTGTTGTTGTAGTGATTATTTATAATTGTAACCTTATATGGTACCTTTCATCCTTTCATTACTTAGGCAGTTTCTAATAGTCCCCCTCTTAAAGCAGTGATAAAGTTACCATTTTCCTTTCTCTTCATTGTCCTCTATCAGCATCAATTTTAGTCAATAATGTTACCTATTTCGGCATTATCATTATTGCGTTAAATATCTTTATGATATTCTTAAAGTGTATACTATGCATCACATTATATCATTTTCTCTTTTCTTGCAATCTTTGCTAGTAGCCTCCTTGTGAAACCTCTCATTCTGTTCAGCCTCCCTGATTAGTGATTGTAGTCTTTGCTTCATACTTTCTAGGTTGACCGATGATTTTTGAAGATATAATTTCCATAATCATTTCTTGATTGGCTGAAATTTCTTATCTGGTAGTTTATGTAAGCATTCAGAAAAAAAAGTCTTAGTTTTTGTGTGTGAAACACAATAATTTTGTCAAGATAGATCTCAATTTTTAGGTCAATTTTTCCTGGCCTCAAAAGGTGCACTTTGAAAACATAATTTTAAATCTCATTTCACAAAAAATGTTTTTTTAGATGGCAGATATACAGGAGGTCATCTCTTTCTCTGTGGCAGAATAAGGGAAAGACTTCAGATTTTGTAAAGTCTGGGAAGTCCCTTCTTCCAGCAAGGAAAATTTGCTTTCGTTTCATTGTTTTATCTTGTAATTTTGGAGACTTCAGTTATGGATATATTGGATCTCCATATAAAATTTACAATTGGCTATTGCTTTCAACAAAAATGTCTGCAGGGATTTGGTTAGAATTGTTTCAAATTTGTAATTTGGGGAAATTGACATCTTTACAAAATTCAGATTTCCAATTCATAAATACTCTGTTTTTCATTTAGTCTTTCTTTGACTTTTCTGTCCAAAGTTTATAATTTTCATCATACAAATCTTAAACAAATTTTCTTAGATCTAGACATAAATATTTCAAGTTTTTTTGGTGTTATTACAAGTTGTATATGTTTTAAATTACTATCTAATTGTGGATTGCTAATGTACAAAAATACAATTAATTTTTGTATATTGACTTTTGAAGCAGCAATATTGTTGAACTCATGTATTATATCAGGGAGTGCTTTTTTGTGCATGCTTTGAACATCTGACACCAATAACCATATAGTCTACGTACAGACAATTTTCTTTCTTTCTTTCAATATTCTATAATTCTCATGGTTTTTCTTTTCTAGTTTCATTGTACTAGAGTTCCTTCACTATGATATTGTGGTAAGCAGAGTAATGCTCCAACCCGCAGAAAGAAAAAGATGTTCACACCCTCATCCCCAGAACTTGTAAATATGTGAGTGGTAAAAGTGACTTTGCTGGAGTGTTTAGGAATATGGACAATAGGATTATCCTCGAGACAATAAGATTATCCTGAATTATCCACATGGACCTAATTTAATCACATGAGTTCTTACAAATGAGGAGTCCTTTCAGGTAGGATGACACAAGTGAGAAGGATGAACAAAGAGAAGAGATCCAGCAGGTGAGGGGGAGTTGGCTCACCATGGATAGCTTTGAGCATGGAGAAAGAAGGATCGGAACCCCTGAGTGTGGGAATGGCCCACCGTGCACAGCCAGTGAGAAAACGGGAGCTGGCTCCTGACCTGAATTCTGCCAAGTAATGGAATGAGCAACAAATGCATTATCTCCTATGACTTTCAGTGAGAAACACAGCCTGGTGACACTTCGATTGCAGCTCAGTAAGAAGTATGTCAAGCTTCAGACCCACAGACATATAAAATAATAAATATAGGTTGTTTCAAGCCACTAAGTTTGTGGTAATTTTTTTGCAGTAGCAATAGAAAATTAATTCAGATATTGAATAGGAGTGGTGGGAGAGAACATCTTTGCTTTATTCTCAATCTTAGGGGTCTTTCTGCATTAATATGCAGTCTTTCACCATTAATATGGTATTAACTGTGTTTTTTTTTTTTTTTTTGGAGGTGACCCTTGTGAGGTCAAGTTAGTGTTCTTTTCCAGATAGTTTCCTGAGTTTTTATCAAGAATGACTGGATTTTGTCCATTTTTCTCTGCCTCCATGGAAGTGATTATATAGGTGTTCTCCTCTAACATCTTGACATACAAAATTACATTGGTTGATTTACAAATGTTGAAAATATGACTCATACTCAATTATGACATTATCATTTTTATCTATTGCTTGATTTTATTTGCTTTTATTATGTTAAATATTTTTGTGACCATATTTATGAGGGTTATTAGACTATATTTTTCTTTTCTTGTAATACTTTCATTTAGTTTTAATACAAGTATAATATTGGACTCATAAAATAACTTGAGAAGTTTTCTCTA
Source organism: Homo sapiens (assembly GCF_000001405.40). Lineage (NCBI taxonomy): Eukaryota > Metazoa > Chordata > Mammalia > Primates > Hominidae > Homo > Homo sapiens. The sequence goes on from NC_000005.10 coordinate 4,507,997, forward strand.
TCTTGTATTTTCTGGAAGAGGTTCTATAGAATTGATATTATGTCTCCATGAAATGTTTGATAGAATTTTCCAGTAAAGATATGTGGGTCCAGAGTTTTATTTGTGATGATATTTTAAAATAAGTTTAATTTCTTTAATAGAATTGTACTATTCTGGGAATTTATTTCTTCTTGAATGAGCTTTGCTAGTTTGCATCATTCACAAAATTTATGCCATCACTTCTTTTGCTTATCTTTACAAACATTTTCTTATTATCGTTTTTATGTCTGCAGAATCTCTAGTGATGTCACTTCTCACACTTCTAATATTAATAATTTGTCTTTTTTTCCTGATCAGTCTGGTTAAAAGTTAATGAATTTCATTGACCTTTCAAAAGTAATCTGCTTTGATTCCATTGAATGTTTTCTGCTTTATTTTGTTTTCAATTCTATTGATTTCTGCTGCTATATTTATTATTTTTTCTTTATGCTTAATTTAGTTTTAATTTTCTTTTTCTGTCTATTTTTTGATGTGAAAGTTCTAGCAATTGACTTGAGACCTTTCTTATTTTTGACTTAAGTCTTTAATGCTGTACATTTTCCTCAAAGTACTACTTTATCTACATCCTATACATTTTTTATGACATGCTTTCAATGTACTTTATTTTTAGAGATTTTCCAATTTCCCTTGGGATGGCCTTTTTGACACAGAGATTATTTAAAAGTATGTTGCTTATTTTCCAAATTTTGTGGCATTATTCAGGTATCAGATGTTGATTTCTAATTTAATTCATTGTAGTCAGAGAATGCACTGCAAAATCTGAGCTATTTAATCTGTATCTTTTTAGATGGCTATCTAGTTTTCTCAATTGTATTTAATAAACAACCTATTTTTCCCATTAATTAAAAATGACAGTATTATCATACATATAAATCTCATATATTATTGAATCACATAAATTGAAAAATGGCAATGTTTAATGAACATATTTAATTCACAGCTTGGCTTTTGCATGTGGACTACATTCCCCAAAAAACATCCATTATGGACAAAAAACCATGATAAACTCTGTGGGCATCTTCAATTTTCCATAACCTTTTGAATTAAGCTGTAGAATTGTTCAGGCATTCAGTCACATTCTTTTAAATAATTTTTTTTTCACAAAGTTTACTTGGCTTACATATTTTTAGGTATTCTGGGTTCTTTTACACAGTAAGAATTCAAAACTTTTTAAGTAACTTAAAGAGGATATTGTTTGTGATCTTGACTTGACTTGCAGGATTATGAATGTCAAGATCATGAAGATACAGTTGATTTAAAATTGCACATGTTACTGTGGTTTATGCTATGCTCAGACAGAATGTTCAAGTAATACTTTACGATCCAAGGACAAAGGTGATTTTTTTCTATAAATTTCTAATCATTTATTTTTTTAAGTGCTTGACAAGGGAAGTCAGTGATACACAAAAAGCACCAGAACATCTCTACCTGCCCTAGGGGAAGAGAGGGAGGCATGCAAATCAGAGGGAAGGTGACACCGAGAGCCTCTAAGCACAGGCATATCTATATCTGGATCTGTATCTACTCCTTCCCTATCTACGTCTATCTATATTTATACACAAAGGCTACAAAGCAGCCCTCTGAAATGAATTCTCACTGGAAGAATGAGAAAAACGAATGAGAAAAAGCTTGCCGGAGAAAGCGCTTTCACATTCATAGTAGCTCAAGGGGCCTTCGAGAATTTACCTTAAGAGAGAAATCCAAGCTTCTGACAGAATGAAGAAAAGAGACTGTGAGCGAAAAATCAGTTTATTGTAAATTGAACTGTTCCTTCCAGAAAGTAGGCGTATAAAAGGAAGAAAACTTTGCCCGGAGAGGAGTGTGCCTCTCATGACACTTAATGATTATTAGAGGATGCATTTAAGGAAGTGAATAAACAGAAGGGTGAACCAAAACAGGGAACAGATTCATAGATGCTTTTTCTTGGTAAAAAAAATCTCCAAGTAACAAGTAGATCCTTTGGGTTGTTCTTTGGAAGGCTGCATTTATTTTTGAAAGAGTATTTCCTGCAGCTTTTTTCATCATTCACATACATTTTTGAATAAGTAAATATATATGTGTGTGTGTGTGCATGTGTATACACACAAAGATGCATACACATAATTTTTTTAATTCAGGAAAGCATCTTTGCCTATAGATGACATTTTATATTGACAGTGCTTTCCAGAATATCTGATCATTGGCAATCAGGATCCCATATTTATGGAAGAAATATTTTCTTTACATACCTCAAGGCATAACTATCTTGCATCTTTGCAAACTGCCCAGGGCAGAGTACTCTGGCGCTATCTGTTAACACCAGAAGGTTCTGAATTACATATTTTATGTTAAGATGCAAAACAGTGTCACCTAGGGGCCTCAGATCTTTGAGGAAAAATGGTATTTTTGTAATGAGTGTGTCTTTTTCCTTCATCAAGTCACTTTTCTGAGCATAAAAAGATGTTAATTTTTTGACCCTTCTTCCATAGTCATATTAAGAGGAATTTTCCATAAAGGATTTATTGGCTGTAGTTAAAGTGAAATACACGCATGAATTAAATGCTAATAGAATGAAAAGCCCTTGCAGTGAATTTCTTTATAATTAATATCCAGACATATTACAGGTAGCAGGGGGTCTATTTTACCTATTATTTTGACTTAAAGTGGGCATATTAGTGACTAGCCTCCTGATTGGGCTTAACTGTTCTTCGAGTCCTTCTTCTCACAGACAGACTAGGAAGGCAGAAGGAGCAAACTGCTGTTTTTATACAAAGCAGGCATCTACCAGTCTCCGGATAGTCACAATTTTATTATTTTATTCTAAAGATAATATCACTAGTGCAAAAAAAAATTATCGAGTAGGGGGACTATAAAAAAGCCCCAAATGACAGTTATTTCTGACTGTCAATTCCCACGTTTAATGAGAAACTCTGCCCGATTTAATGAATCCTGGTCCTTCAATCTGGCGTCATTTTAAACATAACCTGCCTCTGCAATTCAGTGGTGTCAGTTTTTGGCCTCCATTGTGGCAGCTGGATATACCTCTAATGGAAGGAGGTTTTCTTGTGAACTATGAAACAGATATAAGAAATCACTACTAATTTACTCAGACAGAGAGGGCAAGAAAACGTGTGTCTCTGTCTGTGTGTGTGCACATGCAGACAGAGAGAGACAGACAGACAGACAGACAGACAGACAGTTAGAATGTGTGCATGATGGCGTTGTAGAGACAGGAAAATGTTGAATCAGGACTGGAAACGTCCTGTGCGTGCATTAGTACAGGGAGCAAAAACAATAAGGCAGAAAAAATTGCATTTTATGTCACCAGTGCAATTCAATATCAAAGCCTAATTGGGTCACGCTTGCAGGTAAAGCCAGCGTGCTGCCTGCCGCCATGAGGACAGACCACCTTAGTCCCTCCCTGCACGTGTGAGTTTAGCCTGGCACATGCTCACGCTCCGGTTTTATTTAAAATGCGTTCTCTTTCTGTCTCGTGCTGGTGGCTTGGTAAGCTGGAAGGAGTAAAAAGACCCGGTTTCCCCTGAAATCAGTGGAACTTGTTAGATCAGGGCTATTCTTTTCCTTAATGGTGTGAAGGGAAACTCAGCCGCGCCTTCCACTTCTTCCCGGCTTCTGTGGGCTGAACCTGACCCAGAGTCAGATGAAAAGTAGGAACCAAATGCCTTCCATCTCAATCACTACTTAATAAAGAGATTAGAGAAAGGAAGATGAAGGAGAGAAAAATCTGTTTCCGACCTACATGGAGTTATCTTACTCTCAACGTTAAAGAGGAAAAGAGGACATTACATTGGATTTCCCACTATCTCTTCTCCCCACTTCCTTCTCTCTCTTCCACTCCACTTTGCCGTTGCTGTCTGCGTTATTTTTTTTAAAGCTCCGAGAGACAGACGTTCACGGCTTCTCTGTGGTCCCAAGACCTCAGTCTGGCAGAATCGAGGAGAAAGAATGCAGGTTATGTCGCGCAGTCAAAACAGTGACCGAGGCAAGTAATTCAGACAAGTCGACCCCAAGCGCTGGGCGACTCTAATGACTGGATTTAGTGGCAGGCGAACATTGGAGCCCTCAAGGAGGTAACAATAAATCCACAACAGGTCGAAGTACCCTCCACATGCAAAACTTCCTGCCGGACGGACGGTGTCCCCGCAGCCCAGGCTGGCCTCAGGTCTGTGACAATGCTGCCACCTGCTGCTCCAGGCCTCTCTCCGGGAGGCGAGGCGGCTCCGGGCACCTTGTCTCCAGCTGAGGCTGAGCGAGCACGCCTTTGTTTAGGGCCCCTTGTCTCGGCCTGTGTCAGAGCTTGCAGGGGCGTTGGGCCTCTCTCTGCAGGGAGGACTGGTTTTAGAGGACTCCCGCTTCCCCCAGTTGTATCAGTTCAGGTGTAAACCCGATATGCAATAGGATCCGGCGTGGTGTCCACACTCATTAGACACATGGCATCGTTTCCAAAGGTACGTGCAAGGGGGACACCCTTGATCTCATGGGCATGTCAGGCTATGGTGCTAAACCCTAACTCCTGGGCAGCGTACCTACAGTCTCTGTCCTGTCGCTGAGCAATTAAACAAAGTGATAGAAACAAAACGCCGAGGCGGCTGGCATTTTCCTTCTCAGCAAGACGGAAGAAAAACTTGTGGGAGTTTCATTCTTGCTGTCTTGTGCTGAGGCGATGTGGCTGTAAATAATGAGACATTGTGTAATTGTGTTGTCTGTCAAAATGTGTCTGACAGATGAGCCCACGAGCATGGGTGGAAGTTAAGACTGCCTCCCCGATGTATAATTTGCGGGCAAGGCGCTCTTTGACTAACCTTTCCTTAAGAGCAAATATTCCTTCTCTTACAGCATCATTAGATTATTCATACAGCATTCCCTCGCTTTCTTTCATCACCCACTTGGTTTAAAATGTTCAGGTTTGCTATCAACGAACCGAGAATCTCCTGAAAAATGATGTTCTTCAACTGCTTTGTCATTTTTCAGAGTCATGTTTGGAAAAAGTGGTTCTTCAATATACACAATTATTTTTTTTTTACCACTGTATTCAGGGTCATAACTATTCCTCTGTTTGGTACAGAAAAAATAAAGTTGATATCCCTTGTAGTCTGTGAATGAAAAAGAACATTTGGATAATCTTCCCAATTCACCAATTTAGGACTGCCCTCATCCTCACTAAAGGGTGATGTATCTGCTTATCATGAGGGTAACAGGGTGGGGAGGAAAGCCTGCGGAGAGGATGGGTAATGAGGGGTAGACAGAGGCTAAGTAGGAGGCAGGGAGGGGCCAGGTGAGGGGAGAAACCCTGAAAATATCAGCAGAGGCCAGGAGAGAGAGGCTCCTGATTCCCCTGACCTCCGAGGAAACAGTGATGAACTCACAGTGAAGTAAATGTAAAGTCAGACCAAAGAGTTTAGTCACTCTGATGGTATTAACTAGGAAAAGACAATGTTTACAAATCACCATTGCCCCAGTAAGTCAATTGCAGGGAAATCGTCCTATAACCACTTCCAAGAAGGACGGGAACAGGAGCATTTCACCAGGTACTAGTCTTCCCTCGGGGAGCTCCCCAGCATGAGGAAGAAAATGTCCTATGAAACCGGTTTCTGAAAAGCATTGCAACATAGGAAACTGATATGTGTATGTGGTTTCTGATTAAAGTGAGTGCTGTGAAATGGGTTATTTTAAGAAATATATGTTTATTGTATTAAGGGGACATTTGATACAAATTGGAGGATCTCAAATTAATTATACTTCTTCTAAATCAAAAGTATAATTATTACCTGGGAAATCTGCTGGGAAGGAAGTTTAGTGATGGTTTTTATGTTAGCGATAAAATACACTTTTTCTCGTCTTTATCTCACTTCCAGACTTTGCAATACGTGGTGGGTTTAATTACAATGAATATGTCAAAATATCCCAAATTCCCCAAAATTACACCAGTCTACAGTCTACTGTCTCTGACTCATAATATAACCTCTTTAATCCTGCCTGTAATCTCCTGTCTTTGAAATAATGTAATGACCTTTTCCCCAATGGACACACACATTTTTGCACACTGCTAATCAAACATTTTAAGTCTAAAACACGTAAAATCTAATGTAGTTATCATCATGTCTAAGGTATTTAGTTACAAATCGATTCCTCAGCATGGCTACGGCCATGGTGTACATACACTTTCCTATGTGTTGTTTGGAGATTGGTCACTGGCCATGTCACCATTAGTTGCAGTGGGTACCTGGCCAGGAAAAACAAGTTTGCACCTGACTCAGCTCACAGGAAGGAGTCTGAAAAATAGGGCAAAGGCAAAGCTCTTTAGGGAAAAATTATGAGAAATTACTGCAAAGCGTCATCAACTTTCATTGAATGGAAGCACTTGTGTTCACTTGGCATTTCACGTCAATAGGTAAATGGGTTTTTCCTTTGTTTCCCGATGTCAGCAAATATCAAGCCCCAGTTGATATTTACTTTATTCCCAGGGGTCGGACTGTCAGATAGTTATCCTCTATAATCAACTGTGGAGCCAAGTGTATAGAAAGGGAAATGATACTGATGGCCCCTCACAGGCCACAGCGATTCACTCAGATCCCAGCACACTATCTGCTGAGAGCTCCCCTATCAGATTTAACGTGTGAAGGTTCCAACTCCTTAGATAATTCAGATTCTAGCATGGGCTAGGATTTACATCCATCACTTACTTATTTTCCAGTAGGCCTTTTGCAATGTAAATGTACAGGGTTCATTCACTTTTACCTAAAATAATACCCTTTTACGAGTCTTCTACCAGGTCTTCCAGCAATGCCTGTGTTCCTTCAGAAATCACAGCATCAAAGGGGAGGTTTCCCCACTTAATCTAACCGACTTTTTGGGTATTTCTTTTCATGTTCTCCTAAGTTTTCTTACTCATTAAGATTCAGCTCTTTTATTGTTTTCCAGGTATTTTTTTTCTCTGAGCTCCTGTTTAGAATTCCCCAAAAGCATCACTTAAGCCAGACAAAATGTGATTCACTATTATCTATGCTTCTTTTTATTCTTTCTCATAAATCAATCCTTTCAGCCCCTTTATCATTCTTGCTTCTCTTTGTGCTTTTGAGTTTGCTGACATCAACATCATTTGTATAATGAAGTGCACCTACTTGATGTGGGTCTATGTGGGTAATGGACATGGGATGTCCCAACACGGGAACACTAGGCAGGGCTTTGTGAGGTCACACACAGGAACACACATACACAGGCACACACACACTCATTCCAGCAGTCCAATCAATGTAAAGACCTGTCTTGTTTTAACCCTCGCTGCAGATACAGGCCCCCGCACTTCAGCTTGATGCCAGAGGGCTTACACGTAAACTCTGCTTGACTTGGAAATCAAAGAGAGGTGAGAAGAGTTCAGATTTTCTCCTGCTGAGGTAGGAGGCTCGCCAAGAGACAAGACTGGACTCATAAGGTCTGCAACTGGCTTTATCTAGTTAATAGCAGCCTTTGACATCACAAAACATGCTATTTCCTTGTGTTCATGTCTTTAAGAGGAGCCACGGTGAAAGCAAACATTAAAGATTTTAATCTAACAAAAATGTGGAGTGAAAGTAAGACATTTTACACCTGCTCTCTGCACTACTATTTCAGGAGGAGGTCGGTCGCTGATGTTGAAACTGTTATTCATAAATGTTTTCCATCTGTGTTTGTTTCTGATTTCTCATCTGCATCCGCAGTTATGCAATGTCCTCCAATGTTTGTCTCTTCTTCCTGAAATACGGTCTATTTCACATTGCACTGCCCATTTTCACAAGGCATCACTGGACTAGGGAGTCCTCAGAGAAAGCCAGGTATGGTTCAGCTGTTTCCTTTCCAGTGTATATGACACTTGGGAAAAAGACAGCTTGAGGGTAAATTTGCCTCATCGTTAGAGATACCTTATTAATATTAAGTCTGCAAAACAAGTCCTCTCTTTAATTCAACACTTCCAAAATGAACAAAGAGTTACAATGCCCTGCAGTAAAAGGCGACTTAATTGCATTTGGCCAATATTTATTTCGTGCACACTGTGTAAGACGCATTGAACTAGAGAGTATAAAAATTGGTAAATTACCATCTCTCAACTAAATAATCTTATGGTCTCATAACAGAAATAGGTTACAATGAATGTACAAATAACAATTTAAATAAAGATAATAATGAGATTTTTAAATGATTAAAGTTATTCTCCAAGAACACTTTAAACACAGTGCTTAAATTGTTTCTATTTATTGAGCTTCTACTACAATGAAGACTATATGGTAATTCTAGGATTAGAGACGCATGAGCAACACACACACACACACACACACACACACACACACACCCTGCCCCCAACTCACAAACAGTAGAAAGCATGTGACATTAAATAATTGCATCATTTAATTCTTGCAGCAACCGTGGTATTATAATCCCCCATTACACATGAGAGCACTCAGTGTAACCATAGGGAGTTGATCTGCTGCCAGCCACACTGAAGAGGCAGGGCATACTTCAGGTATCAGGGGTTGAGATTTGGCTATGAGAGCTAGAATGTCTGGTTCCAACTCCAGTTCCACAACATGAAAGCTGCGTGACACTGAGCAAGTCACTCAATAACTCTGTCTGAGTTTCCCCGCGCTGTAAAGGTTTGTTTTGAGAAGTGAATTAATCCTCATCTTGATCTACCTAGGGAGATCTAGTATACAAGAAATTCCTCTGTCATCTTTACTTTTTTTTAATCAAAAAGTTAAACAACTTCAGTGCTTGACCATTGATTTGGTAGAAGAAACTTTTCGTCCTTTCTACTTTTCTTCTATTCTTCCTTCTTTCCTTCCTTCTCAGTTTCTTTTGCTGAAATGGTGGGGGTTGTTGTTCTCTTCCTCCTCCTCCTCCTCCTCCTCTTCCTCCTCTTCCTCTTCCTCTCCCCCCACTCCTTCTCTTCCTTCTTCTTTGGAATAACTGACAGTGTGCATAATTATTCACCTCTTGCAACAGCAGAATTAAGTGTCAAATATGCTGCTTACTTTCATTAACTCCTACTCTAAATTGTTAATAATTTGGCTTCCCGGAAAAAAGACCACAAAATGTTAAGATAGAAATGGTTCAAAAGTGCACTACTTCACCAAGTTTTCTTTCTTTCCTTTTTTTTTTTTTTTTGGATACTTTTTTTTCAACATGTGCACTCAGTAAGACAGTAGAACTCTCCCAGTGGCAGTCCATCTGATTTGTAAACCATAGCAAATAAATCATTGACTTCAGAAATATGTTACTTTAAAAAAAATGGCTAAAATGCCTCCAATTGTTTTTCCTGTACAGATTTTAGCAGAGAAAAATCTGGTGCACCTAATATTAGATTACAGCAAAGAGAGTGAGAATGGTATTTGTTCAGAAAAGCCCTCAGCATCATTGCGAACCATTCAGGCAGCACGGGAGCTTCTGGAGGTGAAGGTGTCTGGTGAGGCTGATCAGACATGGGCTGAGTCTCCAAGTTCTCATGCACACATGTGCTTCCTGCGCTTGGACTTCTCTCCTCCAGGCTCAGCCAATCTCAGGGGAAACAGCACTCCGGCAGGAGTGACTCCTTCTCCCACAGACTCCTTGCAGCACACACAGACGTTTCCAGTGATTCCCAAGAAAGGTTAAATTTACAAGAACATAGTCACCACTTTCTATTTTTTATACATTTTATAAAATTGAGTGTGATTTTGGAACACAGACAGACATTCAAAAGATCATACTACTAGAAACATTATCATCCTGCCACCCATTTAGCTCAGAATCTTTGAGTTAGGTGAGTTATTTTACATAAACCATAAAATTTTATCAATTGAATTTAACAATTGTAAAGGTAATCCCATACTATACTCACCAATAGCTAATGGCTATTTTAAAAATTGTGGGATCTAATTTTTCCCTCTATTCATTTTACTTGTAATAATGTAATCTCAGTATAGCACACTGGGGCTAATTAATTAGGACAGTTCAAGTTGGAATATAGTTACCTGTTAATGAAAATGCTTGATTTCAGAAATGATCACCTATTCAATGACATATGAGAATTATAACACATAATTTATATTTATAATATAACAATTACTTGATTTCATCATTTAAAGATATTTTATAAAAGTGATTCCTAATAGAAAACAATAATTTAATTTTAAAAACATAAATCAAGAAAGTAAACATTGTAAAGTCAACAGCAACTTAATTAATGTCAGTGTTTTCAATACAATGTATTATTAAGGGAACTGAGCATATTAAAATAATACATAGTATACATAAGAGGACATAATTTTAAAAATTGACAATTTATGACATAATATTTACTCAAAAACTCAATTGAATGCCTATATGTATATTAAAATATATGTAGGTCCCTAATTTTCAAAAATAACTTAAATGCTGTTTATAAAATTTGTAGTCCATTATCTATTATCTAAACAAATGCAAAGAGCAAGAAACTTTTTTTGTACAAGCAAATATCAAGTTACAGCACAGTTAATAATTTCCATTTATTGTATATAACTTGAATATTGTACCTCTATAAAAATTAGTCATAACTTTCTATTCAGAATTTTTATTTAAAAAGTAGAGATTTTATTACAAATCATTTAACTTATGTTAATTCCTCTTTTGTGTTAAATTTTAAAACTGAATAAGAAGTTAAATAAAAACTCAAAGAATTTCTATTTGTGTCATTCCATCAGATGTTGAAAATTTGACTCTCCTCAAAGAAGAGGAATCCTCTGAACTAATGTCACTGCCAAAACTTACAGTAGAAAATGCAAAATTGAAAAGGACTTGTAAAGAGATTTATATTACACCAAAATATTATACAGCTCCTTTTCATATTTTTTTCCTAACTAGTTCAACAACTGGGCTTATTAAAAAAGCTAGTCTGGTTATTGGATAACTTTGCTTTAAAAGGTTATTAGAATAACCTGCTAATTAAAAAGCACAAATCAAACTCCTATAAAAAGTCTAAATGGAGAAGGGCTCAGCTAATTGGAGCCTCTTTCATATTGGTTTGAGAGTCCTGGAGTGCCTAGATTGCATTTTGAATGGTGTCATTATGCTGGCCCAGTGCGGTCATATTGGGAGCCGTGTTCCCAGACAGCCTCCCAGGATCTGTATGTGAAGCTGCAGTCAGCATGAGGGGTGACACAGGCAACTCAATACCCTTATTGCAAAGTCCTGAATTCAAATATTAGCATATACGGCAAACAATCAAAAATAGCATTGTATTCAGCCATCTTAACAGGAATGAGATTTGGAGCAAAATTGGTAAGAATAAAATGGAGATGACGAAAGGGTGTTTTTAACTCAAAAGAAAGAGCCCCCACCCTTCCTGAAAGTGAAGTGCTCAGAAAGAGACAGATCGTAATGAGAAGAGAAAAGGCACCTGGCATTTGCATCGCCCTCCACCTGGAGCCCTGACTGGAGAGGGTGTAATTAGAGCGCTCTCTGTGCAGGGAACAAAGGCCTGTCAGGATGAAGAAAAGCCCCAAGCTAAGCAAAACCCCGACTAGTTACATCTTTCAATTTCTTCTCGCTGCCTTGAAAAGAGGAAATATAAGAAAACAGGTGTGGGCTGGATTTTTCTAATGTTTGGAAGGGAAAGATTCGTCTTCTGTTAATATTCTTACAGGGAGTAATTACATCTTTTCAAGGCCAGAGAACAACTCAACATTCACTGGGCCAACTAACTGCGGGAATAGGATCAGGAGGGTCAATCCTGATGCAACACGCCCTCTCTTTCTCTTAGTCATGCTAATTTTGTCAAAATATTGAGTTTTGGATTGATTAATTTGTCTTGTGATGTTGCAGGGTTTCGTTTTCTCCTGGATCAGCAGCACAAAATTGAGATGGCATGTATGCCAGAGATAGATGGCGGCGTGAGCCTCTCTGCCACGTCTTTCTTTCAATGCTTCAATTTCAAGGAGAAATTGTACTGACTCATAGGGGATGCATTTTCAAAACAAAACTTAGCTTGCCTGCTCCAATGACTTTAAACGAGAGCAAAGTGTGCTTCTCCAACAATGCTGGCATCTGTTCTAAGTGTGTGCCCACTATTTCTCTAAATTCATCTTCATGCTTACATCTCTCAAGGCAAAAGTCCCGTATCCACAAAGTATGTAGATAGTCCTGCTGTGGTTGAATACCTAGATTCCTCGCTTTAGTACATTTCATCAGGAAAAGCTTATTTTTAGGGAACGAGACAAGGTTGTTAGACCTAAAGACTGACATCACAGGTCAACAATTTGGGGGACAATTTGTCATCACATGTAATGGTATAAATAATTTGATCACTAAGACCATATATTTATACTATGATCTGGACTCACTGTCCACCCGAAGCGGCGACCAAGTGACTGTGTTCTAAACAGAAATTTGTCCCCTGGGTGCTTCAAATTGTCATAAATGAGAAATAATATGCAGGAGGCCTCGAGAGCTTGAAAAACCGTGAACCACCAGTGGGCCCACCACAAGTTAATGCTAAGTTTTATCATGTTTGTCTTTTAAAATCCCATGTTTCTGAAAGGGGGAATTCTTACTAGTTTCCATCACACCATTCTCATTTGGTTTCAAGAACAAAGACTATTATGAAAGAGAAAACAAAATACAAAAACACAATTGTGACTGTTAATTACATACTTTAATAACATAATTGTCACATTTTGACCAATACACTAAATGTCTATATACATGCATAAATTTCTTTGGCAATACCCCTAGGTGGCAGGGTAATATTACAATACTTTAGTTTGGAAGACACTGGGTACCCTAACCTTGAGAGAAAGAGAAAGAGAATATGTGAAACAAATTTCCAGAATCCTTAATCTTAAATTTGGACATCTCCAAAAATAGGCAGCATAAAAGAGGTTGGTAGTCGCTCATAGGCAGTTTTCATCACCAATACAGAACCATAGAATGTGCTTGAGTGTCCAAAATTGTGTTAATAAGAACTTGTTTTTCTTTTATATTGAAGAAGTGGGAAGAAGTGTGGTCTCAAAGCCAATTTTCTCCATGAGGCATCAAAAAGTCATTTATTGGATTATAAGTTCTTTAGGAAATATTCTGTATCATTTGTTGAGACTGGTTAAATGAAACCCAACAGAACAACATCTAGGATGTAGGATATGACCATAGTTAAACGACTTTAAACTTTCCCAAAATACATTTATAGAACATATCATGAAACCACTATTTATTTATGATATGGGATGAATCCTCTTAAACTCTGCTTTTGTAAACCGGTACAATCATTTGAAAAATCAACTCACACAAAGAAATTCAAGATATTTGGGAATTTGACATAGTGCTTACAATATATAAATTGATCCTGAGGAAATTATATTAAATATAACAGCAACAATAACCCATGTTAGTGCTGATAGACATCTAAAATTATAGATGGTTTGTTAATGAAAATAACCACATGTGATAGAAGAGTACACAAACATAAAAGTATGTTTAAAATAATAGTTAATAAACTGGGAAATAATAATTATAATATTAAGTGAAAATTTTGCACTCAAGTTGCAAAAATATCAAATAGGAAAATATATTGATAATAAAAGAACAAGCATGAAATATCCTAAAATATTTACAGGAGTTACTGCTAGGTAATAGAATTATGAATATTATTTTGTTAAACTGTTTCAATATTTTTAGATATTCTTCAGTAAGCTCATATTGCTTATATAATAATACAAATATATTCGTTCATGTAGTCCTTTGTTTTATGTCCAAAATCAAAATGCACTTATATGGATAATAAGAAACATATGTATATGGACATATGTATGTATGTATTAGGAGTAAGAGCATTTCTGGTTACTTCTATGCCAGTATTCGGGCTAAAGCAGATCATTTAACTTGTCTAGCCTGTTTTTTATTTGTTTGTTTTTTATTTGTTAGTTTTTATTTTAAAAAAAAACTAACTAGAATGAAGATAAGACAAGATGATCCTTAAGAATTTAAAATTAAAAATGTAGAGATTAACAGTAGGGTGCAATGTAAATCTATCATGAAAGTGGCAGCCTATAAAGTCTGAATCCCTATACATAGCACTCAAAGCTTCATATATGAGGGCTGAGCATGGTGGCTTACACTCATAATCCCAGCACTTTGGGAGGCTAAGGCAGACAGATCAACTGAAATCAAGAGTTCAAGAACAGCTTGGTCAACATGACAGAGCCCTATCTCTACTAAAAATACAAAAAAAGAAAAAACTAGCCATACCTGATGGGGGATGCCTGTAGAGTCCCAGCTACTCGGGAGACTGAGGCAGGAGAACTGCTTGAACCCAGGAGGCGGAGGTTGCCGTGAGTGACCGAGCAAAACTCTGTCAAAAAAAAAAAAAACTTCATATATGAGGTGTTTCATGTGGGTACATATTTCTCACTTGCATTAACTCACTAAGCCACATACTCCTGGTTAAATATATTACGTGCACCACAGTGACTATTCATGAACAAAAAATACATTTAAATTTTCATACATTTGTAAAATGTCATAAGCTATATTTTCCTTGCAGTGAGTGATACCTTTTTGATGTCATGTTTACTCATGTTTTAGGGAAGTATTTAATAAGTGCCCCCTATGTGACCATATTATGCTCAGTGTGGAAAATGTAACTGAGGAAATGTCAGATATGGCCCTGTCCTCAGGGAGCTTCCTCCCAATCACGGCGTAGAGGCAGCTAAAGGCTGTTGATGTACAGAGGCTCAGCAACTCTCTGGGCAGATGGAGGAGCACCATATGCCTTTGTTGAGCAGATGGTGTCCATAATTAGGGATGAAAGATGGGTTGAGATTCTCCCTGTGAAGCTGGAGGAAATAATGCCACAAGCAGAGAACAATGTGCAGGTGACCTTATGCGTGCAAGGGGAAGGCACTACACAGTCTTGGTTGCCTCGCCATCCTAGGAGGGTGACTAGGCTACCTTCTTCAGAGAGCTATATTGAGGATTAAATGGGATAATAGCAGAAAATCACCTTAAACGGTTCCTGGCACAAAGGGACATGCAGGCTATGTCAGTAATGCTAGCAAAGGAGAGGAAGACAAGAAGGAGGAGCCATGTAGAGGCACGTCAGCCCCAGCACATGACTTACTAAAGATGCTAGAATAAGTTACTGAACTGGAGCAAGACTGGAGGAAGGTGGGCTGGATAGGGGACACCTGCTGTAAGCTGGCGAGAGGCGATGGTGACCAGGCCAGTACTTTGCAAGTGGCTCCCAGGGTGGTGATGGCGAGAAGTGGGAAATCTAAGAAACGTGCAGAAAGCAAAGTCAGCAGCACTGTGGACTGATGGAATCTGTGGGGAGAGGAAGGAATCGATCCAGGATGGCTGCTACTTCTCTGGCTTGGGAAGCAGCCCTGAAACAATGGCAATGCAGTGAGACCCCAGGTAGAGGACTGTCGAGGAGGGCACAGCCTTTGTTCCGAATGTGAGATGTGTCAGTTTCCTAGGTCAGGCACCAGAGGGGACAGTCACCAGCCTGTTAGGTAAATGAGGAGGCATTTCAGGGGGAGACGGAGGTTTGAGGTGCATCATTAAGGAAAGGGAGATAAAGCCACAGGCATCCTTGAGAAAAACAGGAGTGACCCAGAATAAGATTTGAAGAACAAGAAACTTTGCGGGACAGGAGTCAGAGCTGCAGGCATGCACAGTGAGCAGGAGGTCACAGATGCTCAGGACTAAGTTGGGGCAGGCGAAGAGGCACAGAGAAAAGGGAAGAAAAGGTTAGAGGAAGAAAGAGGCCAGATGAGTTAGCTAATGAGTAGTCGTCCATGGATGACTCAAAAGGAGACTCTGATTGGACAATTTCACACACCGGTGGAGGCTGAGAGGAGAGTGGGAAATAAAGGCATTTCTAAGCTGTATCTAAACCCATGTCTAAGTCTAGGTCTGTGTCTATAACTAGATCACTGTCTATGTTTGATCTGTATTGATGTCAACTATATCGATGTCTTTATCTACATAAAAGGATGAAAATAGATTCCTAAAGGGTTTCTCACAGTAAATAAATGCTTCAGTCCAGATGACAGATGCAATGCCATCACTGATATTATTTCTACTTGTGTTTTTCTTCTGCCATTGATTCTATTTCCCTTTTCCTGTCCTCCGTTTCTAGTTTGGATTCAAACTTGTCCCCTAAGCCAGAGAATGGGGCTTCATGTTCCCCCCATTTCAGAACAGCTTCATTCCTGGCTCCATCCTCATTTCCTAACTTTATTCTTATCCTACTTAGAGTTTCTCAATTATTTGAAATATACTTTAACATGCAACATGAATGTATTTTTAAATCATCTTTCATAGACCTTTTAAAAGGAAGGACATATAACTAAAGGAGTTAGTAATATTAGTTGATCAGCTCAAAATGCCCAATGGGTCCAACACAATAAAAGCAGTTTATTTCTCTCTCAGATAAAATCCAAACCAGGCAATCCTAGCTGGCAGCAGGCTGTTCTCCAAGCAGCAATTCAGAGACTCTTCACCCTCAGCTTATGGGCTCCAAGCTTGTTGGGCTGTCCGTCCACAGAAGGAAAACCCCCCGAGGTCGCCTGTGCAAGGTTGTATGAGCCAGGTCTGGGTGCAGCAGGTGCAGCTTCCCCTCGCATCTCACCAGCTGGAACTCAGTCCAGAAGCCACATGGATGCCAGGGCAGGCCAGCCATGGACCCAGGCAGGGAAGACAGGAGGCTGGTAGCAGCTGGTAGGGCCTCCAAGGGCTCTTCACTCTGCATTCTCAGCCGTAGCATCTCAATGTCCCTTCACCAAGAAGGTGATGCCATTGTAGACAGAGAGGAAAAGGGTCATGGAAATAGTTTCTTCCATCAAAGTTCTTCCTCAAAGCTTTTATTTTTTTCATTTTTCTTTTCTGATCCAACTGTAGCATTATTTTATCTCTGTTTCAGAGATGGGCACAATATTGCTCTCAACTTCAGCAATGCAGAACATATTGACTCCTGGGTCCTGCTGATGGGGCTTGCTTCCTGGCTCCACTTCTTAAGTGGTATGACCATATTCGTTCCACTCAGCCTCAAGCCTTCCGTTGTGAATGAGAGACAGTGGCAGTACCTGGCTCATAAAACTGCAGTTCCACCAGAGAATCAGAAAGTTGAGGCTATGTCTGAGACCAGGCTAAAGATATTAGAAACCTTTCCTATTAAATTTAAACACTGAACAATGATATAATCAAAGCTTACACAATGACCAAGCCAAGAAGTAAAAGAATAAGGGAATGGTGAAGGCAAAGGCAGCCCTGGAGGTGGGAAAGACCTGTTTTCCACTAAATGAGGAGCAGCTCCCCCATGACAGCAGGCATTTGGGAGGTGAAACTCCATTCTCCCCAAGACATGGTGAGGGCTCCAGACCTTCAGGACCAGCAAAGGCTGTGAGTGATTCATTCCGTAAATCCATGCATGACGGATTTAAAAAGGAATATTTTGGAGACAAATGTTGAGATTATCTGAGCCCTTCATTCAACATTGCAATGCAATGTTTCAGAAGGTACACAGAGGCTGTTTACTGAGCAGAATGCCTGGAGAGCTGAATGACCTTCAATTGCTATTTATTTATATATCATTTTTAATATTTCTACACTTTTTTGAAATGAAATTTAAAAGTCACATTGTATATACAAACATACGATGAAATATTGAAAATCATACCTGCTTCTTAGATGGGAAGGTTATATTTCATTAAGATAGCAACTCTTGGGCCGGGCGCGGTGGCTCATGGCTATAATCCCAGCATTTTGGGAGGCCAAGGCGGGTGGATCACCTGAGGTTGGGAGTTCGAGACCAGCCTGACCAACATGGAGAAACCCTGTCTCTACTAAAAATACAAAATTAGTCATCTGTGGTGGCGCATGCCTGTAATCCTAGCTACTCAGAAGGCTGAAGCAGGAGAATTGCTTGAACCTGGGAGGCCGAGGTTGCAGTGAGCCAAGATCACGCCATTACACTCCAGCTTGGGCAACAAGAATGAAACTCCATCTCAAAAAAAAAAAAAATGATAGCAAGTCAGCCCATATTTCTATACTTTCCTGAAATGAAATTTAAAAGCCATGTTGTATGTATAAACATATGATGAAATATTGAAAATCATACCTGCTTCTTAGATGGGAAGATTCTATTTCATTAAGATGACAAGTCTTCCCAATTTAATTCATATATTCAATAGCATCTTAATAAAGTTCCACCAATATTTTAAAACACAACAGCAATTATTCTAAAGCTTATCCAGAAAATAAATATACAAAAATGGGAGTGGGAATTATGCAAGGAAGCATAAAGAGGACCATATAAATTAAGAAAACATAAAATGCACTTGAAAGGTAAATAATTCAAATGGTAGGGTATGTTACAGGCCTAGCAATAGATGGGGGGATAAGAAGAAGAGAATTCAGAGTTTAAGCTTTATCCAGTTTTATATGCAAATCTCATATTTAACAGAGATGTCCTTTCAACTCTGGGGAAAAGTTAGGTTTTCAGTAAATGATACTGAGTAAAAAATACTCAGCTGACTAGTATTTAAATTAAAAAAATAGAAATCTTCTCATCCTCATGTGGAAAACAATTCAAATGAAGACCCTTTGATGTGGTCTGGCTGTGTCCCCCCCAAAACTTCATCTTGAATTGTAGCTCCCATAATCCCCACATGTTGTGGGAGGGACCCAGTGGGAGGTAATTGAATCATGGGGCAGGTCTTTTCCCTGCTGTTCTCTTGATAGTGAATAAGTCTCACGAGATCTGATGGTTTTATAAAGGGCAGTTCCCCTACACAATCTCTATTGCCTGCAGCCATGTAAGATGTGACTCTGCTCCGCATTCGTCTTCTGCCATGATTGTGAGGCTCCCCCAGCCATGTGGAACTGTGAGTCCATTAAACCTCTTTTCTTTATAAATTACCCAGTCTTGGGTATGTCTTTATAAGCAGCATGAGAACAGACTAATACACTCAAAAATTTTATGCTTTATGTTCTAAAACTGTGTGTTGTTCTGTGTTCTAAAAAAATGAGGACAAAAATTATGTTTGGGACATATATTAATGTTTATAAAAATAGTGAAAAATTATGCTTTTGGAGTAGAGGTGGGTTATGTAGTAAAGACCCAGAATATCCCTCCTCCAAAAAAATAAATAAATTAAACCTGGAGAAAGACATAACACTTACCTTTTTACCTAAGGTAAAAGCAACCAAACAATAAAAGACAAGCAAATAATTGAAAAAAAATTGACACACAAAACAAAGATTTACTCACTAGTTTCTAAATTATTCTTACAAGTCAACAAGGAGAATCCTACACATCAATAACATCAAAAGAAAATGAGTAGGCAGTTCACAAGAGGAAAAATAAATACACAAATTAGCCAGGCATTTATGAAAAGATGTTGGGCCTCACAGGCAATTAAACAAATGTAAATTAAAACAAGGAGGTAGGTTTTGCTTCTCATGTTGACAGAGGTTAAAAAACACCATGGTAATGTTAAAGATACATTTATTCATTCAACAGTATTTATAGAAAACCAGTGTATTCTGGGCAGGGCATAAGTCCTGGAGATACCTGTGTGCATTTATCAGAAATGAGTGTAGACACGTCTCTAACGGGGATCCAAATCCATATAGCTTTATGGAGCACAGTCTCAGAGATATGAAATGTGAAAAACCTAAGGCTGAAAAATTGTCCTTTGGGAAATGTATTGCAACAAAATATACACAAGAATGTCATCACAACATTAGTTAAAATATAAACAATCATAGTCACAGTAAATATGCATTGATAAATGATTTGCTAATTAAATTAAATTAACACCCCAGAATGCAAACATATGTAGTCATTATAGTGAAGAGATAATTTTTTAAAAATTATGAAAAGATATATATGATACATTATAAAATAAATGTATGTTAAACAAGCCCACAGGTGAACAATCCTCTTTGTAAGTATGTATGTGTATAGACTATGGGGTGTGGCAAGCACAAAACATTGAGAGTAGACACTTGAGAGAGATAAATTTTTGTTTTGCTTTTATTTTCTTCTTTACTTGTATAAAATAAAAACAAAAATAAAAGCATGCTTTCCTACTTATAAAACTTATCTTACCTTGCTCATGGTAAAGTACAGTGAGAAGTGTTTCCAAAAACAGAAGTTTTATAAACAGGAAAAGCATGCTTTAACTTGGAAGAAACAAAATAAAAATAAAAAATACTTTTCCCTTTTAGTTGCCTAGCCTGGTGTCTATAAGCCCATGGAGATGAGACGTCTGTGTGTAACACACACATTTGATTTTGCTGACGGTGACTGTGGGCCTGTAGCTGGTGCCCAAACAACCTCCTGGGACTGTGTGATTCTCACCTTTGTGAGGAGGGTGATATGTCCTCTGATTAAATAATAGTAACCAGCAAAACTCCAGCTCTATCTTTTATTTTATTTTATTTCATTTCATTTTTCAAGACTGAGTCACCCAGACTGGAGTGCTGTGGTGTGATCTCAGTTCACTGCAACCTCTGCCTCCAGGGTTCAAGTGATTCTCCATCCTCAGCTTCCCGAGTAGCTGGGATTACAGGTGCCTGCCATTGCACTTGGCTAATTTCTGTATTTTTAGTAGAGGCAGGGTTTCACCATGTTGGCCAGGGTGGTCTTGAACTGCTGACCTCAAGTGATCCACCTGCTTCGGCCTCCCACAGTGCTGGGATTACAGGCATGAGCCACCTCACTCGGCCAGCTCCATCTTTTAATCTTTTGAATATACATTTTCAAATCATGGAGGAAAAGAGTCATGAATCCTCAAAAGCAGAGCTCATTCACACGAAGTCTTGATGTAGAAGTTCAGAGGTAAAAGAGAAAACATATCCACACCAGAGAGAAATCTTCAGTTCATCATGGCCTCTACATACTCCATGAGAACTAAGAGAGGTCTGATGCGTTCTAATCTGAGAATTTCATTCCAAGAACTGAAAACACGTATGG
The DNA here is from genome assembly GCF_000001405.40 of Homo sapiens. NCBI lineage: Eukaryota > Metazoa > Chordata > Mammalia > Primates > Hominidae > Homo > Homo sapiens. The sequence goes on from NC_000005.10 coordinate 4,529,001, forward strand.
AAACAGCATGAGGAAAGGCTTCTGAGACTTGGGACCTCAGACGCATGGGACTTCAACATCCACAGCATTCAACTTTCGATCGAAAACCTTTTTTAGCGAAAAAGTAGGAAAGTATCCTACATGCCATGATGTGTCTCCAAATGGGAATTTAGATATCTGGTCAAATTTAGGTACGTGTTTGAACTAAAAATCCTCCAGAAAACAGGGTGTGGTAGTGCCAAGCAATGCCGGGACTTTGGGGAGACTCTCAGGGCAGCTAGATAGTTTGCAATTACCTTTGAAATAATTAGAATTTTTGCTTTACCTTCGCATTTCTTTTACTGTAACATTTCAATAGATTATAAATTTGTTCAAGGTTGTAGTCAGGTTTACTTAACTAACAGAGTGGTCTTTAGAACATAAAAAAATGTCTCAGGGGTCCCAACTTCAGTGCTAAAGAATTATTTGAAAACTAGCAAGGAGTATTCCTAAAAGGAAAACAGCTCCCCAGAGCTACAGACCCACACTTAACATCCCTGTGCTCCTTGAAGGGACACATAGGCTCTAGCCCACAGCACAGTAGGGATTAATAGGATATTAAGTGTCCAGGCTCCCACCTCAGAGGGCTTGTGGTCAGGCTATTAATAGGCTTTAACCACATGGTTGAGGTTTATTTGGGGACCTGGTACTTATCTCTCTATGCGCGTTACTTAACCTCTCTTCTCTTTTTGTCAATAGAACAATAGTAGCCATAATACAAATAAAGTAATATTAATTTTTATTAATAGTATGATTATTATAATCATGATAGTATCTACATTGTGAGTCTGTGGTATAAGGGGTAGAGTAGACAATACATTTAATAAACTTAGGAAAGAGCCTGGCTTATTCAGGAAAAGTAAAATAAGTAACTATTATTGTAGGTGAAAGCAGTTGCTTAAAATGCCATTACAAGGTTCAAAAATAATTAGTAAAAACTTACTTTTAGACTGCCTCTCTCAAACAATCCAGGTCCTAGTCAAATGATCACGATCTTCCTAGTTGCAGTTTGTTTAACTTGTAGGTGTCATGTAAGGGGAAGATTAGCTGCAATCTAGCTGTAAATGGATAGAAAGTGACCTTTGCTGTATTTTTATGTCTTGTTTCAAAATGTTTTCCACTATTGAGTTTCGTGTTGAAGTTACATCCTCTCATGATGCCCCAAAACTTACTGAAAACTTGGGTGATAGGAATGGAAATTAAACGATCAAATCAGTTCAACCAGTAAAAAAAGTTTATGCAAAGCAGGACAAATGGCAGATCACCAGACTGTCAATCATGACTTTTCCTTTGTCTTTAAAAAGCTTCTTCTATAAACAGTTTTCCTAAATGCTTTGATCACTTCATTTGGATAATGCCAATAAAACCGTTAGCATTGACTGAGCATTACTAAACAGTAACACACGGTATTTATGTCACTCTTCACAAAATCGTGTGAGACTGATATATATTATAATCTCAATAAATATCAAGGAACCAAGAACTAGAGAATTTAATTCCAAATTTTGTACATTCTACAGCTGATACCTAGGCTGCCTCGAAATACGTCACATCTCATTGTGTTGCTATATGACCGCTTTATGTTTTGACTTCGAATAAAAATTCTGAGGATTTTAATCTCAACCTAGTCATTGTCAATCATTTTCCCTTAAAATTTTATACATTTTGTTACTATCGCGTAGAAAGAGGAATTTTGTGGAAGTAAACAAATTGTCACTTTGAACCATAAGTATCTTGATTTTAAGAAAATTATTATTTAAAAGATACATTTTTAAATATTTCCAGATAGCTTTAGAAATGTATGACCAGATTACCTATGAAAATATGGTAATTACTTTAACCTAAGGAAAACTGTGTACTAACCTACTGATTTGTCCTACACAAGTGATTATCAAGACGTGTTATTTTATCTATAAAGGAGGAAATCTCAGAATATCTTGATGATTTCTTAGTTCTGTTAACCATATTTCATGCTGGAGAATATTTGGGCAGTCAGTGGATTGTAAATGCAGCTCTCAGATGAAGGTTTAAAGGAGTGTCATCCTTGCGGGTGTGGGATGGAAACAAGCAGAACTTATCATTTTGCTGGTTTGTTATATTTTAAAACAGGAATGCGCACCTTGGGTATGACTGTGAGCCTAATCTAACGTTATTCATCTCTGCATCCCTGCTGCTGTCTACGGCTGGTCGCTGGGACATGACCCGGGCTTCCCTTGCTGACACAGAGGATGGGCCTCCCTGGGACTTGGGGCACTGAGTGGTCTTGGCCTTGGTGATTGTGCTGGGGACAGAGGGCAGGGGTCCCCTCAACACTTCAATTTCACCCAACCGTGTGTCAATGAGCAGGAATTTCACACCCTCTTTTGAGAGGAAAAATAAAGCAGAACACTTCTAAAGCCACCCTGCATCCCCATGAGGCGTGATGGACCCTGACACAGCCCGGAGAAGGCCGGGCATTCGGCCGACTCCTTGTTATGGTGACCTTGAAAACACGATGGGAAATCTGGAGAGAAAAGCAATTTCATCTTTGAAATTACACACTGCTCTGCTCATTCATCTTGATAAGCACTTTTAAGGAATAATAATAAAAAAAAGAGGTGGGAATATTGCTGCTATAAGGGCGGCGGAGGCCTCCCTTCTGTAGAGTCAGTCGTAAATTTAGATGTTCAAAGAGGCATTTGATTTCTATTGTGAAGCTAAATTGGCCACTTTACAAGGTTGAAAAAAGAAAAAGAAAAAAAAACATAGAAGAAAATTTGTTTAAAACAAAATTATTTTGTATTCTATTTTTAAAATGTAAACATTCTGACTGTGATGTTTATTTAAATAGAAACCCTACCCTCTATTTTGTTCTTATACTTGCCATTGGGTTGATTTACTGTGTGTGTGTTGTGTGTGTGTGTGTGGTCTTTGCCCTGAGGGGAAAAGGAACCCTACCAACTCACCAGTGTAATTATCAACTCCTTGAACTCACATAGTTTGGGTCTGTCTCAAACACGCTCAAAATAATGCAACACCTTACACAAAATCTGCTCTCCCTGTAGTCTGGAATGTTTCACTGTTACAGGAATAACAGGTCCCTCTTTGGAATCCAGCGCTGATAATACTCTCTCCCTGTTATCATGATTCCTCACTGAGAAAGGAGGTGAGAGCTGTAGTTTTAAACCCAAGAGGAGGCCATAGCAGGCAGACACTACGAACAAAGGCATGAAGCAGGTTGTGTCCCAATTAGAAGAGAACAGGGCAAGCCCTGAACTCATGCTGAACACAGTGAAAAGTCTGCAGCCCACACCTGCCACCTCCTCTAACAAGAAAGAGAGCAGGGGCTATATCTGGAAGTTCCTGGCAGTTAACAGATAGAAGAAAAAACACAACTTCAAAAATCATCCCTTCTCTTTACTGAAGACCCCCTCAGGAGAACTCTTGGAAGGAATCCTGTGACCTGCCAGAGTGAGCAGTCAGTCAGCAACCTGGGGTAAGACCTCCCCAATACAGTGTGCTGTGCCGTTCCGTGCACCACATCCGATCTTGAAAAGACCAGAACAGGCTCGGTGACAGCTGCCTGTGAGTGATAGTGATAAGGAACAAAATGCCTAATGGGCACTGGAGTCTTCCCACCTCACGCAGAAAAGCCAGGAAGACAGTGGAATCTCCTGTGATTGTCTCCGGGTACCTCTGGAGCAGCGCCTGGCATGCAGGGCTGGACGGCAACCCTCCACTGCCACGTGCACTCCAGGGGCGCCTTTGCGCACTTCAGCTTGCTACACAGATAATTTCTCATGCCATGGCTGGGAGAGAGAGAAGGCAGTTGTGCCACCAAAGCCTGCAGATCATATCACAGATGACATCCTCCCTGACTCAACGCTGTGCCGAGGAGTCTGAAGCTCCCATCTGCAGAGGGTGTCCCCCTGAGCATGGAGAGCATTCAGTGAGGTTTTCACTGATACTGATGCTGGGTTCTCCTTCTGCCAACCACAAGCTTTGAGATTTGGGGTCAATTATGTCTTCTTTATAATGGGGATAAAAACAATATATAACCACACAAGGCCCTGTAGGTGTGAATTGCTTGGAGCACATGTGTGATGCAGATTCCTACTAAGAGTGTCTATTTTCCTATAGACATGTACTACCTGGAGAAGATGCCTTGCACGAGAAGATTTCTCCTACTTTCCTCATCTTCTTACACTCAGTAATGATGGTAACACTGAAGAAAGATACGATCATAAGAATAACTACAATTGAGATGTGATTAACTCATTGCATTATTTATTTTGTCCTGGCTCCAGAGCAGTTTTTGAGATCAACTTTCTCAAACAGCACCATTTACATGCTCCTCCAACCTCATCAGTAACATTCATGACACTGTAAGGGCGTGCATGTGTATTGTGCTTACGTACTGACACAAACCCAGCCAACAGGTTACGGATCCATACTCCAAAATAGTGAGATGAATTTAATCAGCTCTTGTATTTAATTTTCCTTTGCCCGCTTAAGGGACTTTAGATTTGAACTGAGAAGGAGAAAGTTGGCTGGAATTCATCTATGGAGAACTGATATTCTTCAGAAGCACAATAAGATGGAATTAAGGACCGGCTTGTGTGAGGATGTAGCTGATGAAATAAGAAACAGTGTAGCCTTTGGCCGCTTCCCAGACTACTATGGGAATTTCCCAATTGCTTTGTCTGGGATTAGTTTTGACATCTCCAAATTTCCAAGCAAATCTCTCACAGGAGAAAAGAATAAATGCTGTTTATTGTTGAGGGGAAATTTAGCTCCTCTTTGAAGGTAATTATTCTTTTCAAAAGATAAGGATCTCCCCTCTCCTTTAAAATCACTGAAAACCCCTTGCAGGGTCTCCAGAAGTGTGTGGTTTACTGCATGGCAGACACCCACTGATGACTCATTTATTTCTCAATTAAGTCTTAAACATGAAGGGCAGATTCTTTCACTCCTAGAATCTGGGAGCTGGGGAGAGAAGCACTTCATTAGTTGAATGAAGAGATAATCTGTAGATAGAATTTGAGAGATTAGGAAAAGAAGCTGACTTCTGGGTAATAACACATTAATTTAATATGACCAGAACATGTTTAATACCCAAGGAGATATTTTCAGTAATATTTTAAAAACTAAGTTCTTCATTTGATTTATTCATCCGGTAATTCACCCTTGATGAAGGATTACGGTAGAACAGTATTGAGTTCTTGATTTCAAATAAAACTGGGTGAATGTGCAAAAGGTGTGCAGAAGGCAGGATTCATTACTGAAGCTTTGATCTTGTGTGGTATGATTCTGGTGCCAACAATACAGACTCAGACTGAAGGTAGAGCATGGATGTTGATATGGCACAGTGGTGACTTGGGAAGATGCACTATGGCAAGGAATAGACGTCCACGTAGTATTCTTGCAGCATTCTAGGCACTAGAGATATGTGGGAAATGGGCAGTGTGAGCATGTGCTGCCACTGATGGTGAGGGAGGGGTTCCTGAGGGTGAGGGGCTCTGTGTGAAGGCCGCACAGACTCTTCCATTGCACACAAAGAATTTCTCATCTCTTGAAGGGAATGGACAGAAAATGCTAAAGACTAAGTCTGTGACACAGTAGCTGACTTTCAAAAAAATGTAAACACCCAACCAAAGCAGGTCTGTTCTGCCAAGATCTGGACCTTGGTTGGGAAAGTCTGGGATGCTGCCTGTGGGCTAAATGCATCTTGGAGAATGCTCCCTATATTAATCCATTCTCACATTACTATAAAGAAATACCTCAAACTGGGTAATTTATAAAGAGGTTTAATTGACTTACCATTCCCCAGGCTGTACAGGAAGCCTGGTTGGGGAGGCCTCAGGAAACTTTCAATCATGGTGGGAAGGGAAGCAAGAGGAAGTTTCCATGGTTGGAGCAGGAGGAAGAGAGAGAGGAGGGAGGTGCTACACACTTTTAAACAACCAGATCTTGGGAGAACTCACTCTCTCACGAGAACAGCACCAAAGTGGAAGGCAATTAGATCATTCTCTCGAGAATTCACCCCCATTATCCAATCACCTCCCATTGGGTCCCACCTTTAACCTTGGGGATTACTATTTGACCTGAGATTTGGGCGGGGACACAGACCCAACTATCACTCCCACAGCTTTTGACTCCTCAGATGCCCTGAACTGCCAACGGGCAGAATCATCCCATGATTTCTGAGTATATGGCAGTGAGTCTACCTTACTTGGACACAGTGCAGAGGCCCCTCCCCCACAAGGTAACTGGGGCCCTCTGCAAGGCCTGAATGTTTATATTCTCCTGAAGTCCATAGGCTGAAATCCTAACCTTCAAAGTGGTGGTATTAGAAGGTGAGGTCTTTGAGTTGTGAGGGTGGAGGCCTCATGAATGAGATTAGTGCCAGTATAAAAGTGGTCCCAGGGAGCTCCCTCACCCTTTCCACCATGTGAGGACACAGTGGGAAGGTGCTGTATATGAACCAGGAAGTTGGTCCTCACCAGACGCCAAGTCAGCTGGGACCTTGATCTTAGACTTTCAGCCTCTAGAACTGTGAGCAATAAACATCTGTTGCTTATAAGCCACAGAGTTTATGGTATTTTTGTAACAGCAGCTCAAATGGACGAAGACATTCATTCCCTCAGAACTTGCCACTACTTTGCAGCCCTTTCAGTAGGCCCATGATGAGGGTTTAGTTGCAGCATAAGTCACTGGGAAATGTTTTGGGGAGATGTCATGGGTCAACGTGTGGCTCACTAAAAGATATGTGGAAGTCTAAACCTCAGTGCCTGTGAATGTGACCTTATTTGGTAATAGGTTCTTTGCAAATGCAATCAAGTTAGGATGAAGCCATTAGGCTGAGTCCCAAACCAATACAATTGGTCCCTTCATAAGAAGAAGAAAACATCGTGTGAAGACAGACGCACCAGGAGAAGACCAGGTGACAAAAGAGACAGAGGCTGCAGTGATACCCCTGCAAGCCAGTGAACAACAAGGAATTCACCCAGACTCCCTCAGGGAGTGTGGCCCTGCTGGCTTCCGTATTTCAGACTTCTGCCCTCCAGGACTATGAGAGACTAAATTTCTCTTGTTTTAAGCCACCCAGTTTGAGGAAATTTGTTATAGCACACACAGGATATTTCTACAGGAGGAAAGGGACTGAATTCCAAAGGATCTTCAAAATGTAGCCAGCCTGCACCAGCAGAAGCCAGGAGGATATACCTAGGATTGTATTTTGAAGGTGCTTGATTAAGGAAACTAGAACATAAAATTTACATGAAAGAGTATATTGGCTTGGGAGTGCTCTTCCTCTTTGTAGGATTTACCACCTTTTCAAGGATGCCAGGGAATTGTGCAGACTTGCTACTAGAATTGCTCAGACAAGCCTGGCCAAAGTGATTGCCCAGTCTTCAAACAGCTGCTATGCCAGCATTGCTGTGGTGGGCCACGGAGGGAGGGATTGAAAGGCTTAGAAAGTGTGCTTGCTGGAATGGATATAGCCTGGTAACCCACCACATTTTCAGGAAGGCTGAAGGACTCACACTTTCCCCAAGCATAGAAGGACACAAGCATCTATAAAGCTTTCAGGGGTGGCCCTCACCTGCAGGCCTGGGCTGAGAGGAGAAGAGGACAATAGGGCTCCTCTCACTGCTAGCAATGGAGTTGACTGGACCCTGAGACAATGAGGCAATGTGCTGGTGCCAAGGAATGGCACTTTTCTTAATGACTAGCCGGCTTTAAGCAGCATCCTAGGGGTCCTGACTCACACAGGGTAATTGAGATGGTTACGATGATACAGCAGGTCTACATGGGCTTCAGGCCAAGGCACTGACAGCTTAGAGCAGCAGAAGGTGTCAGTGTGGATGACCAGGAGACTGAGGACCCTCTCTCCAAAGACAGCTTGCTCCCTTGCCCAGTGTCCACACCTGAGCCCATTTCAGACCCAGAACCCACTGACTGAAGAGATGTTGAGTTCCCAGGAGTGAAGATCAATCTTATCACACCATGACAAGTAACATGGGATGATTCTCTCCTCTGTCTTTCCTGAAGAGACCTATGGACATTTACCCAGGAATCTGTGCCTGCAGGAAAGGGATATATATTGACAATGATTGGACAAGGTATCCGGAATTACATTGATACTCAAAGATAAAAGTTCATCACACTTTCCGTACACAGAAGAGTACATGTTGACACAGAATGGCTGGGCTCCCAGCTAAACCCCACCCTTAAGTCTGGAAGTGTGACCCTAAGAGAAAACAGCTGACCCCATTTTTCCACCCAAATGTTGCCTTTTGGCCTTCTACATCCCAGTCCTGTGCTCATAAAAAGACCTCAGCTGGCAGAGCAATGCAAGCAGCTTAGCGACAGAGATACAAGTGGCTTAGCGGTGAGCAGAGAAGCAGCAACTGAGCATCAGAGACTATGGATAGACACCGCTAACTTCAGACAGTGTGGCTTCAGGGAAAGATTACCTTCCCACACCATTCTCTTTCCAACTCCCATCCCCCTGAGTGCCATCACCCAATAAAATCCTCCTCATACATTGCCTTTCAATCTGTGTAACCTGATTCTTCCTGGATGCTGGACGAGAACCCAGGTGCCAAGAGGGCGGGGGCTTGGACACTGCTGCAGGGCCCACACAGAGCCTTCTCCCATCAGAGAGGGTGACTGGCTGGTCCCAGCGTCCGTTCCCTCCAGTTCCCGCGCTCGCTTGCTTGCACACTACCTCTCATGAGGAGTGGCCAGCAGCGGGCTGAGTGAAACGAGCCACTCCAGTTCCCACCCACAAAGCGGGTCAGGGGAACTACCCATCTCATCCTGAAGTTAGCCAATAAACAGAGCCACATCCAAGGCCTGACTTACAGGCAAGCTATTGGGTCAATGGACCCATTTGGTACTCGTTTCCCCAGTGATCAAATCTATAATTGGAATGCGCAACCCTGGCAATTGGTTCAACCCTCAAAACAGGCCCTTGGTTTGTGTAATAAAAGCTATTGTAATAAGGAAGGCAAGTGGAAGTCACCCCTCATCAACCCTGATCAAAGTAAGAAATCAAAAGCAACATTGCAACCCAGAATGCATGATGAAAATTGGTGCCATCACAAACGGCTAAAAAGAGATGGGTTGGTGGCTCCCCTCATATATCCATTAATTGACCAGTTTGGCTCTGCAGAAAATGGATCTGGAGAATGTCACAGACAACCGCAAGCTCATCCATGTGGTCAACCTGATTGCAGCCACTCTATCAGATGGAGCATGTTTCTTAGAGCAGGAACACATGGTCTCGGGTACATTGTATGTAATCATTGATTCGGCAAACATTTTTTTTCTTCCATCTCAGTCAGAAAAATAGAATGAGAAATGATTTGTTTCCACATGGAATTGACAACAATAGGCATTTACATTTTTGCCCCAGGACTGTAATCCCTATAGCATCTAGCATAATAGTCCAAAGAATCTTATTTGTCTTGACATTGACCTATTACATTAATGTGATTATATCGGTCAGGCCAGGTGAGTAAGAGGTGGCTAGTGTGCCTAAAGCCTTGGTAGAAGACATGCTCTCCTGAGGCTGGTAGTAAACCTTGCAGAAATTCAGAGACTTGCCACATCCATAGACATGTGGATACTGATCATCAGGAGCATGCTAAGAAAAGTCACCCTCCCATGAAAAACAAACACAATGCCTGGAAGGCCTGTTCGGGTCTATAGGGAGGATATTCCACACCTCAGGAACCTTCTTTATTCCATAACCTGAGTGACTCAAAAAGCCCTTCCATTTCGGTCACAGGATCTGACAGCCTCGGTGTTGATGGATTTATCAGGGAAGGGAAAATGCACTTTATGAAGGGTGGGCTGTGCAGCATGCCTGAGTAAACTCACAGCACGGGAGGACCCTGGGGGGCTGAAGCAAGACCATGGCACTCACAGCAGAACATGGTCTGCCTCTTTCAAAGCAACCGGCATGCTCCTGGACTCTCACAGGGACCGAATCCTGGGCCTGTGAGGTTGGGTGACCACGCATCCAGGCTTGCCCATCATGAGCTGGATCGTGTCAGGCCCACTGAGGGCCCAGCTCAGACAGGACCAGTAAAGCTCTATCCTAAGATGGAAGTGGTAAATCTGGGCTGGAACATGAGCAGGACCGAGGGCCTGAGCAGATCTTCTGGACTGTGTTGGCCTCAGTGCTGTTGCAGCAGGGCCCCTCCCTTGGTTCCCATCCATGACTCCATGGGAGATCTTCCAGCCAGTTGAAGAAAGAGGGAGAAACCTAACCTATGGATGTGTTTGTGAGTCCAGGGCAAAAACAGACAGCAATCGCCCTCCATGCTCATTTGGGAGTGGCTTTGAATAAGAGTACCAAGGGAAGTTTATCTCAATAAGAAGTGTGTCAACAGCAAACCCAGTCACCTCTTTGTGGAAAGAGAAGTCATTCCAAAGAATACATATGGAGCCATAGGAAGTGGCCAATGCCCTAGCCAACTAGCCAGAACCTGGAAAGAAAAGGTTGGAAGATCAGGGAAGACCTATGGCAGAGGCATGAGCATGGCTACATGGGAGGAATCCCATAGAGTTTGAAGGGTAGAGAGGTTGAAGATCTTTATAGTATACATTAATTTCCATGCAAAAACATTCCCTGCAGAAGAGATACTAAAACAGTAGAAAGATTGGCCTGCTCAGCAGCAACAGTTCCCCTCTGGCAACACCTATCCTTATGCTGACATGACAAACGTATGAGAAACTGGCCGTGGTGGCACAGATGGAATTGACATTTTTGCCCAGCAGCCGGGACCCCACTGGCTGAAGCTAAGGAGGCTGAGCTGGCCACTACTGCCAGTGATTTCAAACTGCCAGTCCTGGGGACCAACACGGAGTTCCTGGTAAGGCAGCAATCCTGGAGGAAACAACATCCCACAAGTTGTCTCCATTGGGCCCCTTCTCGTCTAATGATCCAGCAGTGCGTTCTCACAGAAATAGACACTCTTCTGAATTTGCTCCCACAAACTCAAGCCAGCCCCCCTGTCCTGAACTTACAGAGGGTTTAACCCACTGGCTTGGGATTCCACCTAATAAGGCACCAACTCAGGGTCATTCCTCAGCATAAGAGTAGCAGGGGTGGCCCACAATTATGGGATTCATGATTATGTCATATGCTGTCATCAGCCTAGTAGTAATACCCTGGGAGGATGGGGTGTCATGCTCCAGAGCACAGTGCCTACATTGAACCAAATTTCCTTACAGGCCATGACTGCACCGATGGAAGACTGCACAGGTCTGGCATTGAGGAGTGCCCATCCTCTCTAAGCATCCGTCACCATGACTCTTCCGGACAACTCTGGGCTTTACAAAGTTAAAGATTCTTGTCCTCACAAAGGGTGCACTTTTGCCGAGGGACAAAGCAAGAGTCCCAGTGAATTATAAGCTTCGTGGCTTTGAGCTTCTTCACTGATGGGCCAGCAGGGAACAAGAGGTGTCAACCTCCTGGTACAGGTGGCTTTCAGCAGAGGGAGGATCAGCAGCCACTGCACAATGAGGAAGGGCTGCTCTGAAATGTACAGAGAGAAACAAGTCTGGGCAGTGCAAGGGCTGGGTTGTGGTAGACCCAGAGGTTTGCTGATTCCCCAGACGTCCTTGCAGAGGTGCCTTGCTCCCCAGTCATGCTGTGGGCTCCCTGAGCAAAGCCTTCAGTGAGAGACCAGGTTCTTCCCCAGGCAGTTGTGCCCAAGCAGTGCAGGGTTTGGTCCCATGTCAGCCTTTGTAATGAGAAATGCATCCCCAAAGCTTCCCTCTGAGGCAGCTGAAGTTTTCTGGGGTCTGCATCACTGACTGACTTCTCCCTTTACCCACCCCTGCTCCCTCCTCTCCTTCTCCCCTGGTGTTGATTCCTCATAAATACCTTGAAGTCCATCTCCTCCCGTTTCCAGATGAGCAACCTGTCTCCACAACATCCTGTCTAGCTTCTCTCAGACAGCAGGACCCATGTGGAAATCACCTCCCCAGAAAGCCTTCCCTGCCCTTCCACCTCCACCACCAGGCTGGGTGGCCCAGTGCCCCTTCCGGCCCATTCCTTCTACATGCTGTTCTTCCTCCACCCACTTTCCACATTCAATTGTGCCTTCTCTATTCTCACCCACCCACTGCCTGGAAGTTGCTTGGGACAGACAGCAGGTCTCAGCGCTCCAACCCTAGGCATAGATCCAAGTGAAGAGTGCATAAGTGTGGGCAAGTAAATGAATCCCATAGGTGCGTCGCATGAAAACAGTCTCCAAAATACGAAGCAATGTGCATACTAATAAAAGAAGCCAGAAGGTGTTTTCTACATAATTCACAAAGCAACCTGCAGTCGTGCCCTACCTCTGCATTTTACCTGTGATGGCAACCAACTTCTGAGTGCCAGCCACGTGTGCCTGAGTTCTTGGTGCTTTACCTCCACAGTAGAAGAAACCTAGGAGGCAGATACTATTGGAGATCCACATTTTATGGGTGAGAAAAGGAAGGCACAGCGCGGACACTCCCCAGAATTCACTCTAGCAGAGACCTGGGGCCTGCCCCCAGGCTGTCTGGCTGCTAGGTGTGCTCACTGCCTGGGCTGGGCTACTGCACACAGTTAGAGGGCTGCAGCTTTTCACAAGTGTCTTAGATGCAGTGGAAGTATTTTCTGACTCCATCTCATGGGAGCCCACACTTGCAGTTCACATCCTGACACTCAATGTGCTATTTAGGGAGAATTTAGACACACTATTTGAATTTTAGCTTCTGGAAATTACTGACAGTAATTCTCACAGGACTTGGTGAGGTTTAAAGACGTTGTGTCTGTTATACCTTGCATAGTCTATTGTTCATGTCACATGATTGTAAATTAAGACATAGTCCATTGTTTAAAATGTAGTGTTTAAAATATAGTACAAAATTTCTAAATGCACAACCCTGTACCAAGACTGTATTGTCCTCCACATGAAGCAATGCAAGTGGAAACTGAAGCTTTCAAGCTCATTATTTATCTTCTGGCTTTTTAAATTAAAATGCTGCATTGAACTACAATGTCTTTTCCTTTTATTCTATTCTGTCAAAGCTATTTGTGTGTGAAAATTTATTTTTGGCTTCTCTGTCTCATATGGTCCTCACCCGACCTTTCTAAGGCATCTCAGCTAGGGTGGAAATTCCAAAGTGATCAGGAAAGGCCAGACACCTGGGGGAGGCTGAGCCAGGAGGGCAGACCCCTGACACGCCGGCTGGAGTCTATTTCTGCTGAAACCCAACTGAAAGACGCCACTGTTTTCAGTGGACATGAGGAGGTCCGGCGGGGAAAGAGAGGAAGCCTGGCTTCCTGATGAGTGAGGAGTAAAGCATGTTCTTTCCTGAGCACACATCATCACCCAGGCTAAAGCCATAGAGGCGTGGGGTCAGTGCAGGCTTCAGAGGATAAACACGGAGCATTTTGCTGCATATCCAGGACTGAACATCCACTTCTGGGCCTGTTTCCTAAGATGTCAAAATATCTATAATTGCCAAGTCAAAACACGTCCAACAGGAGAAGCCGTCGAGCTGGAGAATCCTTTCCGTCACTATTTCCTGGAACACAAAGCCCTGTTCTATGGCCCTTTGCCCAGGGTGCCTCTTAAATGCCACCAGCACCTTTTCCCATGTTGGTATTCTCCATAAAAAAATTTAACTAGAAGGAACAGAGATTGAATGACATGATTGTGGATAGTTTGATTAAAAACTGTTGCCACAAATAGAATTTACGAAGGAGAGAGGCCAATTGCTATCTATGCCCCCAAACCAGAGTCTGTGTTTACCTTCCAATGAGGGAGCGCAGGTTAAAGTCAACAGACAGAAGAATATTCTCTAAGTGTCTGCTCCATGCCTTGGGGGAACAGGCCCCTGACCACCCCTTCCTAAAATGAGATAAGGACCTAACTTAAAGTAGGTCTTGTTTATCAGCCCCTTGCTCTGACAAGTCGATTTCAGATTTCAAGTTTAGACAGCACGTTTTCTAAAGGAATTTGATCCCTTCTGATTTTATTGCAAACCAGGGAGATGTGGTCACAAAAGGCCTCTTTCACAGACAGGAAGAGTTTTCACCTGGAAAAATAAACTGACAAAGACAACATTTACATATTGCTGATGATATAGTGCCCTTGGAGGAAACCCTACACAGCCTTTTAGCTAATGGTGCATTTTAAAACATGGAAATGGCAGGACATATCATAACACATGATCTGTCTGTTTCCTGTCCCGATTTTAGTGAGTTTCCCACCCGGTGGTGTCCGTGGGACTACCTCGAACCAACATCTATGTTAGAGAACAAGGCTCATCACTCTAATGGCAGATCTTTAAACACTCAGCTCTGTTCACTGCTTCAAAAAGCTGTACAATGATTTTTGCTACTGTCAAACTTGAGAAAAAATAACACAAGGAGAAAACAGACATAGTATAAGCTTTTTATTTATAGAGAATTCACCCTGAACTGCTCATCAGGGAAACAAAATATATGCTTGATAATTCTATAAGAGATGAACTCTCACGACAACTCTTGTCTTACACATTTGTTTGCAAACCTGGTCGGTTTTATAGGCACTTAGCTACTCAAACCAACCAGACTGGGGCAGATCTGGCTTGCGTTTGGGAGTTGGGGTTGGAATCGAAATATCGTAGGTGTGAGAAGAGGCGATTATTATTAAAGATAAATGGAAGAGGAGAGTTTCTGTTCAGCAGCTTCTCAACCATTCCTCTAAATTCTAACCCCTTTGGCATGTTCTAGATTGATAGAGAGAACTTCTGTGCTGCAGCCACGCCACGACACCTCTGGAGCCAACCTGAACTCTCTGGAAAGTTTCTGTCAGATTTCATAATTTCACCAGGATTTTATAATTTCAAGATTTCACCAAAGGATGGGTGACTTGAGCTGTCGCAGAAGGCAGAGACCACATCCTGGAGCTCTTCAGAGCTCCCCACTGCCCCACAGGAGGGTGCAGCAGGACGTCCATGGTGAAGCCACTAACGACATTGATATTCATCACTTTTTACATTAAGAGCAATAATTTCCAGGCCTCATTAATACAAACTATCATGTGCCCTTTGGAAAAGTGTGCCTAGACTTAACGGATCCCTGTTGTAAAATGCTTGGATTTGTTGATACAATTTGAAGGGGAAAAGTGGGGAAACTACTCTGCAGCTCTAGTGGCCCAGCACTGACCCCACGGAGCCTCGTGCCATTCTGTTCTCTGGCATTTTAAGTCAATGTGCTGTGTCATCCTGCAGACTGGCCCAGCATCTGCCAATACAGGTCCCCATGGGAAGCCTTGGAAGCTTTCGAAGTTTACATCAAAAGCATGGGTTAAACTCTGCAGTACATCTTTCCAAAGTGGCAACAAAAGTTCCTTTTTATCCCTTGATCAGTGGAGCTCACCTGTAGGAAATGTTACACCTTTATATTAAACCGATGAATTGTCTCTTCTATATAAACTAGAGACATTCTTGACAGGCTTAAAGTCATTAACACCTCCCTGGAATGCCGGGTAGAGCCCGGAGCACTCTGCCTCCCTTGCCTCTGCATGCTCAGAAACCCGCGGCTCCTGAAACCCTCAAGCACATTTTCCTCTTGATACTTATATCGCTGATTTATTGAAATGAGCAAAAGCTTGTATGTTGGCAGGATTGTCCCTGACACAGATGTGTACAGTAAAACACATTTGATGTTTTCAAATAAAGACCTTGCCTTAAATTAGCAAACTATTGGATTACTCTGACAGGTTGGCAAAATAAATCGTCAGTCAACGCTTGTCACAACCTATCTGGAGGCACCTTGCTGGGGTCCGGCCAAGATGTTCAGCAGGAGTGTTGGGAAGGCAGGGGTGCACCTGAAATGTGAGAACTCCACACTGCACCTTAGTTGCTTTTCTTTAAAGATACCGTGGAAACCAAAACTTGCTTTATTTTAAAGAACCTGTTGAAAACAGGCATTTTATTTTAAATCTACCATCAGCCAATAAAGAGTGGTTTGTTCTCCCTCCTTTCCTCCCTCTGCCCACCCTGTCTTCCTTCCTTCTCCCTTTTTAAAGATATCTAAACCTTGAATACTTTCCAAAGAACAATGCCCTACCATTGTGGATATAATCATCACCTTATTTTGCCTAACAAACACATTTGTGAATTTTACTGTCAAATAGTCAATTCCACAGGTGAGTTTTGCCAGTTTCTCCTAGACACTAGCACGTTGAAATTGATTTGAATTGTTCTTTTTAATAGGAAAGTAATTGAAGCAGTAATTAATGTATTTGGAGGTGTTAAACATTTATTACTGGCATTAAACTGTGTCTAGCTGTACCTGGCATGCTTTCTTCCTCACTGTTTCCTTTTCAGTATCTCCATTCAGTTTCCCCAATTTATTTTTTGAGCCAATGTAGTAGGTTAAATTATTTGCTGATAGTTACAGAGAAGAAAAATGGCATCATTTTCAGGTATTTGGGGGATGTTACTTCATCATAATTTTTAGGCTCTCTCTAGTTCTTTCACTGTTCGCTGGGGTGGGTTAAAGGTTTACTCTCTCTCTCTCTGATAGCAGTCAGAGGGGTGCACAGCACACATCTATTAAATAAATAAAAACATGCAACTGGAATGGACCAACAAGCAGCCGGCCACAAAGAAACACAAGCTGATGTATGTACAATCTGAGTATAGTTCAGGGGTTTAAACCTGGAGGCTGCTTGTCCAACTCAAACAGGAGATGGTTCCCTTGACGTCTGCGTCTTCACATCTCAGTGTCTCCAGAAATTCAAATGGCTGGGCAGTAGCAGAGGGATGACTTCCCTCTCACTAGCCCAGGCATAAACAGGAAGCAAAGCAGAGGCTCACAGGGTGCATTTGACAAAGAGAAGGGCATGAGTCTATAAACCTGGGACAATTGCAGGTTTAGAGGCATCTTGCTTTTCTGGGAACAAAGGCATCCACAGAGTCCTGAACAGTGTGGGGTGGGTGGCTTGTACTTCCCAGGGCACGGTACAATCCCAGTGACATCCTGATTGATATCCTGATGGAGGAGCTTCCAACAGCAATCAGTATCTTACAAAGGTTGCTTTGTACAGTTTTGTATGTAAGCTGATTTTAATATGGTGACATAACATAACTGTTGGTAGTTATTTAACTCAGGCATTTTAGTAACTGCAATGAATTCATCTGCTTTTCAGATCTGGGTCCATTTTCTGGGGAAAAAAATGGTTACTTCAACAAGTTCTAATGACATAGAAGCATCTCTAAGGATTTTCAGTATTATTCAGTCCCACCCCAACACAGTCAAACACAAAATACATGATTAAGTTAAAATAACACTTTAAACCATTGCAGAGATGCAGGAGGTTTAGTGTTTTTGTTTTCGTTCTGCATTTTCTCAGCTCAGCCTCCTGAGACTGGCCTTAGTGTGTGCATCATAACAAGCTGGGCCTAAGGCCCCTGTGCATCAGCCTCTGGTGTGCTTACACACTACCCTGGGTTTTCAGTTTCACCAATCCCAATGCCTACCATGTATTGATGTCCTGTTTGTAGTCAGTGCACATGGATCAGCACTGTATTCCTCACTGCTATAAGCTCATGTGAAGGAAAATGCCACTGATCTGAGCACAGCAGTGGAGGTTATCTGGGAGAAGGGGGTGAGAAAATGATGCAGGTGCTTTAGACTAATAAATGCAGGAGACACGATGAGTTCTGTCTCAAAAACCAATCTTAGGTTTGCTATTTCCTCTCCAGTTTCATCACTATGACCCCAGGGATGGTCACAGTTGCTCCCACAGAACACATTTCTGTCTGTTTATGTGTTTGTTATTTGCTTTTACTTTTTCTTCTTGTCAGTCTCTGCTTCTAGAATCCGAGTTCAACAAGAGAAGAAACTTACACATGCTTACTAATATTTACTAAGCTTTTGTGGGGTCCACCAGATTTCAGGCACTTCATAAATATTTAACAAATGGAGGAATGCTAATGAAACAGTGAACTAAAGCTTAAACCCAAACTCACGGTGAGTCTGTAGTAACATCTTTTCATAAGAAAGACATCAAGGTATCTCAGCCACCAGCTAGTGTGTTGGAAAAAAAAGAGAGAAGGAAAAGAAAGAGAAAGAGGCTGGGGGGAGAAGGAAAAAAAAGAAAAGGAGAAAGGGAGGGAGAGAAGGATGGAAATAGGGTTTATTTTGCCCTGTGGTGTGGCCTGGGCATTTTTGCACACATATTTTTAAAAACTTACCTGACATGTCACAATTAATCCCAGACATGCCAAGGTCATCAGGCTGATAAGGTAGGGTTCTGTCCTGCTTGACTGCATAGCAGTTGGCTTAATTGAAATCACCCAAACAATCAATTCCCATGCCAGGTGGTGTCAATGCTTTCACAGAGAGCCTAGTGCTTTCTAAATAATTAAGCAGATTTAAAATATCACTGTCACGATCAACTATCACTATCACTATCAACATTTTTCCCCAGTTAAATTATGCTAGTCCTTTCAGCCTTGAAAAAGCAAATTGTGCAGAAAATGGCGTCATGAAATGTGAAAGGGAGATGGGGCTCTCCCTCAGGTACCGCAGAGCAGCCTACCACATTTGGCTCTGGCGAGGGGAGGTGCGGAATAGGGTAGAGGGACAGGGGACCACTCTGGACAGAGTCTTGCAGGGCGTTCAACTCAAGGGCTTCCCAGCAAGGCCTCCTCAGCTGCTTCTCTCAGACACCCCAGCTTCAGTTTTGCTGCTCCAAACAGGCCAGGTGGCATCTATATCTTCACATCACAGCTCACAACACTGGCTGAATGCCAAGTGGACCCAGAAAACTGACAGTTTAGGCTCAGTCTCAGGATTTCTTTGCGTAAAATTTCAGAATGAAAATGTAGCTCTGAAGAGATGTTCTCCTGGGTGCAAGTTCACCCTTCCCACCACAGACGTCAGACCTCTCCAAGATCTGCGGTCTGCTTCTCTGTGGACATTTGGGTCCCTTTAAAATCATATGCTGCACATCACCCACGAGGCAGTGGTATAGGTGGTGGGGACTTGGGGAGGTGATTATGTCATGGAAGAGGAGCCCTCGGGAAGAAAAGAGGCCCAAGGGAGCTTTTTCATGCCTTCAGCCACGTGAGGACAGCAGTGAGAACAGCTTCCCGTGAATCTGGAAACGGGCTGTCACCAGACACTAAACCTGCTGGCATCTCAATCTTGGACTCTCCGACCTGAGGAACTATGAGTAATAAATTTCTGTTGCTTATAAATTACCCATTTTAAGGTATTTTGTTATGTAACAGACCAGATGGACAAAAACACAGCCTGAGCTTCTAGCCAGGGCATTTCATTCCCATGGAGTATGGACTATTTCATGGTTCCTGCATCTGTACACTGTTCTATTGCAAACTTTTGTTGCTGATTCTTACAGAGGTCATCATGCATCCTTTAGTGCATGGAGTCTCTCCAGTGAAGGTTAGCAATGAAACTCCTCTCCTGGGTTTTAGTGGAGAAGACACTCATTTCCTGTGCCTGTTACATCAATGCCACTTTCTAACTGAATGTCTTGCATGCACCCACCTTCTACCAAATTGAATCTGTTTTTTTCGATGAGCTGGTAAAGCTCTGATTTGCTGAAGCCCTCAGCCCAGTTTCTTATCCAGTCTACATGTATTTTAACTGTAGTGGCCTTTTTCTAGTTCTTACTTTTCTTCCAAGGAAGTCTTACCTCTGGCCACCAACACTTCTGGAAAAGTCTACCCAATTTGCAAGGTATGACTACTTATTGAACAAATTCATGGAAGGCCTACAAAATACTGGGCACTCTTCTAGAAGATGAGAGTAGAATGATGAACATAATAGACTGTGGCCATGAATCCTTTTTTGAAAGAAATGAAGAAAACAAGGGAGCAATTCAAAATGTGAGAATAAGACAAATCAGAATAAATGGGTAAATAAATGAATGGGAGGGGGCTGTGGGGCAGTGACTCCCACTAAAGAGAAAGAGCCCTAAGTACAGGGTTTCTGGACTGAATTTTCCCACAATTTATTTCCAGTGCTGACAACATAGTAGGGCACTGAATAGAGAGTTTAGGGAAAGCTTTTCTGAGAAGATCACATTTTAGCAGAGACCCCATGAAGAGAAGCAGGAGAAATGTGGAGACCTTGAGTGACTGTGTGCAGAGACAACAGCAGCAGGTCTATGAGCCCTGAATAGGAAAATGTTCAGCCCTGAATGGGAATAGGTTCAGCCCTGAATGGAAATAGATTGAGGCCTGAATGGGAATAGGCTCAGTCCTGAATGGAAATAGGTTGAGCCCTGAATGGGAATAGGCTCAGTCCTGAATGGAAATAGGTTGAGCCCTGAATGGGAATAGGTTGAGTCCTGAATGGAAATAGGTTGAGCCCTGAATGGGAATAGGTTCAGTCCTGAATGGAAATAGGTTGAGCCCTGAATGGGAATAGGTCAAGCCCTGAATGGGAATAGGTCAAGCCCTGAATAAGAATAGGTTCAGCCCTGAATGGGAACAAGTTGAGCTCTGAATGGGAATAGGTTCAGCCCTGATTAGGAATAGATTGAGCCCTGAATGTGAATAGGTTGAGCCCTGAATGGGAATAGATTGAGCCCTGTATGGGGATAGGTTCAGCCCTGAATGGGAGTAGGTTGAGCTCTCAATGGGAACAGATCGAGCCCTGAATGGGAATAGATTGAGCCCTGAATGGGAATAGGTTCAGCCCTGAAAGGGAATAGGTTCAGCCCTTTTAGAGACCAGTCATGGCAGCAAGAAGTTCAGGGAGGTGCGAGGGGCCAGGTCACAGTGGGGAACAGTGGAACAGTGGGGTCATGTGGGATTGTGGGGTCACCTGGGACCAAGGAGTCATGAAGCCTTCTGGATATTTTTCTAGGAGTAAAAGGGAGCCATCGGGTAGCTCTTAAGTAGAAGGCTTGCCTGTTCTGATATATTTTAAACAGAATCAAAAATTTTTCTCTGGAGAATGGCTTACTGGGAATTAGAGAAAAATAGATATAAGAACATGTTAAGCAAATAGTCACATTATTTATAAAATTAATTATCAAAAGTGAAAGTTCCAAGTAGAGAATGTGCAGGGTTCGATCATAACCAATGACAAGCTATGTCAGTGTAGGGCTTACCTGGGGGTCAAAAAACTTCTTTAAAGAAATCACTCATGGAAACCTTGTCATTGAAGATTATTTTTAACCTGTGAGTAATTGATTCAGAAAGAGACACTGGAAGGTCATTCTTGTCTGGGCGCATGAGATGAGGATCTCTTGAGCTGATTGGCACAGGGGCCAGATCACAGAGGCAGCAGGCTGAGACTGATGATGTAGGGTCTTGCAAACAATGTAGGGATTTGGGTCCAGGCCTCTAGAACAATGGGAAGCCATGGAGGGTGCCAGCCAGCGAATTCATGGCCCACCTGTTGAATTTAAAAGGCCCACAATGCTGGACTGAAGATAATGGATGGAGGGGAGCCACAGGGTTGGGAGGAGGCTGGTCTGCACCTTAGCAGTGGCCCCAGGAGGACACAGCAATGTGGGCAGCAGAGGTTGGCAAGTGAGACAGAGAAACAGTATTAGGAGGGAGAGTTCTTGGGACCCACTGACAGAAAGTTGGAGGTTGCAATGGGGTATGGAGTGTGGCCCCAAAGGTCCTGGCATACACAATGAATGGGTGGCTCTGCCCTTCGCTGATGAGAGAGAGGAGGTGCTGAGGTCAGTGATTTATAGTCCAGAGACTGTAGCCTTCTCCTTTTCCAAGTCACCACCTAATGGGCCTTAGATGCCACGTTAAGTTACAAGGAAGCTTTTAAAATGTGTTCTTCAGGACATTGGTTTGAGCAAAGCCTTTTTGGATGAGACCTCAAAGCACAGGCAACAAAAGCAAAAATAAAAAACAGGATTACATTAAGCTAAAAAGCTTCTGCAAAGCAAAGGAAACAATCAGCAGAGTGAAGATACAATCCACAGAATAGGAGAAAATATTTGCAAACTATCAATTTCATGAGCGATTAGTAACGAGAATATGTAAGAAACTCAAACAACTCAGATGCAAAAAACACATAATTTGGTTTAAAAATGGGTAAAAGATCTGAATAAACATTTCTCAAAAGAAAACAGACAAATGGCCAACAGTTGTATGAAAAAGTTCTCAACATCACTAGTCATCGGGGAAATGCAAATCCAAACCGCAATGAGATATCATCTTACTCCAGTTAGAATGGCTTTTATCAAAACCACAGGGACTAACGGATGCTGGCAAGGATGCAGACAGGGGAGTGCTCACACATTGCTGGTGAGAATGTAAATTAGCACAGTTACTACAGAGAACAGTATGGATGGTCCTCAAAAAATTAAAAATAGAGTGACCATATGATCCAGCAATCCCACTACTAGGTGTGTGAAGGAAATCAAAATATTGAAGAAATACCTGCTCTTCCGTGTTTATTGCAGCACTATTCACAACAGCCAAGATATGGAATCAACCTACGTGCTTATCAATGGATAAATGGATAAAAATATAAATATTATATATATAATTTAATATTACTCAGCCATAAAAAATGCCATCCTGTCATTTGCAACAACATGGATGGAGCTGGAGGTCATCGTGTTAACTGCCATAATCCAGGCACAGACAGACAAATATTACATGTTCTCACTCATACGTGGGAGCTCAGTATGTGGAATTAATGAAGACAGAGAGATGATCGTTGGTTCTCAAAGGCTGGGAAGTGGAGAGAAGAAGGGCGATGAAGAGAATTGGTTATTGGGAATAAAAATACAGTTAGATAGAAGGAGTAAGATCCAGTGTTCAAAAACACAGTAGGATGAGTATAATAACAACATCGTACTGCGTAGATCAAAAAAGCTACAAGAGAAGAACTAGAATAACCCCAATACAAAGAAAAGCTAAACATTGGAGGTGATAGATATACGAATTTCCCTCATTTGATCAATACATATTGTAGTGAATGCATGCAATATCAAAATATTGCATATTTCCACCAAAGAATGTACAATTCTTATGAATAAAATCAGAAAAAATATTTTCTGCAGAAGATAAATAGACTCTGGTTTTAATTCAAGAGCCTACACTTTTATAGTCATGTACCACACAATGATGTTTCAGTCAATGACAAACCACATATGTGAAGGGGGTCCCATATATTTATAGTACTATATATGTTTTTTGAGACAGACTCTGGCTCTGTCACCCAGGCTGGAGTTCAGTGGTGTGATCTCGGCTCACTGCAACCTCTGTCTCCCAGGTTCAAGCAATTATCCTGCCTCAGCCTCCCAAGTAGCTAGGATTACAGGCATGTGCCACTACACTCAGCTAATTTTTTCATATTTTTAGTAGAGACAAGGTTTCACCATGTTGGCCAGTCTGTGTCTCGAACTCCTGGCCTCTGGTGATCTGCCAAAGTGCTGGGATTACAGATGTAAACCACCATGCCCAGCCTATAATACTATTTTTTAACTATACCTTTTGTATGTTTAAACATATTTAGATACATAGATTCATAGCATTGGGTTATGTTTGCCTACAGTACGGTAACATGCTGCACATGTTTGTAGCCCAGGAGAAACAGGCTGCACCATGTAGCCTAGATGTGCAGTAGGCTACGACATCAAGTTTGTGTAAGGACACTCTAGAATGTTTGCACAGAGACGAAAATGACTCAGGACACATTTCTCAGAACATGTCCTGGTTAAGCAAGGTATGATTGCTTTTCATTCTTGTGAGTATCATCCAGACACATATATTGATATATAGTTTTGACATTTAATAATAGTTGAGAGGCTACAGTCTTCACAGCACCCTCTACTTTTCAGCATCCAGAATTTACCCTTTTTTTGTACACTCAGTTCCTCCTATGTTGATAGCCCAGCCAACATATATCAGCTCTTGCATATGGGTGGCATGGACTCAAGAGACGATCTGAGAGGAGAGAATCAAAGAGGTAGAGGGAAGGAAAGAAAGCCTACTTTGGTCTATGTAGTAAAGGCAGTTGGTCAAAGAGAGGAGAAAAAAATGCCTAGACAGCAGCTGGTGAGAGAGTTAAATTTTGAGTTGCTTGGCAGAAAATTGGGGGCTGTATCAGTCAGGACAGGCAGCATCATGCTGCAGTAATGACAAACCCAACAATAACATCTCAGTGGCAAGTACCATGAGAGGCTGCTTTTTCACTTGTTGTTACATACACATGATGGTGTTCTTTCCAGAGATGGCTGGTCTTCTGAGTCATTTGTCATTCTCCTTCTAGGATGCAGGCTGAGGAGCAGCCACAAGTGAAGTGTTGCCTGTCACCTCAGCAGTGGAAAAAAGAGGGCACTTCCTCTTTTTTCAGGGACTACTCTCATTTCTCCTGCTGGATGTGACCATGTTACCCTGTGGGTGACTCAGACCACCTTTGCTCCCTTCTCAGTGGCCAAACCCCATTATATGACCACCAATGAGTTGGATAGGGCAGGGCTGTAATGCTCCCATAGGTAACAGGGCTTTCAATCAAGGAAGAATCATGCCTTCTGCTTTAGGGTGGAAGGGAATGTGATCTCCTAACACTCATAGTAGATTATGAGCACACATCCTCATGTGAAAATACTGTGGGCACTGTGCATAAAATAAGATTTGTTTAATTATCTCTGGTGGTGGCAGTTCCTTCCTCAAAGTCATATTTGTCCTCACATCAACTGGGCTTCACACCTCCCAGAGTCACAGGGCTGGACAGGGTCTTCCTCACCTGAAGCAATTCATTTTGAGATGTATTTTCTCCCATTCTGTAGGTTCCCTGTTCAGTCTGATGCTAGTTTCTTTCGCTGTGCAGAAGTCTTTTAGTTCAATTAGATCCCATTTGTCAATTTTGGCTTCTGTTGCCATTGTTTTTGGTGTTTTAGTCATGAGGTCTTTGCCCATGCCTATGATGTCCTAAATGGTATTGCCTAGGTTTTCTTCCAGGGTTTTTACAGTTTTAGGTCTTCCGTTTAAGTCTTTAATCCATCTTGAGTTAATTTTTGTATAAGGTATACAAATTTTTGTATAAGGTATAATTTTGTATAAGGAAGGGATCCAGTTTCAGTTTTCTGCATATGGCACACCGCCACCAGCCCTCCCAACAGACGGGGCCTGGTCAAGACGACAGCCACTGAAAGCCACTCTCAGCATGGAGCAGGGAGGCCTTGGGGTCGAATTACCCTGGGATTGAATTACTAGAAGCACACTCAAAATGAAGAAAGTTGCTTCTAAAAATAGGAAAAAGAAACCCACACGGATGAAAGTCAAAGAGGAGAAAAAGCAGAACAAAAACCATTTGGCTTTACAAACATCCACACAATTTTAAAGTAGGGTTCCATCCTGTCCCTCTGGAACAACAACGGCTATGACGAAAAAGCAGCCAGGTTCTCTTTTCCTACAAGACCTGCTTTTTCAACTTCTTGGTGAAATGTGATGTAGCAGCAGAGAGGCCCAGCTTGCACCCTGAGATCACAGGAGCGCTTGCGGGTGGCTTCATCTTTAACCCCTTGAGGCCACCAAACATCCATTACCTGGCCAGGCAGAGCTGAAGACGACCCTCACGGGGCTCTAACCTGAGCCCATAGCAAACTGTTTTCCCTGGATCTGGGACAGAATCCCTTCAGAAGCCCACTCATGGGCAAGGCAGCTTCGAGTGGACTTGCAGCTGTTGAGAACTGACCTCCCAGTGGGAGCTCGGGCCTTGATTCCCCACTGACTCCTCAAAGTGTCTCCCAGAGCCTAAACTGTCTCCCAGAGCCTGTCTCCCAGAGCCTAAACTGTCTCTCAGAGCCTAAACTGTCTTTCAGAGCCTGTCTCCCAGAGCCTGTCTCCCAGAGCCTAAACTGTCTCCCAGAGCCTAAACTGTCTCCCAGAGCCTGTCTCCCAGAGCCTAAACTGTCTCCCAGAGCCTGTTTCCCAGAGCCTAAACTGTCTCCCAGAGCCTGTCTCCCAGAGCCTAAACTGTCTCTCAGAGCCTAAACTGTCTTTCAGAGCCTGTCTCCCAGAGCCTAAACTGTCTTTCAAAGCCTAAACTGTCTTTCAGAGCCTGTCTCCCAAAGTCTGTCTCCCAGAGCCTGTCTCCCAGAGCCTGTCTCCCAGAGCCTAAACTGTCTTTCAAAGCCTAAACTGTCTTTCAGAGCCTGTCTCCCAAAGTCTGTCTCCCAGAGCCTGTCTCCCAGAGCCTAACTGTCTCCCAGAGCCTGTCTCCCAGAGCCTAAACTGTCTCCCAGAGCCTAACTGCCTCCCAGAGCCTAAACTGTCAGCTCTGCAGGGTCCTATTCCCTGCCACCTTCGAAGCCATCTCAGCACGACTCACCTGCTGAGTGGCAGGCAGGGCGAATGGTCCCCTACTCACCTTTGCTGGCTTTTCATTGACAAATTGCCTTTGTCCATACAAGAAATGAATTCTCAAGATATATCTTAAATGCCCCCTGGTTGTGAACATGGCTGAGGGTGCTATGTAATAATAAGTAGTTTTTGTCTTCAAATAATAATTCTAGCATATGATCAAAAGCAAATGCATCAAGCTTTGTAACAGGCAACAGCCCCAGCTCGGGGGTTTGGGATGCCTTGACCAGCAGCCTGCAAACCTGGCTTCATGGTGAGGAAAGGCGTTGCGATCCTTTTCTAGGGCTGGGGAATCTTAGCAGATCCTGAGAGCTTCATTTCATCTGCGGACTCCAACAGAAGCATTTTGCTTATTTTGATTTGGGGAATACAAAGGGTTTTAAAAATCATTTTAATTTTGACACTTAACTGGGATAAGAACAAAGAAACCCTCTTAGAAAAAGAAAGGAGATTTTTCACTTGAAATAAACCACCCTAACTGTCTGATGCTCTCATCAGCTCCTGCCAGGACTCTAGTGGGTGACTGAGGCCGCCTTTCACCCTAATGAGTCCATCCATCCTGATGACGTCACCACGAGAAGACACCTCACATCCACCTGCATCAACACCCATCAAGGGCGGGTGGAAACTCAGTGAACATCTTCTCTCCCACAGGGCTCCCCGAGTGTCACAGCCGCTGACAGCCTGCTCTGTGTGGCCCCAAGGACCTCACCCAGCCGGCCACGCTCCCCGTGGCACAGTGGCCCTCCTCCGCTTCTCTCCGAATGATGTGAAGCAAATGTTACTGGAGAGCCTTCTTTCTGCCCTCTGGAGCGATTCTTCTTAAAGTGAGCTCCCTAGAGCACTGCCCTGTCCCCCAGATGTGCCCTGGAGCTCTGATGCCCAAATCCAATGCTGGAGCCCACATGCCAGGCGTGGGAATGCCAAAGGACACGAAGCCAGGGGAAGTATGCTCAGAAAATGTTCATAATGTAAAAAGTCTTCATTTCATGCCTAAATTGTCTGTTAGAATTAAATGTAAGCTCATATCAAATTTAGCACAAATGTATAGGCCTAATTATTTTTAGTTTAATGTAGAGATTATGTAGAATTTTGTAACTCAACTAGTTTGGGAACCACTTGAAAGGATACAGCAACAACAGGCCAATTAAACAGGAAATTCTTGTCCTCTTCAAAGAGGAGAAGATGAGAACAGAGACTAAGAAGGATAAAGGAGAGAATAAGACCAGGAAATACTTCCCAGAAAGAGGAGGCAGGATTTCGCGTTCAACAGATGAGAAAGAGGACAGAGAAGAGCAGAAAACTATTAAAAGGTAGGATTCTGATTCGATGGGCAGAAATGATTTTTACAATGAGAAAAGTTGCCCATAATTCTTGACTGGCAATGTATTTTACAATGCTGTAAGCATTTATTTCAATTTCTTCTGACTGTACAAATTCCTTTTCTGTGCTTTAATTTCATGGCACCTTTAATCCATAATGATAATGAAAATAACACCTAACACTTACATAACATGCTACAATTTTAATTTATAAGATTTTATATAATTTAATCCTTCAAATAATGCCTTATGTAAACACGGCTTTTACTTAATTTTTATGAGTGGGGAAACAGAGGAGTAAGAAAGAAAATTATATGCCTTTGATCGTGCAGGAAATATGCACTAACACTGGACTTAGAATGGAAGTCCCTAACTCCCAAACAAACACATGCACTGTTCATCACAGGCATATGAATTCTGGGTAATGGATTGGCTGAAAGCAACAGCCTTGCCAGAGAAGTCTATCATTAGCAGTGTATCACCGATTAAATGGATAAAGTTATTCTAAAGAGGCTTCAACAATGGAGATCTTGAGTTTGTTCTTTTAGACATTCTCTCCGCATTTTTCCCTCACTTCTTCTACAGTTGACCCACTTCTGTCTTAACACATTTTTAAAATTATGGTTATGTAATTAAGTGGCTCCTTGGTGACGTTTTTGAGGAAATTTTGAAGTACTGTATTAATTCCTGAAAAGAGACATGCAAGATCTATCTCCAAACCCTCAGAACTTGGGCACCACCCCAATCAAACTGTTTCTTAGAATGTGGATGTAAATACACCAATTAGCAGTTCACTGAATGAAGGGGGCTATTGAAACTTACAAAACACATGCGTGATTGTTGAAAAGCTTGTCGAATGTCTTCCCTCCCACAATTCAAATATTATTCAAACCAGTGATTAAAGTTAAGAGCTGTTTCCAATAAATGACTCACATCATATATTGCCTTTCAATTACCAAATTATCCATGCTATTGGCCATTAACAGGCCACTCGATTAAAAGGACAATGGAAAAAGTAATTCAGATTCCAGCTTAAAGATCTCCTCCTCTCACTTCCCAATTAACACTTACAACATGCTGGCCACAGGCAATTCTCAGAGTGCTTTGCCTGACTTAATTTTGCTTTTAGCACTCAGTGCCAGGAATACCTAGAAAATTATCTACTAATTATCTGGCATTATCTATGTTGGTTCATGTCTAAAGAACAGCTCATCTAATTACAAGGCCCTTTGCTATTTGACTCTAAAGAGTGGGTTTAACTGAGAATTTCTCCAAAAGGGCTTGCACTAAGGGCTGGTAATTATGTGCTTTGCGTTCTTTGGAGGGAGTTCTCTCAGGTATCAACAACAAACAGTTACTGAAAGGATGCTTGCACAGCAGGTGCGCTGTAAGTAATAATTACATCGTGACATTTCCAGTGTTTTCTTCTACTGGACAATTAGCAAACAGTATGCTAACTTATCCCTAACATTCTCAAGAGAACTCTGAACTCTCACACCCCTTCTAAAAAGTCCATGGAATCTTCTACAGAGCAGACCTGCTATAATAGTAAAAAGTGAGTGCCCTCTGAGCAGGTGTTTTTTGAACAAGTTTAGGATCGAAGAAATAAAATTTGATTTTATAGTAGGCTGGCATCTAGTCTTAGTCAGTATGCTACTGAGAACATGGGAGTTATAAAATTGTCAGGGCTGAAGAGGTATATTAATGACTGAATTTATGTGGCTGCTTTATCCATTTAATATGAGCAAGAACATACCCCTAACAGGCTAGAAAATTCTGAAATGGTAGCTAAAACAAAGAAGCATCTTTAATTCCTAGGGTAATATGGCACGGTTATTATTGTTTTCCTTTAAAATTTAAAGCAATTACAAACCTCAAGAGAAGTTAGAAGTATGGTTTAAATAATTTTTTTTCATGAATTGGGGAGGAATTGACTGGCCTGATGCCCCATCACACTTAAATACTCTGTTAAGCATTTTCTACCAAAAAGGACACTCTCCTACAGAATTCTACTAGAAAGTTCTGAGAGAATTTTGACTTTGCTGATGCAAGATTTACAGCACCCTCATTGCCCTTTCTTCCTTTTTTTCTGTCTGGGATACAATTTTGATTAGTATTAAGACTAATATCACTTTTTTCATTTAAACTTCTGTGTTCTTTTCTCTCTTAAAATTGGTTATAGTTCTGAAATTTATTATGCTTTCTTTGTTTACTCATAAGTTTTTCCCTAGGTTTTCAGATGGATGATTAGTTTTTTTTATTAGGTTTCCGTAAAATCTAGTGGCTGACACTTTTGAGCCTTTAAATTAACACCAGAAACTATCTACCTCCACTTCAGACTTCCGATTACCTGGTAAAACTAATCCATATGTATTGAACTCATCATAATAAAGACTGTATTACTTGCCCATAGGTGCAATTGATACATGGCCCTGTGAGGACCTGCATCTGCTGGGATCCATCTAGTTCTTGGACTTGCATTTCTTCCATTCTCTGGTTATTTACTTCACTATTTTTCAGTCTCATCTCAAGACCTCCCCTAAATTAATACCCACACCTATACACACATCCATCCCTCCCCCAAACCCTTCTTCTATTTTGTCCATAGCACTACTCACTTGAAATGTTTTGTTCATCTTTTTATTACCTGACTCTAATGCTGGAATGTACATTTTATATGGATAGGACCCTCATCTGAGCTTCTTTCACTGAACAGGTGGTACTTAAAACAATAGTGGTGGACACTTAGTAAATATTCGCTAAATAAATAGAATGAACAGCTCTAACTCTAAGACGCAATTTATTTATCAAATTTCTGAACATGATATAAAAGTATAAGGTGTTCTTTTGGAATTTTACAATGAAAAAGACAATATATATATGGAAATTTAATACTTGAATTGTCATGGCTGGTGTGTTTTTGCTCTGTGGTCCCATCTACAAGGAAAGAAAAATTATAGACATGAGATTACTGGGAGATGATGAAATGAACAGGCTTAGTTTGTTGGGCTTGACTGTTTTTTTGTTTGTTCTTATTGGTTACTTTCTATCGCTGATCATTTGGGGAGATTTGTAAAAGGAGAAGGAATAAGCCATTATTTTTTTCTGCTATTTTTGGAGCAAACTATCTATGTTACCTCTCTGGTCATTTCCTTTTAAAAATTCTGTTTATTTGCATTCATTATCTTCTTAATTAGTATTGCTAATAATATCACTTTTTCATTTTAATCTTTTTTTGTTCTGTTCTCTCTTAAAATTGATTATAGTACTTAAATTTATTATCCTTTTATTTTAGTGTATGTTTTTCCTAGGTGTTTAGAGGGATGATTAGTTTTTTAAAATTAGATTTCCATTTTATTCTCAAAAATTTATTTAAACTTAAAAAAAAGCTCCAATTTTTATTTTAAATGTATGCTCATAACCTTACATGCCTAAAGTTGTTTATCATTATGCTATACTGTTTTCAGAATTCAGGTATTATTTTCTCTGTAGTCTCAGGGTTACTTAATAATGGGCTTAGTGATTTCCAAATGTGTGAAAACGTGTTATTGTTGTTGGCTGTGAGGTTGGGGAACACTCTAGGACCCTGATTATTTAGAATGCATTGAGTCTTCTTTTGTTGTCCAATTCATGGTCTATTTTTGAAAACATAACAAAATGTGTAGTCTTTACTTATTGAATATAAGTTTTTAAACTTTTATCTAAAAGTGTTGATTGACCATGTTATTTATACTTTTTATATCTTTCTTACTTTTGTTCTTTCAATATTACTATACCAGTTCATCAAAGGACTAGTTGAAATTTATTTCCCACCTATCCCCCCTTATCCTGTTTGTTCAATTCTAATTTCAAAATTGTACTTTTAAGCACATTTATATTAAAGACTTTCATATATTTGGATCAATTGTTCTTACCAGTATAAAAAATCACTTTTGGTATCCTGTGATTTGGCCCTTAAGTGTGATGAAGAGTAATAATGAAGCAAGTGAAGCAAGGTAATACGAAGAACCAGGAAAAGACAGACACAAGTCAACATGTCCATTTATTTTAAAATGTAGCTACATCACAGCAAGATAAAAAAAAAAAGTGATCCAGATCAACAATAACAACAGTAAAAAAAAAAAAAAATGAAAAAAGAAAAAGTGAGGCTCAAAAATTTTTGGAATCTGAGATTACACACACACATGCATACCCACAAACACACACACAATCAAAACAGCTGTAAAGCAGAGGAAACAATAATAAAACAACTAAATTTTAAAATTCAGTGATTGTTCATGTAAAGGCAAATATTAAAAATATCTTGAAGAATAAATTTAAAAACTCATGATAGTTCTAGACTAAAGAAAAGGAAAATGCAAAGTGGAAGCTCATCAGTATCAGAAAGAAGTTGGAAAAAGGAAAAATGTGTATCTAAAATCAAGATTGGCTGGTTGTAGTAGCTCACGCCGATACCGCCAGCACTTTGGGAGGCTGAGACAGCTGGATTGCTTGAGCTCAGGAGTTCAAGACTAGCCTGGGCAACATGAAAAAACCTCATCTTCAAAAAAAAAAAAAAAAAAATTAGCCAGGTTGGTGGCATGTATCTGTAGCCCCAGCTACTCTGGAGACTTAGGTGAGAGGTTCACCTAAGCTTGGGGATGTCAAGGCTGCAGTGAGCTGTGATCACACCACTGCACTCCACTCCAGCATGAGTGGCAGAGTGAGACCTTATCTCAAAAGAAAAATCAAACAAACAAAAAAATCAACCTTAAGATTAAATTACAATTGTTGAGAAGGACATGTATAACTGGAAATGTAGTATTAAAAATATCGAATATGAGTAAAAAAGCTGAGGAAATAAGAAAGAATTAAGTATGTTATCAAAAGAATCTGAAAAGAATAGGTGTGGAAAATACGTAAAGAGGCTCCAATAGAGGTATAATTGGAGCAATTAGCTCCCCCAGTATTAAACCTTTGCTTTTGAGGAAAAACGAAACAGTGAAGCAAAATTAATTTTAAAACAGTAACAGTTACACATATACACACACACACTCTTTCTTGAAATAAAACTTAAATTTACACGTTGAGAGAGGCTCATAATACACCTGAAAATTTTGACCCAGAAACATTAATTGTAAAACATATTGCAATAGAAACTTAAACCTTAACCTGCAATTATAAAGACCAAGTTACTAGCAAATAAAAAAATCAAGTTGCTCTCAGATTCTTGACAGAATACATACAAACAGAAATGAATGAAAAATAAATAAAAGACTATTTCTAAAAAAATTCACCCAATGTAATATTATGCTAGTGTAAAAACTGAGATATAATTTTTAAATGATATTCAGAATACATATGTAGTTTAAAAATAAAGTTACAGAGTGGCATGGTTATTATGTTGCATTTTATACAACAAAAGAGGTTAAAATAAACATACTTTAGCCTATCTTTGCCAAAAACAAAAAACAAAACAAAAAAAAACAGCTAATCAAACAAAAAACTGTGGAAATAAAAACCCAATACAAATAGAAATAGTCACCTCTAGCTGGAGTTGGGTAGGTAGGGATAATATAAAATATCTGTAAGTATACCTTTGAATGCATTGTTTTGTTTTTGAGACAAGGTTTTGCTCTATTACCCAGGCTGGAGCATAGTGGCACCATCACAGCTCACTGCTGGCTTGACCTCCTGGGCTCAAGTAATCTTCCCACCTCAATCTCCCAAGTAGTTGGGACTATAGGCACACACTACCACACCTGACTAAATTTTTTTTTGTTTTTAGAAATGGGGTTTTGCCATGTTGCCCAGGCTGGTCTCAAACCCCTGAGCTCAAATGATCCACCCATCTTGGCCTCCCAAAGTGCTGGGATTACAGACGTGAGCCAATACTCCAAGCCTCAATATATTTTTGACCTTTGTCAATGTTTTACATATTAACAGTTAAAATATATTTCAAGAAGAAACATTAATCATTAAATGTAATGAAAGCAAATTACCCTAATTTCATATTAGATGGCTAACATAACCACACAGATAAGAAATATCTCAAGTTATTTTTAACACATAATTCTGGTAATATATCTTCAATGAGATATATTTCAAGACTCAAAGGAACTGCAAATGAATCTTAAACTTCACTCAGTAGACTATTTTTCAGTGATGATAATGGTATTATAATTTTGGCACTATTCTCTGAAGACTGTGAGAGAGACAAATAAGCAAATACATTAATAATATTATGAACCAAGATTTGCAATACAAGAGAAAATAGATAAAAGTAAAAAATAAAAAGGCTCACAGCAATACCCTCTAATGCTACATTTTGTTTGGAAATATAATTTTATAATTTATTATAAAAATATATCTTCCCAAGCACATTTGACTAAAGCAGACTAGGCGTTATGACTCCTGTAGCAATAAGCACATCTAGTGCTGACTGTAATACTGTTCAGCCAATATTCCTTTGACGAAGGCTAATTTTAACCACAACAGGGAAAGTTAAATATGTTCAAAGACAAATGAGAACCATGTCAAAGAGATACAAGACAGGAAGCAGAGAAACAAGGACAAAGAGAACCTTCCAGCAATCGTCCACCAAATAGAAACAAAAAAGCACCTTCATAAGAACAACAACAACAAAAAATCAGATGAGCTATCACAGTATCTGATTTTAACATGATAACAAGGAAAGACACATTGAAGACTGTAGGAAGAACAATCTTGTATTACCTACTTCACCCCTACCCCAACTGCAGGCAGCCCAATGTACTGACTCTTTCTGCTTTGGGGAAAACGAGGGAAGAGAGCAAAGGACTTGATCTGTGGACCCAGGGAATTATCCTTTATCTTAACCCAGATCCACCAAGGATGTGCAGCTAGGCATCTGCAAGGATCTTAGCATACTTGAGCTTAGTGCACCGCCTAGTGCTGAAACAGCTGCAGTGACCGCAAGCTTAGGTACCAATATTTAAGCCCATTTGAATTCTCAGAAAGTCCTCTCAAGAAGTATGAGTACAAACAAGGCCAGACAGTGAAAACTGAATTAAATACCTAACTCTTCAATGCCCAGGCATAGATACACATCCACAAGTATCAAGAACATCCAGAAAAACAGAATCCACCAAGCCGACTAAATAAGGCACCAGTGCCCAATGCTGGAGTGATGGAGATGTGTGACATCTCAGACAGGGAATTCAAAATGGCAGTTTTGAGAAAGCACAACAAACCGCAAGATAGTACAGAGAAGAAATTCAGAATTTTATCAGTGTAATTTAACACAGAGATTAAAATAATAATAATAATAATAGTTATAAACAGAAATGCTGGAGCTAAAAAATTCAATTGACAAACTGAAAAAAAATTATCAGGGTGTCTCAATAGCAAGATTCCTATCACAAAAGAAAGAATTAGTAAGTTCAAAGACAGGTTATTTGAAAAGACACAGCCAGAGGGAGAAAAGGAAATAGTATAAAAAAGAAAGTAGTATGCCTATAAGAGCTAGAAAACAACATTAAAAAAGTAAAACTAATAGTTACTGGCCTTAAAGCAGACATAGAAAAAGAGATTGAGGTTAAAAGTTTATTCAAATAAATAGTAACATAGAACTTTCTAAACCTAGAAAAAGATATGAATATTTAGGTACAAGAAGGTCAAAGAACGTCAAGTAGATTCAACCAAAATAAGACTATTTCAAGTCATATAATAATAAAACTTTCAAAAATCAAGGACAAAGAAAGGATGCTAAAAGCAGCAGGAGAAAGAAAGCAAATAAAAGATAAAGGAACTTTGATATGGCTGGCATCAGACTTCTCAGGGGAAACCGTACAAGCCAGGAGTGAGCAGAAGGACATAGTCAATGTGCGGGGAAAAGAAAAGAAAAAAAAAACTTTCTGCCTAGAACACTGCATCCAGCAGTGTTATACTTCAAACAAGAAGAAAAAAACAAAAACTTTCTCAGACAAACAAAAACTATTCATTAATACCCAGATCTGTCTCATAAGAAATGCTAAAGGAAGTTCTTCAATCTGAAGGATAAAGGCACTAATGTGCAACAAGAAATCATCTGAATCAATGGAATACTCCAATACTATAATGGTGGTGTGTAGATCACTCATATTTTTAGCCTGAACACTAAAAGATAAGCCTGTCAAAAAAGCATAACTACAACAGTTTGTTAAGAGAAAGGCAATACAAAATTATAAATAGGGACAACAAAAAATCAAAATATAAGGAACTGGAGTTAAAGTGCAGAGTATTTTTTTTAACATCTCTTCACTTGTTTGGCTTTTTTTTATAATCAGAGTTAAGCGGTCATCAGTTAAAATATTTGGTTATAAAATGTTTTTCTTGCAAGCCTTATGTTAACTAAAAAGCAAAAGCCTATAATAGATAAACAAAATATAAAAAACAAGAAATCAAAACATGTTACAAGCTAAAATTACTGATACACAAAGGAAGACAGGGAGAAAGGAAATGGAGAGTACTAACAAAACAACCAGAAAACAAATAACACAATTGTAGTAAGTCCTTACCTATTAACAATAACATTAAGTGTAAATGAACTAAATTCTCCAATCAAAAGACATAGGGTGGCCAAATAAATTTTTTAAAAAAGAAACTATATGCTGCTTGCAAGAAATGAAGAGATGAAAAAGATATTCTATGCAATGAAATAAAAAACAAACTATGTTTATATCAGATAAAATAGATTTCTATTTATAAACAAAATATATAAAAAGAGAAAAATAACATCACTATATAATGCTAAAGGGGTCAATTCAGCAAGAGGATGTAACAATTGTAAATACATATGCACCTTTGGGTGATGGAGCACCCAAATATGTAAACAAAATTTTATTAGAGCTGAAGACAAAGATAGAATCCAATACAATAATAGTTGGAGGCTTCAACATCCCACTTTCAGCATTGGGCAGATCATCTAGACAGAAAATTTTAAAAAATGGACTTAATCTGCTCTATAGACCAAATGGATCTAATAGATATTTACAAAATATTTCATCCAACGGCTGCAAAAATTACACATTATTTGTCTTAGAATATGGAACATTCTGAAGAAGAGACCATATGTTAGGACAAAAAACAAACTTAAAAAATTCTATAAAATGAAATTATATCAAGGGTATGTCTGCCAAAAATGAAGTAAAATTAGACATCAACAAGATGAAATTTGGACATTATATAAATACATGGAAATTAGATAACATGCCATTGAAATGATGCTTGGGTCAATTAAAAACATTAAGAAGAAAATTTAAAAAAATTATTGAAACAAATGAAAATAGAAACACAACATGCCAAAACCTATGGAATACAGAAAATGTCTTACTAAGAGGGACATTTATAACAATAAATATCCACATCAAAAAAGGGATGATGCAGATTAAACAACATAGAAAAGCAAGAGCAAACCAAACCCAAAATTAGCAGACAAAAAGAAATAATAAAGAGCAGATAAGAAACAAATAAAATTGAGACTAAAAATTATAAAAGATGAATAAAATTAAAAGTTTTTTTGAAAAAATAAAGGAAATCAACAAATCTTTAGCTAGACTAACAAAAGAGAAGACGCAAATTAATAAAATAAAAAGAAGACATTACTACTGATACACAGAAATCCAAAAGATCATTAAATATTATAATGAGAAACAATATACCAATACATTGGAAAATGTAGAAGAAATGGATAAATTCCTAGATACATCCATTCTACCAAAACTCAACCATGAAGAAATAGAAAACTTGACTAGAACAAAAACAAGTACTGAGATAGAAGGAGTAATACAAAGCCTCCTATCAAATAAAAGTCCAAGATTTGATAACTTCACTGCTGAATTCTACCAAACATTTTAAGAAAGACTAATATCAATCCTATGCAAGCTATTCCAAAAATTTAAAGAGGAGGGACTACTTCCAAATTTATTCTATAATTCCAACTTTTCCTTGATACTAAACCAGACAGAGACATTTAAAAAAAAAGCTACAGGCCAATACCTCTGATGAAAATAGGTGCAAAAATTCTCAACCAAATACTAGCAAACTGAATTCAATAACAAATTAAAAATATCATCATAATCAAGTAGGATTTATTCAAGGGATACAATGATGGTTCAACATATGCAATTCAATAAATGTGATACATCACGTCAACAGAATGAAAAATAAAAGCCATACGATCATTTTAATAGACATTGAAAAAGCATTCCATAAAATTTAACATTCTTTCATAATAAAAGCTCTCAATGAACTGGGTATAGAAGGAACATATCTCAGCATAATAAAGACCATTTATGGCAAACCCAGAGCTAATATCATACTGAACAGGGAAAAACTGAAAGCCTTTCCTCTAAGAGCTAGAACACAAAATGATGCCCACTTTCACTGCCTTTATTCAACATGGTACTGTAAGTCCAAGCCAGAGCAATGGGACAAGAGAAAGAAACAAAGGTCATCCAAATTAAAAAGGAAGAAGCCAAATTATCCTTGTTGGCAGACATCTAAATATCTTATATTTAGAAAAACCTGAAGACTGTAAAAAAAAAAACCTGTTTGAACTGATAAACAAATTCAGTAAAGTTACAGGATACAAAATCAACATATAAAAATCAGTAATATTTTTATATGCCAATAGCAAATAATCTGAAAAAGAAACCAAGAAAGCAAACCTATTTTCAATAGCTCAAACATTAAAATTCTTAGGAATAAACTTAACAAAAAATATAAATTATCTCTATAATTAAACCTATAAAAATGTATGAAAGAAATTAAAGAGGACACAAAGAAATGGAAATGTATCTTATGTCCAGGAAAGGGAAGAATCAATATTGTTAAAATGTCCATATGACCAAAAGCAATCTACAGATTCAATGACATCCCTATCAAAATGCCAATGACAATCCCCCCAGAAATAGAAAAAATCTATATGGAACCACAAAGGACCCAGAATAATCCAAGCCATTTGGAGCAAAAAGAACAAAGTTGGAGACATCACATTACCTAATTTCAAATTTTACTACAAAGCTATAATAACCAAAACAGCATGGTACTGGCATGAAAACAGACATGTGGACCAATAGAAGAGAATAGAGAACCTAGAAATAAATCCATGCATTTACAGTCAACTCATTTTTGAAAAAAGCATCATGAGCATGCATGGGGAAAAGGGCAGCCTCTTCAGCAAATGGTGCTGGGAAAAATAAATATCCATGTGCATATGAATGACTCTAGACCCCTACCTTTCACCATACAGAAAGATCAAATCAAAATGAATTAAAGGTTTAAGTGTAAGACCTCAAGCTCTGAAACTACTAAAAGGGAACATTGGGGAAAGGTTTCAGGACACTGGTTTGTGTAAAGATTTCTTGAGTAAGATTTAAAAAGAATAAACAATAAAGGCAAAAAAATGGATAAATGGGATCATATCAAGTGGAAAATTTTCTGCATAGCAAAGAAAATGTTCCACAACATGAAGAGGTAACTTACAGAATAGGAGAAAATATTTGTGAACTATTCAACTCACAAAGGATTAATAACCAGAATATATAAGGAACTCAAACAATGAATGGTAAAACAAAAACAAATAATCCAACTGAAGAATGCACAATTTATCTGAAAATACATTTCTCAAAACAAGACATATAGATGGCCAACAGTTACATGAAAGACTGCTCACCATCACTAATCATCAGAGAGGTGCAAATCCAAACTACAAGGAGATATCATCTCACCCCAGTTAAAATGTCTTTCATCAAAAAGACAAAAATTAGCACACACTTCCTGGCTTCTTCCTTTTTAACTTGCTAAATTGGGGAATCATTGGTGTCAACCAAAAATGATAAATGTAATTGATTGTAGCATGTCAAACTAATAAAATGTGTTACTTTATTATATATGGAGTGGCAAAAACAAATAAATTCACTGTCCATCACTGCAGGTGACTATGACATCAACTCCATACTGTGAGGAATATATTTTAAATGGAAGGTGTTAATTCCTTCCTCAAAAAATTTAGATGGAAGTATAGATAACCCCCATTTATGAGTTAAAGGTATTCTTACATCATAACGTCAATTTATAAATATAGAAGCAATAATAGAATTAAAAATAAGTTTGCAATCTCCCAGTAAAATTCTTTATGCAGGCAGTATCATCAGTGGATGCTAAATCCATCAGATGCAAGTTTGTTGCCACTGTAACCAAGTGATTAAATTTAGCATCATAATGACAGGGCCATATGACATGAGGTCTTCCTGACACACTGAAATCTCACACATGTAATATCACACAGGAAGTGCTCTTGCTAAAATGACCATGAATGTAGACCTAACCTTGAGTTCAAAGAAAATATAAGAGCTACAGAAACAAGTTAGACTGCATGAGAAAATAATGTGACACGTCCAGAATGTTGGCACTAAAAAGTAATCATAAGCCTTGATCTCTTAAAAAAGTTTATTATCATGAAGAAAAATTAAGAATTTGAAGAGGAAGGGCTATTCTGTATTTAAAATAACAAAAAAAAAATCACAGCAATGCAATGCAAAGACATGAAGCTGATAAAATCAGTTCTACAACTCATTTGGAAAAAATAGAAAACTGAGCAAATGTTGTGGGTTAAACTAATATTAAAGAATTGTTCATTTTATCTAGTGTGATAATAGAATGTTGGATCTATCTGGGTATGTGAGGTTTAACAAGACATTTATCCATCTCTCTATATTTCTCTAGCATCTACCCACAGACATAAACAGAGATAGATATAGAGAATGAGATTAAAAAATTTCAAAAAGGTAAATGTAAAAAATAGACAAAATGCTAATTTTGTAATTGATGTAATTGTATTATTCTTCTGCCTTTTCTGTAGTTTTGAAATTTTTATAATAAAAGTAAAAGTTATAGATTAAACTATTTTTATTTCAGAATTGAATTTTGGTTTTAAAGATAATTTTAAAAGATTGGGCACTATCTAAATCTTTTTTTTGAACTTTAAGATTATTCAAATAGGAAATATAATTATATTAAAAGTCATCATTCGCATTTCCCAAGTTAAAATAACAGAAACCATAATTTTTAATGATGTGGTTACATTACAAAATTATTTCATATGCCAATTAATATATTTCTGTAAATAACATGAAGCCATTTTAGAATTCAATAATAGAATAATTCTCACTGCATTAAACTCTGTAGAAAAGGATGGGTCCACCGTCCTCCAACATTTGTCCTTCCTATCTTTGAGTTTGGGGCCCTCTTTGGCTCAGCTATTGGTTCACTGAAGTAAATTTTCCCTCTTTGTTCAACCCAGACACAATTCCTTCTAAAGAGGTTAGCTCCAAGTGTTTATTAAAATACATTGGATTTCTGCAATAAAAATACCTCTGTGTGTATGTGCATGGTGTGTGTGTGTGCATGTGCGTAATACTTCTGACATTTGAATGAATTTATTTTCAAACTCATGGCAGTGAATGACACCGGGAGCTGGCAAGTCAGCCTACCCACAGTACAGAGGCCTGTGTTTCTGTTTTCCCTTTCCTTGGGGTCTCTAGTTATGGTCATGTAGTCAGAAACATTTACATTTTGTAGGTGAAGGCAACTGAGATTCAGTGGAATAATGGAAGTGACATTAATAACATTAAATGTCATAACTCTTGACAACCTGATGCAAATGAACCTCTTACTAAGCAAGCAAGGAAAAAAAATTCCTGAATACATCTTTTCTTTAAAGTGCATTCAGTATTCAAAAAATCTTCAACCAAGATGGAAGCCAGGAATCCAATTTTGGTGACCTCAGCTACATTCCTCCAGGCACAAATTAGTCATCTTTTTTCACTGTAATCATCTCAGTGTATGAGAGATAGGGCAGTTGTGATATTTAGAGCTATGCAAATGCTTCTTTTATTTATGTCTTTCCCTTTAGATTTTGCTCCCACTTTTCCTTCATCTTTTATTTTTTTCTTCAATGCTAATGTGATTGACAGGCAGAGGGGACAGGCTAAACACTGCCAGGCCTCCACCCTCTTTTCTTTTTCCTCTGAAATATAACAAAGGTGCTTTCAGACCTAAGTGGAGCAAGTCCTAGCATTCCTTCCCTGTTGTCACAGCAGATTGAGCGGATCCTTCTGATGTGGTTTCCAGCCTTCTCATCTCCCTTGCCTTGTCAGGCGGTTGCCATCATTTAGAAAGGTACACAGTATTTTGAAAGGATTAGAGGATAAAACACAACTCAATCCTTTATAAAAGAGAGGCAGAGAGGGAGAGAGGGAGAGAAATGTCAGATGTTATGGAGCAATTGGACAGGAGTGACGCATACAAAGAAAACCAGCAAATTCATAGAACTGTTTCTGTGAAGCACAAGTAGGCAAGGGCAGCGTGTGAATATTTACTGCCACAGAGGAGTTTCCAAAGGGAAAGGCCTGTAAGTGAGTTATGACAATGTTTAGAGGAGATGAAATAAAGCAGGATCAGGAAATCAGTGGACACTTGCATTGTGCCTGTCGGGCTTTTTCCTTAACACAGAAGGAAAATAAGTGAAATCCATAATTTTCACCATTGTTGCAATGAAAGAAAGTAAAAGTCAAATAGTCCCTGTGAAAGCAAAGCTGAATGAGCTCAGGCGTGAGCCATGAATGGACAGAACTGCACTCCCCCATAGAGGTCACAGGTAACAGGGGGATCTGTGTAGCTCCGCTCCTTTATTTTAGAGGTGAGGAATCCGAAGCCCTG
The DNA here is from genome assembly GCF_000001405.40 of Homo sapiens. Lineage (NCBI taxonomy): Eukaryota > Metazoa > Chordata > Mammalia > Primates > Hominidae > Homo > Homo sapiens. The sequence goes on from NC_000005.10 coordinate 4,571,408, forward strand.
AGAGGTTTGGTGACTTGCCTGTTGTCACAGGTATTGCTATTACTGTAGAATACCAAATGTAGATTAGGCCTGCATGCCATTGCCTCTAGGTCACGTGCCTCCTTTTCTGAATGTCTCTGCTGCTGGAGACTCTGGGCCCTTCAGAAAAGAGCAAGCCCTCTGTTTTGCTCACTCTCTTTTTCTTGCTTTCATTCTTGCTTTCACTGTAACACTATTAAAAAGGAATGCTTTCTTTTTTTTCAGAATAATAATACATAAAGTAAGCCATGCATACAATTTCTACAAGTAGTACGATAAAAAACATGCATAAACGTAGACACAGATTTTGTAAGCAGTGAGTCACTGGGACCGTATACAATTTTTTTCTCTCCAAGCAGTGTTTACTTGGTTAAGACTATTTGCATTTTTAGCATTTACTAAAGGGTCAGGAAGAAAAGACAAAAAGAGAAAATCCAAAATTAAGTTTGAGGAAATATCAACAGCAAAGGGCTTATTATAGGTGCTAATAAGGGTGGTGTTTACTCCAAACCAAATGAGAGCCAACATGGGTCAAGTTACTCAAGGAATCTAAAGAATTTCAAATTGATCTAAACTAATGCATTTAGCATGAAAACCACATTGGCCAAGGTTCTAGCACATTTTTGGATTAATAGAGATTCTATTCAATTTGCCTATTTTAGACTTATAAGCTAGGTGTGTGCATATCTTATTTTAGTGCAGACGCCACATGAGAAGAGAGAGGCCAGGGCAAAATGAGATTACTGCAGTTGACAAAGCTACTTCTAGGTGCTGGTTTGGAGTTGGTGATGTCAGTATAATCCCATGTTTAGGTTCTCACACACACACACACACACACACACAAACACACAGATGCAGAAACAATTACAGATGTGTGTATATCTGGGGTAGCATGCACCAAGATGCATAGATGCACTATTGTCCCAGTAGTAATAAACACACCCAGCACCCAGATCTTGTTTTCTAAGTACCATTCTCCAATAAAAGAAATCAAGAAACTTTGAAAAAAAATGCCGATTCAAGAGCAGAGTCGAGAGAAATACAAAATGAGCTTGCAGTACGTAAGCGCTCAAAAAAGGGTGACTCAGACTTCAGTCTCAGGGAAATCTAATACGTTTTCCACAGGCCAAATTAGAAGAGGCAAAATAAACTGGGATCATATTGTGTAATAACAGCAAGAATAAATTAAATACCCAGAACTCTCTACTGACATGTATAAATGAGTAAAATTATAAATAAATGGAGAAAAAGAGAGAAATATTTCTTACAGAAAAATTCCTGTCAATAAATGTAGAAGAAATGAAGAAACTAAAAATGCACCAGGGAGTAATTGCTGCAGAGAACATTCACTGATGAAATCACTGGAAGAATTTTAAGGAGAAAAGGATATTTGCATGTGCTTACATGATCTCTTCCAATATACTTGTTAATCAAAGTGGTGGTTTTGGCACATGCCCACAAATTCTTTGATACATTTTCTATGTTGTGGAGCATAATTCCTCTTCCCTGAGTGGGAACTAAACTAAGTGACTGGCTTCTAACTCATGAAGTAAGGGAAGTGATAAATGGTAACTTGTCAGCTTGTATTTTAGATATTCTGTTTAAATTCCCTCTATGCAAGATTCTTTTTCTCTAACGACATTTAAAATCCTCCTATATTTTACTTTGTCAGTTTGAAAGTGAGCCATTTATTCTCTTAATTCTCTTATCATTCCTTCATGTTTTCACCACACACTCCTCAATAATTTATTAAGAACTTCATATGCATGTTGCATAGACAATAATTAGAACATGCTCTCTGGTCAGTCTGGGGTACACAAGGGTGAATGAGAAAGAAAATCTGAAAACACATCATCACTGCAGTGCAATTAGGGATCTAGAGAAGCAAGAACAGAAGACGTCCAAGCAAAGGGGAGAAAATGTCTTATTCTGTTTGGAGAAAGGTGAATAAAAGTTTCCAACCAAAGGGACATAGAAATATAATGGTCATAAGAGATAAGAAGAAATATTCAAAACAGTTCAGAGGGGAGGGAGAATTGTATGTGGAAAAAAAGGAAGAACTTTTAGTAGATTATTGTCAGAACCCATGAACAATTTTTTTTTTTTTAAATTTGGGGGAAAAGGGATTCTGAGGGGAGTAGAGTGACTAGGAAGAGATGAGAATGAATTGTGAGTGGGGTGGAGGGAAGAGAGAGATAGAAGGCTGTTTCTAGCCATGAGAGGCACCAGGCTGTTTTTGTTTTGTTTTGGTTTGGTTTTTTCTTGAGACGGAGTCTCGCTCTGTCGCCCAGGCTGGAGTGCAGTGGCGCGATCTCGGCTCACTGCAAGCTCCGCCTCCCGGGTTCATGCCATTCTCCTGCCTCAGCCTCCCGAGTAGCTGGGACTACAGGCACCTGCCACCACGCCCGGCTAATTTTTTTGTATTTTTAGTAGAGATGGGGTTTCACCATGTTAGCCAGGATGTTCTCGATCTCCTGACCTCGTGATCCACCTGCCTCGGCCTCCCAAAGTGCTGGGATTACAGGCGTGAGCCACCGCGCCTGGCCCACCAGGCTGTTTTTAAGTGGTGTCACACCTTGGACTGCATTCAGATAGGGAGTAAGATCTTGAGATTGTGTTTTGTAATGATTCATCTGGCAAAAAGACCTGAAGGATGGATGAAAAGGGTTACCTAGAGGAGCAGCAGCCAATTGGAAATCCATTGCAGTATCTAGGATAGATATGATAAGAGCAATAGGGGTGAAGAGAAGAATATTTTGGGAGAAATCTAACTGATTAAAAATGATCAACAGTTATCTACCAATTGACAGTAAGGGCAAAGGGAGAAATAAGATGCTAGATATATTTTCAGATTTCTCTGTTGGTAGTGTGATTAGAATTTTACTACTATTGTTAGTGTTACTAGTAACAGTAGCAGTAAAATCTAATAGTACTCCTAGAACTACTAGTACTACTTATACAACTATTCGTGCCGCTGTCACTATTATTACTAGGGTTACCACCACCACCACTACCACCACCACTCCCACTACCATGACCACCACCACCACCACTCCCACCACCATGACCACTACCACCACCACCACTACCACCACTGCCAGCAGCACACCTAGCACCAGCAAAGTGCTTCCATCTGGGTGGGTGGAGTCTACTTCATGGTCATGCATCCCATGCAGCTGCACAGGGCCCCATACTCAGAAGTGTCCCACACTTGGTTTAATGCTACGTTGTCCCTATCTTAAAATTCTTATTTTTTTTTTAAAAAAAGCCACAGTTTGTTCAACTTTTTCTTGTGAGAACTGGAGTGACAACTTCCAAGTTCTTCACGTCAGAGCAAAAATCAAGGAAGACACTTTCAGTTAGACCATGTTGACCTTGAATGCCCTGTGGGGTGTCTGGAATACATTTGAAAATGCCCACCTCCTTCAGGAGAGAGCTATCTCGTCTAGCTGTGCCAGGCACCATCATACAAGGGATTGTCTTTTTGATTAGTGCTTAGGGATGGCCAAATTTGTGCCCAGTTCTTCAACCCCATACAGGAGGCCCTGAAGACACTGGTATGAGGTACTCAGGAGGAGGACCTATGCCTGGGGTTGAGAGGAATTGCATAGCATCCGGAGGGTAAGAGAACCATTAGAAAAGAAGGGAAAGATAAGTGTTAAAGCTGTGGAAAGATTCAGTGAATGGGCTCAGAAAGCCGTTCTTTGATTTTGAACAAACTTTTTAAAGTCAAGATAATGGTTATGTTTTGTTTTTTCTTTTCCTTTTTTTACCAAAATACTCAATATGATAAATATATTCATTTTGAAAAGTGTTAGGCAATAGCAACAACAAATTCTCCCAAGTTATAGCAAAGTGATGTTTAAGCCTAATTCAACATGGTGAGAATTCATTTTAGAATGCAAATCCGACAAGGCAGGGCAGTATAATGGAGGAGCGGCCTGTCATGGAAAATGGTAGCCTCCTCTGCTGCAGGTGTTTCAGGAGTATTTCTAAACACAATGGCACAACACACTGCACAGGCATAATGAAAATGGCAGGAAGTGCCTGAAGTACACAGAAATAGCTTCACTTCCAGTAAGAAGATGCATCGATGCATTTTCAGAGAACATGCTCAAGCACAAAACTGAATGAAAGATGAGAAATAAATGATAATTTTTCCTGAAAGTCTGAGTTCATAAAAACCTAACTCCCTCTTTCTTCACTGATATATGCAGGAGCCTGTATGGTCATGAGTGCTATTTTCTTAAAATGGAGAAACCTCAGGGGAAAATTAAGAAAAATCTAAAGGAGGAAAAAGGACCTGTGGTTTGATGAACCACCGCACTTTGGGGTCCTGTGAATGCTCTTTATGCTCATGGGGCCTTCCTGGGTTTTGGTTTTAAAAGTCAAGCTATTTAAATCATGAAACTGGAGGTAACTGCACGAAGAAGCTGCTTAGCTGCCTGTCGAACAAGGAAGCCCTCTGAATACCTTTGAAAACTCTGAGATGTTGGAGGGTCTGTCATCACACTAAGGCTCGATGTGGACTCAGGAGTCCCTCTGCTTCAAAATAAATTTAGTGACAGTTTTATCAGTTATAAAATTATTAAATTCTTGAATACAGCACATGGCACATATGTTGGAAAGTACTGATGTGTGTAAATCTCTATCTTATTACATTCTTTTTGTACTTTTAAACATGCATGCCCAGTGCCACATACAACAGTATGTTAGATTTATACATCCTTCAACTAATGAAATGAGCCAGAACATTTACTTAAACCTAGACACGACTGTTGGAAGTTTACTGCCAAATCATAGTTTATATTTTTCTATTGGGTTTAAATAATTCAAACATGACCTCTTTGTGCTGGGACAAATGAGTACCATGTGTGATCGTGCAATGGAATCTGTGAGTCAGTGTGAAATTATTTCATGTTTTCTGCTTATTCCCATAATATTAATTCACAGTTCCAATGAGACAGGTTGGGGCCACCACAATTCCTGTAACAGTGCTTAAAAAGATGAGAAATTGTAAATCGTTTACGGATCCTGTTACCTCAAATGAGGCTGAAATGTTACTAAGAATTTTCAGTAGCTTCCCCACCAACCCCCAAGACAAGTCTGTCTGTTGTCACAGGAAATAGTGGCTCATTCATAAAAAGTTCATTCAGAGGCACTCAGTTTGTCTGACCTACAGGGCAGAGTTCAAACTTTTGTCAATTGATTGAAGGGACATCTTCTATGCACTCACTCAGCACTTAGGGAATGTATTTTCCATCAGACACCTAAACAGGGAAAATTTTTCTTCTTCCCTACAGAGCACCTTTTCCACATGATGCAGAGAGGGCTAAATAATTCAATTTCAAACAAAATGGGATGGCCACAAATTTGTAACTCAAAATCTGAGAAAGTAGATTTATCTGCCTATCAGGGTCCAGATTTTTTTTTCTAAAATTAATTCTAAAATAAATCAGATTTAGAATAAAACAGATTTAAATTATGTTCTATTTTCCCTTTTCCTGGAGAAGAGAACACTAACTTTATGTGGCTCCAAGTAAATTACTTGATTACCTCTTCAAGCCACTGGAACAAGGCTGAGCGAGTGCATCGCAGAATCACAGAACATCACGTTGGAGGGAGCGAAGTGTTACCTAAGCAACTGGGTTTTATAAGATGGAGGATTTAGTGCCAAGATAGCTAGCCCGGGGACATGGCGAGGGAGTTATTAAAATCAGCTCAGGGGTTCGCAGGAGAATTCTGAAGAGGGCACATTGTCCAAAAGGAGAGCTGAAGGCAGGTGGGTTTACGTTGTGCCTCGTGGCAGCAATTACTGAATGGCAGCCTAGAGCGAGCCAGGGGCGTCCGTCACGCCACCGCCACTCACTTCCTGAAACAAGTTGTAATGCCTGTTTATCATAGACCTTAATTCCCTAATGTCGGGAACAAAGGCGAGTATCAAAATCTAGCAAATTTTTTTGACACTAGGAAGTGAAGCAAAGGACTAACCTCTCCTCAATCCCATCTTTGTTAAAATAAACTCTCATTTTAGCAGCTCATTCCAGATGTCAGTCAAGCCCTACACATTAGCACCAAATAGTGCCCGTGACTAAAGCCACAAAAGAAACAGAGGAGAACATAAAAGGAGAAGTGATTCCAGGTGACTTTCCCATTAGAGTAGAAACCGTGCTGCTGTTGGAGTCAGATGCAGTGGACACATTTGGGGAAGTAGAATCAGCTTGTGCTGTCTGTTGATTGGTGTTGTGCTGTTTTGTTTGTTTGTTGCTTTTGATTACTAGACACTTTGGTAGCAGCATATGTGTGTCAGTGAATGCTGGGGTCTTCCCTACCAGCTGATAGTTCCCTACTGAACAGAGCATGCAGGATCAGCTTCGTTTTATTATTATTATTATTAATTATTATTTTCACAAGTCAAACCACAACTGCACTTTGCTTAGAATCATCTTTTCCAAACTTGGAAAATTTACATCTAGCACCATTCTTTTTAAAATATCCAACCTGTGCTTGTACTGGTTACTGTGGTAGGGGATGGGGAGACACGGGATAAACCTCATTACGAGTTCAGCTTAGATGCTTTCCATCCCTCACTGCCTATGGTCTGGGTTTTATACAACACTGATTTAAGCTGTTTATCCTTGGCAAGCAGAAGGAAGCATGGCAGAATGACCTAGAAATAGGTCATTTGCACTATTACTGAAATTAGCATCAAGGTAGGCACAATTTTAGAACCAATAGCCTCGACAGTTTCCCGTTGGTGTGTGACTCTACTAGTAGGAAGCATATGGGAGGGAGTTCTCAGGAAAGAGGCTACCTGGGTTTGGTTTCATATTCCAAAGAAAGTACCTTTGGAAGTCACGACAACTGCTAGTGTCTGAGTGGATCACTTAGCTTTGACCGTCAAAGACTAAAGCCAAATAAAGACTTTCAAACAGCTTTACAAACATAATAGTAATCCAGTTCTCAGAAAGCTGAACTCATTTGGTTTCTGTAGTCTCAAAACCATAAATGCCTGTAAAAATGTTTCTATTTCTTACTAGTTCTCCACAACTAGCATGATTCTGTCTTCATATTAACTCATCCTCTCCCAAGAATGGCCATACCTTATGCCCTGTCACTCAGCGATCCTCCTGAATTCCTCTGTTCATTTTAAATAGAATGAGCCATGCTATCACAGAAACCTAATCCTGCAGGGATTGGATTATTTATTCTACATGCTACCTAGTAAGTGGCATTTAATACAGAAAGCATGGAGTAGGTGGTTTGTTGGAGTCCACAGCATGAAGCACTACACCAAAGGTTTCACAGGATGCTGTCCCAACACCTTTATCTCCAATCTCAGGGATCCACACACCGTAGCTGAAGGATCAGTGCTTACCATGTGGAGATTGGGTCTTACGGGGCTCTGAAGAAGCCTAGACAAGGGCCCTTCGTTAGAAACACTTTCCTGGGTAAGCTGTTAACCTCTGTCACTAGTTAACCCCGTTACCTAGAGCTGTGAATATTCAAACATGCTAAAGGATGTGCTTGGGCCCTAGTTCTGTTTAGCAGAGGATAATACAGTAGGGCATGAGAGGAACAAAGTGGTTCATCTCTCTCTCTCTCTCTATATATATATATAACTATATATATCACTATATATATAACTATATATATCACTATATATAACTATATATATCACTATATATATCATATATATCACTATATATATCATTATATACATAACGATATATATCACTATATATATAAAACTATATATATCACTATATATATAATTATATATATCACTATATATATAATTATATATATCGCTATATATAATTCTATATATCGCTATATATAACTATATATATCACTATATATCATTATATATATAACTATATATATCACTATATATCATTATATATATAACTATATATATCACTATATATATAAAACTATATATATATCACTATATATGTATAGTTATGCCAATAAAGAATAAGTCCACAAGTACAAAGTCATTTTGTGACTCTTCTCCAACATTTGCTCTACAGAGTGAGGCAGCAGTGTTTACAAAGTAGTACAAAGTACATTTGAAAACTGACTCTCTGCTACCTGGGCAGTGCAGACACCAGCACCTGGCCCTCTGCTCTGTGGGAGGGGAGGGCGGCCCAGGCCACCAAGCAATCACATATGACAGTGGAGGGAGCCCACGTGCAACTCTCCTCTCTATCAACCTCCCTGGACGCTCTGTTTATTCTCATCCCTATAAGAAGCAATGCCTTGCCATGGGAAGTTGTGTGGCGTGATAATCTCAGACCCTTCTAGAAGGAGGGGGACATTGCTTTATCTCTAATCGAGCTTTAAGACCACAGGTCTGACTGGTAGGAAAGAGTTCTGCCCATTTTGTATTCCCGTTGGCCAATGGCCATTTCCAGCCAGGAGAGGGAGACCAGAGCCCTTGTGGACTTTAAGGAGCCACAGCAATTTGAAGAGGGCATTTGTGCCACCGCAGAATCCGACTCCTCCTCCAATCCACCCACTCCTTTAAACCATGTCATGATGGCGCCGCCCTCTCCCTAAAATGATCCCACTTTCTTAAGGCCCTGAAGGAAGATGACTTTTGGCCCCACTCCCCCATGTCTGTCAACTTGGCCTTATGACCCTCCTCTTCCTACCCGAGCATTTCAGGCAGTTTATGAAACTAGTAAATAAACAATAAATGTGTCCCTGAAACACCGATTGATGATGAAAAAAAGAAAAAAGTCATGATTGCTGAGAGGAGCGTCGACCACTTTGCAACCCCGGCCTGCTCTTTGGAGAGAAGCGCATGACTGAGATCGCTTTTGCTCCTGATCTGCAGTTCCATCACCACCAAGTCTGGCCGATCTCTGAGCTCGCTGGAGTGGTGGAGTCAGGCTCTGGGCTTCTGCACTCAAGGAGGGACAAAGCCCCTGACCCACTGGAGGTTGTGGAGGGGAAGAGTCACTGACAGGCTAGACATCTGAGAGCTCAGCAAGGAGGCAAATCAGCATAGGAAGTAAAAGAAATACCCCAATCTCTCTAAGTAACAACTCTAACGGGGGTTGAAGCCTGACTTGGCTGACAAACTCAGAAGAAGGCGTGAACAAAGGAAGACACGACAGAATCACTTCCTTGCTTCCCATAACACATTTGTTTGAAGGGAAGGAACTGAAACTAAAGAGAGATGACCGGTTAAGGGGAACAACTGGCTTCTGCATGGTGGAAAGCGTTCTCCCCCTGCAACGTAAGAGGAACCTCAGGAATAAATCAGGGGAACACTCGAAGTCTCATCATTTGAGGGGAGTGTCCTGAATAGGGGGTCGGGCGCATGTATCCATCCTGAACACAGTGCCCTGTTACCCTCATGGAACACCGGTGGGCAGTGAGCACAGCAGGTGCCCAACTTAGGTTGGGCCCCCTGGAAAACGCAGGCACACGAACAGTGACACTCTTGCACATGCACACACGCGTGGACAGGCACACGCACAGCGACACTCTTGCACATGGTCATACACGTGGACAGGAACATGCACAGCAACACTCTTGCACACACACACACACACACACGGTCAGGCACATGCTCAGCGACACTCTTGCACACAGAAACACACGTGGACAGACACACGCACAGCGACACTCTTGGAGAGCACATACACATGGACAGGCACACGCACAGTGACACTCTTGCACACACACACACGTGGACAGACACACGCACAGCGACATCTTGCACACGCGGACACACACGTGGACAGGCACACACACAGCGACGCTCTTGGAGAGCACACATACATGTGGACAGGCACACGCACAGTGACGCTCTTGCACACGCACACACACGTGGACAGGCACATGCACAGCGACACTCTTGCACACACACACACGTGGACAGGCACACACACAGCGACGCTCTTGGAGAGCACATACATACATGTGGACAGGCACACGCACAGCGACGCTCTTGCACACGCACACACACGTGGACAGGCACATGTTTGCAGCACGGCTCACTCTCAAGTCCACGCCCACACGCACAGAGGCAGCTTCGTGAACTCTGAGGGACACAGGCCCAGTGCCCTGACCTCTGTGGGCTCCTCAGTTCTCATCCTGCCTCTGTCTGCTAAACAAGGGTTACAAAAGGGCTCTGAACACTGAGGTGTGCCCGAGGCCATTTGTCATGGGAGGCTGAGTGGCTGTCAATTAACTGAGTGCTTTAATTGTGGGGCATCATTATGGAACCCGTCTCCCCGCACTGCTCTTCAGATGCCAAGCAGAGAAGAGAACACACACGTGAGCGACCTGCAAACTCCAGATCACGGTCATGTGCTGTCCTAATCTATCCCCCATTCTCCTACAGGGCCCTAATTTGACCTTCAGTGAATAAAAATCAAAGTTGAATCAAGTTCAACAACAGGAAACCTGCTGGTGATTAAAAAGTGATCACTGTTTCTGGTGACCGGAGGTGTCATAAGGACAGTCTTTAAGGAGGAACTTGGAGTTCCTGCCCTTTGAGCAGCTCTGCATTCATAAATCATCACACCTTCCCAAGCTGACACAACTTCTTACTTCCCATTAATTCCAAAACTACTTTCTGGTTTGGTAGTTAGCTTTCAAACTGTCAAGACAGAATGTAATTGAAAGTGAATTTGATTAAAGGAAAAACAGCTCTGCACACCGACGACTGGGATCTGATTTGTTCCAGTGATAAGAAGAGTGTAGCGGTGTCAAAACACAGGGGAGCTTCTCCTGCACTCAACAGGCCGAGCCCAGACGGAACATCAGTCAGCTGAGGCATGAGAAGGTTTCCGACGTGAGATGGGTTCTCCTGCGGTTTAGGGGCTGGCAGCAAATGAACCACAGTGACCACTGCAGATGGCTTCCTTGTCTCCCAGCCTCCACAGAAGGCAGGTCCCAGGACAGCTTCAGTTTTCCACGAGGAAACTGAGGCACCAAGAGTAAGGAACTTGCTATCACTAACCCTGCTAGTAACTGGTACATGCAGTATAAGAACCCAGGACTGAGGCCATCAAGCACATCCTCACTCGCCTTAGAACCAGAGTAACATGGCACTGAAAAAAAAAAAAAAAAGGAATGCACAAGACTTCTTGACATAAATTTTCTGCAGCAGTTGGAATTGATTTATCCTAGAACCAGAGACTAAAATAATCAGGAACATTAGAGATTGTCTAACTCAAAGTCTCTTATATAAACATGGGGTAGGGCACAGAGGTGCTGAGTTTCTCATCCAGATTCACAGGAGAGTACCATCTGCACCGTGCGTCTGAAGACTCTCAGTCTGAGTGTCCACGTCCATCATACGGGGCTCATTTCAAAGATCCCAGGGCCAGCTCCCGGAATTTTCAAACAGTGTGCTGACTCCATACCAACTCCCATCGCCCATTCCTTTCTGCTAAGCATTAGAATCATTCTTGAGAATTTCAACAACACATGCTCCCAAATGTACTAGATATAAGGAGAGAGTTAGAATATTCTGTGGATAAAACCGGGGGCACAGGACTCAGCAGCGATGCACGTTTGTCACACAGGTGCCCTGACCCAAATTTTCCAGTTAGAAGGCAGAGAATATGAGTGTTGACACTTTCTATTAAAATACAAATTTCTACAATGAAGTACCTTCCACAAGAAACAGCTTCCAGCAATCTTCCTCCCTATCATCTGTTTGAAAGACATGTTTATGCGTAGAGAAGGGAGTGCACAGTGAACAACCTCTTTGCTTATTTGTAAATTTTGGAGAGCGTAGGCGAAATAGTCACCATTTTAAAAAGAGTCTGTACTTTAAATGAGAGAAGGTCTTAATTAAGCCACAGAAGGACTTTCTAGTTGCTTTTCTCCTCAAGACAGAAACCATTAATTCAAATGTGCCGTAGGAGTTTTCGGAATATGGAGCTGGAGCTTTGAAATTGCCATTAGAATGGTCCATGTTTATTCCTGCTATGCGCGATTAAAACACAAAGCCAATAACAGCACAAAACGCTGAGCCCCTGTGAACACCAAGCAGGAGCTCATGAGATAAAGGGTGATTTCCTAAAGATGAGGGCAGATGCTTCTATGAACACATGTCGGCATTACACGTACACTTGCTAGTCTTCATTCAGGGAATATGTTTTGTTTTATTGTATTCTAAATACGTATATTGTTTCCTGGCTCTGAGTTGCATGGTAGAGAAACACAGGCAAAGAATGATCACCTTTGTCTTCCTGGCCTCAAAGACCAATGGCCATACTGCATTTCCTGATTGGGTCAAGAAATGGATCTCCCATATAAAGGAGCAATTATCAAATATTTCTTCCCTTTGGGGAACTATTTTAAGGAATATCAAGACACAAATTCATATTTGATATAAATAAACTTTCTAAGTTGTCTTCATGAAAAACATATGACACCTCTCTTTGTACATATTAAAAACCTTCCTTAATTTTCTAACAATTTACCGTTGGGCACAGTCCATAGTTATAGGTTTATAAGTAGATATAATTTATAAAATCATTATAATATGCCAGGCATAAAGGCCATGCGTTTTTATATTTCTCCTGGCATCCTCAGGAAACATCTGTGAGGCAAGTAAATCAAAGAGAATGACCGAGGCAAATCTCAATCATTTTAGGAGGTTTATTTGCCAAAGTTAAGCTTCCACAGCTGGGAGATGGGTCTATGCCTTTCTCCAAAGATGATTTTGAAAGCTTCAATATTTAAAGGGGAAAGGGCAGATATTGGAGGAAGAGGAAGAAATGTTTAAAATGTGTGGGTAGATAAGAGAAAAACAGTTATATCCTTTTGAGTCTTTGGTCAGCCTTTCACTGAATATACAATTTTCATGTGAGGGAGGGGTAGAGGAATAGTCACATATGTCTTGGTCCGGCCCAGTGAATCTGCATTTTTACATGAGACAATGTAAACAATAGGTCAGAGGAAGCCATCAGACATGCATTTGGCTCAGGTGAGCAGAGGGATGCCTTTGAGTCCCGTCCTTTGCCCTGCACCTGTGAAGAGGATCTATCCATTTACATTGCCTGGAGAAACGTCACAGAATTGTTTTAGAGTAAAGATTTTGGGGCCCACAAGGAATTTCCTGGTGGGCAAGTTGGGAGGGAGATATGTAGCTTTTTAACTTTGTAACTATCTTATTTAGGAACCAAATGGGAGGCAGGTTTGTGTGACCCAGTTTCCAGCTTGACTTTTTCCTTGGGCTTAGTGAGTTTGGGGTCCCAGGATTTATTTTTCTTTCACAGGTGGGTACCACGGGACAACCACAAAATCCTCCCGAGACTTGGATCAGGTCAGCACCAAGCAGGGTCCTGTGAAGTGTGCGGAGCCTGCTAGCCCTTTGCCTTCATACTGCATCCTGTCAGGAGGGGGACTTGGAGGGTTAAGCCACATGCTCGGACGGGAGCTGAGGAAGGGTGCAGCTGCAACTGATGCCAAGCTCTTTGCTCCAAGCCTAGGACCCCAAGTATGAAGGTGGAAGAACAGTTAGAATCTACCATTGTAAACATCTTACAAAATGTGTACAAGAAAAGGTAGACAAACCAATCCTGAAAATATAAATTTAAAAAGACCTGAAGTAAAAGTTAAGGTGACTAATTCTCAGATACTCCCTCACTTCTCCAAAACTCTCAAGACTTGGCCAGTCTGCTGCTCCATGAGGGCGTTTGCTATCACAACACGAGAATCCTCTCCAAATTCCAGGGTGAAGAAAACATGAATCACGTCTTACATTTCCATTGATGACAGCAGGTGAGTCATATAGTGGGCGTTCAGCCACGTTGCCGTGCAGCTCAGAAGGAGCCTGACACAAGGAGGGGCTGGCCATCTGTGGAGGTGGACGGGGCAGCCAAGTCAGACTCCAGAGTGAGGGACAGGGGTTAGGTGCAGTGAGGGCAGCTCAGCTACAGAGCTCCAGAGGGAGAGGAGGCCTCGTTTCAGCATGTAGGTCATGGGGGTTCACTCTATGTGTCAACCTGACTAGGCCATAGTTCCCAGACGTTTGGTCAGTCATTGTTGTAGATGCTGCTGTGAAGGTATGTTTTAGATGAGATAAATCTTTAACTCAGTAGACTTTCAGGAAAGCAGATGACCCACCTTCATATGGATGGGCCTCGCCCCAGCAGTGGCGGCCTTAATGGAAAGACTGCTTGCCCCCAGAAGAAGAAGGAATTCAGCCACAACCTTTGGACTTTAAACTGAAATTCTTCCATGGGTCTCCAGCCTGTGGGCCTACTTTGCAGCAGTATTTAGTCTTATCATCCCCACTATAGTATAAGCCAGTTCTTTAAAATTTCTCTTTGTCTTGTCTTTCTGTCTCTCTCCATATATGTGTGTGTGGGAGGGGGGTGTGTGGGTGGGTGGGTGTGCATGTATGAACACACACACATAAACATATTATGTATACACACACATATATATGTGTATATATACATGCACATACAAACCCCTCACCCCCACACACACATGCATGCAAACACACACACACACACACTCACACACATATATGCAGTCATGTGCCACACAGTGATGGTTCAGTCAATGAGGGACCGAATATAGGACAGCAGTCCAATAAGATTATAATACCATATTTTTACTATGCCTTTTCTATGTTTAGATACACAAATACTCACCACTGTGCTATAATCGCCTATACTATTCAGTACAGTCATAGCAACACAGGTTTGTAGCCTAGGAGCAATACACCTAGCCTAGGCAGGCAGTGGGCTGTACCATCTATGTCTGTGTAACTGAGCTGAACACTCCATGATGTTCAGCTAACAACACATTTCTCAGAACACATCCCCATCATTAAGGGACACATGTCTCTCTATCTCGCTCTTTCTCTCTCTCTTTTTCTCTCTCTCTCTCTCACACACACACATACACATGCCAGCTGACATAAAATCTCCACCTGGCAGGTGCCCTGGGACACACGTGTGAGTAGGGAGGCTCCATGCATGACTCTTGACTCTAAAGCCCTTTATCATTCCAGGACAGCATGTAGGGGCTCATTCACTCAAGGTAACAGCACCAGACCATCAACCCAGCCACCATGTGCCGACACGCACATAGACACATGCACACAGACACACTATTCTCCTGCAGAAGAGTGGATCCGAGCTTCTCAGGATGGTGCAGATCAGCTGACAGTGGAGTTGCAGCCCCATCAGGGCCGGGGGCAACAGATGTTAAGCCCCACTGTTTCCTTGGCCCTGTGACGGTGGAGAGGAAGACATGTTCCAAGGCAACTCTCTCAGCTCCAAGCCAAAGGATTCCTTGAATCAGCATTGTGAGTGAAAATATGCACCTATGGGAATTTCAAAGACCGCTGGAGGAGGGAGATTTTGTGCAGATAGGGTGAGCTGGGCTCCGCCAAGTTTAAAGTGTTGCCATTTATGGGACTGCATGGACACTCACCAGCCAGTCATTCTGAGATACTCAAATGACAATCGCATCCACTGGGCTCTTGTCTGGGCCTTTGTTCACCTGCATGCTGACCTCTGTCTCCACATTGGAGGGGGGCCTCTCTCTCCCTGACACTGGCAAACCCCACCCTGTTAGCCTTTCTTGTGTTTCCCTCTTGGGGAAGACAAATGATAAAAACAGGCAGAGGAACGTGGAAAGACTAGACTAGCTAGTCTTCTGGCCTCCATCTTTCTCCCGTGCTGGATGCTTCCTGCCTTCAAACATCAGACTCCATGTTCTTCAGCTTTTGGAGTTTTGGACCTACACCAGTGATTTGCCAGGGGCTCTTGGGCCTTTGGCCACAGACTGAAGGCTGCACCGTCAGCTTCCCTACTTTTGAGGTTTTGGGACTAGGACTGGCTTCCTTGCTCCTCAACTTGGAGATGGCCTCTTGTGGGACTTCACCTTGTGATCATGTGATTCAGTACTCCTTAATAAACTCCTATATATCCTCTTAGTTCTGTCCCTCTAGGTAACCCTGACTAATACAATTACCAACAACAAGTATTCCTTGCCTTTTACAAAGACATGACCAACCTTCAGGTTTCCAGCCATTTTCTCTACAGCTGGGTTTTTCAATCACCTTTTCAATCACCTTAAGAGGCCTTTTTAGATATGTTTTCTTGATGGCCTCAACCCATATAAATTTGAGAACACAGACCAACTGTATGTTTGTTTATGAATTGGAAATATATCTGTGTTTTATGCAAAAAATGAGTACTTTCTCTCCCCGTCACCCTCAAAACAGTTTTTGTCCCCCTGGGTTCTGATGTGTTTCCTGTTGAGGATATATGCTCTATGGCTCTTCATGGGTGGCTGAGAGCTCCAGAAGGAAATCATGCTATGGACATAACTGGGGCGCTGGATGTTTATTCTTTCTCTCCAGTGAGCCCCAGTATGTCTTAATGATGCTTTTATTTGCTTCTGGTCCAGAGATTTACTAATGCACTGGTGTTCCCACCCCAGCTGCAATCCACACAGTGGAAAGAGCAGAAGTTACCTAGAGAAAATGCCGTGTCCCCATGCTCTACTGCAAATCTTTCTTCTTTGTCTTTTGTTTCCTTTCTCCAAATACTTGCTACTGCACCTCTTCCCCAGAATTAACATCTTCAGCTGTGTTCTGAATCTCACGTCCTTTCATCACCTCCAAGATTTCATACTTGCAGTTAATAACTTTACCTTCAGTGTCTTCATTCTATATTTTTAAACATGAAAAATTACATGCAAAAATAATTGGAACAAGTGTGCCATATGTTACTAGATCCTGCGATACCCAATTTTTGAATATGAGTTTGTCTTATCTTCAGCTTTCACCATGCCTGCACCATACATTTTTCCATACCCAAAAGGTGAGTATTTTCTAAATTTGTCTTGCTCTCTGTCAAAATCTTAATTTCTGTGTTATCCCAGAAAGCTCTCCAAGACCACTCCTGACCTGTTCAATTCCTCCTTGGTTTTTTGAGACTAAATCTAATAGGTTGGTGTAAATTAAAAGGAATGGCAAAAACTGCAATACTTTTGCACCAATCTAATGAGCTTGTAAGAAGTCTTCCCTCAACCTCACCAATTTCCATTTCTCAACTTTGTTCTCAATATTTACTCCTAAGTCTGAGCCCTAGAGCCCTAAGTAGAGGGTCTTTTCATCATAACACTTGTACTCTCTTATCAATGTAACGTCACTTGACTGTGATCCTGCAAGACTGTGTACAGCTTTGGGGGCAGGAATTATGATATTCATTTCAGAGTTTCCAGTGCCTACACCAGACCCAAGAAGAATATGTTTTCACAAATCTATTGAATGGTAGAACAAATGACTGATTGATGAAAACACAAATTACTTGATGGAAGAAGAGATAAGAATTTTAAAATATAACCAGCTCATGCAACAGCTTGACTAAGTAACTGTAAAATATTAATCATTCAGAATAAATTATATACTTTCAAAGATAAACTAGAAGCTTCCACAGCCAGACGTGCCACTTAGGCCTCTACGAGGCATTTATCCATTTTATAGAAGCATCTACACTACACATCTCCTCAGGACAGAGACCACAGCGCTTGATGATGCCCCCGCAAACTCAAAAAGTGGCCTTCAGAAGCGTTTAAACAAATGCCTCTTGATGTTAAAAGTTTGTTCTCCAAATAAAATAGAGACAAACAGCAGCACCAAGAATTCCAGGGCAGTGTGTTTGACAGAAATGTGGCTTCTGAGTACAACTGATATGATAAAACTAACAAGGAAGATAGCAATTTTATCAGGCTTTTACTCAATATTGCTTCTTTCCTGTAACTTTGTACTAGCAGCCTGTCATCAGTTTATATAATTAAGAATGGGAAAGGATTTTTGGGCTCAATGACACCTACTAAAGAATAATCCACCCTTGAAGAAAATATTTGGCAAACATTTTAGTGTTAAGTTCAAGCAAAAACATTCTAATCTAAAAGTTTAAATAATTTAGGGTAGATTTTCTTTGATACTTTTTCTTTTAATTGGTGTGAAAATGTTCTTTCCTCAAACTTTGTTTTGTTTTTTTTTTTCAGTCATTGGAGCATGCCCAAGGACCATCATTAAATACTAAAAGGTGAGAGGAAGCCATCTGGTCACCTCTGAGGGACTTCCAGATCTTGATGGCACTCCATCTGCATCAGTAACAATTTACTCATTACATCAAGGGCATGGAGAAATTCAAAAGTGGACCTGTATAGGAGAAACTCAGGTCTGAGTAGCGTGATGCCAGGCATACCGTGCTCAGACCGCCTGCTCTCAGCTGAGCACACCTGGACTGAGTTAAACATGTTAAACATATTGCTACAGCAAGTAATACATTCACCTAGTAATGCATTCTTTTTTTTCCCTTTGAAAAGAGATTCTCTACAAGATGACATCACTCGCTTTGCAAAACAGACATGAAGAATGTGTTTGCTTCTTTCATGCATGGAGCATCCTATATCAACATCACACAGGGTTGTACAAGGATTTTTCTTGGATGTTGAAATGGAAAAGCATTCATAGCTTCCCTGAATTTTACGAGCACTGTAAACTCAATTTCCAAATCGCTATTCTCTATGTTAAGGCAATTACACATCAAGTGTGGCTACCAGACTTCTGCTGTGCATGTCCACTTCTTCCATATGTCACGCCTCTGCTGTCTGCTCCCGCACTTCAGCTCAGAGTCTCCTTGCATTGCTCTGTTGAAAGGCACCTGAAGTTCATGTCTTTACCCAAGGTTGGTAGCATGCCTCAGCCCAGTGCATAATGGTAATAACAAGAACAGCCGTTCCAATTTTGTGTATGCAAGTCTGCCTAAATCTATAATTTTCTAACCATCCTTCTATCTGCTTTACTCCAAAATCTGCTGTGAATTAATTCAGTAATCTTTACTTTGTAAATTAGTGCTAGAGATGAAAAGAGTCTAGCAACTTGCCTAATATTTCATAACCAGTAAATGGTAAACCATGAATCCAAACCCAGATCTATGCAATTGCAAATACTGAGCTCGTTTTGTTACATCATTGAAAAGATAATGAAGCCTGGGCAGATCATTACAATTTTTAAATTTACTTAAGCTGTTCAAAGGCATACCATTAAGATAATTAACAAGAGATTTCCTGGAAGTCAATACCTTGAACAACTCATTTTCAGATTTAATGTGTAAATATGTCCTGTTAATAATTAAAGGGGAAAATGAGCAATTATTTCTATCAATCTCTCTTAAGTGACTAAGAATTTTTGCATGTGTTCCAATTACTCTGATTCTTGTATGTTTTCAATCATAAATATCATTCACATTTATAAGTTGCTTATACTGAAATCCTCCAAGAGTAAAAAGACATATGTCAGATCAAGGTATTGATTTTTAAAAACACTGATTTTTTTTTAATCAGGATAAGTAAGTCTTATCCAATGTTACCTTAAACTTGAAAAGAACCACTTGGCCCTTTGTTCTGAAGAGTCATCATGGAAAGTTGAACTTGACAGAGTTCCAAGAGAAACCAACATCCCGGAGTTGAGGGCAGCTCATATAGTCACCCAGAGTGCACTGAGATCCCCTGACTCCTCACAGGTGCCCCTTCTTTATTTCATCCTCAGCATCCCTACCTACCTCCTTCTACCAGATGAGGCTTTAGAGCAAACAAACACTTGGGTGTGTGACTTTGAGAATTGCTGTCAGTGTCAAGCATGTTTATATATGTAAATCAGTTTATGCAGAAATTACATTTTTAAAATAATGTCAGTGTTGTAGAACACAAATAGGCATACTCCCTTTGCAAATCATTTACTTCAATGATTCTAAGGAAAAAACTATTATATCATGATAGCTGTGGACCAAACAGGCTGGAGAAAATGTACTGCAATGTGAACCTTATGTATTTTCTTCCTTCCAATTGGCAGTGCATTTTTCAAAGCCTGTATATCTACATAATATACATTGGTACATATGTATCACTAAGTCGATCAGCATAGCTTGATTAGTAAACAGACTTTGTGTTTTATAGTACTAAAGAAAAATAATAGTATAGATTAAAAGTGAAATAATAACAATGTTTACACATAATGGAATATATAAAAGCGTATTTATCAAAGCATATTTGTGAAATCGATCAATTCTCATTTTTTATAAGCAATAATCAAACTAGGGGAACTGAGGTGATTATAACTCTATAGAGAATTCATGATAGTCAAGGAATCTAAATTTTGAAATCACAGCTTCCCTAAGACCCAGATGATGGTGGCATGCTCTAGAACTTGACTTCCCTGTCTGTGCCTCTCCACACAGGCCAGGACTACTGCTGAGCTAGAGGGATGCACCCATGCAGGCTCCATGTACTTCTCTAGAGCACCCTTCCCAGGCTTCCCTTCATTTCGTTCCCAACCATGCCATCCAACTTATTTAACTTACTGGCATACAGTTGTTCATAGGATCCCCTCATAGTCCTTTTGATTTCAATAAAGTCAATAATAATGTCTCAACTAGGCATGGTGCCTCAGGCCTGTAATCCCAGCACTTCAGGAGGCTGAGGTGGCTGGATCACATGAGGTCAGGAGTTCAAGATCAGCTTGGCCAACATGGTGAAACCCTGTCTCTACCAAAAATGCAAAAATTAGATAGACATGGTGGCACGCCCCCGTAATCCTAGCAACTCAGGAGGCTGAGTTGGGAGGATTGCTTGAACCTGGGAAGTGGAAGCTGTCTCATATAATAATAATAATAATAATAATAATAATAATAATAATAATAATAATAATAATAGTCTCCTCTTTTGTTCCTGATTTTTGTAATTTGAGTTTTCTTTCATTTTTTTTCTTGGTCAGAGTAGATAAATGTTTATCCATGTTATTGGTCTATTCAAATAACTAACTTGGTTTCATTGACTTTGCCTATTTTCTATTCTCTGTTTCATTTGTTTCTGCTATCTGTAAGCTTTCTTATTTGTGCTTGCTTTGGGTTTACTTTGGTCCCTTTGTTTAGTTCGATAAGGTAGAAGTTTAACTTATTTATCTGATTTTTTTTTAAATACTACAGGCACTCACAGCTACAAAGTTTCCTCTAACAGTCCTTTAGTTATCTGCCATGAATTTTGGTATGTTGCGTTTTTGTTTTTATTCTTTTCAAAGTATTTTTATAATTTTCCTTTTGTGGGGACAGGTCCTAAGAAATATGAATTTCTTTAGATTTCATTAAAGAGTAAACATATTTGTCATCCAATGCTGTGAAAAAGTCTGCTTATCAATTTGTCATCTCAAGTTTTAAAAAATAAAATTCAAATTTATGGTAAATTTAAGGAATTATTATCAATATCTTCATAGTAATCAAACATTGTGTTTTTCTTTCTCAGTTTCTTGTGGAGCTCTTGGTATAATAGTGAATGCATATTTATTATGTTCATATTAAATGTGAGTGTAATTATGGCTGCATTATCATGAAAAATGTTCCTTTACATGCAGGAGAGTTCTAACACTTGTAGAGGCTCTGAAGGGAACTTCTTGGGATAGAATCGGAAAGTTTGCTCTCTTACAAGAAAGGTTAGTACACACATTCTGTTCTGGTGGAATGGCAGCACCTATGGCCCCTTAGATGAATTACAGCTTTTTACAGCAGGAATATGTCTGGTGGCCCTATTTCATATCCATTCTTAAAATACGGTAATCACCTTCCTGATATACATAAATGTATTGTCTATGTTTTAATAAGACACAACATAGAATGACAAGCCGGCCATGGTGGCTCACACCTGTAATCCCAGCACTTTGGGAGGCCAAGGTGGGTGGATTGAGGTCAGGAGTTTGAGACCAGCCTGACCAACATGGCGAAACCCCATCTCTACTAAAAACACAAAAAAAGTTAGCCGGGCGTGGTGGAGCATACCTGTAATCCCAGCTACTCAGGATGCTGAGACAGGAGAATCGCTTGAATCCGGGAGGCGGAGGTTACAGTGAGTCGAGGTCCTGCCACTGCACTCCAGCCTGGGTGAAAGAGCGAGACTTCAACTCAAGAAAAAAAAAAGAAAAAAAAAAAAACACCACATAGCATGACTAAAATCTCAGCTTTAATCTCCAGGAAGACCACACCAGCTCTTTGACAAAGTGTACAGTTTTCATGGCAACAAAGTCTACAGAGTCTGTCAACACTGAAGGACGACTTTCTGAGAAGGTCACAGCCTCAAATGCCTTAGCAAAGAGATGAGGGAAATTGATAGCATTAAATTTATAAATCAGAAGAAATGTCTCAAATCAATAACCTAGCCTTCCACTTTACAAAACTGGAAAAAGAAGAGCAAACTAAATGCCAAACAGCAGATGGAAGGAAATAATAAAGATTATGGTGGAAATAAATAAAATAGAGTAAGAAATGCAATTGAGAAAAATCAATGAAACCTGAATTTGATTCTTTTGGAAAAGATGAACTTGTGTCATGGACCTACCAGTTTTCTGTTAGGTCCAAAACCAAGACCTGCCATGGTTTTGACAATGTCCTTAGTGATTAACAAGAAAATATAGGAACTAAAAATAAGTTAAAAAGCAACATCTTAAATAACAGCAGACACATCTATTAATTAATAGGATTTTCTACTTGATTGAAAGAGGTTAATATTCTTGACATTTGTATTAGTCCTTGCTTGCATTGCTATAAATAACTACCTGAGACTTCGTAATTGATAAAGAAAAGAGGTTTAATTGGCTCACTGTTCTGCAGGCTGTACAGGAAGCATGGGTGGGGAGGCCTCAGGAAACTTACAATCATGGCAGAAGGCAAAGGGAAAGCAGGCACATTCTACTGGCTGGAGCAGGAGGAAGAGAATGAAGCAGGACATGCTGTACACTTTTAAAACAATCAGATCTTGTGGGAACTCATGCACTATCCTGAGAACAGCAAAGAAAAAATATGCCCCATCATCCAATCACCTCCCACTAGACCCCTCCTCCAACACTGGGGATTACAATTTGATATGTTATTTGGGCAGGGACACAAATCCAAATTATATCAACATTAAAAAATCAATGTCCTTAGGCATGAAGTTTTTCACACTCTTTTGCAAATAATGAGTCCCATCAGGCAGAACTGTAGCATGTGCAGTCCTTATGCACTGTCTTTCCACTGGCAGAATCTCTCCCGAGCAGGGCATGGTCTTGTCATAGATGGTCATCTTTGCTCTATGTGTAGGTGCTGGATAAGTAATGTCATCCTGGTCTTTTCCTTTGTCTTTCCTGGTATGGAATTTCTACTCCACAAGTGAGCTGGGCAGGGGAAATCACAATCCAGTAATCTCAATCTGCCATGCAGAGGGTAGAGTTTGTGCTAGTAGGAGAAAGGTGCTCCAGACCTTTTGGAAGTGGGTGTCTGGAATAAAACTTCTGCAACACAGATCTGGAAGAGATGTGAAATCAAAATGGCCTGTCCCTTCTAGGGTAAAGCCCCATCCTGAAGAACAGTTCCCACCCCATCCTGAATAACAGCTCTGATATAGTTTGGCTCTGTGTCCCTACCCAAATCTCATGTCAAATTGTAATTCCCAGTATTGGAGGAGGGGCCTGGTAGGAGGTGATTGAATCATGGGGTGGACTTCCCCCTTACAATTCTTGTGATTCAGGTCTTTCAAGATCTGCTTGTTTAAAAGTGTAGCACTTCCCTGCCCTCTCTGGTCAGCCAGGTGAAGAAGTACTTGCTTCCCCTTTGCCTTCCACCATGATTGTAAGTTTTTGAGGCCTCCCTAGAAGCAGAAGCCTGTACGGCCCACAGAACCATGAGCCAATTAAACCTCCTTTCTTTATAAATTACCCAGTCTCCGGCAGTTCTTTATAGCAGTGTGAGAAAAAACTAATACAGAAAATTGGTACCAGAGAAGTGTGGCATTGCTATAAAGATATCTGAAAATGTGGAGGCAACTTTGGGACTGGGTAACATGCAGAGGTTAAAACAGTTTGGAGAGCTCAGAAGATAGGAAGATGAGGGAAAGTTTGAAACTTCCTAGAGACTTGTTAAATGGTTGTGATCAAAATGCTGATAGTGATATGGACAATGAAGTGCACACTGAGGTGGTCTCAGAGGGTGATGAGAAACTTATTGGGAATTGGAGTAAAGGTCACACATGCTATCCTTTAGCAAAGAGACTGGTGACATTTTGCTCCTGCTCCAGTGGTCTGTTGAACTTTGAACTTGAGAGAGATGATTTATGGTATCTCACAGGAGAAATTTCTGAGCAGCAAAGCGTTCAAGTTATAGCCAGGCTGCTTCTAAAAGCCCATAATAATTTGCATAAACAAAGAAATGACCTGAAACTGGAACTTATATTTAAAAGGGAAGCAGAGCATATAAGTATAAAAGAATTACAACCTGGTCATGTGGTAGAAAAGGAAAACCTATTTTCTGGGAGAAATTCAAGCCAGCTGCAGAAATTTGCAATACTAAGGAGGAGCTGAATGTTAATAGCCAAGACAATGGGGAAAATACCTCCAAGGCATTTCAGAGACCTTCACGGCAGCCCTGGAAGCCTGGGATGAAAAATGGTTTTGTGGGTCAGACCCAGGGCCCTGCTGCTCTGTGCAACCTCAGGACATGGCACCCTGCATCCCAGCCACTCCAGCTTCAGCCATGGCTAAAAGGGTCCCAGATATGTCTCAGGCCTCTGCTCTAGAGGGTGAAAGCTGGAAGCTGTCAAGGCTTTCATGTGGTGTTAAGCCTTCAGGTGCACAGAGGGCAAGAGTTGAGGCTTGGGGGCCTCTGTCTAGATTTCAGTGGATTTATAGAAATGCTTGGATGTCCAGACAGATGTCTGCTGCAGTGGGGAGCCCTCATGGAGAAGCTCTACTAAGGCAGTGAGGAGGGGAAATGTGGGGTTGCAGCTCCCACACAAAGTCCCCACTGGGGCACTGCCTAGTGGAGCTGTGAGAAGAAGGCCACAGTTCTCCAGACTCTAAAACAGTAGATCCACTGACAGCTTGCACCATGTACCTGGAAAAGCCTAGGGTAGTCAATACCAGCCTGTGAAAGCAGCCACAGGGACTGTACCCTGTAGAGTCACAGGGGTGGAGCTGCCTGTCTGTGGACACAACAGCCTCACACTCCTTCCCTTTGATCTGGATCAGCCACAGGATTTCAGGACAATTCAGATTGAGGGACAGGGTCAGGTCATTCAAAGTGAGATGCTGCTCTTCTTAGCAAGGTATGGGTGGGCTCTGCCCAGTTGAAATAAGATACAAGCAAGTGACCATACAGATAGTGCTAGTATCTGCTGCATTTCACGCTGGTTACCAAAACAGAGATATTACATATCCATTAATTTAATCCATCTATATATGTACACAAATATTGACTTTAAAATATATGGTTATTTACTGCTTATCCTGGATAATTTGCCTGATGTATTTCAGCACATAATAGCAAACAATAGAAAATTGCTTGGGTTGGAAATATTTAGGTAATTTTGTAAACTTAATTACAGCAAGAACACAAGTCCTAATATGGAACTCATAAAAATCACAGAGAGGCAAATAAAGCTTAAAATATTTCTTGATAATTGAAAGCAATTCAGTGAATAATTAAGTGTCAAGTTGTACTAACTGTTGACCTTCATAGAGCCATAAATTATCCATCATTAAATTAATATTTTAGAATCTTGAGATCATGTATTAACAGACTCACATGCAGTTTTAACAAATAATACAGAGAGATCCCATATAGCTTTTACCAAGTTACCCAAAGGCAACATCTGACAAAACTGTAGTACAGCATCACAAGGAGAACATTGACATTGACACAATCAACAGGCGGAATATTTCCATCTCCACCAGGATCCCTCAGGCTGCCTGTGGATAGCCATGCTCACTCCTGCTTGTCCTGGCCTCCTTCTCACACTTAGCAATCACTAACCTGTTCTATACATCTGTAATTTCATTGTTTTAAGAATGTTATAGAAATGGAATCACACAGTATGTAACCTTTTGGGACTGGCTTTAGTTACTTATTCATTGATTTGTTTGTTTGTTGTTTTTGAGATACCACCTTGCTCCTGCAAGAATGGCCATAATTAAAAAATAAAAAAAAAAAAACAGATGTTAGCATAGATGTGGTAAAAAGGGAACACTTTTATGCTACTGGTGGGAATGTAAACTAGAACAACAACTATGGAAAACAGTATGGAGATTCCTTAAAGAATTAAAAGTAGAACTAAAATGTTGACCCAGCAATTCCACTACTGAGTATCTGTCTAGAGGAAAAGAAGTCATTATATGAAGAAGACACTTGCACACACATGTTTATAGCAGCACAATTCTCAATAGCAAAAATATGAAACCAGCCTAAACGCCCATCAACCAATGAGTATATAAACAAAATATTATAGATAGACAGATAGATAGATAGATAGATAGATAGATAGATAGATAGATAGATGATAGATAGACAGACAGATGCAGTTGTAACAAATAATACAGAGCGATCCCATATAGCTTTTACCAAGTTACCCACAGGCAACATCTGACAAAACGGTAGTACAGCATCACAAGGAGAACATTGACATTGGCACAATCAACAGTCAGAATAGATAGATAGATAGATAGATAGATAGATAGATAGATAGATAGAAAGAATACTACTCAGCCATAAAAGCATTCACAGTAACCTGGATGGAGGTGGAGACAATAATTCTAAGTGAAGTAACTCAGGAATGGAAAACCAAACATTGTATGTTCTCAGGTATAAGCAGGAGCTAAGCTATGAGGACATAAAGGCATAAGAAGGATATAATAGATTTTGAGGACTCAAGGGGAAGGTTGTAGGAGGAGCAAGGGATAAGAGACTACACACTGGGTACAGTGTACACTGCTTAGGTGATGGGTGCAACAAAATCTCAGAAATCACCACTAAAGAACTTTTCCATGAAACCAAACACCACCTGTTCCCCCCAAATTATTGAAATATAAATAAAAATAAATTTGAAAAAAAATTTATTATTAAAATTTATAAAAGTTTTACATCTATTTTATTGTTTTTAATAATTGTGTACTAATATTATTTGTAATGTTTTAATTCTTAGAGCCTATAATCAGAGGCAATATGAAAAATAAAGATTTGCATTTACATATATAGTTTTTTAAATGTATATTAAACATATACACACCTTGGTAAGATGACCTCTAAGATACTCAATTATAAATATATTTTTTTCATAAAAATTATGAGAAATATGTGTGATGGATTTGTTCAAGGTGGAAAATCAAGGGTATCAATCACTGAGCTGTCAAAGAACATTTACATACAGTTTTAAAATGAGTATCACATCAAAGTGGTCTTTGGATTTTATTAGATACATTTAAATATAGTGTGCCGTTTTATTTTTCAATGTTACTGTTTGCTATATGCTAAACCATTGAAATGTATAAAATATTTCAGATGTCGACTTAAAGTGGTGTGAGTAGGTTTCAAATTTCTTTTGTGTGTATGTGTTTAAAACCATTAAAGGCCAATGGTTTTTGTTAAAATAAATATCCCATCCCTCCCTCCTTAGCCGACTCCATGTAAGTTACAGCTTTCTTGGTTCCCTGGGTTATTTTGGACCTAAGGACTTTCACAAGTGAGATTGTGGTTTTGCCACTGGCCCAGCATAGCCCAGGGAATGGGAAGCATGACATCCTTCATAGATCCTTTCCTGACAGCATGGAATGCCTTCTCAAGTGTCACCTTCCTGATACCGAATGCTTTGAGTAGTCATCAGATTCTTGTTGCATCTTAAAACATGAGCCATAAGAGTATGAGAGAGCTGCATATCACTTGCAAAATCTGACCAGGAAAATATGTTCATGTACAGTCACTAAGGGACCAGTAGACACT
Source organism: Homo sapiens (assembly GCF_000001405.40). Lineage (NCBI taxonomy): Eukaryota > Metazoa > Chordata > Mammalia > Primates > Hominidae > Homo > Homo sapiens. The sequence goes on from NC_000005.10 coordinate 4,599,232, forward strand.
CATATGTCACTCACTATTTCATTCTCCCCTGGAAGCCCTGTGTTTTCTTGCCGTACTATCTTTGGCAGTGGTTGCTTCATCATCTTCCTATCCAACGTTTGCCTTGGAATATACCATTATCCCATTGGGTCCCTATCCTTTGCTACCTAGTGAAGCCATACACTAATCCTCAAGACAGATCATAAACTTGAGAGACCACCCACCGTGGAAAGAAATAATGGGTGTTGTCATGGCAGAATTTACCAGGATTTCTTGCTTATTTGTCCTGGAAATGAGAAGAAATTTTTCTTTAAAACACCTATGTGACTAGGAAATTAGATATTTGGATAGAGATAACAAAAAAACCAGCTCCGATGAGTGAGAAAAATCAGGGAATCCCTGAAAAAGAAATTAGGATATGTTATGGAATGCAAGGAAGGTTGAACCATTGGAATATATGATAGGTGATAAAGATACAATTTTAAGGGTACTAGGAGACTTCTTCCTAGAATACTACTTTTAATGTAATTTGGTTCCAACAACTCCCAGCCTCTTATCATTTTCAGTTCAAAAATCAAAATTCCTGGGGAAAGAATCATCTGGTTACTTTGGTTTGGAATAGGTTTCTACCCCTTAATGAAATATGACTGTATCATAGGGCCATGTACAGACACAGTACTGAGAATGAATCTTCCAAACAGCAAGCCAATTTTAAATATGTGGAAATTTCTGTGAGCAAGAAAGCTGACCAAGTAGAACCCACTTTTTCTTCCTACCATAGATGTGATTAAGGAATGAAAAACCATTATTTGATTTTGTGTAGGCAGTCATATCCAGCTCTCTTCAGAAAACGGAGAAGTCCATGGAAACTGATATGAGTTGCATCGTGTTCCTTAATATTTATATGTGAATTTCTAACCCTCAGCACCTGTGAATGTGACCTTATTTACATATGGTGTCTAATATGGTCTAGCTCTGTGTCCCCACCCAAATCTCATCTTGAATTGAAATCCAAATTATAATCCCCACATTTTGGCATAGGGACCTCGTGGGAAGTTATTAGGTCATGGGGACTGTCCCCCCATGCTGTTCTCATGATAGTGAGTGAGTTCTCACAAGATCTGATGGTTTTATAATGGGGCTTTCCCCCCCTTTACTTTGCACTTCTCTCTCCTGCTGCCATGTGAAGTAGTGTTTTCTTTCCCTTCTGCCATGATTATAAGCTTCCTGAGGCCTCCCCAGCCACGCGGAACTGTGAGCCAATTAAACCTCTTTCTTTTATAAATTACCAAGTCTCAGGCAGTTCTTTATAGCCATGTGATAACAGAATAATACAGGGTTTTTACAGAGGGCAATAGGGTAAGATGAAGTTATTAGGGTGGATGCTAATCTGATATCTTAGATGTCCTTATAAGAAGGAGAAATTTAGACAGAGACAGGCACTTGTAGAGGAAAAATTATAAACAGACATGAGGAGATAGCCATCAATAAGCCTAGGAGAGAGGCTGGAGCCACGCCTTACCTCATAGCCCTTAGAGGGAACCAACCCTGTCAATGCCTTCATCTCTAACTTACAGCCTCCAGAACTCTAGAGCAATACACTGTTGTTTCTAAGTCACCCAATTTGTGGTACTCTGTGACAGTCCTAGGAAACTACTACAGACACTCATGGGCAAGAGTGAGTTCTCAATTCAGGACCAACTGCTTCTGAACACACGTGAGTCTTTCTTCTTTGGGAAGGAAAGATGTTCCTGAGTTCACACCAAGGATGGAACTAAGCATTGCTCTTCAATATTGAGCTAAAGGGCATTTTGCTAAATGGAGGGCCATAGTTATTAGTTACAGATTTATCCAGCAATCACATCCTTCAAGTGCACTAGTTATGCCATATTACAGTAAAATTAATGGGTTGGTAAGTATTAACTTTAAACCTGTGATAAATAAGTCTAATCCCAACCACAGCATTTCTGATTTAAATGAAGATATAGGCTATTACTCTTCAACCAGAACTTAAATAATTTAGTCAATGGTCATTTCACATTTGCTTTCTTGAATATGCCACATATTTTATAATGTCTTCCTAGGGACTTGCCTCCCTTCCTCTATAATGAAGTACATTGGCTTGATTTCTAGCAATATCTTTAAGTAGGGTATTAAGAAAAATCTTCATAGAAAACAGAGGTCAATCCTGGGCCTTTCCCCTTCCAGTTAAATTAGAAAGAAGAACAGTTCTGAAATTCATCTATTATGCCAGGGCATTTTTCTTTTAAGATATTCAGTACATTCTTCAAAATTACAGTTACCAACACAAACATGATATATTATGTCCAGAGTATATTTGACATTTTAGAATAACACATTGGTTCCTTTCCTCATTTTCTGCTTCAAAGTTAAACAATACATACATTTTCATTTGAGACAGGGTGTCTCTCTGTTGCCCAAGCTGGGGTGCAGTGGTGCAAATATGGCTCGCTGCAGTGTCGACCTCCCAGGCTCAAGAGATCCTCCTTCCTCAACCTCACAAATAGCTTGGACTACCAGCACATGTAACCACTCCCGGATAATTTTTGTATATTTTGGAGAGAAAGGGTTTCACCATGTTGCTCAGGCTGGTCTCAAACTCATGGGTTCAAGAAACTCACCCACCTCAGCCTTCCAAACTGCTGGTATTACAGACATGAGTCACCGTGCCCCGCCCAGCAATACATTTAAAAACAAAAGCCCAGACACCTTTTTTTCTCAAAACTAGTGATATAGGCTAAAATTTCTGGGACCTACACATAATTGAGTGATTTAGGGAGGTTTTATGCAGGTTTGGATTAAGTAACCTGACATATAATGTCACCAATAAGTTATTATTTAAATTCTTACTGTGTACATGTCCCTTAGAGTTTATCCCTATTTTGTAATGATTAAGCACACAAGTCTCTTATGATCAGCTGCATTCAAGTATCCAGGCTGACTCTACCAGGAAATCCTTATACTGATAGAGACCACACTAAAGTGTTAGCTAAACCATGTCACATCTACCTTCTTCCATCTGCTTTAGAAAAGGGTGTTAGGGAGAGGCATTTAGAAATGATATAACATTTATTCATTCAATTACGTATTTAACAAACTTATATTTAATGAATAAAGACCAAGTGTTCATAGTTACAAAAGGAATTGGGTTTGAATAGTCTATAAAAACAGAGAGTAAGGGAAAGTTTGCAGGTCAGCATAGAATTTTTGTTTCTAACACACAGTGGCTTGCCTCCTGTCCGCAGAAGTTGGACTTGTGTGGTAATAAGAGTTGCTTAGTGACATCTACAGGTTTAGTAATTTATACTCAGTAGAAGAAAAGAACAGCCACCAAGTCTGGTGATCAGTGTGGGTGCATTCAAGGGCCAAGATTCACAAAGAAGAGAGTGAAGCAGGTACCAAAACTAATGACAAGAGAAACACTAGAACTCTCAGAAATTGATGCGACAGCACCTATGCTTGCCAAGCCTGTTAGATCATAATAAAAACTGCAGATCATTATCTTTAATCCAGGATGTCTCACCCAGAAGTGATGAAAAGTGCATACACTAAATAAAAGTTTTTCTCTTAACTAATGTTGAGACAACAAAGATGGATGATTTATAATATATTTTAAAGTGTACATAGCAGTTTATATAATTTTGTGATGTTTTATGACATCTTCATAAATGATAGATGTTACAGTACATGGTTAATGCTGTAGTCATTTCAGGAAGGCAGGATGAAGCCCTCAACCCAAAATATTCAAATTTTGAGAAAATGATTACACACACAGACACACACATACACACAGACACACACACACACACACACACACACACACAAAGAGGATATAAAAAAATGTCATTACCCAAATAATGAAGCTTTCTGGGGGAATCAGGACAGACTGCCAGGCAGTTCCAAATATGGCTTGAGAGAGCCAAATGGGCCCACTGGCACAGCTTTACCTGTGGTTAGCGTTGGGGTAGTTCGACGGCTCCTGCTTCTGGTTTGAGATTGCTGGTTTGAACTTCCCACTTTTGCTAAAGGAAGGAGCACGGAAACTTTTCATTGGCTTTGACAGATAAGAGGAAAAATGGGGAGAAAGAAGGATAGAACTTAAGCTGTGAACAGCCAAACATTCAAATTAGAGTCAGAGTCTTGATTTCGATCAATGTATGATGTTAAAGTACATCATATTTATAGTTTTTCTTGAGATAACTAACGATGTTCTTCAGTTACTAAACCACAGTTGGAGGTCCTTGCTCCTGACAAGCTCTACAATTTGATCCAGATGATTCCAACAGAAACAAAAATGTGTAAAGTAAGTGCATGCAACATCATGAAATCCAGTGTAAAGGACTGTTATCCAGCAGCCACAATGAATGAGAGATGCATTTCAGTATTCACACAGAACTTTTACAACTGAGAAAAACACTGACTAAATAAAATTCAGTAAAATAGATAAAATTGCTCTACCCAGACCTTTGTTTTTATCAAAATAGTGCTATAAACCTAATCGGAGAAAGATAACGACATTCCGATGGGTAGAGGTACACTACAAGACACCTCACATTTTCTCAAGTAATGGTATTGTAAGAGGAAGTAAACAAAAAATAATAAATAAAATTCAAGCAAATAAGAGAAATCATGCAAATGCAGCCCAGTAGACTTAGATGGTAAGCAAAATAAAGGCAGTCTCACAGCTCACTGAAATACCAAATATATGTCACTTTTAGTAGTGGTAGTATCACAGCCAAGTTTTGAACTGGAAAGCAGTGAACAACTAAAGAAATTAAGCAAACTCCTGAGCTCTTCCTGCTGTCATTTATTAATATGATAACATTCGGGGGTAACATATAAATTTAAAGATGCAATATATGCACAGTAGAGAATCTATTTGAAGAAAAATAATATTCCAACTGCTAAATACTTCATTAGATATGGTTCAAATACATTAAAATATTTTTTGGTGAAAGTGGTACTTTAATTTTGTAAACCCAATAGTATAGTATAGACTTAAAACCCGTAGCCCATAAAATACCACTGTGAATATTCCTGAAGGGTATAGTGCAAAAAGGTTTGGAAGAGCCATAGTTAAAATAAATAGTTATTAAACTTTTAGTTTCAGTATGCCAGTCGTACAGCAAATAAAAATTTAAAGTCAACTTTGAGTATTTTTATGTCGTTATTTAGACACAAATGGCCTTTAGTAAATTTCAAACTAAGTAGAACAGTTGTGTGATTTCCAAACACAAAGCATCCATTCCCAGGCCACCACGTGTTCCATGATAGTTGAGGCACTGCTCTTTCAAACCTTGGTTCGAAGGCTTTACTTTAACATATTGATCAATTAGACCACGTTCTAGGGTCTAATTCAAAATCACTATGTAAATCCAAGGAATGCATGTGGGAATAAGAAATGATACGTGACAGGATTAAAGATTCCATTTTTAGTTACAGCTTTTAGTTATAACTTTCTCAGATTTTTGTCAGTCAATCCAAAATAATTTAAGTATGGCAACTCCTAAACAAATACAAGTTTACTCTATGGAAGTATTCTCCAGTGCCTTTTTATTTTACTTGTAATTTCCAATGATATGCATTTATTATAAGCTGATTGATTTATTAGACCTTCGTGCAAAACACAGAAATCAATACAAGAAAAATGGATGCAAAATGTAAGTGGCCACAAAAGATTGCATGTCTTTAAAGCTATTGCAGAGGGAAGGTTTGACATAAATTTATCTCAACAGAAACTTCTGTCTTATTCCATGCTTCTGAAAACTTTGTCCTTAACATACAGAAGACAGTAAAACAACAGCATCCAGTAAAACAAAGAAAGCTCTTTAAAGAGTGAAAACTACTTAACCTGGTCCATTTGAATATTCAAACATATTTATTTTTTAAATTAATCATTTTATTTTGAGATAAATGTAGATTCAAATGCTGTAGTAAGAAATAATATAGATAACTATGATTCTTTACCAGGTTTCCCCCAGTGATAGAATCTTGAAACATTATCATACAATATCAATAACCAGAATATTGACATTGAAATAGTTAAAATATTAGGGCGTTTCCATCACCACAAAGAGAGTTCATTTTGTATTTTTATAGTCACGACAAACTTTCTCCCAATCTGCTCTCCCTTCTGAAACATCAGCAACAACTAATTTGCTCTTCAGTTTTATAATTTTCTTATTTCAAGAACGTGACAAAAATCGAATTGGATGCGTGTAACTCTTAGGGACAGTCTGTTTTACTCAGCATAATTCTCTGGAGAGTTATCAGGCTGCTGTGTGTGTTCCTATAAATAAGGTACCATTTCCTTTTTGGTTTCAAGATTTTTGTCTTGTTTTTGAGATTTCTTTTTGTCTGTGGTTTCAATTAGGATGTGTCTTGGTGCGGATTTCTTTAAGTTGATCCTACTTGGGATTTCCTCAGCCTCTTGAATCTATACATTTATGGCTTTTCTCAAATTTGGGAAATTTTCAGCCATTATATTCTTGTGGGCTTTTTATCCTCTTCATCTTGCACCTCTTCTTCCAGGGCTCTGATGACACAAATGTTGTATCTTTTGTTGTAGTTCCACTATTCCCTGAGACAATAGTCCCTCTTCTCTCTCTCTACCACTCACTCTCTCCTCTATGCTATTTAGAGTGGGTGTGGTAGATCAGTAATGCAGTTGCTGGAAGAGGTTTTCCCTTTGGGTAAAGATCCTGAACCTTGTCTTTGGAAAGCACCTACATCCTCTAAAATTTAAAGTAAATTCTGCATGTGTATGTGTAGGGGTGTGTGTTTTTGTGTATGTGTGTGTGTGTGTGTGTGTGTGTGTGTGTGTGGGGTGAATGAGTGTGTATTGCATTTTAAGGGGGAAAATGGCCATAGCTCATTTGTTTCTCCAAAAGGTTCCCACTGTTTTCATCTCTTCACACAAAGTCCCTCTTTTCAGAACTCCACAATGTCTTTTGGTCTTCATTCCTTAATCCCACTCCTAATGTCTCCTTCCATATCCATACTCCTTGCCCATAAAGATGTTGTTTGTTTAAAATGCACAGAGCATTTAAGTAAGGGATTTCTCCTCTCCAGGCTAGATCACCTGTATGAGTGTTGCCAATCATGAACAAGATCCATATTTACAACTGAAATCATACCAAACACACTTTTGCACCATGACACAATAAAAATAGAAGCCAAGACAATGAAAATCACTTAAAACCATGCAATTACATGGAAATTAAACACGCTCCTGAATGACTCCTAGGTAAATAATAAAATTAAGGTAGAAATCAAGGCGCTCTTTGAAAATAAGGAGAACAACACACCAGAGTCTCTGGGGCACTGCTACAGCAGTGTTAAGAGGGAAATTCATAGCACTAAATGCCCACATCAAAAAGTTAGAAAGATCTCAAATTAACAACCTAACTTCAAAACCAAAAGAATTCCAGAAGCAAGAACAAATCAACCCCAAAGCTAGCAGAAGATGAGAAATAAGAAAAGTCAATGAAGAACCGAAGGAAATAGAGACACACAAAAAAAATGCAAAAGATCAATGAATCCAGAAGTTGTTTTTTTGAAAAAATTAATAAAACAGGCCACTATCTAGATGAATAAAGAAGAAAGAGAGAAGATCAAAATAAACACAATTATAAATGATGAAGGGAATGTTACCACTAGCCCCACAGAATAAAAATAATCATCAGAAAGTACGAACAACTCTATTCACTCAAACTAGAAGAGATGGCTAAATTCCTGGACAAATACACCCTCCCAAGACTAAGCCAGGAAGAAACTGATTCCCTGAACAGACCAATAACAATGGCTAAATTCCTGGACATATACATGCTCCCAAGACTGAGCCAGGAAGAAACTGATTCCCAGAGCAGACCAATAAAAAGCTCCAAAATTGAATCAGTAATAAATAATCTACCAATAAAGAAAGCTCAGGACCTGATGGATTCACAGCTGAATTCTGCCAGATGTACAAAGAAGAGCTGGTACCATTACTACAGAAACTATTCCAAAAAAATTGAGGAGGAAAGACTCCTCCTCAAATCATTCTGAGGCCAGCATCACCTTGATACCAAAACCTGGAAGAGACACAACAAAAAAAGAAAACCTCAGGCCAATATCCTTGATGAACATTGATGCAAAAAGTCTCAGCAAAATACTTGCAAACCAAATCCAGCAGCACCTCAAAAAGCTAATCAACCATGATTCAGTAGGCTTCATCTCTGGGATGCAGGGTTGGTTCAATATATGCAAATCAATAAATGTGATTCATCACATAAACAGAACAAAAACCACATGATTTTCTCAATAGACACAGAAAAGGCTTTTGATAAAATTCAACATACCTTCATGTTAGAAACTCTCAATAAACTAGATATTGAAGAAACATACCTCAAAATAATAAGTGACATTTCTGACAAACCCACAGCCAACATATACTGAATGGGCAAAGCTGGAAGCATTTCTCTTGAAAACCAGTACAAGACAAGGATGCCCTCTCTCGTGACTCCTATTCAACATAATATTGGAAGTCCTAGCCAGAGCAATCAGGCAAGAGAGAGAAATAAAGTGCATCCAAGTAGGAAGTGAGGAAGTCAAACTACCTCTTTTTGCAGATGGCATGTTTCTATATCTAGAAAACCCCATAGTCTCAACGCAAAAGCTCCTTCTGTTGGTAAACAACTTCAGCAAAGCTGCAGGATACAAAATCAATGTACAAAAATCACTACCATTCCTATACACCAACAACAGCCAAGTCAAGAGCCAAATCAGAAATGCAATCCCATCACAATTGCCACACACAAAAATAATATATCTAGGTATACAGCTAATCAGACAGGTGAAAGATCTCTACAATGAGAATTACAAAACACTCCTAGAAGCAATTAGACAAGACACAAACAAATATGAAAACATCCCATGCTCATGGATAGAAAGAATCCATATCATTAAAATAGTCAGACTGTCCAAAGCAATTTACAGATTAAATGCCATTCTTATCAAACTTCCAGTGACCTTCTTCACAGAACTAGATAAAAGTACTTTAAAATTTATATGGAACCAAAAAAGAGTCTGAATAGCCAAGGCAATCCTAAGCAAAAGGAACAAAGCTGGAGGCATCACATTACCTGACTTCAAACGCTACTGCAAGGCCACAGTAACAAAAACAACATGGTATTGGTATAAAAACAGGCACATAGACCAACGGAACAGAATAAAGAGCCCAGAAAAAAGGCTGCACATATACAACCATCTGATCTTTGACAAAGATTACAAAAACAAGCAATGAGGAAAATATTCCCTATTCAATAAATCATGCTGGGATAACTGGCCAGCCATATACAAAAGATTGAAGCTGAACCCCTCCCTTATACCATATACAAAAATCCACTCAAGATGGATTAAATACTTAAATGTAAAACCCAGAACTATTAAAACTTTCGAAGACAACCGAGGCCGTACCATCTTGGACATAGAAACAAGCAAAGATTTCAGGACAAAGACACCAAACACAATCACAACAAAAGCAAAAATTGACAATTGGGATCTAATTAAACTAATGAGCTTCTGCACAGCAAAATAAACTATCATCAGAGAGAACAAACAACCTACAGAATGGAAGAAAATACTTGCAAACTATGCACGTGACACAGGTCGAATATCCAGCATCTAAAAGGAACTTAAGCAAATTTACAAGAGAGAAACAAACAGCCCCATTAAAAAGTGGGCAAAAGACATGAACAGACACTTCTCAAAAGAAGACATATATGCAGCCAACAAGCATATGAAAAAAGCTCAATATCACTGATCATTAGAGAAATGCAAATCAAAACCACATTGAGATACCATCTCATACCAGTCAGAATGGTTATTATTAAAAGGTCAAAAAACAACAGATGCTGGCAAGGTTGCAGACAAAAAAGAACACTTACACACTGTTGGTGGGAGTATAAGTTAGTTCAACCATTGTGGAAAGCAGTACGGTGATTCCTCAAAGAGCTGAAAGTAGAACTACCATTCAACCCAGCAATCCCATTACTAGGTATACACCCAGAGGAATAAACGCATTCCACCATAAAGCTACGTACACATGAGTATTCATTGCAGCACTAATCACAATAGCAAAGACATGGAATCAACCTAAATGTTCATCAATGGCAGATCGTATAAAGAAAATGTGGTATATATACACCATGGAATATTGTGCAGTCATGAAAAAGAACGAGATCATGTCTTTCACAGTAACATGGTTGGAGCTGGAGGCCATTACCCTTAGCAAACCAATGCAGAAACAGAAAACCAAATACCATATATTCTCACTTATAAGTGAGAGCCATGTGATAAGAACTTATGAACACAAAGAAGAAAACAAAAGACGCTGTGATCTACTTTAGGAGGGAAGGTGGGAGGAGAGAGAGAAGCAGAAAATATAACTATTGGGTACTGGGTTTAATACCTCAGAGATAAAATCATATGGACAAGAAACCCCCATGACACTTGTTTACCTATGTAACAAACCTTCACATATACCCCAAAACCTAAATTAAAGGTTAAAAAAAATTCATATTTGGGAGCATATAATCCCTGAATTGGAAGGATGATATGTTGTGACTTTGGGGGTAGCATTGAGGTGGGGGTGAGTGTGGGTCATAGACCCCAAATTGAAATTCTCTACTCGTGAGACCAGGCTCATGGCTTTTGGTTCTCCCTCCCTGCGGTGCCTCCAGCCTTACTGAACTCCCTGCAATTCCCTGAGCACATCGCTGTCTTCCCAGGCCTTGCACAGGCTGCCCCTCATCTCCGATTCCTATTTCTGCATTGCAATGCATTGGAATGTGAATAAGAAAGCCTTTGAATATGAAAGCTACTCTGTTCCTTGATAAGCAAGATTAAATTTTACAAACACTTGTCTAATTACTATTCAAAAAGAGAGGCTATAAACAACTTAGAATTTTATCTTGGTTTAATGTAAGGCATATTTTCACACAGTCCATCTAATATCCAAGAGAAAAACCACTCTAGAACAGTCTTACATGTAATGTAATACATTTACTGTGTAGAAGTATATCTTAATGGGTTCAAATGTATAGCATTCATATAAGATAGTGGAATTAATAAGGAATGATTCATTCACTTATTATCCTGTGCTGTTATTTAGAAAATATTGGCTAACTTAGAATTTGAAGATTATTATTATTATTTTTTTTTTGAGACGGACTCTTGCTCTGTCACCCAGGCTCGAGTGCAGTGGCGCGATCTCAGCTCACTGCAAGCTCTGCCTCCCGGGTTTACGCCATTCTCCTGCCTCAGCCTCCAGAGTAGCTGGGACTACAGGTGCCCGCCAACTCGCCTGGCTAATTTTTGGTATTTTTAGTAGAGACGGGGTTTCACCGTGTTAGCCAGGATGGTCTCGATCTCCTGACCTCATGATCCGCCCACCTCGGCCACCTGAAGTGCTGGGATTACAGGCATGAGCCACCACGCCCAGCTGAATTTGAATATTATTAAAGCTAATAAGAATTTAAAAAGACCTCTATGAAAGTAGATATTATTTTGAAGTTTGAAAATAGAATGGATGAAGACATTATAAATAAAAGGAAAAGGGTAACCAATAAAATAAAGTGTGTTTGAGTACAGCAGAACAAAAATAGCTGTTCTAAGCAAACCATTTATAATTGCAATTAAACAATTCAGTAATAATGATGAATTTTAGAATAAGGCTGTTTTTCAGGGGAAGGGAAAAGGGAGGGTATTTTTCAAATTATTATGTGACAGTGCTTTGAAGATCTGCCATAAGTCAGTTGAGTAGGAAGGAGTTCATTGTACATTTAATTTTATATCTATGTTTATATCTATATTTATCTCTTTTTCAAGAGAGGGAAAGAGCAAGAATGGACTTAATATATTCATTGTTTCCTGTGTCTGTTTCAACTTTCTGTGATTTTTCAAGTTCTTAAGTTTTCATTGTGCCCATATTGTTATTAGACTTAGAAAAGCTTATTTAAAAGTTTGTATTAATAGTTCATTTTTATGACTTTCAGAAATGTGGCCCACTGCAGTGATGCAGAAGTGGGTGTTCAATATATAAAAGTATCAATGAAGTGTGGAACAGAGAAAAGGGAGTTTGGCATTCAACTTCAACCTGTCATAAAGCAGTACATTCTGAAATCCTAAAATGGGCCGAAAAGCTTGCCATCCTGAAAGCAGGCATGTTATAAATCAGCTAAAACAGGGGGCTCTTGGGTAGGTGATCACAGGGCCTCCTTGGATTCCAAAGTAGCAGTTAGGAACTAGAGCCCGAGTTCAAACAAATGTTGTACAAGCTTCTGGAGTTGAAATTCACACTGAATAAGCACATCCGAAAGCCTGCCTTGGAGTTTGGCATGGTTTTTATCTTATTTTGGATGCTGAAAACAGATACAAATCCAATGGAATGATTAGAAATTAAAAACAAAACTGAAAATTTGATCTCAATCTAAAAAGCACGACAGATCAGAGTGATCTGTCCACGACATTTACATGTGAGTCAAAGCTCAGATTGATCTATCTTTGGTAATACAAAATATTATAATATAGTTTTGTAACACAATCATTTTATGGCATCATATTATAGTATTATAGCATATTACAGTAGACTATGATAGAAATATAGCCTGTGAAGATGAAGAAATTGGAATTTAATGACAAAATAGGATATTTTTTAAGTAAAATTGAGTTGAAAGTGTAGGTGGCACCCAGCAAAGGCAAAGACCCTCTGCTCTGGGGAGAGCTCCATATTTGCTTCTCTGCTTCCCCATTTCTTGAATGAACAACCAAGCCAAGTTTCCCACTTCCTTCACAAGCAGCAATTTGGGCCACGGCATAATGAATTGAAAAGTTGTTGAAACCATAAAATAAGTTAAAAATGATATGAATGGCAGTTTCATTATTTTCTCCAGTTTATAAAAGTAGATTGCTGTATAACATTGCAGCCACAAGGAAAGAAAAAACGTTTAGATTCCCTAAAAGTCTATTGAGTTTCTTCTATGTGTGTCCATGGTGAAGAACACGATGGAGTCTATGGGGGAATCATATTAAAGATGGTTGAGAGAAGCGGAGCATAGGGGCACAGAAAAATCCAGCAGGTCAAGGAGAAAAATAGAAGACATAATCAGGCTTCTTTGGGATTAACACTAGTAGAAAAAAAAAAGATACGAGTTAATGTTTACTTTCATACACATTACGAGAGAAATAAATTGATAATTTACTTTGATACATGGCAGTGATTGAGCACTTTGTGGGACCCTCAAAGCCTGGGGCCCCCAGAGACTGGAGTCAGAGTAAAGGTCAGGAAAATGGGCCGAAAAGCTTGGCATCCTGAAAGCAGGCATGTTATAAATCAGCTAAAACAGGGGGCCCTTGGTCAGGAAGAGGTTTCAGAGAAGGATGGATGAAGGTTTTGATGAACAATGGGAAACTGAGGATGGTTACTTCAGAAAGAGGAATAGTTTGAGTATTAGAAAAACCGTGAGATAAATTAGCCTGTCTTCCCACTGTGACCAATAGCTTGTTGGTAAATTTGGGAGGACAAGTCAGGTGCCAGTTTGGATGTTCAGGAAGCACTGGCACTGTTAAGGGGGCGCAGGTGGGTGACTGCTGCCAGCCCTATGAGACTGGGACCATCCTGCAGGCTTGACTATTGCTCCTGGAACATTGAGGGCTACCTCCAGGGAGATGGACCAGGCAAAGGCTCACAGGAAAAATCGGAGTGGACTGGCAGGGAGGGTGCATATCTGGAGTCAGATTCTGAGCGACCAGTAGGACAGTGCTGAGGCATCCAGACAGAGGTGACAGAGCCTGGACCTTGGAAAGAGGAGGCAAGGTGAGGGCGACCATCGTGAGGATGCAGGCAGGGCAAGGAGCATGGGCTGACGCTGAACACCAAGCACGTGAGGACTTTTCTGCTTTGGAAGCTTGTTGTTCAATGGGCAAAGTAATTCATCTCAATGGTAGTTACGATCTGTTTTGGAAGCTTGGTTTCTTTGGGCTAAGTAATTCATCTCAGTGGCAGTTATGATCTGCTTTGGAAGCTTGGCATTCAATGGACAAGGTAATTCATCTCAATGGTAGTAACAATTTTACAAGAAACGTAATGAGCTCTTGTGAGCCACACTCTGTGAAGCACTTCACAAATCTTTTTGCATCTTCTCCACCCATCATGAGGGGGATACTATTTCTATTTTTATTTATAGCTGAGGAAACAGAGGCATGAGGAGGTGACTTTACTTACTGAGTCACAGAAGTACCTGGGGGAAGAGCTGTGTTTCAGCTCAGATGCTCCCGTCTAGCCCTGGTCTCAGCCAGTGCACTCAACAGTGATGCAAAGTAGAGAAGCGGCAAAACCAGAAAAGGAAATAGTGCAGTGTTCGGGGGCTTCTTGTGGCACGGCAAGTAAACGAGGCTTTGATGTGACTTCTCTGGGTCAGGTGCACATGGAGCAAGCTGAAGGTCTAAAGCAAAGGCAGCCCTAGGCTCAGTACAAGGAGGCCTGAAAAGCAGGAGAGCAGAAGCCAAAAGCTACGTGACAGCCTGAAGCTACCTGGATTTGGGCTGCCCCTGGGTTTGGCTCTAGGGGATCTGCGAGCATATTGGGGAGTCTGCCTTAACCAGGAGAAGAAGACCAAATGAATGATGTAAACATCACAAAACAATTATCTAGGAAAGTCCTGTCGACATAAAAGTATATACAGATGGATCCCTAAGTAAAAAGGTTTTATTTAGAACAATATACAAGAAGTAGGATTACAATCCAGGACATCCATACAGATCAGGGTGGTCTCTGGTAGGTGCAGAGGACAAAGGAAAAGGTTAGGGTTTATTTGGGAAAGAGGAGGTCACCCAGATTGTTTGGAAAGAAAGTTCGTTGGCTCTGGCAGTGATTTCTAAGGGCTGGCAAGTGCTGACTGGCCAGAGTGAGCAGTCACTGGGTGGGCCCGTTATCCTAGTGTTAGGGTTAGGGCTTTGTAGTTTTGCACTGCGCCTGTGAGACACTGTGTCATGCAAGTGTTCTTGTCTAAGCGGCTGGCTGTCCTCCTGTGACTCATGTAGTGAGCTGCGATTTGGGAAAATCCCTTGTGATAGCTCCTGTTATCAGGCAAATGGTGCATGACACTCCCCACTTCACGGCTTTCCCCAGCTCCATCTGCCAAGGTCTGATACAAGTGACTCCATTTTGAATCTGACAACTTTCAAAGCCTAATGCTAATAAATAACACAAAAGCAGAGATGAAAGGGATAATTTTCAAGGCAAATACAATTGACCAAAATTTTATAAACTATAAATGGAAAACACAGATAAACAATATACCAAAAACTATTGCATTAGTTTTCTGTTGCCACGGCAACAAATCAACCCAAACTTGTTGTCTTAAAGCAACACAGGTTTAACATCTTGCAGTTCTGGAGGCCAGGTGTCTGAAATCAGTTTCACAGGGATAAAGGGAAGGTGTTGGCAGGGCTGATACCTTCTGGGGACTCTAGAGGACAATCATTTTCCTGTCTTTTTTAGCTCCTGGAGGCCTGTGTTTCGTGGCTGATTGCCTGTCCCTTTCAACGGCACAACATTTTTATCATCATATCACCTGCTCCTCTGTAGGCAAATCAACCTTTTCCTCCTTATAAGACACTTGTGATTACACTTAGGGCACACCTCAATAATCCAGAATAACCTTCCCATCTCAATACCTTAACTAAACCATATTTGCAAAGCCCCCTTTGCCATATCGAGTAACATTCACAGGTTCTGTGTATTAGGATGTGGATAAAATGGAGTGTTATTCTTCAGCTTATCATAACCATTAAAGAAAATGAACCAATAATATGATTTTCACCACCCCCTCTTCACCCATTCACATCATGAAAATGTATCTGTCCCACATAATTTTATGGTCAAACATTTCAATCCAACTAAGGAAACCAATCATCCTTATTTCATTTTTAATAAACTCAAAATCTAGAAAAAAATAAAAGCTACTCAACTTGTTTTTTAAGGCTACTATAGCTTGATCTAAAAGGAAGTACAAGAAAAGACGATCAAAACTAAAGCCTGCTGAAGAAATTCTAGCTTATGAATATAGATGCAAAAATTAATTAAAATGCAAGCTAAGTCAGATATATCTTAGAAATGCAAATACAGTTAAGCATCAGAAAATCTACTTACACTAAGGGAGAGCCAAGATGGCCGAATAGGAACAGCTCCGGTCTACAGCTCCCAGCGTGAGCGACGCAGAAGACGGGTGATTTCTGCATTTCCATCTGAGGTACCGGGTTTCTCTCACTAGGGAGTGCCAGACAGTGGGCGCAGGCCAGTGGGTGCGCGCATCGTGGACGAGCCGAAGCAGGGCGAGGCATTGCCTCACCTGGGAAGCGCGAGGGGTCAGGGAGTTCCCTTTCCAAGTCAAAGAAAGGGGTGACAGACGGCACCTGGAAAATCGGGTCACTCCCACCCGAATACTGCGCTTTTCCGACGGGCTTAAAAAACGGCGCACCACGAGATTACATCCCGCACCTGGCTCGGAGGGTCCTACGCCCACGGAGTCTCGCTGATTGCTAGCACAGCAGTCTGAGATCAAACTGCAAGGCGGCAGCCAGGCTGGGGGAGGGGCGCCCGCCATTGCCCAGGCTTGATTAGGTAAACAAAGCAGCCAGGAAGCTCGAACTGGGTGGAGCCCACCACAGCTCAAGGAGGCCTGCCTGCCTCTGTAGGCTCCACCTCTGGGGGCAGGGCACAGACAAACAAAAAGACAGCAGTAACCTCTGCAGACTTAAGTGTCCCTGTCTGACAGCTTTGAAGAGAGCAGTGGTTCTCCCAGCACGCAGCTGGAGATCTGAGAACCGGCAGACTGCCTCCTCAAGTGGGTCCCTGACCCCTGACCCTGGAGCAGCCTAACTGGGAGGCACCCCCCAGCAGGGGCACACTGACACCTCACACTGCAGGGTATTCCAACAGACCTGCAGCTGAGGGTCCTGTCTGTTAGAAGGAAAACTAACAAACAGAAAGGACATCCACACCGAAAACCCATCTGTACATCACCATCATCAAAGACCAAAAGTAGATAAAACCACAAAGATGGGGAAAAAACAGAACAGAAAAACTGGAAACTCTAAAAAGCAGAGCGCCTCTCCTCCTCCAAAGGAACTCAGTTCCTCACCAGCAACGGAACAAAGCTGGATGGAGAATGACTTTGACGAGCTGAGAGAAGAAGGCTTCAGACAATCAAATTACTCTGAGCTATGGGAGGACACTCAAACCAAAGGCAAAGAAGTTGAAAACTTTGAAAAAAATTTAGAAGAATGTAAAACTAGAATAACCAATACAGAGAAGTGCTTAAAGGAGCTGATGGAGCTGAAAACCAAGGCTCGAGAACTACGTGAAGAATGCAGAAGCCTCAGGAGCTGATGCGATCAACTGGAAGAAAGGGTATCAGCGATGGAAGATGAAATGAATGAAATGAAGCAAGAAGGGAAGTTTAGAGAAAAAAGAATAAAAAGAAATGAGCAAAGCCTCCAAGAAATATGGGACTATGTGAAGAGACCAAATCTACGTCTGATTGGTGTACCTGAAAGTGATGGGGAGAATGGAACCAAGTTGGAAAACACTCTGCAGGATATTATCCAGGAGAACTTCCCCAATCTAGCAAGGCAGGCCAACGTTCAGATTCAGGAAATACAGAGAACGCCACAAAGATACTCCTCGAGAAGAGCAACTCCAAGACACATAATTGTCAGATTCACCAAAGTTGAAATGAAGGAAAAAATGTTAAGGGCAGCCAGAGAGAAAGGTCGGGTTACCCTCAAAGGGAAGCCCATCAGACTAACAGCGGATCTCTCGGCAGAAACCCTACAAGCCAGAAGAGAGTGGGGGCCAATATTCAACTTCTTAAAGAAAAGAATTTTCAACCCAGAATTTCATATCCAGCCAAACTAAGCTTCATAAGTGAAGGAGAAATAAAATACTTCACAGACAAGCAAATGCTGAGAGATTTTGTCACCACCAGGCCTGCCTTACAAGAGCTCCTGAAGGAAGCACTAAACATGGAAAGGAACAAGCGGTACCAGCCGCTGCAAATCATGCCAAAATGTAAAGGCCATCGAGACTAAGAAGAAACTGCATCAACTAACGAGCAAAATAACCAGCTAACATCATAATGACAGGATCAAATTCACACATAACAATATTAACTTTAAATGTAAATGGACTAAATGCTCCAATTAAAAGACACAGACTGGCAAATTGGATAAAGAGTCAAGACCCATCAGTGTGCTGTATTCAGGAAACCCATCTCACATGCAGAGACACACATAGGCTCAAAATAAAAGGATGGAGGAAGATCTACCAAGCCAATGGAAAACAAAAAAAGGCAGGGGTTGCAATCCTAGTCTCTGATAAAACAGACTTTAAACCAACAAAGATCAAAAGAGACAAAGAAGGCCATTACATAATGGTAAAGGGATCAATTCAACAAGAAGAGCTAACTATCCTAAATATATATACACCCAATACAGGAGCACCAAGATTCATGAAGCAAGTCCTGAGTGACCTACAAAGAGACTTAGACTCCCACACATTAAGAATGGGAGACTTTAACACCCCACTGTCAACATTAGACAGATCAACGAGACAGAAAGTCAACAAGGATACCCAGGAATTGAACTCAGCTCTGGACCAAGCAGACCTAATAGACATCTACAGAACTCTCCACCCCAAATCAACAGAATATACATTTTTTTCAGCACCACACCACACCTATTCCAAAATTGACCACATACTGGGAAGTAAAGCTCTCCTCAGCAAATGTAAAAGAACAGAAATTATAACAAACTATCTCTCAGACCACAGTGCAATCAAACTAGAACTCAGGATTAAGAATCTCACTCAAAACCGCTCAACTACATGGAAACTGAACAACCTGCTCCTGAATGACTACTGGGTACATAACGAAATGAAGGCAGAAATAAAGATGTTCTTTGAAACCAACGAGAACAAAGACACAACATACCAGAATCTCTGGGACGCATTCAAAGCAGTGTGTAGAGGGAAATTTATAGCACTAAATGCCCACAAGAGAAAGCAAGAAATATCCAAAATTGACACCCTAACATCACAATTAAAAGAACTAGAAAAGCAAGAGCAAACACATTCAAAAGCTAGCAGAAGGCAAGAAATAACTAAAATCAGAGCAGAACTGAAGGAAATAGAGACACAAAAAACCCTTCGAAAAATTAATGAATCCAGGAGCTGGTTTTTTGAAAGGATCAACAAAATTGATAGACCGCTAGCAAGACTAATAAAGAAAAAAGAGAGAAGAATCAAATAGACGCAATAAAAAATGACAAAGGGGATATCACCACCGATCCCACAGAAATACAAACTATCATCAGAGAATACTACAAACACCTTTACGCAAATAAACTAGAAAATCTAGAAGAAATGGATAAATTCCTCAACACATACACTCTCCCAAGACTAAACCAGGAAGAAGTTGAATCTCTGAATAGACCAATAACAGGATCTGAAATTGTGGCAATAATCAATAGCTTGCCAACCAAAAAGAGTCCAGGACCAGATGGATTCACAGCCGAATTCTACCAGAGGTACAAGGAGGAACTGGTACCATTCCTTCTGAAACTATTCCAATCAATAGAAAAAGAAGGAATCCTCCCTAACTCATTTTATGAGGCCAGCATCATTCTGGTACCAAAGCCAGGCAGAGACACAATAAAAAAAGAGAATTTTAGACCAATATCCTTGATGAACATTGATGCAAAAATCCTCAATAAAATACTGGCAAAACGAATCCAGCAGCACATCAAAAAGCTTATCCACCATGATCAAGTGGGCTTCATCCCTGGGATGCAAGGCTGGTTCAATATATGCAAATCAATAAACGTAATCCAGCATATAAACAGAACCAAAGACAAAAACCACATGATTATCTCAATAGATGCAGAAAAAGCCTTTGACAAAATTCAACAACGCTTCATGCTAAAAACTCTCAATAAATTAGGTATTGATGGGACGTATTTCAAAATAATAAGAGCTATCTATGACAAACCCACAGCCAATATCATACTGAATGGGCAAAAACTGGAAGCATTCCCTTTGAAAACTGGCACAAGACAGGGATGCCCTCTCTCACCGCTCCTATTCAACATAGTGTTGGAAGTTCTGGCCAGGGCAATTAGGCAGGAGAAGGAAATAAAGGGTATTCAATTAGGAAAAGAGGAAGTCAAATTGTCCCTGTTTGCAGATGACATGATTGTATATCTAGAAAACCCCATTGTCTCAGCCCAAAATCTCCTTAAGCTGATAAGCAACTTCAGCAAAGTCTCAGGATACAAAATCAATGTACAAAAATCACAAGCATTCTTATACACCAACAACAGAGAAACAGAGAGCCAAATCATGAGTGAACTCCCATTCACAATTGCTTCAAAGAGAATAAAATACCTAGGAATCCAACTTACAAGGGATGTGAAGGACCTCTTCAAGGAGAACTACAAACCACTGCTCAAAGAAATAAAAGAGGATACAAACAAATGGAAGAACATTCCATGCTCATGGGTAGGAAGAATCAATATCGTGAAAATGGCCATACTGCCCAAGGTAATTTACAGATTCAATGCCATCCCCATCAAGCTACCAATGACTTTCTTCACAGAATTGTAAAAAACTACTTTAAAGTTCATATGGAACCAAAAAAGAGCCCGCATCGTCAAGTCAATCCTAAGCCAAAAGAACAAAGCTGGAGGCATCACACTACCTGACTTCAAACTATACTACAAGGCTACAATAACCAAAACAGCATGGTCCTGGTACCAAAACAGAGATACAGATCAATGGAACAGAACAGAGCCCTCAGAAATAACGCCACATATCTACAACTATCTGATCTTTGACAAACCTGAGAAAAACGAGCAATGGGGAAAGGATTCCTGGGAAAACTGGCTAGCCATATGTAGAAAGCTGAAACTGGATCCCTTCCTTACACCTTATATAAAAATCAATTCAAGATGGATTAAAGACTTAAACGTTAGACCTAAAACCATAAAAACCCTAGAAGAAAACCTAGGCATTACCATTCAGGACATAGGCATGGGCAGGGACTTCATGTCTAAAACACCAAAAGCAATGGCAACAAAAGACAAAATTGACAAATGGGATCTAATTAAACTAAAGAGCTTCTGCACAGCAAAAGAAACTACCATCAGAGTGAACAGGCAACCTACAAAATGGGAGAAAATTTTCGCAACCTACTCATCTGACAAAGGGCTAATATCCAGAATCTACAATGAACTCAAACAAATTTACAAGAAAAAAACAAACAACCCCATCAAAAAGTGGGCGAAGGACATGAACAGACACTTCTCAAAAGAAGACATTTATGCAGCCAAAAAACACATGAAAAAATGCTCATCATCACTGGCCATCAGAGAAATGCAAATCAAAACCACAATGAGATACCATCTCACACCCGTTAGAATGGCAATCATTAAAAAGTCAGGAAACAACAGGTGCTGGAGAGGATGAGGAGAAATAGGAACACTTTTACACTGTTGGTGGGACTGTAAACTAGTTCAACTATTGTGGAAGTCAGTGTGGCGATTCCTCAGGGATCTAGAACTGGAAATACCATTTGACCCAGCCATCCCATTACTGGGTATATAGCCAAAGGACTATAAATCATGCTGCTATAAAGACACATGCACACGTATGTTTATTGTGGCATTATTCACAATAGCAAAGACTTGGAACCAATCCAAATGTCCAACAATGGTAGACTGGATTAAGAAAATGTGGCACATATACACCATGGAATACTATGCAGCCATAAAAAATGATGAGTTCATGTCCTTTGTAGGGACATGGATGAAATTGGAAAGCATCATTCTCAGTAAACTATCGCAAGAACAAAAAACCAAACACCGCATATTCTCACTCATAGGTGGGAATTGAACAATGAGATCACATGGACACAGGAAGGGGAATATTACACTCTGGGGACTGTTGTGGGGTGGGGGGAGCGGGGAGGGATAGCGTTGGGAGATATACCTAATGCTACATGACGAGTTAGTGGGTGCAGCGCACCAGCATGGCACATGTATACATATGTAACTAACCTGCACAATGTGCACATGTACCCTAAAACTTAAAGTATAATAAAAAAAAAAGAAAATCTACTTACATAATATCCTAAATTAGCAATTTAAAGAAAAATTACTTTTGATCATCTTAAAGATGCATATAACACATTTAAAATACATTTAATGTAATTCAATGTCTATTTATAATACAAACCAATAGCAAATTAGAAATGAAAGGTAGATTTCATAATAAAAAGTATTTATCTCATCATCTAAAAGACAAACATAAGGCAAAGGAAATTAACTAAGCAATTCACACATAATAAACACAAATACCTAATGGATAATTAAAGAAGTTCAACCTTTCTAGTAATCAAAGAACCACAAATGAAAACCACAGTTTTATATGTCTACAAAACAAATTGTATAAAAATGCTTGTAGTGTATTTATTAAATAATAGCCAAACAATTTTTTTGTTGTAGTCTCACTATAAATGTCAACCAGAATTTATTTTCATTTTTTGAAAATGGTAACATTTATATAAAGAAACCAATAAGAATCACCAAAAGTTTGTGGAATGAAATGAGAAGAAACTAGCCCATCAGGTATTAAAATATATTATTAAGCCTTAAAATACTGTGGTACTGGCACATGAAAAGTTAGATACACTTTACAAAAACAAATCAACTAAAATCACAGGATTAGACCAACATATATAGGGACTTACTGTTTCACAAAGGCGAAATAATATGTACAACAAACCCCCATGATGCGTATTTACCTATAAATAAACTTTCACGTGTACCCCCCCAATCCAAAATAAAGTTGAAAAAAATGGGGAAAGGGAGAAAAATGGACTGGTGTTTAAACATTTTATATTAGGGCAATTTAGTAGTCATATTTTTAAAAAATACAGTAAGGTTAGCTTCTCTACTTGACATATTACCTCATAACAAATTCCACCTGCATTGAATTTTAATTCACCTTAGAAAGTAAATCAGTTGTTCATTCCAAAATGCCCTTCTCAGCAGATGTGCACAAAAACTAGGTAATTTCAACATTTTGATTCCAACTAGAAATAGAAGAAAAATGTCTCAACTTAATATGGGATATCTAGAGATATAACTGATACGCTTGATGGCAGAATGATATCATTCTTTTAAAAATCAGTGATAAGTCAGTGATGTCCATTTTTTCTGTCTGAATTCAATATTACATGTGTTTCTTGCACATACAATGAGACAAGAAACAAATGAATAACAAAAACTATGCAAATTGAAAAGAAAAACAAAAATTTCCTTGTAGAAACAATATTATGTCTACATACAAAACCTTGAGAATCTATAGATAATTTGTTATAGCTACTGGGAGATTTAGACCAAACTGTTGGATATAAGATAACTTACAAAAACAAAGAACATTCTTATGAATGTTCTGATTAATAAGAATAATGATGCCACAGGAAGAGGTGGGCTGCCACTGTTGCTGCATCTCCCCACATGGCTGCAATCCCCTCCCCCTCTGACTTAAGTGACCTCCAAGGAATTTAAAGGGCCAGCACCCTTTCTCCTTTGTACCTCCTTGATTTTCCTCTTTTTTTTTTTTCACCTTCTGGGAGCCTGACATTCACAAGCAGCTGCATATATAAAGAAAAGTATAAAGTGACTGTGCATACCCAGAAAAAGGGACAAGTTTAGAGAAGACCTATGAAAACTTTGCATATACCCATGAGTCTGGTCCTTCCCACAGAGATATCCTATAATAATAAATACCTTTTTAAAGAGACAAAATAGAAAACCCTGGAGTGGGGAGGGGGGTGGGGAATGGAATCTGATTTTCAGAGTTACCACATTATTTGGATCAAATGTCCAGTTTCCTAAACAAATAAATGAACAAACAAAAACCATAGAGCATACAAAGAAACAAGAAAGCATGGCCCAACCAAAGAAAATAAATAAATCAACAGAAACTGTGCCTCCCTAAAAAAGACCTGTTGGCAGGTCTGCTAGGCAAAGACATCAAACAACTGTCTTTAAAAAGATGCTCAAAGAACTAAAGGAAGATGTAGAGAAAGAAACGAAAATGATGTACTAAGAAAATGGCAATATCAATGTAGAAATAGAAAATTTAAAGAGAAATTTAAAAGAAATATTGGTGTGAAAAGTACAATGCCAGAAATAAAAAACTCACAGATTTAGATCTGAGAATGCAGAAAAAAGAATCAGTGAACTTGAAGACAGAAGAATAAGAATTATCAAGTCTGAAGAACAGAAAGAAAAAATATTGAAGAAAAAGGAACCAAGTTTAAAGGACCTGTCAGGTACCATCAAGCAGATCAACATATCTATTGTGGGAATTCTGGAAAAGAGAAAGAAGACAGAATATTTGAAGAAATAATGGCTGAAAAGTCTTCAAATTTGGTGAACGACATGAACATAAGCATCTAAATGCTCAAAAAATTCCAAGTAAGATGAACTTAAAGAGACCCACACCCAGACATACTATAATCAGTTTCAAAAGACAAAGAGAGAAAGGCAAAGGGACAAAGGCAAAGAGAAAGACAGACAAAGACAAAGAAAATCTTGAAAGCAGCAAGAAAGAAGTGACTTATCACACACAAAAAATCCTCCATAAGATTATTAGCTACTCTCCTATCAGAAACTTTGGAGGCCAAAGAATCTAATATGCGAGAAGACAGTCCTTCAATATGAGAAAGAAAATTAAAACATTTCCAGATTTAAAAATGTTGAGAAAATTCATTACCACTAGGCCTTGGCTAAAAGAAATGATCAAGGGAGTCTTGAAGGGTGAACTGAAGGAACACTAGATAATAACTCAAAACTCTATAGAGAAATAAAAATCTAACTAAACGTAAATACATGCACAATTCTAAAAGCTAGTATCATTGTAACAATGGATTATAACTGCACTTTTTGTTTTGTATATGATTTAAAAGAATTATTAATTTATGTTTTGGGACACACAATATACAAATTATGATGTACAAAGATGTAACTTCCTGATATCAACAACCAGAAAAGAAGAAGAGGAAACTGTTAAAGAAGCAGTTTTGTATGTTATTGAAGTTATTATCATAAGAATTCAAATTAGGGTGTTATAATTTTGGGATGTTAAATGTAATCTTTATTGGAACCACAAAGAAAATAGCTACAGAATGTATAAAAAGGGAAATGAGAAAGAAATGTAAACATTTCACCAAGAAAAATCAACTAAACATGAGAAAATGTAATAGTGCAGGAAATGAGGGACAAAAATGCTATAAGGCATATGGAAAACGAATAGCAAAATGATGGAAAAAGCCACCCCTTATCAGTAACTACTATAAAAGTAAGTGGATTAAACTCTGAAATCAAAAGATATACATTGGCAGAGTGTATTAAAAACAATAACAACAAAAAAGCATGATTCAACTCTATGCCATCTACAAGACTCACTTTGTATCCAAAGACACAAATTGATTAATAGTGAACAAAGGGAAAACGAGATTTTAGGTAAATAGTAACCAGAAGAGAGCAGGTATGGTTATACTAACAATAGACAAAATTAAATTTAAATCAAGAAAGTTTACATGAGACAAAGGAGGATATTATATCTTAATAAAAGGTTGAATACAGCAAGAAAGGTGGTACTTAGAATACACAAAATCATAGAGACATGAAGTAGAGGGATCATTGCCCAGGATTCAGGAAAGCAAAAAATGGAAAATAATTGTTTAATGGACATAGTGTTTATGGAGATGGATGATGATGATGGCCGTACAACATTATGAAGGTATTTGATACTGTACCATTGAACCTACACTTAAAAATAGTTAAGGTGGTAAATTTTATGTTATGTGTATTAAAAATTGGAAAAAATATTTTAAAAATGTACTGTCTCACAGTTCAAGGGGCCAGAAGTCCAAGATCAAAGTAATGACATGAGGCAGACGGAAAAACAGGACAGGGACCCCCTCTTCATTTTCCCTTGCACACATCTGGCTACACTGTGTGCACTGAGCCTTTCAGCCTTGCAACCACAGACACCGCCCTTCACAAAATAGACCAATCACATCTGAGACAAATGGAGTACTTTCACCTCAGGCACCCTGACTGTCAACTAAAAGGACTTTCCAAAAGACCCTCCCCCATTGCACATACGCAGTGAAATCTCAGCTTGTCCTAATCTAACCTTTGCTTCAATTTAATAGCAAAAATTACATCCCTCGTTAGAGATATAAGATAATAATAAGATGACGTTCTTGTGTCCCTTTCTGCTCAAGATGAAAGCCCCAATGCACTGCCTCACTCAAGCCCCTACCAGACTCTTGGTCTATTTCTATTTACTGAGGATAGAGAGCCCACTGCTGGTAACAGATGGGGTTGGTACCTTCTGAGGGCTTGAAGGAGAGTCTCTACATGTTTCTCTCCAGATTCCTGACAGCAGCCAGCAATCCTAGCATCCCCTGGCTTGTGGATGCATCACTCTAATCTCCCTCTCCATTGTCAGATGACCTTCCTCTCTTTGTCTCTCTTGCTGTCCTTCCAAGCACACTGGCCATTGGAGTTAAGGACCATATAAATCCAAGGTATTTTAGCCTTAAAATCTTTAACTAATTATATCTGCAAATATTCTCTTTGTAAATAAGGACACATGCTGAGGTTCTCAGTGGACACAAATTTTGTGGGACACTATTTAGCCTACTACACTTTCTAACTATTTACTCATTGAATTCTCTATGAGGTAAATAATATTGTTACTCCTTTTTTGTAAATGAGAAAACCAAGGGTACAGAGAGTTTAAAACACTTGCTTAATATCACACATGTAGAAAGAAACCGGTGTCTGGCACCAAGTCCAGGGCTCTGTCTACTTTTTCATATTCACAAAAACTGGGGCAGCTGCCCTGAGTTCTTTACCAAGATTGTCTCACATCCTAAATGGGGAAGGCACAAATGATTGACTTTGAAACACACAGGCAAAGGCACTGCTTCTCCTACTGCTGCTCCTGGCCCATACCCACAAGTATCACATAAACGTGCGACTTTCACACACACATGAACACAGCACAGTGCATCCTGCAGCTTTGCAAATTCAATGCTGGGCTTTTAAGTAATCAGTGCAATTATGCAGGTGAGCACCAGGTGTGGGGCCGCGTAGGGTCCAGGTGGCCTAGGCATCAGGGGTTTAGTGACCATGGCCTATTCTTGAATTAAATTAAAATAACCTGCTGCATAAAAAACAATAGGCAACAATATTCACTTACTTTTTGGGAGCAATGTGCAAATAAGACTAGCAATCAACTCCTTGGAAGTGGTATGTTTTTTAAACTTTTGTTTCAATTTGGTCCACTCCTTCCCGGCCTGATGAGTGAGTTTCCAGAGAGGATGTGGGGAGTTGGAATGGAGATAGGGAGGGCCGTCTGCTGGCGGGGCTCAGCCTCTGCTCAGTTGGGGTGCTCCCATATGCTCTTCAGTTCCTTCATCTATAAGACACGGGTCTCAGCCAAGATTACAGGAAATACTACCCTCTGATTCTGAGCATCTAGGATGGGGTGCGGTGTGTGAATTCACCCCCTGTAAAGCAGGTGCCCCTTCCTCGGAGACTCAGCCAGACACCTAGCCTGCACCCTCCGTGGGCTCTCTGAAGGGCGACCCTCAGGGGGTGTGGCAATCAGGGGGTAATCACCCCCCTGGGATTGGCTTCACAGCTGCAAGTCAAATCTTATAAGACCCAAGAGGCATGATTATCTGCTGTCATGGTTTAATTCTTAATTTAAACAAGAACCAGCACTAAAATAGGATTGGGGAGAGGATTATATTCCTCTCTGCCGAGACAAGGGGTGTGTGGGCTCCCTGAGAGCTTTGGGTCAGAGCCCTGAGGACCCCTCCTTGAAGCATGAGCAGCGGGCACTCCAGCAGAAATCTTGAGGCTGCATAATTTGCTGCGGATGCCCCAAAATGCAGAGGTCTTGGAACTCTCTGATGTCAACAGCAAGCCAGGGCATTTTCAGACTCACACTCTCTTAACCTTTTAAGCACACTTGTGAGCTGTGTTCTCATTAGCAGGTTTGTGTTCCAAGTACAGCAAGGGGTTGAGACTCATTATGCCTATTACAGAAAATTAGAATAGCTCAGTGTTACATTTAATACAAAGAGGCCAAACCTGCAATTAGAGAAAGTAATTTCAAACCATGGTAAAATATTAATATTAAAAGTGTTGCAAGGACAAGAATCTAATTAACACAAGTTAAAGAAAAGTCTTAAAGATTCTAATTTTATGATCTTTTTAAATAAAAATCCGATTAGAGTTCCCTCTTAAAGGTGACATTTATAAAAAAAGTTCCAAGCAATTTTAACTACAATGGATTTCCACAAGACAGCTTCCTGTCTGCACTGACTCCCTACTTTTAAATTTTATGAGGTTCTTCTGGCAGAGTTTTGTAACAGTTAAGATGAAAATTCGGATGCATGGCACCCTTTAAAAGGAGGGGGAAGAAAAGAAAAGGAGGAGGAAGAGGAAGAAGAAAGGAAAATAATCAATTTGGTATCAAATTTATTCCAAAGCAGAGAAGTGCATTTTTTTTTTTTTTTTTCTGATTGTGGAAAAAAGACATGCAGAGAGGTCAAAGGTCACACAAAGAGGAGACAGTATTGTGTAGAAACTGTCACGCATCACCACCTATTTTGACATGCACGGGGCCGTTTGTTGTCTGTCGAACATGCAAATTAAGTGCCTGCTGTCATAGCCAGCCGATATCTGAAAGTGGAAAATGAGACCACCTGTAACCAATGAATGGAGTGATGGACAAGCATTCAGGGCTCGTCATCTCCGAGGCCATTCACTCCACCTTCGAATTGCATATGACATGTAAAAATCTTTTCTTAATATTCACAACCGGGAAGTTTGGGGAATTATGGAGGCTTCAACTGCTGCATCTAATGGGTTCTCCAAGCAGACAGCTGTGACTGTGAGCTGGCTTGATAATTAGGTGTCCAGGAAGATTTTATGCTACGAATCAGTTAAAAGGGAGAAAAGAAAAAGAAAATAATGGCAAGCAAAACTCGCTGGGATGGAAATTGCATTAACCCTTGTGTGTCTTCCTGCTCGTAAGCTTTCTTGGAGCCAGGATTAATTTTCTGGATATGGTGTCATCACACCTTCTATGTGTGGGTTTAATTCGTAAACACGCCCCAGTGTGCCGGATGGAATGGCTAGCTAATTTGGGCTACCATCCAGGAAGAGGTCGCTTATCAGTCAATGTGATACCACTTTCCATACTCATGCAATGATTCCCAACATGCACTGAAATTTTCCCGTCCGAATGAAATTTTTGAAAAGTGTATTCTATTAAAAAAAAAAAAAAACGAAGAAAAAACCACAACACTAAGAATAGGGAATGATGGCTGCCTTCATGCAAATCAAAGTGTTTAATACACAGCTTCAGTCTTTTGTAGTATTTCTTCACCAGATGTTCATATTTATTTTGGGGGGGTTGGGGGCACCAAAATAGGCCATCTATACAAAAAGAAACAGAAACTAAATTCTGACTGAGAACACTGTATACCATGCCTTTAGACTGGAACTAAAATATGGGAAGTATTGAATTATCCTTGAATGAGACTCAATAATATAAACTGGAAGGATGTTGTTTACTGAAAATTGCCACCTCCTTCTTTCTTCAAACACAAACTTCCCGGTTCCAAGCTGAGCCTAACTGGGGAAATCCAGACGGACATTTCCCCAGGAAACGGGCTGCCTTCCCCTCCTGGATCTCCTCCATGACAGGGACTCTGA
The DNA here is from genome assembly GCF_000001405.40 of Homo sapiens. Classification (NCBI taxonomy): domain Eukaryota; kingdom Metazoa; phylum Chordata; class Mammalia; order Primates; family Hominidae; genus Homo; species Homo sapiens. Next base: position 4,629,145 of record NC_000005.10, read on the forward strand.
AGAGCTGTGCCAACTCAGGCTAGGGGCGGCGTCTCTGAATCTGTGTGTGGGACTCGCCCAGCACTGAGCCCGGCCTCCAAGTTCCTTTCTCTTGGGTCTTGTTATCAGTCTACCAAGAGAGCACTTTGTTTCAACTGGGTACGCACACAGCAAAAACGTGAGCCTACTTTAAAGGAAGCGACAGGGCTTACATTTAGTTTAATTTAGGGCTTAGATGTGGAAACAAGGAGCCGTGTCATGGTTAGGACAAAATGATTTCACCTTTGTCCCATCCGAAGAGCACAAGGATGGAAAGCCTATTTTAGAGTGGCAAGGCGGCATCCTTTAACCCTCCGCGCCGTACACCACCCTTTGTGTTGTGCACTGTTTGAGACAGGATTTGTACTCCTCCTGATCTTAATGGCATTAGTGTAGAAAAGTGACATGTTAATAATTGGCAGAACCTTTTTTTATCTGATGAGTGTTGATTGAGAGCCCACTCTGCCACTGTGTGCCGGGTTGCAGACACCAGTGATGCTTCAAGGGACACGAGAGTAAAACTTTCTGCTCTCTCGACACTTAGATTCTAGTGAAGGGGAACTTTACATTGCAGAGATAATAAAAGCACAAATCTGTAGGTTGCTACAAAAGCAATGGAAAAATATCACAGTGTAGCAGGGTGAAGAACATTTGGAGGAAGGTAGGGAAAGCAGCAAACGCATGCTATAGAGTCCATCATTCCAGAGTTATTTGCAATAGAGCGTTTTTGAAAATTAAAACAACATTATAAGCGGTGAGAAATGTCAGAAAAGCCTGTTTCCAATGGCATGCTAGAGCCAGCTTGTACCAGTGAGGTGGTTGTTAAACACAGCCATCGCTGATATTTTAATTATGTGCATTTAAAATTAAATATATTCTATTATAGAAAAAACGGATAAATCTGAGTGTATATCACTGCGGAATTACTTGAGTGCATTTTGTTATCACTTAGGGTCTTGAGGCTGTTCGGCCTCTTGCATCTGAATGATGCAATACTGTACAGTGACGCTGCTGCCTAGCCTGCCCCACTTCATGTTCAGTGAGTCATGTTTGTAGATTGAAATTGACCGTGGTGGCAACGTTTACACCATGGATACTGGCAAATGAGACCTATCGGGCCTTTGTCTCCCCGCTCTGAGAACTGGCTGGTGGTTAATCATTTACCAGCCCATCACTGTCCTTACCCCAGGTTGACGTCCTGACACCTTGACGAGTTCTGCTCTGTGGGACATTTGCCACATCAAATAAAAAGCACGTAGAGCTTCCAGGAGGGCAGGCAGAGTGGTAGCCCATTCATTTTTGATCCAGATGCTGGCCTTAGCCATGCTTTCTTTATTTTTTATTTGATTTGATTTATTTATTTATTTTTGAGACGGAGTCTCGCTCTGTCGCCCAGGCTGGAGTGCAGTGGCGGGATCTCGGCTCACTGCAAGCTCCGCCTCCCGGGTTCACGCCATTCTCCTGCCTCAGCCTCCCGAGTAGCTGGGACTACAGGCGCCCGCCACCACGCGCGGCTAATTTTTTGTGTTTTTTAGTAGAGATGGGGTTTCACCGTGTTAGCCAGGATGGTCTCGATCTCCTGACCTCGTGATCCGCCCGCCTCGGCCTCCCAAAGTGCTGGGATCACAGGCGTGAGCCACCGCGCCCGGCCAGCCATGTTTTCTTTGTGGTGGCATATCCGGCTTTGTAGGAAGCCTTCCCCCTCGCCTGGCCTCTAGGTGACCTTGAGGCTGTTCATGCAATCATCTTCCCCAGCAAAAGTGTTTCAGTTCCAACGTTACCTGGAAAATCCTAGAAAAGCAGAATAATTCTAACCTGGAATGACTTCTAACTCAGGGAATTTCAGAGTGCGGGAAGTTGAGTCTGCATGATTCTGATACAGCAGCTAAGCTCTATTTCTGACCGATTCACCTGCCTAATACTTAGGTTCTCGGACTGGCTGCAGGAAGTGAGTTTAATCCGGGAGGCTGTGTTTTCTTTATCATGGTGTCCTTCATGCCTAATAACGGGTTCTTTAAAAAAGCCCCTGGGCTGTTTGCAGCAAGATCAAGCAGGATGGGAACCCCTGGGCCACTCAGAAGCTGTACCTCCACTCTGGATGGGACGTCCCTGGATGTAGCGGGACAGCCCGGGCAGCTGCTGTGGGCTCTAGAAGCCTGGGAATGAGGCAGAGAAAGGATTCGGTTAGAAAATCCTGCAGCATTTTAAATGTGATATTTCTACCTTAGGTTGCATGATTCAGCTACAGTCCTCCAAATCTGTTTCACAGTAATATTATCTGGGAAAACATATAACAGTGACTCGCATTTAGTTTGGAAAAAAATAGTGACTATTTTTACAGAAGTAAATCGAGGCACTTTTATAAATAAGAACATAGATTGATGCATTCATTCTAGGTTCCATGTCATGATTGAAAAAGACGCTAAACAGGAAATTTCTTAGTTTCAGCAAGTATGCCCAAGCTATACCCCTGAGCTGCTGGGTTTGGCACCTGATCTTTGATCCATTTCAATTATAGGGAAAAAGAAAACTGCATTTTTCAGTCAATTCAGAGAGGAACATCTTTAATTGTACCACTTACTTGTGACAACTTGTGTCCAAATCATCACAAAGTCAGCAGCTTCACCCATGACACGGTCGTGTATGTGTGTGTTGTGTGTGCGGATGTGCAAGAGGGAGGGTACAGGGAGAAGGGGATCGTAAGTTTTATGTGGTTTAAGCAATGCCAGCAGCAAGGGTCTGTGTCAGGAGCTGGATGCTGGAGCTGAGAGACAAAGTCAGCCTACCTGACGGATACAGACATGTTCTCTGGAGGTGGTGCCATGGCTGTGTCCCGAGTGATGGGCTGAGTTTATTTAACCCTTCTTTTCCTGGCTAAAGGGGGATTTCGTTTTCCAGCAATCAAGCCAGGTGGAGGGGCTAGAATTCGGGAAATGGGTGTATAAGAGGGAGGTAGGGAGGGAGGAGAAGGAAGGTGGGGTGGCTCAGGACATGCCTCCTGGAGCCATTGGGGATGGGACTCTGCATAAACCATGATTGGCCAAGCTCTCCTTTCCAAAGTGGGCTTCCATGTCCCCACAGGTAAAGGTCAGAGTCCTGTGACATTGACAGAAGCCTGCAGGGGTAGGGGAAGGTCCACCTTTAAGCTTCAGCCTGGTCTCAGAATTCACAGTGGGTTTGAGAGAGAGATCTAGTCTTGAAGCATTCAGAGGTTTTACTTTTTCTTACCATTTCTAAAATCATTCCCCTGTGCCATGTGTTACACTAAGCAGTTATCAAGTGTTTAAATTCAAAGCAAACCTGGGAGAAAGGCCCTATTGTGCCCATTGTTCAAGAGGTGCAAATCAAGCTGGACTGTTGTCCCATGGCTTATGTTGAATTTATATTTGGTTCCTCATGCACAGTTTTGAATAATATACGATACTACTGATAGTGGTGTATTTTTTTTAAAAAAAATTTTATTTCATTTGATTTTAAGTTCCAGGATACATGTGCAGGATGTGCAGGTTTTTTTACGTAGGTAAGTGTGTGCCATGGTGGTTTGCTGCACCTATCAACCCATCACCTAGGCATTAAGCCCAGTGTGCATTAGCTGTTTTTCCTGACGTTCTCCCTCTCCCCGCCCACCCTTACAGGCACCAGTGTGTGTTTCTCCCCTTCCTGTGTCCAAGTGTTCTCATTGTTCAGCTCCCACTTATATGTGAGAACACGAGGTGTTTGGTTTCCTGTTCCTGTGTTAGTTTGCTGAGGATAATGGCTTCCAGCTCCATCCAGGTCCCTGCAAAGGACATGATCCTGTTCCTTTTTATGGCTGCATAGTATTCCATAGTGTATACACCACATTTTCTTTGTAGTGGTATATTTTTTTCTAGTAAACATATGTGGCTTAATTAAAGAACTCTGGATATGTCTTCATTAAAACAAAAATTTTAGATAACCATCCAGATGAAGTGTTTCTTACGAACTACTAGAAGTTAGCCTCTGATTTGTAAATGGGAAACTACTCAGGTAACATCTTTGGTATTTTTCTTGTATTATAATCATTAGGCAGGACTTGAACACTACTGTAGGAGCAGAAGTCAACTTGTCTATGTTAAGTTCACACATTTGGTCAGCTTTTGTTTGCTGAACACCTCGTGATACTCATATTCATTGTTAGTGCCCTACGGCAAACACTGGGTGAGAAGTCAAGTTGAGCTGCCCTCAAAGATCTTAGGCTCTGGTAGGACAGACAAGTAAAGAAAGTTAGTCTTCTCTGCAAACATAGAGTCCTTCTTCCCATTCCAGCTCTTGGTGGAGGTGTTCTGTAAACTGCCAGCAATTTCATGCAGTGCTTAATCAAAATGCAGCCTTTGCTAATATTGCCTCCCAGTGTGAGGAAATTCTAGATTTTAAAAACGTATGTTCATGACATCATTTAGCTGAACATAACAATATTACTTTTCATTCATGTGAACTGAGAAAGGACTTAGCATTTCTTCAGGTCATTAAATTTGCCTTATATAAGAGTAGTCTTTTTACTTAATCTTTTAAAATCTCTTGATAAAAGATCAACCTCCACTTCCGTCCCTACATGCTGATGGGAGCCGTCCCAACACCACCAGCCGGTCAGCTGTAGTCGTGTCTATTTCTGGATTCTGTTAGACAGAGTTCCATTCTGTCCATTGTGGAGAAATGCCAAACGATGATCATAAAAGATTATCACCGTGTTTAATTATATGTAAAGTTTTGCTTCAAGCTTAAAGTTGAACATTCTGGGTTATAAATTTCTAGGAACAATTGACTATGTTTTAAATGTACAAGTGGACATGGTTATGATGTCACATTTTAAAAAGGCTTTAAGTTATGAACAAACAGCAAAAAGGAGCTCTGACACACTGGTCTGGCCTTTTTCTATTTTCCCCTTTGAGGCTGGTTTCAGGTTATTTGTAGCAAATAGCAGGTAAACTGGAAAAACTTCTAAATGTTTAATCACACTTTCCTTCATCCTTTACAGAGAAACTCATCCTCCTACCATGATAGTTTCTTTCAAATAGGGACTCCCATATTACACTAAAGTAAGTAATGTCAGATTATGATTTAAAAATGAAAATAAAAATTTTACACACAACCTAAAATTATGACTACTTTGTTTCATACTAACCTTACATTGAAATTCTGATTAATCCTAAAGAAAACCTCCACAATTTTTTTCCCCTTAGGATTGCATTTAGATGGTCTAAAATATTAGCAGGCATTATTGCAATCTGCCCTCAGAGTTATCATTATCTTCATTTTGCATTAAAAGAAGACATGACTGTGCTTTTCTTGGAAGGCATGACAGTTGTGGGAGAGGTTTGCAAAATAAACATCACCCCTTATACTGTGGAGGGGAAGGCATACACACGGTGCAGCAAAACAGAAACTTACATTATGCAACTTTATGGATGGCATCTGGGCAGACATAGTTTTTAACCAAACTTTGCTTTAAGGGGAAAGAAAGCACAGAATATTCTATTCGCAGGAACACTGGAAGGTGCAAAATCATGCACACATTGTCTCTGTAATGTAAAGACTCAATATTGAGCAAAGTTAAACAAAATCTCTGCATAAGAGATGTAAAAGCTATTGGATTATTGCACCGACTTAATATAGAATGGCACTTTTCTTGTGTTACAAAAAACAAAACAGCACCAAAGCCTAAATAAAGGCATCTTATGGATCAAGCATGCATAATAACATGCAGTCTAATGGGTGTGGAGAAAGACTTACGGTGTGAGCAAGTTTGAAGGAAATGCATTTTAATCCTTCACTATCATGCTGCTTTAAAAGTTCTGGAAGGGCTTTTAGCATATCAAATTTACAATTATTATTCATAGTTTGTGATTTGGCTACAAAAGTATTAAAAACACTTTATTCTTTCAACAAAGTTGAATGTTTCTTTCCCATACATTCTTTCTTCTTATTTTGGCAGTGATAATTATTTTTTCCTTAATATCAAGTGCAAATATACAGTTAAGGACTTAATATTTAAACCCATGGCTTTATAGCATATGCAACTGATGATCATCAAATATATGTAAAAATATAAGAATTCAAGATGTTAGTTCCCTCTTGCTTTCAGAATTCTGGGCTTCTTATTGCATTTCAGTCTTTTTTGACATTGAGGATCTAATTTCTTTCAAACTCTTTCCATTAAAAAATTAAATATTATTTGCAAAATTTGCATTTTTTTGGAACCACATTTTTCCTTCTGTTTTCTTCCAGGAAAAGGCAGAAAAATTGGGATTGTTTCTCCCCTGTGTCTGCAGGGGAGTCTCACTTTGCGCTAGCCAGGGCTTCAGAGGATACACATCTTCTACCACAAATACCTAGGGCTCCATCTCCTACATATAAATATGCAAATACAGACATAGCCATATGTGCTTTCTATAGGGGTGTTAAGTTAGACCTTCAAAACAGAAGGTGGTCTGGAAATGGTCTCCCAGTTAGGATCAAAATACAAGATAGTTCACAGCCCTGCAAAAAGAGGTTATACCACTCAGTCCACTGATTACTTAATACACGGTGTTGTTTTATGAAAAGCTATATCACTAAGTATAGAAATATTTAGGTTAAATATATTGTATAATTTTTGTATTGTATAATTTTTGAAATTGTAATTTTTAATTGTTTTAATACTTCATTTTTAAAACACCAACTCTCCCTCTGTGGTTTACAAGAACATTTTTAAAAGCTTTTCTTTCCTAGAAATGCCGTGTTTAAAAACTGATGACAACCTGCTCCACACAGAGAGCAACTCGGAAGATAAGAATAAAACAGACAACTCATGTTATAACAGAAATGGCCCGTTTGTAAATAATATGCTTTCAGAATTGACATATTCATTCCACTTAAAACTATAAAAATGTATTTTGCATTTACTTTTGTGTAATGAAATAATAAACACATGGCAACATGATTCTATCTTTGCAAGCCTGTACACTATATTAATTATGGCAGCTACCTGTATTTGCGACCATCCAGCTCGCTGTTAAGAATAGCTATTTTAAAAATCATTTCTGCAAAGTTTCCCAGTGAGCCATAAAATGTGCCTAAAAAACAAATACTACTAATGTCAAGTGAGTTTTGTGTATCCATCAGTCTTTTTAAAAATATTTTTTAGTAAGGTTATTTTGATAGATAACTTCAGGAAACTTTTCTAACCTGTTTTAAAATAGTCTGTCGAAAAAAATTAGGAACAAAGCCCAGTATGAATATAAATTATTTGTCAACATATGGTAGCGGAGGGCGTTGCCGAGCTCAAAGTCCACACAAAGAGCAGGCATTGTCCCTGGTGATGAAGTTCTCAGAGTGAAGTTCTATGGTGGTGGCAAGAACTTGCTCGCATGTTCTGGGCTACAGCACTTGGTAAAGCAAGGGACAGCTGCAGCAATTCTACATAATTAGTCAAGGTCAGACACTGCAAATGGAGGACATTCACCATTTGTCAGGAGAACAATGGAAGGAGACCTAAGCATTCTCAACTGGGAATGGCTGTGAGCGGATCGCATTGAATATGGGGTGAAGCAAGCCTGCCCTCTTTTGTGCTCACTGGAAGGGGGGCAGCCACTCAGGACAATTCAAATGTTAGCACTAGCAAGGCTAACCAATGTCACAAAACACAATCTTGTTTTAACTACCAGAAGCATATGTTCATTGACACAGCGTAATGTTGGTGACACTTGAAGAAAACAGTGAAAGAAGAAACGAGAGAATAAATGTATTTTTTACGTGTGCTTGGGATTTCATGTTTCCTTCATCCATTCAATGGTATAATCTTTTAAGTTACCAATTGATGGAATGTAATCCTTTAAATAAAGGGATGATTACTTTTAAATGAACAGTAGAGCTTTGGAATAAGGAAAAATATGTTGATTTAGGATAAAATGCTTTTGTCTTAATGGTTGCTTATAGAAGTGCTTTATTTCTCAAAGGAAAAATGAAACACATTCAAATGGTTAAATAAAGTAAATTTAGAGGAAAACTTTCGGCACTGATAGATATCTTAGTCCCACTAAAACATTCCAATCTGCCCAACAAGCAAGACTACAGTGTAATTTTTAAAGCTGAAAAAAGTCTGGGCTAGTTTTGAGTCAAAGGGAACAAGGAAATTGGTGTTTAAGTTGAGATCCTCAGAGGTTTGGGAAGTTAATTTATTTTTAAATGCCTGCATCATACCCAGTGAAGAGGAAAGCTTTCAGTTTGCCTCTGTCCTTGTTTTTGTGTTGTCCTTTCCAACTTGTGTAACGCTGAGCAAAGAGAGGACCCGTGCTGGCCTGAGGCAGGGCAACCCGGGGTCCGCTGAATGCTCACTGGGCATCCTCTGCCTCCTGCCCCAGAGCAGGCCCGTGGGGATGAGCCAGGACCACCTGGCAAGAGGGTCCACTGGGCTGTGGGCTGCAGAGATTGCTCATCAGCCCGCTCTCCTGTATCAAAATTTCCAGGTGACATTCGTTCTTTGGACTCAGGGCCCTCATTAGTGTCTCATTATAATGTCTTCCCACAAATCAGATTTCAGTCCATGCACTTTGCAACAGAATTTCTTCCTGCGGTGGGAGGCAAAAAAAAAAAAAAAAAAAAAGGCAGTGAAAGAATGACTAAAACTAAGAAGTTAGTGTCTCTCTCTCTCATTCTCTCTCTCTCTCTCTCACACACACACACACAAACACACACACACACAATCTGTTAGAAATTATAGCGTGTATTATGTTTATAGAAGACTCCAGATGAGAGAGGTGGTTTACCACCTTTCAATTATACGTTACAGGAATTCATTATCTATCTCATTATGTAACAAAAAAATATATTTTAGCCTTTTACCACACTTTCATTTTCAAATGAATATGTCAGAATAAGAAGAAACTACAAGATCCTTTCCCATTGCTGCAATCAAGGCAAGTGAATTATACATTATATATAAATTCCCAGGATTTTATAAGAAGGAACTGTAGGTGCGTGTACCCATGCAGGTATCCAGTGTACACATGCTGATGCACACACACGCACAGAGAGTTTGGATCATTTTCTTCCATCCTTTCAGCTAAAAGAATAATCCTCAGTTTTCTCTCTCAGGAGCCCTTCTTACCTATACATAAGATGAAAAAGGAAGAACGAAACAGCACAAAACATGTCACCTCTAATATTAGAACCATTTCTCCTACATCTTTCACATCTTCCAGATTTTCTCCTGTGTCTTCCAGAGGAAGTGATAGAATCTGCTGTGTAATTTAGGTAAATCCCCACATACGAGCATACAAACTTCACTCTCAGTAAGGTTAATAAAGATCATGACCTATTAACTTTTTTATTTTTCCATAGAGGAGTTTATCCGAGGGCATAAGAAACTGGCAACTTCATGTAACCATGGCAAATTATGTTCTTTGAATTCTCACTGAAATATATTCAGCAATTAAAAATGAAATATACTATTAGGTCAACTCTTCCTCTGTAGTATTTCCTTCATGACTCTTTATTTAAATTTAGAAGAAATGCTGCTGTTTCTACGTAGTGGAAGTACATTTGTTGCAGTTTCTTTAGGATTACTTTTTAGAAAAATCCTCACAAGTGAACCCGCTGTGCGGTACCACTATGGTATCCATCCCTTCATCCACTAACTACTGTACTAAGTAGGTTCCTGGCAGTTAATCATGTCAGGGAAAATGATACACAAAGCACACCAGGCTATCCATTGTTTCAATTTAATCTGAAAGGGGAATAATAACTGCTAATGTGAGATTATGATTCAGCATGCTTATTACAATGCCATTATGTCTGATTATTTTTATTTCAGTCACTAACGCATGCAATTAACACAGTCTCTAAGGACTTAAAGGCAGTTCTATATTTATTTCTGATCTGAAATGCAACTAGAATTGATTAAACTAATATGAAGAAATTATATTTATCATTAAGCATCCTCTAGTTAAGCCTCAGACTTTGATAAATGAAGAACGGTTTTACAGCTGGATAGAAGTGCATTCAGACTAAACTAATTTAACCCTAAAGACAGCCATACACATGTAATATATAGATAACTCACTACTTCACAAAAGACAAAATAATTTTCACCGGTTAGTTTTCTCTGAATGGAGAGTAGAAGCAAGCATATTTCGAAGGAAAACTAAAATGACATTAGTACTAAAGACAGTCAACTTTGTGCCTAACTTTCTTAAGTTTAGAAAGAGTACTTAATGTATTATTTATAATCTCTAATTATAACATATTGCATATGATCTCTATCCCTCCAGATGGTTAATTTTAGACTTGTCTGCAACTGATCATAAAGTCACCCTAAAGTGAATTAACTAAATAATTCTAGACAAGGGATACACTGTGCTTTCCTCTTTCTAAATTTGGAAGTGCCTTAAAATTGCCTCTCCCTCCATTAACATACATAAAGTTCTGCGTATTAACTGCAGAAGGAACTGGGGCTGAAAAGGAAAACTGGCTCCTCTAAGCTAAAGCTTGTTCTAATTTTTCAAATTAATGCATCTAATTTTCAAATATTAGGTAAAAATATTCTAAAAGTCTAGGAATCTGTAAATTTGTTATGCAGTTTAAAAATGTCCTCTTTGTGCCATAAAGTAATTGTTTTCAGCTTTCAAGTATCTTAAAGCTGTAATTATTATCATTAATCTTTTTTTAAAGACCAGACTTAAGTTACTTCCTGGTAGTGAATTTTAATGACTACCACAGTATCCCTAATGGGATCCTAGTGACCTAAAATAATTAATGCGCCTCAGAAAGGGCCAGCATTGTAAATCAGGAGCATGCTGGGAAAATCTTGCAGACCCAGCCCCACAATGCGGGACTGTACCAGCCACAGGCGGATGTGGGATTTTCCCTCAGAGCTAAATCTTTGCCTCTGTGGAGACAATCACAGAGTCAACCATGGGTCGATGATGCTTTATTGCTGCTGTTTTTGTTTCCTCTCCACTCTTGCATTTTCTCTACGCAAATCACTAACTAACTATTCATCCTGCCCGTGGTTTCTTGGGTTCACGCTCCACAAGCTGAGAAGATTGCAGCGCTGATGAGGTTTTATGATGAGAAAGGGGGTTGTCTGCTTAGCTGAGAGCACGGCTTCCAAAGCACCTGCCTGAGAGAATAATAAACATGCACACGCGGACATCCACGTGCACTGCAGAGTTGGAATGTGTTTTCTGAAGTCTAACAGATGTATGCAATTCTTCATTGTTTCTTAAGATACTAACAAAGAAAGGGTTAATCATTAGCATAAAAATTCCACCAAAATTCCATAACCAAATAATTTATTGTCTGCAAGAATGTGAGAACAAAAGAGAGAAAAGCTAACTTCTACAATTCTTCAGGATATACTGATGCTGTAGGAAGATTTGGTATTTTACATTAGACAACTCTTAAACTATCACTTGAATTATCTCAGCCTGTGACATCATTGAATACAGTTCTAGAATTCAAACGTCCACAGAATGAGGGAGGCATGTACTTAAACAATGGTATTATTAGTGCTGTGACCAAATTGTTTCTTGTCAGTTAACTCTGATTTTTTCCCTCTTCTTTTAATTTTGTAATGAGAGTCACTATATTTCTTAGCTCCATTCCAAAATATTAACTGGGGAGCTGCTCATTTATAATAGTGCCAAACTTCTGACAGACAGAAATTATAAAAGAGGCCCCAGAAAAGCATCAGAAAAAAAGGGAAACTTTTAAACAGAAATGGTAATTTGAAATACTGACCCTAGGTTTAAAATTTAGAAAAGGCCTGTTTTCTGGAGCAGTCATCTGGATGGTCCAACAGCTCCCTCTACTCCTCCAAGAGGGAAACATGAAACACAGCAGGGCTGTGTGGAAGTGTGAGCAGCCCAGGCTTGGGGAAAGCCACATGTTTCCTTGTTCCAGCCAGGAGCTCCAAAATGGCCTCGTAAGTACAGCCTAGGCAGAAGCTGATGAAACCCCCCCCATAAACGCTACCCAGGTAAAACCTGCCACAAGTTTCTCTTCATTAGCTGCCTTGATGACTGGCCAGAGGTAACAATTAAAGGGAGTTATTTTATGGCATTATTAGTGCAAAGAGTATTCAAAGGTGGCTCCATTTGTCATGCCTTATTAGCAAAAGCATGGGAAAATATTAAAATAGCAATAAACTCAACCTCCCAATAAAAGTTCTGCCAAATCGATTTGACTTTCCCATGCTTCCCTTTATACCAGCTCCTTCCAGTTTGAAAGAAATGAGACTGCAGGGAATATATATATATATATATATATATATATATATATATATAAAATATTATATATATAACATTTGTGCATATGTGCATATATTTATAATGTTTGTGTATATGTGTGTATATATATCACTTGTATATGTATATATCAAACATTTATGATAAATTTATTTACCCTACTCAAAACTTTCCATGTTTTATTTGTCCCAAAGACTGCTTATGGCAATTAATGACATTCTATCTAATTCATATATTTAACATTTTCAAAACATGTTTCCTCTGGGAAAATGATTAAATATGCAATTATTACTAGTTAAACCACACTTATCACTTGAAATCCTTTTCCCAGGATACCTCTTGCTTGCTGTGGGTTAGCTTCCACTTTGAGTTCTTTTCCTGGCAAGTGTGCTATTCGTTCATTCACCCATCCATTCACTCATTAAACATCACCAAGGACCTTCTGTGGTCTGAGTGGGCCCTGGGACATGCCTGGGAGCTCTGGGAAAGAGAAACACCTCGACTGCTCAGTGTTACGCAGTGAGGAAAGCAGGCAGAGGCGACCAGAGTTAGAGCTGCATGTCAAAGAAAATGAACATGCCGGCCTGGCGCAGTGGCTATTGCCTGTAATTCCAGCACTTTGGGAGGCCAAGGCGGGCGAATCACGAGGTCAAGAGTTCGAGACCAGCCTGTCCAATATGGTGAAACCCCGTCTCTACTAAAAAATACAAAAATTAGTTGGGCGTGGTGGTGTGTGCCTGTAATCCCGGCTACTTGTGAGGCTGAGGCAGGAGAATGGCTGGAACCTGGCAGGCGGAGGTTGCAGTGAGCCGAGATCGTGCCACTGCACTCCAGCCTAGGCGACAGAGCGAGACTCCTTCTAAAAAAAAAAAAAAGAGAGAGAGAAATGAACGTGCCTAGGAGAGGCATAGGCAGACAACTCTAGTTTCATTCCTGTTGTACAAGCCAGCCATGGCCTGAATTAACTATATGTGTGTGTGTGTGTGTGTGTGTGTGTGTTTGTGTTTGGTAGTCTAATGTCTTCATGTGCATATTTAGGGAGTATTGACTTTTGCATACAAGATACACAACTATTACTCTAAGTTAAAAAAATGCTGTCTCCCAAAGTATAATTCTTTATCATTTCCTCCTCACTGTACACACATACACATGCACACTCCATGTAATACAATCATTTATCAAATTAAAACAAAACCAAATTACTTAGGCTTTGTGCAGTACTAACAAAGAAATAGCCTTGTAAAAAATATGAGTTTATTAGCACCCCATCCTCCCAATGTACATTGATAGGAAATATAATTAAATCAGCATTTTTTACTACTCACTCAGCATAAATAGCCGCCAGCTCTGCAAGACTGATAAAATGCATTGTTTGTGTTCAGGAAGACAATAGTCTTTGAGGCTGAAATCTTTTTTTTTCTTCCAATTTACAAAGAATCTCTGTGCCAAAACCTTGGCAAATGGAGGAAAAATAGTGTCTAGCTTCACCCCTGCCATGCCACCCAGAGATTCTCCTCCTGGCAATTGTCAGTGCCCTGTGTTCCTGTCAATGAACCAAGAGCTGACAGGTGGTGGCTCTGCTAAGTCACTAATCATTGGACATCTAACATTTCAGACATCATAAATCCCACCAACCGAGAGGCAAAAGACCACATATTCTATTGCCTGGTCCCTAAGCCTTCCAGTCCATTTGAACAGGTACTGTGTTGGCTTGAAAAGCTATAAGAAAATCCCACAGACTGGGTGACTTAGACAACTGAAATTATTTCTCAGTTCTGGAGGCTGGAAGTCCATGCCAGCAGATCTAGTGTCTGGTGAGAAGGCCTTCTCCCTGGTTTGGAGATGGCCAACATTTCACTGAATCCTCACGTGACCTTTCCTCAGTTCATGCTTTAAGAGAGACAGAGAGTGATCTCTTCTTATAAGTGCACTAATCCCATCATGAGGGCCCCACCCTCATGACCTCATCTATATCCACTCACCTCCCAGAGGCCCCACCTCCAAATACCACCACTAGGGGCTAGGGCTTCAACATAGGAATTTTAGAGGGAAACAAACCTTCAGCCAGTAACAGGTACTGCAATCCTTTTATATTAATATGACTTCTGAAGTTCACTTTTTTTTTTTTAGAATCGCAGACTGTGTCAAAATGGTGCAGAGTAGTTTTAAAAGACTCCTACATAAAATAAAATAAATAAAAAATAAGACAGACCCAGCTTAAAAAGGTACCATGATTCCCAAATGTCCTCAGGACAGCTGGAAATTCCTTGGGGATAGAAGGTGCCCTCACACTCCAGCCCCCACGCCACAATGAGAGCAGAGGCTTGCCCAGGGCCTTGCCAGCGCGGTGCTTGCTGTGGCCTCAGCTATCCTCACTCACTCATAGTTCATAGTTCTAATACTTTGGGCGGGAGCAGCCACAGCATCACTTTGGCACAGCCTTTTCCCGACCCCCGTGGTGACGTTTTGCAGGATCTCTCCCCAAGCTCTCCCTGGCATTTCCACACACCCCGCCCTGAATAATTTTCTTCGAACCTCATCGCTACACAAGATGATTTGGAGGTCTGCCTTGAAATCCCAATGTTTTTTCTATAGACTGAAATAAGTTTCTTAATTCTGCTTGACTTGAGTTTCTTCTTATGTCGTACATGAGCTCATGCTGTTAAGAAACGTAATCGTGGCGGCGCTGGGACTGAGGACAGAAGCAACTGCGTCATGTGCAGTCCCGCACAGCAGAGGCGTTCCCCGCACCAGCATCCTGCACAAGAGCCAGCAAAGAGAGGCGCGCGTGGAATTAAAATCCGGGGTAGCCCCCGGCTTCTCACTGAGCACCCACCACCAACAATGCTCAGCAGTGGAACGTGGACCAACTAAGAGGCAACCCTTCCTGCTGCCGCTTCCGCAGTCAGAAGGTGAAGACAGAGAGCAAACCTCCAGGAGAGGGCTCTGCTCCACTTTCTCCGGGACATGGACGGGGCAGGTGACTGTTTCACGCTGTCATGGGACACATCAACTTCCATCCCTGCTTTACCATATTAAATGCTCTACAGTGGAGCTTACTTGAAGAAACTGAAAATTTGAGCAGGTGGGCTCTTTGCATACGTAGGAGAATCTTACCCACGCTTGAAGGGTGCAGGTTGTCAGTGTTGATAAAACGAAAACTTCAGCCAAATCAAATGTAAAGGAGTTTAATTGAGCAATGAACGATTCGCGAATCGGGCAGCCCCCAGAATCACAGCAGATTCCAACAGCAACCCCAAGGGTGCCTCGTGGTCAGAATACATTTATAGGCAAAAAAGGTAAAGTGATGTACAGGAATCGCAAGTGAGGTACAGAAACAGTGAGATTGGTCACAGCTCGGTGTTTGCCTTATTTGAAGGCAGTTTGAATATTCAGCAGTCCATGAGTGGTTGAAGTATGGCTGCTGGGATTGGCCAACACTCAGCCATTGTTACAGGCGCATACTATTAAGTTAGGTTTTCAATTTTGTCTGACTATTAAGCTAGGTGGCAGTTCATCCACAAGGACTGATATAGAGAAGTATGCAGCCCTTCTCAGGCCCTATGTAGTTTGCTTTAACAGTGTCAATGGTAAGTGTGGGCAGCTGAACCACAGGCTTCTGTGCTCCAGAGCCTCTCCACTTAGCAGGTGAAAGCTGTTCTACCCTTTGTGACCACAATTTCTGAGCCTCCAACTCACAACCCAGACTCCAAACCCATCAGGACACACTTTCAGGTGAGCTTCTGAAAAATAAAAGTTCATAGATTTTAAAATAAAATGTGATCCTGGCTGACTGGGTGTCAATCTGCAAATTGACAAACATATTAAATAAAAGGTCCCCATAACACATAAAGTATTTATTAGGAAATCCTTAATTCTCACAACTTCCTGTTCTTCCTCCAATTCTGTTCTAATCCCACTGGGTGCCTGTCTGCAGACACTTGAAGCACGGCTCTTCAGGGCGTGGGTCGGCCTTTGGTGGCTAGAAACCAGTTCTGGGAAGCAGAGCCATGCTGAGGAGCAGGGACCTGTTTCTTGTCTGGTCAAATTACCCCAGTGAAACAAAGCCAAGTGGGATAAGCCCCTAGTTTTTCTTTTCTCTTACCTTTCAGACTTCTGAGAAACTCTAACCCATCATCACAGGACCCATCCCCAACACGTCAATGAAATAAATTCCTTACACGGAGACTAAAGAGATATTCTCTTTCTTTCTTTCTCTCTCTCTCTTTCTTTTCTTTCTTCTTTTTCTCTGTCTTTCTCTTTCTTTTCTTATCTTTTCCTTCCTTCCTTCCTCCCTCCCTCCTTCTTTCTTTCTCTTTCTTTCTCCTTCCTTTCTTTCTCTGTCTTTCTTCCTTTTTTTTTTTTTTGGCAGGATCTAATTCTGTTGCCCAGGTTGGAGTGCAGTGGCACAATCAGGGCTCACTGCAGCCTCAATCTCACAGGCTCAAGTGATTCTCCCACCTCAGCACCCTGAGTAGCTGGGACTATAGGCATGTGCCACCAAACCCAGCTAATTTTTTGGAGAGACGGGGTTTCACCATGTTGCCCAGACTCGTCTCAAACTCCTAGAGTCAAGCGATCTACCCACCTTGGCCTCCCAAAGTGCTGGGATCACAGGCCTGAGCCACCTCATGCAGCTAAGACTATAGAGATTTTCTGTCAAGATAAAACTTCCTCCACTGTGATACAGAGGGATGATGGGGCGAATGGGGGATGGAAGGTGAGCCAGGAGCAGTAAAGATGAGATTGACTCTGTGGGCATTTTCCTCTGGTAAACAGCGTGGGACACACAGCTGGCCAGTGGACCAAGACTGGCACTGCAGCTCCTGAAGGCCAGCAATTCTCACCCACACAGTGAGCATGGGCAGAACAGCAGAGAAAGCAAGTGAGCCAGGTCTGCCCCACAGACGGCATGCTCTCCTTTCTCCGTCTCTCTGTCTGTCTCTGTCTCTCTCTGTCTCTCTCCAAGAAAAAAAAAAAAGATGGAGAAATGTATTTACAAATCAAAATAGATGGTGCCTATACAAAGCACAGACTTATATATAGTTACAAAAATACATACTGTATGATTCAACTTACATGAAATCAAAGGATAGACAAAACGAATCTGTGCTAGTAAAAGTCAGAAGAGTGATACTGAAGAGAGATTGATGGGAAAAGGGTGCCAGGGGGCTTTCTGGATGAAGGAACTGTCATATGTCTTATTTTGGGTGGTGATTACTTAAATGCATGCAATTGTCAATACTCATTGTCCGGAACACCCGAGATCTGTGCATCTTACTGTATGTAAATTACACCTCAACAACAATAGTAAACTTCTACGCTTTCTTTATCTGCTATATTACTAGACTAGCACTCAATAATGTTGATTTTTTTAAAAAACAAAATAACCTCAGCTCTGAAATCTGATCTCAGAGAGCAGCAGCTGGGCTTTCATTTGCAGGTTTTTTGAGTGTTCTCTGCGCCCCGTGACACTGTGGAGTTATGTGTAAATAAATAATGGTGGAAGCAGCACATTGGAACACTCACTTAACCTGTGAATCGCAAGGTTATTTTTGTAGCTGTGTCCTGTCTTCCAGCGTGGAGGGTGATTTATGGTTTTCAGCCGAGCTTCATCATCATTGTTCTCACCTTTGTTTCCATCATAGTTAATTAAAGGGAAGGTCATTGTCACCTTATGTTTTAAACCTTCTTAACATAATATATCACCCTTGGTACACTTTAATAAGGGGATTTGTGAAGGAATGGTGTAATAGGAAAAAAGTTTACGGCATAATCCATCCTGTTCACAATTACACTTTGGCTATTGCACATAATGAAAGTTAATAAGTAGACAAAATGAAGGGTCTGTCTGGGGATTCATTCAAGTGTTGATTAATTGGCTGGGTGATGTAATGGAACAAGAAGGTACCTCGCTTTTCTAAACTGCAGGCAAATGTGGCCAAAATAAACTCTATTTAAAGGACAATATCCCCTTCATTCTTTCATTGCAGATTGTCACCCCCAAACAATATGAAATTAATTAAACAACTGTTTATTGAATGCCTTCCACGTGCCAGGCACAATAAGAAACCTCGGCCAGAAAGGGTGAAGTAAGATCCTGCTCCCATCCCCAAGGGGAACTGGGCTCATGTTGGTGAGATTCAAGGAAGGACAAATTATTTATTCTACATGGTTCCTCCTGAGGATACAAGAATTAGTTAAGATTCATAAGAATGACTGAAATAATATTATGTAGGCCAGGCACATCTGCCAGGAAAATGTTAAATCCTTTCTCCAAAGCCATTTATTTTATTTAACAAACACTTTAAAACTGAATAACAAAAGACATAAATTGATTTAAGCATTTTCCAAATAGTGAGTCATTTGATACCCACAACATCCCTAGTAAGGAAGATACTAATATTATTCCTGTGTTGTACATGAAGAAACCGAGGCAGAGAGGGATCAGGTAATTGACCCAAGGTTGTGTAGCTACCAGATGATACAGCAGGGAGCCGAACCCATGCAGGCACTTTCCAGAATCTGGTGCATATTCATGAGGCTACGCTACCTTCAGACTAACGTGTAAGTTTCAGAAAATAATGTATTTTGCAAAATGTTATGTTTATGGGGATTATGTTACATGAAGATCTTTTCTGTAAAATTTTCTGTATCTCCAGCAGCCATCGGTCCTATTAAATAACATAACTCACCTAAAGCAGAGAATCCATGGACCCAGTAGAAGTAAATTGCTGACCCAGTTAAAATCTATGGAGAATGTGTCCTACGGCATATCCACGAATATACCTTCAAAAGGAAAGAGGTTATGTCCAAGCGAAGATGAGGAATATCTGAGGTGAAACTTCAAACATCTAGAGAAACATTACAGTGCTGGCTCAGCAATGGCGAGATTGCTGTTGGAGCTGTCAGCAAGTCCACTTTTGATCCACATCTCTCCAGGATGAAGGTGGATATAAGTTTTCATAATGCAAAAGACAGGTGTGAACTAAAACAGATCACAGATGGTCGAATAGGAATTTGTTACAGAAGGGTCCCCTGCAGTCCCTGTTCCAGAGTTCACACCCTTCTGTAATCCCTTGCCCTTGAAAGCCTGTGGGACCTGAGGACTCACTTCATGGAAGCAGAGTGCAGCGGAGGTGCTGGGGTGTTCATGGGCTCCCGAGATGCAGCTTCTCTGTCAGGCATTTTCTTGTACTTGTTTATTCTGATGCAGGCAGGTGTAAGGTTGTGAGCTACCCTGTGAAGAGGCCCATGAGAGACGAAACCAAGGTCAGGTTCTGGCCAAAGCCAGCAAGGGATGGATGCTGCAACATGCTTGCTGCAACAACTGCAGGAGTGAGTTTGGAAGCAGAACTTCACCCTTCACAGGTGAGTTCCCAGAGGAGACCACAGCGCAGTGTGACACCCTCCCTGCAGCCTCATGAGGGATCTTAGGCCAGAAGGACCCAAGGAAGCTGCACCCACCTTTCCACCCACAGAAACAGTAAGATAATATGGTTTTGGTTGTAACACATTAAATAAATTTTGGGGATAATTTGTTATGCAGCTGTAGATAATGAAACACCTTTACTCCACACATTTATTTTCTACCAAATACCAATAAACTGAGCAAGACATTAAAGAAAAATAGGTGAGCTAGCCTGTGCCTTCCAGGAGTTCAGAATCTTGTGGAGGACTGTTGAATCCATGATCACAAAATTGTCCTGGTAAAAGCCTGCATCGTATCACGTCAACAACATGGAGCCCGGGGGCCCCTGAGAACTTGTGGGTGAGGACTTGACACAGGAAGTCCTGACTGATGGAACACAGGTGTGTAGCATTGGCCAGTATCTTTACGCTTCATTTAGGGTCAACAAAACAGAGAGGATTAGCTGCAATGGGAACAGATGACTTTCTTAATCTTGTAGGTGGACATAAGCCTGGTAAATCTGGGTGGGTTCCTGTAGATTGGAAAACTTTAGCATGCCTGCCCTTTTGTTCAGCTCCCATTCCTTTACTCAGTATTTGGGCTGCAGTAATGCAGTGAAAGAATGGCACAGGAGGGACAACCTAAAGAATGCCAGGGCTGCTCTTCCTCCAATAAATGCTTATTTAGCACCTCTCTGTACCAGAGGTGGTGCTGGTGCTGGGATGCATAAGAGAAAAAGCCTTGCCCTTGCAGAAAAGGTTATGCGAGAGAAAGAGAAGGGCAAAGCCAAATGTATTGAATACTGAACACCTGCTTTGTGCCAGGCAGTCAATACTTCACATGTACAATCTAGTTTATTCAGTTAGAATTGAGGCAGCCAAGGTTTGGGAAGGTTGAGAAAATTACTCAAAGTTGCATAAGTTAGTTTTGGAATCAAGATCCGAACTCAGTTCTAATTAATCAATTGACTCTGAAGCCCCATGAGAGATGATAGCTGGAAGTCGAGCAACATATTTCCTTGAAGGTAGGGCATCCCCTGAGCACCTGCCCCTGCTGAGCCTCGTCCGTGTTTGCAGCAGGTGCTGGGACTGGAAAGGTCTCCTTCCATCCTTCTAAGTCCCTGCACCATCTGCCATGCAGAAGATAATCGGGCAAAGAAAAACAAAAAGACAGCTGAGGAAGAAAATGGGAAAAAAAAAAGAGAGTTGGGTGGTGAGAGTTTCAGAGCACAAGGTGGCCTTTCGGTGTGCTTTACACCTCTCAAAGGCAGAGAATGAAATGACAGCCACACATAGGGAATCCACTGGGCCAATTTTTCTCCTTTCCCTGCCTCCTCTCAGCCAGTGGCTCTCACCTACTCAATGAGTGTCTCATCTCAGGAGAGGTGGGGACATTGTCTGCCAGTATCTGTTCAAGGTGATACTTCCTCTACTTAGATCTGGCACCTTCGTTACATGCAAGCAGAGCAAAACCCAAACCCTTGCCTTGGTGCTGAAGATGCAGCTGCCTTCCTCCCTCAACACTGGGCCATATGGAAAACCCTGAGACTATTTTAAAGGTTAGTGAAGTTATGATAAAGGAAAAACATCTAAATTCAAAATACATCTTCCGCACACTGATGACTTTTAGTCATCTGTTGCCTGTATTTGTGTTCTAAAGGATGCTAAAAGGTCTTCAAAGGTGTTACAAGCTCACTCAGAGCTCTTTCATGATAATTTCTCTTCCAACATGAACCTCTGTGTTTGCCAAAATACCAGTTATTCATTCATAATTTGCACCTCCAACAGACCCTCTTTATATCAATTCTAAAAAGGAATAGGATGCTGGGTATATATCTATTTGTTTCTTGGGGAAATATTTTTACTTTCCAATAGTAGGAAAGAGGAATACTTTAATAGATATTTTAAAACACGAGTCCGGTGGGATTCTTGTTCTCTTATTGATGTGGAATGCAGAACAAATACTCATGACAAGGGCATTGCAGCTTTATCCATCCGAGGACACAAACTAGCCTCACTGGCTCCTGTATGACCTTCTTCCTTGCTGGCCTGTGGGAGGGGAGTTAGACGGATGGCCTATAGGGCCCTGGGAACCTCTTCCTTGCTGACCTGTGGGAGGGGAGTTAGATGGATGGCCCATAGGGGATCCTGGGAACCTCTTCCTTGCTGGCCTGTGGGAGGGGAGTTGGACGGATGGCCCATAGGGCCCTGGGAATCTCTTCCTTGCTGGCTTGTGAGAGGGGATTTGGACAGATGGCCCACAGGGCCCTGGGGGTGGTACTACCTCTCCATAGTTTATTATTAAAAGTATCCTCCACTACTCACCAGCTCTGGGGCCTTGAGTAAGTGACAATCACTTTAAGCCTCAGTTTCATTATCTGTGAATGTATCAAATACCCACCCTATAAGTTGAGGACTTAAAAAATAAGATAACTTTTAAGAAACACATACCAAGCAACTGTCACAGAATAGATGCTCTGTTTATAATGATGATTATTAGTTATGCTTCTTAAATTCAATGATTATTTACATTCATGACACATTACAATGGTGATTCCTGAATCTCTATAACAAAGTGAAAATGTTACACTGGTGGAATTGGCAAATAAAAATGTATAATCTGGCTGTGAAATCCTTTGAATGATATGCTTGTGAGATCAAAATGGCACACTTCAACTCCCTTCATCCATTGGAGGGTTAATCAAAGACTTCCCAAGGCCTGCAAGAGGAGAGGCCAGGTGTGTTCATCTCACTGCTCTGCCTCTGGGCACTGTGACTGGCACAAGTAGGTGCTCAAAAGGACTGGATTCTATAATGCCTTTAAAAATATTAGAGAAACCATCTGATATCATTTGGCTCTGTGTTCCACCCAAATCTCATGTTGAATTGTATAATAATTCCCATTGTTGGAAGAGGGGCCTGGTAGGGGGTGATTGAATCCTGGGGCAGGCTTCCCCCTTGTTGTTCTCATGATAGAGTTCTCATGAGATCTGGTTGTTTGAAAATGTGTAGCACCTTCCCCTTCTCTCTCTCTCTCTTCCTCTTGCTCTGGCCAGTGAAAATGTGCCTTACTTCCCGCTTACTTTTTGCCATGATTTTAAGTTTCCTGAGGCCTCTGCAGCCATGCAGAACTGTGAGTCAATTAAAACTCTTTTCTTTGTAAATTATCTATCTCAGGCATGTCTTTATAGCAGTGTGAGAATGGACCAATACACCATTCCTTCTAGTTGTTTTGAGAATGCTCCAAGGCTGTGGAATTCCCCTGAATTCCCACCTGGAGGAATGTCTACTTCGTCTTTGAAGGTTTCATCCTTTTTTCTTTCTTGGCTTATATTGAGGAATGGAGGAATTATCTTAGACTAATTGAGTTTCAATTTGACTCTTTTTTATGGCGGAATCTCACAAGCAATTTTTCTTGTTCAGTAAGTACAGCGCAGAGATTAGTATGACTTATTGTGATCCTAGTCCTTGAGAAATGTGGGAGTTTAAGAACATGAACATGCATGCATATATAACAACTGGAATTTATATATATTTTTTAGCAAGTCAGGGAGAAATGCTGAGTCAGAGCCCCAGGAAGTTGAAAGCAGGGTTGAAGGTGATGAAGATGAGTCCGCATTAATGAGGAAATCACTATGCTACTCAGGCTGATTTAGTGAGTTCTTTGTCCACCGTTTCCTTTAGTTTTATGAGCATATGTAAGGTGAGTGAATTAACAACTTTTCTAGTTAAGCCCAGTGCCTGGGATTCCTAATACACAGTTCCTATTAATTTTGTTTTTCTGTAATCGGGCTATGCTGTCTTGTTTCTTTGCATGCCTCACAGTCTTTTTATTAAAAGTTGGAATTGTAAATATTGTAACATGACAATTCTGTAAATCAGATTCTTCCCTTCCCTGAGGTTTGCGGCCTGTGATGGCCTATTGTTGTCTTCCTTTCTACTGGCCTCTCTAAACTAGAGCTCCAGTTTTCATGTATGTAAAATGAAGACACCAGTCTAGTTAAATTTTGTCCTATCCTAAACTTCAGTGATCTGCCTTAGAAGTGATCATCAGTTCTTTCTTTCCTGACTCTGAGCAAGAATTAAACGGTATCTCACTCGTGTCTTCCTTATCACTCCTGGGGGAGCGTTTCCCCTGCCCTTTAAGTCTCACAGCAAGAGGAATAGAATGTGCTCTGAAACCCAGAGGTCTCACCTCTGCTAAGTCAGACTCGGTGACACAGACATGCAAGCCAGCAGATAAATTATTTTGTGTTGGACAAAGAGCAATAAACCAAACAGCAATGTTTCATTAAATACATTTCCAACTCTTTATAATTGACTGTCCGTCTTTCTCCCTTATTTCCCTTCTCTAGCTAGCTCCACGTTCCCTTGGCTCACAAGACAGATCCACTTTGTCTTAATCTGCCTTTCAGAAATGCCCTCCAAACTCAACTCTATGGGCACTAAAGGAAGTCTGTAAAACATAGAGCTTGCTAAAGTTTTGCAAAGTGCTTCCTCATTTGTCCATGTCATAAGCAAGCTGGGATTTGGTAAACAACTTTTAAGATCCAAGTAAAGGGGCCAGGTACATCTCTCCCTGTCCCCAAGTGATAAAAAAAAAAAATGCATGAAACAATGGCTACTATAAAATTCCTCAAGATGAACGTGTTGTTTTTTAAATACATCTTCTTGAGCCCCCTTGCCCTTGCTGTCTTATAAAGGTAAAGAATTCTCCCAAAGGAAGCTTCTCAAAGTGCCCCAGACTGCTTAAAAGCCATGTTCATATCTGTCTTAGTTTGGGTTGCTATAGCGAAAATAGCATAGACTGGGTGCTTGAACAACACAAATTTATTTCTCACAGTGCTGGAGGCTGGGAAGTCTAAGATCTAGGTGCCAGTCTGTTCAGTTCCTGGAGAGAGTCCTCTTTGTGGTTTCTGATGGGTGACTTCTTGCTGTGTCCTCACATGGTAGAGAGAGATCATTTTTTTCCTGTGACTTTTTATGAGGGCTGATCCCATTTATGAGGGCTCCAACCCTCATGACTAACACCCCCATAAAGCTCTTCCTCCTCATATCATCTCACTGGAGATTAGGATGTCAATGTATGAATTTGGGGTAACACACACATCCAGTCCACAGCATCATCTCTCTGTGTCTCCTTCTGCAGCCACCTCAGCTGTGCCATCCCCAAGCTGCTTCCACAGGCTGCTGCACACAAAGTACAAAAACACCACTGTGTCTCTGTGACTCCAAGGATCTTGGTCATGATTTGACAGTCGCCCAAATCGCTTATGTAATATTTTACATCATAATCAATGCACTTTTTCAGATTACCTGGTGACTTTATTAAGATACTTCTGTAGTGAAAAATTGCATAATAAAATTTACGTTCCAAGATTATCAAACTCCTTTAATGGATGACTTGCAGAATACTCTCTCTTCTTCAATCTTCTGGTTCATTCCAAGGGACCAAACCTTTCTCCAGCTTTGATCTTTAACTTAAAATTTCAAACAGGAATAGCCTTGTTAAGTTTATGCTAATTGAAACAAATAACAGCATTGTCGATTTATCAGGACAAGAGTGTATTTGATGTTCTGTTAGAATGCTGCTCACTGGACCTTGCATTGGAACACTGCTCACTGGACTTTCTGTTGAATACTTCTCACTGGATCATAAGGCGCTCTTTTCTGAGGTTTCTGCCAGGTCTACTCACTGAGCACTGGGCTTTTTAAAACTTTCTCTTTGCAGAAGAAACACGCATTTCAGAGTGTCCTCACACAGAGGTAGATACTTTTCCTCTCTCTGTCTCCATTGACCAAAATTAGATTTTGCAATTTTAGCACTTCTCTAAATAAAGAATAGTTTGCTTCCTGGCTGAATAACAAACTTCATAAAATAATGATTAATAACTAAAGCTGTTTTGTCATATCTAAGGTTTCATGATATCTCTGGGTTTTAGCTAATATTTTCCATTTGGTAACACAACTCTGACTGGATGGAGTAGAGTCACCTCCTCATTGGGTTTGAATGTTCACACTTCTCTAACCATAGTAGAATTGGATTGGTGTATTAGTCAGTTTTCATGCTGATGATAAAGACATACTTGAGACTGGGAAGAAAAAGAGGTTTAATTGGACTTACAGTTCCACATAGCTGGGGAGGCCTCAGAATCATGGTGGGAGGTGAAAGGCACTTCTTACATGGTGGCAGCAAGAGAAAATGAGAAAGATGCAAAGGTGGAAACCCCTGATAAAACCATCAGATCTCATGAGAATTATTCACTATCACGAGACCAGTATGGGGGAAACCGCCTCCATAATTCAAATTATCTCCTACCATGTCCCTCCCACAACACATAGGAATTATGGAAGCACAATTCAAGATGAGATTTGGGTGGGGACATAGAGCCAAACCATATCATTCCACCCCTGGCCATTCCAAATCTCATGTCCTCACATTTCAAAACCAATCATACCTTCCCAAGAGTCCCCCAAAGTCTTAACTCATTTCAGGATTAACCCAAAAGTCCACAGTCCAAAGTCTCATCTGAGACAAGGTAAGTCCCTTCTGCATATGAGCCTGTAAAATCAAAAGCAAGCTAGGTACTTCCTAGATACAATGAGGGTGCAGGTATTGGGTAAATACAGCCATTTCAAGTGGGAGAAATTGACCAAAACAAAGGGTTACAGGGCCCATGTAAGCCCAAAATCCAGTGGGGCAGTCAAATTTTAAAGCTCCAAAATGATCTCCTTTGACTCCAGGTCTCACATCCAGGTCACACTGATGCAAGAGGTGGGTTCCCATGGTCTTGGCCAGCTCCACCCCTGTGGCTTTGCAGTGTACAGCCTGCCGTCCAGATGCTTTCATGGGCTGGCATTGAGTGTCTGCAGCTTTTACAGGTGAACGGTGTAAGCGCTTGGTGGATCTACCATTCTGGGGCCTGGAGGACAGTGGCCCTCTTCTCACAGTTCCACTACTCAGTGCCCCAGTAGGGACACTGTGTGGGGGCTTCAACCCCACATTTCCCTTCAGCACTGCCCTAGCAGAGGTTCTTCATGAGCGCCCTGTCCCTGCAGCAAACATCTGCCTTGCTATCTAGGCTTTTCCATACATCCTCTGAAATCTAGACAGAGGTTCCCAAACCTCAGGTCTTGACTTCTGTGCACCCACACGCTCAACACCATGTGGAAGCTGCCAAGGCTTGCAGCTTTCATCCTCTGAAGCCACAGCCCCAGCACTACAGTGGCCCCTTTCAGCCCTGGCTGCAGGGGCTGGGACACAGGGCATAGAGTCTCTAGGCTGTAAACAGCATGGGGACCCTTGGCCCAGCCCACAAAACTATTTGGCCTAGGCCTCCAGGCCTATGATGGGAGGGGCTGCCACGAAGGCCTCTGAAATGTCCTGGAGACATCTTCTCCATTGTCTTGGGGATTAACATTTGGTTCCTTATGACTGATGCAAATTTCTGTAGCTGGCTTGAATTTCTCTACAGAAAATGGGTTTGTATTTTCTATCATAATGTCAGGCTTCAAATTTTTCAAATTTTATACTTTGCTTCCCTTATAAAACTGATTGCCTTCAACAGCACCCAAGTTACATCTCGAGTGCTTTGCTGCTTAGAAATTTCTTCTGCCAGATATTCCAAATTATCTCTCTCAAGTTCAATGTCCTGCAAATCTCTAGGGCAGGGACAAAATGCACCCAGTCTCTTTGCTGAAACATAACAAGAGTCACCTTTGCTCCAGTTCCCAACTAATTCCTCATCTCCATCTGAGACCACCTCAGCCTGGACCTTATTGTCCATATCACTATCAGGCTTTTGGTCAAAGCCATTCAACAAGTCTCTAGAAAGTTCCAAACTTTCCCACATTTCTTCCTTTCTTCTGAGGCCTCCAAATGGTTCCAACCTCTGCCTGTTACCCAGTTCCAAAGTCACTTACCCATTTTTGGGTATCTTTTCAGCAATGCCCCACTCCTGGTACCAATTTACTATATTAGTCCGTTTTCATGCTGCTGATAAAGACATACCTGAGACCGGGTAATTTACAAAAGAAAGAGGATTAATTGGACTTACTGTTCCACATGGCCAGAGAGGCCTCAGAATCATGGCAGGAGGCAAAAGGGACTTCTTGCATGGTGGTGGCAAGAGAAAATGAGAAAGATGCAAAAGTGGAAACCCCTGATAAAACCATCAGATCTCGTGAGACTTATTCACTACCATGAGAGCAGTATGGTGGAAACTGCCCCCGTGAATCAAATTGTCTCCTACCGGGTCCCTCCCACACCACATGGGAATTATGGGAGTATAATTTAAGATGAGATTTGGGTGGGACACAGGTATTTCATGCCATTTGTTTTGTGCTTCATTTCAGAGATTGTACAATATTATAATAGCTACCAAATAGGTTTAAAATACTTTCAAGTTTATTTGATTCATATGTATATTTGTATAATCAGTTAATTTGGACTCATTTGTTTCCAATTTGTTTACATCTAAAAAGTAAGCTATGTCCAGGTGCAGTGGCTCACACCTGTAATCCTAACACTTTTTGAGGCCGAGGTGGGCAGATCATTTGAGGTCCAGAGTTCGGGACCAGCCTGAAATCCTGTCTCTGCTAAAATAAATAAATAAATAAATAAATAAATGCAAAAATTATCCAGGTGTGGTGCTGTGTGACTGTAGCTCCAGCTACTCCCAGGAGGTGGAGGTTGCAGTGAGCCAAGATGGTGCCATTTCACTCCAGCCTGGGCAACAGAGTGAGACCCTGTCTCCAAGAAAAGAAAAAGGAAAAGTAAGTTACAATTTAAAGTAATTGTCATAGATTATATTTTGATTTTTATTATAAGGTAATATCTTCATTAATGAGTAAAAATCATAGTTTTCCACAGGTAATAAATTCTATAAAAAGTTTGTGGGCTGTTGGCTCTTCTATGAAATACTTGAAGCCTAGAACATACAGTTTTCCACCTTAATTTCAAAAATAAATGAGGCCAATAGCATTTTCAAGAACACAGAAATTAATCACTAACTTTGTGCACTATTTTTGTTTTGTGGCTGTAACAAATGACCACAAATTTGGGAGCTAAAGCAACATGTATTGATTGTGTTACTGGTCTAGAGATCAGAGTCTGGAGTGGGTCTTGCTGGACTAAAACCGAGGTGTCCACAGGGCAGCATTCCTCTCCGGGGGCACTTGAGGAGAACCTGATTTCTGGCCTTTCTGGCTTCTAGAGGTGGCTGCATTCCTTGGCTCCTGGCTCCTTCCTCCATCCGCAAAGTCAGCAGTGCTGGGTTGAGCTCCTCTCAGATCCCATCCCTCCATCCTCCCCTTCTGCCTCCCATTTCCACTTAGAAAGACCCTGTGATTATATTGGGGCCACCTGGATTGTCCAGGATAATCTCCCCATCTCAAGCTCTTTAATCATATTGGCAAAGTCTCTTTTCCCTTTTAATTCATAGTCACAGGTTCTGAGAATCTAGACATCTTTGGTGGTCATTACTCTGCCCATCACATTGTATTTATGCAATACTTTATTATTTTTTTTCATTCTTTCAAAGTGACACGTAAACCCAGGTGAAGATCAGGGAAGGAGGTTCCCACTAGCTCTAGTTGAGGTACATGGGATATTGGTGGCACTGCCTGAACAGTGCTCCACAGAGGAGTCAACACTTGAATCAGAAGAGAATTGCTGGGATCGTGACTAGCAGGTGCAAAGGAATGGCATCGCCATGCTACGTGGCCACACTTGGGACATTGTAGGTGGCTTGGCCAAGGTGCAATGGGAGGAAGAATGAGGCCAGAGAGACAGGCCTTGTGCAGATCAGGAAGGAGCTTGTCACATGTCCTGTGCAGACTGAACTTTATGCACACTGAGGGGCACTCAAGAGATCCCAAGCAGTTGAAAACATGAACAGATTTTCACTTTGGAAAGATAACTTGGGCAGTTGTTTGGAGGCTGGGTCAGAGCAGTGCAAGGGAGAGAGCAGGAAATCAAGTAAGAGATGATCTCAGTCATCCTGAAGAGATGGAGAGCTATAATTAAAGCCTGAGAATGGAGCAGAGGGCTCAAGTCCACTTGAAGAGGTAAAAACGCATGGCTTGAGGAGAGCTGTAACAGGAGTCATGAGGAGAGGGGGTGAGGAGGGCCTATTGCTCAGACCCCTGTCCTGGCTGGCTGGTGGAGACAAGACCACTGGCCAGAATGGGGGAATAAATCTGGGGGCAAGGCTAGGAACTGGTTTGGTCATACTGGGTCTGAGACCTCTCTGGGACACTCAGGCTGAATGGACCATGAGGCTGCATCATTGCGGGATCTGATGGGGTACAGACTTAAGAATCACCAAAGGGTCACTGGAAAGAGAATAGGGAGCTTCAGAAATGTCCCACAGGACAATAGGAAAAGGAGGCTCTGGATACTCAGGTGTCAGCCATGGTTTCTAAAGTCCAAAGTTTCAGTTAAACAACAGGAATGAGTTCTGGAGATCGAATGTGCAGCATAGTGACTACAGTTAACGATCTTCTATTAAATCCTTGAAATGTGCTAGTAGGGTAGATCTTTACATGTGTTCTCACCACAAGAAAAAAAGAAAGAAAATGGTAACTAAACAAGGTAAGGAAGATTTTAATTAGCTTGATTGTGGTGACTATTTCACAATGTCTACATATATCGAAACATCAAGTTGTACACCAGAAATCTATGGAACTCCTATTTGTCAATGTATGCCTGAATAGAACTGGAAAAAATAAAGGAAATTAAAAAAAGAGAAAAACCATGGATTCCAACCCTCGAGAAAATGCACTTAAAGTGTTGACCAAACTTTTAGGTGGTCTCTGAATATTCTAAAGCCTGAACAGCATAAGAATTTCTGTTTAAAGGTAACTGAATGTGTGTAATGCCTGTGTGGGGTGAGAACAATTCAGCTTCCCTCTCAGCGAGCAGTGTCTCCTGCTGATGACTAGTTACAGAAGCTGAGTCCGCAGTGGAGACTCTTTCTGCATGCATGTTATGCTTGCTGTGTTTAGGGCTTCTACCAGGTCAGCTCATGTTCACATTGAATTTATAACCATTAGCAGCTCAACATTGTAATAAAAAAATTTCACAGTAAAATAAAATGAAGTAGTGAACTGAGTTCTGTCTTCACTTGCTAGCTTTCAAATCTCTCTGCATATCTATTATGTTCATTTCCTTCCTGTTTCTCACAACTTCCTGCTACTCACAACTTCCTGTAGATCACAACTTCTTCCTTCTCACAATTTTCTGTGTTTTACAATGAGTGGCTTGAAAGACCTAGGCCTTGTTTTGGCTTTGTGTCCACAGGATGTCACTAAGATACCATGAGCTTCATTGGACATCTATTTTAGCAAATACCTGCCACATTGGAGCCCCTCTGCCTAATCCATCCTTTGTCCTTCGGGCTTGGGCTTTTTTCTTGTGCCACCCAAGACTTTTAGGATAATGCCCTAATACTTGGTTATTGTAGTACAGAACCCACAACAACAAAAAAAGCTTTGAAGTTTTAAAAGTTGTTGAGAAACAAACTTCCAATCTCTCTTAGCTGCAATAAACCTTCTACAGAGAAACAAATTCTACCACCTAAAAGGGAAGAAAAACATAACCACCTAAAAGGTGGTTACTCAATCCGTTTTTAAATGTGTAATCAATAAAACCTACTAACTTATTGTTTCTGGGTTACCTTTAAAATGGTACCAAGGAAAGGGCCTATGTACATTAATGTATGCAAATAATTCAGGATTTAACAACAGCATGAAGTTTTTCTCAAAGGAAGAAACACAAACAGATGCTTTCTCATATGCTCTCCAATTTATCACTGTATTCTCTTAAACTCTGGGGTGTTGCATTTTAGGGTCCTATTAAATAAATCAAAAGGGAATATTATCTGGAATTAGGAACCAGGCAGGACCACGGCTAAAATTAATTCACCATAGTAATCTCCTCCTAAGAAACTCCCCTGAGGGAAAACATTATACGCCCATTTCTGTGGGCAGAGATTTAAATATATCTCCCCTATTAGTTTTACATGCCTAAATCCCCATGCATTAAAATAAAAATATATCTGTCCTCTCAGAAGAGAAACCTGGAAGTCTGTACTGACCTCTAAATGAATCCAATTAAATTTAATCAAGTTACACATCTATGTTTTAGAGTCCCATTGAATATTTGAGAGAGAAAACTGGTCTAAAGAGAGATGTGCCCACATACATTTCCAAACATTTCAACCCTTGCCTTGCCAATGGAAGGAAAACCCAAACTGAGGGCTATCAACACAGACACATGCACGCAAAAATCCAATCATCCCAACCCCTTCATCTTGAAGCTACACATGCAAACATAATAACTGTGTTCAACAGAAGTGTTGTTAAACATTGGTACCGAAATTCCATTTCATTTCACCTCCAGTGGGTTTGGGGTGGGGGGCACCAAGCATGGTTGGGTTCGTTGAAGATAATATGATACGGAGCTAGAAGCCCTCCTCGGATTTCAAACAGGTCAACTTGTCAAAGCTTTATTTGGGAGCCAATTACATTAATTTTCCACAGCAGCCAAATACATATTTCATTTCCATCTCCCACCAGAGATGGGGTCCAGGGATCCTGTTTCGAAAGGCTCTTATCACTAAGTAACATTCATACCCCCAGAGGAACCCTTGGCAGCCGGTGGCCCATTGATGTGATTGCACCAGGCCCGGGCTGCCGGATGCTGCTGGGGAGCAGTCGCAGCCTCAGACGCTTAGGGACAATGGGGTTTCCACGTCAGCCACATTGTCAATAAATTTCAATTACGCTAATTGCCAGGAGTTCAA
The DNA here is from genome assembly GCF_000001405.40 of Homo sapiens. NCBI lineage: Eukaryota > Metazoa > Chordata > Mammalia > Primates > Hominidae > Homo > Homo sapiens. The sequence continues at coordinate 4,661,624 of NC_000005.10, forward strand.
TGAGTGCACTTTGAAAGGGGGGAGAAAGGAATATAAAAAAAGGGAGCTTATGCCTCATAGGGCTAAAGAAAAGGAAGTAATAAATAATATGTGTTTTCTAATGGGGGTATTCAAGTATTTTTCAACATGGCTTAACCAGATTTTACAAGCTGTTCCAGCTTCAGGGATCCTGGCTTACATTTCTGTTACTGTCTCCCAACAACGTATACAGAAACTCAATTATGTGGCATTGTATTGCAGGGGAGATTTAATTTCTGCTTTTTCTTTTTTCACACATCGATCTACCCTGCTTGGGCAGACAGGACGCTGAGTGCATTTGGTGAGGCCATTTTCACAAACAAATGTGGCTGCTTTAAAAACTAACCCAGAGGATGACAGGAAACTCAGGGTGATGTGTCCTGTTACACATCCTCAAAAAATGAGGACCTTGGAGAAGAAAACCCGGCAGTGTGCTTGCTCATGGTCACATTTTCATGTTAAAGCCAGGTCGCTTGGCGGTGAACTGTTTTTGTAACGTCCTGGGATCGTGATCCATTTGTCAGGATCATTCATCATTTCTCACTCATTTTGGTCCCCCCAGGAAAAGGGAGAACAAAGGGTAGGAATGGTTTTCAAGAAGTTTAGGAACGCTGGTGGCTTTCCGAAGCCTGCTTAGCACCATGGAACCAACCGGAGCAGCAGCCCAGGAAGATCAGGACCGAAGGAAGCTCTCTCCCTGAGGCTGGTGAGCGGAGATCAAAGAACCTGGAGGACGTTCACACACTGCATGCGTTTACGTGGCTTGACCCACTTGCTGAAACCTTGGCTGTCTGGACCATAATGAGGCCAAGATGGCTAAGGAGACAACACACCTGCTGGTGTCTCCCATAACCTAGTTTAAAGGAACTAAATTGGGCTTTCTTCACAGGAGGCATCGTTTATCACAGCTTGTTACAGGAGAAGGAGCAAGGCAGTGGAGTCAGCTGCAGTGTGGACCACAGCCATTAACCTGCCTGGGCCATCTCTTCCTGCGTAAATGGAGATAATAGCAGACCCCTTCCCTGGCGGACACTGCACCGGGCATTGTACTAAACCCTTTATGTGCATTAACTCATTTCATCCTCAGACGGAATCCTCGGGGTCATCCTTTGTCATCTTCCAACACAAAACCTGAGCACTAGAGAAAAGTGGTGTTAGTCAATTACACCTCGGTGATACTTTTAAGTCACTGTGTTGCCTCTTCCAAGAATACTTTCATTTTAAACAGTATCTCTGCTTATTGAATGAAAAGCTTTGTGCTCTGTGAAGGGGTTTTAAGCATCAAGGAGCAGATGGGAGAAATTGTAATAGCTTGATCTTTGGAAACGTGGTGCTAATTACACCCTGGGAGGATTAACAAAAGAGAGTGAGGAGGATGACAGCACTTCTGCGCACATCCCAGGGAGGTAGTCACCGGGCTGTGTTCAATGGAGGATTGTGTCCTGGTGAACAAAATATTCAATAGTGCGATGTGTGATTTTGTGAATGCCTCATGCAAATGAGCTGTCTTTCCTAAGCATGACGACAGGGCTATTTTTAATATGGCTCACTGACTTGTCAGGCTCTGATGGGCCTTTAGTTCATTGTTTGGTCACATGACCTGCTCTCCTAATCATCCCAGATCCTTTATGGCAGAAGGTTAAAAAAAATATTGAAAACATTGAAAATGTGAGAAAGAAATGTGTGGGGCCACTGGACTCTTTGTTCCTCAGAGCGTTTAGAACAAAACTCAGAGGGCACTCACGTATGTGTGAATCTCATAGGTCCTAAATTCTCTTATCTTGTACTTGTTTATGAAATAATTACACAAATACAATTCGAAGAAAAGTTAAAATGAGATGCTCCTCATCCCATAAAGCTGCCACATCTCCTATGCTTCTGCTGCTCAGTGGGAAAAGACAGGCCCATGACACAAGGGCTCTGTCCCCAGATGGTGAGTTTTCTTTGCGGGGACACCTGGTCCTCCAGGCTGTGGCTGCTTCTGTTAGTGCAATTTCAGAAATCCCTGTATCTCAGAAGATCCTGTTAGCTCTCCAGAGCAGGAAGCGCACCTATTGTGTGAATAAAGCATCTTGGCATTTTTTTTATAGATTTGAAATTAGTTCAACACATCTATCTAGAGAGTCTGCCTTAAGACGGAATATGCAAATTCTTTCGAGTAAATAGGAAGAAAATTATTAGTGTTTGCATTTCAGCAACAGATAAAATGAAGCAGCATTTCATTAATAGAAATCTGGATGTGACTGCAAACTTCCAGGTAACTCAAAGTTATCATTCAGGCGGTGAGAGGAGAGAAAATCACTTGTATTTGGGGCACAATAAACCCAAACTTAGATGCAATAGAGACAGATGTGTGTGCTGTAGCCTTCCAGGGAGGCTTTACAGTTTGAGTATTAGAAGGGAGCGACCCTACTGGGCCAGGAGCAAATTAATCCACTAAATGCATGGAAACAATGAAAATATGAACTAACATGAAAACAAGAAGGTGGGGGTAGATTACAGCGAAACAGAAGAGGATTATCTCAATCTGAAATGCAGCATGTGTATGACTAAGGAGGCTGAAAATTATCTTATCTTTGACATTTAGGAAAATTATTTATTTTTACAAATTGAGTTTTCTTAAGTATTTGCTCCTACCATGGTGCCTAATTAATTATTTATTCATTTAATGTAGCATATGTCAGTGTTCTGCAGCTATCAATTATGGCATTCTGATCAATATCCTTAGAGAAATTCATGAGATAGAATGAAAAAGCATCATCCAGACCCTTGAAGAGTGTGCAATATTAATTCCACTCCAAAGGCCCCACCCTTTACTCAGAAGCAGAATCAGCCCTGGGGGATCATTTAACTCACAGGGGTTAAAGGACTGGAGTAAAGAAGAATGCTGCTTTGGCCTTCAGGAAGGTTAAATGCCCATGAGAACTATTGTCTTGTGTGATTTCAAGACAAAAAACAGGTATAAATGATCATTCCCCAATCCTGACCTTGTTTCTTTAGAGGAAGCCCTCTCTCTGTTTCTCCCTGAGTTGTCTTTATTATAACAATGGTAAGAATGAGGACGGTCTCACCAGGAGATGCTTGCTGACATCTTCCCAGGCTTCAGGCTATTTTTGCATGAACTATCACATTCAACCCTCTACAATATTCTATGAGGTAGGATGGGCTCACTATTACTACTGATTCCATTTTAAGAAAAGGACATGGAATCTCAGAGAAGATATGGAACTTCCTTTTTATAACGCAACTAGTAGATTGTGAAGCCATTTTGAACACAGAACACCTATCGGCTCCAGGCTGGGTTGTTAATTACGCCTGTGCTGAACTTTTGTTCCTCATGAACATACTACCCACATAGTCAGGCAGGGCAATCCTCTTGCTGGCTAGAGTTGGACAATATAAGCCTTCAGTGAGCATTCATCTCTATAGCAAGGGCTGTTAGTAATGTTGGCCAGGTCTGTAGACAGACATCACCATGGATTTTTTGAATGCAACTGCCCAGGATGGACGAGGGAAACAGAATGCCAGCAGGGTCTGGATTTCCCGTCACTGAGCACACCTGTGCATGGCTGAGGACACCTGCCCTATCTGGACCCATGGGCTCCCAGACTCCTGTGAGGACTACAAGAGAGGCTCTGTGGCTAAACCCTATCTATGTGACTACCTGAAGGCCATCTGGGCCACACTACTAGCCTCCTGGCCCCTTAATGCTGTTTTGCTTTTGATTGTAGAATCCCAAATATGTTAACTGGAGGCAGGCTTTGAGACATCATGGCTGATGATGGCAGAAAGGAAAACCAAAGTGAAAGCAGAGGGTAATTCATCTAGGATCTCACTTGATGTGTTTTACATTATAGGTTTCAATAGGTCCCTGTTTTAAGTCCCCTAACTCTATTTTAAGCCCCAAACAGAGAGAGTTGTGGCTCTAAGTTCTGGGTTTACTGATGTTGTAAAGTGTGATTTCTATTCTTTCCATTTTCAAAAAAAAAAAAAAAAATGAAAAGAAAAGAAGCTTTAATTGTCAGTCATATTCTGTGATTTAACTTATTGTCTGATTCTTGCAATTTTCTTCTCATAGCTCTTAAGGTGCCTGCTAATCCAGCCAAATGGGGCACACAGTCCCATGCTGGTTTCAGTGTCTCCACACACAAAGCTGCTTGTCAGTGGTGGCTTCTACAGAATTTCTCAGCAGTTTCGTGCTTTTTTTTTTCCCTCACGTGGGAAATAATAATACTTTATATTTACAAGCTTTGAAAGGAGAAATTATTTAAAAACTTAAACCATTGTTAAATTGTGTTTTATTCCTTTTTCTGCTTCAGCTGTGTATTTGTTTTTATGTTTGACTGAAACTTCCAGTAAATCCTCAAGGTGTTTTTAAACTCCAGAGTAATGACTGCAACACATAGGCTAAGTCAGCTCCAGAAGTGTGATGTATTAAACCTGGCAGGAGCCTGCTCATTCATCTTTGAAGTGTAGCTGGAGCATCAGTAATTCCAAAAAAGCATTGCATGAAAATGAAAAGCCCCCTTATGGCGATGGAAGGTGGTTTTTTGTTTCCTGTCATCATCCATTTGTATCTGCCAATAGCCGCTAGTTAAATCAATACTCCTGATAAATACTGCTTGACTGAGGACATAGAGCAAATTATCATTTTTTAGTAATGGATATTTATCTCATGTGTGATAGTATTTATTTTTCAGATATACGCTTACACAATTTGTCCCAATTTTATAAGCAATTAAGACAGTTCAATGAGCTACTTGAAATTAAAACTATTAAACACATGATTGTTTGCTTTCTCATCTTTTCATTTTTTCCTTGAATTAGAATAAATTATAACTGGTCAATATTGGAAGCCTAGGGAAGGGTAGAGGTGGGAAGCTGCTGTTACCCAGCTCCCAGACTCTGGTCCAGCTCCTTAACTCTGGGCTCCCTGATGTCTCCACCTTCACCTCTCATCCCACGCCTTCCCTAGGCACCTGCACTTGCTCTGTGCTGTGCCCCAGGGGAAGTGCAGAAAACCAAGCAGCCTTAGACCTGTGGTCCTGGAGCTGGCAGCCACACCAACACATGGGAAACTGCGTGTCTGATTAGTTCTGCATGGGAAGACCAGTGCCTTGAGATCTACAGCAAGGAGATGTGAGCTGTTTATGGAGCTTGAGGAAGCCTTCTTGAGTGAGCAGCTCTCAGCCAAGGTTTGAATAATTTGTATGGGTTCCTAAAGCTGGCCTTGAAAAGAAATGATTACAGAAAGAGAGAACAGCCTTGCCAAGTTCCTGAAAAATAACTGTGTATAGTGCAAGACAGTGCAACGATGATCAAATGGAGTAAACACAATGAATATTGTATCTGTCCCTTCTCATGCTGCTAATAAAGACACACCCAAGACTGGTTAATTTATAAAGAAAAGAGGTTTGATTAACTCACAGTTCCACAGGCTGGGAGGCCCCAGGAAACTTACAATCATGGCCGAAAGAGAAGCAAACACATCCTTCCTCACATGGTGGCAGCAAGAAATGCCATGTGAAAGAGGGAAAAGCCCCCTTATAAAACCATCAGGTCTTGTGAGAACTCACTCACTATCATGAGAACAGCATGGAGTTAACCATTCTTATGATTCAATTACCTCCCACTTGGTCCCTTCCATGACACATGGCGAAGATCTGGGTGGGGACACAGCAAAACCTTATCAAATATAGAGAGATGAAGGCTGTAGACAGACCCAGACTATGAAGGTAGCTGTAGGTCAGATAGTCTTCCTCTCACAAGCAATAGGAAGTAGGAAGTCTTTCTCTCACGACCAGTTATAATTTATTCTAATTATATTTATATAAAATAATTGAGGAGCTAAAAGGTGGGTAGGGTGGGAAAGGGGGTGTTTATGTTCATATATATATTTTGAAATGATGGCACCATCTGGATTATGGAAATTGGATGGAGGAGGATGGAAAAGAGGGCAGAAACCATGCACCAACCCACCTGTGGGGTTAATAACCCTTCAAGCGTGGCCAGGCATGGTCGTGGTGGAGGTGGCGGTAGTGGTGGTATTGGCAGTGGTGGTGGTGGTGATAATGGTGGTGGATCAAAGTGGATGAATTGGAAAGACATGGAAGATAAAATTAGCAGGATTTGATGCTGGGATGGATGTTTCCTGGGCTTGGGAAAGCTAGTTAAGGTGAGTACTGTGCTATTACTACATCCAGTGATAATGAGAGAGGGTCCTGTTTGTAAGAAGATCATGTCTGATTTCAACCAATATAAGGAAGCTTATTTGTAAAGAGAGTCTTTCTGTGGATAATTCTTTGATTTATGTGGCTACATAGTGCTGACTCTGTGCCAACCTCAGTCTAAGTTCCTTACATGCATTAACTTTATGTTTTCTCATCACAAACCTACAAGGTGGCTCTGACTATTGTTCCCATGGAGTTTAAGAAGAGTCTGACATGGGTATGAGAACCATAAGTAGTAAGCCGTGGGCCCATGGCCTTCATCATGGGCAAGGCTACCTCCCTCTATACTAGGATGGCTCAACTTGTTCAGGGTTTCAATGTGACACAGTTTTGACTTCCCTACTTCTGTGTTTATCTGCACTTCAAGGAATCAAAATGTCTCCTTTTCCTGCAAGGCAGTAGCTCCCTTGGCCAGATTCCATAATTTCCCAACACTGTGAGTCTTTTTCAAGTGCTTAAGACTGCAGTGGAGTTCAGCAGAAGACTCCATTCACATATCCTTCAGCTCAAAACTCTTCTTCCCTCACCTTTGTGCAGACTGGAGCTACAGCTTGGAATGTGGGGCAAATGTGGTGTGGTTCTCAGAGGAGCCCCTCTTTCACCCAGAGCTTAATTGCCCTAGGGTTGATGTGGGAGGCACCAGGAAGCAAGAGGGAAAAGCAACACTCGATTTAAATGGCCAACTTTGTTCCTTCTGTTTGCCCCTGGCTCCAAATTTTAGAGGGCTTCTCCATATCAGAAACAGAAAACATATGCATGCACTGAAGAGCATTAAAGTCCTAGGCTCAGCTTTGGCAGAGAGGCCGGTTTCCTTAAATATCTGCCCTCCTAACACTGCTGAGGCCCCAGGGAAACAGTTCTCCATTTCCCTTGCCCTCTGCCCTTGCAGTAAAGTCACTGTGTAGGAAGGCTGTGAAAGAAGGTGCGGTAGATACTGCCAATGTCAGGGACAGACACTCTTTTGGAATACAAGCAGGTTTTGAGTAGTTACATAGGTAAGATAAAAGACAAATTAATTAACCCATCAATCCCTTTCAGAGAAATCATGAACACAACAAATTATTGCAGAATGAAGTATTGTCTCTCAGAATGCTGAACATTCATTTCTTCCTTCTCCTTGTGTTTGAATTTCTGGTTCAAGAAGTATTCCCAAATAGCACAGTACGCATGGTGGTGTCAGGCAACTTCACAAAATAGAACAATTCATAATGAAGAACTTAAACTTTTATAAACAGATTTATACCATATATTTATGAATACTAATTGTTTCCATGAGCAACCATATTATCTTCATCTTCTCACTCTCTCTCTCTTTCTCTCCTTTTCTCCCATTCTCCCTCCTTCCCTGTTTTTATCTAAGTGAAATGTTTAAAAGTCCATTTTAGAAAGAAGATAATATAAGACCCCAGGTGTTCTATGTGGGATTCTATGTTATCAAGCCATTAAAGTCAATTTGTCCTGATTCTAAAATCATTGAAGACTAGAAACATGAAATAATTTCAGAAATCAACCCAACCACTCAAAAACAATCTAGAATACAAAACCCACATCACCAGTTGATTCTTTCAAAATAATACTCTTTTCAGGTTTTTGTGTTGATGTTAAGAGGAAATGTAGAAAAAAATAGACATTTTATAATTTGAATAGATTTTTACAGCCTCAAAGTCAAATGACTATTTTAATTCATAAACAGACATAACTCTTTCAAGAGACAAAGTCCACTTTTTTTCCACAAAGAAAAGAAAAATTGTGGCTAATATATAACATGATATAAGAAAGTATTTTGGCTTCCAAATAGAAATGTGAATTCTAGAGTATGTGTAATTTGTCTATGGAGTCCAGAATTTCAGAAGCAGTACCTTTTAGTGTAACCCTCTCTTGTAGTCATGAGAAGCATGCCCTGTGATTAGGGCATAGACTGAAGAAGCAGTTGTTTTATCTGCATGCCTAGTTTTGAACCATCAAGCCATCTGTATTAGTCTGTTCTTGCACAACTATAACGAAATACCTGAAACCGAGTAATTTATAAAGAAAAAAGGCTTAGTTCGCTCAAGGTTCTGCAAGCTGTACAGGCTTCTGCTTTTGGGAAGGCCTCAGGAAACTTGCAATCATTGTGGAAGTTAAAGGAGAAGCAGGCATGTCTTACATGGCCAGAGCAGGAGGAAGAGGTTGAAGGAGGAAGTGCTGAACACTTTTAAATGACCAGATCTCATGAGAACTCACTCACTATCACCAGAACAGCAAGGGAGAAATCCACCCCCTTGATCCAATAATCTCCCACCAAACTTTTCCCCCAACATTGGGGATTACAATTCAACATGAGATTTGGGCAGGGACAAAAATTCAAACCATATCACCATCAAAGTCAGCTAGTTCTGATCCTAAATAAATAAATCGATTAGTAACTAAGTATGAATGACATATACTAAGGTGGTTAGAAGGCGATAAACTAGAACATAGGTGTGTTCTTATGAAACTCACAATTAAGAAAACTATATCATGAGATCTTGAAGGGACCCATTCAAATCAGTTCCCATGCTGACTGATAGACGCCCTATTTAGAACTAATTCAGAAACTGCTTTCCACAGGCCAGGCCCGTCTGTTTCTCACAATGTGGTGGCAATGGCCAAAATGGATTATTTCCAGCTTCTGTAGAAACTCCACCCTTTTCAAAGCATTCCTACAATCCTTAGGTGCTACCTCACCTGTGCTATGTTGCCCTCACTCAAGCCTGCTACTGCCTCTCTTTTTCACCACCACCCCTGAGATGACGTACTCAGTCACTTCATGATCTAAAACAGTATGCACATACTGTGTAGGTGCCGATGCCTGCTGAGGAAGTTCTCCCACTGCAGCTGCCTCCCAATAACCATGCTTGATGGCTTGCCAGTGTGGAGGCTCTGCGTGCACCAAGGGGACACCCATCCCCCTTGAATGTCCTCTGCTAAGAAACCCACTGAATTCGGGTTCAGAAGGTCACAGCCAGCTATTCGGGATGTGTGAGCCTTTGCTTACATCATCATTTCCTCCTGCTATCAATGGCACAGGAATCCAAGTAGTGGGTGCCTTAAATTTTCAACCTCCCTGACATTTGGGGGAAATAACACTTTAGTTTTTTCTTTTTTTCTCTTTTCACAAAATATTTGCCCTGGGGAATATATTCTTGTCAGTGACAAGCACAAACTATACTCAGTGTATTAATTTTCCAGTGCTGTAGAACAATTCACCACACACTTAGTGGATTTGAACAATGTATATTTATTATCCCACAGTTTGGGTCACTTTCTCAGGGTCTCACATATCTACAATAAGGTGCCAGCCACGAGGCAGTTTCATCTGGAGGCTCAAATGTTAGAGAAACCACGTTGGACCTCTTTCAGATTGTTGGCTGAATTTGTCTTCTCTTGGTTGTAGGAGCGTTATCCCCATTTTCTTGCTGGCTGTTGGCCAGTGGCCATGCTCAGCCCCCAGAGGACCCTGCAATTCCAAGTTGTGCAACGCCATTACAACATGACAACTGTATTCTGTGGGCAGGAGAAGTTTCTCTCTCCAGTTTGCTGAGATGGAATAGTCATGGAGGTTGTGAGATCCCACCACCTTTGCCAGGTTATACGGATGAGAAGCAAGCCAAAGTTTCCACTCATCCCCAAGGGGAGAGAGTTACCCAGGGCCCAATTCACTGGGGGTCACATGGGTGTGTCCACCACAGGAAGCATCCCCTGAACAAAGCCCCAGGTTCCTTTGCCCTCCATGGTGCCTGACATTTTCCAAATGGCTTTATCACACCTTATTCACGTAGAATCCTCGCTATGCCCCTTGCCCTGATCAGCCTATCAAGCTTCCTGCATGTCCCCTGACAGCTTCATAAATGCAACTCAGAACCCAGTGGGTCCTGCTACACTGAACAAAATGCATATAATAATGAAAATTAAAATATTAAGTTTTTCTATATCTTTTAATAAGATAATAATCAGTAGCATTTTAAATCTGTGACCTCTTTTCAATCTTCTGCGTAAAGATTATAAAAAGGAATACATCTATTTACGTTAAAATTGTTAACCTGTATACATTTTAAAGGGGACTTTAATAAACTGTAGTAAGGCCCTCTTCACATTTCTACTTCGGAATAGACGCATCCTGAGAGCTTTATTCAATTTATAACTTTTAAGAAATTGACACATAATTACTATAATTGAATCTCAGAAGCAAATTCATGTTGACTTTTGATTTTATTAGGGTGATCTCACTGGAGTTCATTCATTCATCAGAGTTTTTCATCACGCTCTTATTACTTGTCAGGAATGAAGAGTGGACACCAAAAATGATAGTTATGGTTCTTGTCCCCAAAGATCTTGTGTAAACCAACCCACACACCTAGTTTCTCATTTAACAGGGGCTTCTCCTCCCACGAAGTCTTCAGGGAGCTTTCTGGCTGGGCAGAGAATATGGTGCTGACTCCAGAGTCTCTGAGATGGCACCAGCCTTATCACTGCCTGGGGTAAGCAGAGGGGCACCTAGGTTTTCCTTTCACTTCTTGTAGATTCCTGGTCCCAAGTCTCTGAACTTTGCCCTTGCATTTTCCTGCTGTGCTTCCTAATTCTCTGCTGAGTCTTACTTGCTATTTCCTCAAAGGTATGTCTTTTGTGCATCCCCAGACCCAAAGGAATTCTCCAGCTCCTCCTCTGCCTTGGATAGCAGCGGCTCTGACTCTTTCTTTGTCTTCAGTTTCCAAAAATCCTTTGAGTTTCACCTCCGCATTTACATTTTGGATTCCCCAAGTCCAGCCTTGCCTTTGCTCCCAGCCCCACAGTCACACCGGGGCGTTAGCCCTAGACATCCCAGAAACCATTTGTCATCATTTAGGTCTCAGAAAGCTCTTAAATTCTTCCTCTCAATGTATGACTGACTGATTGCAGATTAATAATCACTAATTGCTTTCAAAAAAATGTTAAGGGTGGGGAGACATCACTTCTAAATACAAATGCCAGTGAGAAAGTAAATGAAAGGGAAATGTAATCATATTTTAAATGTGTCTTTTAAAAATATCCATGTAGTTGTTGGTAAATGCCAAGTGTTCCATCAGCTGAATGAATTATGTTATGAGGCCAAAGCCAAGACACACTGGTACAGCGTGAAGGTCCACAGTATATGGGTGATGGTAGAAACCAGAATAATTAACTTGCAGTGCCTCCGTTTTCTGATCTGTATAAAGTTTTCAGATATTTTATATCTGTTTTCAAAAGGGATACGTTGTCTCTAAGGAAACATTTGGCAAAGTCTGGAGGCATTTTTGGTTGTCATAGTTGGGGATGGGGGACTGCTCCTGGCATCCAGTGAGTAGAGGCCAGGGAATGGGAGCATGCCCTGCAGTGCAGGGGGTAGCACCCAATACAAAGCACTGTCTGCCCCAAGATGTCAATAGGCTGAGGTTAAGAAACCCTGCTTTACATAAAACAGACATTAATGGGGCTGTTAGAAAGATAACTGGGGGTTACTTTGACAAATTTGGAAGAAGACTAGTCCGGTCAAATAAGGTATCTAGCTCAAAAGCTACGTGTGTAGCTTATGCTCGGAGAGAGATATGTGAGGCAACTATGTACAGGATGTCAGAAAAAGTCTCTTTCTTCCCAGGAGACTTCCAAGAGGCACTGTAGATAGGCGGTGTGCAATGGCAAGCTTAAATAACCAGGAGGAGGGCAAGAGGAGAAAAAAGACCTGCAGGGTACAACCATCGCTGCTGACAGCCTGACATGCATACACCAAGTAGCCGTGAAGTGATGACAGCAGACACCTCTTAAACCATAACCGAGTAGGAAATGTAACTTCCAGGCTGTATTCCTCATGTTGATCATTACTGTGATCTATAACAAACTAAAATCCTAAAGCCTACACTTGTTTAGTTCCTCTATGTTTATGAAAAAAAAAGCTATAGGTTATTTATTTATTTTTGAGACAGAGTCTCGCTCTTGTTGCCCAGGCTAGAGTGCAGTGGCATGATCTCGGCTCACTGCAACCTCCGCCTCCCAGGTTCAAGCGATTCTCCCGCCTCAGCCTCCTGAGTAGCTGGGATTACAGGCATGTGCCACTACACCCAGCTAATTTTGTATTTTTAGTAGAGACAGGGTTTCTCCATGTTGGTCAGGCTGGTCTCGAACTCCTGACCTTGTGATTCGCCCGCCTCAGCCTCCCAAAGTGCTGGGATTGCAGGCATGAGCCACTACGTCCGGCCAGCTATAGGTTATTTAAAAGTAACTGAATGCAGCAAGAATCTAAGAATGATGCCACTCCCTTCCTGGGGCATTAAAGATGTGTTCAACATTTAGAGAATTAGGAAAACTGGTTGTGATAGTCAACAGCAGCAACACATAAATACAGGCACTTAAATTACCTCCATGCTAAATGCATAGTTACTAAAAAGAAAATACTCCCTTTGCTTCCAGCAAGAGTGATCTTCTCTCTGTTAGAAGCCAAAAACAACAGCTACTAATGGTTCCTGTAAAGGGGCCTCATTGCTGCATTCCTCATTCCCTCAGGTTTGTAGCTGATTTTTCACTCTGGCCATCAGAGGCACTGCCCATCGGCTTGGCCTGCAATATCTGTGGAAGCATGAGAGGTGTGATTTATTCATTCCAGCCTAAATCTTTAGGCAAGAGTACAAAATAACCCAGCAGAAAGCTCTGTGCTTAAATCAAAGCAGTGGCTGCAGCCTGACCACACCCTCTTTTTACCTAAGATTAAGACTGTGCTCTTTAAATCAATCCAGATCAGAGTTTTAACCAAAGTGTGTTCATACTCGTGGTGATGTGTGCTGGGACATGTTCCTTATCTCTGATGTGACTTGGACCTTAAAGCAAACCAACAGGACAACAAAGCAACGTGGAGCATCAACACAGAACATGAAGCGTCATTGTCCTGAAATGCACTCATGTCCTGAAGACTCGAGTGGTGTATTAAGACGGTCCAGTCTAACTGTGAGATGAGTTTGCCTAGATAAAGAGGTTAGAAATGGAGTCAGTGTTTGTTTTCCTTTCTTTTTTTTTTTTCTTTGCCAGTTTATGCTGGGTTACCCTGAAATATATTTACTGGTGAGAAAAGAAAGTTTAGTTGACTTACTAAATGTTTTACGTTGGTGCAAACGTTAATTGCTACTTTTGCCATTAAAAGTAATGGCAAAAACTGCAATTATGTTTGCACCACCCTAATAGAAGACTATGATATGTGAGAGAAGCCTAAGGAAACACGTGCAGCAGTTACAGTGAGGCCAGAAAGCACCGGCACGGCACCGGGCCAGGGTTGGTAGATAAGGTGGGCAGGCACTGTTCTTCCTCCTTAAGAAAACGTCCTGCTTTCTAACTTGCTAATATCTATATAGAATTCGATGGGGAAAGGGGACAAAAATAAATCATGTAAAATATAATACTGGCAGCTGTTATTAAAATAATCAAATTTGCAAAAATGCTAGGATATGTGTTCTTGGAAGGACAGTGAACTGATATAGGTAGAAATGAGTTTTCCTCACTCACCAGATTCTTCAGTTAAAGAATCAGAACTGCAACTTATTTAAATCTCCATTTACATACATGTCGATGTAGCCTACGTTTAGTGCCTGTTCTCTCTCCGACACTCAGGAGAGGACTGGAGATGAAATAAGGTCCCTGGCAATGAGAAACTTAGAGTCTGCTAGGAGGAAATTTCAAGGTAAGGGTCACTAGCAAAATCACCAGAGTAGTGATGCTTTCCAGCACATTGCCTGGGAGCCGGTTGTCAACTCAGAGCTCTGGGCCCCCTCTCCTTCTGAAGTAGGAGGAACTTTTGATAGGTGTCTACTTTTGATAAGAGGCTGCCCCTTTCAAGGTGTGCTGCTACGGGCCCTGTTAGAAGCAATAGTGCTATAGAAATGAGTTGAAGAAGGGTGGGGCTCCCAGCTCCTGTGGGAGCTACATCAGCGCCACCTTTAAGCAAAGTAGGGTCGTTTGGCTGGATCTCCAAGGAAGGTTGTTGGGGGTGGCGAGGTGAGGAATGGGGAGCAGGCATTCCAGTTGAAAAAGCAGCAGATGCAGACACATGGGGACAGAGAGAGTACCTGGAATCTGGAGACCCACTGGTGGGCTGGCGTGGCCCAAGAATGGGGATGTTGGCAGGAAAGCAGATGTGGTTGGGGCCTGCCTGCCCGCCAGACCCCTTGCTATGTCTTAACACTGCTGTGCTTCAAATGCTACAATCCTTGGCCTTACCCTCTCTGGGTTGGAATTTCTTCATGTACAGCTCAAGAGAGTTGGGTCAGATGTTTCCTAAGGAGCTTCGTAGGAGGTACAGAGTGTGTCCCTTGCCCTCCTCGAAGTCTCACAGCAAATCAGCTCCATAAGTAAAAAAAAGAACAAGTCTCAATGCAAACCCAGAATTGTCTTACATGGCATTATTTTAATACTGTTTATATTGGTTCCTGATGTTCAATGAAACTATTGAATGAAACCTGAGGGCACTTAGAACGTTCCAGCTAACACAGGCAACATCGTCTTTGGCCTTAACAATAATTAGAATGACAATGGCAAGCATATATCTACCAAAATCACTTTGTCTTGTTTCATTAATAAAATATTAAGCTTTTGGATATAAAGGAATTCATCTTTTAATTCATTTAGAAAAATTATATTGAAGTCTATACAAAAGGACAGAAAGACAAAGAAATCCATGATTAATTTCCATTTTGTCACATTCAGAGGGGATTCACATGCTGAATAAACTATTCTATTTCCTTATGTAAATGGCTTTGCAGAGTTCTAGTCAGCTTCATAAGTAGAAAAGGAACAAGTCTCAGTGCAAGCCCAGAATCGTCTTACATGGTATTATTTGAATACTGTTTATATTGGTTCTTGATGTTCAATGAAACGACTGAATTAAACCTGAAGGCACTTAGAATGTTCCAGCTAATACAGGCAACATCATTTTCTGGCATTAACAATGACTGGAATGACAATGGCAAGCATATCTCTACCAAAATCACTTTGTCATATGTTCATTAATGAAATGATATTACGGTTTTGAATATAAAAGAGTTCATCTTTTAATTCATTTAGAAAAGTTATATTGAAGTCTATACGAAAGGCCAGAAAGACAAAGAAATCTCCAATTAATTTCCATCTGGTCACATTCAGAGGGGATTCACATGCTGAATAAACTATTTTATTTCCTTACGTAAATGCCTTTGCAGAGTTCTAGCTGAAATTCATTTGGCACAAATCATGAGTCATTCTGTAAAACTGCTATCTGTATAACATAGCCAAAGTAAATTTTTACATAATTGCTATGAACTGTGTTATCTCCGGGGCTACTCAGTGACAACTAGGCAGAGAGAAAATTTCCCGCAGAGTTACAAAGTAAAACAAATTAAATCATTCATTTAATAGCATATTATTTTAATTAAATAATGAAGACCAAAATACTGAACCTTATCACTATTTTTTCCATAATAGAAAAGTTATAATTTTATTGTACATTATTACCAATGAGCCATGTTTGTCAATATAAGTTTTAATTTGAACTGGATCAAACCCTTGCCCCAAATTCTAATTTGCATGAAATAAAAAGGTAGTACAAGAAACAACATCATGAAGAAATAATCAAGCAAATCCAAAATGTGGGTTTTTCATCAAGGTAATTGAACCAGATAATTAAAGGACATTAAGAAAAAACAAACAAGCAAAGTTTAGGGACTATTTTGACTAAAAAGAAATATGGCAACCACGTAGCCTTGGTTAAAAACAGACAGACAGGCCGGGCGTGGTGGCTCATGCCTGTAATCCCAGCACTTTCGGAGGCTGAGGCGGGTGGATCACGAGGTCAGGAGATAGAGACCATCCTAGCTAACACAGTGAAACCCCATCTCTTCTAAAGATACAAAAAAATTAGCTGGGCGTGGTGGCAGACGCCTGTGGTCCCAGCTACTCAGGAGGCTGAGGAAGGGGAATGGCGTGAAACAGGGAGGTGAAGCGTGCAGTGATGCAGTGAGCTGAGATCATGCCACTGCACTCCAGCCTGGGCGACAGAGCAAGATTCCATCTCAAAAAAAACAAAAACAAACAAACAAACAAAAAATACCACTCTATTTATTATTGGAACAAGTGGGCAAGTGGAAGAATTTTAAGGTGGTTGAGATATTAGATAGAAATGATATTAGATGTTAATAATGAATTAGTTATTTTTGACGGGATAATGCCTTGTTTATGCAATACAACATACTTGCTCTTAGGTGAAGCAAGCTAAAGTTGTAGGGGTAATATGTCATCATGTTTTGAATTTATCTGAACTTTTTCCAACTGGAGGAGCCAATATATACGTATGTATGTATCCATGTGAATGTATGGATGTACAGTTCTGTGTGCGTGAGTGTGTGTATTTCTGGAGAAAGACCAAACAAAAAAGCAAACATTAACACTTATGGACTCCCAGAGAAGGCTGAATGACTGAAATAATGGCTTAAATGATGGAAATTGCTATTTCCAATGATATTATATATCTTTATGGCATTAGAGTTATAGCAAGTCTAGCAAAGTTAAAGTTATTAAAGGATAGGAGCACACACTTTAACTGATTATAGGATACAAAGCAGACTAATGAGTATTAATGTGGTTCTTTTTTTTTTTTTGAGACGGAGTTTTGCTCTGTCACCCAGGCTAGAGTGCAATGGCATAATCTTGGCTCACTGCAACCTCCGCCTCCCGGGTTCAAGTGATTCTCCTATCTCAGCCTCCCCAGTAGCTGGGACTACAGGTGTGTGACACCATGCCTGGCTAATTTTTTTTTATCTTTAGTAGAGACGGTGTTTCACCGTGTTAGCCAGGATGGTCTCCATCTCCTGACCTTGTGATCTGCTTGCCTCTGCCCCACAAAGTGCTGGGATTACAGGCATGAGCCACCACGCCCAGTCTATGGTTCATATTTTAATAAGTCACTTGCCCCTCTGTGTGATATCTTCTTAGCTGTTAAATATGTCATTAGAATTACATAAAAAGTGAGGCTCAACATTAAGGATGTATACAACAATGTTTAACCAGATCTTCATGTCTCCACGTCTAGGGCGCCCTCACTGCAAACCTTATCAGAGATTGACATACAGTGGCGTAACCTGTGAAAGGGGCACCACATATCAGAAATCAAGGAAATCCATAGAGTTGAGTAGAGTCCAGAAGACCAAGACTAAGGAAGGCTGTAGAGGTCGGGACCTCCATGTCAGAGGAGCCTGAGCTCTAACACTGGAAGAAATACATACTGGCATGACACATGAGAAAAAGCATTAGGGCCATATTATCATAGTTACAGGAGGATCAGGAACATAAAAGTCCCTTTCTTTAATCTTGCTTAATATAGGAATTTGGGATTGACACAACCATTGGAAGAAATGGTGGATAAAGTTCAGGAAGTCTATCTCAACGGTTAGGGAAGATAATGTTTAGTATGTCAGCCTGCAGCACTGAAGAGAATGGTTCTCAAGAGACTGCTGGAGACTGCTGCAGCTTGTAACAGGCTCTCCGAAGCTACCAGGGACTTTCTAAATCTGCAGTCCTGAAGCTAGTGTTCAAAAACTCTCTGAGGAACTCCGGCAAATCTTGCATTTACCAGCACAAGGGGCTGCCACTGCCAACAGAGAATAATGGCTTCTCCTTCTTCCTGACCTTCTAAACCTCATGAACGTGTGTCTCATTGGAAGGGAATGCTGAGAAATATTGTCCTTAAACTGCAGAGGAGCCCTTGGAAAGAGATGGCACTGATGTTCAATTGCAAACAGAGAATCAAGTATAAGCCACGATTTTTTTAAGTGAGAATCCATATACCCCCTTTACCCATAATTAACCTCCAAATAAAAACAATAAAAGAATGCTTCCACCTAACTTTCTGCAACTATTACATGTACCATTGAAGACATGCTCACTTTCTTTCCAGAGGAGAGACACAAGTCCCAAGTGTTAATGTATCCATCTCAAAAAGATCTATCCATGCTTGCTCTTGTTCAGTAACAATACCCCTTTGAATTAAATAGCTAATCATTTAACTTGCATGAGATAAAGTAGAATGGAGGAGGGAAAAAATAGTTAATATAAACACTAATATACATACAAACACAAAGAAATGTGGAGAGATTTTCCTCCAAGACGATTTATCTACCTATTTACTTATTTAGCTGTGTCTTCCTGAGCCATACACACCCTCTACTCCCCTGCCTGGGAAGGTATATACTTTCAGCTTAGGAGCTTTGTAGAGATGCAGACTTCTGCTGAATTCTCTCTTTTTTCCCCAGACTTCAACTTTCCCATCCCCTGTGTTTATAATCTACAAGCCTGGTGTCGAACTCTTTAGTTTTTCTCCAGAATAAACACCTAGGACTTGGAAAAGCAACATGAGATCAGTTGATAGGTTGATCAAGGTAGGTATTTGGATACTCTAAGGACTTTAAAGTATTCTGTTATCTAAGCTTCAGTCCCATGATCTGGTGCCATTGCATGGTTCTGTGGGCCAATTCAAAGTTCTTGATAACTCATGTCTGGTGATTTCTGATTCTCTTTGCTCTCAGAAGACTTGTATATTTTTATTCCTTTTATACAATTTTCATTGAGCTTTAGGAAGGAGAGGAAAAAAAAAACACACAACCAATTCTTAGACAACTAGGCAATACCAAGTATTTGAGGAAAATCTCTACCATAACAGACATCAAAATGAGGCAAATAGAATAAAAAAACTATAATGGGGGAAACCAGGCAATGTGAAAAAAAAATAGAGAAAATGTAAGAATAATAGAATTAACATGACATAATGCTAATAAAAACATAGAGTCACAAACTAAAAAGTATCAATATGGGAAAAATAAAGAATTCATAAAATTTAAAGATGAAATAAACTGAAATTAAAATACAGAGGGATGAAGGAAAAATCAAGGAAATATATCAAAAAGTAGAAGAAAAACACAATGAAGTAGAAAACAGGAAAAATGATTAGAACATAAGATAATCAATCCTAAAAGATTAAAAGTTAAAAAAAGGCATTTGGAAAGAAATTATAAAGGCAATAGTGGAAAGAAAAATATTAAAAAAAAAAAAGGGAGTTGTCATGAGGGAGGACTCATTCAAAGCCTAGTGACTTGAGTACAAAACATATCTACACTAAGGTAAAACACCATAAAATTAGAGAACCCCAGGATTAAAAGACAAATTCCAAAAGGCCCAGAAAAAAATCAGATCACTTATAAATAACAAATTAGAATAAGTCTAGCATTTTAGAGGCAACAATGGATATTAGATTCGTCATTAATTGGAACTACAGGTCTCAAATATTTTCATTTCAGAACCCTATCCTCTTAAAAATTATTAAAGTAACATGAACAGATTCCTAAAAATATACAATCTACAAAGACTGAATCAT
Organism: Homo sapiens; assembly: GCF_000001405.40. Taxonomy (NCBI): domain Eukaryota; kingdom Metazoa; phylum Chordata; class Mammalia; order Primates; family Hominidae; genus Homo; species Homo sapiens. The sequence continues at coordinate 4,681,286 of NC_000005.10, forward strand.
TAAGAAACACAAAATATAAACAGATCAAGAATCAGTAATCAAAGATCTCTCCAAGAAGAAAAGCCCAGGACCCTATGACTTCATTGGTGAACTCTATCAAACACTGGAATAAGAATTAATGTGAATCTTTCTCAAACTTGTAGAAAACATTGAAAAAGAGAAAACACTCTCAGACTCATTTTACGAGACCTGTTACCAAAATCAGACAAGGATGCTACAAGAAAAGAAAATAATAGGCCAATATCTCTGATCAACATAGATGCAAATGTTCTCAACAAAATACAAACCAAATTCAATGGCACATTAAAAAGTTTAAGCATAATTTGTTCCTGGGGTGCAAGGATGGTTCAATATATGCAAATCAATAAGTGTGATATATCACATTAACAGAAGGCAGATACAAATATATTAAAATTTCAATAGATGCAGAAAAAGCATTTGAAAAAATTTAACATCTTTTTGTGATAAAAACTCTAAACAAATTAGGGATAGAAGGAATGTACCTCAACATAATCAAAACTATAGATGACAAGTCCACAGCTAACATCCTACTGAACAGTAAAAATCTAAAAATGTTTTCTCTAAGATCAGGAATAAGACAATAATAACCTCTTTTATTCAACATAGTACTGAAAATTCTAACTAAAGCAGTTAGGCAAGTAACATAAACAAAAGCCATCCAAATTGAAAGGAAAGATTTCTCATTTTGCACATAACACATTCTTATATATAGAAAATCCTAAAAACTCTACCAAAAAGGTGAGAATTAATAAAGAAATTCAGTAAAGTTGCAGAATACAAAATCAACATACAAAAATCAATAGCATGTATATGTGCTAACCATGAACTATCCAAAAGAGAAATCAAGTACAGCAACTCATTTGCAGTAACATCAAAACGTTCTTAGGAATAAATTTAACAGTGGAGATAAGTTACATACATACTGAAAACTATAAAACACTGACGATAGAAATTAAAGATAAAAATAAATGGGGCCAGGCACAGTGGCTCACGGCTGTAATCCCAGCACTTCAGGAAGCTGACGTGGGAGGATCACCTGAGGTCAGGAGTTCAAGGCCAGCCTGGCCAACATGGTGAAACTCAGTCTCTACTAAAAATACAAAAAATTAGCTGGGCATGGTGGTGGACAGCTATAATCCCAGCTACTCAGGAGGCTGAGGCAGGAGAATCACTTCAACCTGGGGGGCGGAGGTTGCAGTGAGCTGAGATCGCATCATTGCACTCTAGCCTGGGCAACAAGACCGAAACTCTGTCTCAAATAAATAAATAAATAAATAAAATGGAATGATATCCCACATTTAGAGATTGGAAGAATTAGTATTAAAATGTCCATGCTACCCAGAGAAGTCTACAAATTCAGTGCAATTCATATAAAAAATCTAATGGCATTTTCATAAAAACAGAAAAAAAAGAAATAATAATGTGTCTGGAACCACAAAAGACCCTGAATAGCAAAAGCAATCTTGAGCAAAAAGAACAAAGCTGGAGATATCACACTATCTGATTTCAAAATATACTACAGGGCTATAATAATCAAAACAGCATGGTACTGGCATAAAAACACACATATAGACGAATGGTGCACAATAGAAAGGCCAGAAATAAATCTACACATTTGCTCCTCAACAAAGATGCCAAGAACACACAATGAGTAAAGACAATCTCTTCAATAAATGATATTGAGAAGACTGGATACACACATGAAGAGAAATGTAACTGGACCCTTATCTCACATTGCATACAAAAATCAACTCAAAATAAATACTTAACCATAAGACCTGAAATTGTAAAACTATTAGAAGAAATCATGGGAAAAAAGCTCCTGGACATTGGTCTGAGCAATAATTTTTTTAGGATATGACCCCCAAAACACAAGTAACAAAAGTAAAAATAGACAAGTGGGATTTCATCAAACTAAAAATATTCTGCATAGCAACAAAACAATCAACAGAGTTAAGAGACAACCTACAGAAGGGGAGAAAATAGTTTCAAACTGTACATTTGATAAAATACATAAGGAACTCAATCAACTCAGTAGCAAGAAAATAATAACCCAATTTAAAATGTGGGCATAGGATCTGAAAAGGCATTTCTACAAAAAAAGACGTACACATGGCCAACAGGTGTATTTTTAAAATGCTCAACAGCAGTAATCATCAGGGAAATGCAAATCAAAACCACCATGAGATAGCACTTCACTCTTGGTAGAATGGCTGATACCAAAAAGGCAGAAGATAACAAGTGAGTGCGAGGATGTGGAGAAAAGGAAACACTGCACTGTTGCTGAGAAAGTAAATTAGTACAATCACTATGGAGAACAGTATAAAGGTTCCTCAACAAATTAAAAATACAACTATCATAGGCTTCAGCAATCCACTTTCTGGATATACATGTAAAGAAAATGAAATTCATTGTCATTAGGAGATACCTGCAACTTTCATGTTCATTGCAGTAGCCAAGACGTAGAATCAACCTAAGTGTCCATCAATGGATAAATGAATAAAGAAAATGTACATACACATGTACACACACACACACACACACACACACACACAGATGGAATACAACTTAACCCTCAAAAAGAAGGAAATCTTGTCATTTGCAACATCAGTGAACCTGGAGAACATTGTGCTAAGCGAAATAAGCCAGGTCCAGAGAAGCAAATACCACATGATCCCACCTATATGTACAATTTAAAAATGTTGAAGTCACAGAAGCAAAGAGTAGAATGTTGTTGCCAGGGACTGGAAAGTGGTTGGTAGGGAATGGGGAGATGTTCATCAAAGATTACTAAATTTTCATTATAAAACATAAATAACTTCTGAAAATCTATTGTACAGCACAGTGATTATAGTTAACATATGGTATTGTATATCTAAAATTACTAAGAGAGTAGATCTTAAATGTTCTCATAACAAAAAATGATAAATATATGAGGTGATGAATATAGTAATTAGCTTTATTTTAATCATTTTGTAATGTATGCGTGTAACAAAACACTACATTATGCATCATAGATATACATAATTTTTATTTTTCAGCTGTATCTCGATAAAGCTGGGAAACATAAGACTTTTATATATGTAGGTTATATCTATTAATATTCACTATTTTAGAAATAAAATCTGAAATTTTATACTTTTTTATTTATTAAAAAACAATTAGCTGAATGCATGTGTGTATACATAATGTATATTTTGTAAAAAGTAATTTTACTTTTAAAAAGAAAAGACAGTGAGAGGAGCGGCATTGTTTGTTTTTACCTTTTGCAAGTATCTTGAGTGTCTGGCTTCCCAGAAGACAACTGGATGTTAATAACTGCTTGTGCATTTCACTCTGTTGTGTGTGTGGTTTCAGTTGAATTATATGAAGGAAATCTGGCTTACAAAAAAGGGAGAAACATTGCAATAACCTCTTATTATTTGTGGATATTTTTCTGTAATACTACTAAAACTAGACAGGCAGTAGTTTCCTGCGATGTGGATCTGAAACAAATAAATCAATTTTTCAGGCTTTGTTACATTAAAATCCACCAGTCTATTTTGCACTTTGAATGATGGATCTGTTACCCATGTATGAAATTGTAACATCCTGCATTGGTCATTTGGAAAATACTGGTTCACTAAGTTTTACAGATCTAAATCTTGACACATTTCATTTTAAAATATCAAAAAATTGCCTTTATTAATACCATCACCAATCTCATCAGAAAAGCCTTTAAGTATTGAGAAGCTGTCAAGCTCAGGCTTAAAAACTTAAATTTTATCCTTGGCTACAAATACTGTCAGTTGTTTTCCTTGAAGTGTCAGGCTCATTTGATTTGTTTTCAAGAAAATGTCTACCAAATGTCTACCAATGTCTGAATAATTATAGTTTGTCTGTCAGATGTTGTTTCAATTAAATATGGTGTTCAGTGTAGAACATGTATAGTTGAACTTGCAGCACAATCACACTAGTGCCTTTCCTGGCAACCTCTGCCAGGCTCAGTATGCAGCAGCCATGCCCTGTGGTCACTTCCCATTGCAGCACACAGGGTACTGGAAAGACAGGGATCCCAGAGTGACCAGCTCAGAGCAGGGTGGGTGAAGGGATCCTGGGAAATACAGTCTGGCCCATGGAGGATGGTGGGTGTGGAGCTGAGTCTCAGCAGGCTGATGTCTTGGTTACTGTAGCCTTGTAGTATAGTTTGAAGTCAGGTAGCATGATGCCTCCAGCTTTGTTCTTCTGGCTTAGGATTGACTTGGCAATGCGGGCTCTTTTTTGGTTCCATATGAACTTTAAAGTAGTTTTTTCCAATTCTGTGAAGAAAGTCATTGGTAGCTTGATGGGGATGGCATTGAATCTATAAATTACCTTGGGCAGTATGGTCATTTTCACGATATTGATTCTTCCTACCCATGAGCATGGAATGTTCTTCCATTTGTTTGTATCCTCTTCTATTTCATTGAGCAGTGGTTTGCAGTTCTCCTTGAAGAAGTCTTTCACGTCCCTTGTAAGTTGGATTCCTAGGTATTGTATTCTCTTTGAAGCAATTGTGAATGGGAGTTCACTCATGATTTGGCTCTCTGTTTGTCTGTTATTGGTGTATAAGAATGCTTGTGATTTTTGCACATTGAGTTTGTATCCTGAGACTTTGCTGAAGTTGCTTATCAGCTTAAGGAGATTTTGGGCTGAGACGATGGGGTTTTCTAGATATACAATCATGTCATCTGCAAACAGGGACAATTTGACTTCCTCTTTTCCTAATTGAATACCCTTTATTTCCTTCTTCTGCCTAATTGCCCTGGCCAGAACTTCCAACACTATGTTGAATAGGAGTGGTGAGAGAGGGCATCCCTATCTTGTGCCAGTTTTCAAAGGGAATGCTTCCAGTTTTTGCCCATTCAGTATGATATTGGCTGTGGGTTTGTCATAGATAGCGCTTATTATTTTGAGATATGTCCCATCAATACCTAATTTATTGAGAGTTTTTAGCATGAAGGATTGTTGAATTTTGTCAAAGGCCTTTTCTGCATCTATTGAGATAATCATGTGGTTTTTGTCTTTGGTTCTGTTTATATGCTGGATTACATTTATTGATTTGTGTATATTGAACCAGCCTTGCATCCCAGGGATGAAGCCCACTTGATCATGGTGGATAAGCTTTTTGATGTGCTGCTGGATTCAGTTTGCCAGTATTTTATTGAGGATTTTTGCATCAGTGTTCATCAAGGATATTGGTCTAAAATTCTCTTTTTTGGTTGTAAAGCAAAGACTTGGAACCAACCCAAATGTCCAACAATGATAGACTGGATTAAGAAAATGTGGCACATATACACCATGGAATACTATGCAGCCATAAAAAATGATGAGTTCCTGTCCTTTGTAGGGACATGGATGAAATTGGAAATCATCATTCTCAGTAAACTATCGCAAGAACAAAAAACCAAACACCATATATTCTCACTCATAGGTGGGAATTGAACAATGAGAACACATGGACACAGGAAGGGGAACATCACACTCTGGGGACTGTTGTGGGGTGGGGGGAGGGGGGAGGGATAGCTTTAGGAGATATACCTAATGCTAAATGACGAGTTAATGGTTTCAGCATACCAGCATGGCACATGTATACATAGGTAACTAACCTGCACATAGTGCACATGTACCCTAAAACTTAAAGTATAATAATAATAAAATAAAAAAAATTAAAAAAACAAAACAAAAAAAAACAGGCTGATGTCACCCTGTGTTTTCCTGTACAGGCTCCTGGTTAAAGGCTGCTGGCAGACAATTTTGAACTAAAAATGTTAAGAAATTTTTAGAACATAACACATTTATAATCACTTGATGTATTAAACCATGCGTTTCATTTTTAAGATTTGCAAAATCTTATTTTCTGAGAATATTTTATTCTTTAGATTGTATGTTTTCACTTTGTCAGAAATGTAAAGTGTTCAACGAGACAAATACATTAAACTCAAAATGGAGTTGGAATACTTAAGATAATGTATTCAAATAAATAAATGGTCCTGAGTGTTTTAAAGTTATCTGTCAGTCCATTAGATTTAATTAATAATAATTTAAAAACAGTAAAAGCTGCTAGATTAATAAATTGAACAGTAAGGTTTGTAAATAATTATTAACTACTTAAACAAAACTAAGGCTATGAAATTTTTATATTAACACACTGCACATTACAATAAAATCCAAATAACTGTAACTAGTCCTTTCTGACCTCCTCTTGGACCTAGATACACACATGCTCCCACACACACACATGCACACATGCACACATCTAGGCATTCAGAACAATAGCATAACTGGGTAGAGCTTTTAAATAATTAAAATTATCACAATTTAAAAGCTAATAAAAGATCCAAAAATACCAGGAAAATAAAAAATATTAAAATAATAAAAATAGTGTTTAGAAGTGAAAACACAATAAGTAAAATGTATAACCCAATAGATGACTTAACAACCAATAGTTTGCTTCAGGAAAAGAGAAATGGTAAACTGAAAGATAGAATAAAGGAAATTATCGGGGAAGAATAAACAGGGTAGAAGATGGAAAGTAGAAGTGAGAGAGCAGGAGGACACTGGAGAATGCCATGAAAAGGTGCGACTCATAACCAACATGGAGAAAACAGAGGGTACAGAAAGGCCATATTCAAAAAAGTACTGGTGACTTATTTTTAAGAATTAATGAAAGGAGGATAAGCTAATTCTGTCCCAAGCAGAATAGATCAAATTAAATCTACATCTAGACATGAATTAGTGAAATAGCAGAATTCCAAAAACATCGAAAGCCTAAAAGATCCAAAAAAGAAAACATAGCTTATCTGTAAAGAAACTAGAGTTAGAATTATAATTGAAAAGCAACTATGTAAACTAGTTTTAAAAATAAAGAATAGATCCCATTTGTCAATTTTGGCTATTGTTGGAATTGCTTTTGGCATTTTGAGTGAACAGGCAACCTACAGAATGGGAGAAACTTTTTGCAATCTACCCCTCGGACAAAGGTCTAATGTCCAGAATCTACAAGGAACTTAAACAAATTTACAAGAAAAATACCAAACAACCCCATCAAAAAGTGGGTGAAGGGTATGAACAGACAGTTCTCAAATGAAGACATTTATGCAACCAACAAACATACAGGGAAAAGCTCATCATCACTGGTCATTAGAGAAATGCGAATCAAAACCACAGTGAGATAGCATCTCATGACAGTTAGAATGGCAATTATTGAAAAGTCAGTAAACAACAGATGTTGGCAAGGCTGTGGAGAAATAGGAACGTTTTTACACTGTTGGTGGGAGTGTAAATTAGTTCAACCACTGCGAAAGACAGTGTGGCAATTCCTTAAGGATCTAGAATCAGAAATCCCGTTTGACCCGGCAATCCCATTACTGGGTATATACTCAAAGGATTATAAATAATTCTACTATAAAGACACATGTACATATACGTTTATTGCAGCACTGTTTACAAAAGCAAAGACTTTGACCTAACCCAAATGCCCATCAATGATAGACTGGATAAAGAAAATATGGTACATATACACCATGGAATACTATGCAGCCATGAAAAAGAATGAGTTCATGTCCTTTGCAGGGACATGGACAAAGCTGGAAGCCATCATTCTCAGCAAATTAACATAGGAACAGAAAACCAAACATTACATGTTCTCACTGATAAGTGGGAGTTTAACAGTGGGAACACATGGAGACAGGAAGGGGAATATCACACACTGGGGCCTGTCGAGGATGGGGGCAAGCAGAAGGAGAGCATCAAGACAAATACTTAAGGCATGAAAGTCTTAAAACTTGGATTATGGGTTTATAGGCACAGCAAACCACCATGGCACATGTACACGTAACAAACCTGCATGTTCTGCACATGTATCCCGGAACTTCAAGTAAAATAAAAAAATAAAAGAATAAACTCAGTAAATATATAGATACAATAAAGATACAAAAAATAAACAGCAAAAAATAAAGTAAATACTAAAGAATCAATAAAAATTATACCTGATTTAAAAAAAATGGTTAAATAATCTCTGTCAAAATGAATTAAGAGAATAGAAAATTTTGGCCAGGCGCAGTTGCTCACACCTATAATCCCAGCACTTTGGGAGGCTGAGGCGGGTGGATCACCTGAGGTCGGGAGTTTGAGACCAGCTTGACCAACATGGAGAAACCCTGTGTCTACTGAAAATACAAAATCAGCTGGGCATGGTGGTGCATGCCTGCAATTCCAGCTACTTGGGAGGCTGAGGCAGGAGAATCGCTTGAACCCAGGAGGTGGAGGTTGCAGTTAGCCGAGGTTGTGCCATTGCACTCCAGCCTGGGCAACAAGAGCAAAATTCTGTTTCAAAAAAAAAAGGAAGAAAATTTGTAAAACTATATTCAATTTGTAAATTGTGACAAATTAATGGATACAAAAACATGTAAAAATTATGAGAAACTACAAACTATTTTATGCTGACAAATCTGAAAACTTAGATAAAATATACAATCCCCATAAAAACATTGCTTATGAAAACTAAGTCAAAAACCTAGAAAGCCTGGATAGATTTGAAAGCATTAAGTAAATAAAGTCATTGGTAAATTTCTATTCTCTCTCCCCCTCCAACTAATTATATGCAGGCTATATGTTTAATGACATTTATCAAAATATCAAGGAATATATCATTCTTGTGTTATACAAACCCTTTCAAAGGAAAAAATAAGGAGAGCTCCATAACTCACTTACAAGGTTAGTAGAATCTACATTTATTACAAAGAGGTTAAAAAAAATTCTAGGACATTTTCACTTGGCAGCATAGATGCAAGGATACTAAATAAGATAGTAGCAAAGCAAATTCCTCTATGTACAAAAACATAAGTCATTACTAAACAGTAGTATAAACTTTAACAGGAATTTAATGCAATCTAATAATCACAATAAAGAACACATATTATCTTAATTAATTCAGAAATATTATTTGATAAATTTCAAACAACTCTCAACTCTCATTACAAATTATATGAGGTCTCAAATTTGAAATGAAAAGTATATTCTTTAACACTATAATACCTTACTTTAATAACACTACAGTGTAAGCCATAGTTAGTGTTGAAACATCACAATAATTCCTCTTGATGCCAAGAAGACAGCAAGGATGCCAGTTATAGTTGATTTGATTCTATGTTGTGCTCAGGTCCTAGCCAAGCAGAAAACCAAGAAGTAATATATAAGGATTATAAAAAAAGAAATATAGCTATTAATATATGATTACAGTATATGTACACACAGACATGCAAACACATGTACATATATACATGTGCATATATACACACATTATGGCAACTATACTATATATAACATTATGTATATACATAGATATGTATATTAGTATTTTGGTGAGCCAGTATTAATTGTAAAATGTAATAGAAAAAAATTCCGTATCTAATTTATTGTAGAAATAAAAATTACTGAGCTACCTAGAAAAATTACCAACAAAATATGCTAATAAAAGTCATAAAAGATGACGCAAATAAAATAAGAACCCTATCATATTATATTTATTTATGGGAAGAAAGGCTCTTACTTCTTCTTTCCTTGGTGTATAAATACAACACAATTTTAATTCATACATTTTATGCAACTCAATAAAATTACATAGATATTGACCAGTTCATTATTATAGTCCTATGGAAAAACAAAGCACCAAAGTAAGCCAAGAAGACTGAGTAAGCACTTTCACCTCATCAGAATTTAAGAACAAAGTTGTAATAATTTAAAAAGTGTACATTGGTGAGGAAGCATTTTCACCTGATCAGAATTTAAGGACAAAGTTATAACAATTTAAAAAGTGTACATTGGTGTATGGATGCAGATATTGACTTTCTGAAAAAATAGAGATGCTCAAAAATCCATGTATATGTGAATATCTTGTGTTTGAAAAAAGATGAAATAATGAGTGAGAAAAGCAGACTATTCATTATTATAATAATTATCTATATTTGAAAAAGGATAAAATGGAATACAAAAAAAACAAAATTATAAACAAGTCCCAGATGGATTAAATAATTAATTAAAATGCACAAGTACAAACTTTCAGAGGACAGCATAAAAACTATTGATCTAACATCAGTGTAGGGAAGTACTTTTTAAGTAATTTCAAAAGATCAACAAGCTGTCCTCAAATCAGTTGTGCATTTTGACTACATTAACATTAAAACTTCTTTTTTCCAAATGACTCCATTAATAATAATGATAACAAATTGTTATATAGTGCTTATTTTGACCTGGACTTGTTCTCTTCCTTCTGTTAATATTAACTCACTTGATCTTCAAAGTATCTATCAGGTAGATAATGTTGTTATCATAATTTTTCCTGAGACAATATTGAGGCATGGTAGATCAAGTAATTTCCTCAAGATTGAACAACTAGTTCAATTTAATTAACTTAATTAAAAGGTGAACCAAAGATTTACAGCCTTTTAAATGAATAAATGCATATACAAACAAATAACACACCACATGGCAAACCAAAAGAACACTCTCTAGAATAGATTAAAATTTCAGCAAATTAATGAGAAAAATTAAAAATTGGAAACCTTAGAGAAATAAGTAAAGTTAAGGTTTTGTTGTATTAAAAGGTAAAGTGAAGCACAACATGATTAAAGGGTTTATTTGAGCAAACAATGATTAATGAATTAGGCAGCTCGAAACCCAGATGTGGTTTGGGGGTTCCACCAAGGGAACTCAAGGGGAGGCTTTTATAGGACAAACATGGAAGTAACGCAAATATACTGTTGATTGGTTATAGTTATCCAGTTGCCTTATTGGGTCTGTTTTGCTGGAAAGGTTCTAGTTTTGTAAGTACAAGTTAGTTGGTGGCTTCTCATTCGTTAGCCTTAACTTCATTTTTTTTTAAATATAGGCATTTACAATAAATATTGCAAGTTTTGCTTATGCTTGCAATTTTTTAGGCTGTTTTAGTGTTGCTATAAAGAAATAACTGAGTCTGGGTAATTTATAGTGAAAAGAGGTTTAATTGGCATACAGTTCTGCAGGCTGTACAGGAAGCATGGGGCAGGCATCTGCTCTGTTTCTGGGGAGGCCTCTGGGAGCTTCCACTCATGGTGGAAGGTGAATGGGGTTGGGCAGGGGGATCTCACATGGAGGGAGCTAGAGCAAGAGAGAGGTGGGGAAGGTGCCACACACTTTTAAAACAACCAGGTATCACAAGAACTCTTAACTGTCACAAGGACAGCACACAGGGGATGGTACTAAACCATCGATGAGAAACCCGCCCCCATGATCCAATCACCTCACACCAGGCCTCACTTCCAATATTGGGCATGACAAGTTGACATGAGATTCGGTGGAGACGTAGATTCACACCGTTTCACCAATCGAGCAAGGTGAAGGTGGCTCATGAGACCTAACTGGCTTTATGTGCTCAGGTACTTTGCCCGCCTGCTGGTGTCCATTTTTTTTTTTTTTTTTTTTTTTTTTGAGACAGAGTCTCGCTCTGTCACCCAGGCTGGAGTGCAGTGGTGCCATCTTGGTTCACTGCAAGCTCCGCCTCCCGGGTTCATGCCATTCTCCTGCCTCAGCCTCCCGAGTAGCTGGGACTACAGGCGCCCACCACCATTCCCGGCTGATTTTTTTTTATTTTTAGTAGAGACGGGGTTTCACTGTGTTAGCCAGGATGGTCTCGATCTCCCGACCTCGTGATCTGCCCGCCTCGGCCTCCCAAAGTGCTGGGATTACAGGCGTGAGCCACCACGCCCGGCCTTTTTTTTTTTTTTTTTTCTTGAGACAGTGTCTCACTCTGTCACCCAGGCTGGAGTGCAGCGGCTCGGTCTTGGCCCACTGCAATCTCTGCCTTCCAGGTTCAAGCGATTCTCCTGCCTCAGCCTGCCAAGTAGCTGGGATTATAGGCACCTGCCACCACGCCCAGCTAATTTTCGTATTTTCAGTAGAGACGGGGTTTCACCATTTTGGCCAGGCTGGTCTCGAACTCCTGACCTCAAGTGATCTACCCACCTCGGCCTCCTATAGTGCTGGGATTATAGGTGTGAACCACCACACCTGGCTGGCCTGGTGTCCATTTTAATTTACTTCACCAGTTGTCATATTTGGCTGATGAAATTATGCATCAGAAATAGAGGGCAAAATATTCTCACTCAGAAATGAATAGAAACTTCCATTTGGAGTTCATCAGCAAGGGAGGCAGCTTACTTCTATGGTGTGTTCCAGGCCTACCGAAGCCAAGTTTCCTTTCAACAGCACACAGGCACTGGCAGTAATGAGATGGAACTGTGTGATAATCCAGCAAGAGTGGAGAATCTCAACTCTGCTATCGTCAAGGGGAGCAGAAGTAATATATAAGGATTATGAAAAAAGAAATATAGCTATTAATATATGATTACAGTATATGTACACACAGACATGCAAACACATGTACATGTACATGTGCATACACACATACATTATGGCCACCTGCTTATCAGTCTGTCCCCAGACTCTTTGGAGATGTTACCTGCATGTCTCTTGGCTCACAGGTTTAAGCAATTGTGGAAGAAAAACCAACCCAAATGTATTCACGTGTTTACTGAAGACTGGACGAATCGAGATCCCTTCTTTGCCATAGAATCCCGGGACACACCAGACTCCAGGTTTGAGGTCCCTTCCCAGAGAGGAGCAGGCAATTTGCAAAGGAAGGAACTTGAGTCACTAATAAATATATGGAAACATATCAAATCAGTCTTAAACAGGAAACATAAATTAAAACCACTATGAAATGACATCGGCAAAAGTTGAAGAGTCTAATAATGCTGTATGTGGAAGATTATGGGAAATAGGAGGAAATCTAAATTGTGGGTGGGAGTACAGATTGGCTCAACCGCTTTGGAAAATACCTCGGCAATAACTAGTAAATGTGAAGATGCTCACATACAAATATACAGCTTCATTCTACATACATATTCCACACTACCGAACTATGCGCACCAGGACACAGGCACAAGAATGCTTATTGCAGGATTATTTATAACAATGAGAAACAAAAACAACTTTCCCTCAAAAGCTGAATGTGTAAGCAAGTTTTGTTCATTTAATTCAGTGAAATATCACACGGCAGATCATTGGATAAACTATATCTACATATCACCATTGTTAAAATTTCAACAGAATACTGTTGAGTTTAAAAAAACAAGTTGAAAACAAATATATAATAAGTATTGTGACATTATTTATATGTTGAAAAATATGATGATAATATTTACATTATCTATATGTCCAAATATACCTTCTAAAAGCATAATAAGTAAAAACATGCATACTAAACTAGAGATGATTGTTTTTGTGGAATGAAGTAAAGAAATGGATGTGGGTTAAGGTTTTAACTGTACATATAAAATAATGACTTTTAAATTAAAAAGCAGCAATAGAGAAGTCTGGGGCTACTAAAGACAAATTATCTATTGGTTTAATTTTGGTGATGGGTCTATGGATGTCTATAATGTTTTTCTATAAATTTTGTGTGTAAGAGTAATATAAGATATTTTATTTTTAGAAACAGAAGACAAAATAAAGGAGGGAAAGAAGAAAGAGAAAAAAGGGGGAGGCAGAAGAGGAGGGGGAGGAAGAATGGAGAAAACATAGACAGAAACCCACAGGAGCTAAAATTGTAGAAGTCATTTACAGCCAGGGAAAAAGTCTAGAACTGACGCTGATGCAGGCCAAGGGTGGAGGCAGGTGTGGGCTTTGCATGTCACACCCATGGCAGAATAGGAGGCATGACCACAAGTCATTGAGAGGTAGGGAGCTGACACCCATGCTCTGATAAAGCCAGGAATCTCAAGGACCGTCCTTCATTCATGGGAATGGAGCTAGGACCACTTTGTTCTCCAGCTGAGAGAGTAACAAGTCAGCCGATGCCCACTCATGAATGTGGGTGAAGCTCTCCCCGCAACAATCACTCTATGTGTCCTGCAGGAACTCCAAGCAGAGAAGTTATTTAAAAAAATGTGTCAAGAACAAGAGAAATGTTATAAAGACAGCTTTCACAAACCGGGGCCCCTAGGGCTACCTCCAAATTAAGGCCCATACGTGTATAATGTGATTGGTTTCCAGAGGGAAAATTGAAGTGACGAATGTTTTCCAAGAAGCTGGTATACTTGTTTCTGAGATCTTTAGTTAAAATACAGAAATATTCTCATGTAACTTTGTTTAAAACAGTAATTTTTACTTACATTTATTTCTCTACTTATTTTTAAAAACAGTCATTTTTTTAAAGATCTTAGACTTTACACTCACACTTACTAATGGGTTAGGAATGATTCCGATACTAGCGCAGAAGACGTGGCGAGTACTACACAGCAATATTAGAGAAGAAGGAAGTTAACATATCAATGACCTCAACCTTCACGTTGGAAAAAAAAAAAACAGAAAAGGAAAATCAAACTATATTCCAACTGAGTAAAAAAGAGAAAACAACCTTCATGTTGGAAAAAAAAAAAAAAAACAGAAAAGGAAAATCAAACTATATTCCAACTGAGTAAAAAGGAGAAAACAAAATTAGAGAGTTAATACGTGAAATAGAAAATGGAAAAACAATGGAAAACATCAATAAAACCCAAAGCTGATTCTTTCAGAACAGCAACAAAGTTGCTAAACCAGTGATCAGGAAAGAGAGAGAGCGAGGACTTCCAACACAAAAAGTATAATAAAGAACTATTATGAATAAACTTTTTACCAACAAATTCAACAACTTGGATAAAATGGATCAATTGTCACGCCTGTTATCCCAGCACTTTGGGAGGCCAAAGCGGGCAGATCATCTGAGGTCAGGAGTTTGAGACCAGCCTGGCCAACATGGCAAAACCCCATCTCTACTTAAAATACAAAAAAAAAAAAAAAAAAAAAAAAAAAAATAGCCAGACATGGTGGCGCATGCCTGTAATCCCAGCTACTAGGGAAGCTGAGCCTGGAGAATCACTTGAACCCAGGAGGTGGAGGTTGCAGTGAGCTGGGATTGTGCCACTGCACTGCACCCTGGGCAACAGAATGAGACTCTGCCTCAAAAACAAACAAACAAACAGAAAAATATTTTTCAAATTATTATTTGAGGCAAGGAATAATTTAATACCCAAACCAAGAAAAAGGCATTTGCAAGAAAAGAAAACTATAATCCAATATCTCCCATAAACACAGGTACAAAAATTTCAAACAAAATTATGCAAATAAAATTCAACAGTATATAAAAAGGGATGATACATCATGACCAACTGGAGTTGATCTCAGGAATTCTGAATGGGCTCAGCATTTCAAAATCAACCAATATAGTTCATCGTATTAACAGACTGAAAAAAATAAAGATACTATGATCAGGTAAATAGATGCAAAAAACAATAGCCAATATCTATTCCTTATAAAACCTCTCAGAAATGAAAGAATAGAAGGAAGCATCCTCAACCCGACTTTTTGAAAAAATCTACAGCTAATATTTATTTAATCGTGATTTACTTAATGTCCCTCCCAAGATTAGGATATCTATTCTCACCACTTCTAGATATTTTACTCAGAGCAATAAAGAAAACGCATTCTAATTAGGAAGAATGAAGTAAAACTGTCTTTATTTAAAAATAACAAGATTATCTATGTAGGAAATCTGAGGTTATCTCCAAAAGCTAGGGAAGCTAATAAGTGAGTTTAGCAAGTTTGCAAGATATAGGATCAATAAACACATGCTAATTGCGTTTCCACTAGCAATGAATAATTGAAAATTAAAATGCAAATATCAATAGCATCAAAAATATACATCTGAGAAAAGACTTGCAAGAAGCAGAGCGCTGAAAACTACAAAACGTTTCTGAAAGAACTTAAAGAAGACTGGATAAATGGAGTGATAAACTGTGATCTTGGGTTGGCAGATTTAATATTGTTAAGATGTCTATTTTTTTTTTCAAATTGGCCCGAAGTTTAAACTCAATCCCAATCAAAATTTCAGCAGATATTTTTGGTATAAATGGGCAAACTGCCTCTAAAATTTATAGGGGAATGCAAAGGACATACCTCAAACAATATTGAAAAATAACAAATTCAAGAAATAATATTCCCTGACTTCAAGACTTATGATAAAGCCCATCAGTCAAGGCCATGTGGTATCAAGATTGACTGATAGATCATTACAACAGAAAATAGAGTTAAGGAACATAGCCACACATATATGAACAAACGATTTTTGGAAAAGTGGCAAAGACTATTTGGTGATGATGTGATAGTTTTTTGAACAAATTTTGCTGGAATTTTTTTTTTTTTCTTTTGAGATGGAGTCTTCCTCTGTCACCCAGGCTGGAGTGCAGTGGCGCGATCTCGGCTCACTGCAACCTCCACCTCCTGGATTCAAGCGATTCTCCTGCCATAGCCTCCTAGTAGCTGGGACTACAGGCACGTGCACACACAGCTAATTTCTGTATTTTTAGTAGAGACAGGGTTTGACCGTGTTAGCCAGGATGGTCTCAATCTCCTGACCTTGTGATCTGTGAGACTCGGCCTCCCAAAGTGCTGGGATTACAGGCGTGAGCCACCGTGCCCAGCTGCTGAAATATTTTAATATCCATTTGTAAAATAAAAATAAACTTTGAACTATACCTTTATATCGTATACAAAATTTGTCTAAAAAGAGACCGTAGAGCTAAATACAAAATCTAAAAATAAACATCAAGAAGAAAACACAGGATCCTTGTGACATTGGCTTAGATCAATATGTGTTAGACATGACACCAAATCCCAGTCTGTAAAATAAAAAGACTGCAAATTGACCTTCATCCAAATTAAAAACTTCTCTTCTTCAAAACACAGTTTCAGAGAATAAAAACAGAACAAAAGATTGAGTAAAATATTTGCAAATCCTGTGTCTAATAAAGAACTTTTACCACAAATGTGAAAAAAACAAAACTTGATAATAAGAAAACAAAGAGTCCAATTTAAAAATGAACAAATGATCTGAACAAACACATTGCCAAAGAAAGGACACTGATGTCAAACGATCACATCAAAGATGCTCAGCATCCTGTGTCATTAGGGAAGTGCAAATGAAAACCACAGCAATACCACTGCATACCTGCTAGGATGACCAAGTTGCAGAAAAATAAATAAAATAAAATAATGTAAAATAAAGGTAAGCCTACAAAGTGTCAGGGAAGATATGGAGAAACTCAAGCACGTGTATACTGCTGATAGGAATGTAAAATGACAATAAGTTTGGAAAACAGTGTATGTTTCTGCAAAAGTTAAACATGCCCTCCCAATATGATTTGGCCATTCAATTTCTAGAAATTTACCCTCCAGAAATGAAACCAAATGTATACACATATACATTTGCACAATGCGTGTTTATTACAACCATATCATAGTCAACAACGAGAAATAGCTCAAGTGCTCATCAAGAGGTGAACAGATAAACCAGCTGGGGTATATGCACCCAGTGGAATACTATTCAGCCATGAAAAAGAATGAACTATGGATACACGCTACGACATGGATGGATGTCAAAATAATTACTCTGAGTGAAAGGAGTCAGGAAAAAAATGATACGTTGTATGATTCCTATACATTTCTAAAACATGCAAACTCATCTGCAGAGCTCGAAAGCAGATCAGTAGTCATTTGAGGATCACAAGGGAGGGTGAAAAGGAGGAATCACAGTGAAACTTTTAGAGATGATTAGTATGTTCATTATCTTGATTGTGGTGATAGTTCATGGGTGAGAACTTATGTTAAAGCTCATCAAACCGAACACTTCAAATATGTGCAGTCAATTTTATGTCAAATAGACCTCAATAAAGCTGATTTTCAAAGTCTTATTAAGATCATCACGTTAATTAGCTTAATAACCATTCCAGCTTGCACATTGAAACACGCATTTTCTTTTATTTCCTCCTAACAGGCAAGGCTGCAGGAGGCAGCTGAATCATCACTTCTGGCTTGACCATGCTCTTTCTTGCTACTGGCGAAGTGAAGCCCACCCAGGGGAGTGTTCCCACATGCACAGAAAGCACACATTGACCTGGCAGATGTGATATGAACATGGAATTGGGACCTACGGAACCTGCCCATTTTATATGGGCAAGTCTTGGTGTTTAGAATGATGTGCTGATTTACTTAGGATTAAGCTTATGTGTCTTTGTTCACTTAGTTAAAGCAAGAGGCTGACAATATCCCAGTGATGCCAATATATGAAAGAAAACTCCAGGGCAGCGTTTATCACAGTGGACATCTTGTTACAAAGCATGTCCACTTCAGAAAAATGCAAAAAAAAAAAAGACATAATTGCTTTTTTGCTTCAGTGGAGGGTATATTTTTAATCATGTGAGCTCTTTATAAACTCAAATCGACTTTATTTTTTAACGTGTATGTCTTGCTTGGAAAGAAACCTTCATTCCTTTCCTCAGTTCTGTGACTTCACCACTGCACAAGTGCCACTTGTCACCCTTGGACTTGCCCGTCTTCCCAGACCAGCTTATTCCACTCAGAACAGCAATGGCAATGCAGTTTCTGGAACTTTCTCGCTGGTAAACACCAGCTCCTTCTGTATTCCGAATACCTTATTGTTTTGTGACATTATGGTGATGTCCGAGGAATCATTCTTGGTTGATCCTGAGATTAACTGGGTCTAGGAAACATTTGTTTGTGTGAATATGTTTTCACCGCCCCTGCCCTCAGATCAAGATACGGCTCTGAGACTTATGGCAGCCTGTTCATGAGGCAAACTTTCCGAGTTTCAGCCTCTTCGTTTTTGAAATTGTACGTGTTTTTGCCACAGTATTGACATGATTGCATGAAGAGGTATTACGTGTATGTGAAAATATTCAGTAGAGTGCCCCGGGAATTTCTGGCTCCCAAGAAGTGTTAGTTCTTGCTCAATAATCACCCTTGCCATCTGACTGCTATATCAGAAGGTATTCACTTAGCAGTAATTAAGAGGAAAAGCTGATTTTTATCGGCTGCAATTGTTAAGATTAGATTCACACACTGGCAGCTGCCCATGCATTCCTGGTGTAAATGTAGTCCTGTGGCGCCACCCACTGACTGATTCTGGACAGCTGCATGGCTGGTGGCTCTCTAGACTAGACACTTCAACCAGATTCACGCCCAACTCATTTCCCACTGCAATGGTGACTGTGAAATTCATGCAGCTCACAAAGGAAAATGATTTCTCTAAAAGCCTTAATGGTTTTTAAAGTCTTTGGTCAAGAGCCAAGTTAGGTTTACGATGGTAAAAAAAAAAAAAAAAAAAAAAAGCAAGAAAGGAAAATGAAATATTCTCTGTTTATGTATTATGGTCAGATACATTTCAGAAGACATGTTTTAATTAAACCCCTGAGTAGTGAGAAGCTAACCAGTATTTTCTGTCTTCTATGCATCAAGAAAAGTACATGTAAATCAACGTGTTTAAAATAAATAGCAAATCACAAGAATATTGTAGGATTCATTTTTCTTCATTCACCATGGATAAAATCACCATTAAGAGAAGTGCTTTGGAAATTTTTATTTTATGATGTTAGTTCCCCTTTCTCCATTGAAATAAAGGAATATCATGCCACTCACACTAGAATTGAAGAAGAAAAGTTACACTAGGCAAAACCCTCCAAAATATTCTGGAACACCTAATAAAACCAAAGAAATTGCTCTTTAATAGGCCATGGAAAATGTTGCAATTATTACCCAGTGAACCACATAAATTCTTTCGAGTTACATTTTAACTGTAGACTTTCATTTCTATTCCCCAGCAATACAGAAGGAAAACAATTCCAGGCTAATGTTTAGTTCAAATTGAAGGGGAAAAAATGCTTTTCCTGATTCAGATGCCGCATTAACTGCACTAGTGAAAGATTGTGACTTAAATATAACCTGTGTGTCCCTTGTCCTAAAATACGAGTTGGAAAATCCCAAACCTTGTTTCTAAATTTTGTATTTTGAGAAAATTAAAGCTCAGAGGAGTTAAATGTTGAATCCAGTCAGATTACACAGCTGGTTAGTGATAGAACTGGAGAAAGAGATAGATTTTTGGTTCTCAGTTGAGTGGTCTTTTCCCCTTCACTACACTCCTCTCAACGAAATATTAATATTTATGTGGTCATATACATGAGCATATTATAATTTATACTAAAAGTAAAAATGTACTTTCTAAAAACTTTGGAGGAAAACTATCTTCTTAGACATACGGTGGAGAAGTCAAAAGCAAATAAAATATCTTGGGTTATAAAATTTATAAATTTAGAATGCTGTTTCTGCTTTCATGACTGTAAATATGATATTTTTCTTAAGTCTTTGAAATTTCCATGGACTTCTTTCTGCTGACTGATAGATTTCAAAGTCCTGGCACTTCTCAGTTTAACACTGTTGTCTGCAAAATGAATTGTAGGTAACCACATAATAACCAGGATTATGTATCTTAAGATGAATCATTCATTAATTTTTGTCTTCATGATAAAATCTATGTCTGTTCATTCTAAGTTTCTTCAACAGGCAAACATATTTCAAAGTGTAAAAAATATAATGAAGTCATCAATAATTCTGTTACTGAGCATGTCCAAACAAAATAAAATTACAATTTTGGCATACTTCCCAGAGTCTCTCTCTCTCCTTCTTCCTCCTTCTCATCTCAGTCTCTAACTTGTCCATATTGCTTTTCTCATAGTAAATGAGGTAAGCTCATGGTGACTGTTGAAAAACTTCCTTACTTGAGAATATTTTCTGTCTTATATAGGAATAGAAAAAGTTAACAAACATAATTTCCAAATAGAAGGGCTGTGAGCTGGGAAAATTTACACATTTTCTGAATTTGAAGGGCCTAGGACTCTCAGGCTCTTTTCACTTGGGATCGACTATTCCAAGTATGAGCATGCCTGTGTGTGTGTGTGTGTGTGTGTGTGTGTGTGTGTGTGTGTGCTCAGGCCCTGTTGTCAGTGTTTACTGCGGTCTTCAAAAAAAGGCCTTGTGTAGTCTATTTTTTACATTCTGCATAAAATTTTAATGTAAACACTGATTTTGTTAATCTTTGGTCTATTTTGCAAATATTGATGCTTTCTTATTTAATTATGATTCCTTTTTTGATGTACTGAAATTAAAAATCACATAGAAAAATTTATCAAAATGTTTTCAAGGTTTTCTTTCTCTCTCTTGTTTTTTGAGTTAGCAACTTCCTCTTGCCCTTGAGATCTGACATATATATTCATTCATCTTCATTCATCTGCCTTTTGTGGTTTATTAATAGATTCATTAAATATATATTCTAGCCAAAATTTATTTTGGACGTCTCAAAAATAAACCATCTACATTCATCTTTTCCAGGAAGTTAACAAAAAGCATCATGTTTTATCACCAATTTGACACTTTAAAACATAATTTTTATGTTTGTTACGGTTTTTTCACAAATTGAATTAGAGAAGTTGGTTGTCTAATTCGTTTTGTTTCACGAGTATCTTCTGTTCATCTACTGTAATTTTTTATATCAGTAACATACTTTCTGATAACTGTTACAGAGCCAGGAGTTCTTGATCATCGGTTTTGGATGTAGTTTTCTGCCCTTTTATTTTATACTTCTTTTGTATAATCACATTTGAGAAGACATCAATGAAGAGGGTTATAATTTCTCTGGATGTAATTAAACCTTAAGTTTAAAAAATAAAGATATTTTTAAAAATAACATTTTAAGGCATGTCTTAAATATTTCAAAGCATGTCATGCCTATTTATTTAAAAGACAGTCAGGCTTCAGATAAGATTTGACATTTTCTTCAGGTGCATTCCCTATATTTTTTATTTTAATGTTTTTACAGATATTTTCCACTCTTGTGGCCATTGTGAACAGGATGTTAGTAATCATTATAGTTCTATAACTTGTAATATTCTATATTAAAGGATGCTTTTAATTTTGTACAATGAATCATCTGATAAAATGTTACACTATTTTAAATTATGTTTATTCATTTCTCTGTAGTTTGTCAACTAGAATCACAGGGCTTGAAGTTACTTACACGTACTTTTTATCTTTATAGAAAGTCACTTCATTTTTATGGTGTATTTCATATAATTATCTAAAAAATGTTTTAAAATGTTAAGTGATAAAGAGGATATTCAGTTTTTTACTTACATAAAATTGTTCTAATTAAATGCTTTTATAAGATTTTGATTATTTGCATAAATAGAGGTGATGTACGTTAAAGAACTTTCTACTTCAAGTTTCCTGAGTGATCTTCATTTACTTGCTTTTTTTCTTGTTTTAATCAGAAAGGAATATTGAAGATGATGAAATTACTTTTATAGCTCTATTGGAATTATCACTATGAACACATAGGCCATATGAGGGGATTTACTAATATTTGTATTCTACTTCACTTTTCTACAGCTGATGTCATTAAATCTATTCTACAATTTCTTTGAGTTTGGTAATTTAATACTTTATTCACTAGGAATGTTAGTACATTTAATTTAATTTAATTTTTTGGTTTAATTATGAAACTAATTAAGGCTTTAAATTTACCTCTGAGCACTCTATTAGTTAAATCTCCTAAGGACTTTTTGCAGATATATCTTCTTAATTTTAAATGTAATCAAGAGATGTTAACATACATTTTAGAAAAGAATTTAGGTAACTCTAACATTTATTTTACAAGAGACCCAGAAATAGCATTATTTCCATTTTTATTCTCTGTTGCTGCAAAATAAACTTTTTCATGTTACAACAACAATATGGTTATTCTGCGGATTGACTGAGCTCAGATATATGGTTTCCAGCTTTGTGCAATGTTGGCTGGAGCTGGAACCACTGGAAAAGTTCCAGCTTTCCACTATCTTGTGAATCTACATTGTTTACAACATTACAATACCACTTCTAGTTTCCAGAGAAACTTTTCACATGAGGACAAAGAAATATGCACATGGACATTCAGAGTAGCACATCCGTATCCGTCATAGCAACAACTGGAAATAACTGAAAGGCCTACTGGCAGGAGAATGGATAATAGTATCTCACAAGGTAGAACTAGACAATGGTGTAGATAAACTCATTGCAATTACATGCAAAAATACGTGTGAATTGGGCTGGGCATGGTGGCTCATACCTGTAATCCTAGCACTTTGGGAGGCCAAGGCAGGTGGATCACTTGAGGTCAGGAGTTCGAGGCCAGCCTGGCCAATATGGTGAAACCCCATCTCTACTGAAATAATACAAAAATTAGCCAGGTATGGTGGTGGCACCTGTAATTCCAGCTACTCGGGAGGCTCAGGCATGAGAATCACTTGAACCTAGTAGGTGGAGGTTGCAGTGAGCCGAGATCATGCCACTGCACTCCAGCCTGACACTCTGTCTCAAAACAAAAAAAAGTGTGAATCTTAATGATGTAACTTGAATGAAAAGAAAGCCCCAGAGCATATCTATTAATATGTATATGTTATATATATATAGCAATGTATATGGCTATATAAAAATATTTTATATAAATGTACGTACATGCGTCTTTATATATATTATATAACATGTTACATATACATATACATATATTACATACACATGTATTACATGTATAACATATACATGCAATATATATGTATATAATATATGTATATAATGTATGCATGTGTATTCAATGTATGTAACACATATATAAAACATGTTACATATACATATATTACATATATACATAATATATTGTATATTACATATGTACACATATACATATATAATACATATATATGTAATCCAAAAATGAAGAAAAGTACTAAAGTAAGGCAATAATTAACACCACAGTCAGGTGGAGCTTAACTTGACGGGTTGAGAAGTCAGGGGCTTGGCATAGGTTCAGAACCCTTGGGCAGCTGCATAACATTGGTAATGCTCTAGCTGTTGAGCTGGGCTGCAGGCTCATTATATTACTACATCAATGGATTCCTTAATTAAACTATAAGAGAGTCATGATTCATGGACCAAGGACCAGTATATAGCACACTGTCGTGCTCTCCACACATACGCTTTATCCATCTTTTTCCTGTGACTGTTCTTGCAGCAACCAACCCCAGTTTACACCACTGATCTTTCTCTTTCCACAAGCACTTTTGCTGTCCCTCTGTGAAACTTCAGCCATTTTTGACTCAGACGCAAACCTACAAGTTCAAAGGATTCAGCCCCTTATGGAACTTTCCTGGACCAAGGGAGATTGAGAGCCAATGGACAAATTGTAGAATTTTCCAACGAAGCCATCTGGCCCTGGAGTTCTCTTGTTGGAAATTTTTTAATTAAAAATTTAATTTCCTCAAAGGGTATGTGACTGCAGTTTACCTATTTCTTTTTGAATGGGTTTGGTAGTTTAAGTCTTTCAAATAATTTGTCCATTTGATCTAAGTTGGTAAATTCATAAATACTAAGTTGGTCATAATACTGTCATTATGATTTTAACATCTGTACAGTTTGTCACAACTTTCTCTCTTTTATTTCTGACATTGGTAATTTATGGCCCTTCTCTTTTTCCTTATCAGTCTAGCTAGAGGGTCATCAAAGACCCAAGTTTCTGTTTGACTAATTGTCTCTATTGCTTTTCTGTTTTCAATATAATTAAATTCAGCTCTCATCTTTATTATTTCCTTTGTTCGTTTTGGATCTAATTTGTTCTTTTGCTAGTTTCTTAAGGTGGAGTGGTCCACTGTTTGGTAAGACTAGAAAAGAGTGAATTGTGTTACATGGTCCCAAGGGGCTGACAGAAAACTCTCCTGACATCTGTTTAGCTAAGGTTGGAGATTAAAAGAGTTAAAGTTGTTAGAATAGTGCTTAATTCAAGGGAAGCACTGTATTACTATTATTCTTATTATTATTTCATTTTTAGAATTTTTGAATACTTGTGTTTTTATGGCTTACGTCATTCACATTATTTCATACTCTTGCTGTTTTTCTATCTTTCTGACTCCATAATATCTGCTGAACATACTGTTTTCTTATGAATTAGACAACTTACAGATTTGATGTCTTTTCCTGCCCTTTCTATAATAAATGTTCTGTTGTGTTTATATTCTTAATATATACTTATAAAACTTTTTATCCCTAAAGTTACATACAGTATAGCGAAATAAACAAATTGCCACTACTTAAAAAAACAGTACATTCATATATGCTGGAATTTTTGAAATTCTCCCATGTTCTTTCTCGGTATTTTATAACGGTTTTCATTTGTAGGTTACATCTGTCTTCAAATGGAGCAACTATTGTGTATAATTTTATATTTGTAACTGTACTTTATCATTGTCTCTTATTTTATTATGAAATGAGCCCATGTTTCTATGCATTTTCAAGTTCTTGATGTTTCCAATTGTCTATATTTCTTTAAAAAATGATTCTTTGGACATTTTTATATTGAAGAAGTAATACACATTTGTTGTACAGATGAAATAACATAAATCAAAAGTATAAAACATAAAATAAAATCTAATTTTATTCTTCATCCCTGGTGTGATCTGGCTCTGTGTCTTCACCAAAATCTCATCTTAAATTGTAATCTGAATTGTAAGCCCCATGTGTTGGGGGAGAGACCTCGTGGGAAGTGACAAGAACATAAGCGCGGTCCCCCCAGTGCTGTTCTCATGATAGTGAGTGAGTTCTCACTAGATCTGATGGTTTTATAAGAGGCTTTTCTCTCCTTCACTCTGCAGTCATTCTCTCTCCTGCCACCATGTGAAGAGGTGCCTTCCACTATGATTGTAAGTTTCCTGAGGCCTCCCAAGCCATGTGGAACTGTGAGTCAATTAACCCTCTGCTCTTTATACATTACCCAGTCTCGGGTATGCCCTTATAGCAGTGTGCAAACAGACTAATACAATCAACATCTGAGGTATCAGATTAACAACTTGCTATGTTCATTTCTAGCAGATTGTATTTTTCTCCAAACAGCCACAGCAATACATCTGAACTTACAAGCTCTTCCAGAACCTTGCTGATCTCCATAAGAGATGCTTTTTATTTCACTCTCTTCTTTCATTGTCTACTGTAGTGCTGTATGTAGTGCATCTTCCTTCAGCATAGAATTTCATATACTAAGAAGAGCACAAAGGCAGAGAATACTGTTACTGAAGGCACTATTAGAGCACGCATACTTGGAAGGAGAAGTATAACTGATATTTGCAATTCTAGAGATTTTTGAAAAAGGAGTTTATAACAAGAATGATCAAAATAGGTTTGATGAAATTATTGTCAGTGGGGTCAAAGAGATTAAGGAAGTCCCAAAATAAACTCTGTATAATGATGACTGAACCATCCAAAGCAGCAGGGACAGCCACATACACATGTCTCTCTGACACATACATGTCCATGGCTGCCAGTACAGGAAGGTGACCACCAACTCTCACATTGGACAGAGAAGCAGAAAAGTCAAAATTAGATAAGAAACCAGAATGAGAACTAAGGAGTATTCCAGCCTTTTTGACCAATGTAAAGTCACCATCATCTTTCCCAGGAGGCGATGTTCACTGTCACAATTATGTCTATTACTTTAGGTTAGACTCAATGTCAAAGTTCAAGAAAAGTATAATGATGTTTATGTATCTTTTCACGTTATCGTCATTCTCTTTTGTACTGAGTACAGAAGAATAGGTGCCTCTATTGTCGCAACTTTCTTCTTGACTTCTAGCATGAAGCCAAGTTAGCTGTAAAATCATCTCGTATCCTTGCATCCTGCAAACATGCTGGATGATTCACATAGTTTTGTGAGGAACACAGTCAGGTTGTAATTATTACTATACTATCAGAACCTACATTTTCTCCCATCCCAATCCTTTTAGCAGGCATCTGAAAAAGCTACCTCTCCTATTTCCAAACAAAACAGATTACACATAGTTCAAGAATTATTTGTGTAGCCACATGTTCTGGAAGAGTTAAAATTTATTATGTCTTAGAGCAAAGAAAAGAAATGAAGCTATCAGAAATGACAACTTGTACTCTACCTCTTTTACTTTCCCTTTTACTCAACTAAATTATTCTTCATTGCACTTTTTACCACCTGACATCATATTAAATTTGGTTTCTCATTCTCTCTTTCCTCTTCATAATTTAAATTTTGCTTTATGTGGCTATTCAAAACCTTCCTTTTCAACATTATATCTCCAGTATCTAAAAGCTGTTAGACACTCAGCAAATATTTATTAAAGAAATTAATGTGTGATCTGAGAAAATGGTGCCTCAGTCAAATGATGAAATGAGCTCTGGTATCACTGACAACTATGTAAATTCTTTGCTGCAGTTCATGGAACAAATGACGGCACTATCACATCCCTCCAGGTTACAACCTAGAGGAAAAGCTGCTGAGGGTAGTGGACCAAGTCCTGCATTTCGTTTGTTGAAGAAACTCAAATGGTATCAAAGACAAATTCTTGTATTTTGTAAAGTTCAAATACATTAATATCTTCTAAACCAGGAAAATTTCTTTTGCTAGGCAGAATATCAAGTTTAAATTCATCAATTTATTAATGCATAAATTTCACTTATTAATCATGTGCCCCCACTTGCCACCTAGTTTTGCCACCTTGACAAAGAAAGATGCCTCATATCTCATAGCAAAGCTTTGCCTTCTGTGACTGCATGAGTTGACAAGGACTGTGCCCCAAATCCCCAAAGCAGTGTGTTCAATGCTGTACAAATAGTTAACTTCATCAAAGCTGAGACTTTCAACCATCATCTTTTCAAGACAATTTACTAAGGAAATGGAAGATCCCAGTGGACATCTTTAAGTGTTTGATTGAAATGCTAAGAAATAAGAAAAACAGGAAGAAGCTGATTTTATGAACTATTGAACAAACAAGAAGCCATTCATGAGCTGATGTCCTGGAAGTATTCCTAGATGTGTGAATAACGCAAAGGCTTTGATTCAAAGGCCCCTTGGCCTCATTATGCACAAGCTTCTGCCCTAGACAGAAGCCTCATAGAAGAGATTGGGAGCACACAATGGTGTGAACTCTTCAGGGCTCAGGGAAAAGCTGTGAATGCTCTGTTTGAAAAAAAAATGGGGGGAGAAAGATGGCCGAATAGGAACAGCTCTAATCGGCAGCTCCCAGTGAGACCAATGCAGAAGGTGGGTGATTTCTGCATTTCCAACTGAGGCACCCAGTTCACCTCACTGAGACTGGTTAGACAGTGGGTACAGCCCACGAAGGGTGAGCAGAAGCAGGGTAGGGTGTCGCCTCACCTGAGAAGGACAAGGGGTCAGGGAACTCCCTCCCCTAGCCAAGGGAAGCCATGAGGGACTGTGCCGTGAGGGGTGGTGCTGCCCAGCCCAGTCACTATGCTTTTCCCACAGTCTTCACAACCTGCAGACCAGGGGATTCCCTCAGGTGCCTACACCACCAGGGCCTGGGGTTTCAAGCACAGAAACTGGGCAGCCATTTGGGGAGACACTGAGCTAGCTGCAGGAGTTGTTTTTTTTTTTTGTACCCCAGTGGCCCCTGAAATGCCAGCAAGACAGAACCATTCACTCCCCTGGGAAGAGGGCTGAAGCCAGGGAGCCAAGTGGTTTAGCTCAGTGGATCCCACCCCCATGGAGACCAACAAGCTACGATCCACTGGCTTTAAATTCTCACTGCCAGCACAGCAGTCTGAAGTCAACCTGGGATGCTCAAGCATGATAGGGGAAGGGCGTCCACCATTACTGAGGCTTGAGCAAGGGTTTTTCCCCTCACCATGTAAACAAAGCCACCAGGAAGTTCAAACTGGGCGGAACCCATCACAACTTGGCAAAACCGCTGTAACCAGGCTCTCTCTCTAGATTCCTCCTCACTGGGCAGGGCAGCCTTTCTGCTGAAAGAAAGGCAGCAGCCCCAGTCAGGGGCTTATAGATAAAATTCCCATCTCCCTGGGACAGAACATCTGGGGGAAGGGGCGGCTGTGGACACAGCTTCAGCAGACTTAAACCTTCCTGCCTGTTGTCTCTGAAGAGAGCAGCGGATCTCCCAGCAAAGCACTGGAGCTCTGCTAAGGGACAAACTGTCTCCTCAAATGGGTCCCCAACCCCCATGCCTCCTGATGGGGAGACACCTCCCAGAAGGAGTTGACAAACACCTCATACAGGAGAGCTCCAGCTGGCATCTGGTGGGTGCCCCTCTGGGACAAAGCTTCCAGAGGAAGAAGCAGGCAGCAATCTTTGCTGTTCTGCAGCCTCTGCTGGTGATACCCAGGAAAACAGGGCCTGGAGTGGACCTCCAGCAAACTCCAGCAGATGTGCAGAAGAGGGGCCTGACTGTTAGAAGGAAAAACTAACAAACAGAAAGCAATAGCATCAATATCAACAAAAAGGATGACCACACAAAAACCCCAATCAAAGGTCACCAACATAAAATATCAAAGGTAGATAAATCCATGAAGACGAGGAAAAAACAGTGCAAAAATGCTGAAAATTCCAAAAACCAGAATGCCTCTTCTCCTCCAAAGGATCACAGTTCCTTGCCAGCAAGGGAACAAAACTGGATGGAGAATGAGTTTGACTGAAGTAGGCTTCAGAAGGTGGGTAGTTACAGACTCCTCCAATCTAAAGGAGCATGTTCTAACCCAATGTAAGGAAGCTAAGAATCTTGGTAAAAGGTTACAGGAACTGCTAACTAGAATAACCAGTTTAGAGAAGAACCTAAATGACTTGATGGAGCTGAAAAACACAGCATGAGAACTTCGAGAAGCATGCACAATTATAAATAGCTGAATTGATCAAGCAGAAGAAACGATGTCAGAGATTGAATGTCAACTTAATGAAATAATGCATGAAGACAAGATTAGAGAAAAAAGAAGGAAAAGGAACAACAAAGCAACCAAAAATATGGGCCTATGTGAAAAGACCAAAGCTACATTGGATTGGTGTACCTGAAAGTGATGGGGAGAATGGAACTAAGTTGCAAAACACACTTCAAGATATAATCCAGGAGAACTTCTCCAACCTAGCAAGACAGGCCAACATTCAAATTCAGGAAATACAGAGAACACCACAAAGATACTCCACGACAAGAGTAACCCCAAGACACATAATCATCAGATTCACCAAGGTTTAAATGAAGAAAAAAATGTCAAGGGCAACCAGAGAGAAAGGTCAGGTTACCCACAAAGGAAAGCCCATCAGACTAACAGTGAATCTCTCTGCAGAAACCCTACAATTCAGAAGAGAGTGGAGGCCAATATTCAACATTCTTAAAGAAAAGAATGTTTAAACCAGAATTTCATATCCAGCCAAACAAAGTTTCATAAGTGAAGGAGAAATAAAATCCTTTAAAGACAAGCAAATGCTGAGGGATTTTGTCACCACCAAGCCTTCCTTACAAGAGCTCCTGAAGGAAGCACTAAATATGGAAAGGAAAAACCGGTAACAGCTACTGCAAAAACATACCAAAATGTAAAGACCATCGACACCATGAAGAAACTGCATCAACTAATGGGCAAAATAACCAGCTAGCATCATAATGACAGGATCAAATTCACACATAACAATACTAACCTTAAAGGTAAATGGGCTAAATGCCCCAATTAAAAGACACAGACTGGCAAATTGGATAAAGAGTCAAGACCCATCGGTGTGCTGTATTCAAGAGACCCATCTCACGTGAAAAGACACACATAGGCTCAAAATAAAGGGATTGAGGAAGACTTATCAAGCAAATGGAAGGTAAAAAGAAGCAGGGGTTGCAATCCTAGTCTCTGATAAAACAGAATTTAGACCAAGAAAGGTCAAAAAAGACAAAGAAGGGCATTACATAATGGTAAAGGGATCGATGCAACAAGAAGAGCTAACTATTCTAAATATATATGCACCCAATAAAAGAGCACCCAGGTTCATAAAGCAAATTCTTAGAGATGACCTACAAAGAGACTTAGACTCACGCCACTGTCAATATTAGACAGATCAACAAGGCAGAAAATTAACAAGGATATTCAGCACTTAAACTCAGCTCTGGAACAAGCAGACCTAATAGACATTCACAGAACTCTCCACCCCAAATCAACAGAATATAGATTCTTCTCAGCACCACATAGCACTTATTCTAAAACTGACCACCTAATTGGAAGTAAAACACTCCTCAGTAAATGCAAAAGAATGGAAATCATAACAGTCTCTCAGACCGCAGTACAAACAAATTAGAACTCAGGATTAAGAAACTCACTCAAAACTGCACAACTACATGGAAACTGAACAACCTGCTCCTGAATGACTACTGGGTAAATAACAAAATCAAGGTAGAAATAAATGATTTCTTTGAAAGCAATGAGAACAAAGACACAATGTACCAGAATCTCCGGAACACAGCAAAAGCAGTGTTTAGAGGGAAATTTATAGCACTAAATGCCCACATGAGAGAGCGTAAAATATCTAAAATTGACACCCTAACATCATAATTAAAAGAACTAGAGAAGCAAGAGCAAACAAATTCAAAAGCTAGCAGAAGACAAGACATAACTAAGATCAACAGAACTAAACTAAACCAAACTAAGATCAACAGAACTAAAGAAGGTTACCATAGCCTTGTAGTATAGTTTGAAGTCAGGTAGTGTGATGTCTCCAGTTTTTGCTTTTTGCTTAGGATTGTCTTGGCTATACGGGCTTTTTTTTGATTCCATATGAAACCAAAAAAAGCAGAACTAAAGAAGACAGAGACACGAGAAAACCTTCAAAAAATCAGTGAATCCAGGAGCTGGTTTTTTGAAAAGATTAACAAATAGATAGCTACCCAGACTAATAAAGAAGAAAGGGCAGAGCAGTATCAAATAGACAAAATAAAAAATGATAAAGGGGATATCACCACTGACCCCACAGAAATGCAAACTAACATCAGAAAATACTATAAACACCTCTATGCAAATAAACTAGAAAATCTAGAAGAAATGGATACATTCCTGGACACATACATCCTCCCAAGACTAAACCAGGAAGAAGTCAAATCTCTGAATAGACCTATGACAAGTTCTGAAATTGAGACAGTAATTAATAGCCTACCAACAAAAAAGCCCAGGACCAGAAGATTTACAGCTGAATTTTACCAGAGGTACAAGGAGATAGTACCACTCCTAAAACTATTAAACTATTCCAAACAATAGAAAAAGAGAGATTCCTCCCTAACTCATTTTATGAGGCCAGCACCATCCTGATACCAAAACCTGGCAGAAATACAAAAAAAATGGTAATTTTCAGGCCAATATCCCTGATGAACATTGATGCAAAAATCCTCAATAAAATACTGGCAAACTGAATCCAGCAGCACAATAAAAAGCTTATGCACCACGATCACTTTGGCTTCATCCCTGGGATGCAAGGCTGGCTCAACATGCACAAATCAATAAACATAATCCATCACATAAACAGAACCAGTGACAAAAAACACATGATTATCTCATTAGATGCAGAAAAGGCCTTCCATAAAATTCAACAGCCCTTCATGCTAAAAACACTCAATAAACTAGGTATTGATAGAATGTATCTCAACATAATAAGAGCTATTTATGACAAACACACAGCCAATATCATAATGAATGGGCAAAAGCTGGAAGCATTCCCTTTGAAAACTGGCACAGACAAGGATGCACTCCTCTCACCACCCCTATTCAACATAATAGTGGAAGTTCTGGCCAGGGCAATTAGCCAAGAGAAAGAAATAAGCTGTATTGAAATAGGAAGAGTGAAAGTCAAATTATCTCACTTTGCAGATGACATGATTGTATAACTAGAAAACCCCATCATCTCAGCCCCAAAACTCCTTAATCTGATAAGCAACTTTTGCAAAGTCTCAGGATACAAAATCAATGTGCAAAAATCACAAGCATTTCTATACACCAATAATAGACAAACAGAGAGCCAAATCATGAGTGAACTCTCATTCACAATTGCTACGAAGAGAATAAAATACCTAGGAATCCAACTTACAAGGGATGTGAAGGACCTCTTCAAGGAGAACTACAGACCACTGCTCAAAGAAGTAAGAGAGGACACAAACAAATGGAAAAACATTCCATGCTCATTGACAGGAATAATCAATAACTTGAAAATGGCCATACTGCCCAAATAATTTATAGATTCGATGCTATCCTCATCATGCTACTACTAACTTTCTTCACGAAACTAGAGAAAACTACTTTAAATTTCATATGGAACCAAAAAAGAGCCTGTATAGCCAAGACAATCCTAAGCAAAAAGAAAAAACTGGAGGCATCACGCTACCTGACTTCAAACTATACTACAAGGCTATGGTAACCAAAACAGCATGGTACTGATACCAAAACAGATATATAGACCAATGCTACAGAACGGAGTCCTCAAAAATAATGCCACACATCTACAACCATCTGACATTTGACAAACCTGACAAAAACAAGCAATGTGGAAAGGATTTCCTATTTAATAAATGGTGTTAGGAAAACTGGCTAGCCATATGCAGAAAACTGAAACTGGATCCCTTCCTTACACCTTACACAAAAATTAACTCAAGATGGATTAAAAATTTAAACATAAGACCTAAAATCATAAAAACCCTAAAGGAAAACCTAGGCAATACCATGCAGGACATAGGCATGGGTGAAGGCTTCATGACTAAAGCACCTGAAAGTATTGCAACAAAAGCCAAAATTGACAAGTGGGATCCAATTAAACTAAAGAGCTTCTGCACAGCAAAAGAAACTATCATCAGAGTGAACAGGCAACCTACAGAATGGGAGAACATTTTTCCAATCTACATATCTGACAAAGGTCTAATATCCAGAATCTACAAGGAACTGAAACAAATTTACAAGAAAAAAACAAACAACCCCATCAAAAAGTGGGCAAAGGATATGAATAGACACTTTTCAAAAGAAGACATTTACGCAGCCAACAAACATATGAAAGAAAGCTCATCGTCACTGGTCATTAGAGAAATGCAAATCAAAACCACAGTGAGATACCATCTCACACCAATTAGAATGGCAATCTTTAAAAAGTCAGGAAACAACAGATGCTGGAGAGGATGTGGAGAAATAGGAAAGTTTTCACACTGTTGGAGGCAGTATAAATTAGTTCAACCATTGTGGAAGACAGTGTAGCAATTCCTCAAGGATCTAGAACTAGAAATACATTTGACCCTGCAATCCCATTACCGGGTATATACCCAAAGGATTATAAATCATTCTACGATAAAGACACATGCACAAGTATGTTTATTGCAGCACTATTCACAATAGCAAAGACTTGGAACCAAACCAAATGCCCATCAATGATAGACTGGATTAAAAAAATGTGGCACATATATACCATGGAATACTATGCAGCCATAAAAAGAATGAGTTCATGTTATTTGCAGGGACATGGATGAAGCTGGAAACCATCATTCTCAGCAAACTAACACGAGAACAGAAAACCAAGCACCACATGTTCTCACTCATAAGTGGGAGTTGAACAATGAGAACATATGGGTGCAGGGAGGGGAACATCACACAGTGGGGCCTGTCAGAGGGTGGGGGGCAAGGGTGGGATAGCATTAGGAGAAATATCTAATGTAGATGATGGTTTGATGGGTGCAGCAAACCACTATGACACATGTATACCTACGTAACAAACCTGCACCTTCTGCACATGTATCCCAGAACTTAAAGTATAATTTAAAATAACAATAATAATAATAATAATTTAAACTTTCACATAAAAAATAATTCTGGTCAATTTTCTAGTAATGGAAATCTTTATCTTCCTTAAAACTTTGAAGATATATTTTGTAAATATGTTACCTTGTGGATACCTTTTCAAATGAAATGTGTATCTGCATCAAAGGCACAGAAACCAGCAAAAATAAAGTAATTGAATTGAGTACAAAGGGAATGATATGATACAACTTTAACTCCAGGATCTTAGAAGATCTAGGTGCTTCTTGAATTAACCTATCCTTTTCTGGCCAAGAAACTGACATCACCTATAATTTGCTAAAATATGTCCTAAATAATTTATTTATTTGTTGTCATTAAAAAAATGAAATTGACTGCATTACAAAGAGAATGTCCATAGCTCTTTTGAAACCTTCTCAAAAATTTTAATTTCTTATCTAATGCAAACATCAATAATGTTCTTATGTATTTATATTTAACTTCCTCCTGAGTAAATTGTACTTCTTGTTTAAAAATTTATGTTTAACTTCTTTGCTTTTTTCAGGAAGATTTTATCGTATTTTCTCATGAAAAAAGAGACATTTGATATAGTTATCTTTTTCTCACTTAAAAACTCAAAATAGTACTAGTCAAGTAGAACATAGAAACATCCTATATTTTTCTGTAGTTTCCATATCTATCTGTATATAGTAAGTTGGTCAGTTTATTGAAAAACTTAAGTTCAGTTATTCTCTGAGCTTTGTTGTATTATTTCTACAGAAGTTCATGCTTAAAGCTTCTCTTTAAATACTTTTAAGAAAAGGTACCAGGTCCAGAGAACCCAATATTCTGTTTAGTGGCAAACTTGATGCCAAACATTGCATATGTCAGACACTGTGAAGAAAGATCTGGTGGCAAATATTCTAATTTACACGTACTACTCCATGCACAGTGAACTTGAGGCTCCTGTTTAATGAATCAGATGCACTCACTCTGTAACTACTGTTCTGAGCACTGCTTTAGACCAAGTAGTTTAGAAACCACGTCTTCAATCCTTTGCACAAGCTGAGCGTTTCCTTTGCATTTGCAGCAGAACAATAGACAGACGATCATTATCCACCCACAGGCTCAACACAGGCAGGGGGAATAGATGAAAGTGCTTCATAATGGGCTTCTGCCCACATAGGCATTTTCATATTTGGGAGTTTTTTCAGTTTAAAATGCATGTTAAGGACAAAGGCATAAACAATCATTTTCCTTTAAACTCTGCTTGTCAAGAAGCACCTATTTCTGAGACATATAAAAAAACAGCTCCTGATGAGCCTATGTTGAAAACAAGCATAAATAGTGGTGATAAAAAGAACAGAATGTAGATAATATGTGTGTGTTGGAAGCTGGCTGAAAGTGCAGATGAGTTGGAAGGCTAGAAAGAAGCAAAGACTGGCGATATTCATCATTTAAAAAATGAGTAGTTTTAAGGCTATATTCTGCAGGGAAAACAAAAATTACACACTTAGGTCAGCCTTGAGGGACCTCTGAGATTGTTTCAGGCTTAATATTTCTACCTCTAACTCAACATTATACTCAATTAGTCTGCCTTTGTCCAAAAGTAGAAAGAGATTTTAAAGGGCCTTATTCTTTCTTGCTGTGAGGAACTTTCCCCTTGGAGAGTGCAGCACACACATTGCAAGATTAAACCTTCTTTTTTGGTTCTGCAACCTAAGCTAATATAGCAGGACCTTGCAATGTCTTGCAGCAGAAAATCGATGTAGTGAGATCAGGAAAGATAAATTATAATGACTGAAAAGGGCATTCACAGCCACTCCAAAGGGCTGGGTGACATTTTTTTTTCATATAAGGGAACTTATCTAAAAGAGTCATATCTGTTGAGTTCAATGCTAGTATGAACTAGGAAAAAAAATAAAAAGCTTGAAGTTGGTAAAAATATTGACAATTTCAAACACAGTCAAGCTTAGAAGGCACTATCAGAATTCCTCAATGTCCCAAATGACTTAATTTCCTCTAAACTTCGACCATTATACGTAAGTGCTTCTGGTAAAAGGTACATATAAGTCTTACCATTTACCTTTCAAAGTGGGAAACTGAAATGCAGACTTTGCTATGGTTCTGTAGCCAGAGTCTGAATTCCAGGTTTGCAAAATTATAACCTTCCAGGTATCGAATATGTGGCTGCCACATGACGTGAGCTCTGAGGTGTGTGTGGTGCTCAGCTTTTACAGCAGCAGGAAACAGAAGAATTCTGAGGATGCTCTTGACTGTTGCCTTCAATATTAATAAAATGAAAATAAATGAATTCCATTGTTTCATCCTTCTACCCTCATAAAGATAAGCTTTATTTTTGTGAATGTACCAGTCCTTGATTGCTTACTTTCTATGTCTATTTGTCATAATTTCCTCCAGCAGTCAATGCTAGACTTCCAGATAACTGAAATGTTTTTACCTTTCTTGTGTTATCTAGGTCTCCAGATCCACTGTGTCTGATATATATTAGACAATCAATTTGGTGCAGGGCAGGCCAGCTCCAAAACTGGGACTTAGCCTGGGGAGGTTCTTGGCTTTGCTCAGGAAAGATTTCAAGAGCGAGCCAGTGTTAGAAGAAAACAGCCTTGTTGAGGCAGTGGTGTTACAGATCCATAACTGCTCCTGCAGAGCAGGGCTACCCCACAGGCCGTGTGCTGAGAGCAGCAGCTCAGGGCAGTTCTGCTGTCATATGTATGCTCACTTTTAACTACATGCAAATTAAGGGTCAGGTTATTCAGAAATGTATCAAAAAAGAGGAGTAACTTCCTGTTTTTTGCCATGGAAAGGGGCAGTAACTTCTGGGCGTTGCCATGACATGGTAAACTGTCATGGCGTTGGTTGGCATGTCTTATGAAGAGGTGTTTTGGTGCCTCTTCCCTGTTCCAGCCAGTCTTCAATCTGATCCAGAGTCCAGTCCTGCATCCTACTTCAAATAGATGTTAACTCCTCTTCTCATTTTTGTCTGATGGTGAGGTTTCTAAGTAAAGGGAAGGGACTTTGCTGAAAATGGTGACAAAGTCCCTCCCAGGGCAGGTTGGAGACTAAGACATACACTCCAAAAGGGATGTAAAAATCTCCGAGTAAGGTGAGATTGCCGTAGAAGGATCTCTGACCACTGAAGCACAAGGTGTCCTACCTTCTCTTGTATTGAGAGTGTAGGCCTTAATTCAAAATTTCAAACACTGAATAAAGTTCAAATAGTTGTCAAACTGCTGACATATTTTCTCCAATTGTAACAAAAAATGTGAATGTGGTGAATAATAGGATATCAGTGCTCAAAATCTATGTTTCTCATCTAAAATAATCATATATGAAACTCCCATTTTTAGTTTCCAAGGAGAAGAAAATCCAGAAGTTTAAGCATATTAATATTTATGAGTTAAAGAGAATAAAATTTCTTTCAGGAAATGGAAGATGTTAACAGTAAGAAAAGTTTTCAGGCAGACATTTGGAAGAAGCTAGGAAGAGAAGTTTTTTTTTAATAAAGATAACAAGATTTTTTTTCTCTTTTTCTTCAATGAAATTAAGAAAAAACCAATACCACACCATAGTGATCATATTAGTGGTAAGAAGAGGAAATAAGTTGATAATGACTAGTAGAGTGCATTTGGAACAGACTGGAATAGTTCTAATAGCTAAAAAGTCTCATCCTAGAACTTCATTTAATTTAAA
Organism: Homo sapiens; assembly: GCF_000001405.40. NCBI lineage: Eukaryota > Metazoa > Chordata > Mammalia > Primates > Hominidae > Homo > Homo sapiens. The sequence goes on from NC_000005.10 coordinate 4,719,617, forward strand.
CCTTTAAATAACTATTCGATATGAATAAATATTAATAAGACTGTATCAGAAAGCTGCATAGCTTTCTTGGCTCTGTATGTACCTGACAAAAATTATGAAAGGCTGAACATTAAAAGAATTTTAAAAACAAATACATAAATCCACTATTATTGTGTGTATATTTAACTTAACCTTCTCGGAAATTGATAGACCAAATAAAGCAAAAAACTACCAAAACCAAGAACACATGTGGAAAATTAACAAAAATTGAACACACTATATTCTTCAAGACATATCTCAAAACAATTAAGACATCTACATTATATCTACCATGTTCCTTAATGGTAATTATTTGGAATAATTATAAATGAAAACTGAAAAAATAACCAAAAACATCCTATATTTTGGTAATATAAAAGCACACGTCTAAATTATTAGTGTATCAAAGACAAAATGATAATGGAATATTAAAAGTTATAAAAATGTGATTTCCACCATGACTTAGTAGATGTATTATTAATCTATTTCACACTCACAGAAGTGGAATTAACAACCATGCTTCAGTTCTTTGCCCAAGGATATACTAAGTGAATGCCAAAACCAGAAATTAAAGTCAAATCTTCTGATTCAAGAAACTGTCTTCTTTTTGATGCTTTTATAAGCCTGCACATAAAATAAGTAGTGTTATCAATAATACTAACAAATACTTTGTTTCACCTAATGAAGTTAATATTCATAAACTTCATGGAATATCTTAAGATTTGCTTGGTTCATCGCAGCAAATATACACAGGCCCTAAAATAACTTACCTGCTGTCACCTTTGAGTTAGGAGGAGGTTGTGTTAATGTGTATGGTGAGGAAGTGTAGGTGATAAGGACTGGACATTGTGTTGATTCACATTTATGCTCGTGAGGAACAATCATCATTCCAAATAAGCCACATTCCTTGGTAAGATTCTTCATTACACACAAATATGACTGATTTTGTGCAAGTGTGGTTAAATCTGATTTCAAACATATTATGGAATATTCACATGTTTCTCTTCTATGCCTGCTTCCTTTTGGTCTCACCCTGTCTTTTGGCTTTGGATGTACCTGAATGCCAAGGAACCCTTCTTCTTACTACTGCAACCTCTGTCCTGAACTAGACTCAGACGTCAGCCCCACTGCCTGCCCCGCTCCCATTTGGATGCCTGACAGACATCTCAAAATCGACAGGTCCAAACTGAACTCTCGGATCCCCAACTCAGCCCCGTCCAAACCTCTTCTATCTCGTCTCCTTCAGCAGATGGCCATGGTCTTTCGGGCTGCTCAGACCAAAAAGCTTTAAGTCATCCTCGACTCTTATCTCTTCCTTGTGTCCCACAGCCAGGAGGTGAGGAAATCTGGTTGGCTCAGCCTTCCTATATCTTCAGAATCTGACACCTTGTCACCACGCCAGAGCTCTGACTCAGTCTGAGCCATCATCTCTCCTGCCTGCATGTCTGCAATTCTTTCCAGCCGGTTGTCCTGCTTCCATGCTGAACTCTCAGCAGCCAAAGTCTCTCCAAGTCTCTCTGTGGAAGCTGAAGTCCTTAAGAAGGTGTAATAGTTCATTCTCACATTGCTAACAAAGACATACCTGAGACTGGATAATTTATAAAGGAAAGAGGTTTAATTGACTCAAGTTCAGCATGGCTGGGGAGGACTCACAATCATAGCAGAAGGTGAAGAAGGAGCAAAAGCACATCTTACATGGTGGCAGGCAAGAGCGTGTGTGCAGGGGAACTGCCCTTTATAAAACCACCAGATCTTGTGAGACTTATTCACTATCATGAGAACAGTACGGGAAAACCCATCCTTATGATTCAATTACCTCCCACCAGGTCCCTCCCATGACACGTGGGGATTATGGAAACCACAGTTCAAGATAAAGTTTGAGTGGAGACACAGCCAAACCGTATCAGATGACCCTCAGCAGGCCACCCAATATGCCCTCATTTCAGCCCCTGACTGTGTCTCCCACCCACAGTAGACCCTGCACTGGCCCCTGGTGATCCTGAACCTCATCTGCCATGACACCCCCGACCCTGAATATAGCAAGGTAGGCTGCAGTCTACCCAGCCTTCCCAGGCTTTCCTGGGAGCCCCGACTTGGGCCTACTTTTAATTTTTCTTCATTTCACGGTCCATCATATGTTAATATGTATTTAGTCATCTTGCTTATTGTTTACTTTCTATCTCCTTCAGAAAGATGGAAGACATTATTTAATGTTAAAAAAATGTGCTATCTGCTAATTAGTAACATTGGCCTAAGCCCTGTACACCAGCTTTTAGCAGGAACGAAACGACTCCCCATGTATTAATTTCAATCTTGACAATCAATGTGCTTCATGTTCTTGAGTCTGTGGTAGAGCCTGCCTTATTCATGTCATGAGCAACACACTTGATGAAATAACATAATAAAAATGCTTCTTTCATTCGGTGCAATGATTAATGTATCAGGTACCATTTTAATTTTATTAATGAAATATTTCACAGTAGTATTTCTTTTAAACTAAGTTAATAGAAACAATTATTTTTTATCTATTTTCGCAGTGAGGCTTTAATAGAAGATATTCTACAAATATATTAATTTATACCTAATTTGTTTAAACAAAAAAAAACCTAGACAATATTTTTTGCAAATTAATTATTAGATGTAGGGCTGTGAGTAACTTAATTTCTGAAGCCTCTTGGAGGGAATGGCATTAACACACTAAATGTCACATCAGTAGACACAATGTGGGATGAGGTATACACAGATGGAATCACAATAGGAGGCTCAAAAGAAGTAGAAAGAGACAGCTATATATCTTCTGTGCTTCTTTTTAAATATCTATTTTTCATTTCAGAGTTTCTCATTCCCTTAGGTGCAGTATGAACTTAAAAGCAACCTAGATTCTTCACAGGACTTTTAGAGTATATGATAGATCAATAATTTGTTGGTTTGTTTATGAAATATGCCAACTTACTAGGACAGAGTCATTTTTAAGAGGAAGCCAAGATCAATATATATGTGCATAGATTTATGGGTGTTTTTGTTACAATCAGAATAAGTCTGTTTAAAGAACTCTAAACGGCAAGGCTGGCTGTTTTTACTGTGATCTATTGGCTCATGGGTGCCACTTTAATTCCAGAGACTAAAAATATCACATCTGAGACTTTTATTCTGATAAACTCTCCTTGAATGTAACTAATTTTAACAGCCAGATTTTTAAATTGCAGACAAATAACAACCCAGCTGTAGCTTCACAGCATAATCTCTAGAATTTGCTCCCTTTCTTAGGAGTACCAAATAATTGTTCCTGCCAATGGATTTTAGAGTTATAGCCTTCTGAATTATTATACTGCATTTTTCCCTTTACAGAATTAAAGAAAGGAAACAGAATTAGGGACTTAACAATGTGTTATGGCTTAAATATCAAACCACACCTGTGTTCCCACGTGACCCAGCTGTGATACCTTTCTTTGTGTAGCTGGCTGGATCTCAGCCATGCCACTCTGGATAATCTAGTTTGGGCAAAGACAGAAGACACAAGTAAATGTCCTCATTCAGTTTATTAATTTCAGTGATACTTTCATTCTTTTGGTTTACTGAGCATAACTAGCTGGCCTACCGACACTGTAGAATTAGCCCAAAGACATGGGTTGGCTTCAGGTAGTCCAACTAAATAGAAGGGACGAGAAACATCGTGACATGGCAGCAACATCTTTATAAAGCTCCCATGGACATAACTTTAAGATGAGTTATGGGGCAGGTTAATATTCTCCAGCTACAGAGATGGGAGTGTGGTAGTTATCTCCATCTTACATTTCAGTTGTGAGCATTTTCATCATACATTCCTCACTGTGCATCTCACTTTAATGGTGAATGTAATAAACTTCTCTCACCCTTCCCCATCCTCAACTGCATGTAGGTTTCTGACCAGAAAAGTAAACACAGTGTCATTTAACTTTTAAAGTGTTAATCACTAATTGAAGGATAAAGACTGTTGTCTTTAAGTCTTAAAACTATTAAAATGAATTAAAATTGTGCGTGCATATGGAGAAGATGGGATCAAGGTTATTTTAGCCACAATTTCTTATTTGACAAATAAGAAATTAAATTTATTTTTTTCTTTCCATTCATAGTACTTGATAAGAGAATGATTCCAATTAGATCACCCCTAGGTAAACAGATTTTCTTCCTTTTAGGGATATGTGAGGAAAGACATTTAGAGTCTCCTCTCCTTGGCTCTTGACCTGAGCTGCTATTGTGCCATTGAGTTGGAGGGTGAAATCTGGAATGGCATACTCAAACACCTGCACTGTTCTTCCAAAAACAACCAAGCTGAAATGGTAAACTACTCATCTGGTATCTCTTAAGCTAAGGTACAAAGGTGCAACATCATCAGTGAACACATTCGGTTCCATATGTACCTAAACAAACAGTGTATTTCCAGCTTCCTCCTAATCTGATCCCAACTCATCTATCCCTCTTCTGCATCTCTTCCTGCTTCCCACCTGCATGCCCTCCTCCCCTTAGCCTACCATGTCTCACTGCTCCTGATCATGTGTGTCACTGCTAAGTCCCTGGGACTTTGCCCAGGGTCTATCTCCCTAACTGCTGTCATTAACTTCAGTTCCAGCTTTTTTAAGCGCCTGTAACACAGATTTTAGTGCACACTATCATGAGCTATTACATGCCACCTTGCACCGTTCATTAAATGCTTCATATTTTGATTCCTCCATCAGATTTAAAGTCCTCCGATGGAAGAGAGGATTCGGTTGAGTCAATCATGTAGAATAGAACTGGTTGCTTTACTAAGAAATTTTGCCAGGTGCATCAGACACAATGACTCTGAAGGTGAAAGGAAGATTACAGTAAAATAGTCACCCCAGGAACATCACAGAGACTTTGGAGAAGAGGAAGAGGAGAAGAATACGTAGGTGGCAAGGAAAGAAAGGAGAGATTAGGAATATTAGAAGAATGTAGAGAATGTCTTACAATGATTCATGGATATCTAACAGTCATGTTGGTACATATTTAGCAATATATAAAATTGTAATAACCATGTCAAATAAGCAAGGGTAGAATTGCATGCCATTACCATAATATTGACCCCTTGGGGAGTGCTTTGAGGGAAATGTTTACTATCTTGGGTCTCTTTTTCTCATACCAAAGCTCAGCTCCACTGCAATTTCTAAGGAGAAACAAAATGAGAGTTAGAAGTCATAGTGTGGACTGTTTTCTGCTCCAGATCAAGCCTTGCTGTGGGGAACACGGATGGAGGTGAGTCCCAGGCTTTGTGCCATTCCACTCCCCACTCTGGATGTGCACTCATCCGGCTATCAGAGGCAGGAAGCAATGTCAGAGATGAGAGCCTCCATTCATGCTCCTTGGTCCTCTCCCAGGAAGGAAATCTCCTGGATGCTATCTGATTTCTCCAAGTCACAGTTTTCTTGTAGGTCACATAGGGATGATGAGAGCATCCAGCTCATCGAGACGCCGCAAATACTAAATGCATCAGGCCCGTATTGTAAGGCATCCATGCTAATGCCTATGGGCCTTTGCTTGAAACAAATATAAAGGCAGTGTTGTTACATGGTGCTAAGGAATCGAGGCTGTCTTCAGAGAAATGGGCCATCGTGAAAAGGTCTCTAGTAGGGGAGGTGATGCAGAGATAGCAGATCCAGTGGTGCAGACTGGAGGATTTATCCCTGGACAGAAACAGAAGCCACCACAGCAATCACAGCCACAGCTTGCATTCACAGCTCTGCACTTGCCAGGCTCTTATAAGTGGTCAGTGTTTTCTGGATTACTTCATTTAATCTTCCAAATGAGGTTAAGTCCCACTGTTCTGCCATTGAACTGATAAAACCACTATGCCAGGTCACCCAGAATTAGGAGAGCTTATATCTGAACCCCAGCATGCTGATCCTTGATCCACACTAAACGGTTCTTTCTCTATTTTATATTATTTTAGATAACTGAAATGATGTCTAAGTGTTTGGGTGACAAAAGGACAGGATCCAGCCCCACAGAGTGAACCTCTGCAATTCAGCACTCTCAACAGATGTTTGCTCAGGTTCTAAGGTTGAAAAACAATGTCAAATGCAGGGCCTGTCCTTAGAACACACACAGGTCAGAAGCTGGGGAGCCCATCCTTCCATCTATTAAGAGGGCAAGAAATAATTGTCTGAGCACCTGCACAACCGCAGACAAATGCAGAGATGCCGCTTCCTCTTTGCCCTCAGCAGACAGGCTGGTAAATGTCTGCACCGCCCATGTACTTCCCCCTAATAACACCGGTTTTAGAAATAATGCTGAATTCAAATAAACTCATCATTTTGTTGATGTTTATTTAAAATTGTATGTGGATAGCCAGTACAATGTGGACAGCTAGAAATGGATGTTTAGTAGATTAGCATGAATAAAATTCAATAGATTGTTTTCTTTTAATACATATCTTAGAAAAAGTCAATAAATTTCTTCAACATTCTTAAAGGCAGCTGTGGCTTTACTCTTTATCCCTAAGTCATATGTAAGAAATCACTGTTTTTATCATATTTCAGTACAATATTCTGAAATTGGGGTTGGAGCTGGTGTCAAGGAGCTCCCCACTCTTTGGCTGGTAAGTTAGGGCATCAGTGACCAGGAGTGAAGGCTCCAGAGGTTGACACACCTCCCACCTGTGACTTCAGGCAGAAGACTACTTCTTGGCTATTTTTAGGCATTCCAAATAACAGCACTTGCCCATTTCACTGTCCACGTGGATACTATGCAAATAATGAAAATATTTCCACATGCATACATTGAGGTATGATCAATTGTGGGTGACTATAAAGTAGTAATAAAATCATCTTTTAAAATAACTGAAATGGCAATTGACCATTAAGCCTGTTATTCATACCAGCAACATTTCAATGATTCGGAAATAAGGAAAACGGGTAAAGTGTTTATATTTTGCAGTTCCACACTACTTGTATCTTTTAGAACAACAGCAATACACACTCTCTCAATATAAACACACACATGCATACACATACACACACACCCCTATATGTGCATATATAGATGTGTCTGTATGAACGCAACGATGAAAATATACTTTTAACATTTTATACAAATTCTCTAATTTTGAGAATATTTGGCATACCAAGAAAGAAGCCAGTTGGAATATTTTGTCTCTTAAGGCTGGCGGGAGAGAGGAAAAGAGAAGGGGAAAAGGACAATACAGTTGTAGGGTCCAGGTCCAGGCCCAGTATGAGCTTGGAGATGCCACAACGATGGAGAAGTGCAGGACAAAGCATTAGAAATAGACACAAAGGGGCTGCTCACCTGTTTCAGGACAATAGGGAGATCACCCTGGCGCCACGGGCATGTTCATAACTGCCAAATTAGACAGCAGACCATCCATTAATGATGCAGAAGAATGATCACTGTAGGGACAGGGGTCACTGAAGCGAAGCACCAGCACCAGGAACATCCCTGCATTCGCATGTGCCTTATGCCGAATTCGTATTACTGAGCAATGTCTAGAATTCCCATGGGTTCATGTAAAAGTCAAAAGTTTGAAAACCTATTATTCATAGTGACACCCTTTTAAAGCATTCTCTAGGAAGTCACTATGAGCTTTTTGTAATTCAAATTCTTCAGAAGTATATAGAGTCCTCTCCTCTTTAGACTCTAGCCAAGGGCTCTATAATATAAACTTAAGAGCACTTCCTATTTGTATTAAAACAACAACAACAAGAACAGAGAGCTGTCTGGCTCCCATTTAGAAAGTGTCTCTTAGCTGTTGACGCGTCATGAAGCACAATGATGGCTCTGAGGAGGGTGCAAGTGATTTTAGATTAAATGACCCTAAGACGTGACTTGTAAAGATGACAAATGCTCAAAGACAAGTGGTATGGGGGAGAGGGTGAATCCTAAAAAAGAGACAAGCTTCGTTTACACTTTATTCATAAATTTTATTTTAGAACACTTTTAGGTTTACAGAAAAGTTATGTAGTACAGAGAGTTCCTATATACCCCACACCCAGTTTGCCTATTATTAACAGTTTATATAAGCATAGTACATTTGCTAAAAGCAATGGAGCAGTATTGGTACATTATATTACCTAACATCCTATTTCTGTTCCAGCGTGCCATTCAAGATACCCCATTACATTTACTCATGTCTCCTTAAGCTCCTTTTGAGTTTGAAAGCTCAAGACGTTCCCTGTCTTTAATGACCTTGGCAGTTTTGAGGGGCATTGGTTAGGCGTTTTATACAGCGTTCTTCAACTGGGGCCTGTCTGGTGTTTTTCTCATGATTAGGCTTTGATGATGTGTTTTTAGGAAGAAGGGCACAGAGGTTAAGTGTCATTTTCCTCACAACATAGCAAGTGTATTGCAGTGTGCTAAGTCAAAATAAATACCCAAAAACACATTTTCAACTCCTAGTTCCCAGAACCTATAAATGTGACTGTACTTGAACTAGGTTATTTGCAGGTTTAACTGCATTAGAGATCTTGAGATGAGATCATCCTGGATTTAGAGTAGACCCGAAACCCAAGGACTTGTGTCCTTGTAAGAGAAAGTTGATGGAGATTTGAACACAGAAACACAGTGAGGATAAGGCCATGGGAAGATGGAGAAATAGGCTGGAGCGATGCAGCCCCAAACCAAGGAAGCCCAGGGCACCAAAAGCTGGAAGAGGCAAGGAAGGGCCCTGCCATGGAGTCTTCAGGGGCAGTGTGGCCCAGCTGACACCTTCGTTCCAGACCTTTGGCCTCTGAACTATGAGAGAATAAATTTCCTTTGTTTTAAGCAACCCAATTTAAGGTAATTTGTTACACTAGCCCTTGGAGATGGAACAGGTATTTACTATCCACATGACTTCACCACTGATGTGAACTTTGATCACCTAGGGGAGGTGGGATTGTCAGATCTCTCCACTGTTATTCTGTGACTATTGCATGGTCACAATGATACGCAGTAATTAACTTTACTATGCGTGGTCACAGTCCACACTCAAGTAATGAGAACTATGTGCCACCTCCTTGTAGATACATTAGATACATACAAGTTTGGAATCCTTGTGGAATTCTTCTTTATGGGAAACCTGTCTCCTCTTCACCTTATTTACTTATTTAATCACTTATTTATGATAGTATAGACTCATGGATATTTATGTTTTGCATTTTAATCCAATACTATAATTATTCTTTTTGTTAGTAACTTGTGCCAGATTTGGTCATTGGGAATTCCATCAGTTGATTCTTGCATTGCTTTGAAATAATGTCATCACTGCAGGTTTTGTTTTGTTTTGTTGTTGTTGGTTTTTTTTTTTTTTTTTTTTTGTATTTGCCTTGTATTTTTTTGTTTTGTGAATACTTTCTGAATTTCTGGCAAATGGTGCTCCAGGCTCAACTTGCGAGTTTTCTGCTTCTGAACTGGAACCAGTCATTTCTCCAGGAGCCCTCCTTCCCTTTCTTGGAGAACACCATCAGATGTAAAGAGCTGGATGCTGGCTGGGCTCTTGCTAGTGGGTTGGGTTTGCTTTTTGATTTGCTATTTACTACCTGTTTGTCCTTGAATATGCTACTTAAACTCTCTGTTTCATTTTATCTAACTTTTAATGAGGGTTATAAAACACCAAAAATAATTCCTAACCAATCTTGATTTAATGAACTATCAAAATTAACACCTATTTTCCATTTGCCTTTAAACCATCTGACTAGTGACCACACAAAGGAAAGATCTGATTAAGTGAAGTCACTTAAAAATCCTAGAAAATGAGGTATTTGAGCCACTCACAGGGAGAAAGCAAAGTGTAAAAACTGGAAGTGTTCAACATTCAAATTACTTTGCATACTATCTGTAGGATTTCACCATCTTACTGGAAGCACAAGCACAAGCACAGAAATTGTGAACTGAACCTTTTGTGTACATTTTTTCAAGGAGAACTTGGAAATTAAAACAGCAACAGACCCATATTCAAACAAGTTGATTCTGCCCTTTTCGAAAGATTGATAAATAAATGGACACACCTTATTTAACTGGTGAGTCACGAGGGGCTTCAGCCAGTGGCTGATTACCAGCAGGCCCAGAATATTTTTGTGTTTTAATAGCTCCCATGCTGCCTTGGTGTGTACTGGCTAACTGTACCCCCAGCATGGGAGTCTGAGGTTAACAATTTCATGCCATAACTGACTCTTCAGTAACCAACTGGTTAACCTGCCAAGAGGGCTTTACCACTATGATCTCCTGAGGCTGGTGTAGGACAACTACTGGCAGGCAGAGCCTTCCACGTTCTGGTCTGTGAAACCATCACTGCCATTGTCTCCTCCTCGTCAGCATTAGCCTTGACTGCAGGATGACTTAACTCTGTTCAACCAGAGATGTTCTTTGGCAAAGTTTTTGGCTGCATTCTAAGTGTGTCTGTAAATTGAAAGTGCAGAGATTTTGGTGAGACATTATGAAGATCAGCACCGCCAGTGCAATCCCTAATCTCCTTATGTCTAATCTTCTCATCTATATAAAGGGAAGTATAACTCTTAATGTATATGGCAAAAATTAAAACTTAAGAATTCAATGCTATGAGATGTTTGTAAGGAGCACTCAATAAATGTATCTATTGCCAGCTGCATTTTATATAGACAAAGATGTAAAGAGTGGGCAAGGCAGGCAGGCAGAGAGAAGATTGAGAGGCAGCATGGGGGCATTTCAGACAGAAGGATGCCTATGGCGCTGTGGGAGTAAAAGGAAAACATTATATAATTAAGTACTTTCCATCTGCCAGGAATTGCTCTAAATGCTTTCCAGGTGGTTCTCACTTGCTCCTTGCTCCTCAGCTAGCTTATTAAAGCCTTCTCACTTCACTGGAAGAAAACTGGGACACAGGGCGGGCTGCCCCTTATCCAGAGTCCATCACTTCTCCAGTCCAGATCCTGGCTCCAGGCCCACTTTGAGTGCTGCTGGCTTGTCCCGGAGGACTGTGTATGAAAACAGGAGCTCCTGGAAGCACAGTCTTTGTTCGGAGAGCAGTTAGTTAATCAAAGGATGAGGGAAGGATAATTGGAGAGACAGCACGACTACTGCAAAGGTTTGGTGCCCCACATGGCCAGGGACTCTCCAGCAGGGGTGGCCGCCTTTGAGGGCTCTTTTGGGAAGGGATGGGTGTGTACCTGGAAGACACATACAGTGGTTGGTTATTAAACGTTAACGAATCCGTGCACATTTTATCAAATGTCTTCTTTTCTGGTGAAAATAATATATGGTTCTCCTGAACTCTCAGGGGAGTGGAAGGAAAAGGGCCAGTTGGCACACAATGGAGCATACATGTCTTTTATTCTAAAAACTATTAAGAGACCTGAAAATATGAGCAATATAGATAGTAAGGAGGCAAGAAAAAAAAGGATGTCTATTAGACCAGGAGTCCCCAACCCCTGGGTCATGGACTGGTACTGGTCCATGGCCTGTTAGGAACTGGGCCACACAGCAGGGGGTGAGCGAACAAAGCTTCATCTGTATTTACAGCTGCTTCCCATCACTCGCACTACTGCCTGAGTTCCACCTCCCGTCAGATCGGCAGTGGCATCAGATTCTCATGGTTCTTCGTAGTTCTGTTGTGAACTGCGCAGGTGAGTGATTTAGGTTGTGCGCTCCTTATGAGAGTCGAATGCCTGGTGATCTGAGGTGAACGGCTTCATCTTGAAACCGTCCCCCTTACCACCCCGTCCATGGAAACATTGTCTTCCATAAGACAATACACAGGTGCCAAAAAGTCGGCAACCATTGTATGTCAATAGCAAGTATATTAGTTTGCTAGAACTGTGGCAACATCATACAACAAACTGGATGGTTTAAACAACAAAAATTTGTTAGGCGTGGTGAGATGCCTACAGTTTCAGCTATTTCAGAGGTTAAAGCTTGAGCCCAGGAGTTTGAGTCTAGCCTGGGCAACAGAGTGAGACCCCTGTCTCCAAAAAAAAAAAAAAAATCACAAACAACAGAAATTTATTCCTGATAGCTTTGGAGGCCAGAAGTCCAAGATCTGGGAGTTGGCAGGGCTAATTCTTTCTGAGACTGGAACGGAGATGCTGTTCCAGGCTTCTCTCATAGCTTCTGTGGTTTCATGGCAATATTCAGCATTCTTGGACTTTGAGAAGCTTCATCCCAGTCTCCACCTTCAACTGCATATGGTGTGCTCTCCATGTTCATATCTGTCTCCAAGTTTTCTCTTTTGTAAGGACATCAGTCATGTTGATTAGAACCCACCTTAATGAGGTCATTTTAAGTAGATTACCCCTTTAAGGACCCAGCCTCCAAAGATCAGGCTTGGAGGTGCTAACTGCTAGGACTTCAAGATAAATTTGGGGCAGGTTGGATGGACACAATTAAACTCATGACAGTGAGAGTAGTTAAAACCAGGTACTAAGTATAAATTGTAACAGTAGGATAGTCCTTCATGTTTATTTAAAACGTGAAAATTATTTACAAAAAATTCTCACGTGAGTAGTTTCAACTTTAGTTACACATTTTTAAATGTTATTTATCTCTTAAAGGCTGTTATAAAATCATCCAAACATCTTTATTTTATATTAATCAAAGAATAACAGCACTTAAATTTGCCATCACTCAGAATGTGCTACAGCATTTTGGAATTGTTTGCATAGTCTTTTTAATCATGAGAATTGAATATGTTTTTGGTGTGACATTGTTAATGTACACAAAAAATAAAGTGGTATCTAAAATGCATTTTACTTTAGTTGGAAGTTGAAGGAATAAGATTTATTCTTATGTCTAATTTTTCACAGCTCTTCACAATAAGGTTCTAAGTTAAATCATGTTTATTTTAGATAACTTAAAATCATCATTTTTGTTTAACACATTCATGAGAAGCAAAGGTCTATTTTATAGGTCAGAAGAACAAAGGAACATTGTAAAAATAAACTTTTAAAAATGGATTTATTTCTCCCCCAAAGAGAAACTATTCTAAATTCACCATTGGGTGTCATTCAGAGCAACTGTTCCCAAATTGTTCTGGGATGTGTGTGTGTCCCTGAGGTCCCTCCAGGTGACCCGCAGGCTAATCTCATGTAGTATTGATGCTTCTAATATGAAAATGTCTATATTTTAGTTTCCGGAATGGATGGTTTATGAATAATGTATAATATTTAATAAAATCAGACATTGCCTCATTAATGTCTCATCAAAAGTAGAATGGATCTTTCCCTTATATCTGGCATTTTTGGGTCATGTACTAGATACAAGTGGGTAGGTAGATATATATTATTTTGCCCTACTAAACACAGTTATATTCCAGAGAATCTAAGAATTAATTTTTAGAAGTTTTAATCACTAACCAGATTTAACTTAAAATAAAAATTACATGCAGTTATTAATTTATTTACTTTGCAGTGAGTATTTTTGTTTGCTTGAAAATGGTTATGAGAAAAGTGAAGTCCAGAGACACAAAAGGATTTCTCTGAAGAGCACACAGTACATTAGGATGAAGGTTCCAGGGTTGCTGCTTAATACACATTTTTAAAATTGAACTGTTTGAGGATAATCACAATATTTGTATTGAGGATGCTGATTATTTGGTATGAAAAAAATTATACTGGGCAAAAAACTCCATTGCCCTGTGACACTGAGGTATCGGTCTACACGCAGATCTCAGATTACCTAAGAAATGAGTGATTCCCATTAGTTACTCAGTATGTTATCTGGTCAATTATTTCCTTTCCCAACAATTACAACTGCTACAGTGAATTCATAACTGCTCTAAGTGATGAGAGTAAATAATTGGTTTTATCTAATCTTGGCACTGTATTCCTGCAGAACCTGCATCAATCTTAATATTTTGTCACTGACTTTTAAAAATCATGCTCACTTAGCCTTTTCCCAAGCTGGCATATATATCATTTTCCATCTAAATATGTCTTGCATTTTACATGAAAACTTATATGCTTTTAGTCATTTTTAACTTTCCTTCTCTTTCTTTTTTCCTCTCTGCTGTAGGACATGGTGGGGATGGAGTCGGAAGGAAGGAAGCAGATTGATGGGGCTGGGCATTGGTGTGACAAAGGGTAGGTGAGTGGGCGTCTTTGATCTCTGGACTGGAGCCAGCGGAGGCTGAAGAAACACTCCTTAAGGAATTATTTCTCCTGGAATTGGAAATCACAGCTTTCCTGAATCAAATTAGTTGACTCTGAATTCTAGTATCTGAAGTCTGCGTGTTTGAAAAGTAACTTCTAGAGGCTGCCAGGACCCCTGATACCTTTATAATCTCAAGTCATTTACAGTCTTCCCTGAGAAAATTTGTCAAATGCAATGAATCATTCAGGAAAATGCTATGCCCTCCCATTCCCCACCATTACCTTCTGGGTAAAACCCCAGATCCTAAACATGACCTGCAACTGCCTTTCACGATGTGATCCTGGCAACCTCTGTAAGACAACCCCACTTCATTCCCCAACCCACAACTGGCACTTCCTGTGGGGAAAGTTTCCAACATGTGCTGGTCCTTCCATCAATCCCTGCCTTGCCTATGTCACCTCCTCTGTGCTCAACATTGAGGCCAGTGCATTACTCTTTTAACCCTAGGATAACAGCTCACACATCATCTATGGGGTTTCCCCATGATGGCCTAGGTTGAACCTTTTCCCACCTGGTACTCATCACAGGACCATATAATTGCCTGGTGGTTTGTCACATTCGCTGGAGATTTCCTAGAGGTCAAATAATGAACTATCAATTTTATCTAAATTTCTGTGACTTAGAAGGTACACAGTATGTGGTAGATGCTCTGGCAAAGGTCTAACGACTGACTGACTACAGGAAGCTTTTAGGGAGGCAGAAAATGGGACAGTTGACATAGATTAGGCAAAGAGGGTGAAAGGATGCCCTGCTAGGGAGCTGCTTCCTTCTGCAAAGATGGATTTTCTGCACGTGGTGCTACAAAGAAAACACATGCTACATTACTCACTTTCAGGAAACTTGGTCTATAAAGGACATTATGGACTTTATCCTAATCATAGGATCTTGGAGATACTGATACTTAAATTTACTTAGTTTTAAAAATCAGGATATTAGCATTATTTCATTTTTTACTAGGAAATTGTTCTGGTAACAAAGCAGAGAAAGAAATGGACTGGGAATTGGGGTGAGTAACTATGGCTAAAGAGAGTGGGAAAAGTTATAAATTGGTTTCAGTCATCCTGGCAAGTGATAACTAACAAGATAGTAGTAGATGGAGAGGAAAATACATTAGCCAACAAAAGTTCTTAACATTTTCATGAAAAAGTCCCAATGAAGCCCCTTATCACATGCAATAGGGACACCATTTTTGCAAATGCTCTTTGATTTTATAATGAACATTGCAAGGGATGCCACTTAGCTGGATGGCATTGATCCCCTTAATGAAGGTGTACCTATCCCAGAGTTATTTTTGACTCTCTCCTAATTTGCTGATTCTCTCCTCTCCTACTCCAGTTTCTTTCTGGCTTTCTCTCCCATTGCATTTTTTTCCCCACCAAATTCTATTTGTGAATCAATTTGTCCCTAAGAATAGGGCAGCCCTCGCAAAAATGTATCCAGTACACAAAAAATGGAGAGTACAAGCAAGTAAATCAAAAGTGATCCAATTAGTGATTTTTTTTTTCTAGCACAGGAATACTGAGTCTTCATTTATACTTGGAAAAAATATAGAGCACTAAAACAAAAAAGTTCGTGATACTTTTTAAAGAAAAGTGCATATGCATTTAAGAAGTTATGTTTTTTTAATCAGCTGACAGACAGATGCCAGACAGCAGGTGTTCCCTGAGGAAAATGGTTATGTATTTATGGCAGGCTTAACACCGAAGATTCTGAAATCTTTTCAACTGTAACCAAATCCATTAAGCAGAGCAAAAGTGACATCACCAAAACAAGGAAACCGTCCTTACTATCCTGGAGGGGATCAAAATAAGAGGGGCTGGATGGATCCTGTTTTATGGGCCCCTCTTCTTGGACTCCAGATCACTAAAAAGACCCCTCAGTTATGAAGAGCAAGAGGCTCTCTGCCCCTCTCCTCTACAGTGGGGATTTTCCCCAGGATTATTGGTTGTTTATCTTTTAACAACAATACAGAGCTTTCAAGAGCTGAAGCAACAAAGTCTCCTGCTTTTCATTTCCCTTGCAACATCTCAGCGAGATTATTCCAACCACCTCCTCTGCTGGCAACCTACCTAGAGATCCACCACACTCCCATGCATCCTCCACACACAGTCTGTGCTGGGCGGTTCAGCTGGGTGAAGATGTTTAATGTCTTTCCTAAACTGGCCCTAGACATTGGTGGATTAAATGATTATAGAGAACACATCAGTAAATCTCACAAGGCAGAAAAAGACATCTGCTCATTGATTGACTCAAATCATCTATGAGTTAAAGCAGAATACAGTTTGAAACAAAACCCTTCCAGTAACACATTCCATGGAACGGGTGAGTCAGGGTTTTAGATACCCATGGCCACTGTGCTGTGATTGCCAAACCAGGATAAAATGGGACTGTGCTCAGCTTGCTACTCAGCACAAGTTTTTGCAGATCAATGGGCACATTTTTGATTTAACACAGCTATTTACATGACATATAAAAAGGTTCCATTGAAACAGGTAGTACCCAGCACAGTAGAAATCATTATTGATTTATTGTCTTCGCTGTGTCATTAGGATGGTTAAGCCTTTGAAGTGTGATGATGAGGAAAGCAGGGGCTCGATATTTCATGCAGAGAATCCAAAGAAAAATTAAACAATCATGACATGGTGCTGGAGAATATGTTTACAAAGTAATAAAAGAGTGCACATATCTAGGTGCTCCGTTTTGTTGTTGCAGTATCTGGATAGAATACGAGAATTGTATAATTGTGGTGAATACTCGTCCACCAAAGCTGACTTCATTTATCATTTCTCTTACTTAAAGAAAAAAAAAACAAAGTGAGTAAATTTTGGCATAAGTAAAAAGCAGAGGCAAAATATCTGTTAAGCTCTATGACTTGATTGCAAAAAGTAGAGATTAAGGTTATAAAATAATTAAAATGAAAATCACGATTTTGGTCATGGATTTGGTGTTAATTCCAGATTTTCCTATTCACACGTTCAGCAAGGAAATTTCTCATGAGTGAAGAAAGTTGTGTGATGAATATTCAATTCCTTGTTTTATGTGCATCATTCTTTTTTAAACTTTATTTTATTTTGTTTTGCCGTGTCCCTAGCAACATTAGAGCTACATGCAGCTACAGAAATACTAAATAGCTAAAGACCAGAGACATTTGTTCGGAGGTAAAAGCAGTTGATGCTGAAGTTTTTGTGAAACAAAAAGAGATCTTCACAAAACAACGCTGGAGAAGAGAGAAATGAGATTAAGTTTAGGGTATGAGATTTACGTCCGGGATATAGTTAAGGTTAATAACAAGAAGGAAGCCATTTGGGATTTCAGGACAGCTGTGGTGAGTATGGAATAGGAAAGGGTGCTCTAGAGGGCTGCTAAAGGGAGTGAAATCCACTCACAGAGGCGGAGGAATCCCCGAGGACTAGGTTACACACAACAACCAGTCCCAGGATGAAAACATTTGGTTTCCACATTGGTAACCACAGAAACACTATTTTTTAGCATGAAGAATACCCTGTTATAGGAACTCTACTACATTAAGGCTATGATGAATTTAAAGACAAAATCATAATAGTTTCTGAATGAATTTTAGTTAAATATGACTTTTAAAACATAAGCAACATTGCAACTTTACTGGTTCATATCAACAAAAATCAAGAGAAAGTGAGTTTTGTCACTTTTATGCAAGTTTCTGTTCCACTCAGGCTGCTTGGTATCTCACTGTGTGTAGTTTTTATCACTGGAAAACCATAATTTTACAGAACCACATGGCTCATATCTGAAAACCTCACTAGAGGATATCTAAATCATTGAGTATACAAATTATTAAGATTGTTAAAATAAAAGTAAAAAAAGAGAGCTGGTGATGAGCATTAAAACCAAAAGTCTGCTCTAATTCCATATTTTTTATCCTGAATTTCCTATTCTTATAACAAAGGCAATTCCGTGAAAGGTAAAATGATTAATTATGATCCCTAAGCAAGTGATTCCATGAAAATGAAATAACACAAAATAATGGAAAGATAGACTGGATATATTATCTATTTATTGTTGCATATGCAGTTACACCAGCATGTAAGAACTTAAAGTAATCATTTATTATCTCACAGTTTCTATGTCTAAGAATTTGGGCGGTTTTGGTTCAGGTCTACCAGGAGGCTGCAGTCAAGATGTTGACTGGGGCAGGAGTCATCTAAAATCTTGATTGAGGCTAAGGATATACTTTCAGCCTGGCTCCCTCATATGCCTAGAAAACTGCTGCTGGCTTTTGGCAGGAAGCCTCAAATCCTTGACACACAGACCTCTTGAGTGCTGTCCTTCATAGTAGGTGTATTTCCCCAGGGTAATTGACTCGAGAGAGAACAAGACCAAAACTACATGTGATTTAAGGCCTAGCCTCAGAAGCCACACTCTTTCATATCTCCAATATGCCACTGAATAAACTGAATGCAGAGGTCAGCCCTATTCTGTATCTAACACAGAGCTCTAGAACCCAGGCAGAGCTCCAGACCCACATTCCCAACTCCCTACAGCACACCACCATTTAAAATGTTCCCATGCTCCTCCAATTCACAATGTCCCCAAGTGATTTCAACTTCTCCCACCTGTCCTCCCCTCTCCACAAACTTCTCCTACTCTCCCCAAACCTAGCATGTAGAAATCTATGCCTTCAAAATGTGTTTGTTTCAGGTCCTCTGCACAGAAGGGTTTTCAGTTAGTTTTAATCTGAAACTTGAAACCTGACTCCTCCTTTTCGTTTATATTGGTCAAAACGTCTCACTGAGATGATGCTAACTTCTGCTCTACTGGTAACCTACCTAGAGGTTCACCACACCCTAATTCATCTTCAAAAATTATAGCAGAAATGCTTTTTCTAAAACTATGTTTAATTGGCATTACCCTCATAAACTTCTTTATCATTCCACATAACTTCAGTTTTACTTTCTTCTTGTATCCCTATTCTGCTATAAGACTCAATTAACTTTTTTTTTTTTTTTGAGACGGAGTTTCGCTCTGTAGCCCAGGCTGGAGTGCAGTGGCGTGATCTCAGCTCACTGCAACCTCCACCTCCCAGGTTCAAGCGATTTTCCTGCCTCAGCCTCCCGAGTAGCTGGGACTACAGGCGCCCACCACCGCGCCCGGCTAATTTTTTGTATTTTTAGTAGAGACGAGGTTTCACCATGTTAGCCAGGATGGTCTCGATCTCCTGACCTCGTGATCCACCAGCCTCAGCCTCCCAAAGTGCTGGGATTACAGGAGTGAGCCACCACGCCCGGCCACCCCAGGCCTTTCTAAAAGGCAAAAAATGTCTGATTATTAGGACTGTGGCCCAAGAAGGAAAGAATAAAAGTGTCCCAAACCTTCATGTCCTTTTTTTCCCACCACAGCTCTAAGAAAAGACCTTCATGAGTTTGGGCATGTAACTATTCAGTCTGTCTGACTCGTACCAGAGGAACCCTGAGTGACTGCTCTTGGACTCTAGTTTGCCGAGGCTGGTCCATAAATCCCAACCACAGCAGAACATAGGTCCCAGACACCAGAAGTGACCGGGAGGAGGGGCAGCCACAGGAAGTGGCCAGAGCCAACGGCTGACCCACTCTAGGACCAGTGAGAGCCCTTGGGGTGCCCCTTCAGCAACCTGTGCCCGAGCGGCCAGCTGTTATTCTCACTGATTTTACTTCCACAAAAGATGTTTGTTATTTCAAAATTTGAGGGAAAACCTCTCACCTGTAACTTCCTTCTAGGAGTGGGCAACAGAGACCAGATATCATTGTTTTAAGTTCCACAGGGAGAGACATTTAAGATTATCTTGTCTGAATAATTTTAACCAGTACAAATGTGTTTCTATTCATGATATAGTTTGTACTATGTGTATGTATGAATATATGTGTGTGTATGTATATGTGTATGTGTATATTCTCTCTCTCTCTCTCTCTGAACCGACAACATTATCATGGTGGCCTTGTTTCTATTTATTCCCTGAATACTTACATCATCAGCTGAGGAGATTTCCAGGCACTGGTGGAAACCTGCTTCATCTTTTTCATATGAAACCCTCTCCACATCAATTGTTACCCTCAGCTAAAGCTGAGCTTCTCTCAGTCTCACAGTTGCCAGGAGTCCTGTACATTTCATGGAATTTTCTCCATCTTAAAGGAAAACCTTAAAGCCATTCATTCACTCTATTTACTTTATTTTTTGTTGTGGCACATGAAGAGTTAAGCATCAGATAACTTCAGAAAGTCAATTAAAAAGGGATAGTGTCTCTTAATCACAGGGCTTTTCCTATCTATTTTTTCCAGTAGTTACTTTAAAACTGCTAACTTGAAATCACAGCCCTGTGCTGTCTTCAGAAGTTCACTCAATCAAAAGCCAAGTGCTGAGTAATCAAAGATCTTAAGTAACTAGAAGTTCTAACCCTGACCACAAGAGGATCAAAAATCCAGTAGCCAGAACTCAGTTCTTCGATCCAGCAGGCACCAGTGCATAATGAGAAATCCCCAAAGCCCTAGATCACAGCCGTGTCCTTGCCCAGCATAGAACTAAGCGGAAAACCTCTCTAATTCCTTAAGAGATCTTATCTGCCTGATGAAAATAGATATTGGCTTCTGTGTAGCATGATTAGAAGAATGCAAGAGGCTTAGCAAAGATGCGAGGGAAAGGCTCAGCCGGCTCATTTACATGGGGTTGCTGCTGACAGGTGGTGTTAACAGAAGAGCATAACCCACGGGCACAACCACACCTGAATTAAAGCGGCATTTATTTACTCAAGCTATAGAGGAATTAGCATTCGTTTATTTTGCCACATCCAATTTTTTAAATCTATTAAGCACTTCGATGCTTACTTTATTTTCTGTAACAAACAGTCAAGCTGGTTGAAGAGATGTTTATTTTCATTCAAAACAACCTGTCAAATGATTGTAACAGAAATGTAAGTGTTGGGATGAATGAAAATTATTTCTATTTATTTAGATCATAAATATTTGAAAGCCACAGATTCATTAATACATTACCATTGCTTATTGCTACGTAATGTGATATATACATGCGCACACACAAATGCAGAAACATACATATTACATGTATACTGTATATAGAATAGCATACCAATATTTTATATCAGATCATTTCACATTAGTCAGAATGGCTATTACTAAAAAGTTAACAACAATAGAAGCTGACGAGGCTGCAGAGAAAAGGGAACACTTGCACAGTGTTGGTGGGAATGCAAGTTAGTTCAGTCACTGTAAAAAGCAGTGTGAAGATTTCTCAAAACACTGAAAACAGAATTACCATTTAGCCCAGCAACCCATTACTGGATATATACCCAAAGAAAATAAATTGTTCCTCAAAAAAGACACATGCACATCTGTGTTCATCACAGCACTGTTCACAATAGCAAAGACATGGAATCAACAGAGGTGCCACCATCAGCAGTGGATTGGATAAAGGGAATACGGTACACCATGGAATACTATGCAGTCATAAATCAGAATAAAATCGTGTTCTTTGCAGCAACATGAATACAACTGGAGGCTATTTTCCTAGGCAAAATAACACAGGAACAGAAAACCAAATACTGCATGTTCTCACTTACAAGCAGGGCTAAACATTGCATATACATGAACAGGAAGATGGCAACAGTAGATGCTGAGGACTACCAGATGGAGGAGGGAAGGAGACAGGCAAGGGTTGAAAAATTAACTATTGGGTACTATACTTCAGTACCTGGGCGATGGGATCAGTCATACCCCAAACCTCAGCACCATGCAATATGCCCATGTAATAAACCTGTACATTTTATTTTTACAAAATAAAAGTTATAAAAAATTGCTTATTTTAGAATACTATGTTTTAAGTTTATAAATTTATAACATGTACATTTACATCATCATGTAAAATTTGTGTATATTTGTACATTTGGCATTGAAATTTGAAGTTAAAATTATCTAGAAACAATAAGCCTTTAGAAAGATCAGGCAGAACCTAAAATCGTATGATACATTTTGTCACCTTTAGTACTCACAGGATTCAAAAACATTTTTTAGAGGGGAAAAGCGTTTTTGAAAAGTGTCAGTTATGTGAATATTTGGAAAATGCAAAGTTACTTTGAACAAACAATATCTCCTTCCTAACTTATTACCAAAGTGCTGGACATTATTAACACAAGGAAAATGCTTATACCCGTGGATTTTTTTTAACTCTGTCATTGTTAAAGTTGGTTTTCTATTCACATTGTTGCCTCTAAATTTAGAGCGATTCAATATAACAGAAATATTTTGTCATATATGAAAGTTTAAGATCTGGTTGAATACAATGTATTACTGTATACTGCAAAATTTAACAACACAGGACCTATATGCTTGCATAAGGGAAATGAAGCAAACACAATTAGGAAAAACAAAACAACACCAAAACCACAACACTGAAATAAGTTGGGTAGTTTTGTATTGGAATAAAGTTCAATATGAAAAGAAAATATTTCAAAGAGTAATATCAATTTTGGTCAATAAGTGCAAATTCCAAATCATTTTATAACTAATATCAAAAGGCAGACTCAAGTGAATTTGTATAAAACTTTTAAACAACTTTATTGAGATATCATTGGCACACAATAAAGTGCAAATACTAAAAATGTAAGATGTTGGCTGGGTGTGGTGGCTCATGCCTGTAATCCCAGCACTTCGGGAGGCCGAGGTGGGCGGATCACCTGAGGTCAGGAATTCAAGACCAGACTGGCCAACGCGGTGAAACCCCGTCTATACTAAAAATACAAAATTAGCAGGGCATAGTGGTGCAAGCCTGTAGTTCTAGCCACTTGGGAGACCGAGGCAGGAGAAGACCTTGAACCTGGGAGGCAGAGGTTGCAGTAAGCCAAGACCGTGCCATTGCACTCCAGCCTGGGAGATAAGTGTGAAACTCTGACTCAAAAAAAAAAAAAAAATTAAAAAATAAAATAAATAAATAAAGTAAAATGAAATAAAATCAATAAAAATATAGGATGTAAAATTTAACATGCATATATATCTATGGACCTATCAGAGCTTGTTTTGGATGTATACCAAACAGTGCAACTGCTGGATCATATGATAGTTTTGTTTTTAGTTTTTTGAGGAAACTCCATACTGTTTTTTCATAGTGGCCACCCTAATTTACATTCCCACGAGCAGTGAGCTAGTGTTCTCCTTTCTTCACATCCTTGCCAGTATCTGCTAAATTCTGTTGTTTTGATAACAGACATTTTAAATGGAGTAAGATGATATCTCATTGTAGTTTTGATTTACAATCCCCTGATGATTAATGGTGTTGATCATTTTTTACACTCCTGTTGACTATTAGTATGTCTTCTTTTGAGAAATGTTCATTTAGATCATTTTCTCATTTTAAAATCAAATTATCTGGGGTTTTTTTTTTTGGCTATTGATTTGTTTAAGGTTTTTAGATATTCTGGTTATTAACCCCTTATCAAATGGATCATTTGCAAATATTTCCTCCCATTCTGTAGGCTGTCTCTTCCCTCTGTTGATTGTTTTTGGTTGTTTGTTTTTGCCGTGCAGAAGCTTTTTAGTTTGACAAATTCCATTTATCTATTTTTTTGCTTTTGTTGGCTATGCTTTTGAGGTCTTACCCAAACAGTATTTCCTCAGACCAATGTCCTGAAGTATGTCCTCAATGTTTTCTTCTAGTATTGTTTCAGGTCTTATTTTCAAGTGTTTAATTCATTTTAATTTGATATTGTTGCATATAATGAGAGATAGAATATTCAGTTTTCCCAGCACAATTTATTAAACATGATATTATTTCCCCACAGAATGTTCTTGGTACATTTTATTTGAAATTCAGTTGGCTTTAAATATGTGGATTTATTTCTGAGTTCTCCATTCTGTTCCACCGGTCTATGTGGCTTCTTTTATGCCAGCATCATGCTGTTTGGGTTACTATAGCTTTGTAGTATATTTTGTAATAAAGTAGTGTGATGCCTCCAGCTTTGTTCTTTTTGCTCAGGATTGCTTTGGCAATTCAGGGTGTTCTGTGATTCCATATAAACTTTTGGATTTAAAAAATATGTATTTGTGTGCAGAATGCCACTGATATTCTTATAGGAATTATATGAAATTGGTAGATCACTTTTGGTAATATGGTTTCCACAATATTAATTCTTTCAATCTATGAACATAAAGAAACTTTCCATTCTTTTGTGAGCTCTTCAATTTCTTTCATCAATCTTTTATAGTTTTTCTTGTAGAGATCTTTAATCTTTTATATTTATTTCTAGGTATTTTATTATTTTGTAGCCATTATAAATAAGATTGCCTTCTTATTTTTCTGCTAGTTAATTGTGGGTGTATGAAAACACTACTGATTTTGATTTTTTTTGTATGTTAATTTGTATCCTGAAAATTTGCTGAATTTTTTGATCAGTTCTAAGTTCCTCATTTCCAGTTTGGATAACCTCTAATTTTTCTATTGCCTAATTTCTCTAGCTAGGATTACTCGTACTATGTTGAATAAGAGGGGTGAAAGTAAGCATTCTTGTCTTGTTCTATTTCTAAGAGGAAAACTTTCAGCTTTTCCACATTCCATGTGATATTTACTGTGATTTTTCATATATGGTCTTTATTGTGTTGAGGAATGCTCCTTCTATATCTACTTTGTTAGAGGTTTGACAACCAAGGATGTTGATTTCTATCAAATGCTTTTTCTGCGTCTATTGAGATAATTAAGTTATTTGTCCTTCATTGTGCTGATGTGATGCATCATGTTTATTGATTTGCATATGTTGAGCCATTCTTGCATCCCTGGGGAAAGTTCCACTAGATTATAGTGTATACTCTTTTTAATGTGTTGATGGGTTCAGTTTGCTAGTATTTTGCTGAGGAATTTTGTATCTATGTTCATCAGGGATATTGGCTTACAGTTTTGTTGGTGATGATGTGCCCTTATCTGGTTTTGTTATCAGGGTGATGCTAGCCTCTGAAAATGAGTTTAGAAGAATTCCAGCATCTTTGATTTTCTAAAATATTTTGAGAAGAATTGGTATTAGTTCTCTAAATGTTTGATAGAATTTAGTAGTGAAACTGTCACATTCTGGGCTTTTATTTTATGGGAGAAATATTATTACTGATTAAATCTCATTTCTCATAATTGGTCTTTTCAAGTTTTGTATTTCTCAATATTGGCAAATTATATGTGTCTAGGAATTTATCCATTTCTGTTAGATTCTCCAACTTGCTGACATGTCTTTCATAATACTCTGATAACTCACTGCATTTCTGTGGTATTAATTGTAATTTCTCCTTTTTCCTGATTTTATGAATTTGGATCTTTTATCTTTTTTTCTAGTTAGTCTAGTTAATTAATGGTTTGCTTATTTTATTTATCTTTTCAAAAGCCAAATTTCCATTTTATTGTTCTTTTGTATTGCTTTTTCAGTCTCAATTTTATTATTTCTACTCTGGTCTTTATTATTTTTTTCCATCTATTAATTTTGGGTTTGATTTGTTCTTACTTTTTTAGTTTCTTAAGATAAACCATTACGTTATTCATTTGAAATATTTCTACTTTTTTGATGTAGGTGTTTATTGCTATGAATTTCCCTCTTAATACTGCTTTTGCTATATGCCATAGGTTTTGGTATGTTGTGTTTCTATTTTTATTTGTTTCAAGATTTTTTTTGCTGGGTTGTTTTTTATTTATATTCAGTATTTAGTGTTTATATATGTCCTAGAGTAAAATTATTTTTGGATTAAATATTATTTTTAAATATAAAATATTAAATATTTTCTATCAGTCTGTGTCTGACAGTCTGTGTGTGATCCAAAATAATTTTTTGGATCAAATATTTTCTATCAGCCTGTGTCTTAACTTTATTTATTTAGTAGTCCATTTCAAAGACCACAAGTTTTTAATTTTAGCTAAGTTCAATTTATTAACTTATTTGATCAATTCTGTACATGATGTGTTATATTTAAAAAAAAAATTTTGCTAATTCAAGACCACGGAGATTGTCTCCTGTTTTCTGCTGTGCATTTTATACTTTTATTTCTTACCTTTAATCTGTGGTTATTTTGAGTTAATTTTTATGTAGGACATGAGGTGTGGATTAACAGATTTGGGAGTTATTTTGCCTCAATTTTTGCTTATTATTAAGTATATTAGTTTGCTTGATCTGCCATAATGAATTACCACAAGTGGAGTGGCTTAAAGAACAGAAATTTATTTTCCTACAGTTCAAGGAAGCCCATGATCAGGTTTCAGCAGGTTAGATTTCTTCTGAACTGTCTTTCCTTGGCATGTAGATGACTGTCTTCTTGCTGTGTGCTTACCTGGTTCTCCTTCAGTCTGTCTCATCTGTGTCCTAATCCCCTCTTCTTATAAAGACACCAGCCATGTTGGATAAAAGCCTACTTCTACCTTCTAGACTAAGCTAGTATGTAAAAGTACAATTAGTTTTTCATATATTTTTATTTTATGCTATTACCTTGATAGACTAATTTATTAGTCTTATTATTTTTTATAGATTCTACCAAATTTCTACGTTGATAATCATGGCATCTGAGAATTAAGTTTGTTCTTTCCTTCTAGTCTGTATGCCTTTTATTTTCCATGTTTTTATTATTGCATTGGCTAAAACCTCGAGTATAAGTTTGGATAGAAATGGTGGGTAGCATGCATCCTCCTATGATTCCTGATCTTAGAAACATAGTGTTACTTCTTTCAACATTAAATATGATATTACATGCAAATGTTTTGTAGGTGTCATTTCAAGTTCAGGAAGGTGATTGATTTTTCTTTCTGGTTTGCAAAGTATGCATCATTAATGAATATTACATTTTATCAAATAATTAAATAGTTTTATGCTTTTATTGAGCATATGGCTCCTCCATCTTAATTTATTAATGTGGTAAATTACATTGATTGATTTTAAATGTTGAAACAACCTTGAATCTCTAGAGCAAACCCCACATGGTAATGATGTATTAGCATTTTAATATATTGTTGGATTTGAGTTATCAGTAATGTATTGCTCCTCCTATCCGTGTTCATGAGAGAGATTGGTTTATTGTTTTCCCTTGTTTCTTATACTGTTGTCTACTTTTCCAGTGAGAGCAGGACAGGCTTCACAGAATGAGCTGAGATGCATTTCCTCATCTTCAACAGACTTTGTACAGAATTAAGCATTATTTCTACTTTTAAAACAGTATTTAAAGATGCTGGTGTTCATCAATGAATCCATCTGCTTCTGGATTTTTCTTCATAGGTTTAAAAGTACAAATTAATTTTTTTCAATGGAGCTATTCTGGTTATATACATTGCATCTTGAGTGAAGTTTGGTGATTCGTGTTTTCCATGAAAGTTTTTCACATCATCTAAATTGTCAACCTAAATAGTATAAAGTTGTTTATGCTGTGCTTTTATCTTCTAGTATCTATTTATCATCTATAGAATACTATAACATCTACAGATTTTAAATCTATTTAAAAATACTTTGAATATCTGTAGAAGCTGTAGAAATGATCTCTTTACTCAGTTGATCTGCCTGCCTCGTCCCCGTCTCTACTAAAAATAGAAAATTAGCCAGGCGTGGTGACACATGCTTGTAATCCCAGCTACTCAGGACACTGAGGCAGAAGAATCACTTGAACTTGGGAGGCGGAGATTGCAGTGAGCTGAGATCCCGCCATTGTACTCCAGCCTGTGTGACAAGAGCGAAACTCTGTCTCAAAAAAATAAAAATAAAATAAAAAAGTTTGTCTATTTTTTCTGGATGTTTTTAAGTTGTTGCTTCATGTTTTATTAGGTGATAAGCTTGTGCTGCAGGATAAAGTGTAACATCAGTGTGGCCAAGGTCAAAAGGCAGGTAAGTACCATCAGGGAAACAGTGCAAGTTTCTAGGTCACTATGAAGAGACAACATGCACACCAGACTCAAGTGATACAACGTTTATTTATAGCAAGAGGAGAAAGCAAGTACATAAGATTTAGCCCCTTGCAATGCATGGGTCTCCCACGGCTATTGGATCCATTCTACAATCACTGAGGGCAATGTGACTACGTGTGCCTCACTTCAGGCTGAAGTAGAAAAATTCCCACCATTGTCTCTAAAGGTGTGAATGACAGAAAGCTGGGGGTGCCTGAAGGCTATTGACACATATATAGGTAATAAGTTCCCAGAAAAAGTTTATATATGCCCACTGCAGCAGGAACAGGGATATACTAGCTGTTCTCTGAGCTCATTTCACAAAACTGTATTTGTGAGCTTGCCAGCACATCCTGTACCAAGCACAAAGTTTTTCTTGAGAACCCAGGGGAGCTGTTGGGTGGCACTTGGACCCTGCACTGAAACTACATATTTAACGACACTATTATTAAATTAATAAACATTTAGACTTTATGTCTTGATTAATTGACCCCTTTGCCATTGTAAATGTTTTTATTTTCCCCTGGTAATACTGTTTTGCCTTAAAACTTACACCAATTCAAGTTAATATAGTCAAATCAGTTTTTAAATTCGTATTAAAGGCCAAGCATGGTGGCTCATGCCTGTAATCCCAGCACTTCAGGAGGCTGAGGCAGGCGGATCACTTGAGGTCAGGAGTTCGTGACCAGCCTGGCCAACATGGTGAAACCCCATTTCTACTAAAAATACAAAAATTGGCCAGGTGTGGTGGCAGGCACCTGTAATTCCAGCTACTTGGGAGGCTGAGGCAGGAGAATCACTTGAACCTGGGAGGCAGAGGTTGCGTGAGCCGAGATCATGCCACTGCACTCCAGCCTTTGGTGACTCAAAAAAAAAAAAAAATACTATTAACATGAATATATTTTGCATCTTCCTACTTTTAACATATTTGTGTCTTTATTGCTCAAGGCTTATTGATATATAATTGAAAATAAAGTTATTTTATATATATTTAAGGTGTACTACATGATAATTTAATATATGTATACATTGTTAAATGACTTCCACAATCAATTAAATATTTTAAAGTCCTTGTCTTTCAGACTGCATATATTTATTTTTCATCCAATATGAAAATCTCTGCTTTTTAATAGGTGGTTTGAACCATTTATATTTAATGTGATTATTGATGTAGTTAGGTTTAATAGCACTTTATAATATTTGCTTTCTATTTGCCTTATCTTTTATTCATTTTGCTATTTGCCTTTTTAAAATTATTGCTTATGATTTATGATTCCATTTATCTTTATGTTCACTTAATAGCAAAATACTTTATTTTGTTATTTTATTGGTTGCCTTCGCTATTGTAGTGTACATCGTAAACTTATCATAGTCTATCTTCAAGTGATATTATATAACTCCATGTAGAGTATAAAAATGTCATAAAAGTATACTTCAGTTTTTCTCTTACTGGTCATAATGTTACTGTTGTAACACATTTTAACTTTTCATATAAACATTACCCAATGTTGTTATTGTTTTTCCTTGAACAATCAACTAAGTTGATTGAAAAGGAAAGAAAAAATAAGTGTTTATCCAAGTAGTTATGATTTCCAGTAGTCTTCATTTTTTTGGTTTGAACTTGTATTTCACTAGATAGCCCATCTGAATTTCCTTTGGCCTGAAGGAATTTCTTGAACATTTTTTATACCTCACGTGTATAGGAGATGGAATATTTTATGACCCATATGTATTGTGTGACCTGTATGTCTCAGGTATGATAAAACATACCGACCAGCTCCCAGGATTCAATTACCTCCCCCTGTGTCCCTCCGACAACACATGGGAATTTTGGGTGATCCAATTCAAATTGAGATTTGGATGGGGACACAGCCAAACTATATCACTGTATATTTGAAAAAGTCTTTATTTCCACTGTTTATGTAATGATAAAACATACCTGAGACTGGGAAGAAAATGAGTGTTAATTGGACTTATAGTTCCACATGGCTGGGGAGGCCTCAGAATGATGGCGGGAGGTGAAAGGCACTCCTTACATGGTGGCAGCAAGAGAAAATGAGGAAGAAGCAAAGCAGAAGCCCCTGCTAAATCCATCAGATCTTGTGAGACTTATTCACTATTACAAGAATAGCACAAGAAAAATGGGCCCTCATGATTCAATTACCTCCCTCTGGGTCCCTCCTACAACATGTGGGAATTCTGGGAGATACAATTCAAGTTGAGATTTGGGTAGAGACACAGCCAAACCATATCATTCCACCCCTGGCCCCTCCAAATCTCATGTCCTCACATTTTAAAACCAATCATGCCTTCCCAACAATCCCCTAAAGTCTTTACTCATTTCAGCATTAACCCAAAAGTCCCCAGTCCAAAGTCTCATTTGAGACAAGGCAAATTTCTTCCACCTATGAACCTATAAAAGCAAAAGCAAGCTGGTTACTTTCTAGATACAATGGAGGTACAGGTATTGGGTAAATATAGCCATTCCAAATGGGAGAAATTGGCCAAAACAAAGGGGTTACAGACCCCATGCAAGTCTGAAATCCAGTGGGGCAATCAAACTTTAAAGCTCTAAAATGATCTCCTTTGAATTCCAGTCACAAATCCAGGTCATCCTGATGCAAGAGGTGGGTTCCCATGGTCTTGGGCAGCTCCGCCCTTGTGAATTTGCAGGCTACAGCCTCCCTCCCAGCTGCTTTCATGGCCTGGTGTTGAGTGTCTACAGCTTTTCCAAGCACATGGTGCAAGGTGTCAGTGGATCTACCATTCTGGGGTCTGGAGGATGGTTGCCCTCTTCTCATAGCTCCACTAGACAGTGCCCCAGTAGGGACTCTGTGTGGGGGCTCTGACCTCACGTTTCCCTTCTGCACTGCCCTAGCAGAGGTTCTCCATGAGGGCCCCACCCCTGCAGCAAACTTTTTCTCTGGGCATCCAGGCATTTCCATGCATCTTCTGAAATCTAAGTGGAGGTTCCCAAACCTCAGTTCTTGACTTCTGTGCACCCACAGGCTCAACACTATGTGGAACCTGCCAAGGCTTGGGGCTTCTACCTTCTGAAGCCACAGCCCAAGCTCTATATTGGCCCATTTCAGCCACGGCTGGAGTGGCTAGAACACAGAGCACCAAGTCAGTAGGCTGAACACAGCATGGGGCCCCTCGGCCTGGCCCACAAAACACTTTTTCCTCTTGCGCCTCCAAGCCTGTGATGGGAGGGGCTGCCATGAAGGTCTCTGACATGCCCTGGAGACATTTTCCCCATGGTCCTGGGGATTAACATTAGGCTTCTGGCTACTTATGGCAAACTTGTGCAGCTGGCTTGAATTTCTCCTCAGAAAATTTTTGTTTGTTTGTTTGTTTGTTTGTCCTACTGCCTCCTCAGGCTGAAAATTTTCTGAACTTTTATGCTGCTCCCTTTTAAAATGGAAGGCTTTTCATAGCATCCAAGTCACCTTTTGAATGCTTTGCTGCTTAGAAACTTCTTCCACCAGATACCCTAACTCATCTCTCTCAAGTTCAAAGTTTCACAAATTGCTAGAGCAGGAGCAAAATGCTGCCAGTCTCTTTGCTAAAACATAACAAGAGTCACCTTTGCTTCAGTTCCCAACAAGTTCCTCATCTTCATCTGAGACCACCTCAGCCTGGACCTTATTGTTCATATCACTATAGCATTTTTGTCAAAGCCATTCAACAAGTCTCTAGGAGGTTCCAAACTTTCCCACATTTTCCTGTCTTTTTCTGAGCCCTCCAAACTGTTCCATCCTCTGTCTGTTACCCAGTTTCAAAGTCACTTTCACGTTTTCGGGTATGTTTTCAGCAATGCCCCACTATACTGGTACCAATTTACTGTATTAGTCCGTTTTCATGCTACTGATAAATACATACCCAAGGCTGGAAAGAAAATGAGGTTTAATTGGACTTACAGTTCCACATGTCTGGGGAGGCCTCAGAATCATGGTGGGATGTGAAAGGTATGTCTCACATGGTGGCAGCAAGAAAATGAGGAAGAAGCAAAAGCAGAAGCCCCTGCTAAACCCATCAGATCTCGTGAGAGTTATCCACTATCATGAGAATAACATGGAAAAGACCAGCCCCCAGGATTCAATTACCTCCCCCTGGGTCCCTCCCACAACACATGGGAATTTTGGGCGATCCAATTCAAATTGAGATTTGGGTGGGGACACAGCCAAACTGTATCACTGTATATTTGAAAACGTCTTTATTTCCACTTTTTATGTAATATTTAAAAAATATTTTTTAGTCACTTTAATTGTGTTGGTCCTCTGTCTTCTTGCTGCCATTGTTTCTGATTAGAAACTGACTTTCATCTTTCTTTGTGCCCCTCTGTATGTAACATTTCTTTGCCTGACCCCACTTGATGCTTTTAAAATTTCCTCTTTATCAATGGTTTATAGCAAATTTATTATGATATGACTTGGATCTGTTTGCCTCATGTTTCCTGTGCTTGCTCTTCACAGAGATTCTTGTATCTGTTGGTTTACAGTTTGCATCAAATTTTTTAAAAAGCAGCCATTATTATTTTAATTGTTTATTTTGTCTCTCATTACTTTCCTCCGTTTTGAAGATGCAAATTACATATATATCAAGCTCAAGCCACCTGATGTTGACATTCGCTGATTCTTTTTTTTTTAGATTTGCTTTTTTTCTGTTTCTGTGTTTAAGTTTTGGTAGTGTATATTTCTCTCGCTCTTCAAGTTTATTTATTTTTTTCTGCAACGTTAAATTTGTTATTCATTCTATTCAGTATATTTTTGTCTCTCACAGTGTAGTTTGGATTTTTAGAAGCTTGAATTAGGCTATTTTTATATCTTCCACTGAATAGAATTTTGATAACTTAAAAAAATAACATTGCAAATATAGTATATTAAATTCCCAAATATCACACCCAGGTTCCCCAATTATTACATTATATTAGGATAATGCATTTTAAAATAATTAATGAGCATATTTTTATTAATTCTTATTAACTAGACTCCATGCTTTATTCAGATTTTCTTACTTTGAATTAATATTTTTTCTCTGTGTCAAGATCCCACCCATGATATTCTGTAACATTTAACTCACATGTCTTCATAGGCTCGTGACAATGACAGTTTGTCGGGTTTTTCTTGCTTTTTACAATCTTGACAGTTTTGAGGTGTTATGGTCAGGCGTTTTGTAGAATGCCCACGTTCATCACATCATATCCAGTGTATGTCCTATCAAGATGATACATCACTGCTGACATTAATAATGACCACCTGGTGGAGTTAGTGCTTGTCAGGTCTCTCCACTGTAAAGTTGCTATCACAGCCTTCAGTGAAGAGTGGGTAGAAGAGTAAATACATAAATTATTCGGAATTCTTTTTTATGGGAGCCTTTTTTGTCCCATTTATTTATTTTTTGATTATCTATATCAGTATGGTCTCATGAGCATTTATTTTGTGTTTTGGAGTATAATCTAATAATACTTTACTTACATTATTAGTACATATACAGTTTTATTTGTCCATTATACCCTAATAAAGCTGGAAAATGAAAAGGGAATAAGGAGGAAAGAATGGTTCCAGATTTGGGCATTAAGTGGTCTGTCAGTTGGCACCTGGCTGCTGTAGCCCTATGACATACCATGGTCGTGTGTGTGTGTGTGTGCCTGTGTGTGTTAAGACATCTTATGGCTCCTCAAAGATGCCCGCATTCTAACTCCTGGAACTAGTGAAAATTACTTAGGGAAGTTACCTCAAAAGAAAAATTCCAGGTATGATTAAGTTAAGTTAGAATGGAGAGATTATCCTGGATTATTTGAGCAGACTAGAAATTAATCACAAATGTTCCTTGTAGGAGGAGGCAGAGGGAGGTTTGACTATAGAAGAAAAGAAGGCAGTGTGACCATGGGAGTAGAAGTTGAGGTGATGCAGCCACAATTAAAAAATTCCAGCAACCTCAAGAAGCTGGAAGAGGCAAGAATAAGATTGTCCCCTACAGCATTCAGAAGGAGCCAGCCCTGCCAACACCATGACATTAGCCCAATGAGACCCACTTCCGACGTCTGACTCTAGAACTGTAAGAACATATTTATTGTGCTATTTGAAGCCACCACATTTGTGTTGATTTCTTATAACACTCATAGTAAGCCAATGCATTCAACTTTTATATTTTCTTCTGCAGTCTTA
Source organism: Homo sapiens (assembly GCF_000001405.40). Taxonomy (NCBI): domain Eukaryota; kingdom Metazoa; phylum Chordata; class Mammalia; order Primates; family Hominidae; genus Homo; species Homo sapiens. Next base: position 4,753,825 of record NC_000005.10, read on the forward strand.
GAATTGGCAATTACTAAAATCAGCACTGGCTGTTTATTTGAGAATAAACGTATTTAGAACCATATCTGGTTACTGTGTGTGCCCAATGCTTCAGAGGTGCCTTTGTTTCTACATCCTCTGATGTAACAGTGCAAGAGAATGTATGTGTATATACTAACCTATGCATATCCAAATATCTATGAACATTGATAATAGTATATGTAGTCAGCTGTATCTATATTAAGCTAGACATTAATTTGTACTGATGTCTCCAGCTCTAATCCATTACCACATGGATCATTCTTACCATCTCCCTTGCTCATCTGTAACCTCCAACTCCAACAGTGAAAATCTGGGCACTTAGCATCCATCATCCACTTAATTGTTTAATTCTGTGTGTGTGTGTGTGTGTGTGTGTGCATGCGCGCGTGTGTGTTATCAGTATAAAACTAGCTCACAACCTTGCAGAAAACTGTATCAACCAAAGAGGTTACATAGTTTCTTTTGCCTGTAGTCTTACAAATTCTACTCGTTTTCAAATTATTTAAGTCAGCACCATTTTTCCTGACCTTCAGTAAAGCTATTTTAAACATTTGTCAGACATCAGTCTTTTGTCACATTCTGCATTCTACTCTGGGATCTCCTGACCTCCTAAATGATTTATTTTTACCAATCTACATACATTAAGGTTACTCTTGGTGCTGTAAAGAACTATGAGTTTTGACACATATATTGTATCACATATCCACTGTTACACTATCAAACAAAATAGTTTTACTGCCTAAAAAAGTCCCTCATAATCCACCTATTTACACTCTTCCCAGTTCCTTCTCCCTGTAACAAACAATTGATTTCTTTACTATCTCTACATTTTTGCCTTTTCCAGAATGTCACAGTTAGAATTATATATTGCATAGCTTTTTTATTTTTAATTTACCTGCCATATTTAAGATTCTTTCATGTATTTTTAAGGTTTGGTAATTTGTTTTTTTTCTTTGTTGGGTTATATTTCACTATAAGGGTGGATCACAGTTCCTTTATCCATGAACATGTGGAAAGTCATCTTGGTTGCTTCCAGCTGTCACTGATTATGAATGAAGATGTTATAAACATTCACACAGAGTTTAGTGTCTTGGCATATATTTCAAATCAGTTCAGTACATATCTAGGAGGGAAATTGCTGGACTATATGAAAATATTAAGTCTACGTTTGTAAGAAACTTCCAAAGTATCTCTCAAAATGGCCACTTTGCCCTCCCACAAGTGGTGAATTAGAGATCCTGTTGTTTTACATTCTTCACTATTGGCATTGTCTTTGTTTTGTTTTGTTTTGTTTCATTTGTTTGCCATTCTAATGGGCATGTAGTGGTACTTCTACTATTTTGATATGTAATGTCTTATGACAAATGATGTTACCATGTTTTCATATGTGTATTTTCCATCTGTATAGCTTCTCTAATGAGGTATCTTTTCAAATCTTTCGCTCATCATTTATTTTTTGTCTTATATTTTGAGTTTTGAGGTTTTTTTATTTTGAATATAAATCAGAAATCTGTTTTTACAAATATTTTATACATCTGTAGCTTGTTGCATTATTATCTTAACAGTGTCTTTTGCCTAACAGAAAATTTAATTTTAATAAAGTACAATTTGTCAATGTTTTCTTTCATAGACCATGCTTTTTGTATTGAATCCAAAATCTCATTAACCAAAGTCACAATGATTTCTTCCTAAGATTTTTTTGTTATGGAAATTTTATAGTTTTACATTTTATATGTAGACCTAGGATCAATTTTGAGTTGATTTTTGTGAAAGGTGTAATGTCTGTGTTGATATGCATCTTTAAAAAAAAATATGCACATCCAACTGTTCCAGCACCATGTGATGAAAAGACTTCTCTTGTTCTATGATATTGCCTTTTCTCTTTTGATAAAAATTAGTTTACTGTGTTTATGACTATGTCTGGGCTATCTATTTTGTTTGTATATATATACACACACACACATATTACATATATGATATATATATTATATATAAAATACATAATGTATGTATATAATGTAATATATATATATTACCAAAATATGGTCTCTTTTGGTGAGGGTCTCATATATATATAATGTAATATATATACATTATATATATATATGAACAGGGCTGGTGAGAAAAGTCCTTCTTGCGTTGTTCCACATCTTAAGGGGAAAATATTTTGTTTCCCAACCTTAATTATTATGTTAATTATAGGCTTTTTGTGATTATTTTTAATTAAAGTAAGAAAATTTCTCTCTATTCCTAGTGTCCTGAGAGTTTTATCATGAATGTTGTGTTGAATAATTTTTATACATCAATTAATATAATTACTTGATACTTCTTCAGTTTGTTGATGCAGCGGTGATTGATTTTCAAACTTTGAACCATCCTTGCATAAATGAATAAATCCCACTTGGTGGTGGTATATACTTCTTAATTCACTATTGTATTTTATTTATTCATATTTTCTGGGAGTTTTTTGTGCCCCCACAACAGGGCTTGATGACTTCTTTTTTGGAATGTTATTATTTATTAAATTACTTAAATAGATATAGACCTATTCAGATATTTATTTCTCCTTGTGTGAATTTTGGTAGTTTGTATCTTTCAAGGAATTGTTGTGTGGGTACTTAGTTATGCAGTACTTCTTATTATCCTTTTAATATACATGATATAGAAAGTAATGACTACTCTTTTTTTCTTTTATTTCTGGTTTTATAAATTTTGTCTTCTCTATTTTGTTTGTGGCTGGACTGGCTTGGATTGAGGATTAGAAATTTTCAGATCTTTTCAAAGAATACAATGTTAGTTTTGTTGATTTTTAAATTGTTTTCCAATTTTCCATTTCAATGATTTTCTCCCCTTTTATTATTTATTTTATTCTCCTTGTTTTATGTTTAACTTGGTCTTTTTTCTCTAGTTGCTGAACACTTGATTTTACGTCTTTAATATTTTCGAATATATGCACTTAATGCTATACATTTCTCACTAATCATTACTTTTACTATATTCTACAAACTTTCATAAGTTTGTTTTACATATTTGTTTAGTGTTACCTATTTTTAAATTTATTTTGAGATAAATAATTCTGTAATTCACATATTATTTAGAAGTACACTGTTTGATGTTCAAATATTTAATAATTTTCCAGATATTTTTATTATTGACTTATAATCCTATTGTGTTCTGAAAAGATAATCTATATGGCTTCTATTTTCTTGAATTTCTTAAGGTATAGTTTAGGAACAAAATATTGTCTCTTTTGGTGAGAGTCTCATGAGAGTATGAGAAGAATAGCTATTCTCCTGTTCTTGGGTGCAGTATTCTACAAATGTTAATTACATCAAGTTGATTGATAGTGCTGCTCAAGTCAACTACAACCTTATTGACTTTTTTTTGGCCTGGTTGGTCTATCAATTACTAAAAGATAAACTGAAGTCTTCAACTATAAAAGCAAATTTGTCTATCTGCTCAGTACAATCTGTTTTTGTCTCACATATTTTAACACTATTGTTAGAGCTTCATATGTTAAAGATCCCTACGTCTTTTTGGAAAATGTGTCCTTTTATCATTAAATAATACCACTCTTTATTCCTGGCAATTTTCCATGATGTGAAGTCCACTTCATTTAAAATTAATATAGCTATGCAACTTTCTTTTGAAATATTCTTCTCCCAGATTGGATAAGCTCTGCTAAGTTCTTCCCCCCTGAAAAAAAAAAAAGGCCTTTTTTAATATAGTGAGCACGGGGATTATTTTACAATTACTCTTCTCTTCTCTCTGCCACAGTTATGGGAGGATATTTTTCAGATCTTCATCATAAGAACCTGGTAGAGTCCCTGGAGGTAATTTCCATGAATATGTCTCTCCTCCCCAAACTGCAGTCCATACTCGTCCTCCAGCAATTTTTCAGAACTACTAACTTTTCCTTCCAGTTTATAGTTCCAGCATCTTCTGCTGCAGGTAAGGAAATATGCGCTGTGACTCTGGAGTCATCTGTGTCTTCAGATGTCATGGCGATGGTTTTCCCTGAAACCTCAGTTTCATGGTAAGCACAAAAAAATTACGTGAATTTTAGTTTGTTCAATTTCTCTGTTGGTGTAAGGACTGAAGTGACAGCTTCCAAACTCTGTATTTTGTGGCTACAAATAGAAATCTATAATAACCTTTTAAATGTCTAATAATTCTGATAGCTTTATCAATTCTGGGTTGGTTTTAATTAACTGAATCATCTTTTTATTTTGGGTTATATTTTCCTGCTTCTTTGCATACTGATAGCATAAACATCTATTTTGCCTCCGGATGTGCTGAATATTTTTGTATCCATATAAATGTACATATATATGTGTGTGTGTGTGTATGTATTTTACATTTTCTTGTATCTGATATGTACCTAAATTTTTTATAATCATTTGTTCTGTTCAAGTCTTGCTTTTAAGATTTTTGGGGATGTTCAAGAGCAATATTGAGTCAGGAGTGGTTTTTGTTTCACTACAATGACAACATTTCTCTGATTATTCTATCTCATATATTTGCATAATGAGATTTTACAGGCTGTCTGCAGAAAACAGCACTAAGGCACTATTTTTGAGTGTGCAGCAGTTACCTATAACTCTTTTATAGTTTTTTCCCCATTCCCATGTAGTCTCTTCACACACACGCACTAGTAAGTAACCAGCTGATCACTGAGTGTATCATTTGCAGATCACCAAAATTATCTTTCTGGAAGTTCTCTTCTGTTTGTTTGAAAAAATAAACAAATAAACAAATCAAACCCTCTAGAGAAGTTAAATTTAGCAGAGTTTATTTTAGCAAAGAATGATTCATGAGTTGAAGAGCACTCAGAACCAGGAGAGGTACAGAGAGCTCCACCCAGCAACGTGGGCAGGCAGTATTTACAGAGAGAAAAAAAAGGAAGTGGCAGACACAACAGCTTGATTGAATACAGCTCAACATCTGCCTTATTTGAGCATGGAGTGATGAGGCATTTGCCTTACATGAACATGATCTCATAAGTGGGCATCCTGTCATTCACCAAAACCCAGCTGCCATGATTGGCTGGGACTCGAACATTTGCTACAATAATATACTCTTAGGTTGTAGTTTATTTCTTATTAAGTTAGGTTGTAGCTTGCTAAGTGTAGAATCAAGATACCGAGCAAATTTAGGCCAGATTTAATTGAACAATTCGTGCCTTTTGGTCAGCCTTTTAATTCTGAAAGATTCACCAAAACCTTGGGCATTGAAGCCACACCCTGTTACCATGGTAATTGACTTGTTTGGACTTAGTATGGAATTCACAATTCATGATGGCAAGCCAGTTGGATGATTCTTTTAACACTCTTTGTATTTTCATTATTCTAACTGTGGTAAAACAATTTGATGCATAACAGATGCCTCTGTACAATCACTTAGGACTATTGAGGGAGTGGTGCGCCAGGGAGACTATCATAATGGCTTCCAGGAAGATGATTCGAAAAGACTGAAGCATGACTCCTTAACAGTAGCTACCATAAATAGAACCAATCTGAACAAAAAATATCACAAGTACCCAGCAAAGTAACCTACTTGTTTATACCAAGTTGTATGTTTGTTGATTTCTTGCAATTGAGTTTTTACCATACCAGATGTATTTATCCAGGTGTATTCGTATACACTGCCATATGTTTAGCTGAAACATAGTCCAAAGAAATTATGTTATCCAAAACAGTATTAGCAGGATAATTTAAAGAAGTTTTTTGGACAACTATAACCTTTGCAGTTAAGTCAGATGTAGTAGCTAATGTTTGAGACAGATTTCTAACTATAACATCACTTACATTTATGCCAAGCCAGAGAAGGATGTTTTTTTTTTTTTTTTAGATGGAGCGTCACTCTGTTGCCCAGGCTGGAGTGCAGTGGCACAGTCTCGGCTCACTGCAACCTCCCCTTCCCGTGTTCAAGCAATTCTCCTGCCTCAGCCTCCCGAGTAGCTGAGATTACAGGCACCTGCCACCACCTTGGCTAATTTTTTTGTATTTTTAGTAGAGACAGGGTTTCACCATGTTGGCCAAGCTGGTCTCAAACTCCTGACCTCATGATCCACCTGCCTCGGTCTCCCAAAGCTCTGGGATTACAGGTGTGAGCCGCCACACCCAGCCTGAGAAGGAGCATTCTATGAAAAGATGTCCATTTGTAGGAATTTCAATTCATTCAAATTACTTTTTATTCTATACTGCAAGTTAAGAAATGCAGACCAACATTCAGTGTCTAGTTGATTGTGGAGTGAGAGTAATACCATTAGAATTCCTAATCTACATTGGATCCTTATTTTCCACTTACTGAAACATGGAATGTGTGAATGGTTAAATGATTATTATACTACTAAATCCTCCACAAATAAAATTACATTCTGGAGGGACATAACAGACAGTTCTAACAGACAGTTTCCTATGGGGATAACTTGTGCATTAGTAGGCACCAGTAAGAAAGCACTAGTAATACTTATCTAAGGGACCATTATTGAATTATTGCATGGTTGGTGGCTACTAATAATTAAAAGGTTGGAGTTACAAATCTGTCTACAAACTGTTGAATTATCTTTCTTTTCTTTGTTGGTATTCAATTTCTGGCCAAATTTAACAGCAAAGCCCTCAGTATAGTGTTTACCTACTGTTAGCTTTAAATAAGGAATCTGAATATGTAAATCTAAAAGTCTGACACTACAGAAAGCATCAAATATCACACTGGGAATATCAGCAAAATATGTTATACAGTGAACCAAAGGATACCTAAGATCATGGAAGGGTTTAGGTTTAACATGACATATCCAACATTCATTCAGTTAAGTTCTCTGTGGAAGCTATCAATGATAAAATCTTAATTTTCACATTATCTTTCCATGTATAGACAGAAGATAAACAGTAGGAAAAGAGAAAAATTTCATGGTGACTGTAGACAGACCCTTGGTCTGTGATCTTGGGATAGTTGTGTACTTCGGGGATGTTTTCTTCTTCTAAGGAGAAGCCTCCCTGGTCAGTTTCACCTTGATGTCTCCAGTGTGTGTATGGTCCCAAGAGTCTAGAGGGGCTCTTTGAGTTAAGAGATGTGGATACAAGACTTGAGTCTCTGAAGTTTTGCTGCAGGGTAGAACTTGGCATAGTTCCTTTCAAGAGAGTTCAACTGTGGTCTTTCTCTGGTGTTGTTTCCAAGAGACCAAATCTGCATGTTCTAGGCTGTGAAAGGTCTGCCTGTCATCTGTTCATGGGTCATGAAGAGCTTCTTTTACCTGGAGAAAATATACTTGGCCTCGTGTATGAAAGCTTTAAAATACTGGTTCATGTCAGTTTATAAGGGCATGAGGTACATAAGATTTTATTATTAGAAGAATAGGTACTCCAGTCACTATTTTATTGGGGTCAATTTTTGCTTTCCAGTGGGAATGAATCGGATTACCATCAATCAGGAATAACTCTGACCAAGGTAATGCAATTATGCTAGCTTTGCAGGATGACATAGTGTTTGTAATACCTTATTTGACTATTTTATACCTTCTCCACTGAAACAATTATCTCTAACGATGGAGATTTCTCCAGGAATATCCCATAAAGGAAACACATTTTTTTTTTCCAACAATCTTTTAGGTACCACTTTAAAAGTGTTTTTTCTGCATAGGGAAGTTTCTATACTACCAAAAACATACACAGAAGAAGGCAACTGAATGAATCCACTTGTGTTTGTTCAAATAGTCCAGCAGATGATGGAAACGTGTCACTTGAGGATTTTGTTGCCTTACTAGAATTATGGACTTGACAAACCAAAGATTGATTATAAACAACTTTCACAATTTTAGATAGTCACAAAAACATATTTTTATTATTCATATTATTTTATCCACTCCAAAAGGAGTTGGAACGCAGAGCATTTAATAATAGAAGTGTTACATTTATGCCAAGACAGAGAAGCATTTTTTTTTTTTTGAGATGGGGTCTCACTCTGTTGCCCAGGCTGGAGTCCTAAGTGTTAAGAACTCGAATAACCAGGCTACCATCCAGGCTTTCCATGAACCCACACTTTACATTGAATTAAAATCCCTTTAAACACTAGCTTTGTTTCTCCAATTCAGGTGCCTAGCGGTGTTTATTAAATATATTATCATAGGTGATTTACTTGGATCAATCTTATGAAGTTCATTCAAATTGCACATCTTAATGATTTCAGTATTGGCTGAGTTAGCATGAAAATCTGTCAAAACATTTCCTCGGTGATCAATTAATTCTTGTCTTGCTTGGTGTTGGGTTAGCAGTTTCATGAAACCACATTTTTCTGTTAGAGTTCTGAAAATTCTTACCCAAGACTAGTAGTATGATTGGATTTCTAAGAATTTCATATAAATTTTGAAACACATATTACCCAAGTGGTAATTTAATGACTTCAAACAAGAAAAGTTACACAGTTGTAGAAAAATTTTAACTTTTTTAACAGAGATGTCTCAGTTCTCTTAAATTATCATTAATCTACTAAAGACAAGATGAAGCACAGGAAATTATATTGGTAAAACATAAATCTTTTTTCCTTTGGCCAATTATCTAAAAAATAAAGAAAAACCTCTCATAATTTCCTATTAAGAAAAAACCAATACTAAAGAAAACCTTGTTCTTTTAACACAGAGGACCAAATTCTAGTTCTGCATTATTATACTTTATTTATTTATTTATTTATTTATTTATTTATTTATTTATTATTGTTGAGACAGAGTCTCACCCTGCTGTACAGGCTGGAGTTCAGTGGTATGATCTCAGTTCACTGCAACTTCTGCCTCCTAGGCTCAAGCGATTCTTGTGCCTCAGCCTCCCAAGTAGCTGGAATTACAGACGTGTACCACCGCACCCAACTAATTTTTGTATTTTTAGTAGAGACAGGATTTTACCGTGTTGGCCAGGCTGGTCTCAGACTCCTGACTTCAAGAGATCCACCTGCCTCAGCCTCCAAAAGTGCTGGGATTACAGGCATGTGTCACCTTGCACAGTCTGTATTTTTTATATTGATGCTTAATTTGTAGAAAAATTTATAACCAAGTACCTTCTAATCTTAAATAGTTTGATCACATATAAAATTCCTTTTGTTCGATTCATCTTTCACAGATCTTTTTAGGCTTTCTTAACCATTCAGATTTTGTCCTACACTTCTCCTCTTCTTATTTTTGAACAACCCATCCTACTAATTTTGGAAAAAACTTACTCTTTTCTATTAAAAAAAAATCTGCTTGCCTTATAGCTTTTCCTTACCAAAATCACATCTTACCTGTCTTGTATACTTGCATACATAATTTTATTATTTCATATATATATATATATATATATATATGAATGCTTAACTTTTAGCAACTTTATTTTCCAGTGAACTCTAGGAAGCAAGCAACTGCCTGTCACACCAGCAAGATGCAATGTGTAGATTGGCAAATCTATGAATCATAACTTCTAGAAGTAGATGTTCTTCATAGCACATTCAAAAGCTAGCAGAAGGCAAGAAATAACTAAGATCAGAGCAGAACTGAAGGAAATAGAGACATAAAAAACCCTTCAAAAACTCAATGAATCCAGGAGCTGGTTTTTTGAAAAGATCAACAAAATTGATAGACCACTAGCAAGACTAATAAAGAAGAAAAGAGAGAAGAATCAAATAGACGCAATAAAAAATGATAAAGGGGATATCACCACTGATCCCACAGAAATACAAACTACCATCAGAGAATACTATAAACACCTCTACGCAAATAAACTAGAAAATCTAGAAGAAATGGATAAATTCCTCGACACATACACTCTCCCAAGACTAAACCAGGACGAAGTTGAATCTCTGAATAGACCAATAACAGGATCTGAAATTGAGGCAATAATTAATAACTTACCAACCAAAAAGTCCAGGACCAGATGGATTCACAGCTGAATTCTACCAGAGGTACAAGGAGGAGCTGGTACCATTCCTTCTGAAACTATTCCAATCAATAGAAAAAGAGGGAATCCTCCCTAACTCATTTTATGAAAAAATGCTCATCATCACTGGCCATCAGAGAAATGCAAATCAAAACCACAATGAGATACCATCTCACACCAGTTAGAATGGTGATCATTAAAAAGTCAGGAAACAACAACTGCTGGAGAGGATGTGGAGAAATAGGAACACTTTTACACTGTTGCTGGGACTGTAAACTAGTTCAACCATTGTAGAAGTCAGTATGGCGATTCCTCAGGGATCTAGAACTAGAAATACCATTTGACCCAGCCATCCCATTACTGGGTATATACCCAAAGGATTATAAATCATGCTGCTATAAAGACACATACACATGTATGTTTACTGCTGCACTATTCACAATAGCAAAGACTTGGAACCAACCCAAATGTCCAACAATGATAGACTGGATTAAGAAAATGTGGCAATACACAATGGAATACTATGCAGTCATAAAAAATGATGAGTTCATGTCCTTTGTAGGGACATGGATGAAGCTGGAAACCATCATTCTCAGCAAACTATCATAAGGACAAAAAACCAAACACCACATATTCTCACTCATAGGTGGGAATTGAACAGTGAGAACACATGGACACAGGAAGGGGAACATCACACTCTGGGGACTGTTGTGGGGTGGGGGGAGGGGGGAGGGATAGCATTAGGAGATATACCTAATGCTAAATGACGAGTTAATGGATGCAGCACACCAACATGGCACATGTATACATGTGTAACAAACCTGCACGTTGTGCACATGTACCCTAAAACTTAAAGTATAATAATAATAAAAAAAAGTTAGCCATCATCTCGTTATTAACTATAATATAGAGATAAAACAAGCTTATTTTACCAGTAAACATAGGTAAGAAAAGTTGTATGTCTGAATTATATTTAATCCTGAAAACTCTGAAGATATAACTGTTGTAATCAAATCAACAATATTCTCATTTACCAAAGATTACCTAATCCACATAAACTTGAAAAGATTTAGGGTTACTTCTTATTGTTCTGAGAAAATAATTAATATAAGCATTTATTCTTATTAAGTCAATTAAACAGAGCTTTTATACAATTTAATTTTGGCAATATCATAAAAAGATAGCAAATTATTACACATATATATATCATACATACAGACATATATAGCTATATAGACAGGAACAGATCTCATAGCTGCCATTGTGAAACTTTAGCCACATCCCAGGTACAATAATACAAAGTTCACTAATTTACTAAACAATATTTGAATTCATTTTTTTCCAGCAGAGTTTTGGGGAATATCAAGGATCATGACAACATAAAAGAGATGGGCAGAGCTGGCAGAATGTAAAGTCAGCAAGGTTTTCAGAAAGGGGATCTCAGCTGACAGTTTCCCATGGGGGATGTAGGGTCAAACAGAAGGGCACAGAGGACTAACTCTTACAACTATTTTTTCGGCAAGTGGTTCAAATGTCAGTCGGACGGGCTTGGTCACAGTGACCTTTCAGACTTGATTTGAAACCTTCACGACAGTAATATTCTTGATTTTTTTTTCTCTGAGAGAATTGCTGATTATTTTCCCAGGAATGAAGCCACTGGGGGCTACCTCTAGTGGAGATAATCCAAGCTAAACAAAGTAGACCCATCAGTTGACTGGTGTAAAATGGACAATTTCTTCTCCAATGGTTTGGCTGTTTACAATTAAGGTAGACATCTCAGGGCACAGGGGTCTTTAGTTTGGGATCCCTCTGTTTGAGTTTGCATATGGAAGTCCTCTTGGTCCCTGCAGCTGTAAAGACATGCACCTGTTTGCCTTTTATAAAAAGTGTATCCACTGTGATCCGTGTAACTTTGAGTTACTTTTACTAAGATTCACCCATTTCTCCAGAAAAAAACAAGTTCTGGGTGCATAGTTCTTCTACATAAAATCGGCAAGAGTTCCATACTCCTAAGATCCAAATGAATCCATGATTCCCTGTCTTCTAGTAACCTTGACTACCTACTTAACCTAGTCCAGTGTCTGCCTGACCCAGTCAAACACCAGAGACCTCCTTACAGGACTCAGTCTTATTACTATCACAACTTCCAAATCAAGTATTGATAAAAGATACTCAAATAAACTCAGAGCGCTAAACATGTAAGTTTGTGGATCTAGAATCAGAGAGAAAACTAACCCTTGACTCCAGCCGCCGCAAGATATGAATGGGCAAAACGGGCCCAGTAGGTATCTTCCATTGGTCACCTACTGTTCCTGGGGGTCAAGGGAGATTTACTTTGGATGTGACCTCTGATGCCTAAATTTTAAAAGAATAACTTTAGATAAGTTAAATTTGACAGGGTTTATTTGAGCAAAGAACAAGTCATGCATCAGGCAGCATTCATATCCAGGAGTGGTTCAGAGAGCTCTACCCAGCAACATGGGCAGGCAGTATTTACATACTTAAAAAAAGGTAGTGACATACAGAAACGCTTCATGGATTACAACTTGGCATGTGCCCAATTTGGGCCTAGTGTAATCATTTGGCAGGCTGTGATTGGCTGAAATTCAGCTACTAGTTATAAAAACATATATTTTTAGGTTAGACTGTGGTTCTCTAGGGATGGACTCAAGATAAAAAGGCTTTAAGCCAAATTTAATTTAATTTAACTTAACCCTTTTCTCCAGGACTATCAGGAAAACTACAGCAATCTTGGTTTTCCTGGATTTTCAGGTTCATCTGCTCAACACAGGGAGACTATCAGGCCTCTCCTTGGTGCCCCCTACCTGTATTGTGGTCTGAAAACTCCCTTGAGGCAGACATGCAGCCAAACTTAGGGTTCAGCTTGCTTGTTTCTCAGCTCTCAGGAATCGCCATTCTGTGTGTGTGTGTGTGTGTGTGTGTGTGTGTGTGTGTGTGTGTGTGACAGAGTTTTCCTCTTATCACCCAGGCTGGAGGGCAATGGTGTGATCTCGGCTCACTGCAACCTCTGTCAGGTTCAAATGGTTCTCCTGCCTCAGCCTCCTGAGTAGCTAGGATTACAGATGTGCAACACCACACCCCACTAATTTCTGTATTTTTTAGTAGAGAAGAGGTTTTGCCATGTTGGCCAGGCTGGTCTCGAACTCCTGACCTCAGGTGATCTGCCCACCTCAGCCTCCCAAAGTGCTAGGATTACAGGTGTGAGCCACTGTGCCCGGCCTTTTTTGTCTTTTTGTAACTGTTTTATTTCATTGAGAGGAACGTCTTAAAAGTTTATCCATGTCGTACTATGTATCAGAATTTCCTTCCTCTTTAAGGTTGAATGATATTCCATTGTATGTAATTAGCACATTTTGCTTATGTGTTCATAGACACTAGGGTGACTTCCACCTTTTGGCTATTGTGAATAATATTCCTGTGAACATGGGTGTACAGATATTGTCCAAGTCCCTGCTAGGAGGATTTGCCCCAGAATAGTGGCTTCTTGAACTTTAATGTTCATGTGAATCACCTAGAGATGCTAATCTCATTAAACAACCACTGACATTCTTCACAGAATTAGACAAAACTATTTTAACGTTTATATGGAACCAAAAAAAGAGCCTGTATAGCCAAGATAATCCCAAGCAAAAAGAGCAAAGCTGGAGGCATTACGCTACCCAACTTCAAACTATACTACAAGGCTACAGTAAGGGATCTCCATTCTTCTTGCTTCTTGTCCAATGTCTTGAAAACCACTGTTTTGTGTATTTTGTCTGTTGTTTTTTAGGAGAGGGTAAATCCAGTCTTTGTTACTCCATCTCAGGTAGAATCATAAATCCCCATGTACATAAAATTTGATCTAATTTATGATGTCACATAAAAGGCCCCTTTACTTATAACTTAAGAATAAATAATAAAGGAGAAGACATTTTTTAATGTTCTGTTCCAGATTCTTAACTTTTGGAAAAGTGGTGCTCAAAAAAAATCTTAGACTGAATTCAGTGTGTGAATTTGGGGACAATTTACTTAGCAATGTTCTAACACATCACTTTAAGGCCATCATATGAAATAATCAATTTAATGCCCACTAAATTGAGAGGGAGGAGACTACTTTCTACTACACACATAGTTAGAGGAAAGCTGAGAAATTACATGGAAACAATTTCACAGCCATTCTTTATCACTTACTCTATGGTTGGCCAGAATGAGAGTGTGTGCAATGGCTACTTGCACAGAGAAGGTGACAGAGTAAGAGAAAGAATGAGTCACGGAATGGTGGACAGAGAGAGAGAGAGTCATCTCTGAACCTGGGTTGCCAGCCGTGGTCACAACCACATTTCCAAGGGTGGCAGCTGCTCGGTGTCATTGTTCTTTAACTTTTTCTTCTCACCATCACCTGGTTCATAAAACCTTTACATAAAGAAGTACCCAAATGTTATCTTTTCTTCTTCCTGAATCTCAACTTTATGTTTTATCTGCAGGCACAGATACTTTGTGCTAAGGCTTGAACTGTGTCCCTGCAAAATTCTTATGTTGAAGCTTCAACATTTGGCATAATGGTATTTAAAGGTGGGACCTTTGGGAGGTAACCAAGGTTAGATGAAGTCACGAGGCTGAGGCCCTCTTGATGGGATCAGTCCCCTTATAAGAACAAGCACCACAGATTTCTCTTTTCTCATACTCCATACACAGAGAAAAGGCCAGGTGAGGACCCAGCAAGGAGGCAGTTGCCTGCAAGCCAGGAAGAGGTCCTCCCCAGGAACTGCCCATCCTGGCACTCTGATGCCAGACTTCCGGCCTCCACACTGGGAGAAAATAAATTTCTCTGTCTCCCAGTCTATGGTACTACTATTTGGGTTATAGCAGCCTGAGCAGACTGATATGCTCTATGTTTACAACTTATATATTTCCTTCCATCATCAGTGAATATAGCCTATCCCACAAGTAATTTTGTTCTTTTAGATGATGCACTGCTGGGCCTTGTGAGAAAGGAGCATGAAGAATGGTGCCCTTCTCCAGTCCTGAGATCAACCCCATGTGGTGTTCTTTGGCCAGAGCCCTTCACTGGATGTATCAGTGGGAAGGCAGGCACTTTCTTATGCTTGTCTCCAGAAAGAGGTTGGATAGAACCATGCCCACATGAACCCAAAAGGGCAGCAGGTTGGATGAAATAGTCACTTTTCAATCTCATATCCAATGGCACAAACAGTTTTGGAAAATGAAGTGTGCACAGACAGACAGGAGGAGACTGAACCCTCCACACTGCAATGTATCTCCTCTTTGTGGATAGGGGAAACCTGGAAACCACAGATCTTCACTGCCTCACCGTCTCCTTCCTCTTCCACTTTCAACACCCAGGAGCTTGGACTTGCCTTCAGCTGGCTCTGATATGCAAATGCTTTCTCCTTCTCCTCCTGCACACTCTTTCTTTTCTAAGAATGTCCATATTTTTCTCTGCTCCACCTAGTTACTACCCAAGACTCCTCTCCCATGTGTCAGATTCAATGTGCTTCAAAAATGTGCAGCCATGATATTTTAGTTTTCAGGTTATAAACTCTTCAAAATCATCAAAAACAAATGTTGTCTCTAAAAATGTCATTGAATATTGATTCATTTACTTGATGGAGAAAACTTCCATGTCCACATATAAATTTTGAAAAATATTTCTTTTTTTACATCAAAGCCTAATGTCAACAAAACAAATAAATAAGCAAACATCTCAGCTGTCTGGGGGAAGAATGCAGGAGTAAACCATCTCCCCAACTCCCAGTCTTGGAGTAGCTGCTGGTTGCGGGGATAAGCCCTGGGCCGCCTCTTTGCAATGAATGTGGCATTAGAGGCACAGGGGCCATGCAGCGTCCCTGTGTGTGAGTGGCAGTGAGTTTGAGAGGGAAGAGTAATTAGAAGAATTCCACTGCAAACGAAGCACACATTAATAACTAAATAAATTGCTCAATTAAAGATCTTTAAATACGTTTAATAAAAAATTTGATCAGCTTGTTGGTAGAAGCATCAACATGTTTGATTTTCTGTTTGTCTGTTTATATCATTCTTTCCCTAATATAGTTTTTGGCAGTATGATAATGCTTCTGCTGTGTTTCTACTGACATACACACATGACTGAAACACGCTGCCTGACATGCTGGCATTACCATGTGCAAATTACAGAGGCCAAAACCACTGTCCAGGAGAGGTGGATGATCAGACCAGAGTTTCTGTGTGCAATTGTGATGGTGATGGCAATCACTCCTGAAATGGAAAAATCTTTAAATTAAATTGTATTTAGAGGTTTACTGAATTTCCAGATCTTTTTTTTTTTTTTTTCATGAAGCAAGTAAGTGAACACTTACAGGATCCTTCTTGAAACTATACAGTAGAAGATTGGAAGTGAGGATACTTTCCATGCAGCTCAAGGTACTCCCCAGACCTTCTATGCCCATGGAGGCCAGAGGCACTGCATGGATGGACCAATACTTCCAGGCCCTTGCTGGAAAGCTGCTGCAGGATACATGGAGCCCTCGAAGGATTATAAACAAGGAATTAGTATGCTGATCAATCCTGTTGGCATCTCCAACTTGGGTTTTGAATTTTAGGTGCAATAGAAAACCAGTGTTACAGTGTTAGATTTTGATATGGTTTGGCTGTGTCCCCACCCAAATCTCATCTTGATTTGTAGCTCTCATAATTTCATGTGTCATGGGAGAGAACTGATGGGAGGTAATTGAATTATGGGAGCAGGTTTTTCCCATGCTATTCTCATGATCGTCAATAAGTCTCAAGAGATCTGATGATTTTATAAAGGGCAGTTCTCCTGCACATGCTCTACTGCCTGCTGCCATAGAAAACATGCCTTTGCTCTTCCTTCATCTTCTGCCATGATTGTGAGGCCTCCCCAGCCATGTGGAACTGTGAGTTCATTAAACTTCTTTTTCTTTATAAATTACCCAGTCCCAGGTATTTCTTCATAGCAGTATGAAAATGGACTAATACAACTTTCAACAGTGTAGTATTTGCTTTCTTCTCATTCTCACCCACCAGCTCTGGGGTGCTCGGTGCACCTTGTCTGCTTGCAGGTGCTGATGTTCTTCCTGGATTTTCATTCCCCAGGTGTCTTCATGACCTGCAGATTCCCCATGCCCCAGGTTCCCATTGAGCACCTTGACAAATAACTCTCTTCATTTAGCAATTCAGTTCTTTATCGTTTTTCAATTTTGGGAAAAGAAAGCAATGACTTTGCCCCCTATGATGTAGCCTGTAAGCATATTCATACTGGATCAAAAAAGCAGATGGTTGTTTTATATCTGACCCAGGTGCCTATGCTCACCTGCAGCACCTGAACTGCTAATTGCATGTGCAAATGTGCAAATTAAGACTAAGCACAAACTTACGACTGTCTGAACTCCCAAGAAACAGCTTAATTTTTTAAAAACAAGTGTTGAGGCATGGGCAAGGACTTCATGTCTAAAACACCAAAAGCAATGGCAAATTGACATTTGGGATCTAATTGTCAAATTGACAAATTTGACAAATCGGATCTAATTAAACTAAAGAGCTTCTGCACAGCAAAAGAAACTACCATCAGAGTGAACAGGCAACCTACAGAATGGGAGAAAATTTTCGCAACCTACTCATCTGACAAAGGGCTAATATCCAGAATCTACAATGAACTCAAACAAATTTACAACAAAAAAACAAACAACCCCATCAAAAAGTGGGCGAAGGACATGAACAGACACTTCTCAAAAGAAGACATTTATGCAGCCAAAAAAACACATGAAAAAATGCTCACCATCACTGGCCATCAGAGAAATGCAAATCAAAACCACAATGAGATACCATCTCACACCAGTTAGAATGGCAATCATTAAAAAGTCAGGAAACAACAGGTGCTGGAGAGGATGTGGAGAAATAGGAACACTTTTACACGGTTGCTGGAACTGTAAACTAGTTCAACCATTGTGGAAGTCAGTGTGGCGATTCCTCAGGGATCTAGAACTAGAAATACCATTTGACCCAGCCATCCCATTACTGGGTATATACCCAAAGGATTATAAATCATGCTGCTATAAAGACACATGCACACGTATGTTTATTGTGGCACTATTCACAATAGCAAAGACTTGGAACCAACCCAAATGTCCAACAATGATAGACTGGATTAAGAAAATGTGGCACATATACACCATGGAATACTATGCAGCCATAAAAATTGATGAGTTCATGTCCTTTGTAGGGACATGGATGAAGCTGGAAACCATCATTCTCAGTAAACTATCTCAAGGACAAAAAACCAAACACTGCATGTTCTCACTCATAAGTGGGAATTGAACAATGAGAACACATGGACACAGGAAGGGGAACATCACACTCTGGGGACTGTTGTGGGGTGGGGGGAGGGGGGAGGGATAGCATTAGGAGATATACCTAATGCTAAATGACGAGTTAATGGGTGCAGCACAGCAGCATGGCACATGTATACATATGTAATTAACATCCACATTGAGCACATGTACCCTAAAACTTAAAGTATAATAATAATAAAAGGAAAAAAAACTAAAAAGAAAAAAATGAATACACTTATGTAATTCATACCCCTATCAAGACAGACCATTTTTAGCACCCAGAAATTTCTCTTGTGTACCTCCCCAGTGAATCCCCTGCTAGAAGGAACTGCTGTTATGATTTTTTCACCACAGATTAATTTTGCCTTTTCTGGAATTTCAAATAAATGGGATGGTATGCAAAAAAAAAAAAAAAAAAAAGAAAAGAAAAAGAAAATATCAACTTTTCATACAAGGGGTTATTTTTATTCAATTCTCTCAATTAAATGCACCAAAACAAATAATCAGATTCTTCCACAGAAAAAATAGCAAAGATGCTGTGATTTATAATGGTTCTAAAATTTTTTAATGCTGAGAAAAAATATAATAGAATAAACACATTGTGGGGAAATAGGCAAATATGATGAATTCACAAACTGAATACTTTAAATTTTTCATACTCAAGAATGTGTGACATCCCACAGTTTGACTGCCAAGTTTAGATGCCAATGGTGAAAAGGGAGGTTCTGTTTTATGAACTGAAGGAATTTTTGTGCTGGTAAATGAAGTCGCCATGCAAAGTTTATAATCTGCTTTCATTGGAGACTCAAACAGAGATGTGTTCTGTGAGTTCCATCCTTCTTAAAATAATTTGTTCCCATTTTTAATGTTGTTTCTTCTCTTTCCTCTTTTTCAGCATAGCAAAAATTGGTTAGCAAACAGACCTGGCTTCTGCAGCTGAAGCCTTCTCTTTTTCCAAGACCAAAACCCAGTAAATGAACAGCATCACAATCCCTGAGCCATGGAGCACATTTTCCCTCCCTTTGCTTCCAGAAGAAAAATATTTAGAGGCTGATCTTTAGGAAACTTTCTCTTGTCAGGTGCCATTTCATCCTCTTGCTGAGCTACCTCACTTTGAGCATAAACCCCATTTCTCTACCCTGTCCTTTCCGTTGTGAAAAGTCTTCACAAAATACTTCAAAAACCATGTTTCAGCCCATGTCGTATGAGTAACCCACAATCTCATATCTGTTATTTGTAGCCAGGATAGTCACATAACTTATCATCAAAACAGGACACTTTTGAGAGTGAACGATGATGATATTAATAATTTTGCCAGGACAACAGGCACAATCCAGAATTTAGAATCATCCAAGTTCTGACCAGATTGGAAGTTCTGGAAAGACTTTACCCATCAAGCCCCTGTGCATATAACCATTTATGCTTCATTAACACAAAGTAAATGCTTCATATTTGTTTATTATCATGATGACCTGCACAATAAGAACCAAAACCAAGCCAGATAGTGTAGAATTGGCCTGTTCAACTGGCAGTATTAATAAACAGCACCTGCAAGAACGGGTTAGTACCAAATAGCAAATGGATCATACCAATTTAATTCTTTACTTGATTCCAGAGTAATTTCCCCAGCAGCAGCAGAAGGTATAGAAGAAAAACCTCTCGCTCAACAGTTCATGCTCTTCTTGTCTTGGTATTGATATTAATGCCAACAAAATTAGTAATTTGACAATTAGTTTCCCACTTACCTGAGGAGACATGAAAGGGAGAAAGAAAGTATTTTAACTAGATTATAATGTGGCTCTGACAAGTCAGGATCCTGTCATGTTATAGCCTTCCAACTTTAACATTTTCATGTCTGCTTGGCAGGTTATTAAAATAAATGAGGGTGCATTGGGCTGCTGCTGTGCATCTCCCTAATGGGAGTTGAGGAATTTGCAAGCCACCAGTGTAAATTGACCGATCTCAGAGACTGAAAAGATTTAGCTAAAGTGGACAATTAGGATCATTTCTGCACAGCTGAATGAAATATTCCTTGTTATTTTAATAATTCAGGCCCAGAGTAATTTTTGGAGGCTGAGTTTGTCAAGATAATGTGCCTTGTGCTTGTCTGCTTGTCATTTTTAACTCAGTCTCACATGTTACAGGTGCAGTCTAGCTTACAAAACAGGAAAATCATTCACTGAAGAATTTGCATATGGAATACAGATACATTGCATGGAAAGAAAGCCGACCTGGAGACTGACAGGCAGCTGTGGTGTGAATGCCTCATGATGGTGAAAGTCAGGATGGTGGATGGATGCTGCATTGCTTTGTTGATGCAGTTATGAACATTATTGGGCAATATGCATATGCAAGTGTGGACCACATTCAGCACATTTACCTTGTGTAACCTACACAGGTTCAGTAAAGAGATTTGTGAGACCGTGATATTCCCCCATGGTAGACCCAAATGCTCGCTTTCAGCTCAGTTTTATCACAGAGACTGAAGGAATAATATCTTTAGCTTTTAATAGCAGGACACATTTAGGAAATTATACATGAGTTGAAGATAGAGAAATTCTGGAACAGGAGAGGTCATCAGTGCATTTCTGCAAGTAGAAGCTTGTTTAGTCAGATAATGTGGTCTCAACAGATTAAAACATCACTTGTGATTAAATTGATTGGTATAAAACTATAAGTGAACCATTCTGTTCGTTCCATGTATTAGATGGGAACAGCCAAATTAATTTGAAATCAAGAAATTATTAAAATAAAATTCTCACTGAAGGTCCAACTTCTGCCAGCCCGTTTCTGGAGCCCTATGCACAGTATCTCTTTCAGGTGCTTACTGGGAATTGAATGACCTTTGAAGAGTATTCAGACTGTCATCTTTCTAGGAACTCCACTCAGCTTCACTGGAACAACTGTTTCTATCTGGTTTACTTATTTTTTTTTTTTTTTTTTTTTTGAGACGGAGTCTCGCTCTGTCGCCCAGGCTGGAGTGCAGTGGCGGGATCTCGGCTCACTGCAAGCTCCGCCTCCCGGGTTCACGCCATTCTCCTGCCTCAGCCTCCCAAGTGGCTGGGACTACAGGCACCCGCCACTACGCCCGGCTAATTTTTTGTATTTTTAGTAGAGACGGGGTTTCACCGTTTTAGCCGGGATGGTCTCGATCTCCTGACCTCATGATCTGCCCGCCTCGGCCTCCCAAAGTGCTGGGATTACAGGCGTGAGCCACCGCGCCCGGCCTGGTTTACTTTTTATACTTCCATAAAATAATGTAGTGGAAGATGTAATTTATACTAAACATATCATCATCAACAACATGAATACTGAAAACATTGCTATAGGAAAGAGATTTTGTAATGTAAGTTAATCTAAGATTGAAAACACAGCCAGGATTATTAGCTAAATTTTATTTGGTATGAACTGCTTTATCACAGTAATATGTCTCTACATCTACCTAAATAAATTTATTTTAAAATTAGGTGCATGGAAATATAATCTCACACAATACATTGTAAGGTGAAGAGGTCTAAAATGACTGGGACACTCCAAATAAATCACTTAAGGATTGCCCAAAACATTAAGTTTCAATGTTATTACAACATCAGTAGTTTTTTGTCCTTGAACTCTTACGGAAGATGGTTTGCCCATAGGTTACTTTTCCCCTAATTGGAGTGTCCTTCTAGCCTGGAGTAATTTTGAAGTCTCTGGTTGTATTTTATGGTGAATGATATGTCTCTGAAAGAAAGAAGAACTTTCCACTTGGGCACAACACTCCATCACAGGTCAGCTGAGAAGCTCAGGCTGGAAGAGAAACCGTATTTCAAAACAGTGGCTCTTCAAAATTACCCCTAATATGGCTTTTCTAACCAGGTCAGTAACATGTGGGAAAAGGGAATTTTTCTTTGGATTTTTGGGCCAGTGGTGGCTGAATTACACAAACTGAACCATGAACAAACAAACAAGCATGGAAAGCCAACCCAGAGCATCCTCAGCCTGATGTAGCTCCAATGTTTCAGTCCATGCAGGGCGAACTCTGCAACCTCCTAGACTTTAATCTCTGCCTTATTTCCCGCAACCCAGTGAGTGTTATTGGGCAGTATGAATATGCAAGTGCAGGTGGCACCTTGGTCCAAGACTTGTCAACTTCAGCATGCGTCAGGGTAATGGCAATCACTCGCTGAATGTGCTGAACAAAAGCAAGACGTGCTTCTCATGTAGAACCCAGGCAAGTTGAACAGATGCCCTGACCAATCTCTTTCAAGCAGTGGCTTAGAGATCACGATTCCTTCCATTGTGCATCTCTGTCGTCTCAGACAGTATCTCTTCTAGCTTGTAAGCAGAGACAGAGAGTGAGCCGAGAGTCTCATGGGCTGTTAGAGGCCAGGCTCCAAAATAGCAGAAACCACCTCTACCTGCAACACAGTGACAGAAGCTGTCCCAGACACCCAATCTGGCTGAAAGTGAGTCAGGGAAGGAAAGCAGCCCCGGTGTCTAGGAGGCCAGTGAGCACTTAGGTGATCTCTGTCACATAAGCCAACAAACTGGATAACAGTGACATTTCAGTATCTGACACAAGTCAGAAGCTGTAAAATAGTGAGTAGACAACACATAGAGGCTTTAGAGGGCACATGATACATATTTACCATCAACAGATGGTCCAAAAATAAGCATCTCCATGGAAAATGTGCAGGCAGTATCATCTTAAAAATAGCATATTTAAGAAATGACTTTGGAATTTTAGGAGCTTACTCAGATGGATCTTTTCAGTTGTTTTCTCACTAGCCAAACTACCACATCTGTCCTTTCTGCTGATCTTATGGTTACATATTTTTCCACTTCCTTGTTCTCTAGTGAGAGGGGACTTGGCACATCAGCTGCCCCATATACATCATTCCTTTGGATCACCCACAGCTCCTAGCATTAGTGCAATTGATGTTCAATACTAGAGTACACTAAATTAATGTATTAGACTCCAGTAGATTATCAGTGAGTAAAACTGAATTATAATTGATTAGAAATAATTTTGCATAAGTACCTTCATCAGCTTCATAATTAAAATTTGTCACTCAACTTTAAATTTGGCCAACTAGGTCACAGGCAGTGGGGTCTGTGGAACTAAGTATGTACTGTAGATGTCCCAGAACTGAATGAAATTACCACAATTATAACTAATCAATTTTGTGACTATTTGTGTTATGATGCTCTCTTTGATTAAACAAATTCCCATTTGGGTAGTCTTCTCTTCGTAAGTTGATTAAGAGAACCAAATACCACTTCTGACTTGAAGATCCATAATAAAAAGGAGACATCAGCTGTCAATGCCAAAACACTCAGGAAGGTGGCTTGGCATTTCAGGGAAGAGAAGGAATTTGAAGAACCAGTCCAGGATCACAAATCGTTTTAGAATCCAACTAAATCTTCTCACATTGGTTTCATTTTTCCTCCGGCATCCTAAAAGTGACATAGCTTATGACTAATAGATATAGCATCTTACACAAATAATCACATGATTGTGCAAATGCACTTAGGTCAAGGTGTGGTTTGCCTCCTTCCATAGGTCCTCACTAAAGTATGAGCCGTAAACTAGCATATGATGACGTATGTCCTTGTCTTACCATACATTACTGAAATACATTTTATATTGAAAAATAAAAGCCCTGCAACCTTGAAGACACTGTAAAGCTAACTCTAAAATGTATTTTAATTTTCCCTAAATTAGAACCCTAGTCTAGTCTGTAACAGCCCCTTAGGATATATTAGACCCTTCACTCCCTGAGTATCTTGTAAGCTGAATTCGACTTTTTAAAATATGTACTTCTCCACCATTCAGAAAGGCAGCATTTTCTTTTCGCAATGCACCTACAGAAAAGTAGAAAAAAATATCATAGACAGCAAGATGGGTTAGAGATGAAGTTTCGTGTGAATCAGTTTTCTCCCCTTGTTTGAGTGTGCAGTCTTCACTTTGTGTTGATTTAAGGGAAGAAACTTGGTATTCAAGGCAAATACTTATCGGAATACAATTTATTCAGAATGGCTTTCAACCACAGGCTCAGAATATTTGCCCAGATAATCACTGAAGCTAAAACATGGGTAGCTAAACTGTTTTCGCTACTAACCTGATTAATAACTCAATTCTGGCATTTTAATCTAAATTTTCACTAAAATGATGTCAGGCGTGTTTTTGTTGTGTTTCTAGAATTTTATGTCTTACATATCTTATTTAAAACTTAGCACTTTAGGCTCTAAAACATAATCCATATGCATCTGACACTCCCAGCCAACCTCACAGCATTAGACAGTGACCTTCCAGCCACTTCCCATATTGAAGCTGTTTAAACACACTCACTATAAACACTTGGGTTTGTGTTAACCCTCTGAAGCCCAAACAGAAATCCACAAATGAAACAATGGCTTTGCTATTGTGTATAGTGCTGCAATGATCATCCACATGCATATGCCTTTTTTTCCCTTTTTCTTTTTTTTTTTTTTTTTTGAGATGGAGTCTCGCTCTGTCACCAGGCTGGAGTGCAGTGGTGCGATCTCAGCTCACTGCAAGCTCCGCCTCCTGGGTTCATGCCATTCTCCTGCCTCAGCCTCCCGAGTAGCTGGGACTACAGGTGCCCACCACGACATCCAGCTAATTTTTTGTATTTTTAGTAGAGACGGGTTTCACTGTGTTAGCCAGGATGGTGTCGATCTCCTGACCTCGTGATCCACTTGCCTCAGCCTCCCAAAGTGCTGGGATTACAGGCGTGAGCCACCGCACCCGCCCACCTATGCCTTTATAGTAGAACAATTTATATTCCTTTGGGGATATACCCATTAATGGGATTGCTGGATTGAATCATATGTCTGTCTTTAGGTCTTCAAGGAATTGCTGCATTGTCTTCCATAATGGTTAACCTAATTTACACAACCACTAACAGTCTGTAAGTGTTCTTTTTTCTCCACAATCTCACCAACATCTGTTATTATTTGACTTTTTAAAGATAGCCATTCTGACTGGTGTGAGATGCTATCTCATTGTGGTTTTGATTTGCATTTCTCCAATACATGGAATCGACAACAAATGCCCACCAGTGATAGACTAGATAAAGAGAATGAGGTACATGTACACCATGGAATACTATGCAGCCATAAAAAGAAGCAGATCGTGTACTTTGCAGGGACAAGGATAGAGCTGGAGGGCATTATCCTCAGAAAACTAATGCAGGGACAAAAAATCAAATACTGCCATGTTCTCACTTGTAAGTGGTAGTGAATCACGCCTGTAATCCCAGCACTTTGGGAGGCCAAGGCGGGCAGATCACGAAGTCAGGAGATCGAGACCATCTTGCCTAACACAGTGAAACCCCATCTCTACTAAAAATATGAAAAATTAGCCAGGTGTGGTGGTGGGCACCTGTAGTCCCAGCTACTCAGGAGGCTGAGGCAGGAGAATGGTGTGAACCCGGGAGGCAGAGCTTGCAGTGAGCCGAGATAGCACCACTGTACTCCAGCCTGGGCGACAGAGCGAGACTCTTGTCTCAAAAAAAAAAAAAAAAAAAAAGTGGTAGTTAAATGATAAGAACACATGGACACATAGAGAGGAACACCACACACTGGGGGTTATCAGGGGTTAGGGTGGGAGGAGAGAGAGCATCAGGAGAAATAACTAATGGATATGAGTTTTAATACCTGGGTGATGAAATAATCTGTATAATACAAACACAAGTCTACCTGTGAAACGAACCTAGACATCCTTAAATAAAAGTTAAAATAAATAAAAATAAAACTATGGCACCTGACTCCTCAGGTAAGTTAGGCTAGATTTGAGAAGAGTACAGCTCTTGGACCTGCCATAAGGATGGTTTCCCTTCTTGAGTCCCATGAATGCAGAGACATCAGGAAGCATCATCCCCAGCCTGAAGCTGTTTATGGGCATGTGACATTTATAACTTGTCCAAGGATAGGAATTTTCAGTCTCTGAAAAGAACAGAGATACTTCTTAAAGAAGATGGTATTTGCCTGGGTTTTGCAGAGAGTAGCATTTAGGCAGGCAGAGGTGGAGGTGGAATGGACAGGGAAAGCTGTGGGCCAGGTGTAGAGACAAGTGTATAATATGACCTGACCCAAATGTGGAATTAACCAAGGGGGATCGTGGCTGACATTTAGGGAAACTGAAGTTGAGGAATCACCACGGAGAGCCTGGAGTACCTGGATGAAGGTTTTACAACGATGAGGCAGTAAGATCCCATAACATGTTTTTGAACAAAAAAACATAATTATGGGCATGTTTTAGAAAATTCATTGCTCAAAAGTTGCCGGTCTACAGGAAGAAGGCAAGTAGAAATTTGAGAAACTTAGAAAAGACTGGTATTATTAATATACTATTATTTTTATTATTCACATCGATAAAGTCAGGGCTGCCAGCAGTTTGGGGAAAGATAACAACACGTGACAGTGAATCAACCCGCATAAAACATCCAGAAGGCCCCGGAAATCAGGAACTGGAGCTCAGAGGGGAGGTCAGGAGCGAGAGGTGGGCATCAGGCTAGAGCTGGTCCTCCACTACTGACTTAAGCCGTATCTATTCTTCCAAGTGCAAAGTGTCATTCTGTGATTTCACCCACTTGTCAGATAATTTATGTTTAAAAGATGGGGCAGAGAAAAGGAGGAACAAAGACGTAAGGAAACTAGCAGAGATGGATTGCTGCTGGGGCCTGTGAGTGAGTACACTGATGCCATGATCTCCACATACAGTGCCTGGAACGTATTGTTGCATGCCTAGGCTGAGGGAATCCTGTGCTCTGTGCACAGTGGTATGACTCAAACCATTTCAGGAAAAAGCCTGTATCTTTTTTTTCCAGGGAGGAAATGGTCATGATGGCATTGCCTTTTGTAAAAGAAAGAATGTCACTCTCTGATTCCTCCTCCCCTGAGATCCCACCGTCTATCTGTTCAAGAGTAACAACAGCTGTTCTGTTACTCTGGCTACACTCTTGCTACTGTAGCCCACCATGCTACATCCTGGATCACATTTTCTAACACATACGTAGTGTCTATGAGAAGAGGAACCATTCTTTTGCCTCAGAGAATGTTCTGGTTGTACAATTGACATCAGTGCACAATACATTGTTGTTTTTTTAGCAGGAGGGGCATTGACTGGTGTCTACTTCCATTAGCCCAACTCCTGAAGGCTAATATTGCAATAGGTAATTTGGAAAGAGGATATTTTGAAGTGAAAAGGATAGAGCCAAAAAAAAAAGGATTCATTTTTTATTATTTTTAAATACTAACAAGAGTGCTTTTCTCGCTAGCTATTGGGGAAAGATCAACTCATACATCAAAAGCTCAGAGATACAGATGCTTCAGAAATATCGTCCCCTCTGTGGAAATCCTGCCTTGTCAGCCGGTCAGGTCAGGTTTCAGTGTTGCAACAACCTCGCAGCTAATCTGACATTGATGTACAACTTGCCATTTACATGAAAATGCCAGCCCTTCTCGGGACCTGACTTGGCTTTATTTTTGTGAGTGGGCAGCCCATGCATACCTTGTAGATATGGAAGAAGTAGCATGGTGTGCATTTCATGGAAAATCGCTGTAAAATACAGAAGTTATTGGAGAGGGTTAAAAGGATAATATGTGACTTAATCATCAAAGGTGTATTAATAAAATTCATCATAAAGTGACCAGTCAATGTCAAATGAGGGCCTCTGAGTGAAGGAAATGCCACTCTCCAGTGTGAGCTGGCCATCCTTGGCTCCTCAAAATCGATCAGCAATGGAGGGATCTGTGCAGAGGTGGGGGCAGCTGCAATAGTTGAAAATGGATGAAGACTAGCAGCCTCTCTGACTCTTCATTCTTTTATATAATTATGTCTTCTTAAAGCCTGCAACCTCCTAGGTTGTGGTCTTGATTAAAGTGGAAGACAAGATAAAAAGGGAAGAGCAATAAGGGATAAAGGGAAAAGTAGAAACTGCACAGTTTCCACCATACAGTGTTAAGAACAGAACTTGATTCTCAGAAAACGTTTTATAGAACTTTACAAAACCTGGGGCTAAACCACCCAGCTTAAACCTGATTTGGGCCATGGGGTTATGCTCATGGACATCTGCATATTGTGTGCATTTTTATGACGCCTTAAGCTTTTGTGATATTAAGTTTCAGCTTTATTTTCCATAATTCTTGACCCTTCCTCCATTTACCCAGGAGCATTACCATGGCCTCCAGGAGAATTCAACTGTTAGGGGAGAAATGCAAACTTGTTAATTTAATACTGTTTCATTTTTCCTTTTTTTCCTAACATAGCGCTTGAGAATCCATAAGTAGAGGCTTCAGAAGAACAGGGTAAAGGAGCTCTGTCCTCAAAGTTTTGGCAAGTGAATAGGGGGCATGGCAGACCAGAAGCTGAACGGACTGTAGAAGGGGCCAAGGAGCCAGGCAAGGGGCAGGAGAGGGGGAAGTGGTGAGGCATGGCCTTTGCTGTGGTCTGCACCCCACCCGTGGTTTTTTTATTTATTTACTATTTTTTTTGAGACAAGGTCTCACTCTGCTCTTCAGGCTGGAATGCAGTGGCACCATCATGTCTCACTGCAGCCTTGACTTCCCGGGCTCAAGTGATCCTCCTGCCTCAGCCTCCTGAGTAGCTTGTACTACAGATGTGCACCACCACACCCAGCTAGTATTTATTTTTATTTTAAGTTCTGGGGTACATGTGCAGGATGTACAAGTTTGTTACATAGGTAAATGTGTACCATGGTGGTTTGCTGCACCTATCAACCCATCACCTAGGTATTAAGCCCAGCATGCATTAGTTATTTTTTCTGATGCTCTTCCTCCCACCGATACCCCCTGACAGGCCCCATTCAGTGTGTATTGTTCCCCTCCATGTGTCCATGTGTTTTCATCATTTAGCTCCCACTTATAAGTGAGAACATACGGTGTTTGATTTTCTGTCCCTGAATTAATTTGCTGAGGGTAATGGCTTCAAACTCCATCCATGTCCCTGCAAAGAACATGATCTCTTTTTTATGGATGCATAGTATTCCATGGTATATACGTATCACATGTTCTTTTCTCAGTCTCTCATTGATGGGCATTTGGGTTGATTCCATGTTTTTGCTATTGTGAATAGTGCTGCAATAAACATATGTGTGCATGTATTTTTACAATAGAATGATTTATCTTCCTTTGGGTGTATACCCAGTAATGAGATTGCTGGGTCAAATAGTATCTCTGCCTCTATATGTTTGAGGAATTGCCACACTGTCTTCTGCAAAGGTTGAACTAATTTATATTCCCACCAACAGTGTAAAAGTGTTTCTTTTTCTCTGCAACCTCACCAGCACCTGTTGTTTCTTGACTTTTTAATAATAGCCATTCTGACTGGTGTGAAATCGTATCTCATTGTGATTTTCATTTGCATTTTTCTAATGATCAGTTATGTTGAGCTTTTTTGCATATGTTTGTTGGCTGCATAAATGTCTTCTTTTGAGAAGTGTCTGTTTATGTCCTTTGCCCACTTTATAATGGGGTTGTTTGTTTTTTACTTGTAAATTTGTTAAAGATCCTTGTAGACTCTTGATATTAGGCCTTTGTCAGATGGATAGACGGCAAAATTTTTCTCCCATTGTATAGGTTGTCTAGGACACTATGGGTTGGAAAGGAATTCTGATTTCACATCAGAAATGTGAAAATAAGATGCAGAGGGGGAGTTTATGCCAAGCCCTAGTGGAAGAATCTAAACACATGACCCTGAGATCTTGGAGCAAAGTCATGGCATGCACAAAGAGATTGATAAGCCTCTAGAGAAGGAGCTCTGAGTGTTCCAAACTGAAACTCTTGACCATGGAACAGCTGGAGACCAAGAACCCAGAGCTGTCCCTTAGGAGCAGATTTCTATCACCCTACCCTACCCCACGCCAGGTCACAATACCATAAGGGCATCATAGCAGTCCATTGCAGGATGAAATAGAATATCCAGGATCAAGCCAAGCACGACCAGAGCCATGAGTAAGCTACCTGATCAGGTAGCCCAGAACCACCTGCTAAAGCGTTGGTTAAGCCAGGATATGGGCACACTCTGACAATGAATGGCAGCCACAATGCACTGACAATGTGAGATGTTTATAAAAGACAGTAGAGAAAGAGAATCTTCCAGTAGTGCACCTTGTCATCACTTTGTGTAGAAGCAGTGGACCAGCATGAGGTATATTCAGATTTTTGGACAGTCGCTGTATTAGTCCATTCTCATGCTGCTATGAAGAAATACCCAAGACTGGGTAATTTATAAAGGAAAGAGGCTTAATTGGTTTACAGCTCCACATTTCTTTGGAGGCCTCAAAAAACTTACAATCATGGTGGAAGGCAAAAGAGAAGCAGGCACCTTCTTCACGGTGTGGCAGTACAGAGTGAGTGCAAGCAGGGGAAATGCCAGATGCTTATAGAACCATCAGATCTCGAGAGACTGATTCATTATCACAATAACAGTGCCGCAGAAATCGCCCCCATGATTCAATTACCTCCAACTGGTCCAACCTTTGACACGTGGGGATTATGGGAATTACAGTTCAAGGTGAGATCTAGGTGGGGACACAGTGCCAAACCATATCAGTGGCTAATAGCCACTGTTAGGGACCAGGTACAGCTGGTCAAAAACCTGAGGAAAAAAAGGACTGGAATATGGCAAGCCAGAGCTCTGGTTAAAGCACATGGGTGTACATACAGAAGAGAGTATGATGTTCACACTGCTATGAAGAAATACCTAAGGCTGAGCAATTTATAAAGGAAAAAGGTTTAATTGACTTACAGTTCTGCATAGCTGGGGAGGCCTCAGGAAACTTAGAATCATGGTGGAAGGGGAAGCAAACACACCCTTCTTCAAATGGTGGCAGGAGAGAGAACTGTAGAGCCAAGCAGGGAAAATCTTCTTATAAAACCATCAGATCTCATGAGAACTCACTAACTATCACAAGAACAGCATGGGCAAACTGCTCCCATGATGTTATCACCTCCCATGAGGTCCCTCTCCCAACACATGGGGATTACAATTTGAGATGAGATTTGAGTGGGGACACAGAGCCAGACCATATCAGATACATGAAGACATTTGTATCGTGTGCTAATGCCTATGGGAAGACAAACACTGACCAACTAAATAGGCAAAATAACCCAGCTGTTTGACACTAATCAGCCATCATCGCTGTCCAGCACAGAATTTGCACAATAGCACATGAACAGACTGCATGCTTACAGAGATGAAGGGTAACAATTAACCCTGCTGGGATGGCACTTACCAAAGCTGATCTAGCTGCTGACTGTCAAATAGGCAAGGCACAAAGATGAGTGCTGAGCCTCAGTGTGTTACTGTTACTTGAGGAGACCAACCAGCCACTATGTGTTGTGGCAAACAGACTACAGTGGACCTTTTAAATTCTGGAACGGTCAGAGGTTTTTCCTTAAAGAAATAATTGCCTAATCTGAGGATGGGTTTGTCTTTTCACCCAGCACAGCCTCATTTAACACCACTATCCAAGAGGTTAGAGCTTGGCTAATCTACATGCATGGAACCCCACACAGCATAGAACCTGACCAGGAAACCCACATCATAGAAATGGAGGTATGGAAGAGGGTCTTGGACCACAGAATACAATAATTGTTTTACACACTGCACCATCCAGGAGCAGCCAGCCTCATGGAATTCTAGAATTGTTTCATTTTTTGTCTATCTCTTGCTATAGGCTCTTATTGTGTACAAAGTAACCTCTGCTGCTCTGTACACAGACGTCATTTACTGCCCTAGGATGTGATAGCTACCTGCTTTACTTCTGAGGATGTGCACCTGAGATTCATTTAGGTGGAATATCCTTGGCTTACTGGAGCAAATTTATCTTCAAGTGGAGGAGCCAAAAGTTCTGTCAGTTAGTGTTAACTTTACTTTGGTACAGAAGTACAAAGCACAGGTGCTTGGGCCCCAAAACAGACAAACTCAGAGGCATTAATTACACTCTACAAAGGGTTAAGCCTAATGAGAACACCAAGCAGAAAAAAGAGAGAAGGAAAAAAAGCAGTGTGTGAGGTAATAAAGGCTGGAAATTATGGAAAATTAATGAAAGACATGAAATCACAGATCCCAGAACCTCAGAGAACTCAAAACAAGATAAATTTTTAAAAACTATAAATAGACATATCAAAATCACTCTAGAAAAAATCAAAGACGAAGAGAAAAACACTAAAGAAATGAGAGGGAAAAAAACACCTTACTATAGTGGAACAAGAATAGAATTACATAGGTCTTCATATCAGAGATAATGCAAACAAAAAGAGAGGGGGATAAAATGTTTAAAGTGGTAAACAAAATAATCCAATAGTGTTTAATCTTGCATTCAGTGAAATTATCCTAAAGAACTGAAGGAAAAATAAAGAGAGAAGCAAAACTAAAGGAGTTCGGACTCAATTTTCCTGTCTTGCAAGAAATGTTAAAAGACATTCCTCGGGGAGATGGAAAATTACTTAGGTCAGTAATTTATATCTACATTTAAGAAGAAAATGCATCAGGAAAGAAATAAATAGAGGCAAAATCATGCTTTTCTTACTTATTCTTAATTTGTCTAACAAATAACTATTCAAAATAATATTATCAACAATGTATTGGATGATTATTGCCCATAGGTAAGTGTAATGAATGACAAAAATGTGATAAGAGATGCACAGGAGAAATGTTGAGTACTTGTAAGTTACCTGCACTATCTTAGAAATAGTAAAGCATATTGGGTATATACCCAAAGGAGTATAAATCATGCTGCTATAAAGACACATGCACACATATGTTTATTGCAGCACTATTCACAATAGCAAAGACTTGGAACCAACCCAAATGTCCATCAATGATAGAATGGATTAAGAAAATGTGGTACATATACACCATGGAATACTATGCAGCCATAAAAAATGATGAGTTCATATCCTTTGTAGGGACATGGATGAAGCTGGAAACCATCATTCTCAGCAAACTATTGCAAGGACAAAAAACCAAACACCGCATGTTCTCACTCATAGGTGGGAATTGAACAATGAGAACACCTGGACAGAGGAAGGGGAATATCACATACCGGGGCCTGTTGTGAGGTAGGGGGATGGGGGAGGGATAGCATCAGGAGATATACCTAATGTAAATGATGAGTTAATGTGTGCAGCACACCAACACGGCACATGTATACATATGTAACTAACCTGCACGTTGTGCACATGTACCCTAAAACTTAAAGTATAATTAAAAAAAAAAAGGGGACCAAAAAAAAAAAACATAAGAGAGACAAGGTGAAAGAAGAGAAAACAGTGGTGAGTAACGACATTTAATATATGTAAGTTTAATAAATGAGGATATGATGAATTTCATAAAAAAGATAGTAAAGCATTATTTGATAGTATACTTAGGTTAATGGAAAGATGTATTGCAAAGTTTAGGGCAGACAGTACAACTTTTGGAGAAAAAACATTACACATCTAAATAATATATGGGTCAAAGTAAAAATCTCAAGTTATATTTTAAAAGATAACAAAATTAATAAATAGAACTACCATATGATCCAGCAATCCCACCACTGGTTATATATCCAAAGGAAATAACATCAGTGTGCCAAAGAGACATCTGCACTCCCATGTTCATTGCAGCATTATTCACAATAACCAAGACATGGAATCAAACTAAATGTCTATTGAGGAATGAAAGGACAAAACAAATGTGTTATGCTTGTATGTGTGTGTGTGTGAACATATTTGATGCATACATGTATACACACACATACATATATATACACACACATAGCGTATACATAGAATACTAATCACCCTTGAGAAAGAAGGAATTACTACTATTTCTGGTAGATGAACCTGGAGAACATCATGTTAAGTGAAATAAGATAGACACAGAAAGACAAATACTTCATGATATCACTTATATGTAAAATCTGAAAACTGTTGAACACATAGAAGCAGAGAATAGAATGGTGTTTACCAGAAGTTGGCAGTGGGGGAGGAGAGGTGTTTGTCAAAGGGTACATGTTTCAACTAGACAGCATAAATAAGCTCTGGAGATCTATTGTACCACATGATGATTATAGTTAATAATAATGTAGTGTATATTTGAAAATTACTAAGAGGAGTATAGATCCAAAATGTTCTCACCCCAAAGAAATGATAAATATGTAATGGGATGGATATGCTAAACAGCATTATTTAATCATTTTACATAGGACATACATGAAAACATCATATTGTGTACCATAAATTATATGTCAGTTATGTTTTAATAAAACTTAGAGAAATATTTGAACCAAATGAAAATGAAAAAGAAACATCAAAATTTGTGAGATGCATTGAATGCAGTGTTTAGTGGGCAATTTATGACATTAAATGTATATATTGGGGAAAACATATACAATTAATAAGTAAGCCAAAGAAATAAGAGCAATTAAGGCTAAATCAAGCAGGAGAAAGAAATTATAAAAATAAAGCATAAATAAATAAAATTATAAACAGGAAAACAATAGAGTAAATCAATGATATCAGGAGCTTGTTGTTTAAGATGATTACTAAAATTATAGAAATTCCAGACTGGCTTACCAAGAATTCAAAAATGACACAGTTCATTAATATTAAAATTAAAGAAGGATCATCACTACTAATCCAGTGCACAATAAAATAATAACAAAGGGATATTAGGAACAATTCTATGCCTACAAATTTGATAATTCCTTGAAAAACACAAACTATCAAAACTCAGTTAAGAAAAATAGATAATATGGCTGGGTCTGTGTCTACTGAAGAAATTTATCAATAATTAATAGGAGTCTATAAAACAAATTACCATGCCCTGAATGTTTCACTTGTAAAATCTTCTAAAATTGAAAGAAAAACTTATCCTGATTCTTCAAAATTTCTTCAAAAATGGAAACTAAGGAAGCATTTCATAGTTCATTACATCAGGTCACCATTACCATAATGGCAAAATAATAAAGGACAGTACAAAAGGAAATACTATAGACCAATGTCTCTCATGAACATAGATACAAAAATCCTCAAATAAAAATTTAGCAAATCAATTTATAAAAGTAATTATACACAACAATATAAAAGAATGTATTGCAAGTATGCAAGGCTGGTTCAACACTTGAAAATAAATTTATGTAATCTATAACATCAATGGGCTAAGAAAGAAAAATATTATGATATCAATTAATACAGAATAAAGCATTTGACAAAATCTAACACCCATTTATGACAAAAAAAACTCTCCAGGAAACAGGAATTAAAGGGAAATTTCCTCAACTTGATAAATAACATCAAAAACAAAGGAAAATAAAACAACAACAAAAATCAAACTAGAGCTAACATCATAATAATGAGAAACCAGGTGCTTTTCCCCTAAGATCAGGAACAAGACAATAATGTCCTCACTCCCCATTTCTTTTTTACATTGTACTGGAAATCCTAGAAAATCCAGTGAAGAATAGAAAATAAAAGACATACAGTTTGGAAAGGAAGAAATAAAACCGTTTTTGTTTCATATCCATGTAGAAAATACCAAAAAAAAAAAACAAAAACAAAACTCTTGAAATTAATAATCAGTTCCCATAAATGTTGCAGGATACAAGGTTAATATACAAAACTCAATTGCTTTCTTACATACCAATAATAAACAACTGGAAGTTGAAATTAAAATCTTAATACTATTTACATAGGCACACCAAAAATGTAATACTTACATATATATCTAACAAAATAGGTACAGAATCTATATTCAGAAAAGTACAAAACTGATTAAAGACATCAAAAAAAACTCAAAAATCTATATAAATGGAGAAATAGTCTATGTTCATACATAGGAAGGCATAATATTTTTTGTCAAATATTTTTGTTGTCAATTCTTTCCAATTTGAAATATCCATTCAACATAATCCCAAATAAAACCCCTGCAAATTATTTCATGGTATTTCATGTTAAACTAATTCTAAAGTTCATATGGAAAGGCAAAAGACTCAGACTAGCCAAAACAATAATGAAGAAGAACAAAGTTGGAGGACGAATATTACACAAGTTTAAGACTTATCAGATTGTAATTGAGAAAGCTTGAAATTGGGGAAAAAGGAGCCACATAAATACGTGGATCTGATAAATGGAGAATCCAGAAATAGACTCACACCAGTATCTGATCTTTTACAAAGAAACAAATGTAATTCATTTGAAAAAAGTAGTTTTTCCAACAAATGCTGGTAGAAAAGTTGGACATTCATATGCAAAATAAATAAATAAATAAAAGGCAAGAGAAGAGTCTAGGCACAGAGTTTATACCTTTCACAAAATTTAATACATAACAGAACATAGACCTAGATGTAAAATGAAGAGTTATACAACTCCTGGAAGAAAACAGAAGAAAATCTAGGGAGGCTTGGGTTTGATGAGAGTTTAGACACAATGTCAAAATAATGATCTATGAAAGGCAAAATGGATAAGTTGGAGTTCGTGAAAATTAAAGACTCTGGCTCTGTAAAAGACACTGCTAAGAGACTAAAAAGATAAAATATAGACTGAGAGAAAACATCTGCAAAATTTATATCTGATAATGGATTGTGTCCAAAGATACAAATAACTCTTAAACTCAACAATATGAAGGCAAACCACTCAATTAAAAATGTGTAAGATATCTGAAAAGACAAGTTAGTAGAGAATATGTACATATGGCAAACAAGCCTATAAAAACACAGTCAACATCATGTTATTAACTAAGGAAAAATTAAAACAATTATGAGATACTATTGCATACCTGTTCAAATGGTTAAAATCCAAACAAAACCAACCGACACTGCCAATACCTAATGCTGATGAAGATGCAGTGATAGGAACTTTCATTTAGTGTTTATCGTAATGCCAAACAGTATAGCCAATTTGAAAGATAATTTTGCAGAATTGTACGAAGCTAAATGTGATTCAGAAAATATGCTTCTAAATATTTACCCAATGGAGTTAAAACTTTATACATACCCAAGATTTGCACAGTAATTTTTGTGGCAGATTTATTTATAATTTCCCAACAGTCAAACAAGATAGACTTCAACAGGTGAATGGATAAACAAGCTGAGGTACATAGATAAAATGTTACATTATTCAGCAATACAAAGAAATGAGTTAGCAAGCCACAAAAAGACATGTAGAAACTGTAAGTGCATATCGATTACTGAAAGAAGCCAGCCTAAAATGATTTACATACCGTATGATTCCAACCAGATGAAATTCTGGAGAAGGAAAAACTAGAAAAAGTAAAAAAGATCAATGGTTGCCACAGGTTTGGAGTTGCAGGTGGAAATGTGAAGCACAGAGGATCTCTAGGTCAGTAAAACTACTGTGTATGGTACTACAGTGATACCAAAACTAAAAGAACTATATAATGCAAAGAGTGGATATTAATGTATAAAGTAGTTGTAATAACAAATCAATAACTGATCCACTAATGGTAACAAATGCACAACAGGGTGAGATGTTAATAATAGGGGAAATAATAATTAGGGGAAATGATAATTAGGGGAATAAAAATTGGAAATAATAATTAGGGGAAATAATAATTAGGGAAGATGGTATATCTGGGAACTCAGTGTACCATCTGCTGAATTTTTCTGTAAAACTGTTCTGAAAAATAAAGTTTATTATTAAAATAAAAATGACACTCTGGGGAAAGCCTAGAACTGTAATTATTAATGAATTTCCTCTATTTCTCACAATGGTAGAGACACATCAAATAGGTAAGTTTTTACTTTTCGTAATGGTTGCTCCTTATGGTCAAGTTAAGAATAAAGAGAAGCTCAGTATCCATCTATCTTACATTTGGAAAGTGAGTGCTGAAAAAAAGAGATTTTAACAATATTTTAAACTGTCTATATATTGAGTAAATACAAAACTTCTTTTTTGATGTTACCTAGAATAGGCAAGACTCTAAACCAATAAAAGGAAATAAAAATAAGAAAAAAAAAAGAACACAAGAAACCAAGACTCCATGAGTGAGAACCTGTAGGAACGCAGACAACAAAAACATACCCATAGGTACTCCAAATACTATACTTAGCAGGTCCATGTTATAAACTAGATGTGCTTACTATATTAAATGAAGTCCAAGATAAGTTTGAATATTTTGATGGAGAATTGGGCACTGTAGAATATCATAATAGATTTTTAGAAGAATGAAAGATAAATCCTTTAAAAAGATATAATAATCAAAATTAATATCCCCATAAATTTATTTAACAGCAGTTCAGATATAGCTAAAACAAGAACCAATGAACTGGAAAATAGATCACAGACATTATATAAAGATACTTATGAAGCAATAAAGAGAAAATACAGACGAGAAAGAGAGATAGCTGATTTGATGAGAGGTTGAACTTAGGTTTCTTGGTGTTCAAGAGGAACAAAAGTAAGAGCACAGAATAGAAATAATATATTGTTAAATGCTAAGTTTTTTCATAAAACTAAAAAAATCCATAAATCTATTGATTTAAAAAAAATGTATTGCAAATAAATTAATGGAAATCCGCATCTAGACACAACACAGGCACACAATAGAAAATCAATAAAGCCTGTAATCCCAGCACTTTGGGAGGCCAAGGCGGGCGGATCACAATGTCAGGAGATCGAGACCATCCTGACTAACACGGTGAAACCCGATTTCTACTAAAAATACAAAAAAATTAGCTGGGCGTGGTGGCGGACGCCTGTAGTCCCAGCTACTCGGGAGGCTGAGGCAGGAGAAAGGCGTGAACCTGGGAGGCAGAGCTTGCAATGAGCTGAGATCATGCCACTGCACTCCAGCCTGGGCGACAGAGCGAGACTCCGTCTCAAAGAAAGAAAAAAAAAAAGAAAAAGTAAAACCTAAAAGCAGTCAATTATAAAAATTTTTAAGGTGCAATATTTAGACTGGTAGGCTACATCTCACTGGCAACACTGAAAGCCAGAAATCTGTGGAACAATATCTTAGGATGCTAAAAATAATGTAATGTGCAATGTAGAATTTTATACCCATTAAATATTTTTAATAGTGAGGGTAAAACAGAGACATTTCAGAAAAATAAAAACTAAGAAAATCCATCACTGTGAGATCTACACTAAAAGAAAGCTTGGCAGTTGGAAAAGAGAAAGCAAACTTGACATTATTCATTGAAGATTACATGATTGCATATAGAGAAAAGCAGAAAAATCTACAGGTTAACAACTAGAATTATTAACAGAATTTAATAAGCATGCTGGTTCTAAATCCTTCTTTGAAAAGTAATTATATCTCCACAGCCAGCAATTTAAAAATAAAATAAAAAGAAACAATTCACTATAGTATAAGAAATATGAAGTACATAGGAGTAATCTAACAAAATAAAGGCAAGTCTTCTTTACAGAGAACTATATGGCATTACTGAGAGAAAATAGACCAAAACATGTGGAAGGATATGCCATATTTATGAATGGAAAGACTCTATACTATATAGATGTTAATTTCTTCTTATTGATTTATATTCAACTACAGTACTTGATAAGTTGATCCTCAAAGTTATGGGAAACAATACACAACACATGCTTAAAAAACAAGGTGGGAAGACTTCCTCCCTCCAGCATTAAGACTTACTAAAACCATATGATAATTAAAGTGGTTTATTGGTACAAATATCAAATATTATAGTAGACTAACAGCTATTACAATTGATGCTGTAATAAAAAATACTGCACATGCTGTCCGGGTGTGGTGGTTCACGTCTGTAATCCCAGCACTTTGGGAGGCCAGGTGGGCGGATCACCTGAGGTCAGGAGTTCGAGACGAGCCTGCCCAAAATGCTGAAACCCTGTCCCTAATAAAAATACAAAAATTAACCGGCTGTGGTGGTGGGCACCTATAATCCCAACTGCCGGAGAGGCTGAGGCAGGAGAATTGCTTGAACCCAGGAGGCGGAGGTTGCAGTGAGCTGAGATTGCGCCACTGCACTCCAGCCTGGGCAACAGAGTGAGACTCAGTCTCAAAAATAAATAAATAAAATAAAAATTGCACACGTCTTTGGAGTACACATGTGTTTTTTTCTCTTGGATAAACATGTAGGAGTTAAATTGCTGCTGGACCACTGGGCCATAGAACATACATATCTAAAGTTTAGTGAATATTGTCAAACCATTTTCCAAAGTAATTGTACCAAATCACACTTCCATTTATATATGAAATTTTTATCTTTCCCTAATGTACAGATTAAAAGACAACTGTTACTGCATTTCCCTGATTATGAGAGAGACTGACCATCTTTCATATCCTCATTGGTCCTTTCAGGTTTCTTTCCTTGCAAACTGTCAGCCCAGAGCCACTGCTCATATTTCCTTCCACATGTTTTGGTCTATTTTCTCTCAGTAATGCCATACAGTTCTCTGTAAAGAAGACTTGCCTTTATTTTGTTAGATTACTCCTATGTACTTCATATTTCTTACACTATTGTAAATTGTTTCTTTTAATCATGGCATTATAGGAATGCTACATATTATGGATGTTGATTTCTTTGTCTGTCATGTACATGGAAACGGTCTTTCCCTATTCTGCAGCTAATCTGTGGACTGTCAATTTACTCAGTTTAGGGTGCTCTTGTCCTACAGAAAGTTATATTTTGACAATGCAGTAAAAGTTATAGGGTTTTTTCCCCACTTCTTTTTCTTTATGCCTTGGTCAATAAATCCTATCAAACCTGGAGATCATAATATGTCTCCCTACACCACGTAAAGTTTTGTTTGGCTGTTTGTCTTTAATACATCTGTAATTCAATTAATTTTAATTTTTCAGATGGATA
Source organism: Homo sapiens (assembly GCF_000001405.40). Classification (NCBI taxonomy): domain Eukaryota; kingdom Metazoa; phylum Chordata; class Mammalia; order Primates; family Hominidae; genus Homo; species Homo sapiens. Next base: position 4,794,922 of record NC_000005.10, read on the forward strand.
GACAGTTACCTTGTTGATTTGCAGAGCCACAACTCTCATATGTTAGTTTCATAAAGGAATATACAAATTCTGCTAGTGTTTCTGTTTTCATACTTTCTGTTATGTTCCTTCAGTTAATTTGTCCGTCTCAATTTCTACATGACATTAAATACTACAGTTTTATACTCATTCTTGCTATTTGGTAAAGTAAGATTCTCCCTTTATTACTCTTTAATTATTTTGGCTACTGTTGGACTTTTATAAATTTTAAAATAAATGTATCCAGTTCTGTAGGGGAAAAATGAGAAATTTGATGTAAATTTCATTGTTTGTATTAAATCAATTGGGGAAAACGATGTGCTTATCTCATTCATGAATATGGGATGTCTTCCTATTTGTCTTCTTTTATGTCTTTCAATAAGGCTTTATGGTCTCTAAAATAAAAATCTTATATTTTAGTTATGTTTATACATATATATATATTCAGTCATCGCTATTTTGGAAGAGATTTTTTAAATTAATTCTATTTTATAATCAATTGCTGCTTATGTTTAAGAGCACAATTATTTTTTTCTATACTGATATCATATTTAACAATTTGTTGAACTCTCCAATTAATTCTAATAGTTGTCTTCAAATTTTCCTGCATTTTCCATGAAGAATATTATATCATTTGAGAACATGGACAGTTTTATATATCACCTTTTAATAATTTTACCTCATATTTTACATTAGAGAAACTCAATATAATTCACTTTATTAACAGTTTAAAGAGACAAAAATTCCTCGGTAAACCAAAAACCACCATCAATTCAAAAGGCTCTCTAGATTTCACCTCTCAGCAGTAGCTGTTGACATTTAGCAGCTCAAGACTACAAGAACTCCGACACAGTAGTCATGTCTGTAAACAAATCAACCATTGAGATCAATGTGTAGACAAAGAATTCAAGTACTAACATGCCATCTTGCCCAAAGGCACAGCTAACTGGTATTGGAAATACACCAGTGTTTGAATATGAATGGAGGAACTTGCTATCCCATTGTATCAAAAATAAATGATTGATGGACAAGAGTCAGCAGCCACAGCCCAAATGTCCTGACATAACACTAACATTCCACTGTCAGCCTCACACTTGTACAAGGCTGTCTACCTGGCCAATTTTATGTTAGTATCACTACTTATTATTGTCCATTGTAAATATTTTTAAACTATGCGATGTATTATTTGAGAATGCTGGTGATAACTTTGATCCTTGTGCAAAGCTTTTATCATGACTGGAAACCATATTCAACTACTTAGAGCTTAACTTCAAAACACAGGTTTGGTTCTGTGCTGGGCTGAGGAAGCAGCACAGCGATGACACTGAAGACACACCTGAGATTTCTCTGGACATTTGGTGAATGCTGCCATGTTATTTTACTTTTTTATTAGGTATTTTGAGGAGATTGGCTTATAAGTTTATGTTTTGTGTGTTTGAAGACTTCTTTGTTTTATTAGAAATATCCAATTTGTTATTATTTTCATATTTAAAACAAAAGTCTCCTTCCACAAGGGAATAGAAAGAAATATCCTCAGCTACAGGAAAAATGTTGAAACAGAGATTCTTAATTTTTCTCTCATACCAATATTCTCCTTTTTCTTCACAGTAGACATGCCAGTTTGTAGCTAGGCACATAGTCATACAGAATGAAGATTATATCTCCTAACCTTCCTTGTAGATTGTTCTGATGGCAAAACTTTCTTCACCTTTCAGACTCACTTTTGGCTAGAATGTATAGTTAATGGCTGGAGCTCAAGCAACCATGTTTAAGTATGAAGTTTCTGCTAATAACAGCAGAGCACAGAGATAATATATGTTGGTCCGGAAAAATTATGGGACTTAAGAATTTTCACTCCTAAACTTCTTTAATGAAAAGCAGAATTAAACTTCTCTATCATTTAAGTCATTATTACTTCTCTTTTATTTAAGTCATTATTACTTTGTGTTTTCTGTCACTCACAGCACTTAATTCTGTACAGATATCTACATTAATACAAGCCAACACCACTTCTAATGGCATTTACAATGTATTTCCTTTGAAAACAGTGAAAATGCTTGAATGAGTTCATCTCTCCTCGGTGACTGAATGCTGCTGTGGGAAGGTTTGAGGCCAACCCACTATTTTCTTCCATGTATTTAGATAATTTTTCTCATTAGATATCTTTTTCTTTACCTTCAACATCCATTGATCCCAATAAGTTATGTCCTGATTTTTGCTGTCAATTTTCCTATGAACTACTAAGCCCTTTTTATCTACAAGTTTTAAGCTTATTTTTGCAGAAAAAAAGTTTATTAGCTAATTATATCCTTTCTTATTATAATGATTCTATTTTATTTCCTACCCTCTTCTTCTGGATTATCTATCTTCCATTTCTGCCACATTCTCTATGCACATTTTTATAACTGTTCTACTATGATTTGTGTGGATTTCCTCAAAACAATCTATGGCTGATTACCTTTTCAGTCTCAATTTTCCTATTTGTTTTTAATTCACTTTCACTTCCATAATGTTTTTTCTTCCCTCTTCCATGTCTAGAACATACAATGAAATATGTTATTTTATGGCCTTAGACAAACACTTCTAAGTTTTTGATGATCAGTGTGGCTAAGCTACATCTTTAAATTAAAGACTCTTCTACTTTATAATTTGGTTGTGTTGTCTCCTTCATGAATCTCCCTCCTAGGCATGTTCATTATGCTTCTCCCTCTGCAGGCCCTCTTGGTAATGACTCCAGGCCATAGACCATGAATGGTTTAAATTAGAAGCTTTCTCTAACTCCATCCACTTCAACATCTTTTATCAAATTTAATGTCTATGGTAAATTTTCGAGCTTGTCCTTTGGCTTTCCCAAGCCTGAACTTCTCATTACTTGAACTACGGATCACTGGAATTGTCTCTCAGTAAGGGGAGAATTTGTTTTTAGGGTAACTGGTGCCTTATTCAAAGTATGGGGAGATATGTTACAGCTGTTAACGCCCTTGCCCTAGTTGGTCTATATTTTCCAATTTTTATCCAGTGCGTGCCTTCACACAGGTGAAGTGGGGGCTCTCTTTAGAGAGTTTGTTTTTTTCATTGAATGTGAAAGGATTTTAGGTCTCTTTATATTCTTTTGCATAATTTTGACACCTTTTGATGTAGGGAACTAGAGTTATGATATGTTACACCTCATGAATATTTTAAAGTAGCATGAAAATTAGTAACACCAAACACATCAATCTGATTTCTTTCTTTGCTGCTTTACTTTTTCCATACTTTCTACCCTATATGAGTTTGAACTTTGGATAATATACACAACCCTTGCTGATTATTTAATACCCAAGGTATTCATAATCAGCCAATTTAACGTCTTGCCAAACAGATGTAACCACTAATAAGGAGGCAGCCTATAAAAGTTTCTGTGGACCACATTATATTAAAAAATATTTGAAGACAGAGATAGAGGTAATAATCTTAATCTCAGTGCTAGTCAGAGAGTACATATTCAATATAGTTTTGGTATTTATTATTTTTGATACAGAATATTGTTGTGTAGCCCAGGCTGGAGTGCAGTGGAGTCGTCACAGTTGATTGTAGCCTCAATCTCCTAGGCTCAAGTGGTCCTCCCTCCTCAGCCTCCCTAGTAGCTGGGACCACAGGCACATACCACCACTCCCAGCTATTTTGGGTTTTTTTTTTTTTTTTTTTGTAGGTATGTGGTCACCCTGTTGCCCAGGCTTGGTCTCAAACTCCCAGGCTCAAGTAATCCTCCTCCCTTAGCCTCCCAAAGTGCTGGTATTACACAGGTGTGAGCCACTGTGCACAGCTCAACAGTTTTTATTAATTAGTGTTGTTACGTGAGAAACAACCTCCAGGTTCACCTTCATATCTTCGAGTCTATCCCACAAGAAAGCAAGACTAGCTGCATAATTTGCATGGCCTCATGTAAAATAAAAACATGAGGCCCATTGCTCAAACAAACCTGCACATGTACCCTTATCTATATTAAAGGGTTGGAAGTATTTCTACAAATGTGATTATATATAAGATGTAATATGGATAATAGTGATACAAGAAAAGAAACATAAGCTTATAAATGAAAAAATCAAATTTTGGTGTCATAATTTTATATAATACAATAATGATACCTTCTTAATGTGATATTTTGATTGATGATAAGATTTGCTGGCTCACCATTACTTTCCTCCTGCATTCGAAGCAAGCTATAGTTTGAACAGAACTGCTGCCAGAACGCCCACTTAGCCATAGATATGTGGATATAAAACAGGAGCACAGGGTTCCTGTGGACCCACAGAGCATGGGAGTTCAGTGAGCCTCCCAGTGAGCATAAGTTACAAAAATTATGGATGCCAAGTAGCAATAGTAATGATATATGCAAAAACTGTGGCAAAGCATGGCCAACACACAGATTTCTTCTGCATACACAATACTCCATTATCCATTTGACTTTACTTGCAAGACACCAGCTCAAAGATACCATTATTAAGAATTTCAAGATTTTGACAGGGAACTCTAAACCAAGTGCAGGCCTTGTGTGGCTGCACTATTCATATGCCCTTGAAGTGGGTCCGCTTTTCAGCACATAATTTTGTTCTTCACTATCTTGTCCTCTCAGCTTGCAAACATGGCCAAGACTCGGTGACCATTAACAATACAACAAAGAAAAAAGTCCTTGTTTTTTTTTATTTGTTCCCTGTATGTCACTTACCTCTTAAAAGTAAGCTATAAAACTAGAATAGTTAACTGTCTTCTTTCCATTTCTTTGCGACCCTTATTTTTCACACTAATAGAAACAATAACTGTCTTACATTTTATACAGAACCTGTTATCTGTGAAACCATGAGTGACCATTCATTATAAAAGCACACTGAGACTATGCATTCATCTTTTTACTTGATTTCTCATTTTTTTCATGTATTTCCCTATGTATAGTTCAAATTCATATGAGCCCCTGCTATGTGTCAGGCAGTTCTGAGGTTACAGTTATAAGCAACATATAGATATGTTCATTGTTCCTTTGAAATGGAATACGCATGTGATAGCACATGCTTAAGCAGCCACCTACGAGTGAGTGCAAGGTTTCCTGCTAGTGATGAGGGAAGAGAGAAAGCAGGAGCCTTGACCTCTGCCTCTGATGATCTCCTAGCTCTGAAATGGAGATACACAGAGCTCATCCATGATACAGGGGTTTGCCTATGGTAATGGGGGATTTGATCACATGAAAATGCTCATTTGGGTTGGTTCCAAGTGCATTAGGAGATATACCTAATGTAAATGACAAGTTAATGGGTGCAGCACACCAACATGGCACATGTATACATATGTAACAAACCTGCACGTTGTGCACATGTACCTTAGAACTTAAAGTATAATAAAAAAAGGAAAATGCTCATTAAATTAGAAACTATAGAAATAATAATGATTATTGAGACAAAGATGAAGAGAGGAGCCTGAAAAGTCTAAAGCATACTATATGCAAATAACAAATTATGGCAGGAATTTTGGATTATTCAAAACTCAGAAGAGACCCAGGTGCTGTTGCAAGCTGTGAAGGCAGGTGGAGCTGGGTGGCACTACCTACAGTAACATGCCATATGTGCAGGGGTTTTGGTCCAACTTAGGAGCAAGAAGATTTTGTGAATGGCCTGTAAGCAATATAAATGATGAGTTTTTGAGTAGATGTTTCTGATTACCTTGGGGACAACTGATTGGATTAGTGTGAACGGATCTGAGCGGATTTGATGAAGCAAATACTAGCCTAAGAGACAATGCTGGTGCAAGAGTCTAAGAAAGATATGACGATCATCTGAACCAGGAAGTGGTGGTGGAGAGAAAGAAAAGTATAGGAATTAAAACGTATTTTGAAGGACACCCAGGTGTCTAAGCAATGTTTGTAATCCAATGAGCAAAGGAAGGTGAGGTGTCAAGAACAGTTCCTCATCTTTTGACTTACGTACCTGGGATGATGGTTTTACCATTCACCATAATTGCCAATATTATAAAATATTATCATATGGGGGAAAATCACATGTCTAATTTGGAGCATGTTGAGCTTTGGGTACTTTTCTCTTGCATTGTTCATCTCTCCCTCCCTGAAAATTTAACTTCCCTTGGTTCGAATGGCATCACATTGTTTTCTCTGGCTTCTATTACACTTTCTGCTCAATCTCCTTCACAGGTGTCTTTATCTCTGCCCAAGTGTAAAATTGAGTTGTGTCTGAGGCTGTCTATTCCACAGGTTTCCTGGGCAAAGTCCATCCATGGCTTTGACGACCATCCAAATGCTGAGCGCCAGACACATCTCTGCTTCTTGCCTACAGAACAAAGACACCTGTACGCCTGATATGGTTTGGCTGTATCCCCACCCAAATCTCATCTTGAATTGTAGCTCCCATAATTCCCATGTCTTGTTGGAGGACTTAGTGAGATAATTAAATCATGGAGGCGGTTTCCCCACACTGTTCTCGTGGTAGTGATTAAGTCTCATGAGATCTGATGGTTTTACAAGGGGAAACCCCTTTGGCTTGGCTCTCTGATTCTTTCTTGTCACTGCCATGTAAGAAGTGCCTTTCTCCTTCCGCCATGATTGTGAGGCCTCCTTAGCCATGTGGAACTGTGAGTCCATTAAACCTGTTTTTCTTTATAAATTACCTAGTCTTGGATATGTCTTTATCAGCAGCATGAAAACAGAGTAATACAAAGCCCATTTCAAACTGAAGTTGTTCAAAACTTCCAAACCTGCTTTTTCTTCTTTTACAATGTCTCCTTTGATTAATAGTGCCAAATTACCCAAACTAGATCATGTGGAAAGTTTGTTTACTAGTCTTATTGCCTCTAGTCCAACTTCCTTCAATCTCTTCTGAGTGATCTTTACAATATGGTAATAAAGTTCATATGATCCCTTAACAACCTGCACCTAGCCCCATTCTAAATTATTCTAATTATTTGTCACTTTCAGGAAAATACTAGAATTCCATTTTCATTACATAACAGATTATCATAATCTATGGTACTTCCTCCAGGAACTTCATCCCATAGCAATATTGAACTTGAAGACAGGTTCTCTTAAGCCTCCATGACTTTGTATAAACTATTCTATCTGCATGAAATAATCTATCTCAGTTTATCCTTTTCTGAGGCTCAGCATAGATGAAATATTTTTTTTTATCACAGTCAACCTAATCTTAAGTACAGCTTTAATTCCTTGCAGGGGCAGCCAAAGCCTTCTCCACATTTCTGAACATTCCCACCATGTGACTCATCCATTATTTTTTCTACCAAGTTTCCGTAGCTCTGCAGAGTGTTACTGTTCTGTCTGTGATAATAAAAGACAGTGATGTCCAGCCTCCTCCAGCCTCCTGCTCTTCGGCACGTAGTGTGCTCAGTCACTCTCCTAAAGATTTGGTGTCTGGATGTTGAGTGAGGTGGTCATGAACAGAGGTCATTTGGAGGACAACTGACCTTTTTCCATCTCTCTAGCTGAAGTTGCCTTCTTGTCCCATTAGCTCATGTCATTTGTTTGCCACATGTCCCACAGGACGGTGCTGCCAAAAGTCATGTCTCTCTTGATTTCATCTTGACAAGAATGCTTCTTCAAAGAAATTTATTTGAAAAAGAAAAGTTACAATGAACACTATGTTGCCCAGCTCACGATACAGCTTGTCTCTTCCAGGTGAGTGAAGTTCCTGGAGGACACGAGCGCTTTCTCAGGTCTATCTCTGGCACATGGTGGAGAGTCTGGTATACAGTAAGTGATCAATCAATATTTGTTGACTGAATACATAAATGCTCCTTTTCTATGAATTCATTTTGGGCTATTCATTTATAAAACATAATCCCTAATTTTTTGTATTATTTCATTATTATCTCATACATGTGTGAACCTAATAGAAATAAATGCTGCTTTAAAATAGAGACCAAATTTTATCGTTTTACTATCTCCCAATGTACCTAGCACATAGGGATACGATGAATAACCACTGGTAATTAAGAATGTTATGTGTATAATACAGTACCCACTTTATGAAAGCTAAGATCTATTATTACTGATTCTCTTAAGTAAAACTAGAATTATAATGAGAGAGAAAAAAAGGGAAAGAGAAAGAGAGAAAAGAAAGAGGAAGGGAGAGATAGAGAATACTTCTGCTATTGCAATTAATTTTAATTCCAGTTTCAACTGGAAATATGTCCTTTTCCTGAATTTCTTCTACAGATGAATTGCATATGTACCATGAGCGATGCAGTAAGCAAAGTTCTATTTCACCAAGAAGACTGGGCTACTGGATAATCTTTCTTCCAATAATTTCAAGTTACTTTATAGGACAGATATGATAAATACTGAAACTTCTAGTTTAGTTCTCAAAATTGAATTTACTGACATAGTCTAAATAGTTCTAAAGTAGAAACTACTTTCCCTTTCCCTTTGCCTTTATTGAATAATAACTTCTAAACATCCACATGAGTTACAGACAAGAACTTAGATGAGGGCTGGGTGGTGATCTACTTAGAAAAATAGATTTAAAATGGTTTTGTGTCTCCTGTGAGGATGGGAATGATAAAAAAAAGAAGAAAAAAACCCTGACTAGAAGATTGTAGGACTAGAGAAAGAAAAGACATTTTCTCAGGAATATAGAGATTTCTTTATTTGTTTTCTCTTATTTTCAAACCTACAGTGTATATTAAGGTTTGCCTTGGAGCCCCTTCACCTGTCAGGATTATAAATGATTATTGAGTTTGCCTATCGAATATCCAGTGCTGATTGGCTTGTCTGAATAACTGCACAGATTTGGAGTTGTGACGGAGACCCACTCTAAATGGCTACCTCCAAGATTGGTCTCCCCAAAGGCCCTGGCCTCTCGCAGTTCATCTCATCTGTTCTGGGCCGCTCACCCTAGAAGGGGAAGACCCCATCCTCTCCGTGTGGAGGGCAGAGCCCGCAGGATATTCCTGCGCTGCTCCTTGCGTTGTCCAACAGCTTGTGTAATTTGATGCATCCCATCAGGTTAACTCACGCTTAAGGTGATCTAGGGATCTAGGGCACCAAATGACACCCTTGTGTGGCAAGGTGTGGAAAACGCAGCTTTTTCTTCTTTCAGGGTCCCAGCTTACTAATGAATCTAGCAAGTTAAATGACACCTGGTGCTCACCAGCTTTCAACTCTCTTTTCTTGAGTAGCACAACACAGAATCATTCTGTTCTGTTTGGCATCTTTACATTCACATAGCATTTTGCATGACTAAGGATGACCCAACATCAATTATGCCTGTATCTATTCCTTTGTCTTTATCTGGATCTATGTCCCTGTCTTTATCTGTATGTATAGCTACAGCTACATTTATGTAAGCCAACATGAATTTCTCCGCACTGCACATATTTAGATTATAATTTTAAAAGAAAACTGCCTGGTAGAAATACTGAGAAAATAATAATCACATTACTATAGTACCCTAAAGTTTTTTTAAAAGTAGCTGAATTTTTATTCTTTTCAAGAGAAAACCTTCCCCCACTTAATCGAATCAGCATGTGCACTTTTTTTTATCTTTCTTCCTAAGATTTTATTTATATTCCTTTTTAATTGGTATGTTTAATGCCTGTGTATAAGTCCATTTAAATAAAAATAGGACAGGCTTACTAGTATTTGTATTGCATGAAATTACAAGCAGGTTCAAGTTGAACAATTAATACTCCTTTTTTTCTCAGTGGTGGTACGGATAGTGCCAATTTAATGCTGTTTAAGCTTATTATCTAATTGCATGCTTGTGCTAGCTTCAGAAACGGCATGACATGAAGGCAGGCGTGTGCTGTGTTCCCTCTGCAGTAGAATATTCAATTATTTGTTCTGACTCATGTAATTCCCTGTATTCCAAGCTTGTTAATGTCATTACAGAGCTGAAATAAAGTGATTACTCTTAATGAGTATTTATCCGATAGGTAATGCAATTCCTGCGCCCTCCAGCTGACAGTGGACTCTTATGGATTTTGCTCACTGGTCCTTTCACTGCTGCCCCCGACCACCACCCAAAGGCGCCATCCCCCACCTCTTGACTTTCCTGTCAGGGAGGCAACATGGCATTGCGGTTTTCTGTGAAATACTGTCAGATGATGGGGAAAAAAATAAAAAAATCTTTAAAAAAAGGAAAAGGAAGAATTGCAACCTCCCCCGGCAGAGTTCCAGCTAATGACCACTGCTTCCACTTGCCGGCAGTGATGACAGCTTGTGCTAAATGATAATGGCATGCCTGCTGTCGGGTTTGCCCGCTTATGTTATTTCTCTTGACATGGTTCTGGGGAAGGCCTAATTTTTTTGACATTTGACCATGCAAATTTGAGTCCTGATACATTATTCTGCATTTACATCCTTCCAGTGTTGCTGTTTAAAATGTGCTACAAGCTCCAGGAGCTCAGCTAATAAAGGCCACCGAATGAAAGAAAGTTAAATATGAATGCAAGAGGAGACCTAAATGAAGGGCTGGCTTGTACATCTCAAAGATGACCTTCTAGAGATGAACGAGTGGAAAACCTTTTTTTTTAAGCAAATGGTAAAGACTGTAACATCGATTTTTTTTGTAGATTTTTAAAAGATTTTCAAATATATACCAAAAGGAGAGAAAAAAAAAATCTTCTCATTATATTTTACATGAAAGTTTTCCCACTCAGCTTATCAGCTACTATATTATTAACCGATTGCAAGGTGGTGCTGGCTTCTCGAACTCTAAACTCACGAATCTGCAGAAGGCATCTTTGATTGTCAGGCCTACATTTGCACAGCTTCTAAACTTACCAGTTTCATGTCATCAATTCCATGCCTTTTGGTTCTAAGAAAATTCTTCCATTTTAGAGATTTCTGTGGGTTTTGGAACAAATCAAACTTCATCCTATATTGTCTCTGGCTCCAGACCAAAATTTGGACCTAACAATAAAAATGGGGAAAATGTTAAAAATCATTCTCAGCAAACTAACACAAGAACAGAAAAACAAACACTGCATGTTCTCACTCATAAGTAGGAGTTGAACAATGAGAACACATGGACACAGGGAGGGGAACATCACACACTGGGACCTTTTGGGGGTTGGGGGGCTAGGGGAGGGATAGCATTAGGAGAAATACTTAATGTAGATGGTAGGTTGATGGGTGCAGCAAACCACCATGGCATGTGTAAACCTATGTAACAAACCTACACGTTCTGCACATGTATCCCAGAACTTGAAGTATAATAATAATACTATTAATAAGTCAATAATAATACTAACTATACTAAATTGACTTAACCACTAAAAATAAACATGCACTCCTAATAATGATAAAAGAGGAGTATTCACGGATTTTGTTATGGATATCAACATTAATGTCATTATTTTACAAAAAGAAAAAGCATAAAGAAAAAGTGCTTGTTTTTATCTGTCCATATTTATATTTTTATTTACTTAGCATTCAATTTACTAAATTGTTATTTTTATACATTTTGAAATATTTCACTGTATATTCTCCCAGTTAAATATATTAAAATACATCATTTAATACAGATAAGTAATTGGACTTCAGGTTTGATACATATTAAGAGTATTACAGAAAACCCTCTTTGAAATTACTGAGTAGCCAAAATTTTTCTCTGCTTCTCCATTCTCTACTATCCTTTCTCCCTCCTGTCTGGTCTTTCCTTCCTTTTTTTCTTCCTTTCTTCCTTTTCCTTAACTTCTTCCATTTTGAATACCCACTTTATTTTTGAGCACTCTATCTATCTATCCATCCATCTATTTATCTATCACCTATCTATGTAATCTATTTATTTAATCTACCTACCTACCTACCTATGTTTCCAACTGGATGCTGAAATGTTTACAAGCATAAATAAGACAGAGAGTCTCTGAACATTTGAATCTTGCAATAATAAGTGTAATTACACAAATATAGTAAGATACAAAAACACTTTGTTTTTCTAAACAGTGTCGTTACTACCAACAGATTAAGTCACAGTCAAGATCGGAAAACACAATTGCCAGTTTGCTTTTTATGAATGGGGTATTTTCCTCAGATGTTTTAAGTATGTGTGCGCCCTCATATGTAGCACTGTGCCTAAGGTGGTTTTACTGATTGGGCAACAGAATTCAAATCTTCATTTTCCCTTTGTTCTATCTAGTCAACAAGAGAGCACCAGAAGAGTGATTTCAAGAAGTGAGACCAGGCTTGAAATCACTCTGGCGAGAGTGCACTGCACGGTCCCTTTCACTTGGGAGACAATGAAGTAGCAGGCATGGCATTCCACCATGTGATTTCCATACCTCATGTCAACAACAATCACAGCTTTAAAAACATGATGCAGGTCCTGGGATACAAAGTCAAATACATGTCAAATGTAGAATCCTGACTCAAAACATTAAGTAGATAAAAGTACTTCTAAGAAGTCTCCTTACACCTCGCAGAGTTATGAAGATGTGGAGTTCATCTTGTTTTATTTAAAAAAAAGTATTTATGAGAATAGCATTTACTTTTATGTATATTTAATATTTTAAAATATTAATAGTAAGGAAATAAAAGACAATTCAATAATAACAGTTGTTTTTCCAAAAAATAAATAAAAGCAGGAAAAAAAACTTTTCCATTTTGTAAAGTATATTAGATGGCCTTGCTCGCATAGTAGTTAGTATGTAGTCCTTTTGAAGATCAACTGTAGAGACAAAATCTAGCATCCCACCAACTCTGAGTTCTGATAAAGATAAATAGCCTGTTTGCACCTCATGAATCCAGCCCTTATTGTATGGAGGGTCTAGAGAAAGACACTGGTCCATCCCTGCCATAAGTGCTCAGGTTCCACAACCAAATCAGCTGGCCCAAGGATTCTCCTCTATTTTTTGGTCATACCCCTTCCACTTCGGTTCTTCAATCTGGGCTCATTTGCATTTAAACTAATGCGCTTCCTTTAGAGTTGACAACCCTGAGGGAATGCTGACACGTTTATTTGCTTGAGACATTTTTTTAACCTTTGTTTTTGAAGGAAATTTGCTGGTCATAGAAATAAAGGTTGCCAGTTTTTTTGTGTCTTTTTTTATTCGATATTTTAAAAATATTATTCTATTGTCTTCTGAATTCCATTGCTTCCGTTAAAAATTCAGCTCTCATTTTTATTGTTGGTTTGTGTTTTTTTCCCACTTGCTTTTAAGTTCTCTCTTTTTCTATGATGCTTACAAGTTTAAGTTTTATATATCTAGATGGGATTTAATTTATATTAATTCAATTTGTGGTTCACTGAACATCTTGAATAGCTTTCAAGCATTCTGAAAATCTTCAGGTAATTTTTTGCTTCAGATATTGCTCACTTCCTATTTTTTTTCTTCTCTCTTTCTGGGACCCCAACTACATATTTGCTAAACTTCTTGTTCATATTCTAGTTTTTTCATGTTTTATACTTTTTATTCATGTTCATGTCTATGCTTCAATTTTAATATCTTCTCTTTAACTGTATTCAAGTTTACTAACCTATCTTTTGCTGAATCCAGTGTGATTTTTTCTCTCTCAATGAATTATTAACTTAGTTATTATATATTTTACACTGTAATAATGTTTCTTATATTTTTATAAATTCTAATTATTATAAGATACTCCATATTTGCATATTTCTTATCTATAATTCCTTTATTAATTTTAAGATATTGGTCATTTTCTGTGAAGTAAAATATCTAAACAAACTCTCCCTCTGCTTAGACTGTATTACTTCTTAATTTGTCCATTTTTTCAGCCTCTTTGAAAGTCTAGAAATTTTTAATTTCGTGCTGGACATTGTAATTATTACATTGTAAAGAACCAAAATTGTATCATTTTCCATTTTTAATTTGTTCTGAATTAAATTTGAGTTAAATTATAAAATAATCAATTACCTTGATCATTTCAAGGCCCAGTTTTACAACTTGTTAGGGCCTTATATTGCAGTTTTTCTTATTTCCAGAACATAACCTACACTTCTATAGCATGGTCTTTCTAGTTGCTAAAAGAATATTCAGGGTATTTGAAAGGCCACTTCACTTTAAGCAGCCTGGACTTCAGCATCTCCCTGACATTATGAATTCTCCACTACATCCATTCAGCCTTACTCCTCCTGACAGGCAGACCAGAGTTCTATCAAATCTCAGAAACTGGCCAAGAACCAAAGAGGCTGATTTAATGTAGACTTCTACACTTTCCTTTCTACAATTTGCTCATAGTCATTGCCTTCTGGGATTTCTGTAAAGCTCTCAACTCTTTTCTCATTCTCTTTAGCTCAGCATAACTTTCACTCTCAGCCTTGACTGACTTCTCTGAACTTCAGCCTGGAAAATATCCTCAAAAAGAAATTCAGAACAAATACAAGCCATAACTCATGAGCTTCCTCTCTCAATTATTATTGCCCTGGGTTAACTGTCATTCTAAATCTGTAATCATTGTTATATGGATATTTATGTAGGTTTCATAGCTGTTTATGGGTAGAAAAAATATGGTATCAGCTACTTTATCATGCACAGAATCAGAAGTCTTTCTGAACTTTATTTTTATTTTTAGATTTATTGAATTTTTATCAAAAAGTGCAGTTTACAAAATCTCCCCCGTAGAATTAATTACTTTTTTCTGGAAACTAGCACATGATTTATTTATATAAATGTTTTTCTATCATAAAATGATTGCAAGTTGTCAGTTTGTAAGATATAAAATTGTAAGTGTTTTAAAGTTTTTGATTTTGATTACTGGACCTATCTATTAAAATCTTTGAAAATAATTTTATTTTTAAGAATTTATATTTGTATTTATTCCCATTTTCTTTTATGTGACAGTATATAAAGTTTACATATATATAACTTATGTATTACTATACATTTTATAATTGTATGAATTCCATCTTTTTTAAAAATTTTAACTTTGAAATGTGATTTAATTGTTATTTACACTGACATTACAGGAGAAATCCTGTTCGAGATTTTTTTTGCCAACTTGCTCCAAGTCTTATTATTTTTCTCTCTTCTTCCGTTTTTTTGTTTGTTTGTGTTTTGAGGGGGAAGGAGCATGCTTAGTTCTGCTAATGTAGCTGGATTGTTTAAATTACATTTTTAAAATGTAATTTTATAGACATAAAATAAGCAAGCTCTTCCCCCCAAAAAAATTACATTTTTAAAATTACGTTTTTAAATTAATTTTAAAAGTACATTTTCTATAATTTTATAAGAAAAAATAATACTATTGTGTTTACTGTGTTTACTTAGTTTAATGTCTAACATCAATTTTATATTTACTGCTTCTCTCTTTTTAATTATTTTTCCTATTTGAAAAAATATGTTTTAGGTTATGTTCCATTTCTATTTGTCACTCACCTATGCTCTCATATTGAGATTTTTAAAAATCTGTTTACTCCGTTTTCTGAGATGAAAACTTTAGAATATTTGTATTTTACCCTTCTCCCAGTGTCCTAGATACACCAATTTTGGTTTTATGATAGTTTAGGATTCACAGGTCTGGGAATTTATTCTTTAATTTTAAGAACTGTTATTATTTTCTCAATTAAAATCCTCTGTTGCATTATCATTATCAGTGAAAAGTTATGTTTTACACAGTGTAAATACTTTCTCATGACTGTTGCTTTCATATTTAATCTAGTTCTGTTTTAATCATACTTTGGACTTAACGATTTTGGTTACACTGCTTGTTGAAATAATTTGTTTAGATAGGGAAGAAGGATAGAATAATTTCTGAGTCTTTGAACATCTTAAAAATACAAAATTATTTAAACAATTCTCAACAGAATAATAAGTGGTGGCATTACCTGAGAGAAAAATTGCTGAAAAACATTGTCTCATCAAAACTGCATATAAGTCAAACATCGTTAGCTTCCACTATAGAAGATAAGAAGCCCAATGAAAATTATATCCGCTTTATTTTGAAAGTAAATTGTTTTTTATGAAAAAGCAATTAGAAGAGCTTGTAAGGTTTTATTTTCTTCATTGAAGTGTGACAATTCAGGATATTTTAAAATGTTGTATTTTTTCATTAATATTTTATTGCTATCAGAAAAACATCTTAATTAAAAACATATTTTTTGTCTTCAATTCAGTCATTTCACATTATTATTATTAGTAGTAGTAGTAATATGTTTTCTTCATTTCTTTTTTACTTCTTTTGTTCTCTCTGAAATGCTTGTATATTTTAAATTTTCTTCATCTTCTCTGCCAGTGTTTCAACTTTACACTAATAATTCCAATTTATTTTAATTTTTGCTTTATTTCATTGACAAATGTTTTTCATTTACCATTACCAAAACTTAATTCAGCAATTTTGAGAAAATTTTTCTATTTTCATTTTATCTATTACATATTTTACATTTTCATTTTTATTGTATGTATGTGTATGTATGTGTGTGTATGTGTATATATATATATATATATATATATATATATATATATATATATATATATATATAAAATACTTAAAGTTCTGGGATACATATACAGAACGTGCGGGTTTGTTACACAGGTGTGTATGTGCGCCATGGTGGTTTGCTGCACCCATCGAGCTGTCATCTAGGTTTTAAGCCCCACATGCATTAGGTATTTATCCTAATGCTCTCCCTCCCCTTGCCCCCCACTCCCTGACAGGCCCCTGTGTGTGATGTTCCCCTCCCTGTGTCCATGTGTTCTCATTTTTCAACTACCACTTATGAGTGAGAACATGTGGTATTTGGTTTTCTGCTCTTGTGTTAGTTTGCTGAGAATGATGGTTTCCACCATCATCCATGTCCCTGCAAATAACATGAACTCATTCTTTTTACGGCCGCATAGTATTGCATAGTGTGTATGTACCACATTTTCTTTATCCAGTCTATCATTGATGGGCATTTGGTTTGGTTCTAAGTGTTTGCTATTGTGAATAGTGCTGCAATAAACATACATGTGCATGTGTCTTTATAATAAAATTATTTATAATCCTTTGGGTATATACCCAGTAATGGGATTGCTGAGTCAAACGGTTTTTCTGGTTCTAGACCCTTGAGGAATCACTGCACTGTATTCCACAATGGTTGGACTAACTTACACTCCCACCAACAGTGTATAAGTGTTCCTATTCCTCCACATCCTCTCTATCATCTGTTGTTTCCTGACTTTTTAATGATCGCCATTCTCACTGGAGTGTGATGATCTCTCATTGTGGTTTTGATTTGGATTTCCCTAATGACCAGTGATGATGAGCTTTTTTTCATATGTTTCTTGGCTGCATAAATATCTTCTTTTGAGAAGTGTCTGTTCATATCCTTTGCCCACATTTTCATGGGGTTGTTTGCTTTTTTTCTTGTGAATTCGTTTAAGTTTCTTGTAGATTTTTAATATGAGATTTTTGTCAGATGGGTACACTGCAAAAATTTTCTCCCATTCTGTAGGTTGCCTGTTCACTCTGATGATAGTTTCAGGCAGGAACTGGTTATTTGGAAAAATTAACAATATAGGCAGCTAGCCAGACTAATAAGGAAGAAAAGAGAGAAGAATCGAATAGACACAATAAAAAATGATAAAGGGGTATCACCACTGATCCCACAGAAATACAAACCACCATCAGAGAATTCTATAAACACCTCTATGCAAATAAACTAGAAAATCTAGAAGAAACGTGTACATTCCTGGACACACACACTCTCCCAGGACTAAACCAGGAAGAAGTCGAATCCCTTAATAGACCAATAACAAGTTCTGAAATTGAGGCAATAATTAATAGCCTATTAACCAAAAAAGCCCAGAGCCAGACAGATTCACAGCCGAATTCTACCAGAGGTACAAAGAGGAGCTGGTACTATTCCTTCTGAAACTATTCCAAACAATAGAAAAAGAGAGACTTCTCCCTAACTCATTTTATAAGACCAGCATCATCATGATACCAAAACCTGGCAGACACACAACAAAAAAAGAACATTTCAGGCCAATATCCCCGATGAACATCGAAGCGAAAATCCTCAATAAAATACTGGCAAACCGAATCCAGCAGCACATCAAAAAGCTTATCTACCACTATCAAGTCGGTTTCATTCCCGGGACTGAAATAAATAAATAATGATTAAAAATTGCTTATGGAATAGAAGAAGGTATTTGTTGTTTCAGTTTGAAATTCCCTAGTGAAAAATAATTTTTAGCCTGTCTTCGTGTGTTTATTTATTATTTGCATATCTTCTTTGGTGAGAAGTCTATTCAGATCTTTTGCTCATTTTTTAATTGAGTTTTTTCCCATTGTTGACTTTTAAGAGTTCTTTATTTAAAAAAATATATTCTTTAGTGTTTCCAATCTCTTAACATTACATTTCACGGAAGTTTTCAATTTCCAAATTATCACCTTTTTATATTTCATCTATTTGGCATTATATCTAAAAACTCATCACAAAACAAAAAAACCCATCATTTTCTCTATTAAATTCTAGAAGCTTTATAGTATTTCTTTTCTATTTAACTCTCATACATTTTTAGCTAATTTTTGCAAAAGGTGTAAGTTTTCTGAGTTTATTTTTTAATATGGATATCCAATTCTTCCAACATGATTTGTTGTAAAGACTATCGTTTCCCCATTGAGTTTCATTTGCTTGCCAAGGAGCAGTGAATATATTTTTTGAGTCACTATGGGTTCTCTGTTCTGTTCCATTAATCTATATGCTTATTTCTGCCAGTACCTCACTGTCATGTTTCCTATAGCTTCAGAGTAAACCTGGAGGTCAGGTAGTTCAGTCTTCCAATATGTTCTTCCTCAGTGGAGTGTTGGCTATTCTGGGTCTTTCACCTTTCCATATAGACTTAGAATCAGTTGACCATGATAAAGCACAAATAACCTAAAATGGCCTGCTGGCACTTTAATTGGGATTGCATTGAATTTACACATCAAGCTGGGAAGAACTGACAGCTTACCAATATCGAGTCTTCTATTCCATGGACGCAGAACATCTTTCCATTACTTTTGATCTTTGATATTTTTCTTCAGAATTTTATAGTTTTCCACAAATAGATTCTGTATATGTTTTCTTGGATTTAGACCTAAGTATTCTATTTTTGTGACATTGTAAATAGCATTCAGTTATTAATTTCAAATTGCAATAGACAAGATTTCAGAAATGGGGTCCCAGTTTATATTCTTGATATAGGTTGGATGTCCCTTCAAAAATCTCATGTTGAAATGTGACCCCCAATATGAGAGTGGGGCCTGGTGGGAGGTATTTGGGTCATAAGGATGGATCCTTCATGGCTTGGTCCTGTCCTCGTGACAGTGAGTTATCTTGAAATCTGATTGAATAAAAATGTGTGGCACCTCCCCTCCCACCCTTTGCACTCTCTCTCTCTCTCTGTCTCTCTCTCTCTCTCTCTCTGTGGTATGCTTGCTCCCACTTTGAATTCTGCCATGAATAAAAGTTTCTGAGTCCCTCACCAGAAGCCCAGCAGATACCAGTGTCATGCCTGTATAGCCTGTAGAACCGTGGGCCAATTCAAACTCTTTCCTTTATAAGTTACCCAGTCTGGGGTATTCCTTTATAGCAATGCAAGCAGGACCTGATACAATTCTTATATGAAACATGTAAGAGTGCCCGTTTCCCCTCATCTTCACTGGTATGCCCTGATCTGCTTTGCGCCTTTGAGTTATCCTCTTTCCCTGTCAGCCTCTTCCTCTTCCCAGTAGATCCTGCTGGACTCAGCTTGTCATAACACACTCTAGGCAAGTGCCAGCCAATCCTAAGTGCATCATACTAACTTACAGAAGCCAGAGCAATGAGAAGTGAGATGACCCCCTGTAGGCTACCTGATTTCTAATCTAATGCCAGTTGGTTTATTTATAAAATAAGTGGCATTTGTTGAAAATATCTGTTCTTCTTACTTGAAACATTGCTTCTTTAATCTCATTCGCCATTCTCCTCCCTATGTGGAAAGTATTTTCTTTCTTTTAACTTGTATTTTAAGTTCAGGGGTACGTGTGCAGGTTCGTTAGATAGGTAAGCTTGTGGCATGGGGGTTCATTGTATAGATTATTTTATCATCCAAGTATTAAGCCTACTACTTCTTATTTATTTTTTCTGATTCTCTTCCTTCACCCTTCAGCACCCTCTACCCTTCAACTGGCCCATGTGTGTTGTTCCCCTCCATGTGTCGATGTGTTCTCATCATTTAGCTCCCATTTAGAAGCGAGAATATGTGGTATTTGGTTTTCTCTTCCCACATTAGTTTGCTAAGGATAATGGCCTCCAGCTCCATCTATGTTCCCACAAAAGACAAGGTATCATTCTTTTTCATGACTGCATAGTATTCCATGGTGTGTATGTGCCACATTTTCTTTATCAAGTCTATCACCTATGGGCATTTAGGTAAGATTCCACGTCTTTGATATTGTCCATAGTGCTGCAATGAACATATGCATGCATGTGTCTTTATAATAGAAAGATTTATATTGCTGGGTTAAATGATATTTCTGTCTTTAGGCCTTTGAGGAATTGCCACACTGTCTTCCACAGTGGTTGCACTAATTTATACTCTCACCAACATAAGCATTCCTTTTCTTTCACAAACTCTCCAGCATCTGTTATTTTTTTGACTTTTTAGTAATAGCCTTTCTGACTGATGTGAAAAGCTGGTAAGTGTTAAAAACACTTTAGGGATTCTTGAGTTGCTTAAATGTATTTAGTCAGAATCATGACACATTGTGTTTTTAGGGAAATACAATTAACTTCAAAATTAAAGCATTTAATTTAATTGATGAGTTGAGTTTATCCTCAGTTAGAAAATACTTTATTTCAATAAAGTATTAGAAAATACCTTATTTTATTTCTAATAAAGCATTAGAAAATACCTTATTTCTAATAAAGCATTAGAAAATACCTTATTTCTAATAAAGCATTAGAAAATACCTTATTTCTAATAAAGCATTAGAAAATACCTTATTTCTAATAAAGCAGTAGAAAATACCTTATTTCTAATAAAGCATTAGAAAATACCTTATTTCTAATAAAGCAGTAGAAAATACCTTATTTCTAATAAAGCATTAGAAAATACCTTATTTCTAATAAAGCATTAGAAAATACCTTATTTCTAATAAAGCATTAGAAAATACCTTATTTCTAATAAAGCATTAGAAAATACCTTATTTCTAATAAAGCATTAGAAAATACCTGATTTCTAATAAAGCATTAGAAAATACCTGATTTCTAATAAAGCATTAGAAAATACTTTATTTCTAATAAAGCATTAGAAAATACTTTATTTCTAATAAAGCATTAGAAAATACTTTATTTCTAATAAAGCATTAGAAAATACTTTATTTCTAATAAAGCATTAGAAAATACTTTATTTCTAATAAAGCATTAGAAAATACTTTATTTTCTAATTGAGGATAAACTCATCAACTAAATTAAATACTTTAATTTTAGAAGTTAATCGTATTTTCCTAAAAATACAATGTGTCATGATTCTGATTAAATATATTTAAACAACTCAAGAGTCCCAAAGGTGTTTTCCATACTTGCTTCTGGTCACGATCCCACTCTGTCCTTGGCAGGCAGCAGGAGTGGCTCAGGACACCGAGAACGAGGTCGGTGTACAATGGCATGTGCACAGAGAAGCCAGTCTCACAGCCTTCAGAGAAGCCTTGGCTGATGTGGGGACTTGACAGTGCTCCCATGTGACCACCCAGGCAGGAGTCTGAGTGTGCATGGCAGGTGAAACAGATCTTTAAAATAAGGTGCCAAGACCGAGTCGTAATCAAAAATCAAGGTGGGCCTTGCATAGCTTTCGTGTCTTCTTGTAAGTGGCATTTTCTCCGTGGGTTGTCCTGAACCTCAGGTTTCCCTTAGGTATATTGTTAAACCATTTTACAATATGTTGTAGCTGTATATTCTTCTGTAGCTCTTACTGTAGCTACCATTGTAAAATTTCCTGTGTGATTGTGGACTCTCCTCCCAGAGTGCTGCAGGCTTCTTGAGAACAGGACTGGTGTGTGCCGTCCAGCTTGTGTTTCCTGCCCCAAGCAAAATGCTCAGCCCATAACTGACTTAGCAGAAATAAAAGCTGAAAGAATGAATGACTGAATGAGTGAATGAATAAATAACTAAATGCGTGGCTGGATGCTAAACTTCAACATAAGCAATTTGATTACATCTAAGGAAAGCTTTTGTTTGGTGAGGAATGAAAACGCTCTTGAACATGTGTCTCTCCTAGTGCAGACCCTGCTTTGCTGCCTGTTGGCCGGGGCCCTGATAGAGTCCTCTGATATCAGAGGGATCTAATGCCAATGCCTTGGCCTGGGGGGACACCTTAGAAACACAGGTCTGAGCCTTCATAATTGCTCTTTAGGGGGAAATCCCAGGTGTACTGGCAGGGGTGGGGAGTGCCGCTAGATGGTTAACCTGCTAGTCTTATATCCTCATCTTCTCAATCTCACTATATATATATTAAAAAAAAAAAACTCTGTTGGAATAGGTAGCAGCTCTTTCTCTCTACTGACTTTCAATCTGATGAGTAGTCACATTCTGTAAGTATGTGCAGAAAAGACTGAACACAGCATACCCCAGCTACAGGAATACGCAAAAAAGGGCCCACACCACCTTTCTGGAGAAAGGACAGCCATCAATCAGTCATCCAACTGAAGCACGCGTACCTGCACCTCCACTGTGGCGGGTCTCTCTTTGCAACAGCTCAGCAAAGTGCAATGGAGCCATCAGGTACCAGGTTTCCACAATACCAAGTTTAAGCCACATAATATTTTTTACATTGATTTGCACAAGAATGAGGGTAGAGACTTTAATAATGAGGCATTTAAGCAAAATTGTCAATTAAAAGTTATCTGAGAAAAAATATTCTATATACAAAGAAATGTAAACACCAAGGCAGCCGGAACAATGGGCACTTTAAAGAAACAGCAAGGAGGCCAGTGTGGTAGGAGATAAAATTAGAATTTATAACTTGTGACACATTTTATTGTTGTTTTGTTTCTCTAAACCTTGATTAGCTTCAAGACTTCAAAGACATGTAGAGCTTCTCAGAGGAGATTAATGGTGCCATGGGAATGCTTGGCAGTTGTGAGGGTGCCTTGCTGGTCTAGTGAAGCTTGAAGGGGAAAGGATGTGGTGAGCAGATACAAGGAACTAAATATTGAATGTGGAAAGAGTTTATGGTCCCCTCAAACTACCTCAGTTCCCCTAAACCCTGACAGATGTGAGCTACAGTGGCAGAGGGATCTGAAGTGACTGACCGAGACACAAATCCAAGAGGAACAAATTTTTATTTTAATAGATATTGATTCACATTCAAAGTTTTCTTAGCCCAAGACTTGTCATGAAGTTGCTGAGACTCTTAAATCACAGTTTGCATAAGACTGAGAGCAACAAAAGTTCAAGACATCCTGAGAGGAGGAGGGGATTTCTAATAAGCCTATGAAGAAACTTTCATAAGGGTACAGCATCCATCATGTTGTCACCAATTTTATGGTTAAAACAGAGTTTGAAGTGATCTTCAATAAAATTTGAAATCTAAAATGTGGTTCTCAAAATACATTTCAATACATCAACATTCTTCAGGATTTCATCAGCAGTTATTACAATTCTGTCTGCAACAGGGAAATCTGTTTAGGAATATGTCACCATGGTGAATTCTTAGATGTTCTGAAGATGATGTGTGGCAGAAACCTAGCTGAGTAAAAGATTATAGATCTGTTTTTATGTTAAAAGAGTTATTTGTAAAGTGAGGTAAATAATTACATAAATTACTTATGTAATTATGTAAATTATCACATAAATCATATTTAATGGCAATGTGAGGGACATGTAGTATGAGAAGTCAGCAGCCACTGTGAAAGTGGAATCACATTGATGAGAAAAAGCACAACAGGATTTTCTCATGAAAAATCAGAAAAAAAAAAGTTTAAACCCACTGAATATTTAAAAAGTAGAAAAATAACCACAAATTATAAAATAATTCTGAAAAAGGAAGTTGGACTGACTTGAGAAGTTTAATAATTGAGTTTAGTCTTTGATGTACAACAGTTCCAGGCTGATGGAAATTGTCAATAGGATGGCTTTTATATTGTAATGCTCAGCGGGTCTCAGCACACGCCTTTTTCCCCAACACTGTATCTATGTATTCATTATATTGGTTCTGGAATACTTGAGATGTGGAATGTTGGATATCTCCTATCCATCTTGTGGCACAGATCCCTCTCCCTGAAATGCATTTTTTAATCAGGACACATATTCAAAGATAAGATACTCAAGGATGATTCACAAATTATGTCATAAAGGAGCTTAATCAGAAACCACCAAAGATGAGAGGTGTACTGTGAATTGGGGCACTACTGTGGGCCAATAGGTAGAGCAACGCTCTACTGTGACCTGCTGTAGTGGTGGATGTACATCATGCCTGCTGACAAGTAGCACTTCTATTAAATCACGGAATCAGTGTCTAGAAGCATCCTAGAAGGACAGTCAACGAGACAAAATTTTCTTTGGACAGCAGGCCATCTTCCTTTGGACAGCATCTTTGGACAGCAGTCCAATATACTGAACTTATAGGTAAACAAGATGGAACACCCACTGGTCAAGGAACAATATATCCATGTTGAGGTGATTCACAGCCCAAGAAAAAGGGTCAGGAGGTGGTGAATCTCACTTTGGGTACGTTTGTTAATAGACCACCTCAGCACCATGACGACAGACATGTAAAAAGACCAAGAAAATCCTGGTACATTTCACACTGAAAATGTTCTAGTGAGGATGTATTATTGACTTAAGACCAACAGGAAGATATAAGGTGAAACAATGTCCCAGAAAAGTTAGAGAAGGCTAGTTAGGCAGGGAACCTATGAACTCACATCTGTAAAGGGCTCAATCACAGGACAGAGACCAGGCTTTTGATGTCCCAGCAATGCACTGCACTGGCCTGATTCATAAAGTATGTCTGTCAATGCCTTCCAAAATCCCATATATTTGTTAATAGCTGCATCAAGATATAATTCACATGCCGCATAAATCACATGTTAAAGTGTAACATTCAATGTATTTCAGGATATTTACAATTGTGCAAACATCACCATGATCTGACTTCTTTCACTTATATTATGTTTTCAAGGTTCATTCATACTGCAGTATGTTTCCGGACTTCATTCTTTTTATTTCTAAATGATACTCCATTGTATGTGTGTAGCACATTTCGTCCAATCACTAGCTGATGGACACTGAATTGTTTCTACTTTTTGGATACCATAAATAATACCACTATGAACATTTGAGTACAAGTTTTTTGTAGACACGTTTTCATATTTTGGGGTAAATACCTAGAAGTAAAATTCCTAGATTACATGGTAACTCTATGGTAAATATTCTGAAAAAACATCCATCCTGTTTTATTAAGTGACCTCATCATTTTGTATCCACACAAGGAAATTTTGAAGGTTAAAATTTCTTCATATCCTCACCAACATGTGTTATTGTCTGTATTTTCTATTATATACATTGTACTGAGGATTTCAATATCCAATGAAATGGTATTTTGCTGTGATTTTGATTTGTATTTCTCTAATAACTAATAACATTAATCATTTTTTGTGCTTATTGACTACTTATATATTTTATTTGAACAAATGCCTATTGATATCATTGCCCATTTTTAAATTGTGTTATGTTTTGTTGTAGTTGGGTGTTAAGAGATCTTTATATATTCTTTATATAAGTCCCTTTTCAGAAATATAATATGAACGTATTTTCTCACATTTTGTGAGTCGTCTTCTCAGTTTGATGATATCATTTGCAGTATAAAAGTTTTTGTTTTGATACACTCAAATGTTTAAGGATTTTTTGTTGCTCATTTATCACTTATGCTTTGGTGAGATAGCTAAGAAATCATTTCTTTTTTTTGAGACAGAGTCTCGCTCTGTCGCCCAGGCTGCAGTGCAGTGAAGTGATCTCGGCTCACTGCAAGCTCCACCTCCCAGGTTCACACCATTCTCCTGCCTCAGCCTCCCCAGTAGCTGGGACTACAGGCACCCGCTACCACGCCTGGCTAATTTTTTATATTTTTAGTAGAGACGGGGTTTCATTGTGTTAGCCAGGATGGTCTCGAACTCCTGACCTCATGATCCGCCTGCCTCAGCCTCCCAGAGTGCTGGGATTACAGGCGTGAGCCACCACGCCCGGCCAAGAAATCATTTCTTAACCCTAAGTTATGGATATTTCCTATTATTTTTGTTCCAAATGTTTTATATTTTTAGCTTTTATATTTAGGTCTGTGGCCTAGTGTCAGTTAAGTTTTGTGTATGTTGTGAGGTAGGGGTCAAACTCATTCTTTTGCAAGGGGGTTTTAAGTTGTTCCAGCATTATTTGTTAAAAAGATTATTATTTCGCCTATTTAATTTTCAGTGTGCATCTGGCACTTTTTTTGTTAAATTTATTCATACATATTTTATTCTTTTTGATACTATTACAGATGGAATTCTTTCCTTACTTCCATTGTTGGCTTGTTTATTGCCAGCATATAAAATACAAATTTTTAAAAACATTAACCATACATCTATTAAAACCTTGCTTAACTCATTTATTTGGTGTAAAAATTATACTTGATACGTTAAGATTTTCTGTATACAAGATCATGTCATTTCCAAACTGAGACAACTTTGCATTTTCCTTTTCAATCTGAATGCCTGTTATTTATTTTTATTCCCAATTGCCCTACTAGGAACCTCTAGTGAAATACTGAATAGGAGTTACACAATGGTCATTCCTGTTTTGTTCTAGATTTCTGGGAGTTATCAAAATCCCAGTGATGTTTGTTACAAAAACACCGATCACAAAAGACCTATGCATTCTCAAAGGACCCTGAATAGTCAAAACATAATGAAAAAAAAAATGAAGAATTCAAACTTCTTGATTTCAAAACTTATTTTAAAACCACAGTAATCAAAATAGTGTGGTAATGGCATAAAGACAGACATATATACCGATGGAATAAAATAGAGAATCTAGAACTAAATTCTTGCATATATTACAAAATATTTTTTAAGAAGTTTAGCAAGACCATTAAATAAGAAAAGAGAAATTTTCAAGAAACGATGCTGGGAAAACTATATATCCAGATGCAAAAGAATAAAATTGGACCCTTACATAACACCATATCCAATTAACTCAAAATAGATCAAACACATAAATGTAAGACTTAAAACTATAAAACTCTTTGAGGAAAACATAGGGCAAAAACTTCATGACACTAGATTTGGCAATGATTTCTTTGATATGACACCAAAGACAGACTACGAAAGAAAAAATAGACAAATTAGACCTCATAAACTTTTAAATTGAACATTAGAAAACAATATAAACAAAATAAAAGGGCAGCCCTGAAATAGAAGAATTTGTAAATCATATGCCTGATAATAGAGTAATATCCAGAATATATATAAAACTGAAACTCAACAAAAGAAAAAAGTATTCCATTAAAAAATGGGCAAAACACTTTAATAGTCATTTCTCCATTTCTCCACGGAAGATATACACATGGCCATTAAGCACACCAAAGACGTTTAACACCACTAATCATTATGGAAATGCAAATCAAAACTATGATGAGATATCACCTCACACTCATTAGGATGCTACTAAACACCCACACACACTCACACACACACAAATAATAAGTGTTAGTGAGGTGGTGAGTATGTGGAGAAATTCGAATCCTTGTTCAGTCTCATTGGGAATGTAAAATGGTACAGCCGCTGTGGAAAACAGTATGGTGGTTCCTCAAAACACTAAAAGTATAATTACCATATGACGCAGCAATTCTGGTTCTGGATATATGCCAAATAGAATTGAAAGCATGGTCTCAAAGAAATATTTGTACATTCATGTTCATAACAGTATTATCCACAATAACCCAAATCCGGAAGCAAGCAAGTGACCAAAGATGATGAATATAGTAGTTAACGGTGGTACATACATACAGTGGAATATTGTTCAGCCTTAAAAAAGAAGAAAATTCTGCAGTATGCTACACATGGAACCTTAAGGATATTTTGCTAAGTGGAGTAAACCAATCACAAAAAGACAAGTACTACATGATTTCACTTATATGAGATATCTAAAGTAGTCAAAATCATAGAGACAAAATGTGTAATTGTGATTGCCAAGGGCTAAAGAGAGAGGAATATGGGGATCTACTGTTTCACGGATATAGAGCTTTGGTTTTACAAAACAAAAAAAAATATGGAAATGGATGGCATTGATGGTTACACAACATTGTGAATGTATTTAAAATAACATTTAAAATAGTCAAGATGTCAAATTTTCTGTTACGTGTATTTTGCCAATATAAAAACCTGAAAAAAAGAGTATTTTAGGGAGAAAAAAATCAGTCTTTCAACATTATATATTCCATTAGCTATGGAAATTTTGTAGATGCCTTTTACCAAGTTGAGTGAGTTTCTATTTTTAGATTTTTTATTGCTTTTACTCTGAGAGTATTGGATTCTATCAAATGTTTTTGCTGCATTTTTTAGGTAATCTTGCGGTTTTTGTTACCTTTATTCTAATAATATGGTTTATTGCATAGGTTTTTTCTGTGTGTATGATAAACCACCTTTGACTTCCAGGATTAATCCTGCTTGGTTATCGTGTATAATCCTTTTTATATGTTGCTGACTTTAAATTGCTGTTATTTTGTTGAAGTTTTTTATATATTCATAAAAGATATCATTTTTATTTATCTGCCTGGTTTTGGTACAAAGATATTACTGATCTCTAGAATGAGTCTCTGTATATTATCTTCTCTTTAATTTTTTGGAAGCATTAGTGGAGAACTGGTATTAATTCTTATTTTTATTTCTTTTACAAGCTAGTCTTTATTTTTAATTGAAAAGTAAAAAGTGTATGTATATATATTTATATACAAACAAGTATAGTATGCAACATGATGTTTTCACGTATGTATACATTGCGGAATGGCTAAATCAAGCTATTTAACATTTGCATCACCTCACATATCTTTTTGTGTGTGTGTGTGTGTGCATGTGTGTGTGTGTGGCAATTCTTTTAACCTTGTGTAAATTTCTTCAATGAAGTCATTTGAGCTGGGGCCTTTCTCTGCAGGAATTTTTAAAGTACAAGTTCACATTCTTCTTATATATCAAATTTTCTATTTCTTCTTGATTCAGTTTCAGTAGTTAGCTTCTTCCTAGGAACTTGTCCATTTCATTTAATTCATCTAATTCATTATCATTCAGTTGTTCATAGCATTCTCTCCTAAGACGTTTTTATTTCTGCAAACATAGTAGTGTTGTTCCTGTTTTCATTCACATTTTTTAGTAATTTGAGGTCTCCCCTCTTGTTTTCTTGGTTAGTCTTTTGAAGCTTTGTCAATTTTATTAAACTTTTCAAAAAGCCTGTTCTAAGTTTTATCCATTTGCTCTATTGTTTTTCTAGCTCTATGTCATTTGCTCCCACTCCAGTCTTCACTTTCCCCTCCCTTCTTCTTGCTTGAGATTTAGTTTTCTCGCTTCTTTTGTCTCAGGTGGATGCTTAGGCTACTAAGGTGACATCAGCTTCCTTTTTTAATATGGGTGATGATAGCTATAGGTTTCTACCTAAGCAATTTTTTTGATCTGCAGCTCACACAGTTTGAATGTTGTGTTTTCAGTTTTATTCACAGCATTTTCTAATTTTCTTGTGATTTATCTCACTCATTTTTATTACCACACATTTGTGAATTTCTCAAATTTGTTTCTGTAACTTATTTTTAATTTTCTTATAGTCAGAGAACATTATTTGTATGATTTCAGTGCCTTATCAATGTATTGAGGCTTTATGAAGGGGCTAGGATCCTTATAAAGAGAGGGAGATTTGGAGACACGAAAAAGACCAAAAAGAAAAAAAAAAAAAAGCCATGCAACGATGGAGGCAGAGAATGTAGTTGTTCCACCATATATTAAGGAACACCTGGGGCCACCAGAAGCGGAGAGAGACAAGGAAGGATTCTTCCCTAGACCCTTCATTGGGAGCACAGCCGCACTGACACCTTAATTTTAGGTTTCTGTCCTCCTGAACGGTGAGATAACAAATTCCTGTTGTTTTACGCCAACTAGTTTTTCATCATTTGTTACGGCAGCTTGTAGAAACTAATGTAGCAGACTTTTTTTTAGCAGCAAAAAATCATATTTGTTTTGTATATCTGGATTTGCTTTTGTGTTTATTTTTTTGAAAGACAGTTTTTTCTGGATACAAAATTCTTGACTGACAGATTTTTCTTTTTATATTATTCTACCGATCCCTGTTTTCACCATTTCTGATGACAAACTAGCTGCTAATTCTTTGGGGTTCTCTTAATTGTGATGAGTTAGTTTTCTTTTTCACCTTTGAAGATTTTCTCTTTGCCTTTTCCTTTAAATGTTTTGACGCTTATGGGTCTAATTGTGGATTTCTTTATGTTTATTCTACTTAGAGGTTGCTGAACTTTTTTGATGTGCAGGTGTTTGGGTTTCTTTGTATTTCTGTTTTGGCCAAATTTTGGGGATTTTTCAGACAATTACGTGGAAATTCTTTTTCTGTTCTTTTCTCCATCTCCTCTCCTTCTGGTACTCTCCCATTATGTATCTGTGGTGTACTTAATGTCCCACATTTCTCTGAGTCTGTGCTCATTTACCTTCATTCTTTCACCTCTCCGTTCTTCACATTGCATCATCATCAATGTATCTTCCAGCTTGCGGATTCTTCTCTGTCAACTCAGATCTACTGTTGCACCTATCTAGTTGATTCTTACTTCACTTATAATGCAAAATTAGAATTTCCATTCTGTTCTTTTTAATAATTTCTATCTCTTCACTGATATTCTTTATTTAATAAGACATTGTCAACCTATCTTTCTTTAATTCTTTAAATATGACTTCCTTTAGTTCATGGAATATATTTAGAAAGGTTCATCGAAGTCTTTGTCTGCTAAGTCCAATGTTTGGGCCCTCTCAAATGTTTCTGCTGTCTCACTTTTCTACTGTGCATTAGGAAGGTCACCTATTACTGTTTCTTTGCATATCTTAGGATTTGTTGTTGAAAATTGGATACCTTGTATAATCTATTGTAGTAACTTTGGGTAATGATAACTCCCTGGGGCTTGCTATTGTTGTTGTTTTCTTTCTTCTTGTTCATTTGTCTGGTGGCTAGCTGGACCATTCAAGAAATTCTGTTTTCCCCATAGTGTGCCGCGCATGGTGTTTCTCCTCAGAGCCTGCAATCCGTGGTCATATGTGGAGTTTTCCTTTTCCCTGAAAACACTGGTGGTTTTAGCGGAACTCTCTTGCCTGGCTGTTTCCACGATCTCATCAGTAAGCTTGTGGATTGTCTGCTTCTGTTGGCATCACACTAATCTATCCGCCTCCACTAATTGCTGAGTGTTTGCCAGTTGATTTCTACAATGTCCTATGACAAAAATTGTTCCATAGTCTGAACCAACTAAATTGACTCTCCATTGCAAGGTTGGAAATTGCCCATTTTTGAGACTTCCCAAAGTGTTTTTCTTATTTTTAATGTTATTACTACTGTTGTAATTGCTCTTCATTGCTTTCAACAATTCAGTCCGTTGGTCCCCTTCTCAGGGTCAGTGGAAGATATTTTGCATTCCCATCTAAATTTCTTTATCCTTCCTATAAAAGACCCACAGAGCTAGACGGCTAGTTTACGCCAGTCACCATATTCCATGTTCTTGGCCACAGTCACAGCGTCAAGGATAGGCCTGAGCCTGGAGCTCCCAACTGGGGAATCTCAGAAGAGGTGACTGGAGTGGAGACCTCTTTTCCCTTCCTCTGGATCACAAGCTG
Source organism: Homo sapiens (assembly GCF_000001405.40). Classification (NCBI taxonomy): domain Eukaryota; kingdom Metazoa; phylum Chordata; class Mammalia; order Primates; family Hominidae; genus Homo; species Homo sapiens. The sequence goes on from NC_000005.10 coordinate 4,826,747, forward strand.
TGCAGAGATGAGTCTACACACACTGGCAGACATCCTGCATCCACACGGCAATCAGCCCAGGGCCAAAGCCTGCTCTGTGGGGAGAGCACAGGAAAGGAAAGTGCAGACAAATGCAGCCACAGCACTTGCCTGGAAGCTTGATACCCCCACCGGGCTTCCAGCAGTGTGGAAGAATAAGTGGGCTCTAGGTTTCTGCAAGTTTTGGAAAATCTTCTCTCACCTTCAGCCAAACTTGTGCTGAATAATGCTGAGCTTTTTACGAAACCAGGACGCCTCTCCCTCTCACTCATGATAAAAGTGGGAGTGAATTTCATCTCCAAAGTCCTCCAAAGACCTTTGTTTAAAACATTTAACTTCATAAGTATGGAGGACCTTTCGCCAGAGATACAGTCAATCCCACCAGGCACCAGGTCCCACTAAGCCTCATCTTTTAACACTGTTGCTGGTGGCACTGCCTACTGGTTGGGCTCGGCAGAATATTAGCTGCCCCCTGTCTCCATCCCATCCTGGCTCAGAAACCATTAAGCCACAGTCCTCTGGGTGAGTTTACATTCACATTTTCCACCATAAAACATATCAAATTTGTCAAAATACACCATAACCATCCCCTGATAGATGGTGGAATGGAACATACTCTTGTTTGCAAATAGGGGCATCTGCAAAATCCATAATACCAACCTTGCTTCTAAGCTCTGAAACACAGCAAAGATAGTGTTTGTTAGGTCCTCCCCACAAAATATAAATTTTACAAACCAATTCAAGAACTAAATTTCAAAATTTGAAGTTATAAATTCAGGATAATTTATTAAAATATTATACAAACTATAAACCTATAATTCCCTTTGAATTGTTATTCACATTGAGAGCATATAGTTTTAGGGCAATGGACTAACTTGTTGCATATCTTTATTTCTGTGTGATTATATTTTCTTGATGAGCCCAGAAAATTAATGTATATATAAGATGACAAAACATACCCAGTGAGTACTAGAATGCATTTCACCACATGAGGATCTATGAAACGAGAATCCTTATTATAGTTATCACATGGTCTTTGCTCCGACATCTCCTCCATCCAAGGGCTACCTTGATCTAGAGCCCTGGTCTCTTGTCTGTACCAAAAACGATTGCAGAAGAAAAGCAGTGGGTGCTTGTGCCATTCTGAATTTTTTCAATCTTATGAGAGAAAGCAAAATACAATTCAGAATTTTTCTTCATGCCCAAAGCCATTAGCCCTGAGAAATGCTGTTATGTTTTCAGTGTTGTCATAATGCCAATCGTACTATGGTAATGCCAATCATATCATGATGTCAGTCACAGCGTGGTAAGATTATGGAGCACTGCCACCCCAAGAAGTGAAGCATCCCCATTTTCTCCACAACTTAGCAACCAATAGTTCTCTTCCAAATCAAACTCAAAAACCTCAATATTGCCCAATTGAATTTTCTTCTGTAAAGAAAACCTGAGCCCCATGACCTGCTGAACATTTGCCTTAGTCCAGCAATTGACTGTGTGCTCTTAGAGACATCTAAGAACTGCAGCAAGGCTGAATGGCCATCGAGGAATTAGAGTGCACCAAGGGTCTACCCAGCATCTTATACCAATGTTATCACTGTGAATCTGGCCTGCCTTCACTAGTAAGTGGTGCCAACTGTACAGTCCCAAGTTGTGATCTTGGAATATGCTCAGGGTATTATAAAATCACCAGTCCCTAACTGCAGCTGGTGCAAATTGCTGGGCCCTCTATCACTATAAACATTATACAACACAATTGTGGGCCTGTTGTTAGGACTCTAAGGCCAGCCAAGAGATCTTATCCTATGTGAGTTAATTGTCATATCAAAGAGTCCTGAGACACACTGAGTAGTTCCTCGGCTTCTGAAGGAAAGCATACTCAGTGCCTTGAGATCCCATGGTTCTGACAGCCACAACTGGGAGCTGCATTTACTTCTTCTCCATGTCCTCAGAAGGTCTTGTGAATCACAAGATATGTTGGAGGCTGTGCTGGCAGTCTCTCAGCATCTGACTTGTTGAGCAAGGAGACCCTGTGTTAGACTGGAAACATGGGAGGAAAGAACTTGAAGGAGATGCCAGAATTAGTGACTCTGAGATGTTCTTAGCACTCACATCCCCTTTCTTGACAATGCTACAAGATGTCTGTACTTTAAATTTAATTTTTAATGGTTCTGACTTGAATAGAGTTTTCACTCTCAAACTGCTGCAATGTCTTCCATTAGAAAAATATTTCCTGGGAACAATTCAGTCTTCTCTTTTGAGAATAAATGGACTGAATGAATAAATTTTAATTGTACCAAAGCACCTTGTAATCTTTAAATAATGAGCTAATTCTGTATACTCACATCAATGAGGGCTCCTTATCCTTAGCAAAGTCTTTCTGCAGCAGACAATAAGGTGTGGGCTGCAGTTACCAAATTCTTAATGGTGGCATTTCCTTACCTCTGTCGTGCAGTTGTACTTTTTTAGCACTCCCACAAGTCACCTAATTAACTTTCTCTGGTGGTCACAGATTCCATGCATATTTAATGTTATTAAAATAAGTTTGATCAGCCAGTGCTGAGCGGTGTTCAGCACGCAATTAAGGCAGCCCATCTTGACTTCACACATGGGCTGCTGTAACCTGGCAGAGAATTATTCTGATGCATCACATGAGTCCTCCTCCTCCTCCATTGTTTTATATCACATTTGGATTGCCAAACAACTTTGACTGCTGCATGTGCAAAAATTAAAATGCCATCTGAAACCATCATTATGCACATAAAGCATACATCCCATGCATGACTCCTATAGCTTAAGATCTCTGCTACTTTCATGTACTTGAACTTTTGAAGGGAAGGTTTGCCCCCAGGTCCCCATGGTGTAAGGGTTATGGGATATGACTGCTCTCAGTTCTGTGATTTCTGAAACTATTTGCAACAAGCTACCATTCTCTACTAGAAAACATCTGAAAACCATTTTGTTGAAAAAAATCGGCTCACCCAAAGGTATTGGGCATTGCTACTCCTGAAGACTGCTGCATATTTATGGTGATTTGGCATAACAACAAATACAGAGGGATTGTGTTTGCTGAGGTTAGCAGTAGTTCAGTCTGTGCATTGCAATTCACTGAAGAGGGGATGTGGTTGCACGTTTTGAGAGATGGTGGAAATCTCATTTTACCAACAGCTGTGTAGGGATTTGAAATTAAATGGCCAACAGTTGTGGATACTGAAAATTAAATGGGATGGGGAAAGTTGGCAGCAAATATCCTTTAAAGTTATTGCTTATTTTCTTGTTTATTTGTTTTACAAATTAGCATCATTATTTTACATTTGAGAAAATTACAGCAGGAGAGGGTAAATGTATTTGCCCACAACAACACAAATAGCATCAGAGTTAGAATTTGAATTCAGTCCTCTGGCTTCAAATCTCACTTTTGAACCCCCAAGCAACACTAGCCCTCTGCTGCTTCCTCTCTCCCTCCCTCCCCTCTTTCCTTCCTTCCTTCTTTCTTTTTTTATTCTTATGACAGTAATTTTAAATTTCTCTGACAAGACCATCACAAGACTAAAATACAAAAACAAAAAATAGCTAACTAGAATTTTTAAATAATGGAAAAAAACACAAACACTTACTTCCAAAATTTTACCATGGTTGGAAGATATTATTTTTAATACTATCTTTAACACCTTAAAAATAATTTCATTCCCTTGATGGAATAGGAATTTCTCAAATATGGTATATTATCCAGAAGAAAGGGGCTTTGGGCAAGCATGGATCTCTTTTCTATTCTCCTTACAAACAGCTTCATGACAATTTCTAGAGACAGAAACACACTGATGTGAAGCTTGAAGTGTACGTGTGTGTACGTGTGTATGTATGTTAATGTATATGCATGTATGTAGACTTGTGTGTGCATTTATGTGTGTCTGTGTCTGTGTGTGTGTACATGTCCATGTTTGGAGATGTTCTTGACATGATGCTTTGTAATCACAATTCCAAACATCAACGGAAGGATTTTTCTGGGCATTTCTTGCCAACAAGTTGGAGAACAATGGCCAGAGGGAAAGTAGGGCTTTGCCGCTACCTCCAAAATCTCCAGCTCCACTGTTAAATTCCATTTGAAAGATGCCCAGGAGGAGACCACATTTCTGAAGCATGGCATGTAGGATCAGGGCTTCCCTTGGAAAATCTTGCCTGGGAATACTGTCCTGCCCTCTGAAGCCACCTGCCCCTACAGAGGCCCTGCCACTCATGATGAATCCCTTGGTGGAGAGAGATTAAGATTTACTGGGTCAGGTACCACTCTCCTTTTTAAAAAAGGATGTTTTGGAAAAGGGGTTTTAGAAAAAAAGGATATTAGTGTGGAATTTTCAGCCTTTACAAAACATAATACCTTCATATTTTTATTAAAACATTTAGTTCTATTTGTTTGTGTTTGTTTTGTATTAAAAAATACTTCAGAAACTTCAACAAAACTTGTTTTTTAGAAAATCAGAAACCTGCGAAAGGTTACTTTATAATGTAAAAGCATATGGCTTTACGATTGCCTTGTTTACAGTAAAAGCAAAGATGTATGTGTATATATGGTTTTGAATGCACTTCTTTGAAAAAAAGATATGGAGTTTGAATACAGGTAATGTTTGATGATGAGGTTAGACTGGAATAGGATGTAGGGTGTTTGGAGCTAGAGGTGTTAGCTAAAGTAGGTGCTAAGGTTTCAGTCTGGGGTTGGGGTTGAAAGTAGGAGCTGGGCTCACGGGGTGGGGGGTTGATTAGGTCAGAAGCTGAGTTGGTGATGGGCTGAGAGAACACTTAGAAGCAAACTGATGAGTCAGGGCTCAGGCCTCCCTTAAAACTACACAGTTTCCTTATCACCCTCATTGAAGTGTTCCTTTCCTGAGAGTTCCTTGTGCAGGGTCAGGCACCATCCTTGGATCAAGCTTGTGGTCCAGTTTGGTGGTTCAGGCATTTCTTTTATTTTATAAAGAAAAATCTCTCTTTTCCCTTGACTTCCAGATAGCCACTTTTCCCCATGTCCATAGGGAAGGTCCAGCTTTTTCCATTTCTCCTTGTAGTTTCTGTTTTTCCTGTGATCTTGGTGAAGAAAATTAATTTAGTGCTTTCAGTTATCTTAGAGTCTTTGATCCTTACTTAAATACTGTGATGAAATATGATTATTTTCCTCCTTTAAGAGAGATAGAAATAAAGCTTCAGATATCCCAAGGTCATAGAGCAGGTAGATTACACATAGTTGGCATTTTATTTTAAAACTGTGTACATGTACATGTATAAAATCTGTAGTCAAAAGGGAGGGAGGAAGAAAGGAAGAGAGACAGGGAGAAAGGAAGGGAGAGAGGGAGGGAGGGAGGGAGAAATGGAGAGGAAGGAGAAGGGAGAGAGAGAGAAGGAATAATAAATTATACCAGGTCTTCTGAGACCCAAATCTCTAATTGTTCAGTTGTACCTGTAGCCTGATGATTTCCTACATCACCTTGTTAGCTATGATTCAGTGAGAATTAAAGTAGTGACCCCTGTTATCTAAAATAGCACCACCTATAATGCACATATTTGTAAATGCATATAGGAAATGCAGAGACTTAAATATGATAGAAACATTAAACCAATATATAAATGGAAAGTAGGAAAGTAAGATTTAACTTTAAAAGGAAATTTTAAATCTTGCTATATTATTATCTACTTTAGGACTCTTTAAATATACGTTGGCTGGAGCCCTGAGAAGTATATCCCCATTACCGTAAATTCCACTTAGATCGTGATGGGGATTAGTGTGAATCAAAAACCAAGCCCTCCTTCCATGTGGAGTGGCAAACCTTCGCTGCAGCCTCATTTCCACTAATCTGAGGCTGCTGTGTGATCTTTGATCACACCAAGTATTACAGATGGAAAAGTACTCTTCTCAAATCCCCAACGTGTTTCCAACTGTCAATACAATCCTTTTTAAGTGTCAAAAGCAATTGCTCTGGTTTCTACTTATACTGCTAACCATAGCAGTACATTTCAGTACTTCTAAAGCAAAACAACAACCAAATGGCATAACTGCGGGCCAGAATTCTGACAGGCACATTCACCCTCTGCTTTAAAGGCATTAGAAATCCATTTCTAAAAATTGCCATTTATGTTAACTGCACTTTAAAGATTAGGTATTTCACTCTGCAATACCTTATCTGGGAGGCAAAACACCCCCACTCCAACCCTTGAATTATACAAACAAATCACACAGGTTACATGTCTAGCAAGATGTTTAAATCCACACAGAAAATGAAGCGTTCCTAGAAAATGCAATAAACATTTTAATATTTGGAAGCAAATGAACAAAGGATGTCTCCCATTTAGAAGATTATCTCAATGAAATTGAATTCATCCCCATAAATTATACAAGACAATGGTTTGCAGTAATTGATGTAATAAAGTAGTGGGTAGAAAGAGTCACAATTCCCTAAACTAGATAAAATAAGCAATTACTCTTGCTATCAGAATGGCAGCATCAATGGGAACGCTGTCTGTGTCTGAACACAACCCAACCAGCCCTGTTGCATTTAAGCATCAGAGGCCATGGCCTTATTATCTTTCCAGGATGTGCATGTATAATAAGCTTCCCCAACAAATGAAGGGGGGATGTTTCTGGCAAAATGAAAAATGGTGCTAAACTATGTCCAGATGATTAATTCACAGAAACTCTCCATCACACAGCAACGACATATGCCCATCTCCTCTGTTGTCCCCTTGGAGATTTTCCTACTAAACGTATGTGCATATTTTTCATGGCCACTGATATTTGAATTGCAGCCTGCTCCCATGCAGAACATGAAACACTTCAAACTGCATAATGCTGACTAAATTATAAAGTCTCCAGTGGCCTGAGGTAGCAATAGCCATAATAATGAGTGTACTTAAGTGGTTTGTGTAGATCTCCCCGCCCCCTTAAATTTAATGCCTTGACTTATCAGGTTTTTTTTCTTTTTCCCCACATAACATTACTGACCACTTTGTATTGGGGAAATGCAATTGTCTCTCATTGTATAATGACTATGCAAGAATAGAAAAGGTAGTGGTCGGTGGCTGATTTATAGGCATGGTTTAATTGAATAAAGCAGTCACCTGGCATGTTTTCATCCGTTGTTATTCCATCTTGTTTAAATACAGATAATGCAAGGATTTGTGCACGTTAAAGTATAGCACTTACATTACTTTAAACGATATCATCCACTTGCACACCTAAGTTGGTACATCAATCCTGAATAATTTTCTATAATTTAGGATATTTTGCATTAATTATTTTCTGAAGAAAATGAGAAGTGCAAAAAGCAAATACATATATTTAATAATTTAGTAAAAAAAATTATGTGTTAAAATGTTGATGGTATTCTGGTTATCCTAGTCTCTTTTAATGGTTGTGCCAATTAAGGCTCAATTTTTAGCATGGCATGGGATAAAACAAAAAGTAGTTTAATATTGCGAATTTATGTAACCCACTATGTGCCAAGCATTGGTGAAATAAATACTTTCCAGTTTTCATAAGTCTTTTATCAGGCTAAAAACAGAAAGCACTATGTGCCCAGAATCTGAACAAAGAGAATCTTTCCTGGTTGGACAAAGAAATGGATTTGATGAAGGTGAAATGAAGAACAAAATTGAAAAAGGTGTTGTATCAACCTGGCCCCTCTCAGTCCTGTGGCTTGGAATGGTCAGCCCAGCCTACATGTCAGGACCTGGATTCGAGGCTTAGTCTCACCAGTGAGGTCTCCCCATTCACCCAGGCACAGCAACTCTGTCAAGGGTGGGGGCACGTGCAGGTCCTGCATCAGTGGACCTGGAACCTAGGAATTGCACTGGAGAAAGAGGTACATTCTTCCACTGGAGGCTGCCAAGGTGATAAAAGGTAAGGCTGGAGCAATTGGGATTCACTTTTCCCTGCAAATAGGAAGTCCTGCTTGTATGTAAGCCACCTCAAGGAAAACAGACCTTAGAGAAAGGAGCAGGAATTTTGGCAGTGACTTTCCTTGCGTCTTCAGGTGACTGTATCCCCGGACATTTTATCCGTGTAAGCCAATAGGTTTCCTTTTATGCTTTAACCAGTTTGAGTTGATTTTCTCATTTGCAATCAAAATACTTCTGACTCTTTTGGTCCCTTCTGCTTTACTTGAATCTCATGAGAATCGGTGCTAGCTGAGAGATCTCAGTTGTCATAATGGGATAATAAAGCTGCGGTTACCCACTGGGAGCACAGTACGAGAAAAACTCATCTCTCCCAGTGCAGAGGCAGGAAGCAGCCCTGGCCCAAGCCTCTGAAGGCCTAGAATGCCAGATGGAAGGCATTGGTGAACGAGGGGTATATAACAAAGATTTCCAATAACAATACAGATGCTTAGAAAAAAATCCAGATTTTCCACCAAAAACTAAATGTTTCTGTTTTTCATCCAATTATCCCAGCATGGCCTCTTTATGGATTCTTAGAGTGGTGTCTACATTTATTCATGGTATCAAACAAACAAACAAACATTCCTGCACATCTGTCTGAGAAGTGAGGGTGGAATATAGGGACAATTCTATCTAAGGCCATTTAGGGAAACCAACCAAGAAAGGAAGCCACATTTTTTGTTTAGTCCTAGGGAAACTCTGTCCTTTCACCCTGACTGCTGTTAGCTGTAGAGTTAGTACAACAGCTTTCATCAGAGGACCCTGCCCTCAGGATCTGGCCACTGTGTGGTAGAGGTGAGAATAAGTCAGTCCCAGGAGTGTGCGATCAGGTGCTATGAAAAGAGCTGTAAGCTCTACTTTAATAAACTTCAGCACTAAGACACAGAGTTACAAGTGAAGAAGACAGTGAGATCGAGCAGACAGGGTGTGAGGTGGGATTGGGGCATTGAGGCCCTCACCAAGCTGAAGAAATCATTTTGCTTCTACAGGTCTCTATACACTCATTCCTAGTGGGTTTTGCCCCGAAAAATGAATAAGGGCCATTTAGCCAATGGTTCAACTACTGAATCTGTCCAAGTTCTGACCCAAGGCTGGCCGCGATGCACGCATGCATGTCTTGTTCATTCTTACTCCCTTTTCCTCTGCAAACTGCAAGAATTTTAAGAGTTAATGCCTAGGTGTGGTTGACAAGGTCAGGCAGAACATTTGCTTCTTTTCTTTTTTGTATTAATATTTTCCTTTGAAAACATTAAAGAAAAAAATTAAAAAAGCAAATGGCACTAAAGGGGAAGCAGTGAAGACTCCACATTTTGCCACCCATGGGCTGGACCCACCCACAGCCTTTCCCTCAAGAGAGGCATCATGGCCTCCAGTTCTAAGCAGGAGGTGGTTCTAAGAAAGATCCCTAGAAGAGGAGTTGCTGGGTCAAAGGGCATATGCACTTTGAACATAGAGAGATATTGACAAATCATCTTTCATAAATGGTATTAAGTGGTACTTTAGAAAATGGCATCAATCTTGTAAATCTTTGCTGATCTGACCATGTGAGAAGCATTTTACTTTAATTTTACTTTGCATTTATTTTAATGAATAATTTGATTGTTTCACATATGAAAAGATATTTATATTTTCTTTTCTAAAATCTGTTTTCTTTGATATTTTTATTGTATTAATCTTTATCTTACTGATTTATAGAAGTTTCTTATATGTTAGTCCTTTGATATGAGTTATGATTATTTCTCCCAATTTGTCATTTGGCTTTTGAATTTGTTTATGATTTGTAGCCATGAATTGTTTATTTCATAGAGTAAAACCTATCAGTTCTCATCTTTCATGGCTTCTGAATTTTGTTTCATGTTTAGAAATTTTTATTATGTGATGATATTTAAAAATCCATCATGTTTTCTTATAGCATTTTTATTGTTTCACATTACTTTTTCTACTAACATTTTGTGCATTTGCACTTTATTTTGGTGAAGGATACAGGGATATAGGGTAGGATCCCACTCTACTTTTCAGATGTTATCCAGTTGTTCATACGGCATCTACTGAATAATCTATATTTCTCCTAACAATAGTAGCAAAAGCCTTCCTTTGTGATATTACCAACATCTTGTTAACTAACTTTTCTCCCACAGTTTCAGTTGTATTTTGTGAACATATATTTTATTTGGATTTTGTTTCTTGTATCCATTATTATTCTTTTTCAGTTTCTGAATCTAAAGCATTTAGATAAAACTACGTCATTTCATGTAAGGAATAATTTTTACACCTTATTAAATATTAAAACTCACTTTTGCTAGCCTCCAAGAAAGGGAGAGCTTACATGCAATATTTATTATGTTACAAAACATTAGGCAAAGCATGTTTTTGAGAATACTGTCATATCCACTGTGGTCATTAGAAACAATTTGAAGTTTGAAATACATTTATATTGTGTTCTCTTTTTTCCCCTTTCTTTGAGGTTGAAAAGATAAGAATTATTTCCTATAAAACATAGATAACATTTGAATGTTTTATACTTTATCATTCCAGAGCCAAGACCCAGAATCAAGAGTTTCTGATATATTGTTGTGGCCCAAAGCATGGTTAAGGAAAACTAAAATTTTACACATACCTACAAATTGAAGGACTCATAATTCAACCTTAAACAGAATACACTGAAAAATGAATTACTGAGAGGTGACAGCGTGCTGGCAGCCCTCACAGCCCTCGCTCGCCCTGGGCACCTCTTCGGCCTTGGTGCCCACTCTGGCCACACTTGAGGAGCCCTTCAGCCCGCTGCTGCACTGTGGGAGCCCCTTTCTGGGCTGGCCAAGGCTGGAGCCAGCTCCCTCAGCTTGCGAGGTGTGGAGGGAGAGGCACGGGCGGGAACTGGGGCTGCATGCAGTGCTTGCGGGCCAGCGTGAGTTCTGGGTGGGTGTGGACTTGGCGGGCCGCACTGGGAGCGGCCGGCCAGCCCTGCCAGCCCGGGGCAATGAGGGGCTTAGCACCCAGGCCAGCAGCTGCGGAGGGTGTGCTGGGTCCCCCAGCAGGGCCGGCCCACCGGCGCTGCATTCGATTTCTCGCCTGGCCTTAGCTGCCTCCCCGCAGGTCAGGGCTCGGGACCTGCAGCCCACCATGCCTGAGCCTCCCTCCCCCTCCATGGGCTCCTATGTGGCCGAGCCTCCCCGAGAGCTGCCCCCTGCTCCACGGCGCCCAATCCCATCCACCACCCAAGGGGTGAGGAGTGCGGGCGCACGGCAGGGGACCGGCAGGCAGCTCCACCTGCGGCCCCGGTGTGGGATCCACTGGGTGAATCCAGCTGGGCTCCTGAGTCTGGTGGGGACTTGGAGAACCTTTATGTCTAGCTAGGAGATTGTAAATACACCAATCGGCACTCTGTATCTAGCTCGAGGTTTGTGAACACACCAATCAGCACCCTGTGTCTAGCTCAGGGTTTGTGAATGCACCAATCCACACTCTGTATCTAGCTACTCTGGTGGGAGTTGGAGAATCTTTATGTCTAGCTAAGGGATTGTAAATACACCAATCAGCACTCTGTATCTAGCTCAAGGTTTGTAAACACACCAATCAGCACCCTGTGTCTAGCTCAGGGTTTGTGAATGCACCAATCAACACTCTGTATCTAGCTACTCTGGTGGGGACTTGGAGAACCTTTGTGTCGACACTCTGTATCTAGCTAATCTAGTGGGGAAGTGGAGAACCTTTGTGTCTAGCTCAGGGATTGTAAACGCACCAATCAGCACCCTGTCAAAACAGACCACTCGGCTCTCTGTAAAATGGACCAATCAGCAGGATGTGGGTGGGGCCAGATAAGAGAATAAAAGCAGGCTGCCCAAGGCAGCAGTGGCAACCCGCTCGGGTCCCCTTCCACACTGTGGCAGCTTTGTTCTTTCACTCTTTGCAATAAATCTTGCTGCTGCTCACTCTTTGGGTCCACACTGCCTTTATGAGCTATAACATTCACTTCTGCAGCTTCACTCCTGAAGCCAGCGAGACCACGAACCCACCGGGAGGAACAAACAACTCCAGACGTGCCGCTTTAAGAACTGTAACACTCACCGCAAGGGTCCACAGCTTCATTCTTGAAGTCAGTGAGACCAAGAACCCACCAATTCCGGACACATTATCATTTCTCATCTCTCTCCATGTTAGCTATAAAGGAGATCTTGATGGCCATAAATTTCAAATACAGGACAATGCCTGGACATCTGTGGATGGCCACAATGGCATTTAGACACACAGCCAAACAGGAGCCCAGCCCATATTGGGAAAAGGAACAAAGCAAGTTTCTGGTGGCTAAAATTGATGCACAAGGTGATTGAGTTTTAAGTCTTTCTCACATGTGAAAAACAAGCAGCCAACCAGTCAATCATAACCACACACTAAAAATCTTTAAAACTGTATGAATTTGAAGATAGATCCAGAAACCATAAAATTGTCTGGCATACTCTAGACAAAAGAAAAATGATTCAAACTGAAATTTAAGATTCTTGCTTCAGAAAGAGCCCAGTATTTAGTCCTGCTTTTTTTCGTAATTTAATGCCAATGATAAACCAGAAGTTTAACTCATAGGCATGACTTCTCTCATGGCAAGGCGTGTAGTCATTCAAAGTTCCTGATCATGTCCCACTGAACCATGTGTATAATGATTATCTCTGGAACCTGAGAGAGGCTATCAGCCAGTGGATAAGAGAGTCCCTATGACAGGGAGAAAGCCTGAGGAAGCCTACATCCCTCTCTTGTGGGTGAGCATGAAACATCTCCTCCAGAGCTTACAAATGGTAGATCCCAGGAGAATACAAGTGGATGGAAAGAATAACAAAGAGGAGGAGAAAGACTCAGGTATAAAGGCCCAGAAACAAGTGGAATTAAGGATGGTTCTCCATTGGAGATAAAACAAATAAGTCAACCATGGAGATAAAGTGAAACTATTCATTTAGTACAAAAAGGGAAGGAAAAGAAGAAAAAAAGAGCAAGGGGACAAGAAAAATTAAATAGCAAACATATATTTAAATTGTCATGTTAATATGTACATTAAATGCAAATGACTTGAACAGACAAAAAGGCAAAGATTGTTATGAAAAAAGCAATTTGAATTTTTTAAAGATAGTATCAAAAATAAATAGCATATATATATAATGCATACACTAAGCAAAAGAAAGCTGAAGTGGTTACATTAATCTCAAAGTAAATTTTAAAACAAGAAATAAAGACATTTCATAATTAAAAAGGAATATATTGCTAAAGACTAATTTTGCATCCAAATATATGAGACTTAAATATCAGAGCTTCAAAATAATAAAAGAAAAATGTACAGAACTGAAACAAATAGAAAACTTTAAAATTATAATAGAATTCTGCATTCCCTCCTTAATAATCAATAGATCACAGACAGAAAATTAATAAGGATCTAGAAGACATAAAAAAACGCTATGTGACCTAGCTGATATTCATAGAACACTTACAGCACTCCACTCAAACTAGCAAAAGACAGATTCTGTTAAAGTACATGTGAAACATTTATTAAGACATACAATATTCTAGACTATAAAGCAAATCTCAACACATTAAAAAAATGCAATCAAAGTGTAGTCTCTGCCCACAGTGAAATTAAACTTAAAATCAATTATAGCATTTTAAAATTCCCAAACACTTGGAAATTAAAAAAACACACTTCTGTGTAACCCAGGGGTCAAATAAGCAATCAGAAGTAAAATTAGAAAATATTTTGAGTTAGATGACAATGTAAAAGAAAAGAAGAAAGATCAATTACATATAAACATACGTGGTACACAGCTAAAGCAGTGATAAGAGGAACATTTATAGGATTAAAATTCTTACACTGAAAACAGGAAATATGTCAAATCAATAATATCTACCTTAGAAAGAAAGAAAAGGAATAGCAAATTAAATTTAAAGTGAGTTCAAGTAATGATAAAATGAAGATAAATATAAAAATCAGCAAAATTGATAACAGGAAAGCAATAGAGAAAATAAAACAAAAAGCTCATTCTTTATTTATTTACTTATTTATTTATTTTGAGATGGAGTTTCACTATTGTTGCCCAGGCTGGAATGCAATGACACGATGTCGGCTCACTGCAACCTCCACCTCCCAGGTTCAAGTGATTCTTCTGCCTCAGCCCCCTGAGTAGCTGAGATTACAGGCATGTGCCACTATGCCTGGCTAATTTTTGTATTTTTAGTAGATATGGGGTTTCACCATGTTGGTCAGGCTGGTCTCGAACCCCTGACCTCAGGTGATCCACCTGCCTCAGCCTCCCAAAGTGCTGGGATTAAAACAAGTGGAGGAATATGAGTTCTTCAGGAACTGGTGTGGGTAAAGATGGGTTTTCTGTGGATCAGAAGGAATGCAGTTTGACCATGATCTATTCTGTGATCACCAAATGGGTCATGGAGAAGAGGTTTCCCAGGCGCTCTTTAGTCTAGCTTGTGTGGCTGTTAGGGATGAGATCTGAGTCTGTTTTTGATGTTTTGCTTTAAAACAAAATGACCTAAATAGTGTCTGATGTTAGCTATGCCAAGTTCTAATCTCAAATCAAATCAATGAAGAAGCATCAGAATTCTTATGAAAGTTAAGAAAGACTTAAAACAAAAGCACTATCTGAGGAAGATTACAACCCATGTAAAAACCAATGTGTTAATGTGTATCAAGCTCATCCAAAATGACTCAGGTCATTCGAAGCTGTACACCTTTTTCTTTTATGGTTCTCAAGAAACAATTAGGCCAAGTGCGGTGGCTCACACCTGTAGTCCCAGCTACTTGGGAGGTAAGGTGGAAGGACTGCTTGAGCCCAAGAGTTAGAGACCAGCCTGGGCAACATAGGGAGATCCTGTCTCTGCAAAACATAATTAAAGAAAAAAGAACGAAAGAATTAGAAATAAAACAATTAAGTGGAATTTTAAGCATTAAAATTGCTTATAGAAGAATTATTTACAATAGTAAAGAGTGGACACTCACACTCAATATTTGACAATTGGAGATTGGTCATTGCGTTGGATCCTTTAAATTAAGAGAATCTAATAAAATAAAAAGATCATCATGTTACAGCTTCATGGAAAACTCATGTGAAAAATTACATAAAATATGACATCAAGATTATAAAACTATGTGGGAAAAAAGATCTAGAAGAAATCCCTCAAGCTATTAAATTAATGAGCCATATGCAGTAGTCTTAAGGCTGGTTTTAATTTTACCTTCAACATTATTTTGCATTGTTTCTATACTTATATGATAAGGCTATTTTTAAGTTAAATCTCCCTAAAATAATACCAAAGTAAATGAGGAAACCAAGTGAAAAATAATAACTTGTTCATCAATTACTTATTTATTTAGTACTTAGTGATTGTTGAATATTTATTTGTAGAACTATTATCCAAAGAGTACTTCTTTACTACTAAAATTTACATAAAAATGAGTAAATCAAGATGAGAAAGAAAAACTGAATGATCTAATTCATGTACCCCACCTTCTCTGATGCATACTCTCTTGGTTTATGTCATATAAGCAAAACTTTTTAGAAAATAATTAGTGATCTAATTACCTGCAGAAAAACTCCCCTACAGGCAGTTTATAAAGTATTTTCCAGAGTATGTGAATATGCTCAATAACTTCAAGTGTGCCATTTTAATTTCTGCCAGGCTCTGGAAGCGACATTATTGAAGGCTGTGTGTGTGTGATTGTTAAGAGCCAGGCTCTAGGCTAAAGAGCTGGGTTCAAGTCCTTACTATTCCTTATTACTTCTGGGGCCTTGGCTGAGTTACTTGAATTGGTTTTCCTCTCTGACCTTCACTTTTGGCATCTGCAAAATGGATATAATAATTCTGAACTCCTTGGATGGTAGTAACAATTCAAGAAAAGAAGTTTTCAAAGTGCACATGGGCACACACACACACACACACACACAGGTAGCTCTCTTTAATTAGAAAATCTGTGGTGCATTGCACAAAAAACTACTCTTCATATCATTTGAAATAAAATAATACAGACTAATGTACATTCTGTATGTGCTATGTGCCAGGCACTATATGCATATATGACTTCCTCTACCTTTCATGCCATGTTCAAGTTACAGAAGAGGAAACTGAAGAACTAAGGCAGTGAAAAAGAAGTAGCACCCATCTAACACAATAATGAAAACAACCTGTTAGATACAAACACCGAAACAGACCCATCTAACACAATAATAAAAACAACCCATTAGATACAAACAGCGAAACAAACAGACCCATGTAACACAATAATAAAAACAACCGGTTAGATACAAACACTGAAACAAACAGACCCACCTAACACAATAAGAAAAACAATCCATTAGATACAAACACCAAAACAAGCAGACCCATCTAACACAATAATAACAACAACCTGTTAGATACAAACAGTGAAACAAACAGACCCATCTAACACACTAATAGTAACAACCCGTTAGATACAAACACCAAAACAGACAGACCCATCTAACACACTAATAGTAACAACCCATTAGATACAAACACAGAGACAGACCCATCTAACACACTAATAGTAACAACCCATTAGATACAACCACCGAAACAGACAGACCCATCTAACACACTAATAGTAACAACCCATTAGATACAAACACCGAAACAAACAGACCCATCTAACACAATAATAACAACCCGTTAGATACCATCTAACACAATAAAAACAACCTGTTAGATACAAACACCAAAACAAACAGACCCATCTAACACAATAATAATAACAACCCATTAGATACAAACATGGAAACAAACAGACCCATCTAACACAATAATAACAACCCTTAGATACAAACACGGAAACAAACAGACCCATCTAACACAATAATAACAACCCCTTAGATACAAACACGGAAACAAACAGACCCATCTAACACAATAATAATAACCCGTTAGATACAAACACCAAAACAAACAGACCCACCTAACACAATAATAACAACCCCTTAGAAACAAACACCAAAACAAACAGATCCATCCTAACACAATAATAAAAACAACCTGTTAGAAACAAACACCAAAACAAACAGACCCATCCTAACACAATAATAAAAACAACCCATTAGAAACAAACACCAAAACAAACAGACCCATCCTAACACCATAATAACAACCTGTTAGAAACAAACACCAAAACAAACAGACCCACCTAACACAATAATAAAAACCCGTTAGAAACAAACACCAAAACAAACAGACCCATCCTAACACAATAATAAAAACAACCTGTTAGATACAAACACCGAAACAAACGACCCATCTAACACAATAATAATAACCTGCTAGATACAAACACTGAAACAAACAGACCCATCTCACACACTAATAACAACCCGTAAGATACAAACACCGAAACAGACCCATCTAACACACTAAGAATAGCAACCTGTTAGATACAAACACTGAAACAAACCCCTGTTTTAAACTGAAACAAACCCCTGTTTTAAACTGTCTTCTCTATTTTCTTTCCCTTTTAAATCACTGCCTTCATGGTAAGAGTTTTGAATACTTAGCAACACAACTGTAGCATAATAAGAGAAAGGAGAGGACAGACAGACACATAGAGAAAGGGAGAGATTTCTAAATAACAAAGAGAAAATAGAGTTTCAAGTTGTATAAAAAATAAATATTATTTGATGATGCATGTTATTCAGAATCATAAAATGAAAGTTCAAGCACTGTATCAATTAAACCAATTATCTCCATCCAATAACTATTTTGATTATAAAGAAAAGCATAAAATTTAGCATCAGTTGAATTTTATTTTGATTGTTCAAATTTTAAAGAATAATGTAAGACTTAGTTGGTTAATTACCTATGTAACCAATGAAATGAATATTGACAAAACTCTAAATTTTTTCCTATATATGAAAATGATCTCCAAACGTAAACATGCACTATTGTATGAATACTCACATCACCTGCATTTCATAGAAATTAAACAAAAAATATATTTTAAAATAATTTTATTTATCAATAGTAGAAATGTTTTTTCCACATGAAAATATGTAATATGTGATGATTATATTTTTAGATGAATAATATAATTGAATACACTTTTTCAAACTCCTGATTTTATGTTTTGTGATTTAGTCATTTGAAAGTTGGCTTCTAGGTTTTCTTTATTTTGATTCATGACTTCAGTGTCTCTCCGGGGCTGGCCAATGTCACTTTGAGAGATGAGTGGTTCACATGAAAGAGGTTTGTTTACGGCTACATTCTAACAGCAAGCACGCAAAGAAGAAGAATAAATTGTTCAATCTCACATACCAATTATACGAGTGTTTGTTAAATTTGCCTAATATTTTCCTTCTTTCCTATGTCATTCAATTATTATTGCAAGGAAATAGAATAGTCTTCTAAAATTAAATATTACCAGAAGATGTCCAATATTTTGTTGATCCTCATGTGAAAGACTTTTAAATAATTAGATTTTTCCCCAAGTTGAATTGTTCAGTTAGAGGAATTTTTAAAGGTGACAGATTTACATCATTTTTTGTAACAAATTACACAATGAAAATCAGCTATTATGTGTTTTTCAAATGTTCGCTCGTCGTAGAAAACATTTCTCTTTAAAATCAGTCACTGCTTTTTTCACTACAATTTCATTTTAAAAGTTGCCACCACTTTAAACCAAGCATTCCAATTTATTTAAAAATATCTGCCCAGTTAGCCAAGCTGGCAGCCTGCTCCCATCTCAGAGCTAACTGGCAAAGCTGCAACATTTGCCTTTTATAGAAGAAAACTGTATCCCTCATCTATACATTTAACTCCTAAGTTAAAAATGTCCCATGTATTTAAGCATCATAGATACTTTGTGTTAGAAAAGATTTTCATTACAACTTTCCTTTTATTAAACATTTTGCAAACCTTTCATGGTATCTCTTTTACAAAATAAATTAACTATATTGAAGATACCCTGTGCACTTGGGCACTTCTGTCTTCAATATTTTAACTGGTCAGAGCTTGTCTATAAATGATGTAGCAGATAAATTTCACATATGGTCCTATCTTGATAATTTTAGTTGGGAATCTTTTTTCTTTCTCTTCTTTTATTTTTGGCTTCCCCCTCACCTCCAACACCCTGTCCCAATTCTAGGAAATGTAGCCACTTCATCAGTGATTACACTTACAATTTTGTAAGTTTTTATTGTACTTGTTGTTTTCGTTTGATACTATGTTTTGGTTAAAGAAGACTGCTGGTGTTGCATGTATCAACTTTTGAGTTATCTGAGGTTTACACCCAGGCATACACATGAGTACATCTTTAAGAACTGCATTACTGAAACAAATATTGCAATCTAAAATCTGTTTAAGATACCCATATTATTATCCAATATGGGAGAAATTATCTCAGTTTGTAAATTTTTGTCATATTATCATCCAATATGGGAAAAATTATCCCAATTTGTAAATTTTTGTCAATGCAAAGACAATGATATGGTAACTAAACCTTTTTTTCCTTTTGTCCCTCTGCGCAAGGCAGCCTCCCCCAACTAGATTAATAAACTTCAGCCAAGGCCTCCATGAAGTAATAATGTTTAGCTGCCTGAAGATTGGTAGAGGTGTGCTATCATCATGTTGCAGATGCTTAATTTTGAATTGTTTTGCCAATTGAGATGGTTTCACACAGTCAATAGTTCATTTTTCAAGGCATAATCTTCATAAAGGGTAAGAATTAATGTTAAAAATAGTGGCAATGATATTTACATTTCAAATAATTTACTTGATAATTTCATATTATGCTGGGGTCACCTTCTTCATAATCATAATTAAGGCACCATTTTGTTGTAACATGGTTGACAATAGGCCCATTCAAAGACATTTTCTTGTAGCTTTTTCATGCATAGCGTATTAGGAATTTCTTCAAGCTCCAACGTTTGCAGGACTTTTGAAAACAAATTTTCCTTGTATATGGACACCGCTGAGCTGCACTAAGTCACAATATGATATATGCAGAACAACTAAAGCAGCCAGCATCTTGTTAGTGGTATAACCCTACCATGCTTGGGATACCTGAGTACCATTAATTGTAGACCATCATCTGACCTTGACAAAGGATGGGCCCAAGGTCAACCCACATATTAAGTATGCATACTCATTTTTGAGATTAAAATAAATACAGAAAAAGTTGTAGAATTTTTTTCCTGGAGCCCAGTAGATCCTGCAATTCAAGTGATATTCACATCGTACTGTGAAGCCACTGGTCTAAATCTCTCCATACTAAATCTAAAGTTTTAGATTTTTAGCCTCTATAGTTTAAAAAAGTTCTCACATCTATGGGCTCTGGGCTGGAAATTCTGAAACTAACAAGAGTCAACAATGAGACAGTCCAATAGTAGCTCAAGAATGCACATCACCTTATTCCTTCATTTGAAGCAGATAGGAACATTTTTCTAATGATTTTTAAATTGTAGTGGTCCCATCAAAGAAGGAGCCTTTTTGCTGGGCGTGGTGGCTCATGCCTGAATTCCCAGCACTTTGGGTGGCCAAGGCGGGCAGATCACCTGAGATCAGGAGTTCAAGACCAGCCTGGCCAACATGGTGAAACGCTGTCTCTACTAAAAATACAAAAATTAGCCTGGTGTGGTGGCGCACACCTGCAGTCTCAGCTACTGGGGAGGCTGCAGCCAGAGAATCGCTTGAACCTGGGAGGCAGAGGTTTCAGTGAGCCAAGATCATGTCACTGCACATTCCAGCCTTGGCAACAGAGAGATTCCATCTCAAAAAAAAAAAAAAAAAAAAAAGGTGTGCGGGGGAGGGACTTTTAAATTCTTGACTTCTCACTCTTTATAAACTACTTTGGAAGGGTGGTTTCATTCATTCTCATACTTTTCCATTAAAACAGTTCTTAATCTGAATATAATCAGGGTTGAGATTTAAATAAAAAGAGAGACTTCCAACCCTTTTTTAAAATGAATTTTTAAAAGAAGATAAAAGAATCAAGGGGAAAACTAAAGAGATGGCCGTATTTCCTAGAGTTAAGCATGCAAATCAAAGGACAGAACATATGGGTGAAGAAAACTTCTCAGCAGGGTCAAATCCATAGGAGATTCTCATTGCTACCGGATCACGCTGTCCTCCAAAGACAGCCCGCTCAGATCAGGTTACCATAGTTTATGTACTTTATAAACTGAGCAAGATAAATAGTGTGTTAAGGCTTTATGGACTTGTTATGACAGCTAATTTTGTATTGCCTGACATAGTATCTGAGCAAATGTACAGATGTTCATTCATTTTCACTCCACTATAGATACTGTAAATTGAGTAACTCTGGAAGTCCAGTCATAACAGCTGACAAATATCCCTGCTACCTAGAAGAATGAAAGTTGTAAGTCACTGGACTTCAACCAAGAAAGTTAGCAGGGAACATGGGGGCCCATGCATCTTTTTAATGATTGCATTGCAGAAATCTACTGTGGGTTTCCTATGACAGTCTACCTGGTGGCTCAGAGGACACCTAATGAATCAGCCATAACTTTAAGTGACGTAAGGCCTGACAAATGAGGGGCTGCTGGCGTGCCTTTGAGTTTATCAGCCTCTCCGTGAAACCACCCATTGTGATCCAAACCTTGCCTTTGTTTTCTCCTTTACTGTGATCCCTTCCTAATTTTAAAAGGGTCAAATAGCTTTTACTGAACACAATGGCAGGCAGTCCTTCCTAAAAGTGTCACATGGCACATGACCCTAGCATATTTTCCTGCTCTTGAAGCTGACCAATCATTCTAAAGGGATTGTTTCCCAAATGTTATTCTCTGCAAAACATGCCAATATTTATTTGATTCTTATCCACAGGCTACTTATGACAGTTCATCTTTGATTTGAGGCTGATTAAAACATAATCTCCATGATAAAATACCAATTTTAAATATTTTCCATTTATTAAAGGGAATGCAGGAGTATCTCATAGCCTATATACATCAATAATTCCATGTAACTATTTGTACTGCTTATGATTTCCCATTTTCCATATGATTCTTGATTCCCAATCAAGAATCTCATGATTGTTGGTTTTCTTGGGGTGTATTTTAAACATCTTTGAAAATAAAGAATTTTAAAGAATATAAATGATAGAACTGATTAGATTATATATCTATATCATGTGCATTTTTGTTTGCTTTGAGTGTACGACTTAAAAATGTTTATGTCATTTTAAAGAGTAAAACAATAAATCAGTATTTTCAGATGCTCTTTGAGATTATCACGTCCACATTTGGTGTGTGTGTGAGGGTGTGTGGGACTTCTTTCACCCTTGGCTATAAACCAGAGGAAAGCAGTGATTAAGGTAATTGTGATGTTGTGAGGTTTTGTTGTTTTTCACTTATGTATATGTTTGTTGCTTGTTTTTGCTTATGTATATGTCTTTATGTATATATTTGCTTTTTAATGATAAATTGTGAGGAACAGAAACCAACACCAAAAAAGAATTGAATTGTAAATTGAGTCTAGTATTTATATTATTGTGCAAACAATATGAATAAAGCAAATTTCTTGTCATCATGGTGCTTCCCTTTACTGGAAAAACAAACAATAAAAAATTAAATATATACTACAATCTGAATTTCTCTAAAGACAAAGCAAGGTAAGATAATACAAAGAGAATATGGGTGACTTTTGTAGAAGAGTAAGGGAGAATATCTATGTGCACAAATGCAGAAAATAGTGAAAAAACATTTTTTTAAATATGAGTCACCTTTTTAAGCAACAACATTTAATAAGATAGTATTTAAATCTTAAGTATCAGCATTGCTTTTACCTCTAACTGTGTCCCAATATAACACACAACCAAATAACACTTTAACATCCATCTCAAACTTTTTTCCATTTCTAGTTTGCCAAAATTTGTGGAAGCATCCTTCCTGTCAATATCGTAAGACAGTATTTCAACTAGACAAAGAGATTTATCTATATGCACTTTCATCCATGCCTCAGTTGATTTTATGTTGCTTTTTTCATATTTCTTTTCCTATATTCCTGAGGAAATATTTTCAGAAAGAAATTTGGAAGGGTAAATGATACCTCTATGTTGAGAACCAATGGAGATGTTGAAGTAGGTTTTCTTAATGGAGAAGAGACATTGTAAGGTTCTTCAGAGAAAGTGTTGACAGATGATAATGATGATAATGATGGTGGTGGTGGTGGTGATGAAGAAGATGATGGTGATGATGATGATGATCGCAGAATCAACCAGAATGATGTTAAAGGGGACAAAAGGACCCAATAGAAAAGTTGGATATTACATGACATAAAAACAGAGATGACATTAGTCCTGAAGTTAAGGGGCTAGCTCATGCTCTGCCTTTACTTAACCAAATGACTCTGGGTTCCTCCCTTAAATTACCTGAGAATTGGATTTTTCTAATGTGGGCAAATGGGAGATATCAAGGCATGTTTGCCCTTCCCATAGGTGAGTAGTAGATTTTATTATATATGTAGTACTTTTTGCTGAGCCCAAAGATTTTTTTCAGCCTTTATTTTAGATTCAGGGGATACATATGCAGGTTTGTTACCTGGGTATACTGTGTGATGCTGAGGCTTGGGGTACAAATAAACCGGTGACTCAGCTACTGATAAGTACCTAAGAGTTAGTTTTTCACCCCTTTCCCCGCTCCCTCCCTCCCCCATCCAGTAGTCCCCAGTGTACCTTATTCCCATCTTTACAGCTCTGAATGCCCAATGGTTACCTCCCTCTTATAAGTGAGAACATGCAGTGTTTGGTTTTCTGTTCCTTTGTTAAGTTACTTAGGATAACGGCCTCTAGCTATATCCATGTTGCTGCAAAGAACATAATTTCATTTTTTGTTATGCTGAGCTCAAACTTAATTCCAGAATACAAGGTATATATTGTAAATTGATTAGATATACCCTTAAAGATGAAAACACATCAAGGATATTTTTGGTGGAGTGTTAGGAGGCACAAAATGTGAAACTGAAAGTATTCTAAGATCCAACATTATATAAATGGCAGTATTTCTGTCTTCTTTTAAACTGAATATTTTTTTTATATATACCCTAAATTTCTTCATTCATTCATCTGCCTATGGACACTTATGCTGATTCTATATCTTGACCACTGTGAATAATGCTACCATGAACACAGGAGTGCAGATATCCTCAAGGGGGGCTGATTTCCTTTTCCCTGGATATGTAACCAGAAGAATTGCTGGATAACATCATAGCCCTAAAAGAAAAATTAAGGAGCTTCTATACTGTTTCCTTATATAATGGCCATTCCAATTTACATTCCCAACCGTGTGTTTTCTCTTCTCCACACCCTCTCCATACACTTGTTGTCTCTTCTCCTTTTTACAGTAGCCATGTTAACAGTGAAATGATATCTATTGTGATTTTAATTTAATTTGCATTGTCCTGATTATTAGTGATGTTGAGCACTTCCTCACATACTTGACCATTTTTATTTCTTCTTTCGAAAAATGTCAATTCAGGTCCTTTGTCCATTTTTTAAATTGGATTATGTTTTATTTTTGCTATTGAGTTTTGTGAGTTCCTTATTAATTTTGAATGTTAACCTCTTAACAGATACATGGTTTACAAATACTTTCTTCCAATCTATAGCTAGATTATATACCATGACAAGTAGGATTTATCTCTGGCATGCAAGGTTGGTTTAACTATGCAAATCAATCAATGTGATACATCATATTAGAAGAATAAAGACAAAAATCACATAATGTCAACAGATGCAGAAAAAAGAATGACAAAATTTAACAACTTTTTATAATAAAAACTCTAAAAAATGTATATGACAATTTTCTTGACATAATAAAGGCCATTTATATAGAGCTTATTGCTAACAGCATAAAAAATTGGGAAAAACTGAAATCATTTCCTCTATGATCTGATACAAGGAAAAGACTTTTTCACTTCTTTTTAACATAGTACCAGAAGTACTAGAAAGAACACTCAGACAAAAAATAAATAAGTAAATAAATAAATAAATAAAAGGCATCTAGAAAAAAAAGAAGTAAAATTAGGCCTGTTTAAAGATTTCATGATTCTATAGCTAGAAAACTTTAAAGACTCCATACACACACACACACACACATGCACACACATACACAAACTGTTAGAACTAGTAAATAAGTCCAGTAAGGTAGCAGGATACAAAACCAATATAAAAAAATCAGTTGCATTTAATTACACTGATAAAAATATATCTGAGAAAAAATAAAGGAAACAATTCCATTTATAATAGCATCAAAAAAGAATAAAATACTTAGAAATAAATTTAACCAAATTAAAAAAAATTTACACTGAAAACTATGAAACATTGATGAAATAAATTGAAGTTACAAATAAATGAAAAGATAGATCATGTTTATAATTTAGAAAAATTAATATTGTTAAAATGACCATAAAGCCATAGCAATATACAGATTCAGTGCAATCCCTATCAAAATCTTAATAGCATTTTTTTACAAATATAAAAGGACAGTGCTAAAATTTTTATGGAGCCACAAAAGACTCTGAATAGATAAAATAATCTTGACAGGAAAAAAAAGTTGGAGGCATCATACATCACACTTACTGATTTCAAGTTGCATTACAGAGCTATGATAATCAGAACAATATGGTGAGCATAAAAACAACACATGGACCAGTGAAACAGAGTAGAGAACCCAGAAATAAATCCAAGCATGTATAGTTAGCTGATTTTTACAAAGGCACCTAGAAGACACCGTAAGTAAGGAAAGGATAATCTCTTCAGCAATGGTGTTGGGAAAACTGGATATTCGTAGGCAAAAGAAGTAAGTTAACCCCTTACCTTACACCATACACTAATGTCAAATCAAAAGTGAATTTAAAACCTGAATATAAGACTTGAAACCATACAATTCCTGAAAGAAAGCCTAAGGGAAAAGCTTCCTGATATTGACCTTGGAAATAATTTTTTGGATATCACACCAAAACCACAGGCAACAAGAGCAAACCTGGAAAAATGATCTGAAATGAAACTAAAACGCTTCTGCACAGCAAAGAAACCCATCAACAAAATTAGAAAATCCAAATGCTCTTTAAAGGTTCTCAAACAACAAGAGTAACTGAAAGATTAATATGAATCTTATTTATACTTAGCCCAAAATCGATTCCATTGAAATATAAAATAACTAAAATCTTAAATTGTGATTAAGATAATCCTTCCCTACTATATCTTCTGACCTTATTACTTATATTCCTATTTCTCCATTGTCATATTTAATAATTATTTCTGTTCTATAACCATAATTTCCATGATGCTCTTTCTTTAGTTTTATGTTTAAGTTGATTCATCTTTTCTCCAATTTTTTTACTTATTTATTGGCAAGTGGGAATTAGCAAATATGTATTTTATTTAAAAAACTCTTGCAATCTCTATCCCTTGAATTACTAAAGTTAAAATATATGCATGTGTTCTTTGTATTTGAATAACCATTTGGCTTGTTACTTTTTGCTATATTTACTTTTTAACATTTTGTTTTTTAATAATTATAGACCCACAGGACATCTCAAAAACAGTCTATGAAGTCCCTTGAGCCATTCACCCAGTTTCTCCCAATAAGGACATCTTACATTAATCTGGAATAAGATCAAAGCTGGGAAACTGGCATTGGCACAATATGGTTAACTGGACTACAGTCTTTATTCAGTTGTTACCAGTTTTTCATGCATATATTTGTATGTGTGTGATGTGTGTGTGCGTGTGCAGTTACATGCAATTTGATCCTGAGTGTTAGAACCACCACCATCAGTAGACAGATGAGTCATTGCTTTAGACCAGTGGTCCCCAAGCTTCTTGGCACCAGGGACTGGATATGTGGAAGATGGTTTTTCTATGGACAGGGGTGGTGGAGATGGTTTTTTGAGATGAAACTGTTCCACCTCATATCATCAGGCATTAGTTAGATTCTCATAAGGAATGTGCAACATAGATCCCTCACATGCACAGTTCACAATAGGGCGTGTGCTCCTGTGAGAATCGAATGCCATGGCTGATCAGACGGGAGGTGGAGTTCAGGCAGGAATGCTCACTCACCTGCTGCTCAGTCAGTTCCCAATAGGCCACAGATCAGTACAGCTCCATAGCCCCGGGGGTGGGGGACCCGTGTTTTAGAGGATCTCCCTCTGCAGCCAGTTATATCTCCATCCCAGTTCCCTGCAACTACTTATGTGTTCTCAATCTCTGTATCTTTCTTATTCCAACAAAATTATATAAATGGGCTCATGTGGCATATACAATTTGAGATTGGCTTTTTCACTAAGCATAATTCCCTGGATATTAGTTGTTACAAGCATCAGAGGTTTCTTCCTTTTCATTGCTGAGTAGTTTTCCATGGTATGGATGGCCTATGCTTTGCTTAACCATTCAGTCACTGAAAGACAACTTGGTTGTTTCTGGTTGAGGGCTATTCTGAGTAAAGCTGCTATGACCATTCATGACTAGATTTCTGTGTCACTAACAGGTTTCCTTTCTTTAAAACAAATGTCCAAAAGTGCAAATGCTGGGTTGTATAACAAGCATTTTTTATTTAAAAATCTGACAAACTGTTTTCCGGAATGGCTTTGTCACTTTCCATTTCCAAAAGCAGTGTAGGAGTGAGCTAGTGGCCCTGCAGCTTCACCAGCAGTGGGTATTTTCACCTTGCTGGCAGATGTGTCCTAGTATTTCAGAGTGATTCTAATTTATATTTCCTTCATGGCTAAAGATATTGGGCATCTTTTCACACCCTCTGTAGCGAAATGGTTGTTTGTACCTATTGCCAAGTTTCTAATTGGGTGGTGTGCTGTTACTGTTGTTGTTTTATACTTCAGAGTTTTGAGAGTTCTTTAAGTTCTTTATATATTCTACTTACAAATTCGTTGACAAATTTGTTGTTCACAAGTATTTTCTCCAAGCTGTTACTTGTTTTTTCATCCTTTTTATGGTTGTTTGGAGAACAAACATATTTTAATTTTGAAGAAGTTCAATTTAGCAAATTTTTAATGTATGGATCATGCTGTTACTGTCACATCTAAGAATTCTTCACCTAGTGCAGGTGAAAATTTTCAAAATTGCTTTAGTTTTAATTGTTCTAGGCCTTTTGCCTTTCTATGCAAAGTCCAGAATAAGCTTATCTATCTCTACAAAAAAGTTCTTGCTGGAGTTTCGATAGGCATTGCATTAAACCTGTAGATAAATTTAGGGAAAATTCACGTCTTTAATATGTTGAGTCTTCCAGTTTATGGACCCTGCATGTTTCGTATTTATTTAGATCTTAGACTTCATCAGTGTTTTATAATTTTCAGCACTCAGACCTTTTACATGTTTGGTTTGATTTATACTTAAGTATTTCATTGTGTTTATTTTTCATCATCAGGTAATTGGAAGTGAAGTTCCAGTTAAAACTTTGCTTTTCAGACACAAAGGCTGCCGTTCCCCCTCTGCCTGGCTGCCACTCCCTCAGGAAAGCATTTGCAATTGCAAAGCATCTCTTTATCTGGGGAAAATTCCAGGCACTGAGACAAGCTAGTGCATAGTCGTGTGCATGGGCTGTTTTTGAATGGGGAGGGCGCTCCAGAACGTGGTGGCCTTGAGTAGGGTCTCTGAACAACAGCCGCAGGCTGGCCCTCACCTTTCACAACCTCTTCCTTTCATCCTCACTTAGGAACCACAGACTTTCTAGAAATACCTGGGTTGTCCTTAGGGTTTCTGTCAGTGGATAAAGAGGCCATAGGTTTTACAACAGAATGAAGGTAACTTGAAGGACACAGGGAATCAGTCTGTAGTCTCCTTAAATGTTCTCTTTGGATTCAGAGACACTTAAAGCAGAGAGAAGGATATCTCACAGCTCTTGTAAGGTACCGCGTGCCTACGCTTGGTTTGAGTGGCCGTTTGGATGTGGAATTTTTACTTTCATCAGCAGTTTCCTTGTGCAGAACACACGTCGTGAAGGGCTTCAGGGTGTCCAGAAGTTGAGGTGCGACATGTTGCAGGGACCAGTGTGTCATGAGTGAGGGAGACGCAAATCTCTGCACCCCATGGGATCATCCACATGGCCTGTGACACAGAGATGGCTCTGCAGCCTGAGAGTCCGCTCCCTGACAACCACAGGGATCTGGAATAGAGAATCACACTTGTGAGAGTGTGTGTACATTCATATATGTAATTTTTGTCTGATTTGTGGTTCACTAGTTTTTATTGGAATTCCTTTCTCTATTTTATAATTACACTAGCTCTAGTTTTTCCTTGTGGACATGAAACCTGACCCTCTCAGTACTAATTAGAGATGTCTAATGGGAAAACCACACATTCTACCAGTGTCCACCACAATAAGCCTTTCCAGTAATTGATGTACTCCAGTGGGTCACATTTCATTACATGAGGTGACTTCATAAACCGATTTGACAGGTTATGTGACCACATGATTCATCAACTTCACAACCAGGCTTGGGTGGCACCTGGCGGAGCAGCAATGCAACCTTAAAGTGGGTGAGTAGGAAAGAGTAATTTGCATTATTTCATAAATAGTTAAATACTTTGATATCTACACTAGGAAAAAATGTACCTGCAGCTCACATTCTCTCTCAGTGCATAAAATGGGGCCTTGTGTAACACAGACGAGCTAGGAATAGGGAAACATTTTAGACAGATATTCCATTTCCTACGGACTTTGGGGAAAAAGTAAATGTTTGCTCCCTAATTCTCAGTGAAGACTCTTGGTAGGACTTTCATTACATAGAAGAATAAGACGGCAAAAAATCTTCACATCCCCTTTGTAAATCTCCTGAAGTCTTCTCTGTTAAGGAAAATGATGCCCACATTACTACTTATAAAGTGAATCTATGTGGGAAAAACAGATAATATTCATGCTAATCATTTGTTGTGAAATTTGATTATTGGTAAATTGGATTTTGGTACTTTTTTTGAAATTTGAATCAATGTAGATTAATAATTATAATAATAAAAGATGTATTTTCTGGTTTGAATATGTTTTAAAATTAAGTTTCCCTAATAAAGAAATACACTCAGGATTCTATATCATCTAAAGGTAACATAATGCTATCAATTAAAATGGTCTTTATTACTTTTTAGAGATAACTTTTTAGGTAACACATTCCAAGTATCATTTGTTCCACTCAGTGATATTCATCAGCTAGTTGAGGTCTGATGAACAGATTTAGGAGACTGAAAATTTGGAGCAATATGCTATTAAAAAAAGATCTAGGCTTTTTTTGTGTGTGTGAAAAAGCATTCTTTTCTTGAGCACCACTGACATAAAAGGCAGATGATATAGAAATGTCCCAAAAGTCAGACGCATTGGAAAAAAAAGAATAAACAGGAAAATGCCTGAATCCCCCACAGACGCCACCAATTTTCCAATCCCTGGATGCAGTTCCATAATGCAATGAATTTCATCATAGCCCTATTCACCTAGGATATGAGTGCCTTGGAAGTATAATGAATCTGAGGTGATGTGGCTCCAGCCTCCAACCCTGAACAACCAGGAGACTCCTGGAGTCTAATTGCTGCACCAAAACTCATGAGCCTGATCCCTCTCTCTGCATGAGAAGTAAACTGTTTGTGTTCTCTTTGATTTCTAGTACTGCTATCAGAAGATGGCCCTCCGATTTGATGTTAGGAGCTCAGCTATTTCGGGGTGGTTCCCTCCTGCCAGCACCCTCTGATGCATTCCTATTCATTATCCCATTATCCCCTGTTTTGGGGGTGGTTCCATCTCCCATCACCCTCTGATGCATTCCTATTCATTATTCCCTGTTTTGGGGGTGGTTCCATCCATCCAGCACCCTCTGACGCATTCCTATTCATTATCCCCCGTTTTGAGGGTGGTTCCATGCATGCAGCACCCTCTGATGCATTCCTATTCATTATCCCGTTTTGGGGGTGGTTCCATCCATCCAGCACCCTCTGACACATCCCTATTCATTATCCCCTGTTTTGAGGGTGGTTCCATCCATCCAGCACCCTCTGATGCATTCCTATTCATTATCCCGTTTTGAGGGTGGTTCCATCCATCCAGCACCCTCTGATGCATTCCTAGTCATTATCCCCTGTTTTGGGGGTGGTTCCATCTCCCAGCACCCTCTGATGTATTCCTATTCATCATCTTCTAATCTTTCCCACACTCACATTGTTTTCTGAAGATTTTCTGCTCCTGGTTTTCCTCTCTTTCCCTATGTTTCTCTTGTCCTAAGCAGCCTCAAAGTTCCCAGGACTCACTCTCCACCACACCAGTCAACCACATGTAGCTGAGTCACTCCCTGAATGTTTGTGTCCTGGCTTAGAATCCTGCCACCACTCTAATCCCTCACCAACATGTGTATTCATTGACCTCAGCCTACCATTTATCATCATTTCTTCTTTCTCTCCTATTATGCCTGTTGCTTGACCTCACTGAGGCTTACATCATGCGCCCATGAGAGTATACATTCAACCCGGTGCCTCTGTTGTACCTACTCTGGAAAATGACACTGTGTTTCATGTAATAAGTCTGCTGAGGAGCACCTAACTATTTTGCCATGTTGCCATCCCATTGCTTCTACCCATCAAATGCCAGCCCTTGATGATTTCATGTGCTTGCTTTCTCTAGGCAACACCAACAATTCCGAAAAATCACAGAACTGTACAGATTGGTGCCTTTAAAATTCCTGATCTCCACTCTAAACTGGACAATTATCAATAATATTATCTGTTAACACTTATATATTTCCCTTGACAAATCCTACTCCCAAAGGCTAATTCAAAACTTTCTTCTTTCTTAAAACTTCACACATGACTACCTTCCTAATCAGTCCAAGAAAGTCATGTCTTCTCAGAGCATATAGAACTGTCGAGAGATTCAGGCTGAAGATGGAAGTGTGAAACATCTCTACCTACCTGAATGGCAAACGAAGATTGAAGAAAAAAAACTTTTAAGAGAGAGGGGTGTGAAACACAGACATGAATCTCTACAACTGTCATGCAAAATAAAGAGCTGCTCAAATCGCTAAGCCCAGGAAGGTATCATCCACATTGGTTGTGTGCAAAGATGAGCTTCAAGAACAAGACCAATGCCATGTCACACTTTTGATAAGAAACCAAAGGTGGGCAAGAGGAGTAACTGCACGTGTACACCATGTCTCAGAAAAGCCAACAGGAAGAGTGCAGGAAGACAAATGAATGTACACGGGCGTCAGCTTGACCAAAACTGATGACGGTTGAATGCCAAGTGATCCCACAGAAATCTGCCTCCTTACAAACTACACATGTGTCTCCAGCTCACCAAGCAGCTTGGAATGCAGAACAATAAGTGGAGACATGTTCCAGACCAAGGAAGGCAACAGGTTCCATGAGAAATTGTCCTGAGTCAACATACCTAAATTAAAATTTCCTCTGGCCTAGGGCAGGCCTCACTCTGTTCCTCCCTGCATAATTCTTTAAAAATATCCAGATATGACTTTACATTCAAAATCATGAAAAAAGTAAGGAAAATGGAGTGAGTATAGTTAAAGACAGAATAAGAAGAGTCAACAATTCCAGAACCACTGTGTGAGCAGAGGGGCATTGAGGAAACTCATAAAGATTTGGAAAATAAATCTTAAAAGGATTAATTTAAAACCATGAATAGAGTGAAAATAATTTTCAGCAGAGTCAAAGCAGATTCAACATCCTTGACCCAGATATGATAACTCAAGCTGTAGATGTTTCTGTGCTGTGATTCCCATTTATAAAAACAAGCATTAGGAGCCCTGAAAGAGAGAATACAACAAACAACTGACCGGAGTGACAGGAAGGGGAGATGAAAAGATATATGGCCTTACAAATTATGTAATTGAGGTTCCAGTTAAAGTGGACTGTATTATGGCAAGGAAACAAAAGACATCATGATTCTTTTTATAAAACCAACATAATTGTGATACCAGAACCTGTCAAGGACACACACACACACACACACACACACACACACCCTGACCATCACCGCAACAACCAACAGAACAACCTCACTGCAAATATCAGTGTAAAATTCCTCAGTAAATTATTAACAGGGAGAATTAAGCAGTGCTTCAAATAACTAACGAGGTTCATGGATAAAAATATTCAATTATATGTATTTATTAACTAATCAATTAAATGTTAACTTTAATATAAATCATTGCAATTGATGTTAGTGTGGTATTTATGATTAAACAAAAATACTCTTAAAATGAACATATAAATATCTTCCAAAATATAAAAATGTATGGCCAAATGTGTAGGCAGATGCATCTTGAAAGATAAGAGCTGTGTTCTATATTGAGCAATAGCTTCTAGTTATCCTTTAGCTAATTTGGCCATGGTCAGAGCCCAGAGAACTAGCAGCATGGAGGGTTCATGTTAGCCCTAGAGCAGACAAGAGCTTGAAATACAAAGTCAGAGTAAGTCCCATTTCAACAAATCAGAGCTCATGCCAGATCATCTCCAGGAAGTAGGCAAACTAAAGAGTGAAAGCAGAAAGATGTACAAAAGGGACCCCCAGGGGTTCCTGGCCTTGACCAATCCACAGCTATCAAGAAACCCTTGGGAGAGCCACGTGATAGGACACCCCAGGTAATGCTGAGGATCTTACAGCAGAAAAGAATCGTCCTGACTTCCTGCCAGGATCCTGGGAGGAAGCTGCTGGGGCGACCCCGACATCCACAGGGGTCAGCTGTCACCCAAGGGCAATGGTGACGAGAACGTGTGGACAGAGAGTGCCTGGGGTCCTTCCCTCACAGGCATCATTGAGTGCTGCAGAGGGTCCCTCCTTCAGAGACGGAGAGAGAAGGTAATGACCACCACAGGAAGGCTATCAACACCAGGAAGGGAGCACCCACGTGCATCGGGCTGGTGGTGTGCCAGGCACGGTTGGAAATATTTTACATACAATAATTTACTTTTAATAGCAGGACTTTGAGCTGGTCTTATTTTTATTTTCATTTTACAGACTCTCGCCTTCTATGTGCTCATGCACTGTGATAATGCATGCTTTTTGTCATTCCTCTTGGCCCATGGCCTCCTCAACATGCATTCTATGCATAACTTTATTGCCTGCTTTCTCTGAGTATTTTCGAGTTCAGCCTCTCAAAATAGATACACGTTGGCATATCTCCTCTTTGTTTGCCAGCCCAGATCATGGACATAGGCCAGCCCATGGTCTGGCAGCCCTTGGTTCGAATCTCTTCCAATCAACAAAGGAGACTGGAGCGTTAGTCTTGGAATAAAATGAGGCAGTCTAGGTCTTCTCCATCAACAGGGCAGTGGGAAAAATGGTCACCCTGTCTGGCATGGCCTGTGCAGACTTTATTTTAAAGATGAGAAGGTAATACAGACAGGAGAAGCAATAGGTGAAAGGTCATCACTAACTCACAAACCTGGTTTCAGCATCTTGAAAAGTATAGAGTCGTTATCTGAACTAGATGTCTAAAACAGACGACCATTTTCCACGGTGACATTTTGACATCCCTTAACCCCTTTCTAGCTCATCTCTCCTTCTAGTAATAACAGTTTATGATTTATAACATTGTATCTTTATTTTTTAAATAAATCTGAAGTAGCAAAATAGGCTTCTATCTCTGAATCTGTAAAAGGTAGCTGTTGGAGGCTATGAAGAAATACTTTTGCCAGGCACGGTGGCTCATGCCTGTAATCCCAGCACTTTGGGAGGCTGAGGCGGGCAGATCA
This sequence comes from Homo sapiens, assembly GCF_000001405.40. Classification (NCBI taxonomy): domain Eukaryota; kingdom Metazoa; phylum Chordata; class Mammalia; order Primates; family Hominidae; genus Homo; species Homo sapiens. Next base: position 4,861,395 of record NC_000005.10, read on the forward strand.
CCTGAGGTCAGGAGTTCAAGATCAGCCTGACCAACATGGAGAAACCCTGTCTCTACTAAAAATATAAAAAAATTAGCTGGACGTGGTGGCACATGCCTGTAATCCCAGCTACTAGGGAGGCTGAGGCAGGAGAATTGCTTGAACCTGGGGGGCAGAGGTTGCAGTGAGCCAAGATCACGCCATTGCACTCCAGACTCAGCAACAAGAGCGAAACTCCATCTAAAAAAAAAAAGAAGGAAAAAGAAAGAAAGAAAGAAAGAAAGACAACTTACTTGACTTTACACTCAGCTTTACTCCCTAAAAGAGAAAAGAGTGTTTTCATACACCTACCCCCACCTGCCACATCAAATACTGTCAGAAAATACAGTCTGATTTTTACTCAACAGTTTGGAGAAAGAAAGAAATTTTAGTAACATAAAGGTTTCAGTCATGTTAAAAAATTTAATTTACAAATGATTTACCAAGTTTAGAAGGATGTTCTCTCTTCGACTATTTTAGTTACTTCTAGGAGACAGCTAATTTAAATTTATAAATTGACTTAAAAACAGTATTAGATAAGTTTATCTGTTTTCTAGATAGCTGTCAACTGGTCAATTCATATTCAGTAGTTGATCTAAGTGAGAAAATAACCAGCAAATAAAATCCCTTTATCGGATCCCAAGTAGGCTTTTAGATTAGCAACATTCTTGGAGATCTCCTTGTTAAGAACACTGTGAATACAATATAAAGTTCTACACAGGCAGTCTCTGAGATGATACATTCTCATCTTGAGTATTTTAGGAAATTGAGACTGTCTTATATATAAGGAAACCAAAAAATATTTAAAGAAACTGTTTTCTAGATAACCCTTTATTCCCATTTATTTGAGAATACAGAGGGTCCATGTGATAGAAATTATACTCATAATTATTTAATCTCTTCTGGCATTTCCTTATGAGTTATTCAAATGAAATTATAAATGAATTAAATCAATTATGTGAAAGTAATAGCAATCACTCAAAATACTTTATCTCTGAATGAGAGTAAATTGTTTCAAAAAGCTTAGCCAATATCTTTGAAAAATGTTACACCTTGTTTCCTTCTAACAATCCAGGAAATTTCTATTTAAAGAATTGTTAAATGTAAAATTATTTCAAAAAGAGGACCCTGGAGATATTTTTTTAAGTTGAACACGTACTGTGTGTTTAATTTGTGTATATGTTAAGAGACATAATCCTTTATTTATTTTGGAAGAAACTGCAGACACACCTAATGCACACAGATGGAGCTCTAATTGATTTGTGCTTGTTCTCAATTTAAAACTTCTTTAAAAATCAACAGTAGCACATTCCAAAGTTTAGCTTGGAGTGCCCTCTGCTGTTCTTAAGACAGTAATACAAACACAGGTTAAATTTATTTTTCTATTTAAAAGAACAAATTGTTGATAGCCTTATAACTTTAACCATATAATCATGAATGTATGCTTTCTACAGGGTCCTTGGAAAAGTGATTGCTTAGTGAATTATAACATATCTAATTAAAAAGTCTTCCCAGATAGAAGATAGGTGGATGATGATGATAATCGACAGATAGAAAGATAGATGATAGACAGTTAGATAGATGATAGATAGATGGATAGATACTGAGATAGATTTGTATTACAAAACCAGTAGATCCAAGCTTACATCTCCAATTTTTGATATAAAGATAAATTTTCCAGTGTCTGATATTAAGCTGGATGTTGTAACTAATATAATGTAGCACTGGATTTAATTGTGTCCCCTTAAAAATGCATATATTGAAGTTCTAACCCCCAGTACCTCAGAATGTGACCTTATTTTGAAGCAGGTTCGTTGCAGGTGTCATTACTTCAGATGAGATCATACTGTAGTAGCATGGGCCCTAATCTGATATGTCTGGTGTCTTTACAAAAAGCGGATATTTAAACACAGAGACACACAGAGAAGCACATAGGGAGAACACCATGGAAGGCCGAGGACTGAGGAGATGTGCCTACAAACCAAGGAACAGCAAGGATTGCCAGCGAACCCCAAGGAGAGGGGAGGGGCCCGGAGCAGATTCTCCCTCACAGCCTCAGAAGGAACCTGCTGCCATCTTGATTTTGGACTTCTGGCCTTTAGAACTGTGAGATAATACACTTCTGTTGTTCTAAACCACCAAATTTGTGATACTTGGCAATGCCAGCCCTGGGAAACTAATACCAATGCAAAGTTAGAAATGCAAAATTAGTGTTGCATTATGATTGAGAAAATTCGAAGCCCAGTGCAACAATCCCATGCGATGGTGCCAGGGGTGAGCCGGGAGCTCTGCAGCTGCTCTCTGCAGGGATGCTCTACAATCCTGCCGGGTCGGGCCCTCATCACCACTAACCATGCAGGACGCTCAAAGACACAGGTGGGCTGGTTAGAAGGGGCTGATCTTGAATTGAAACGCAGATGTGGCTGATCACTGAAACCGCCTCTTCTGCAGGCCCATGATGATTCTACTAGCTCACGTGCAGGTACACATTCACATGCATGCATGCACACACATGCACAGACGTGCACACACACACATTGTGCATGTAACTATCAGCATTTTGGTCAAAACCATTCAACGTGTCTCTAGGAAGTTCCAAACTTTCCCACATTTTCTTGTCTTCTTCCAAGCCTTGCAAGCTGTTCCAACCTCTGCCCATTACTCAGCTCCAAAGTCCCCCACTCTTCTGACAATTTTCTATATTAGTTCGTTCTCACACTGCTATAAAGAACTACCTGAGACTGGGTAATTTATGAAGAAAATAAGTTTAATTGACTCACAGTTCTGTGGGCTTAACAGGAAGCATGACTAGGAGACCTCAAAAACTTACAATCTTGGCAGAAGTCAAACAGAAAGCAAGCACCTTCTTTACATGGCAGCAGAAGAGAGAGAGTGAGGGGCAAGTGCCACACACTGTTAAACCATCAGATCTCATGGGAACTCTCTCACTATCACAAGAACAGCAAGGGGGAAATCAACCCCCAAGATCCAATCACCTCCCACCAGGACCCTCCTCCAATTCGACATGAGATTTGAGCAGGGACACACATTCAAACCATATCAGTATATATATTGCAGATACTAGGTTACGTGAGTGAGCATCTATGAAGAAAATTTCCTGACATGACACTGCAGCAAAAGCATGTGTACTTTTTAATTTTTGAAAGTTAATAACAAACAATCCTCCTGAAGGCTGTGATAATTTCTACTCACTTCAACCATACACGAGAGTGTCATCAAAAGCAAAAATTGACAAATAAGATCTATTAAAACTAAAAGATCTCCTGTATAGCAAAGGAAACTATTAATAAAGTAAACAGACAACCTACAGAATGGGAGAAAATTTTGGCAAACGATGCATCTGAAAAGGTCTAATATCCAGCATCTATAAGGAACTTAAACAAATTTACAGGAATAAAACAAACAGACCCATTAAAAAGTAGGCAAAGAACATGAACAGACACTTTACAAATGAATACAGACATGCAGCCAAAAAGCATATGAAAAAAAAATACTCGGTGTCACTGATTATTAGAGAAATGCAAATCAAAACCACAATGAGATACCATCTCACAGAAGTCAGAATGGATATTATTAAAAAGTGAAAAAACAACAGATGCTGGTGAGGTTGTGGAGAAAAGGGAACACTTATATACTGTTGATGGAAGTGTAAATTAGTTCAACCATTGTGAAAAGCAGTATGGCCATTTCTCAAAGAGCTAAAAGCAGAAATGCCTTTCAACTCAGCAATCCAATTATGGAGCATATATCCAGAGGAATAAAAATCATTCTACCATAATGACAAATAGACATGAATGTTCACTGCAGCACTCTTCACAATAGTAGAGACATGGAATCAACCTAAACGCCCATCAATGACAGAGAGAATAAAGGAAATGTGGTACATATATACCATGGAATACTACACAGCCATAAAAAAAAGAATGAGATTATGTCCTTTGCAGGAACATGGGTGGAGGTGGAGGACATTATCCAAAGCAAACTAACCCAGGAACAGAAACCAAATATTGCATGCTCTTACTTATAAGTGGGAGCTAAATGACGAGAACACATGGACACAAAGAAGAGAACAACAGACATTGGGGCTTCCTCGAGGGTGGCGGGTGGGAGAAGAGAAAAAAATAACCACTGGGTACTAGGCTTAATACCTGAGTGACAAAATAATCTGTCACAAAACCCCTGTGACTCTGACTTCTTGGCCAGGTTTATTCTCAGATCTGATTCCTGCCATGATCCCTCGTGAAACTGTGCTACTTTCAGAAGAATGTGGATTCTGCGTTTGTAATTATAACCCTGCTAGAATGATTACTTGATTAAGGTTGACTTTACTCCCAGCCTGTAAACTTGAGATCAGCTTATTCGTAGTTAAATGGTAGCACTGGCTTCCATGCTGTGCCTGCTGTCAGTAGGTACCCGGGTAATAGGGAGTAAACCAGCAAGTTCTATGTTCTGAAAATCCGCTCGAAAGCCCATGTTAGCTGGAAAGGTTTGGGGAAATAAATTACTGTCTTAGTTCATTACGGTTGCCATAACGAAATACCAAAAACTGGGTGGTTTATAAACAACAAAATTCATTGCTCACAGTTCTGGAGTCTGCAAGTCTAAGATCCACGCAGGGGCAGATTCAGTGCCTGGTGGGGGCTTCCTGGTTCATAGATGCTGGTTGTCTTCTGTCTGCGCCATCACGTGGTGGAAAAAACAAGGGCGTTCTTTGTCTCTTAAATAAGAGAACGAATTTCATGTACCAGGGTTCCGCCCTCATGACCTTCCACGTACGAGGGTCCCGCCCTCATGACCTTCCACGTACGAGGGTCCCGCCCGCATGAACTTCCGCGTACGAGGGTCCCGCCCTCATGACCTTCCGCGTACGAGGGTCCCGCCCTCATGAACTTCCGCGTACGAGGGTTCCCGCCCTCATGGCCTTCCGCGTACCAGGGTCCCGCCCTCATGGCCTTCCGCGTACGAGGGTCAGGCCCTCATGACCTTCCGCGTACGAGGGTTACGCCCTCATGACCTTCCGCGTACGAGGGTTACGCCCTCATGACCTTCCGCGTACGAGGGTTACGCCCTCATGACCTTCCGCGTACGAGGGTTCTGCCCTCATGACCTTTTCACCTTCCGGAGGTCCTGCCTCCTAGCCCCATCACCTTGCGGGTGAGGATTTCAACAGATGAATATGGCGGTGGGGGGGTGTAAACATTCCGATCGCAGCAGCCACCCACGTATCACCTTGGTCTGGGGTGTAGCAGGCATTGCCAGGGCTCAGCCAAAGCCGGGCTCCAGCTGCTCGTGGAGATAACAAAGGCTTCTGTGGCCTCATCTACTTCATTGTGACGAGGTCGAGGCTGTAAGGGGCCAAGTGGATGATTTAGCTCAACAGCTAAATGATGTTCTGGGAGAAAGGGACTGAGGCTGCCGTGGACAGTGGTCATCTCGGGCTTCGAAGTATCTATTCCAGCTTCCTAAGGGCTCACCCTTGTCCTGGGGTGAAATGATCCTCCCACCACGCCCACAGCCCACGGTGGAGGGGTCATTCCTGGCACCTCCTCCCGCAATTGGATTACAAGGGTTCCCAGGCCGAGTCCACTCCGCGGCTGCGTGAGAGGTGGGATGCGGGCAGAGCTCAGCCGCCCGCACCCGCTCTCCCAGGGCCCTTAGTGTTGAGCAGCAGTGGGAGAACCGTAAGGCTGGCTGGAGACGTAGGTGGAATCCTCCGTATAAGTCTCAGCTGTCCTCTTCAGTCAATTGTGTGCGCCTACTGCACCTTTCCCGGCGTGGCCGGTTCCCACCACCCCACCCCCTCCCGCCCCCGTCAGCCAGAGACCCTTTTCCTTTAACTTCTTAGGTCAATGTGAAGTCAACGTCTAATGGACCCGAGTTCAGCCAAGAACACACACCAGTTGTTCCAGGGAAGAATCTCATGGTGAAGCACTAGTGAGCGTCCAAGCAACTCCCAGCCTAACCTCACCGGTCTGACTGTGGGGCTGCTTCTGCCACGGCTCCTGGCTGGCGATGGGGCTGTCAGCGTGTCAGCCAACCATGCATTGCAGATGCACTTTGAAGAAAATTAATGTACCTGGGTACTTATGGGACTCCCTGAATGAGTGGGTATAATTGAAATAGCCGGGACATCAAAAAGCTGGAACACTGGGAGCCTGGCCCTAGGGTGGCGGAGGCCACAACGGAGCCCCCAGCCGGTTGGAAAGAGGCTTCCTATGCTCTCCTTTCCATGCCACTGCGGAAGTGCTAGGGAACAGGAAGACCAGGGCATTGCCAAGTGAATAATAACAACCATGTGTGCGGCGTTCACGATACCCCAGGCTCAGTGAGCCTTTTACTCAGGGTCTCATGTGATGCTGAAAACAATCCCATGAAGTTTAGAAGCCTGTGCACACGAAGAGACGTGGTGTTTCCCTATTGATCCAAACTGCATGCTGACCTGTTCCTGCCAGGGCTGCGCTCCTCCTGCTTTGCCCTGGCTCTCCCGTTCTGCACTCCCTCTTCTACCGGGAATTCCTGGAAGCACCTTTTATTCACAGTGCCTGCTTTGAATAGATACAAATACAATTTGTATCTTATGTAGTCCATTCCACACAATTGAAAATATAATGTAATAAAAATCAGAAAAGTAAATCCAGGAAAGTCTCTAACACATATTAGGGCCTCAATAAATGGACCCTAAGAGGGTGGGGAAATGGCTTTGGTTTTTAACTGTGCTTCTTTTGAGCTTGATGCTGTTAACTTAGTACAATCTATCAATAAATATCGTCATCAAGAAAATATTAAAGGTGTACCTGAGTCACAGGGGAGGAGGTGCAGGGCTTCTGAGAAAATGTCCTTCAGTCACCAGCCGGTGAACAATGGGACTCGTTATTGTCCCCTCACCCTGCATACCACCAGGGGGCACTGATGAGCTGAGAAAGACTCTGTGGTCCAAAAACGGTACCAAATGAAAAGGCCACTTCCCAGCCTCTGTAATAAAAGGCGAAAAGCAGTCAGGGAATTTAGTCAAGACCTTATTCAGATGGCGGGAGGAGAGGGGGCGGAGCAGCCAGTGTTGAAAAGGGTTTTATCCAAACCAGTTTAATATCTTTAAAAAAAATTGTTGGGCATTTTTTTTTTTTTTTTGAGACGGAGTTTCACTCTTGTTGGCCAGGATAGCAATTTTTACTTCTGATAATTTTCTCCTCACTACTGTCAAATCAAGTTTAGCTTAAAGCTGCCTTCTTACATATTTTCAATTTCGCCTAAAGGTTTTTTGGTACATTAGAAACTATAACTGTGTAAACAGACTGTAGCCCATACACTGAATTTGGCCAATCAAATGTAGCCAACTCTTTGAACCTTGTTCTAATAAGGCCAACACCAAGTTGCAACCAATCTAGCTGTTTCTATACTTCGATTCCCTTTTCTGTCCATAAATCTTCCACCACACGGCTGCACTGGAGTCTCTGAGCCAACCCTGACTCAAAATGCTGCCTGATTCATGAATTGTTCCTTATTCAAACACCTTTAAATTTAATTTGGCTGAAGTTTTTCTTTTATCACTACTTTTTAAAAATCTCCAAATGGGTTATTCTCTTTTATCCCCTAATCAGATTTGATTCTCTTTTGTTCTCTAATTAGATTTATTTAGATTCCCTAATAAGATTTTATTGGAAAAAAAAAAAAAAACCTTTTTAATCATCTTTTTTGGACCAGGATGTACAGGGTTGCATCCACAGATGTGTAGTTGGTTTTCCCAGTGCAAATTCATAAGTGCTGGGCAAAATGGCCTCGTGTAGGGCTCAGAACTCCGGCCCTGTGAGCACCATTGTTCTAGAAAGATCTGTGTTCTAGGAAGAACACTTAACCATTTCTAGAACGTTTCTTCTAGAAAGAACAAAGAACCATTGTTCTGTGGTTCTAGAAAGGTGCTTCCACAAATCCCCAACCAGTGGGTGAAGCACAGAAAGGCAGAACAAGAGAAAAGCAGGAAGAGCAAGGCTGGTGAGAGCCACAGCAGGAGTGGGTCAGAATATAGCCTGCAGGGTCAGTACCCTGGAGGAGACGCAGGTCTGGGAAGAAGCGGCTCTCCCCAAATCCTCAGCCTTCACTGACCGCCTCTCTCCTGACAACTAGGACGATGCAATTTAACTCCTTGTTATTTACTGCTGAGTTATCTAACATAATTGTCGGGACTGGTCTAGACTTCCAGAGCCCCCTAACTCACATGAGGCATGAGAACCCAGCAATCTGTGCACTTAATGTGTCCGACACTGCATTCGGGCTCTGAAACCCTCATGGACCTGGGTCTCCCCGGTTGCTTGGAGGGCCCTGCATTCTGCCTCAGGGCATTTTGTGCCAGCCCTGTCCTGCTAAATACTAGACAGACTGCCTGGACACATAGGATGGGGGTTCTCCTGAGCTTCAGGACAGATGCAGGGAAGTGCTGTGCCTCCTTACCAAGAAATGGGTGCGTGCTTGGCAGGACTGGGTCTAAGGCTTGCCTTTCTTGTGCCACTCTTGTGCCACTCTTCCTGGGAGCAAGTTCATGTGGAAAAATCTCCGACCCACCTAGAGTAACCAACGGGCACACCAGTGTGAACAATACAGCGTCTGGCAAAAGAGAAGCCACGTGCAGGGAAGCGATGTGTGCCTTTGTGCCTTGGGGTCTCCATCTGAAGCTTCGTTTAGTGGCTGAACATTGAAGCAGTGGAGGATCCACCAACTCATGTGCAAAGTCAGCTACTCCATGAAAGCCCTCAGGACCATGGAGGCCAGGATGCCGGGGACTGTCTCTGCCAAAGCTCCCTGTGGGCCAGGCTGCATCTTCCTGCAGTGGACACTGGCCCACAGCTTCTCCTTCACTCCAGTGGAGTCAGGGAGGGAGCCCACTGTGACTTGTCCCCACCTAGATTGTTAGCACTGGTATCCTGGCCTTCAATAGCAGCACCCATCTCCCTCTCTGGAGAGGACAGACACCAAAGGATGCTGAACAAAGCACAGGACCTGCGCGGAGAGGACCACGTTTAAACCTAAAGGCACTGATATGGTTTGGCTCTGTGTTCCCAGCCAAATCTTATACTGAATTGTGATCTCCATAATCCCCACCTGTCAAGGGTGGGACCAGGTGGGAGGTGATTGAATCATGGGGGTGGTGTACCCCATGCTGTTCTTATGATAGTGAGTGACTTCTCACGAGATGTGATGGCTTTATAAGGCAGTTTTCTCTGCTCTTCCTCGCTCTCTCTTTCTTGCTGCCATGTGAACGAGGTCTTTGCTTCCCCTTCACCTTCTGCCATAATTGTAAGTTTCCTGAGGCCTCTCCAGCCATGCGGAACCATGAGTCAATTAACCCTCTTTTCTTTATAAATTACACAGTCTCAGGCAGCTTTTTATAGCAGTGTGAGAACTAACTGATACATGTACTTCTGGGTACCAAGAGATGCCAGCTACAAATACTATACCATAAATTTAATTCTATATGAAATGCTTAATAGGAATTGGCTTTTAAAAGAATTATATGATGCAGATAAACTCAAATTGAAAAATAGTCTACAAATTCTGGCACTCTTCAAAAACACCAATATGGTGAAAAATAAACAATGGCTAGAGAACATTACAGAATAAAGGAGACTAAAGAACATGGCAACTCAATGCCATGTGTGAAAAAAATTACCATAAAGATGCCATAAAACTCGAATATAGATTGTGTATTAGATATTAGCTTTGTATTGATGTTGAATTTTCTGAGACTAATAAAGGCACTTAGGTAATTTGAGAGAATACTCTCTTTTTCGTGAGATACATGCTAAAGATCAAAGGAGTGAAAGATTATGACACCTGTGATTTACTCTCAAATAGTTCTTCCAATCAGCAAAACAACTACATGTGAGTATAACTGTGTATTCACAGGTGGGGAGGGTGATGGTTCAAATGCAGCGACATTTTTAAAAGAATATCATGTGGACAATGTGTTTCAATCCTTCGGCAAAATTCAGTAGATTTGGATTTCCAAATCGCGAGTGTCCTGGCATAGGAGAGAAATGAGAGGAGACCAACGAGGGCAAAAGGCGACAATATAGCAGAGAAGACAATTCTGAATTTTTCTTAAGTGAAAATGGAATTAAAGAGCTTTAAAAAAAAATAAAGTGCAAATGGAACAGACCTGATGATAAATTTCTAAATTTTAAAGTTTTAGTTAGCTTGATTTTTCATCTAAAACAACTCATGAATTTGGCAAATTTTGAACAGAATTCCCAAAGCCCAGAATGAAGCTGTAGGGTCCCAGCCGTGTCTTGCTAGTCATCTCTCACTTTTGCTACTAGCGAAGAAGAAGGTGGAGAAGCTTTCACAGGAAGGAAGGGAAGCTGAGGAAGAGGGGGCTCTGTCATGAAGAAACGGAGGAAGAGAGGGCTCCGTCATAAAGAAGCAGTGACAGGGGACCCCTTAGAGAAGCCGAAGAGGGAGCAGAGATAAGGAAGACAGAAACCAGCACAGGCCAGGGAGCCCCCTGGGGAAAGATGCAGAGCCCAGATGACGCTGCCTCCCCACAGGTTGCAGCACCCAGGAGGCTCCAAAGGCCTGGCCCCACCACCCAGCCCCACGGCCCTATGTTCAGGAGCCATCCAATTAGCCTGAGCTCAGCTTGCTTCTGATGGGGAACAGAATCCTTCACCCATGTTTGGAAGTCAGTTGACTAGAGATTTAGCCTGGAGACAGGTGGGTTTTCCTGATTTGAGCCTGGAAATGTGAACCAGGAGGATTTGGTTATCATCTCCGTACAGCAAGTGTGAGCCATCTGGGACTTATGTACCTCACCAGCTGTGATGCTGGAATCCTCCAGGCCTCTCATCACACCTGTCTGAGGATTCCTAGCAAAAAATTAATGTCATGGCCAGCAACCACATCTATGCGTACATCACACTCAAACCTGGACGTGAGTCTAGGGAGGTATCGGCAGCCTTCAAGCATTTGAAGGCATGTCCAGCAGAAAGGGGAAGAACTGGAATTACTGGACGTGGTGCCTTTAACATTTCTCCCTGAGACATGGTTTTGAATCCAGATCATGATTTGTCCATGAGAATAATTCCTGTCACTATTCCGTCAGGGAAATCAGTTTATCAGATGCATTTCTTAGAGTGTAGAGTATAGTGTTCTAAAATAAACATACTTTAATTGTCAGCTACCTCTTTAGAAATATACCTCCTTATAAACATTTGCTCGTCTGCACTGACTTTCCCACTGGGTAATTGCCTTTCTAAAGACAAGATATGTATCCTTAAGAGCACTTTGCACACTGGCTATTATTAAGGAAAGAAAGAATATAAACATAAAATAAATGTTTACGAATTTGAGAAATAGAAAATAAATGTGTAAAATTCCCTAAAATGAATTACATATGAAGTTTGTAGAGTCATACTAAAAATTTCCTGTATTTATTACAGTATAAATATCAGTGTTTATGAGGATCTTTAGAAAAGGGGTCTTGAGAGTTGAGGAATTAAGAAAATGATAAAATGTGGAGACAAACATCCCTGGTGCTTCTGTGTAAATATAACTATAAAAGCCCCCTTTGTCCGGCGTACTATTAAAGTGAGTTTGGGATGGGGTAGAAGGCACTCTAGTCTCCCTGCTGCCCTGCTGCCCTCTTGGAGTTGTCATTGCTCTCCAACCCAAATCATTGTCCGCTGCTCCAGAAGATGCATGGACCTACCAAGGTCACAGCCTCATGCACCCGATCCCTCAACCCGGAGAACTGCACTGAAGTTGAACTTGAATGAGAATGGATACAACTGACAATAAAGAAGTCTATGCACACTAATAATAAAAGGTGGGATTTGCATCTCACGTGTGCATGAGGGTCCCAGAGGCCGTATTTCTCTCTGAGCCACTGTGTAAATCATCTGTAGAGATGAGAACAGGCCCTTATTCAGTGTTCATCAAGTCTTACCTACACAGCAGGATATCAGTCTAACCCTGAAGCACCCTTGCTCTAACTATGCCCCAGGATTGAGGTGTGAAGCTTCTAGGCTGTGCATGTAATTCACATAGTCACATGGGGAATGCAGCTACAAATGATCATTGCCACGTCACAGGGAGAAGAACAATTCGCAAATGCAAGTTTTAAGTCTCAGGCGTATTTCTACTGAAAAGCAGAGTCATTTTTGGCTTACTGCTCCTTCTAGATGAGTTAATTTGGCAAAGTGCTAACTAAGCCCGAATCTCTGGTGTGAAAGCTGAAACACATTTGAGTCCAGAAAAGCAGGGGCTGTCTGTAGATCAAGGAGCCTTCTGCTTTGGGATTGTTGAGAAAATTAAATCAGCATCTGAAGACAAAGAGCGAGCACTCTGTAAGTTCCTGGGTTTTTGGTTTTGTTTGGTTTTCAACGGTCTTGCTCTGTTGCCCAGGCTGGAATGCAGCAGCATAATCACGGTAGCCTCAGACTCCCAGGCTCAAGGGATTCTCCGACCTCAGCGTCCCTAGGAGCTGAAACCACAGGTCTGAGCCATCATGTTTGGCTAATTTTAAAAAGTTTTTTGTAGAGATCGTGTCTCCCTATATCGCCCAGGCTGGTCTCAAACTCCCGGCCTCAAGTGATCCTTCAGCTTCAGCCTCCCAAAGGGGTGGGATTACAGGCATGAGCCCCTGCGCCTGGTCTCTGTAAGTTCCTGTTAAACAAAAATAAATATAAATATGCAAGAGTGATCTTCCTTCTTCTCTCCTCACCTTGTGGAGGGGATAAGGGAAACAGCGCTTCTGCAGACAAACATCCAACTCTGTGTCCTCCTGCACTCCACCTTGCAGGTCCCCATCGCCCTGTTCTTGCGACATCCTGGGAAAGCGACCCCGGTGGCCGAGCCCAGTGTGCCTTCCTGGACCCATCACTTGGCACCCTGCACATGCTCCTGACGGCAACTCTACTAGGTGGTGCCCTGGGCTCTCCCTCCGGTCCTGTCAGTGTGACTTCCTTTGTTTGGGTAGAGATGCAGGGAGAGGGCTCTGTGAGCACGTCATTAATAAGATTATTCAATGTCATATTGTGTCCTTTTTACCCAGATATTATTCTTCACGTATTTGCAAGAATCCTAAAGATTGCTGACTTGAGCTTCCAGGTATCCTAAAGTCTGGTTCAAATGTAGTAAGTCCCAACCGTACTCTGTGCAGCACCTGGGCACTGCTGTGTGGTGGAATATCCTGTCCTGTTCTGGTTATTGATCACTGATCATTACATAAGGAGCTTCTACACATGTGCACCATTAAAGACCCACCACATCATTATGCTCTTGGATTCCACTGGCCAGGAAGTTGGCAAGGTGGGGAGGCTGGCTTATCTCTGATCCCAATGTCTGAGGCCTCAGCTAGGAAGATGCACGTGGCTGGGGGCTTCCACACACTCCTTCTCCCATGCATCTGATACTGGGACTGCCAGACTTAGGTGCTGAGCTCAACTGGGCTCTCAAAGTCCTGGCCTCTCCAGGTGGCATGGGCTTCTCTGGGGTCCTGTGAGTGTCCTGAGAGCCAGGCAGGAGGAGAATCCCTCTAACGATCTCATCTCAGAAGTCACATGGCATCACTTCTGCCTCACTCTCTTGGAAGGAAACACAAGCCCACCCAGATTCAAGGGGAGAGGAAATTGACCGCATCTCTCCATGGGAGAACTGGCCAAGGACCAGCAACAGTTATTAAAGCCATCCCATGACATTTTGCTATTTGATCAATGAGCTTATACTCTACGATGAGGGCGTCTGGGTCTCCTATTTGACCTGGTGCATCCAGGGTGTGTGGTGGCTTCAATCCTCAGCCACACCACAGACAAGTGTGGGTGTATCTCCATCAACAGCATTCCCGCATGTTAGGACAAGCGGTTTCTCCTGGGCTTCTGCTACCGTAATTCTCAACGTCTCTGAAAGGAGAGCTTAGTCCATTCTCACATCCCTATAAAGAAATACTTGAGACTGGGTAATTTATTTTAAAAAAAGGTGTAATTGGCTCATGGTTCTGCAGGCTGAACAGGAAACACAGCACTGGCTTCTGCTTCTGGGGAAGCCTCAGGAAGCCACAATCATGGTGGAAGGTGAAGAGGGAGCTTGCATGTCACGTGGCAAAAGCAGGAGGAAGAGAGACAGAGCAAGGTGCCACACGCTTTAAACAACTAGACTTTGTGAGAACTCGCTCTTGCCAGTACAGCACCAAAGGCATGGTGCCCAACCATTCATGAGAAATCCACCCCCATGATCCAATCACCTCCCACCAGGCCCCACCTCCAACACTGGGGATTATGTTTCAAAATGAGATTTGGGCAGGGAACACACATCCAAACTATATCAGAGATCAGGGAAACTTTAAGTAAATTACATGATTCTTCCCTAATTCTACTGTCCTGTCCATCATATTGAAATGGAAGGATAATGGTCCAAACCCCAGATTCCCATAATTCTTGCTTTCTCACATTCAGGGGTAGATGGAGGAGCAGATGACAGTTCCAAGCCACCATGGATGGGGCTCAGCTGGGAGCCATGGCCCCAGTCCCCAGTATCTGAGCCAATCGCTCATGTGCCTCCGTGTGCTGAAGTGAGCTGCCACTGTCCAGCTCCCAGGAGATAGCACTCCCCCATGGACTGGCCACCAGCCACCTCATATGTACCTGGCTCTGCCCCTTTAGCACCAAGCAGAAGACCTGTCAGGTATCAGGTGCTCAGTGCAGGCTTTTCCATGTGAGACATCTTCTCGGCCAGGGCCCTCATGAGAGTGAAGCTGCAAGAAGAATTGAGGGCTCTGTCAGCAAGGAAAGCAACTATGCTAGACCTCCCTGTGAGCTACTCTGAGGGTGCTCAGGGCTCCCAGATCATTGAGCATTGAGCATCCAGTCTCCCACCCACCCCAGCTCTGAGAGCAGAGTCATCCTCTAGGCCCCGTCCTCATCCCTGCAAGCTCGACCTTTCTCAAGATTACTCAGCATCTGACCCTCAATCGGACACGAGGTGTAAATGAAGAGGCTCCTAGTACAGCGGGAGCTGTGGAAGACATCAGGAAGTGGCGATCTGAGCTGCTGAGAGATTAGACAAAAAAAAAAAAAAAATGGAGCCATTGGAATGCATGAAGGCCTATCCCGAGGGCAGCAGGAGACACTTCACAGTCACCCGAGTTCAGCCCAGAAGCACCTCTGCAGAGGAAAAGAGCTGCCTTCCCTTCAGAAGGGAAAATGTGATGCCGATAAAGGTAACAAGCCTGTCCCAGTCACAGAGGATCATCAGATCATCATACTGACAGCTAAGATTAAGTGAGAGGCAGTGCAGTGTGTCCCTAAGGCCGCGGGTGGAAGTCAGGCCACCAGCTCTGTCGTTAGTCATCTGAGTGACCTGGGACAAGTGACTGAAGCTCCCTGTGGCTCAGCCTCCCTGTCAGGAGGACCTCATGAACTTGTGGAGGGGACAGACGACAGTCGTGAGTTAGGCTGGCACAGAGGCAGCTTCTTACCAAAGTCGGCCTTGGCATTAACGACAAGGTGCCAGCACCCCCGCCGCATCACTGTCCAGCACTCCAGGGCTCTGTGGAACAGGAATTAATAATGACTCTACTGGGATTCAAACCCACATCAGTCTCTGAATCCAGCACCCAGGCACTTCTCTGCAATGAACGGTCACTCAGTGGGAGGATCGTGACAGAGAGGCCAGTGGCATGCTGCAATTCCAGTGGCCAGCAAAGCCCCCAGCTTAGCTCACACCCCTGGGCATCCTTCCCACCACCACAGTGCAGGAGACACTCACGGGCCCAAGATCACAACTTTGAATTTTCAAATGGCATGAAATGAGGCTTGCCATGCAGCGTTTAAGGAAACTGGGAAGGATATGAAAGGCATTTACATAATGATTTCCTTACATAATAAAAATGCTTAAACTTCACCGCCTTGAAAGAAAAATAAACTTCAGTTATGTGCCAAGTTAGTGTACATGGGACATCTCAGTTTTCTATTATGGGATGCATACGTTATACACTTAGAGGTATCTATATTCCCATGCTGGACCACACATGCAACAATTCAAGATGTATTTGTGCATAGTGTCCATTTGTAACTTGTGCTTTTTAAAAATTGTTTTACTTGCCATAAAAAGTAACTTTGACAATTTGTAATTTTGTTTAGGACTTGAATGGGAAAACTGTAGGCCTTTAGCAACTGCCGTTGCCTGGGAGCCAGTCATTTTTATAAATATTGGTTCCCGTCTCCCCTTAGTCGAAGTTTGCTGTGTTTGCTGTTTGTATTAACTGACTGAAATTTTTGTTCTTTTTTTTCTTGCTCTGTTTTAGAATATCTGTGCATGTGCAGGTTCCAGGGTGCCCTGCTGTGAGGAGCTGGCGGAGACTGATGCCTGAGGCCAGTCTCCCGGCAACTGCCCACAGCCTTGACCTGTTTACCTAAGATCAGCGGTTCACATTCAGGGATGGGTACTTTTTTTTTTTTCAATTTTTAACTTCACACTTGTAAATATTTGCTGGCTCTTTTTCTTTTTTAATAACAAAGGTTCTATTTGAAAAAGAAGCTTTGAAATTATTGTCTTACTTTAGAAGAAATGGCCAGAAACCCTCCCCCACCCTGCCTTGCTGCAATTATTGATGCTATTAATATGCCCAGGAAACGCTTCTTTCAGGTTGTTATAGCATCACGATGAAGAATTCTTGGCTAAAGAGGTTTCTGTCCTCCATGGGGGATCAGAACCGGCGACCCACAAAGCCTTTGGCTTCATTCCTGGTACCTTGTTCTATGCAATGAAACGTCCACCCAACCTTTCTCAGCCCGGGGCTTCCCCGAGCTCCTTCTCACAAAGACCTGATAACAGGAGGACTGTAGACCTTCATTTGCTTTCACCCTCAAAAGCATGCACACAGCCAACTGGGCGAGCAGATGAAAAGGTTAATCCCCCTCCTGGTCTCCACTCCACTCAGTAGAGAATGACCTGCTGTGATTTTCCTTTCCCCCATCTCCTACTTCTCCCTGGGGAAGTGCCAGGGTCCCCACCCCTGGAACTTGGCTGGCCATGAGGAGTCCTGTTTTCGTTTTAACCATCAGCTCTCAATTGATTCCAAACCAAAGGCGATGGGTTGCCTGTGAAACATAAACTAGGTGCTGCACCACGCACGTTTTGACCGACTGAAAATTTGAATTGCTAGAAAAGTGATTTATCCCATCTCAAGTTTCAATATGATTATTAAGTGAACTTCTTTTTTCCTTTTCTGGCAAGGGTTGAAAGAAAGGGTCAAGAATCAGCCCTGTTTATTTAGACAGTGGCATATTTCTTGATGGGCTAGGGATGACAACTGGCAGGTAGAGGTGGCCCCATGCAAACAGCAGGTGGAAGTGGGGGTGCTCAGCCTCTGTACTCTGAAGGGAAGTGGTCCGGTTGGCCCTGGGCGTGATGGGGCCCTAAGGAGTCACAGTTTGTCACATCCCAGGTGTGTCTCCGCCTAAGCCACCCTCGCAGCAGTCTCAGGCAAGGTCCTTGGGAGACCAGGCGGGGAGAGAGGGCCTCTGGCCAAGCTCCTTGCAGTCAGGGGAAGCTTGAGTCTCCAGGCCTCCCAGGACCCAGTCACTGACAGGGAACCAGCCCCCGCAGCTGGAAGCTGCCCCACCTCTAAAATCAGGTGGGGCTGCTGGAGCCAGGGCCACAGCTGCACTTCTGCTATTACAGAAGAGGTTGGTGCAACTGAGGTGGCCTGCTCTTGGCTTTGGGTGGTGACCGGGCTGGGAGGTTGGGCTTCTCCCTGAGATGGTCACTGCGTCAGGTATGAGGATGCCACACAGTCCTGCGCTCAATGGACACGTAACCTTGCACGAGGCCGACACATCGACAGATTGTCGCCTGGGCTGAGGAGTGGGCTGCAGCTGGGGCCCTCCTGAGGGTGACAGGGCCGGCTGGGAGGGTGAGCTCCCTGGGGAGCAAACACTGCATCGGGAGGATGGACTGTACCAGCCTGGCCTCCTAGAATGCAGAGCTCAAGCAGGTGGGCTGGGTCCAGGTTATGGACAGCACCTGCTAATAGGAGTCCTTCAAATTAACCTAAAGAACCAATATAAAGCCCTGGCCCAGAGCAAACAAAACATGGATGCTAACACTTTCTAATAGAGGATAACAGCAGAGAGGAAAGTCGACTGTGCACCGACAATCCCCAGCAGCAGCCACACAGCAATGCACTACACTGAGGCTCATTTCCAAGCCCCCTGCTCCTCTGACGTAGGCCCATGAGGTCCTAGGAAGAATTTATTCATCCTAGAAGGATGAATTAAATCTGTCTGACACTGGCCTGATTTTAGTACTGAAGGTCCTGCACCCCAGGAAGTCCCCAACTCGGTCCCAGGTAGACCAGGACAGTTGTTCACCCTAACTTGGAGGCTAGCTTTCAGACACCCAACACCCAATGCAGAGGGACAGGAAATTGGCCTCTCAGCCAAGCTGTTCCAGACCCGACCAGAAGAGGGCAGCCAAGGACCATGGCTGTGAAATAGACGTGGGGTTGCCAGGAATCTCCACAAACACAGGCCCTGGTCCACTTCCCAGGTCGAGGCCTCTTTTATGGACAGGGCTGGGGAGTGTAGACTTCGAGGGGATAGAACTCTAACATAGGTCCAATGAACCCACGGTCCCGGTGTTTGTGAAATGTCCTCGAAGTCCGGTCTCCCGTTCTGATATGCTTCAGTGTAAATTCTTCCTTAGCATTATTTGTTTTTATCAGATGTAAAGAATGAAGACGTCTTGTCATTTAACAAAAATGACAGCTGTGGTTTTGGAAGAAAAAAAAATTACGCCTTTTCATCAAGTATTTGGAGAATCACGGGACCCTTTAGAAGTCTCGTTGGTACTTTTTGTGCTGACACTGGCGGGGTGTGCAGCTGCCCCGACCATCAGCCCATCCCCGTCTGCGGGTGGAGATGGCTCATGGACAGGAGGCAACAACCCCGACGGGAGCAGCAGCTCCCGCAGGAGCCCACAGGGACATCCTCCTCTTCTTATCTGAGGCCTGCAAGTGCCAGTGCAGGAGCACCTCCTTGGGGCAGAGGGAGTGAGAGACAGGAAGGGGAAGGACTCAGCCCAGCACATGGGGGACCGTGGCAGGTGCACCAGGGGTGCCCCCGCAAGGGGCCGGCTGAGGTCAGAGGGGCTGCGACTCATGTAGCACCCACCTGCGGGGCTGACTCCAGAAACCAGGACCTGTGCCCAGGAAGCAGACCACCCTCCAGGCCATGCCCTTCCGGCATCAGTGAGGTGTGCAAACTGCTTGGCAACTGGGGTGCAAGGCCGGGCGCTCTCGAGGCCAATACATCAGCTGGTTTTATTCGTTAACACAGTGGTGCCTGGCATGGGGGAGGGCACTTAATAAACCTTTGTTGGATGAAGGGTTACGATCACCGACTAGCGCTGCTTTCTAGAACAATTTTCCTGGGAGTGCCCGGCCCTTGCTTTGCACCCTAAGTACTTTATATTGTCTTATGCTCTGCTAGGTTCCCAGGGCTGCCTGAAAACTTAAAATGAAATTGATAGCTCCAAGCAACAGAAAGGCTGGAGTGCTGGAGGGCAGAATTCTGAAATCAATGTGTCCATGGGGCCGTGCTCCCTCTGAAGGCTCCGGAGGAGACAATTGCCTTGCCTCTCCCGGCTTCTGATCCCTGTACGCATTCGGCAACTGGCTGCATCCCTCCATTCCCTTCTGACCTGGCCTTCTCCTCTTTTTTCCTGTGTCTCTCTGTGTCCAGATCTGTCTCTTATGAGGATATTCTCATTGGATTTAGGCCCACCCTCATCCAGTATAATCTCATCTCAATTCTTACCTTAATTCCATCTGCAAAGACCATATTTCTAAGTCAGGCAATGCTCCGAGGTTCCCAGTGTACAAGAATTGTTGGAGTACACCATTCACCCACTACACACACAGAGACAGCAGCCTCTGTGGCTGCCGACAGCACAGGCAGGCCCTATGTTAAACGCTTTCTTTGTGTTTTCACATTTTATTCTCAGAGTCACTCTATGAAGTAGGTTTTATTAGGATCACTCCCATTTTACAGGTAGAGACACTGAGGCAAGTTATGTCCCCTGTCCAAGGTCGGAAAGCTAAAAGGTGACAGAGCCAGGGATGGCCTCCAAATAGACATGAGCCAGCTGAGCCCTGCAGCCCCAGACATACCTGCCCCGTGTTGCCCCTCCAGATGGACTCGGCACTCAACTCTGCCAGAAAATGCCCCGGGACATGTTTAATAGATGATTAGAACTAGTTGAAGTTTTATTTTTTGTGACTACTTTGAAAATGCAGGACTATCCAGAACACTAATAGAGGATGAACAAAACCAGCTGTTGATATGTGGACATCCGTCCCTCTCTAAAATACTTGGCCTGCCACACACCAGAGGGAGTTCTCACTGATCTTAGATTCCTCAGTATGCCAAAGATGAGATCTTCCTAAACTTTTTGCTATAATTTGAAGGAGCATGACAAGTGAGGGCAAAACAAATTATACAAAAATTCTGAGCTTCGCACACTTCCTATGTAGAATGTTAGCCATGCAAGTAGCCTGACAAGGGTAGCCACGCTAACCACCAGCCCTTCCCTGGCACTTACAAGGGTAGCCACACTAACCACCAGCCCTTCCCTGGCACTTACTGGGGTACTAATGCGCTGGTAAAGTTAGGAGAGTCTGGAATGGCATAGCCATAGATATTGCCCAATCTGCTCCCATGAACAATGTCCCCTGGCCAAGCCGCCCTGTTGCTTGGAATCAAGGAATCGGGTGCAATGTCAGCTGATCCCTGAGCAGTGGCCTTCCACAACCCCCAGCCCCTGAAATGATGCAAACAGGCAAATTGCATCTTCCTTCTGGAACCAGGGTCATCCCACCCTCTTGTTACTACACAGCCAGCCTGCCCCAGCCCCTGGGTGGATACTCAGTTCCTGAATGTGACTCTGTGGGGCCACATGACGCACGGTGTCTTCCATCCTGGGAATGTGAGTGGATGTGACTAACATACCACTGCCAGCTGCATCTGCCCCGTGCTGGTGTGTGTTTGGCCATCTTCATAAGCCTGGAGCAGGACTTCCTCCCTCACCAATGGGATGAGGAGGAGGCCATTGGAAGCTCTACTCACCAGGTCCTGCAGAAACTCACAGTCCTTGAGGAAGCAGCCAACTTGGAAACATAAGGCAAGAGAGAGGAGTCCCACACTGATGGCAGGCAGAGAAAACAGTGATTTCTGAAGCAAAGCTAAGAGAAGAGGTGACCTTTGAGATGGATGTTGAAGCCAAAAGAGGTGGTCCCCAGACAGACCCAGGGCTGGAGGGCCAGGCTGGAAGGGCATTTGTGGCACAGGACAACCACGTGCATGAATGTGACAACCAGGAGGCAGCTCAGGGCCCTGCTGTTGTGCCCTTTAGCACTCCACGGTGTGGAAGTGTCTGAATCCAGATTCTGGCAGTGTCTTTTCAGTCCACACTCTTGGGGGCAGCATCTGGGTATAAGCTCAGAGGTAGCATCACCCTAGGTGGCAGGAAAACATTAAAAGATGGTTCTGAGGCCTGATTGACAAGAACCTGCCAGTGTCCCACGGATAGGGTGGCTGGGCCTTGTTTGTCATCATGAAATGGTACAGGGTAGAGACTTATCTGAAAAGTTTGACTCCAGGCACTGTAGGTTGACTGTGTTGTTCACTGACCTCCCAATGTCTTCACGGGGTCTTTGATTACCTGCACTATAAAGTCTGTAGACCTTCAGCATCTCACTTCTGACAGAACTGTAGATGTAACTTTTCAGAATCCATATGAAATATTAACTACTACTCTGAGGGAGGTGAGGGGATTGCATTCTAGCACATTTTAAAATACAAACGGGGACACAAGCAAAGAAAGGCAATGTCCTCAGGCATCCAGTGCCGGGAACAAGACACATCTCAAGTGTGCAAGCCAAGGGTACCCCGTTATTATCACAGAGGAGCAGAGTTCAGCGGAGTAATAGAAGTGTCACCTTGGAAAGGCAGGGCTGGATGCATGCACAAATCAGGATGTGAATCCTGGATTCACATTCAGTGCATGATTCTCGCTCACATTACTGTGCCAATAACTTTAATTTAATAAGCCCATGTGTCAAGGGCCACTTCAGATCCGTCACAGCTGCTGCCTCCCCTCCCTGGTTCCTTGGAAAAGCTCAGTTCTCTGGCTGGCTGCTCCCTCCAGCATCCGCAGAAGGCTGTGTGCTCACACTAGCTGCCTGCACTGACACTTCTGGAGGAGGAACTCAGCATTTCCACAGGTCACTCTGGCTATGATGGCCCAACTCAACCCTCATGACAATGAGCGTGTACAAGGGTGTTCCTGGGGACCTTACCCTGCGGTGAGGAAAAGTGCTGAGCATGCAGGGAGAAAAAGAGAAAACAAATACACGAATCACTTTAATTTGATGCCCCAAATAAAAACTGCTCAAAATGACATTTAAAGGAGGCATTACAGGAGCAAGTTTTATGACTAACCCTTTTACCCAAGAGTAGGCAACAGAAGGGAGACAAAGGTTATTTTTAAGAAATAGTAATGTAATTTAAGAAAACAATATTGAAAATGAATTAATATTGGTACTAACATTTAACTGGGGCTTGCAGACAATAGGGAGGAGAAGCAGGTTTGCAATGGATGTGTTGCTTATGACCGTGCTGTTTATGACTGGCCTAACAAAGCCAGAAACCTGGCCAGGAGAAGGAACGATATTTTCCAAAACATCACAGACGATTCGGACCCTTAAGTGAATGGGTACAACAGAATCAGAGGAAAGGAAGGGTTTAGGTGACCATGAGGCATGGGGAGCATCACAAGGAGAGACATGGCAGAGCCAGCATTTCTTCAGGGCTGTGCCAGCCCCTAAGCACCTGAGCTTCCTGTGCGTGGGGTCCAGCCAAGTGTTTCAGATAACAATTTCTGAACTGTTGTTTGTTTATTTTGTTTTTTTAACCCAGCAATCTATGAAAAGGCCAATACTCTTGAGAATAACTGCACCCACACTCTGCAGTGAGACCTGCATGTACTTAATCTGGAGCAAACCCAGCTGTAGGTAACACAACCCCAAGGCACACACTGCATTCCAATCTTTGGGGCTCTGCAGGCTGGTGTGCTCTCAGTGTCTGCTAGAGGGCCAGTCTTCCAGATCCACATCCTCTCTGGGCCTACACTGTGCTTCTCCACAATATCTGAGTTACATTGTTTTGTTTCTTTGATTCACACTCTTTTTTTTTTCCAATGAGAGTTTTTCACATATGCATTTTTGTTCCTCAAACGCTTTCTGTACAACCTTTACATATTTATTGATTGTGATAGAGGGCTTCTTTTTTCCCTAATTAGCAGACTTTGCAAATTCCTTGTCTGATTTTGCTGGGAATATTGCTGTGTGCTGCCTTCTCCATGCCTTTCTCTCTTTTACTTGAGCAATCTGTCCATCACTGGTTCAGTTCAGCCCTCGCTGAAGATGGCTTTATCACCCCCCAGGCACCATGGAGACATAGCGCCTGATACGGCAGCCAGAAGGACAACCTCTCTGTTCAAGGCTCTGTGCACGCTATCGAGAGGCCTTCTCTATAGAAAGCCCCCAGAGGCCGGAAATCCTGCGTGAGGTGCTTCAGCATGAGGGGTTGAAATGCAAAGAACTGGGTTTAAAAAGTAAGTAATGAGAGAGGTGGATATCTGGTTTTCTAGGAAGAAAGAGTTAATGGAGAAAAGAAATTGAGTTTTTGAGTACAAGTAGTCTTGGCCACAGGAAGAAAACAAAAGCCACCTTCCAGAAAAAGAAGCTGTGTGAGCAGAAGTGGATGGAGAAGCATATGAGTACACTACTGTTTGCTGAAGATTCACCACAATGGAAGAAAGACCAGGGTCAGGAGTGAAAAAGGTTGAAGGTGGGGAGCTGGGTGGGGACTGTAAGAAGGCTTCTACAGCTACCAAGGGTGCAAGCTCCTGTCCACAGCAGCAGGGTGAGCCGGACACAGGGGTCCTTGGAGCCTGCAAATGAGAAATGAGCTCAACCCCTGGGCATTTTGATCAAATGAGCCAGTAGGTTCCTGTGTTGACTGAAGCTATTTCGAGTCATCTTGTAGGCTCTAAACTGGGGTGCTAGTAATTGAAATTGGAAGAGAGAAGTTTAAAGAAATACTTAGAAAAAGGATAGAAGTTAGAGATCAATTAGAGGTGAAGAGCGTGAGTGCAGAGGGTGTTGAGATTGACCTCAGGTTGCTGAAGTAGGTAAGTGTGGATAGAGTGACACATTTGGGAGAAGGAGGACATGCCTGGTCCTTATTATTCGGAGTTTGAATAATTGTTGAGGATTTAGGATCCCAATAAATAGAATCTCTCTTCCTTACTTGAGCTTGGAATCCATTGAGAAATAAATGGAGGTGTCAGTCAGTTGGAAATGTGTGAGATATTATTGATAAGAGCTCTACAGGAAGACGGGGCTTAGAAGTAGATTCAGGTGTGCTCATCAATATCTCCCCTTGCTGTGCATGGCCCAGAGAGTAGTCGAGAACCCAGAATCTCTGCAGACATAGGAGCTCCAAGGAGGACTCAGCAGAGCTGGAGCCCCATGTGGTCTATTGTTTCTGCGCAAGCTCACCAATCACAGCAAGTGTGAGAAGGCAGAGAGAAGTGAGGATGGGTGCTGGACAAGGAGGCTCATCACCTGAAGCCAGGCAAGCATAAGCTCTTGCCGCCAAGAGCCCCTTCAAGCCTGAAGCACAGAGTCCAGCAGGAAGTTCCAAGAATGCCTCTGATATTTCAGGGAGAGCCCACGGCACGGAATGTGTGTGTGTGTGTGCGTATGCACTTCTGGGCGTGTGTGTGTGTGCATGTGTGTGTTGTCACTTTACAAGAAAAGAAACCTCAGGAGGGCCTGGGCTCCCCTGGTAGAGATTTTCCTTAGGGAACAGCCGTGATGTGTAGTGGCTCGAGGATGGAGCCCTTAGGATCACCACCGTCTACCGAGAGAGATCAGAGGAAGAGAATTCTTTAATGAGACAAAACAGACAGCGAAGTCCATGGAGAACCAGGAGAGAAGAGTGTCCCCAAAGTCAGCAAGGGTGAGTGATAAGAAAATGCAATAAACATCATATTCCGAAGAGCAATTCATTAAGATAAGGCATGAAAAAAGGCCATAAGTCACGGCAACGTGGGCATCAGAGACGACATCCAGAGAAACAGCAAAGCAGGATTCTCATCATTTATCCGGCAAATGAACAAGGAGGGCTAAGTGCAGGCCTCTGAATAGAAGAGGGGCATTTTCTATTAGGATCTGAAATGGAAATGGCTCCCCAGCGCCAAGCCACGTGGTGCTGGGTGTTGCCCGTTGATGTCTGTCACAGCTCAGAGAGGTGGCTGAGTTTAACCAGCTCACATCCCAAATTTTGTTTGCCAGCGGTTTTCGATCTGTGCTCTTGACAACCTGGGGGATCCAGGGATTCCTCAAGGCCAGCAAAAAGGGTTTTGTGGCCCCATAACACACACACACACACACACACACACACACACACGCATCTTCCATGCCACGTACTTTCCTTGAAAGGACAGACACATTCTTGAAACTGCCTGCTGGACATTGCGCTTCAGGCTCCAAGGGGCCCGATGGCCTGAGAAGCTTATCCTTGCCTTTGAAACTCTGCTCCCCTTCATCTGGAGCATTTCTGTAGGTAGTGGCTCTAGCTTTCCTTTGCGAAGTGGACGTTCCACTTGAACAAGGGACCTAAGTTGTTTATCAAAATGGTATCTGGTAAAGTAGACTCTGAATACATTAGGATTTGCTTTACCTTTTTGTCTCCTGTTGGTTTTCAGATTTAATATTTAATCTTAATTATATTTAATTTAATAATAATACGATATACAATTGAAAGATTAGTATTGTAATTCTGAAGAAATTCAGATCAAAAGTAACTCATAATTATTATTTTACATTGAGCCGTGCAGGTACATGCTGTGTGCATTTGTAGGAAAGATCAGATAATAATTGCAATTTTGTTTGTTGGTTTGTTTAAGGCTACATTTAATGTGATCCTAGAGTGTCAACCCTAACAAAGTGAGAACATACCTAAGATATGGGTGCTATTCCTAGCTGTTACTTTTTTTCAGATTTTATTATTTATTATTTGTTTTTGTTATTTATTTATTTATTTATTATACTTTAAGTTCTAGGGTACATGTGCACAACATGCAGATTTGTTACATAGGTATACATGTGCCATGTTGGTGTGCTGCACCCATCAACTCATCGTTTACATTAGGTATTTCTCCTAATGCTATCTCTCCCCCAGTCCCCCAACCCCCAAGAGGCCCTGAAGTGTGATGTTCCCTGCCCTGTGTCCAAGTGTTCTCATTGTTCAATTCCCACATATGAGTGAGAACATGCAGTGTTTGGTTTTCTGTCCTTGGGATAGTTTGCTCAGAATGATGGTTTCCAGCTTCATCCATTTCCCTGCAAAGAACATGAACTCTTTGGTTTTTATGCCTGCATAGTATTCCATGGTGTATATGTGCCACCTTTTCTTAAACCAGTCTATCATTGATGGACATTTCGGTTGGTTCCAAGTCTTTGCTATTGTAAATAGTGTCACAGTAAACATACGTGTGCGTGTATCTTTATAGTAGAGTGATTTATAATCCTTTGGGTATATACCCAGTAATGGGATCACTGGGTCAAATGGTATTTCTAGTTCTAGATCCTTGAGGAATCGCCACACTGTCTTCCACAATGGTTGAACTAGTTTACACTCCCACCAACAGTGTAAAAGCATTCCTATTTCTCTACATCTTCTCCAGCATCTGTTGTTTCCTGACTTTTTAAAGATTGCCATTCTAACAGGTGTGAGATTGTATCTCATTGTTGTTTTGATTTGCATTTCTCTAATGACCAGTGATGATGAGCATTATTTCATGTGTCTGTTGGCTGCATAAATGTCTTCTTTTGAGAAGTGTCTGTTCATATCCTTTGCCCACTTTTTGATGGGGTTGTTTTTTTCTTGTAAATTTAAGTTCCTTGTAGATTCTGGATATTATCCCTTTGTCAGATGGGTAGATTGCAAAAATTTTCTCCCATTCTGTAGGTTGCCTGTTCACTCCAATGGTAGTTTCTTTTGCTGTGCAGAAGCTCTTTAGTTTAATTGGATTCCATTAGTCTATTTTGGCTTTTGTTGCCATTGCTTTTGGTGTTTTACTCATGAAGTTCTTGCCCATGCCTATGTCCTGAATGGTATTGCCTCGGGTTTCTTCTAGGGTTTTTGTGGTTTTAGGTCGAACATTTAAGTCTTTAATCCATCTCGAATTAATTTTTGTATAAAGTGTAAGGAAGGGATCCAGTTTCAGCTTTCTACGTATAGCTAGCCAGTTTTCCCAGCACCATTTATTAAATAGGGAATCCTTTCCCCATTGCTTGTTTTTGTCATGTTTGTCAAAGATCAGATGGTTGTAGATGTGTGGTGTTATTTCTGAGCCTTCTGTTCTGTTTGATTGGTATGTATATCTGTTTTGGTGCTAGTACCATGCTATTTTGGTTACTGTAGGCTTGTGGTATAGTTTGAGGTCAGGTAGCGTGATGCCTCCAGCTTTGTTCTTTTTGCTTAGGATTGTCTTGGCAATGCGGGCTCTTTTTTGGTTCCATATGAACTTTAAAGTAGTTTTATCTAATTCTGTGAATAAAGTCATTGGTAGCTTGATGGGGATGGCATTGAATCTATAAATTACCTTGGGCAGTATGGCCATTTTCACAATATTGATTCTTCCTATCCATGAGCATGGAATGTTCTTCCATTTGTTTGTGTCCTCTTTTATTTTATTGGCAGTGGTTTGTAGTTCTGAAAGAGGTCCTTCACATTCCTTGTAAGGTGGATTCCTAGGTATTTTATTCTCTTTGTAGCAATTGTGAATGGGAGTTCACTCATGGTTTGGCTCTCTGTTTGACTGTTATTGGTGGATAGGAATGCTTGTGATTTTTGCACATTGATTTTGTATCCTAAAATTTTGCTGAAGTTGCTTATCATCTTAAGGAGATTTTGGGCTGAGATGATGGGGTTTTCTAAATATACAATCATGTCATCTGCAAACAGGGACAATTTGACTTCCTCTTTTCCTAATTGAATACCCTGTATGACTTTCTCTTGTCTGATTGCCCTGGCCAGAACTTCCAACACTATGTTTAATAGTAGTGGTGAGAGAGAGGGCATCCTTGTCTTCTGCTGATTTTCAAAGGGAATGCTTCCAGTTTTTGCCCATTCAGTATGATATTGGCTGTGGGTTTGTCATAAATAGCTCTTATTATTTTGAGATACTTTCCATCAATACCTAGTTTATTGAGAGTTTTTAGCATGAAGCGTTGTTGAATTTTGTCAAAGGCCTTTTCTGCAGCTATTGAGATAATCATGTGGTTTGTGTCGTTGCTTCCGTTTTGTGATGGATTACATTTATTGATTTGCGTATGTTGAACCAGCCTTGCATCCCAGGGATGAAGCTGACTTGATTGTGGTGAATAAGCTTTTTGATGTCCTGTTGGATTTGATTTGCCATTATTTTATTGAGGATTTTTGCATCAATATTCATCAGGGATATTGGTCTAAAATACTCTTTTTTTGTTATGTCTCTGCCAGGCTTTGGTATCAGAATGATGCTGGCCTCATAAAATGAGTTAGGGAGGATTCCCTCTTTTTCTACTGATTGGAATAGTTTCAGAAGGAATGGTACCAGCTCCTCTTTGCACCTCTGGTAGAATTCAGTTGTAAATCTGTCCGGTCCTGGACTTTTTTTCGTTGATAAGCTATTAATTATTGCCTCAATTTCAGAGACTGTTATTTGTCTATTTAGAGATTCAACTTCTTCCTGGTTTAGTCTTGGAAGGGTGTATGTGTCCAGGAATTCATTCATTTCTTCTAGATTTTCTAATTTATTTGCGTAGAGGTGTTTATAGTATTCTCTGATGGTAGTTTGTATTTCTGTGGGATCAGTGGTGATATCCCCTTTATCAAATTTTATTGCATGTATTGGATTCTTCTCTCTTTTCTTCTTTATTAGTCTTGCTAACGGTCTATCAATTTTGTTGATCTTTTAAAAAAACCAGCTCCTGGATTCATTGATTTTTTGAAGGGTTTTTTGTGTCTCTATCTCCTTCAGTTCTGCTCTGATCTTAGTTATTTCTTGCCTTCGGCTAGCTTTTGAATTGGTTTGCTCTTGCTTCTCTAGTTCTTTTAATCGTAATGTTAAGGTATTGATTTTAGATATTTCCTGCTTTCTCTTGTGGGCATTTAGTGCTATAAATTTCCCTCTACACACTGCTTTAAATGTGTCCCAGAGACTCTAGTACATTGTGTCTTTGTTCTCATTGGTTTCAAAGAACATCTTTATTTCTGCATTCATTTCGTTATTTACCCAGTAGTCATTCAGGAGCAGGTTGTTCAGTTTCCAAGTAATTGTGTGGTTTTCAGTGAGTTTCTTAATCCTGAGTTCTAATTTGATTGCACTCTGGTCTTAGAGGAAATTTTTTGTGATTTCTGTTCTTTTACATTTGTGGAGGAGTGTTTTACTTCCAATTATGTGGTCAATTTTAGAATAAGTGCGATGTCGTGCTGAGAAGATTGTATGTTCTGTTGATCTGGTGTGGAGAGTTCTGTAGATGTCTATTAGTTCTGCTTGGTGCAGAGCTGAGTTCAAGTCCTGGATATCTTTGTTAACCTTCTGTCTCATTGATCTGTCTAATATTGACAGTGGGGTGTTAAAGTCTCTCATTATTATTGTGTGGGAGTCTATGTCTCTTTGTAGGTCCCTAAGGACTTGCTTTATGAATCTGGGTGCTCCTGTATTGGGTGCATATATATTTAGGATAGTTGTTAGCTCTTCTTGTTGAATTGAACCCTTTACCATTATGTAATGGCCTTCTTTGTCTCTTTTGATCTTTGTTGGTTTAAAGTCTGTTTTGTCAGAGACTAGTATTGCAACCCCTGCTTTTTTTTGCTTTTCATTTGCTTGATAGATCTTCCTCCGTCCCTTTATTTTGAGCCTATGTGTGTCTCTGCATGTGAGATGGGTCTCCTGAATACAGCACACCGATGGGTCTGGAGTGTTTATCCAATTTGGCAGTCTGTGTCTTTTAACTGGGGCATTTAGCCCATTTACATTTAAGGTTAATATTGTTATGTATTAATTTGATCCTGTCATTGTGATGTTAGCTGGTTATTTTGTCCAGCAGTTTCTTCATAGTATTGATGGTCTTCACAATTTGACATGTTTTTGCAGTGGCTGGTACTGGTTGTTCCTTTCCATGTTTAGTGCTTCCTTCAGGAGCTCTTGTAAGGCAGGCTTGGTGGTGACAAAATCTCTCAGCATTTGCTTCTCTGTAAAGGATTTTATTTCTCATTCACTTATGAAGCTTAATTTGGCTGGATACGAAATTCTGGGTTGAAAATTCTTTTCTTTAAGAATGTTGAATATTGGCCCCCATTCTCTTCTGGCTTGTAGGGTTTCTGCCAAGAGGTTTGCTGTTAGTCTGATGGGCTTCCCTTTGTGGGTAACCCGATCTTTCTCTCTGGCTGCTCTTAATATTTTTTCTTTCATGTCAACCTTGATGAATCTGACAATTATATGTCTTGGGGTTGCTCTTCTTGAGGAGTATCTTCGTGGTGTTCTCTGTATTCCTGAATATGAATATTGGCCTGCCTTGCTGGGTTGGGGAAGTTTTCCTGGATAATATCCTGAAGAGTGCTTTCCAACTTGGTTCCATTCTCCCCATCACTTTCGTGTACACCAGTCAAATGTAGATTTGTTTCACATAGTCCCATACTTCTTGAAGGTGTTGTTTATTTCTTTTTACTCTTTTTTTTCCTCTAAACTTGTCTCCTCACTTTATTTCATTAATCTGATCTTCAGTCACTGATATCCTTTCTTCCACTTGATCGAATCAGCTATTGAAGCTTGTGCCTGAGTCACGAAGTTCTCATGCCATGGTTTTCAGCTCCATCAGGTCATTTAAAGACTTCTCTACACTGTTCATTCTAGTTAGCCATTCGTCTAACCTTTTTTCAAGGTTTTTAGCTTTCTTGTGACGGGTTAGAACATGCTCCTTTAGCTCAGAGAAGTTTGTTATTACCGACCTTCTGAAGCCATCTTCTGTCAACTTGTCAAAGTCGTTCTCCATCCAGCTTTGTTCCGTTGCTGGTGAGGATCTGTGATCCTTTGGAGGAGAAGAGCTGCTCTGGTTTTTAGGA
The DNA here is from genome assembly GCF_000001405.40 of Homo sapiens. NCBI lineage: Eukaryota > Metazoa > Chordata > Mammalia > Primates > Hominidae > Homo > Homo sapiens. The sequence continues at coordinate 4,892,663 of NC_000005.10, forward strand.
TTTCCACCTTTTGTGCTCTGGTTTCTCCCCATCTTTGTGGTTTTTTCTACCTTTGGTCTTTGATGTTGGTGACCTACAGATGGGGCTTTCGTGTGGATGTCCTTTTTGTTTATTTTGATGCTATTCCTTTCTGTTTGTTAGTTTTCCTTCTAACCATCAGGTTCCTCAGCTGCAGGTCTGTTGGAGTTTGCTGGAGGTCCACTCCAGACCCTGTTTGCCTGGGTATCACCAGTGGAGGCTGCAGAACAGCAAATATTGCTGCCTGATCCTTCCTCTGGAAGCTTCATCCCAGAGGGGCACCTGCCTGTATGAGGTGTCAGTCAGCCCCTACTGGGAGGTGTCTCCCAGTTAGGCTACACAGAGTCAGGGACCCACTTGAGGTGGCAGTCTGTCTGTTCTCAGAGCTCAAACACCGTGCTGGGGGAACCACTGCTCTCTTCAGAGCTGTCAGACAGGAACGTTCAAGTCTGAAGAAGTTTCTGCTGCCTTTTGTCCAGCTATGCCATGCCCACAGAGGTGGAGTCTACAGAGGCAGTAGGCCTTGCTGAGCTGCAGTGGGATCCACCCAGTTTGAGCTTCCTGGCCACTTTGTTTACCTACTCAAGCCTCATTAATGGCGGATGCCCCTCCCCCTACCAGGCTGCAGCCTTGCAGGTCGATCTCAGACTGCTGTGCTAGCAGTGAGAAAGACTCCATGGGCATGGGACCTGCCAAACCAGGCACGGGAGAGAACCTCCTGGTCAACTGGTTGCTACTACCATGGGAAAAGCACAGTGTTTGAGCAGGAGTGTCCCATTTTTCCAGGTACACTCTGTCATGGCTTCCCTTGGCTAGGAAAGGGAAATCCCCTGACCCCTGGTGAGGCGACACCCCACCCTGTTTCGGCTCACCCTCCATGGGCTGCACCCACGTCAACCAGTCCCAATGACATGAACCAGGTACCTCAGTTGGAAAGGGAGAAATCACCCATCTTCTGCATCAATCATGCTGGGAGCTGCAGACCAGAGCTGTTCCTATTTGGCCATCTTGGAACGGAATCCAATAATTGCAATTTTAAAAATTGTATCCAAATGACTTGTATTTCCACTACTAAGCATAGAATTGAAATTATATGGATATAACTCAAATTCTCTGTGAAGGATTATTTTATCAACTGTTTGTATATCCCTATGATTTTATGTTTAGTTGTGTATTTAGTTGTTTGGCCTATAAAACATTTTATGAATGTTACAAAGATATTTTCTTACATGAAATATGGGATTCTGAGAAAGGTATTTTATTGGAATTATACTTGGGATGTAAGTAAATCACCATTCACCTTTGTCTTATTGTGCTGTGTGGCACAAGAGGAAAGAGGGGAGAGGGAAAAACCACAAAGGACTTTTCAGGGAGGTGCTGGGAGTCACGAGAACTCATCTAAAGGAAGGAAACGGGATGCACAGGGAGTAAGCTAGGGTTGGATTCTCCAAAAAAAGAAGTTTTCGTTTTCAACTCCATTGATAAAAAAACAAGGTAAGTGAGTCCTAGCCCTACTTTACTTCAAAGAACATCTTATGAAGTTTAGGAGAGGTCTCCTAGGTGTCCTTGTTTTTGGTTTGTTTTAATTTTGACCCCATCTCTTTCCTAATATTTACTGGCATCAAATGCTTAGGAAACTCAAGCAGCCTCTTATTGATTCCAGGGACCCAAGAGGATGATTTAGAAACTTCATAGATTATCATTTTCTTCACTGGAGAAAAATTGCACAGAAGAAGCGGGTGGGAGTCATGGGGGGCCACAGAGAAAAAGCCCAAAGTTTCCAAAGAAGAAGGGAGTCAGAGGGACGGGTCCAACCTGAGACACCTGGGAGCCCACACTGGGGACGCTGGCAGATGAGCCTCAGGTGCACCCCATTTCTCCAGTGCTCTCTTGAGTCCCAGGCTCTAAAGGGCCCAAGCAATAGTGAAGGAGCTCTGGGGTAGAAGGATGGCTGTGGCTGCCATTGCTTCCTGGTGACTCTTGGAAGACTCAGTCATGATAGCAAAAGAATTTGCTCTTTAACAGTTCCTAGCATCTTTCCAACACATTTCCCATTACGTGTTGACTCTTTTCCAGTATTTCAAGATCAAATGGTGAAAAGCAGTAAGGGAAGTGACAAGTCCTTAACACCAGACTGTGATTAAGTTGTGGACTCAATTATTTATACATTTCAACAAATATTTAAAGAATATTGGCTAGCTGGACATTAACTCCCACTCTACAGAAAAGAGTATTGGTCTTATCACTGCTTTGTATGTATATTCCTGTAATGAGTTCAAATATTCCAATGATAAGGTTTGAATCTCTGTCCCCATCTGTATTAGTTAGGGTTCTCTAGAGGGACAGAACTAACAGGATAGATAGGTAGGTAGGTAGGTAGGTAGGTAGATAGATAGATAGATAGATAGATAGATAGATAGATAGATAGATAGACAGACAGACAGACAGACAGACAGATAGATAGATTAGATAGATAGATAGATAGATAGGGGAGTTTATTAAGTATTAACTCACAGCATCAGAAGGTCCCACAATAGGCCGTTTGCAAGCCAGGGAGCAAGGAGAGCCAGTTCGAGTTCCAAAACTGAAGAACTTGGAGTCCAATGTTCGAGGGCAGGAAGCATCCAGCATGGGAGAAAGATGTAGGCTGGGAGCCTAGGTCAGTCTAGCCTTTTCACATTTTTCTGCCTGATTAGATGGTCCCCACCCAGATTAAGGGTGGGTCTGCCTTTCCCAGCCCACTAACTCAAATGTTAATCTCCTTTGGCAACACCCTCACAGACACACCCAAGATTGATACTTTGCATCCTTCAATCCAACCAAGTTGACACTCAGTATTAACCATCACGCCACCCAAAACTCATGTTCAATTGTAATTCCCAGTGATGGAGTTGGGGCCTGGAGGGAGGTCACTGGATAATGGGGTGGATCCTTCGTGGTTAACACCATCCCTTTGGTGCTGTTCTTGTGATAGAGTTCTCATGAGATCTGGTTGTTTAAAGATGTGTGGCACCGCCCCCACACCCCTTATCCCTGCTCCCACCATGTGAAGCAATGGCTACCGCTTTGCCTTTCACCATGATTGTAAGTTTCCTGAGGCTTCCCCAGAAGCTGAGCAGAAGCTGCTATGCTTGCTGTACAGACTACATAACTGGGAGCCAATTAAATTTTTCCTTGTAAATTACCCAGTATCAGACATTTCTTTATCGCAGTGCAAAAGTGGACTAATACACCCATCCTTTCAAAATCAATGAAAGCATCACTGATTGAGAGTTGTGTGCCTGACACTTCATATTCCTACAGCTGCTCTTTGAGGTAGGTATTACTGTTCTCATTTTAATGTTGAGAAAGCTAAGAGTCCAAGATGTGAGTGACTTGCTCATGATTACTCAGCTAGCATGTGGCAGAGATAGAGATGGGTAGAAAGCAGATTTTGGGTTAACTAATGGCTGTATAGGCCAAGAGGCAAGAATAGAGAATAGGTGAAATACAATTTGCTAATTAATATGAAGACATAATCATGTTTTTCTTTAATAGAATCATCAACTTGCAAAGTGGAGTCAATTTCTTCTGCTCTCTTTGCTTTGTCTGCAATTCCTGGGCATACAGAATAACCTGTACATGTTTCTCATCCAGTCGTTATCGACTCAAGTGAATGTGATGGTTTCCAAGTGTTTCCCATAGCCTGCCACCTTTTTGAACCCACAGGGGCGAATGAGGAGCGTCTTTACAATGTCAGCAATTGAAACTGATATGAATGAAGACAAGAATGATGACTGCATAACTCTTCGGAATGCAATTTCAAAACTGGACATGAGTCCAGGGAAGTGGAACAAAAACCTGACCGTCCCAGTGCCTGCATGTGGGAATCTCAGTGCCAAGCACTTCATTATGCAAAGTAGGTTCTTCCCAAGTGCTCTGTCTGATAAGGATAACAGGGGTGGATTTTGCCAAATTAAATCTGTCCCAAGTAACAGAAACTCTTCTTGCTGCTGAGTTGAGAAGTGCTAAAGAGAACAATAAAATCCCATACCCGACTCCAGAGGGACTTAAAGAGCACACAGTCTTCCCAATGGCAATAAAGCTTCATGTCTGGGCTAACCTCCCTTGACTCGGTGGGATTGCACAGATCCCCTGATTCATGTCAAACACGAATCCTAACCTGGCACTCTGATCCTCAGCATGTACAAGATGGAAGAGGTGATTCTTTCAGCTGTTTAGAAACCAAATTACAGAATCTACACAGTAGAGTTTTCTAATTTCTAATTAAACAAGAAGTCAGAATGAGCTTTTTTTTTTTTTTTTTTTTTTTTTTTTTGCCTTTTAGCTACCTTAACTCTTCTTGTAATAGGAGACAGAGTGATTCATGGACTTCCGTTTTGATGATCAGTTGAACTCATTAGGGATTTTTAAAAACAGATTTCTGAGTCTTAGCCCCAGGGATTCTAACTGTCAGTTAGAATGGGCCCCCAAATGTGATTTTGAGGTCTTTTCTAGTTCTAACAAAACTAGAAAAGTTTAGGTGCGGCCCTGAAATGTAATTTTTAGGTGGGGCCCCCAAATGTGATTTTGAGGTCTTTTCCAGTTCTAACAAAACTAGAAAAGTTTAGGTGGGCCCCTGAAATGTAATTTTTAGGTGGGGCCCCCAAATGTGATTTTGAGGTCTTTTCCAGTTCTAACATCCATTGTTTCTTCTTTATTATAAATGTTCATTTATTTCCATTCTTCTCCTCAATGTAGATTTCACCAGACCCACTCTTCCAAAACAATCAACTCAGTTCGATGATACTCCTCTCAGCTGAAGCCATCATAATTCAGTTGCCCTTGGTTTTGTAGACCTATTTTCCAACCTTCAATTATTTCTGCTACTCTTATTTGAGTATTCTCAAGTTTCCATCTTGTTACAAACATGATCATCCATGGTAATGATTATTTTAGAAGCTACATTTGCCATTGTCAGTCTGATAGTTCTTAGATGTATAGAAGCTTTCTTTCCAAATTATCTCAGTTAAATTAAATCATCCCTGGGGAAATAAAAACAAACTATTTTTCCACTGACTCAATACTGTCTACTTGACGGTACCTTTATTCCTACCACCATCTTTCAAGAAGCTGGTCTCCTCCACCCGAGCTCCCCTGTGAGAAAGGGCTTCATTAGAATATTGCACTGTCTGTGGGGTGGTTTATAAGTTGGAAGAAATGTGATTTAGTGCATTTGGAAGTATATTGTGTGTCCCCATGATACTTATATATCTGTTATAAATAATTTCTTTTACTTTTCTTTTCAGAAAATGATTAGTTCATCCCAAATGAGTATGAATGTCCCAGGTCTATTGTTTCAGAACTGGAGCTGCAATCCATAGCCCTGTGAAGGTGGTTATTAACTGATTTTGGAAATGCAATCACAGACCACAGATTATTTCAGTTAAACCATGCCTATTCCACATGTCGCATTCCATTTTGTTAGTGAACCGGGTCTCTTGTTGGTGCCGCCTACTGTTAAGTTTATTGATGAGAACTTAAGCATTTGGTCTCTGAGGAAATACACTGGGTCATATACGTGCACCTGGTTTCGGTTGGGAAAAAATTCATCTTCCAACCATGTCTTTGTGTCTGGAAATATTCAGCCACCACAAAACAAAAGGTAAAGTATACATCATCTCATCTCTAGGCACTAACAAAATAGAAACAGAGAAGGTGTATGATCTAAACAGAACCAGAGAATGGTTCAGCTCTCATGTGCAGAGCAGCATCCTATCACAAAACCTGGCCACATGCTGCTAAAATGGTGCAAAATGCAGGTTTCCCAATTTTCACATAAAAAAATAAAAATAAAAATCAATAAAGAAATGTTGGTGTGTGTTTGTGTGCATGCATTTTATCTAAGTTCAGGATATTCAGCTCATTCTATCCACTACCCCGTGGCTGTGTTTCCATGGTTCCTAAATAAATGTAACTGACTACTCAATGGCTCACTCTTGGTTAAGATAATTTTCTTGACTTAAGAGTCTTTCTGCAGGGTGTGGTAGCTCATGCCTGTAATCACAGCACTTTGGGAGGCAGAAGTAGGTGGATACCCTGAGGTCAGGAGTTCGAGACCAGCCTGGCCAACATGGTAAAACCCCATCTCTACTAAAAGTACAAAAATTAGCCAGGTGTGATGGTGGGGGCCTGTAATTCCAGCTACTCAAGAGGCCGAGGCAAGAGAATTGCTTGAACCTGGGAGGCTGAGGTTGCAGTGAGCCGAGATTGCGCCATTGCACTCCAGCCTGGGCAACAGGAGCAAAACTCCATCTCAAAAAGTAAAATAAAAAATAAAATTTTAAAAAAGATTCTTGGCCAGGTGCAGTGACTCAGGCCTGTAATCCCAGCACTTTGGGAGGCTGAGGCGGGCGGATCACAAGGTCAGGAGATCTAGACCATCCTGGCTAACACGGTGAAACCCCGTCTCTACTAAAAATACAAAAAAAATTAGCCGGGCATGGTGGTGGGCGCCTGTAGTCCCAGCTACTTGGGTGGCTGAGGCAGGAGAATGGCGTGAACCCGGGAGGCAGAGCGTGCAGTGAGCCGAGATTGCACCACTGCACTCCAGCCTGGGTGGCAGAGCAAGACTCTGTCTCAAAAAAAAAAAAAAAAAGATTCTTTCCGTGTCCCTACTTTGAAGAATAATATAAAGTCTCAAAGTGACCAGGACCCTACTCTGTGCAGGCCAGCCACTGGTCAAGGAGGAGTCTGATTTCTTCCATCTGCTCCCTGGTCCTTCTGACTTCCCTGCCTGCAGGTGAGATGAGGGGGATAACCCCCTGTGTGTCAGCACCTGCCGTGGAGCCTCCCCACGCATGGACCTTCTGCCAGCATGTGTCCTGCACAGCATGTGACATGGTTGCACGGAACAGCCTCTAGCTACAGAGAAGCTGAAAGATGGTGTAGCAGGAAATGCACTGGAGGCTTTTGTCTGAAGTGGGCAGGCCTTATCTTCTCATGAAGTCCCTCCTGATACGTTCATTGATGAATACTCCCATGTCCAGTGAATGATGATTGAGACCCCTGCTTTGGAGGCCTGAGGCAGTTTCTGGGAACGGGAAACCATTCATGATGCAGTTCACAGAGCTTCAGCATCAGCCCCTAGGGTGGCCTTGCAATGCGTTTATGGACCATACGTTTTGATGAAATTTGCCAGTCTAAGAATCTCACTGCAATTGAGATCAGTTACATTCCATCTACCCCTTGCTCATCTTCCCCTCATGGCTGCTGGTATTGAACAGCTACGGACAAGTTAGGGATCTCAGAAAGTGGAGTTGCTTTAGAGATACATTTAGATTGTAATTAACCTGATACACTTAACGGATTTACAGTAACTTACTTGTATAATTAAGTTACTGTTACCTGTCCCTCCCATAAGACACACAGGAAGGGGCTGGACAGAGGTCCATCAGGTCCCAACACCTTCAGGAGTATGTCCTGAAGGTGTTGGCATGAGAGCCTGTGGGGCCGATGAGAAAAGTCTTAAAATACATGGCACTATGGCAGGATGTGGTGACTCACGCCAGTAATCCCAGCACTTTGGGAGGCTGAGGCGAGTGGATCACCTGAGGTCAGGAGTTCAAGACCAGCCTGGCCAACATGATGAAATCCCATCTCAACTAAAAATACAAAAAAATTAGCTGGGTGTGGTGGTGTGGGCCTGTAATCCCAGCTACTTCAGGAGGCTAAGGCAGGAGAATCGCTTGAACCCGGGAGGCAGAGGTTGCAGTGAGCCAAGATCGCGCCATTGTGTTCCAGCCTGGGTGACAAGCATGAAACTCTGTCTCAAAAAAAAAAAAAAAAATATATATATATACACACACACACACACACATACACACATACACATACACACACACACATACATATATGTATATATACATACATATATATATATGGCACTAGAAACCAGTCTGTGGGAATGTCGTCCAATCCCCAGATGTATAAAATTGTAAACAGATTTCCTCAGCAAAATGGATTCTCTCTCCTGTCAGAAACATATCTAGTAAGGCGGTACTAATATTTAGAAATATATTGATAGTTTTTTTCTTTGACTTTTGATGGAAATCTTATGAAATAGAATTTATCAGGATCCCTGTGTCTGTAAAGCACAAGCCCACGTCAGAAGTCAAATGCAAGAGCTCCTGCATGTCTTATGCTTTTCCGTGTTCAATGATAAAAACAAATAAATGTTACACAAGCAACTTAGAGTGAAGACTAAACTATTTTTTCTAGTTTTCTGTAGAAAATATATAAAAATAAATAAGTTTTAAACAAACAAGTTAGAGCAGAGACTAAACTATTTTTCTAGTTTTACCGTAGGAAATACATAAACATAAATAAATTTTAAACAAGCAAGTTAAAGCAAAGACTAAACTATTTTTCTAGTTTTACTATAGAAAATATACTAGGAAATCACTGTTACTTAAAAAGACAATCAAAGAATATGCAACGGAAAATTGTAGGCAAATATAATAGTAGACATCTAGCAGTTTATTATTTCTGTGTGTGTGTTTCCACTTAAGTTATAATTTGATGTGATTTATTTTCTCATTCAAGACAAATATTTTTATTTGTACCATGTTAAGCTCATGAGACAGGCAGGCTGCCCATAGCTCCCCGCATAGGCACCAAGCCTTCAACACACGGCTCCATCTGGCTCTGCTGTCTCTTGCTCCCCAAGTTGCGAAAGGCGAGGCTCTGTTTGCCTACCCGAACTTTTTGTGGCCTCGACTCTTTTTGCTTGTTTTCAGGACCTCATTGCTCTGGGGCATAACAGAATACCTGCTTCTTCTCCAGTCCCCTAGTTGGGGTTTCTGCGCGTCATAAATGACCAGCTTATACTCTTCTTGGACTTTTATCCAATGCCTTGTCCTTGATCTCTGGCAAGACTCACTTATGCCTTCATCCTCGTTCACTCCCTGCACGCCAGTGACATCTCCCATATGCAAATTTGGCAAGCTCATCACCTCATATCACGGCCAAAGCTTCCCGAGGTATGAAGCCAGTCGTTCCCACATCCTTCCACTCCATCAGGTCTCTGTCCTCTCTTGCAACTCCAAGCATGGCTGGTCCTGCCATCGGCGTGTCCCTGGGTCCATCCCCAAGTGAAGTGTCCACGTGAGGTGTGGTTTGGAGACCCTAAAGACAGGGATGGGAAGTTTTCCTCAGCTGTTAGAATAGGCTGAATGAGTACATTTGTGCATGTGTGCCAAAAAGTGACTATATAATTTGCAAACTTAATACTAAGACTTTCTTTTCTTGTATAATAATCTGGTAGCAAGGCTGTGGGGAGAGGAGGAGACATATTCCCCCACGGAACACCGAGTGCTAGAGACTTTGTTTATCCAGAGAACTGACAACTGCTGGGAGGAGAAATTCACTTAGGTCAGTTTTCACGCTGCTTTACACACTTGGCTGGTGCCTCTGGGATCATTCCCCAAACCTCGGTTGTTATTTTTCTGCATACTTAGTTCTGTTCTAGTCTCATATCTCCTTCCAGGCCACTTGGGTTCCCCAACTGGGATCCACTCTTCCCGGCTTTTCAATTTCCTGTCTCTGTAAATACAGTTCCTTGTAATTCTACAATGCAAGCCTTAATCATTACACCTGGCACAGCTAGAATCCAATCCCCATCACGGCGTATGAGAACCACTCTTCCTTTCCAGGGATTCCCAATTCACATCAGCCTCATAAACCCGATACTCATCCGGACCCAAAAAGTAACAATTGTCTTGCATTGGGACATCTAGTCACTCAATTTGCATTCTCAAATATCAATTGCTAACTCATATCTGGGTTTTATGCTCCACAATTTCCCCAGGGCAAACCTCCAGGAACTTATGAACTGCTCTTTCTTACTGAAAGATACAGTGGCTGGAACTGCACAAAGCAAGAAGATACTTCTGTAACCAAGCATGATCCCAGTGAGCATTTAGATACACAGGAGATGGAAAGATGTGAACCCTATTTTTCAATCATCAGATGGTGACATAGCAGTGCACAGAAGGTAGGTTGTGGAAGATTCATCAGCTCAGGGTTTCAGATGCATGCTGAGAACAATGTGGTCTTGCTGTCTACACAGAATTGGATGAGATCAGAATCCATTTGGAAGGGGCATTCTCTTCACTGTGGAAGGGAAGGGTACACACTTCTAATAGCTCTTGAATTATTTTCTGTTTTTCCCCATAGAACATGAGTTCGAGACCAGCCTGGCCAACATGGCGAAATCCTGTCTCTACTAAAAATGCAAAAATTAGCCGGGCATGGGGGCGCATACCTGTAGTCCCAGCTACTCAGGAGGCTGAGGCAGGAGGATTGCTTGAACCTAGGAGGCGGCAGTTGCAGTGAGCCAAGATTGCGACATTGCACTCCAGCCTGGGTGACTCTGTCTCCAAAAAAAAAAAAAAAAAAAAAAAAACGAGAAGGGGTTGCCTTAACTATTTTACAAAAATGTAAATATAAAGAGGAAAAATGTGGTTTCGAGCACCTTCAATGAGCACTTTGACCCTGGTGTCAAAATATCACTAGCAGGAGAAATGGGGAAATACAGAAGGTGAAAAACTCCAAGGGCAGCCCTAATGCAAGCTTTTATGGAGAAAATATTAGTGTTATTTTTTATCATGGGAATGTTATAGGAAAACATCCTACTGTATGTGAACATATATATTGTCATAGAAAACTGATAACCAAGAGATAACTACTTTTCAACTTTAGTTGTCCAATGGCAGACCCTCAGGTCAAACAGGTCTCCCAAGCAGGTAACAAACCAAGGGAGAAATGAGTGCTTTGCAGAGTACACAAGGCTTCAGAGCTCAAGGTGGACACAGATGCAGCCTAACAGCAGTGAAATCAGCATTAAAAAGGAGACAAATATAGATTTTCTTAAAACAGCATGCACTGAATTTCAAGGGTTTTAAAATTCATACTTATTTTACAAACTGTGTTCTGCAGGTTCAATGGACTGCATTATAATAAGTGGATAGATTCCTTAAAAATGTATGCATTAAATTTATTATCCCTCCCCGATAGTAGAAAATTGAAAGTGTAAATTAAAATCTTTAGTACGAATTAAAATTAATTTACTCTTTCCTCTGCTCAATACCTGCATACTGATTGCTTATTGTGTAACAAGCCTGGGACAAATTGTGTGGCCACCTCATCTAATCAATAACTGAGTTTGGATTATTTTACCTTCCTGTCTCTCCCTTCAATGTATCTCCCACATGGTCTGACAATTCATACTTTTCATAGTTTGGACCTTCATGATTTCTCTTCTTTATTGCCACCGTTACTTCCTACCTGGATGTTCTGTATCAAATGCTAGACCGTGCCTCCCCAAGACATGCACATACACATGTACACACACATGTACCCACCCAGAAACACACACTTCTTTACACATGCACACACTCATTCACACTGCATTCTCCCTATGAAAACAAATATGAAGCTGCTAAACATCTAAAATCAGAGCATTGTCTGAGCATTGGATTGGATCCCTTCATTGCCCATCTTGGATTCAGGACAGTTTCCTAGCTGGTCAAAGAACGAGCTTGCCTGTCTCTGGTTCTGCTTCCCACCTCTCCTGGCTGAGCCTTCCCTGTGTCCTGCGGCATGTGCTCCGTGGCTCCTGCCTCACCTGTTCTCACCGCTTCCCCGCCTGCATCAGTTCCTCACAGTTTCTCTATCAGGGCAGGTTAGAGCTGGCTGCAAACACTGAGGCAAACAGCAGTGGCTTAGACAATACAGAATCCATTATTCTCTCATCAGAAGGGAGATCTGCACCTTTCCTGTAGCTCTAGCTGGATTTTCAGAGGGAATAAACCTAGCTCCAGTTCAACAATTTTTACCTGGAAGCTGTCAGAACTTCCTTATACTCATTCTCCCCTGTCAGTCTTGGAAAGAGTGAGGGCTGTGATAGCACCTTAATTGTACTGCAGAGACAAAGAAGCAGGCAGCCTCCAGATGCTTTTCTGTTTACTGCCTGTTTCTTCTACTCAGAATTTCGAAAAGGGAAAAAGGAAAGGCCCCTGATCAACAAGGCATGGAGAAGAATCCATATAAACGAAGAGAGGAGAGAGAGGACGATGACTGCGTGCCCACCTTAGGGTCCCCAGGCTGGGAGCCAGACAGGAGGACACTAGCTGGGTGGGGTGGCCAGAGGAGGTGGGGTGGGCAGGGCGGCACTGCAGCAGGCAGCCTGTGTCATCACCTGGACCTGGGAATGTGAAAGCACCTTTCACTCTGCAGAGAAGCACAGTACCCCGCACATGGCGATCGATGTCCTCGCTCCTCAGAGGCAAGTACATTCCTGTACCTCACTCAGCAGAGGATGCTCGCCCACCCACACTGCCCCTGTGGCCAAAGAAAAAGGTCCCTGAAAACCATGAGGGCAGATGTGCTTGCCCAGGTGGCCTTCCCATGGGGTTCCAGGGACCTGGGGTCTTCTCCTCTTGCGGCTGCCTCACCTCTTGGCCAACAGAGTCCTCTGCAGGAGCCTGTGCATCCAGCTGATGGAGGAGCGTGTGCAGATGGCCACACAGGAAGCTTCCAGGAGTCAGGCCCGGAGGCAGCCCAGGCCTCCACTGACCACGACCCAGTCCCCACCACCACCGTGAACTCCCCAGGAGTGGGAAGTGTCGACTAGCTCTGTGCCCTGCAGAAAAGGGAGATGGGCCTGGACAACATCTCCTGTTTCCCCGCCATAAGAGAGAAACTCCCTTTCTCCTTCTCTTATTTTGAACAGACAGGACCCTAGAAAATGAAGACAGCAAGTGGAGATGTTCAAAGCAATGTGTAGAATGTAGTCACTGAAAAAACTGTAACCTCTGAATGAAAAGACATTTGGGAGAAAGAGAAGCTAGAAAAATAGCAAAAGAAACAGTAACAAAGAAAGGTGAACATCTTTAAATTAGAATCAAATCCATAGATCTTATTTTATTAAGAAAAATTATATTAAGATAAACAATTTTGCTGACCTATTTAACCTACGCTTCACAAATTATCTTATTTGATAAAAAATTATTTGGAGCCAAACAAAGGCTCTAGATATTTGCAAGTGAGTTCTCATGGCTATGGGTAGAACAAATGCGTGAAAACACGGACTGGAATTATTCCTTCCTGGAATAATTGTATTTTAACTTCTCCAGAATGCTGACAGAGCACTTCAGAATTGGGCAATTTAAAACGATACATGGGTTTTGCCCATTTCTTAATGATGCTTAAAATGATGCAGAAAACGATGCGAAAGCACTGGAAAGGAATACACACGTGAGCCCAGGCTTAGGGAAGCATAAAGCCTCCTGGCAGCCCGCACTGTGTTAGTCATTGTGACCCTGCCGCCTTTGTCCACAAGGATGGCTTGGGTGGCTCGGGGCCACCAGGCCATGTGGTTTGAGTTGCCTCCCACTGGGAGTGATGGATTTGAACTGGTCCGGCCACAATCTCCCACCCAGTCCCCCTTGTGGCCAAAGGCATGTGTTTGTGAGAGAGCTGGATGTTGTCAGGGGTGAAAGGGGTGATCACGAAACAGAGCAAAAAACAAAAAACGGTCAGCGCGGCAACGACTCCCAAGGCACTGGCCTTCTCTATGGCGTGTGCTCACCAACTGTGCCAGAGCCTCTCTTGCCTGGAGCCTGAGAATAGAGGCCACCACACAGGCCACTGGCATGATGACAACTGCAGCCATAAAGGCTTGCTGTTGCTGTACAGAGACACCGCAAAACATGTTCTCAGGGAAATGAGGATTTCAGCACAACGAGAAAGAAAAGTGAGACTTCACTGTAGCATAACCCTGAAATTAATACTAAGTTAATGTAAACATTACTTTCTGAAGTTTATTCAGCTTTTGCTGATTTCTCAGGGCACTAACAGGAAGACAGAAAAAGATCAATACTTTGTTTGAAATATATTCTATTCCAAACATCTCCATACAATGAAAATTGTGTCTTATTCTTCAAATAAAGGTGATATATCAGAAAGTAAATCTATAAAAATTGCCAGCCCAGTGGAATCCAGAATCTGCATGAAGTGTATCTTTTTTTTTTTTAACTATGTCAAACAAAATTTAAAAACAGCTTGACATTTCCTAAATATGTTTAAAGAAATCATAATTTCAGGGCAGAAGGGAGCAGATGGCTGCAAACACTGTAGGAACTTAGAGAGACCGAAGGAGGTTTAAAGCCATATTTGACAGAAAACTAAAGGAAGAAATCTTTCCTCCCCTTCTTCATCCTGGACTATTTTCAAAATAGTGAATTATTTTCTGAATATGCATTCCCCATTCAGAGCCATGGAAAAAGGCCAAGGAAGAACCTGCCAAGGCATGAGATTAGCAACACAACCCATGGAGATTTATTGCACATAAAAGATAGGGAAGTAAGACAACAGATTCCAAGGCAACAGATATTCTCACATAAATTAAGTGCTTTTAAAATGTAAGGTGCTCTTTCACTGATGTGTCTTAACATAATTTGGGTTAATTTAAAGACAAAACAACTTCATCATCAAAAACAGCCACAATAAAAAATGTTTTATTGATAAACCATCTGCTGTTTACCAAGGCATGGTAAAACCTCTGTAGACATCTCACCTAGATAATTTTCAATAAACATTGAGATCACTGTTATGGCTACACATGCTTATAAGAGCCTAATTCAGTATATTAATTGAAGTTATAGTTATCACTTGGTAGTGTCTCAGCATTATTGTTCAGGGACTGTCTGCATGCCGACAGAACTCTTGCTGGAGCCTGGGACCCAAAACCCCAGGGAAAAAAGCACTGAGGAGGGCAAGTTCAATATACACGACCATTTTCTTCTCATGTTAGTCTCTGGCAGAGTTCGGTAAGAAAAATTCTTGCGTTTGTCAGGTCCACAAACAAGGAATGGGTTTTACACATTTCAATGTTTTTCTAAAAAATCAAAAGAAAAATAATGTTTTGTGATACATGAATATTATATGACATTCAAAGTTCAGAGTCCATAAATATATTTTCTTGGAACACAGCCATGTCCTTTCATTTACACATAGCTGTGGCTGCTTGCCTGCCACCTGCAGAGCTGCAGCAGAGACCACACCGCCCTTGAAGCTGAAAATCTCCATCATCTGGCCCATTACAGGAAAATCTGCTGATTGAGGCCTGGTGCTTATTAAAGGAGTGGAAGGTGAGCCGCTTGCAGTTCCTAACGACTGTCTGGTCCCAGTGGAAGGCTTGGACTGTTCTGTCCTGCCCTGTCCTTCTGCCTGAAGGAGCACCTCAAGGGGAACTCAGCAGGTGGGTTAGAATGGGGTCCAATTGGAATGGGGAAGAAAGCCAGGGGGTGGAGATTGTATTGCCTGCGACGTGTTCATGTTGTATAAAACTACAATAGCACTTACCTACCAGAAGTCAAGGCAGGGACCCTTTCCTTATTTCCCCAGCATTTGACACAATTGCCAATAATAATATCAAACTTGCAAACCACAGCATTAGAACTTGTTGAGTCATGGAATCAAGAAGAAGGTTTGTCATATACATCCTGTTAAGACATAGAATTGTCCCAACAGAGACCTGGACTCTGAGGCTAAAATTGCAGGTGCCAGGAATCAGAAGATCCGAAGATTCTCAAAGCAATGCATGTTGGCACCACTTCATGAAAAAAAGATACTTCTCCTTCATAGAAATCAAATAGCAAAAATTAGGAGGTAAAAGCACAGGGCACACATCCTGAACACGAATTTAATACTAAAAATCACAAAGACACTCTTGTAGAGGTTCATGCTGAATGGAAGGCAGTCACTGACTGCATTTGCTATCAGACGTGGTGGCTGCTTGCACTCCTCTTTGCATGGAAATGTCACTGGAGTCCCAGTGAGGTCTGACTGATGGGGCCCAGCCACAGAAGCCACTATGAGGGGAGGCACAGTTTCTAGAATGTACACTCTGCCCTTACTGTAGGTATGGGTGACAGAAAGGACTGCCCAGCCTGTCTGCTTCACTGACTCCCAACCCAGGCAGTCTAAAGCAAAGCCAGTAGATTACAGGCTCCAGGACAGCACCAGACCTTCCCTCCTTCCCTTCCTGCTGGCACATGTACTCCAAACATATCAAAACTGAGAATCAATAAGACTGTGGCAAAGAGCGAAAACACTCAGATCAGGCAGCTTTTGCTCTGGAAGTCCTCACTGCACAGTCCCTTCCAGGCTCAAGCAAGCCTTCTGCCTCAGCTTCCTGAGTAGCTGGGATTACAGGCATGCACAACCATGCCCAGCTATCTTTTTTCTTTTTGTAGAGATGAAGTCTTGTTACGTTGCCCAGGCTGGTCTCAAGTTCCTGACCTTAAGTGGTCTTCCCACTTTGGCTTCCCAAAGTGTTGGGATTGCAGTGATGAGCTACTGTGCCCCACCAGCTTTTAGTCATGAATAATTTTCTTTGGAGAGAAATAAGCAAGTGTGGGCCCCAGGGTGTGCCATGTCAGTCAGCCTATCACAATGCTGAGTGGAGCGTGAAGAGGCTGTTCATCCTACTTCAGGGCATGGAGGAGCTGAATGGCCCTCAGTGGAAATGATAAGGAAGCAACTGTGAGCAGATGACCTTATTACACATTGGGGTGAAGGGTCAAAGTACTACTTCGCCATGGAACGGAGGCTGAGTCAGGAGATTTGTATTAGTTTATTCTCATGCTGCTATGAAGAACTGCTTGAGACTGGGTAAGTTATATAGGAAAGAGGTTTAATTGACTCACAGTTCCGCAGGACGGGGGTGGCCTCAGGAAACTTACAATCATGGCAGAAGGCACCACTTCACAGGGCGGCAGGAGAGAGAATGAGGGCCAAGCAAAGGAGAAAAGCCCCTTATGAAGCCATCAGATCTTGTGAGAACTCAGTCACTATCATGAGAACAGTGTGGGGGTAACTGCCCTCATAATTCAGTTACCTCCTACTGGGTCCCTCCCACAGCATGTGGGGATTATGGGAACTACAATTCAATATGAGATTTTAATGAGGACACATCCAAACAATATAATTCCACCCCTGGCCCTTCCCAAACCTCATGTCCTCACATTTCAAAACACAATTATCCCTTTCCAACAGTCTCCCAAATTCTTAGCTCATTCTAGCATTAACCCAAAAGTCCAAGTCCAAAGTCTCATCTGAGACAAGGAAAGTCCTTTCTGCTTATGAGCCTGTAAAATTGAAAGCAAGTTAGTTACTACCTAGATACAATGAGGAGTACAGGCACTGAGTAAAGACACCCATTCCACATGGGAGAAATTGGCCAAAACAAAGGGGCTACAGGCCCTGTGCAAGTCTGAAATCCAATAGGACAGTCATTAAACCTCCAAGTTCCAAAGTGATCTCCTTTGACTCCATGTCTCACATCCAGGTCATGCTGATGCAAGAGGTGGGCTCCCAAGGCCTTGGGCAGCTCTGCTCCCATAACTTTACAGGGTATAGCCCCCATGCTGGATGCTTTCATGGACTGGCATTAAGTGTCTGTGGCTTTTCCAGGGGCATGGTGCAAGCTGTTGATGGATCTACTATTCTGGGGTCTGGAGGACAGTGGCCCTCTGCTCACAGCTCCACCAGGCAGTGCCCCAGTGGGGACTGTGCATGGGGCCTCCAGCCCCATATTTCCCTTCCACACTGCCCTAGCAGAGGTTCTCCATGAGGACTCCACCCCTGCAGCAAACATCAGCCTGGACATCCAGGCACATCCATACATTCTCTGAAATCTAGGCGGAGGTTCCCAAACCTCAATTCTTGACTTCTGTGCGTCCACAGGCTCAACACCACATGGAAGCCAGCAAGGCTTGGGTCTTGCACACTTGGAAGCAATGGCCCAGGCTGTACCTTGACCCCTTTTAGCCACGCCTGGAACTGAAGCAGCTGGGATACAGGGCATCATGTCCTGAGGCTGCACAGAGCAAGGGAGCCTTGGGCCCAGCCCAGGAAACCATTTTTCTCAACTATGCCTCTGGGATGGTAGGAGCTGCTCTGAAGGTCTCTGACATGTGCTGGAAACATTTCCCCATTGTCTTGGCTATTAAAATTTGGCTTCTCTTTACTTATGCAAATTTATGCAAGGGCTTGAATTTCTCCCAAGGAAATGGGTTTTTCTTTTCTGTAGCAGCATCGGGCCACAAATTTTTCCAACTTGAATGCTCTGCTTCTCTTTTAAACTTAAGTTTCAGTTTCAGATCGTCTCTCTCAAGTTCAAAGTTCCACACATCTTTAGGGCATGGCAAAATGCTACGAGTCTCTTTGCTAAAGCACATCAAGAGCCACCTTTGCTCCAGCTCCCAATAAGTTCCTCATCTCTGAGACCATTTCAGCCTGGATTTCATTGTCCATATCATTAGCAGCATTTTGGTCGAAACCATTCAACAAGTCTCTAGGAAGTTCCAAACATTCCCACATCTTCCTGTCTTCTGAACCCTCCAAGTCTCTAAGAAGTTCCAAGCTTTCCCACATTTTTCTGTCTTCTTCTGAGGCCTCCAAACATTTCCAATCTCTGCTTGCTACCGAGTTTCAAAGTTGCTTCCACATTGTGGGTATCCTTGTAGCAGCATCCTACTCCCTCAGTACCAATTTACTGTATTAGTTTGTTCTCACGCTACTATGAAGAAATACTCGAGACTGGGTAATTTATAAAGAAAAGAGGTTTAATTGACTCACAGTTCCGCAGAGATAAGGAAGCCTCAGGAAACTTACAATCATGGCAGGAGGCACTTCTTTACACGGCGGCAGAAGACACAATGAGTGCCGAATAAAGGGGGAAAAGCCCCTTATAAAACCAGTAGATCTCATGAGAACTCCCTCACTATCATGAGAACAGTATGGGGGTAACTTCTCTTATGATTCAATTGCCTTGCACCAGGTACCTCTTACACAACACATAAGAATTATGGGAACTATAAGTCAAGATGAGATTTGGGTGGGGACACAACCAAACCATATCAAGGTTCTCATGATCTTTCATGCAGGGTGAAGAAGGAAAGGGGCCTGTCCTGATTCTGTTCCCTTGGAGCCTGGGAGCTATGGTTCTAGGATCGGAGAAAGAAGTCAGGCATGGACCAGGAGAGAAAATGAGCCAGAAGAATGGGCTCAGCCACCTCAGAGGCTCCACTCCCATCGGCTGTGGTGAGGGAGACCTGGTCAGATTATAGCTTCCTGACAGACTCCAGAGCATCTACCCTTGAGAAGAGAGCTGGGACCTGATTGCTTTGTGGTGACATTGTGTGCCAAATGTGAGAGAGATTTGGAGCTAAATATTTTATTTATATTTTTCCCTTGATTTAAAACATGTGGGGACAAAGAATGTGACCAGCTTGTGTACAACAGAAACACAGGACAAAAGATGACAGTTTTTATAACCCTGACACTTGTTCCTACCACAGCAATCAGTATTTGGTGGGGACCAGGCACTCTGTGCCTGTCACTTTCAATATCAGTTAGCTACTTAACATTATAAAGTCCCAAACTTAGCATGAGGTCACAATCCCCCGCTATCAGTTACAGATGCTGAAGATCCGAGAGACATGCCTCTGCAGGGAGTCAGAATGATTGTTGGGCATTTTTCTCTCAATAGAAGATTGCATCTTCGTGATTTGTCGTGGAGAAGGAGCACTGGGCTTATTTGTTCTCCTGTCATCACCCTGACACATCTCCTCTCCAGCCAGCAGCCAGCCCACCCTGGGTTGCCACAGGCTGCAACCTCCTCCATGCCTACGAGCCAGCAGTTGCCAGTGGCACACAATGGGGGCTTAGTCCCCTGGGCTCCATCCTGCATGGCAGTCTCCATGAACCTGGTCCACAGAATTGCAGGCTTTTGCTGGGCACTGGGCCTGGGCCTCAGGTGCAGCCGGAGTTGGTTCACGGCAGCTTTGAATTCAGATGCTGAGAGAAGCTGCAAGGAGAGTGCTGGTCAGCCAAGAGTTCTTCTTTGTTGGAGATTTGTGTTTTGGTCTGGAAGGGCATCCATATTCTATTCCCTTCTTCCCCTGTGAAAAAAGAAAGAAAGAAAGAGAGTGAGAGAGAGGAAGAGAGAAAGGAGAAGGAAGAAGGAAAGAAATGAAGGAAGGAAGGAAGGAAGGAAGGAAGGAAGGAAGGAAGGAAGTGAGGGAGGGAGGGAGGGAAGGAAAGGAAGGGAAGGAAAAGAAACACCAACATTTATTTTGGGTCCAGGCACTGGGTCAAGGGAGAAGGGAGGTTTGACATGGGGAAAGGAAGACTCTGGAGCAAGCTGGCTTCACACCTTTGAATTCTTATTATGTTTGATTGTGATGGCTCCTCCCTTACCATTCCTTCCCAAATTCTTCCTCAGATTTTCTTTTAAAATACAGACAAATGCCATTGAATTCTCCAACTCTCCACAGTATATCTTTTCCACGTCTTTGCAATATACCAACGGAGGAGTAGTTCAACAATTAGAACTAATTAACATCTGTGGTTTATTAGAGTCATATTAATTTCTTCAGCTAAGTAATCAACCAGAAAGTACCAAAGGACAGATAATGCTGAAACCACTGAATCTGTGCCTTCCAGCCTACAAAGCACGAGGGAAATATGGAGTGAGTTAAGATCAGATGTCAGCATTTCCTTATACAACTATGCAGCAATGAAAGCAAAATATTTAAGAACTCTGAATGGGACATGGTTATAACGTGTTTTCAATTTTCAAACTCTTAAAACTGAATCCTTTAATATTTCCACATTTAAACTCAATTATCAAGTTGAGTAAACTGTTTTCATGATAATATAGACCAGTTTTTCATACTAAAAAAACATGACTTTACATGCAAGTAAGAATTGTGCTGTTGATTGACTCTCTTTAAAGCCTAACACAATATTAAGAAAAAAATTATACTATCATTAGTTGGACTTTTAATGTTGACAAGCATTTCTGTGTGAATCAATCAGAAAGCTGTAAGTAGATCTTGACAAAAGGGCAGAAACACAAGCTAAATGTATTAATAAAAAGACAAACCTGATTCCATGAAATATTTAGTCTTGTGATTGGTCATTGTACCAGTGTTTCATCCCAAGCTTCTCTCTGGTTCTACAACCCCATGAAATTTAAGAAGTGGTTTTTGTAAGTCTTGGGCCCTCCCTAGGATTTTTTAGGTTGACACCAATAGTCCCCAGCACATGCACACACTCCCAACAGATGACTAAACAGAGCAAAAGGACCCTCAACAAGCCATGATATGTTTCAGCAGCATGGGTTGGGGAGGTGGGACACAGGCCGGATGAGAGGGACGATTCTCCTGATGTGTTGATGTAAATGGCACTTTACGGTTTCATGAACATAAATGTAAAATTGTCCCCCCTCTGAGTCATTCTCTAAGAAACTGAAAATTGGAGCGCTGGCATGAGATGATATGTCATTCAGTACACTCATGAGTTGTCCTGATGCCAAGGAAATTTGCTATTTTATTTGCTTACTGGTACGTACTATATTATTTTTTTATTAGAGTATATTTTATATTTTCTTAATAATTTTGCCCTGCATTTTAAAGAGCAAATATTTTGTTTTATTGCATTTTACCTAGTAAAAATTACATTCTACCCAGATGAACAACTCAGAAAGTATTATAGTAACATCATTCTCTGAATTCTAATATTTATAGAGTTGAATAAGTAGATCTCCCATAAAGCAACATTTTCTTATAAGTCATATATTTAAGTTAGCTGATAGTTTATTGCACCACAAGAAAGAGAACACATTTTTTAAGTCTTGTTTATAAGACTCATAGCATAGATAAATGTATGAGAAAAATTTCTGCTTCCTATCAGGAAAGAGACAATTTTTACCCTCCTACCTAAAGCAAACAAACAAAGCAAAAAGATAAAACATATGAAACCCACATTGTCAAGAATGGACATTAAGAAACAAAAGCTATGAACCCTGAGAGATGAAAAACAAATGATGTGAGCTCTCCAACCATCCTAGCATGGTGCCTTGAGGGAGTTCCCAGATGGGTAAAGGCAGGGGACCTAGCTGGAGGCCCTCAGACTCTCTGAGTTGAGGACAAGGAAGAATAATCCAGTTAGGCAAAGCCACGTAGAATCCACAGTGCAGAATACCGGAGAGAGACTGAGCACAGAGAGAGCGCTTCAGAGGTGTCAAGAAGGTCCCTGTGGAGTATTCAGTTGGGTACTCATGAATGCACCCATGTGTGGATGCTTCTTGAGGCTGGGGAAAGAACTACCCAATGGATGAGAGGAAAGGGTACCAGAAACTCACACAGGGCTGAGGATAGTGCTTCTTCCTGCCAGCCAGATAAGAAAAACAGAATGCATTGAGTATTGGGCAAAGTACATACACAGATCTTGTGTACGTCATGAAGACTAATTAGTCCTACATCAGAGGTTTTCAATCTCAGCACCAGTAATATTTTGCCCTGAATAGTATTTGCTGTGGGAACTGTGTCCACTGCACATAGAATGCTTAGCAACACCCACAATATTAGCCCATTAGATGCCATAACCCCTGTAGATGTTGCTAAATGTCTCCTGGGTACAAAATTTACCCTGGTTGGAAACCACTGTCTTAGTCTGATCACTGCTTTAGTTCTTGCACAAGAAATTCTTATAAAGCAAGGCAAGAGGGTTCAAACTATTTTCAATAAAATTAATGGCATCCCAAGACAAAGCTCAAGGATATTCCTAAGAGAACAAAAATACCCAGGACTTAACAAAATCAAATGACAAAATCTTGCATTAGATAAAAATTACTACATTTTCAAATAAAAAGGAAAACATGCCCAATAGAAAAAAAAACAATTGAAACTGACCCAGTACTAACACAGGTTTTAGAATTAGCAGATCATTTTAAAAGCTATTATAAATGTGCCGTGTTGAAAGTACTAAGTAGAAACACGAAAGGTATTTAAAAGACCCAAATCAATTTTTAGAGATGAAAAGTGTAATAGGTGAGATTGTAAAATGCACTGGATAAGAATAATGGCAGATAGGAAGAAAAGACTAGTGAACTTAGAAACACATTATTGGAAACTGTAAATGAAACACTAGAATAAAACTATGACTTAAAGAATTATCTAAGCACCAGTGACCTCTGGAAAACATGTAAACAGAATAATATATAAGTAATTGAAGTTCTTGAAAGAATAAGAACAGTAAGGAGGAAGAAGAGGAGAAAAAGGAGAGGGACAGTAGGAAGAAAAAACGAAGAAGAAACTGAAATGAACACAAATTTTTCTAATTTCGAAAACTACAAACACATAGATTCAAAAAACTCAGAAACATGAGGACGAGAAACATAAAGAAAACTACGTCAAGACATTTTATAATAAAACTGCTCAAAACCAATGATAAAGATAAAGGCTTAGAAACAACTGGAGAGAAAAATGATTACATAAAGAAGATCATGGTTATGATGACAGCAGGTTTCTTGTTAGAAACAACACAGCCAAAAAGACAGTGTAATAGCATCTTTAAAGTACTGAAAGAAAAAACTGTCAGCCAACAGTTTTATACCCACAGGAAAGATCTTCTGAAAGTAAAAATTAAATAAAGACTTTCAGACATAAAAAGCTGTAGAGATGTATTACCAGTAGAATATTGGTACCAGAAATATTTTTAAAAGTTCTTCTGGGAGACAGGAAATGACCGGATAGAAATGTGGATCTATGGCAAGAGAATGAAGAGTACTAAAAACTGTACTACATGGGTAGATACACGAGACCATTCTGATTATTAAATCCTCTTTTAGAGAGCATTTAAAGAAAGCATTAATAAAATATAACAATGAGTGTTAAGTTTTCAACAAATATACATTTAAAATATATGGCAAAAACAGCACCCAAATCAGATGGAATAAAGGAAAGTATACTATTGTAATTTTCTTATGCTATATATGAAATATATATATGAAACATCACTTGAATGTCGACTGCAATAAATTAGAAGTTTATATTATTAACCAAAATGAAACCACTAAAGTAATAAAACAAAAAGTTATAGAGAATAAAAAAGAATTGATATAAAATGAAATCATAAATATATTAAATTACTTCAATAGATGACAAAAACAAATAAGGAAATGAAAAATAAATGGGACAAATAAAATACAAATGATAAGTTGGTCGATTTATACCTAATAATATCAATATTCACAGTAACTGTAAATGACCTGAATACACCCATTAGAAAGCAGAGGTTATCATATAAGATAAAAAGTCTAAACTCAAATACATATTGACTACCAGAAACACACTTTAATTATCAATACACAGGTAGGTTAAACAATTTGTTAAAGTGCTGTATCATTCTAAAACGAATCCAAAAATACTAGAAGTATATGTTAATTTGAGCAAAGTATATTTCAGTGCGAAGAATATTGCCATGGGTAAAAAAGGTCATTTCATCATGATAAAGTTGTCAATTTATCAAGCGGATGTAGAATCTTAAGCATGTGTGTACACAGTGAGATCTTCAAACTACACAGAGCAGAAACAAATAGAACTGCAAAAAGAAAAGGATAAATCAGTAGATATAGCTGGAGATTTCAATACCTTCACTCAACCATTGAGAGATTATGTGGACAGAAAATCAATAAAGATACAGATTTGAACAAAATTATCAATCAACTCGAAATAATTAACACTTACAGAACACTCCATCCAACAATAGCAGAATGCACATTCTTTTTAAGTGGCCACAAAAGAATTTACCAAGATAGACCAAATTCTGGGCCTCTAAACAAGTCTCAATATATTTGAAAGGATTCAAGTCAGGCTATTCTCAGACCACATTGTAATAAAATCAAAAACGAATAACGCAAAAAGCTCCAAAAAAAAATACTCTGAAACTAAATAATACACTTCTAAATAAACCATGGGTCAAAAAAGAAATAAGTATAAAATAAGAACATATTTTGAACTGAATGTAAATACAAATACAACTTACAGACTTTTTTAGAATGCCCCTGAAATGTGTGGGAAATTTATATCATTAAATGCCTACATTAGAAAAGATGAAAGAACTCAAATTAATAATATCAGTATCTATCTCAAGAAACAGAGAAAGAAGAGGGAATGTAACCCAAATTAAGTAGAAGGAAATAAATATAAGGATGAGAACAGAAATCAAGGAAACAGAAAACAGAAAAACAATAGATAAAATGAAAATCAGAAAATAAAGCCAAAACTGCTTTTTGAGGTCAATGAAATTGATAAGCCCTTAACCAGGCTGGTTAGGAAAGGAGAATTACAAATTACCAATATCGGGAATGAGAGAGGTGTCATCACCACATACGATATAGACAATGAGAGACAATAAAGAATGGGCAAGGACTTGAATGGATATTTCCTCAAAGATTCCATACAAATGGCCAACAAGCATGTGAAAAATACATATCACTGATTATTAGAGAGGTGCAAATCAAAACCATAATCAGATTTCACCTCACACCCATTAGAACAGCTACTATCAAAAAAATAAAAAAAAAAACAGGCATTGCTCAAGATGTGGAGAGGCTGAAACGTTTGTGCATTTTTGATGTAAAATGGTGCAGTTGCTATGAAAACCAGTATGGTAGTTTCTCAAAACATTAGAAACAGAATTACCATATGATCCAGCAATTCCACTGGATATATCCAATACAATGAAAGCACGGTCTCAAAAAGGTATTTGTGTGCCCATGTTCACAGCACCGTCATTCACCATAGTCAAGAAGTGGAAGCAACGCGAGCGTCTATCAAAGAATCAATGGATAAACAAAATACAGTATATTCATCAAATGGATATTAAAGGAAGAAAATTCTGACACTTGCTACAACATGGAAGAACCTTGAAGACAGCATGCTGAGTGAAATAAGTCAGTCAGGAAAGACAAACATTGTATAATTCCAGTTATAGGAAGTACCTGGAGTAGTCAGATTCATAAAGACAGAAAGTAGAATGTTAGTCTCCATGGGCTGAGAAGATGGATAGAGGGTTATTTTTTAAGCAGTAGATAATTTCAGTTTTACAAGATTAAAAAAGTTCTTGGAAGTAGTTGTACAATGATGTGGATATATTTAAAAATGTTTAAAATATACTTTAAGATGGTAAATTTTATGTTATGTGAATTTTACAATTAATTTTTTTAAAGATAATAAGGGAATATTATGAACAACTTTGTGCCAGTAAATTTGACAACACATGTGAGATGGATAACTCCCTTGGCAGACAGGAACTACTAAGGTCAGTCGAGAAGAAGGAGATGACCTGAATGAGCCCTGTGTGTTACTGGATGGAAGGTCTTGACTGTGAGTTGTCCAGGTTCTTGGCGTGTTGAACAAAGAATTGAACAAAACATACAAACAAAGCAACAAAAGAATGAAACAATGAAAGATAAACAAAGCAACAAAAGAACAGAGTAACAAAAGCACAGATTTATTGAAGCAAAAGTGCATTTCACAGAGTGGGAACAGGCTCAAGCAAGTGCCTGAAGAACCCCCCGAATTACAATGTTCTTTAGGGTTTTATTAAGATAAAAGAATTTGGTAACATCCCTAAGTGCCCTTTAGAGGCGTCCAGTTGGTTACACCCTAGGAAGGATTGGCCCATGACCCATCAGAGGGTGAAGTGAAGACTTGGCCCCCAGTCAATCAGGGGCTGAAGTGGAATCTTCTGTTTTGTTGTCACAGGAGTGAGGATGTGGCCTGGGTGCTGCCCAATCTTGTCTGGAGCTGGCTGCACCTGCTGTTCTCCTTCTCCTTAACCCTTGGTTCCCTTATTCCCTATTCTCCTGCCTCTTACCTATTAAAGCAAGTGAATTTGTAGCTGATCACCTCCCTTCAATGATTATATTAGAGACAGATAGCTTCACTAGTAAATTCTACTAACAGTAATAAAAGAGAGTATACTATTTACATAGAAACTCAAGTAGAAAACTGAAGAGGTTTCTCATTCAGTGAACTGACATTACCCTGACTTAAAAAAAAAAAAAAATTAATGACATTATAAGAAGAGAAAACTACAGACTTCGGGAGCATGGAAGAACAAAAATCCTAAGCTAAATCTTACCAGTTAAATTCAACATTTAAAAATACATCATGAACAAGTGAGCAAGTGAGATTTACCCCAGGAATACAAGGTGAGTTTAACAATCCAAAATAAATGTGACAAACTAAAAGTGAAAAGTCCCATGAACATCTGAGTAAAAGTAGAAAAAGCCCTTCACAAAACCCAGCATCCATTTTCTCATAAAAGCTTTCAGCAAGCTAGGAGTAGAAGGCTTCCTCCTCACCCTGGTAATATGTATTTGTGAAAAAAAACATGCAACAAGTAATATCACAGTTATGGTGAAAGATGAAATGCTTTCCCATTAAAATGAGTAGTAAGATATGGATGTGTGGCACAGCTGATTGGAATATAAAATTGTGTGACCATTTTGGAAGATAATTTTTCTCTTTTTTAAAAAGTTAAACCTCACACCTGTAATCCCAGCACTTTGGGAGGCCGAGGCAGGTGGATCACGAGGCCAGGAGATCGAGACCACGGTAAAACCCTATCTCTACTAAAAATACAAAAAATTAGCCAGGCATGGTGGTGGGCGCCTGTGGTCCCAGCTACTTGAGAGGCTGAGGCAGGAGAATGGCGTGAACCCAGGAGGCCGAGCTTGCAGTGAGCCGAGATCACTCCACTGCACTCCAGCCTGGATGACAGAGTGAGACACTGCCTCAAAAAAAAAAAAAAAAAAAAAAAAAGTTAAACCTATACCTACCATATGATCTAGTTATTCTGCTTCTAGACATTTACTCAAGATAAATGAAAGTATAGATGCAATACAAATCCTTGTAAACAAAAGTTCATGAGTACTTAATTTGTGATAGCCAAAAAGTGGAAATATCCCAAATGTCTGTCAATAGGTAAATGGATAAACAAGCTGGGTGTAAACATATTGTGGAACACTACTCAGACATTAAAAGGAAGGAACAGTTGATACAGGCAACAACTTTGATAGATCTCAAAATAATTATGCTGAGTGAATGAAGCAAGAAAAAAAAAGAGCACATAGCACATTATTCCATTTTTATAAATTCTAAAGAAAATAAACTAATTTATAGAGATAGGCAGAAAGCAGATCAGTGGTTCCCCGGCCTTGGGATGGTGGCTGAAGGATGCTATGGGCAATTTGTGGAGGTCAGATCTTTTTCAGCTAAAAACCCACCTTCCAAAGAAGAAACAGAGTACTTCCTCTAGGTGGAGAAATGCAAAATAAAATTTATAAAGGGAGCTTTTTTTTTTTTTATGTGCAAAGCCCAACTTATTCTTGAAAATGTCTTGGAAGCCATGGTGCCAATTTACATCCTCCTGTTTGGGAAATGAGACAGTTTCCGATAAGGAAGTACAGAGCAGTGGAGCTGAACAGCAGGTGCTTATTAGTTATAGCCGTGGCTAGAAAAGTGGCTTGAGCTTCAAACGTAAGACTCTAAAATGAACAAGCAATTTGAAGCGTGTAACAGAATGGTGGAGTGTGAATTAGTATTTACTTCCCAGATCTAAATTCAGGTTCTGGCGGCCCCCATAGAGTGCTCTGGGAAAGAGAACAATAATATTTTCTTGTGCACTTTAAAAACAATACACAGTTCTAAAATTGTCAAAGTTAGTGGGGAGGTAAACCTAGCTAGGGCCAATAATTCTCTCTTCAACTGTGAAAAACTGATTTGAGAGATCACAGGGCATAAAAAAGAATGTGCACCCCCAGGGTGTAGAATATATCATTCTACACAGGGTGCAGAGTATATCATTCTACACAGGGTGCAGAATATACACAGGGTGTAGAATATATCATTATTGTAGCTATTTGCATCACAATAAAATATGAATGCAAATTCCTTAGGCACAGTAAATAATGGATCACATATGCAACACTGGAATCAGACTAGCATCTGTAGTTGCTCTAAATATGATAAAATGTCAAAGCCCATTAATGATCACATTTAGGATCTCAGTTGCTGCCTAGCTGGGAAGATGAGAGCATTCCCCATGGAGGAGTATTGTCCTCAGCTCTGCAGCAAAGACGCTCTGCCTTTCTCAGAGTGTCCGGTCATGTACTGAAACTTCTGGAGACAGGAGACTGAGATAAATTGACCATGTTATCCATGATTCGTTTCGATAAAACAGTGCCAGGATCTCGAAGAAACCTCCAAGTTATTAGATAAACTGATGCATCCATCATTGGAAAGATTAGCTAAGCTTTGATAATAATGGCTGGACATGTGTTTGCATTTTTTTCTATACAACTAAAAATAATTCTTGAAGCAAGAGTGGCTTTAATGCTTTCATGTGAGAAATATGATGATTTCTGTGTGGTTGGAAAGGGAGCAGCCTCTGCGTTCTCTGTTTCTGCATCCGTGTTTCACTCTGACCTGATCAGATATTTCTCTCCTGGTGATAGATTCCATGGGGATGAACAGATGGCCCGAAGCTCAATCCTGTGGACAAGACTACATTTGCGGCTAGGCACATCTTGTTTCATGGACAAAAGAACTTGGTTAGCAAAAGGAAAAAATAGAATTTCCTTACATACACACACACACACACACATACACACAACACACACACACACACAAAACACATACACATGCGTGCATGCACATGTACAGGTTAGAAATGTTAAGAAACATGAAAACACCCTTCTTATTCTCTTGTATGCCGGGTGGCTTTGGATTGCTCTTCCGTAGGATGCAATATGATACACCATAATCAATAATCACAACACCTGAAATATTAACACTGCAGTTGCTTTTATTTACCTCTGAAAAATAGATCCCTCTCTTGCAGAAGCAAGAACAGTCCAGGGACCCACCTCTGACCTGCAAGTCCCATGACTGATTGTTTATCGGCTCTTGGCAAAGCAGGAACCGTCCCACATCAACAGGCCCAGGACCCTGACCTTCATTCATTTTCTCAGCCTGCTGGTGCTGATTTAGTAGGAACGTATTATGTAACATGCACTAAGATGCAGTTCGAGCAAGACTGGTGAGGGTGGTCCCTCCTTGTGTAGAATCACATTCTTGCAGGGAGAGAGATAGCAAATAAATAAACATATAAACACCACAGTAATGCAAATATAGGCTGGCAGTGCACATTGTGCAGAGACTTTCTAAAGGGTGAGGTTATGTGGAGCAATTAGGCAACCGTCATCCACTGGGCAGTCAGGAAGTGCCAACGGAGCTTAGATTTGAATGGTGTGATGGTGTCAACGTACAAGCTGCAGGTGGATGGAGGAACATTTCTGGTGGGGAACAGGCACACAGTAATACCCTCCCTTGAGTTTGGGTGGATCTGTGACTTGACTTCAGCCACGACAGAATGTGGCCAAGGTGACAGGATGCCAATGCATGATTATATTTTATTATAGAAGAAGCCATCATCTTAGCAGGCTGAAGCAAGAGACTTTCATGCTGACCTTGCAGAAGCAAGTCACTATTTCTGAAGACCTAGAGAGGACCACATCCAGGAAGCTGTGGGGCTTTTAGATGCTCAGTGCAGCTCCTGGAAAACCACCATCAGTGAAGCAGGGACCTCTGTACTGCAACCGCGAAGACTGAGTTCTGCCAATAACCATGCAAGCTTGGAAAAGGATCGATGTGAGACCTGGATACAGGCCTTGCCAAGGGGTGGACAGAAAGCAGTGTGTGATGCTTGGTTCAACACTCACTGTGAGAGGAAAAACCACTGAATCTCAAGCTGGGGAGATAGAGGGAATTCCTTTGGGGGAAGGTGTTGGAGAAATACGGCTTTTTCCCTACGCATGTCTTCAACCTCCAGATGCTGAGTTCTTACCCTCTCCCAGAGTCCTGTAGAAAACACAGAGATGAAGTCCTCAACGAGCTCCTGGCCTCGGAGGAGAGAGAAGGCTGCACATGGATCATGATAACATAAGGTTGAAATGCAAAAGTACCATAAAACAGTAAAATATTAGGGGGACCAAGAGGACAGGGGTTGCCCTGCAGGAAGGGAGACCCCACAGGCTTGGCAGAGGAGACGCCCACCTGAAATGCATCTGCATGGCAGGCAGAGAGGGCTCAGAGAACAAGAACAGAGCACTTCTGAAACTGGGATTGAGGAAAGAAAAGTCACCAGGATGGAAGAATAAGCATAGTTCAGCAGCAAGGTTCTGTGGTGGTTAATTTCATGTGCCAACTTTACTGGGTTGCGAGATGCCCAGACATTTGGCCAAACATTATACTAGGTGTGTCTGTGAGGGTGTTTCCAGAGAGGATTGGCATTTGAATCTCTGAACTGAGTAAAGCAAATGTAGATGGGCCTCACCCAATCCATTGAGGGCATGAATAGAGCAAAAAGGCAGAGGAAGGGAGAATTCAACATCTCTACTTGACTGCATGAGTTGGTTATCTGTCTTCTCCTGTCCTCGGACTCTCAGGCTGGGCCTCACACCATTAGCACTCCTAGACCTCTGTCCTTTGGATTAGGATTGGAGTCATGCTACCCGCATTCATGGGTCTTAGCTTGCAGACAACATATTGTGAGATTTCTGGCCCCTGTTGATTGTGTGCACCACTTCTTATGATCTCTCTCTCTCTCTCCATAAATCGATAGATAGGTAGACAGATAGACATACACATACACTAATGGTTCTGTTCTGCTTCTCTGGTGAAACCTGGCTAACACAGGGCCCATGGATGGGATGGCAGGAGTGGAGGCTGAATGGCAGATGGAGACAAGAGCTCAAAGCCTTGAACTCCAGGCTGAGTTAACTTGTGATCAGGGCAGTGACCTCCAAATCACAGCATGAAAGTGAGGCATAGCAAGGACGGCTCCCCAGATGACGGCTCCACTTCATTGAGAAGGATGGGTTTGGAATAGTGACAGGTAAGATGTGTAAAGGGAAGAGGGTGGGGGCTCACTCCTGTGTCCTGCGCCCTGAACCCTGGTGGCTACAGGCATCCAGGTGGTGATCCACAGCAGCAGGGAGAAACAAAGAGAATCAGAACTCCAAAGAGAAGCCACAACTATAGACACAGATTCATGAGTCATCTCCACCAGACAGAAAACTGGAAACATCCATTCTTTAATGCATACCTCAACAGGGATATGATGTAAGCATCATTACTGTGGGCAGTACTGATAACAGTTTCCAGGCCCTTTTTGAGAAACGAAGGAAAAGGAGAGTTCTGGAGCTCGAGAGCAGTGTGTGCACTGATGCGATGTGGCAACTTGGCTCAGCTCACTGTTTTGTTCTGGGGCAACTTAGAGTTGTGTGGGGAAAAGCAAGAGAGATCAGATTGTTACTGTGTCTGTATAGAAAGAAGTAGACATAGGAGACTCCATTTTGTTCTGTACTAAGAAAAATTCTTCTGCCTTGAGATTCTGTTAATCTAGGACCTTACCCCCAACCCCGTGCTCTCTGAAACATGTGCTGTGTCAAACTCAGGGTTAAATGGATTAAGGGCTGTGCAGGGTGTGCTTTGTTAAACAGATGCTTGAAGGCAGCATGCTCCTTAAGAGTCATCACCACTCCCTAATCTCAAGTACCCAGGGACATAAACACTGCGGAAGGCCGCAGGGACCTCTGCCTAGGAAAGCCAGGTATTGTCCAAGGTTTCTCCCCATGTGATAGTCTGAAATATGGCCTCGTAGGAAGGGAAAGACCTGACCGTCCCCCAGCCCGACACCTGTAAAGGGTCTGTGCTGAGGAGGATTAGTATAAGAGGAAGGCATGCCTCTTGCAGTTGAGACAAGGAGAAGGCATCTGTCTCCTGCCCGTCCCTGGGCAATGGAATGTCTCGGTATAAAACCCAATTGTACATTCCATCTACTGAGATAGGGAAAAACTGCCTTAGGGCTGGAGGTGGGACATGCGGGCAGCAATACTGCTTTATAAAGCATTGAGATGTTTATGTGTATGCATATCTAAAAGCACAGCACTTAATCCTTTACCTTGTGTATGATGCAAAGACCTTTGTTCACGTGTTTGTCCGCTGACCCTCTCCCCACTATTGTCTTGTGACCCTGACACATCCCCCTCTCGGAGAAACACCCACGAATGATCAATAAATACTAAGGGAACTCAGAGGCTGGCGGGATCCTCCATATGCTGAACGCTGGTTCCCCGGGTCCCCTTATTTCTTTCTCTATACTTTGTCTCTGTGTCTTTTTCTTTTCCAAGTCTCTCGTTCCACCTTACGAGAAACACCCACAGGTTTGGAGGGGCAACCCACCCCTTCAGAGTTGAGTTCAAGGGGTAGGATATCTTGATAATGATCGCCTGCTAATGGCAACATTTATGCTAAGAGTTTCATCTTAAATTCTAATGTACATTTTTTTTTTTTAAATCCAGAGTTTCAGGGCTGCAACAATTCCATCTTCATGATGAGTGGTATGAGATTGTGACATCCTAAGTCACAGCCCTGTTCCCTGGGATGAGTATTGTCATTGATTATCCTTTCCCAGTAAATATGAGTAGACAGTGTCAGGTGTTAATTAGGCTGCCTTTAGAGGTGAAGCTAGAACATATGTTCTACTTATCAAGATGGGGTTGTTGTTTGTGTTTGGCACTGCAGACCATGACCATCTGAGCAAAGAAACCCATTGAGATTAACTTGTAACTGTTTAATAGCATATGTATTTTTAAAGCCAGCCTGCAAGAATGATTCCTTGCTCATTGAGGACAAGTATGTGGCCACTACTGCTACATCTGTGCACTTACTGGCCTTGGTCAGTTGTTTCCTCACACTCATCAAGTGATGTGGAAAGTGGAGTAAACCCAGTGGTGAAAACCAATGATATTATTAGGCAGAAAGTTTAAGAAAACGTCACACTGCAGGAAAGCACACTGCCCTCTATAACATGGGAAATCTTGATCAGCCAATCAGGTGTCAATTGCAGAGTCAAATGCTATAGATATGTACCTGGTGTACTGGTGTATGCAGTCATAAGATTACATTTTCTAATAAACATTTCTGTTGTTACCATTAAGTGTATTTAGCGTGAGAAACTTTCTTGAGATATATTACAATAGGAAAGAAGATATTGAGTGCTCCAATGACTTTTAGAAACCAATTTTTAATGCTTCTTCTACAAGAACTGTTGCACTTTTGTTTTCCTGAAGTCTTGGCTCGAGTCAAAGGTTCAGAATTTTTAAGACCACCATGCATCCTGCTTTTAGATGTTCCCGCAGGCTTATCTGATGGGGAAAAGCCCTCAGCACTGAAACAGCTTTGCCACTCTTATAAGAGGGCTCTGGTGATAAATTCCTGCCCTGGAAGCCTGGACAGGTTGCCAAGAGTAGAGAGGACCCACACCAGTATGTCCTGGAGAAGGATAGACCTTGCCTATGACACCTGTGTGGCAGCAGTCAATATCTTGGCAAGGAGAAAAGTGTGAAAATGAAGAGAAAGCAGGGCTGTGATGCAAGCTGGAAACATAGCTTTGTGCGGCCTCATGCCTTCAGCAGGCCTCCTGCTTTTCTCTCCTCCCTCTGTGATGTCACAGCAGCTGGTGTCTTTGTGTCAATTTCACAGGTTGATGGGGTTGGGTTTTAAGATGATGTAACATCCCCCAAGAAAGCTGCCCAGGGACCAGGGTTGCTGTTGTGTTCCACATTCCCCACCTGCTCCTCTGCTCTGCAAGATTGCTTTATATGAGAACCACGTGGGTGCCAGTGTGCAGCCATGATGTATTGGTGTGAGCCTTCACTTCTGAGGCAACCTGCTATTAGCTATGGTATTACCAAGAGTAATTCTTTCCAGTCTAATTTTGTGGATCTTGCTGCATAAGACTAAGCCTCTGGGGACACAGACACACTTTAGCAATAGGCTCTGCCTATGGCAATAGCCCAGAAGACCAGTGGCCAATTCTGTCATTTCAAATAGCTTTCCAATCATTAACCTTGAGTGGTGAAATCAACTATAATTATGGAAATGATACTGGTGATGTATCTATGAATTTGACAAGCTTTTATTTTAGTGGAAAATCTTAATGCTTTGCTCATGCTCCTGTGCATATGTGTTGTACAACGTAGAGAAGTGTCTGGGAAATGTAAGTTTCAAACATGCTCGGTACTGCTCACGACTCAGAGGCATACATTAGGAAGATTTCATGGTTTTGATCTTTAAGATGGGACCTGGGAAGAGGCATATTTTTAGCATGGTGTAGAGGTCTTGAGATCTCTATAGAAAGTGTTTTGCATCCCTTTCTGTTCCCTAATACTCATGATCTCTATTGGACAATGAGGGAAGGCAGACACGGTGCTAACAGCTGCGCTTTTCCAGATTCATTAATAGGTAAGTAGGAAACTCAGAATTCCAGAGTCTCAGAGACCATAAAGAGACTATATGTCCCCACTTACAGTAGGGATGAAAGAATGTTCCAAAGCCCACACCCTTCGAGACTGTTGGTTTCTCACACTGTTTTCCTCATTCCTCCCATTACTCTCTGTAGAGCAGGGTTTCTCAACCTTGGCACTACAGACATTCTGAGTGGAATAATTCTTGGTTGTGGGGCTGTTCCGTGTGCTGTAGGTTGTTTAGCAGCACCCTTGACTTGTACCTACTAGATGTCAATAACACCCTCACCCACTGTGACAAGCAAAAGTGTCTTTAGACAATGCCAGATATCCCTGGGAGAGCAAGACTGTCCCCGGTTGAGAACAAGTGCTCCAGGATAATAATGAAATAACTGGATAATAATGAAAAATAGGACCATGATGATAGCTATCATTCATGGGTACTTCAACCACTTTAAGTACATTATCTTCTTGTAATTATTCAAATAACCCATAATAGTTGCTGCCATTATTATTTTTATGTGATACATGAAGAAACGGAAGTGCAGGGATCCTAAGTAACTTTCTTGGGTGAAGCAATGGTGGAATCCAAACTTAGAATCACTGCCCTGGGCATACCATGCTGTGCTGTGATGGATCACAGATGCGCATAGGGATAAACTGAAGAAAGGACACAGCATTCCCTGCTGCAGAGCACGCCATGCTGTGAATAGGGTTGGTGCTTCAAAGATCCTCATAAAATAAAACATTGAAACAATAAAACTATTAGAAGATACGGCTCGTATATTATATTTAAAACTGCACAGAGAGCTTCATTTGCTTGGTAAGCAAGGAAGATAGTGCCTTTCCTAAGGCAGAAGCCTTGTTACTCTGAAGGCTGCTCTCCTGAGCCTGGCTTGGGGGGCTGTCATCAGCTGTGGGGGGCTCTAGTTCTTCCTACTTCAACTGTTCAGCAGCCAAAAGAGTGTTATTTGGAAAACCACTACCCCTCCAAGTCCCAAATGTCCTGTCTCCCGCCCACCCAGTACTCAGGAGCTCACAATATTCTCCTAATGGAATGTGTGTGTCTCTTCAGGGCCTAAAGAAATGTAGAACTCCATCAAACATGTCTTGTGCAGATCTGAGGATAAAACCATTGATTTGCATTCATGCAAGGCAGGCTCTTCACAAGGAGGCATCCAGGACCTTGGCACACGCCACTTTCCCTGTGGGGGAAAGAGCTTCGTACAAAAAGACATTTTTTCCTGTGAGCAGGGATGGGTGAAACACTGAGGAGGGAGAGGTATGAGTGCAAGCAAGAACATCTGGGAAACATCGAGTCCAATCAAGGGCCAGCCCGGCAGTAAAAGCAACCAGAGTGCAGAGGGTGAGTCGCTCTCTGACCAGGCTGTAATCCCTGTCTGAAGAGGGGAGTTTTGATTTTAGCACTAGCAATGGAAATATGCTCTGATCTCACTCAGCCTCCCAGCCAGGAACAAGCGATGCCCACCTCCAAGCCCAGCCCTCTCTGATGCACAGCTCCAGCTATCATTAGGAAGCAGCTTTCACAGAGATCTATGGAAAGCAGAGGAGGCCACTTGTGGGAGGGATGACTTCAGAACAGCAGGGTCCAAGAGATGTGCGCTTCTGACTTTCCACCGACGCTCCAGTCCCACAGTTAGTTCGAGATTTACGACTTTAGCTCAAAGCTTTGTGTTTCTCTTTGAGAAACAGACATGCAACTAGTCAATTAGTTGCATTAGCTGTTAGGTAGAATTCTCCAGAGAGAACCAATAGGATATATACATAAATGACGGAGTATGTACTCTCTCTCTCTCTCTCTCTCTCTATATATATATATATATACACACACACACACACACACACATATATGCCTGTGAGTGATATATATATCCCTGTGAGTGATATATATATACATATATATATATATCCCTGTGAGTGATATATATATACATATATATATATCCCGTGAGTGATATATAGATGTATCCCTCACATATGTGTGTGTGTGTGTGTGTGAGAGAGAGAGAGAGAGTGTGTGTGTGTGTGTATGTGTATGTAGAAACAGAGAAAGAAAGAGAGGAATTGTTTTAAAGAATCATCTCATGCAATCGTGGGAGCTGGCAAGTCTGAAATCCCATGGGCAGGCCAACAGCCTGCGGATGCAGGTGCGATTCGATGTGAACTTCTTGAGTCCAAAATCCTCAGGGCAGCAGGCTGGAAACTCAGGCAGGGTTCCTCTGTTGCAATCTTGAGGCCAAATTCCTTCTTCTTTGGGAGACCTCAGTATTGTAAGGCCTTTGACGAATTAAATGAGGCTCATCCACATTATGACGTGCAATCTGCTTTAGTTAATGTCTTATAATTTTAACGTTATTCACTCCTGCAAAATATTAATACCTCCCCAGCCACATTTAGACTGAGGTTTGACCAATCAGCTGAGCGCCACAGCTGAGCCAAGTTCACACATAAAATTAACCATCACACCAGTCACCACACCTGGACAGATTCTCTTCTGAGAGCAAGTTTAAGGGGAGGAGGGTTTGGAGAAGTGAGTACCCTGGCAGCCCCAGCAAAGAAGGGAGAGAAGCTGAAAGACATTGGAGGCTGGGATACTATTTGCATAGGAGGCATAACACCTCCTGCAAAGTAGTCTAGCAAAAAGACAGAAAATATATATATAAAATATGTCAGAATACATGGATGCATATTTGTGTGTATGCATGTGTGTATAGGTATGATATGTATGTATGTGTACATGTGCATGTGTCCATATGCATGTGTATATGTCAACTTAGATAACAGACAAAGGCTGTCTAGAAGAAAAACATGTTTATTTGGGAATAAAGCATTACAATGAGAATATGCATACCATAGTAAATGATGTGCCTATTAGGGAGATGAAGTAAGATAGGGGTTTTTAAAGAAAAAAGATTACATAATTGTTTTGGAATAATTATCGTTGGCTACAAAGTTCAATAGCAAAGGTGATTCCAGTGCAAGGTTGGACAGGCAGCTGCTGGGCAAATGTCCTTGCAGAAGTATTTTTTTTGCAAGGTTGAGATGACCTTTGTGCAAGTCATCTTGTAGTCATCATGTGGTTTTCGTAGTCTTTTTTGTTTTCAGGCATGCAGTGTGAGAACTCTCTCTTTTCATGGTGTCACTGTCTCTATTGGTCAGGGTTTTCTTAACGTTAGCGACTCAGACTAAATTTTGATCTTGAGAAATTTCACATATCTGTATATTCATATATCTATGTACATATATGTATGTGTGTCACCTAACAAATTTCAGGAAATGCAGAGGGCAGAGGAACATTTCAATTGCACCATAGAAATGCAATTAACAAACTGGAAGCTATACAAATTCTGCAGGACAAATATAGCAAATTTCTCCGATGACAAAATAGCTAGGAAAAAAGAGTTCAAAAAGAATTTGTATGGGGTATTAAAAGACATATGAATTAATCAAAATGTTGGGACTAATTTGGATTCTGATACAAATAAACTATAAAAAACAAACAAGCACATTAATGAAAATATTGGAAATATGAACACTGGCTATTCACTGGTATTAAGGAATTATTTATTTTAATATAATTATGAAATGATTTTTAAATCTATCTTCACAGACACACTCTGGAATATTTCTTTCAAATTAATAAAAGAATGGGCAAGTGGAATGAAGGTTGCATAGGACAGGATTGGCCACAGTGTCCAAGTTGTTGGCACAGGTATATTGAAGTTTAGTATACTAGTCTGCTTATTGTCATACATGTTTGAAATCGTCCATAACAAAAGTATGTTTATATATATATATGCAGTGTATATATATATATGTACTGTATATATATATCTGCACTATATATATATGTGTGTGTATATATATACACACACATAGTCACATATGTAAACCAATCTATATTATATACCTGCTGTGTATATGGTATATTATACTTAATACTACTATATGTGATCTATATGAACCATTATATAAGGTATATGATGCACTAGGCAATACTGTGTGATGCTGTGGTTGTGTAACAACTGCACTGCTCATCTCTACTGATAAGGTAGAAATTTGTACAAAGACTGTGGTTAGCTGTTCTTATAACAACCAGAAGGAATTTCACTCATAAAAGTTTGAATAAGAGACGCTAGACACAAGGGGACATGTTGTATCATCTAATTTATAAGAAGTCCAAAAAGAGACCTAAATGGGTAATGCAGGTTGGAAACGTAAGTCAGTTTCCAGGATGCTGCTGCTGATTTTCCTGACCCGGGTAGAGGTTACCAGGGTATGCTCATTCCGTGACACAGGAACACGTGCACGGTGATCCACATGTAATGCTTTAATAAAATATTTAAATATTATTTTCTTATTGATATACAAAGGACAAATATTCAGATGATACTATTATGTCTAACTAGAATTGCTCAAGTCCTCCGATTTGTAATTATGTAATTCAAAATGCTGACTTGTACCAATCTATGTTCCCATCAATAGTGTACAAGCCTTGTACAGCTTTGCCAACACTTGCTATCCATTGCCTTTTTGACAACCACCATCCTAACAGGTGTGAAGTGGTATCTTGCTGTGGCTTTGATTTGTATTTCTTTATTAGTGATTTTGAGCATCTTTCCCCATACCTGTTGGCCATTTGCATGTCTTCTTTGGAGACTATTTTTAATCCAGTTATTATTCTTTTTGCTATTGAGTTGCGTGAGTTCCTTATATATTTTGGGTAATAATACCTCTTCAGATAGATGTTTTTCAAATATTGTCTCTAGTTTGTAAGCTGTCTTTTGATTGTTGATTGTTTCTTTTGTAGTGCAGCAGTTTTTCAGCTTGATGTAGTACCACTTTATTTTTATGTTTGTTGCCTGAGCCTTTGGCGTAATTTTTTAAAATCATTATTGATGACTGCCAATGTCAAGGAGTTTCTCCCCTATGCTTTCTTCTAGGAGATTTAGCATTTCAGGCCTTGAAGTTAAGGTCTTTAATCCATTTAGAGTTGATTTTGTGTGTAATGTAGAATAAAGACCCAATGTATTTATTTATTTATTTATTTTGTAAGTGGACATTGTTTTCCCAGCATCATTTTTTGAAGAGACTATT
Organism: Homo sapiens; assembly: GCF_000001405.40. Taxonomy (NCBI): domain Eukaryota; kingdom Metazoa; phylum Chordata; class Mammalia; order Primates; family Hominidae; genus Homo; species Homo sapiens. The sequence goes on from NC_000005.10 coordinate 4,933,074, forward strand.
ATTTTCTCATTTGTCTTCTTGGTGGCATTGTCAAAAATTAGCTGACCATATAGTTTATTTCTGAGCTTTCTATTCTGTTTCATTGGTCTATGTGTCTAAAACATTACCATACTCTTAGTACCACACTGTTTTGATTACTATAGCTTTGTGATATAATTTGAAATCAGCATGTGTAATGCATCCAACATTTTTTTTTCCTCAAAATTGTCTTGGCTATTTGGGACCTTTTGGTTCCATATAAATTTTAGGTATTTTTCTATTTCTGTGAAAAACACCATTGGAATTTTCATAGGGATTGGTGCAAACATTATGGAAAACAGTATGGAGATTCTTCAAAAAATTGAAAACAGAACTACCATATACCACAATGATTTATCTGCTGGGTATATACACAAAGGAAATTAAACCAGCATCTTGGAGAACTGTCTGCATTCTCATATTCATTCCCCCATTATTCACAATAGCCAAGACATAGAAACAACCTAAGCATCTGTCAACAGATGAAGGGATAGAGAAATGGTGGTATATGAATGAACACAATGGAATAATATGCAGCCTTACTAAAGAAGCAGATCCTGCCATTTGTGACAACATGGATGAACCTGGATGACATTATGCTAAGTGAAATAACCCAGATATAGAAATAAAAGTGCCACATAATCTCACTTATATGTGAATCTAAAAAAAAAGGTTGAATATGTTAAACAGAGCATAGAACAGCGGTAACGAGGGGCAGGGAGAAGAAGGAAATGGAGAGATGTAGGTCAGCAGGTACAACGCTTTTAGGCCAGGTGCAGTGGCTCACGCCTGTAATCCCAGCACTTTGGGAGGCCAAGGGGAGTGGATCATCAGGTCAGGAGTTCAAGACCAGCCTGGCCAAGATGGTGAAACCCCATCTCTACTAAAAATACAAAAATTAGCTGGACATGGTGGCAGGCACCTGTAATCCCAGCTACTCGGGAGGCTGAGGAAGAGAATTGCTTGAACCCGGGAGATGGAGGTTGCAGTAAGCCAAGATTGCACCACTGCACTCCAGCCTGGGTGACAGAGTGAGACTCTGTCTCAAAAAAAAAAAAAAGTTGCAATGCTTTCACTTATGGAGGATGAATAAATCTGGAGATCTAATGCACAGCCTGAGGACTATGGTAAACAAAGTGCTGTGTATTGGAAACTCGATAAGAGAATGATTTCAGGTGCTCGTACCACAAAAACAGGGATAATGATGAAGGGTGATGTATAGGTTAATTTGCTTAACTGTAGCAACCATTTCACTGTGGATCTGTAGACCTCAAAAGCATGTTCTACTTAAATATATACCATTTTAAAATGCTTACTTGTAAATGAGTCACAAAGACTTCATAATATCAACTGAGTTAATATTTGTGTGGTTGTTCCTAAAATTATAAATTGCTGTACAAATTTAGGCTATTACTGTCATATTTATTAATTCAAAGTTTCTATAAATAATGTATTTATAAATGACTTCATTTCGGTTTCTTAAAAATGAACAAATTTCAATTTAGAGAAAGCAAATGGAATTAAAAGTTTCATGGAGAAGTTTTGCAGCATCTTGGTTTTGATGGCTTCCTCTTCAATGAATTAGTCATTTCACCCCAGGGTGAAATCTTTTCACATCTAGATGCTTGCACTTTTAAATTGGTAATGTAAGAGCCATGGATTTATTCTGAGAATTAAATAAGATGATGGATGAGAAATCATCTGAATTCTGCCTGGGACAGCAATGGAAAACTGTACGTATTTTAAGACAAAACGAAAGTTTAGCTCACTCCCCCAAGGATGGTTTATGGGGAAGTTGAAGCCGGGATGTATATAAGGAGTCTTTGGTCATCTTTATGACACTGGTCCAATTCTGTCATTCAGAAGAAGCAGGACAGTGTTGACAAAACTCTAATGCATACCCTGTTGGTTTCAACATTATATCATTCATGTCATTGTGCAATTTAGAAAGTCATTTTGTTTTTGAGACAGTCTTGTCCTGTTGTCCAGGCTGAAGTGCAGTGGCTGATTATAGCTCACTGTTACCTCGAACCCCTGGGCTCAAATGATCCTCCCGCCTCAGCCTCCCAAGAAAGTAATTTTTTATTAATACTATTTTTGGTTGACAAATAAATAATTGCATGCATTCATGGGGTACGATGTGATGTTCTGATATATGTAAATAATGTAAATGATTAAATCAAGTGAATTAACACATTCCTCACCTTGCTTACTTATTATTTTTTTGTGGTGAGACCTTTGAAATTTACTCTCTCATTTACTTTGAAATAACAATATGTTACTGTTGACTGTAGTCAACTTTCTGTGCAACAGATCTTAAAACCTATTTCTCTTGTCTAGCTAAAACTTTGTACCCTGTGACCTACATCTCCCAGTCTTTCTCCTTTCCCCCATCCCCAGAGGACCTTCACTCTACTAGGAGTTCAACTGTTTTAGATTCCACATGTAAGTGTGATTATGTGGTACTATATTTGTCTTTCTGTGCTTGGCCTCAGAAAATAAAAAAGCAGACCTACCATATTATCTGGCAAGCCCACTTCTGGGTATATATTCAAAGGCATTGAAATCAATCTGTCAAAGGAATACCTAAACTCCCACACTCATTGCAGCACTAGCCAAGTGCTTGGTCAATAGGCAAGATATGGATCAACCTAAGTGTGCATCATGAGAAAATGAGTAAAGAAAATATGGTACATATACACAATGTTATGCTATTCTGCCTTGAAAACAAAGAACATTCTGTCATTTGCAATAATGTGAATGAACCTGGAGGGGCTTATGCTAAGTAGAAAGTCATTTCTGAGAAACAATAGTGTTTTGTTGTTGTTTTGATTTTGTCCTTGCAGGAAGGGACAAAATTTTGTCCTTCAGCTACTGGAAACAAGAGCGAGGAAAAAGAGGAGCGTGCACTGTGGACATTCTCTCCATGTGGCTCAGCTCTTCCTCCAGGTGGGACATTAGGGTTGATGACCAGGAGAGGCTTGCATGCTCATGGAACCCCGTGGCCTCCATCAGCAGCGCTGGGGCGGGGAAGTGCTCCAGGAAGCTTTTGTGTCCTCGGATGAACACGGACTGCCCCAGGAACACCTTCAAGGGTTTTGTGGGACTCAAGGGAGAAGATGAAGCCCTCCCAGAAGGCCCTGTCACTACAAGCTGAGGACCTCCTTGGGCAAAGACCAACTCTGACTCCAGCTCTGAATTCCATTGCAGCCAAATGGATATTTCTCGTCCCTCGGCCCTTGGTTGTTTTTCCTAACATTTTTTATTTCCAACCTACCCCTAGGTTTTCAGTGGCTTCCTTAGAATCAGTAAGAAGCCCTGCCAGTGCAGAGCACGTGCCTTTGCTTCTGCCCCAGTGCCTTCCTAACAGTCCAGAGACAGCCACACCCCACCAAGCCAAAGCCAGGACACCCTCTGGGTTCCTCATGCTCTGCCCAAGAACACTGTGCCACAGTGAGTGCCAGCCTCACCAATTTCTCCAGGTAAACAAACACTCCTAAAATTATTGGAAAATTGTTCCTCACACCTTTTATATTTTCAGTAAAAATGTAATAGAAAAATGTGTGGCTTTCATGCTGTATCCAAGGAAAAGACATATGACTTCCTTATTTTCCTTAACAGATGCCTGAATTTTCTAACAACTCAAATTTCAGGCAGGGGGTTGTTGGCAGTCAAAATAGAACCCTGGCTAAAAGCAATTAACTACCTTGTAGACATTTTTCTTTAGTTAGGAAATTCAGAGAACAGATCTTCAAATTTTTATGAAAATATGTAATAGTCTCACTTCATCTTATTTATTTTTATATGTTGATATTGTCTAAAAAAATCCTCTATTTTTGTGATCTGTATGTAAAGGCCATGCATGGCAAGCCTGGTTCGGCAATGTCCTTGTGCAGTAGAGGGCATGTCCCCGAACCAGCCCATAGCTGTGGGCAGCTCCCTGCAGCTGAGCCCCAGTCAATGGGTGGTCAATGCTCTTCACCAATGATGGGATTAATGAAAATCTCCCACAAGGTCCTTTGGACACTGGCCCTTTCTGTAATGATATTGGAGGCTCTTTCCCTCTGACAATGGTGGACCCTCAAGATAGCTCCTGTCCATAAGTCATTGCAGAGAGGATGAGGCCTGTCCACCTACATCCTTGTGAATAAGAAAGAAACTCTGATTCTTTAGAAGCCAGGGAGGTCTTAGGGTTTCTTAATTTATGTTTATCAGTACCGTGGGACTAAAATGCATTCTATTTACAAATAAGCTCAGATTTTATTTTGAAGAGCTTCAGACAGGAACATCCAAAGAGTGGGAACCTCTTGAGATGTTGTCATCAGGTATGTGTGTGTGTGTTTGAATTCAGACAGAATGCCAACACAGAGCCAGGCACTGTCCCGGGGAAGTGATTTGGCTCTGCCCTTCAGAACAGCCGTGACCACAGTGATTGTCATTGAGATGTGTCATGAGAACTCAGTGAGATGATGCCCATCACGTTTTTCTATAACCCTCTAATTCAGTAGATACAAAATTAATCTTCTTTTTACTCTGCTATCTTTCACTTTCCCTGCCAGAAAAGAAGTCCATTTCCTGAAACAGAGATCAAGGATGTCATCAGCGCAGCTTCTCTCTTTTAATGATTTGTCAGTATTTTAGAAACACAGAGAAGACATAGAACATCTATATGAGACCTTCTCCCTGGTGGCTTGCTTTCTTGTCCTCTTTTCCAGCATAAGTACCACTTCCTTCAAATCTTAGTTTGGACGTCATTCTTCTCGGTCCGGGGCCTCGGTTAGCCATGCTCCACCTGCTCCTTCAGCAGCCTCCACCTCCTCTGGCTTTTACTCACTATCCTGCATCAAGGTCTCCCACAGCTCTGAGAATCCCTGCACTGAGCTTCAGCCCCAGAGGAGAGCCCTTTCTGTCAACCTCATCGCTTTGTCCAAATACCTGCCTCCTGGACAGGGTTTAAGACGAGACGAATAAAGTAGGGAATGAAAAAAGCAGCATTTGGTGCAAATACACTATTGTTGAACACATGTGTCTGTGGTGTCACCTTCTAATATGCAAGTCACTGACACACTGTCCTCCAGTGTTGTTTAAATCATGATTCTGGGCTATTTTCTACAACACTAAAGGGTGCATTTGTTAAACTGCTTAAGACGAGCAGAAGGCTTTACTGGCTTTCTTTGTAAGCATAAAGCATCCTATTTCCATTTTAACCCATGTTACGAGTTGTCTGTGATGTTATTGTTCCTGAAACTCCAAACAGAACCCTCTAACTCGTTTCTTGCTCCTATTTTGTTCAAGCTGCGGCTGCTTATTCACATATGTGCTAGCGATAGTCAGTGAAGCAATTGCTTCCAGAAGAATATACACAAATGCACAGATGAACGGCCAAATCCCTTATATCTGAGCACCTAACTTCCTGCAAAAAGAAGTTTCAGGATGGAATTTCAAAACACAATAAAGGAGAATTTCTCAATATCCCTTTTTGAGAGTCATCTCCAAATTAAAAGATTTACAGATGTCTAAGTCACCTCCCAGGGAGGTGTTTCAAGCAATTGGTGCCACCCCAAGGCATAAAAGCATAAAGAAGAAGTTGCCTTTGTCATTGAGAACATTGTGCACTCTGCTGGCACGTGCCACATTATATACAAAGTGGTCCAATCATGTGAGGCCACACTGGATCTTGCAAAACAAAGTTTTTCTCTGTATTATGGCAAGTTGTTAATGTAACAGCAATGAAAATCCGACAGGTTTCGGGAGCTTCATTCGGGGACATCACCACTATTGTGAAGTGTAGCATAAACATCTTGGAGAGACACTTTGTCTACTTCAGCAAAGACAAAAGAAAGTGGTGACAGCACACACCTGAAGCTGACTCTTCTCTTTCCAGAGCACACACCCCAACTCTGCTCCTTCCTCCTGAGGGTCTAACGCAGTATTTCCTACTGTTGGGGAAAGTAAACTCGATCAAATGACTCAGGCCCTAGATGTTGGATGGCCAGGATGTGGCATAACCCCTCCACAGCTGGCGTTGCCCGGGGCAATAGCAAGGGGACTGTGAGGTGATGCCGCCAGTTGGGGCCAAAAATATTACGGGCATGTGTGCATGGGCACTCTCCAAGTACTGCACACCAAACTTGTAAATGCCCCATGCCTAGATGCAGCCAGATGTCCAAACAGCTGACACACAGATGGATTTCTGTATTATATTCTCAGCCTGAACGTCAGAAGGGCGGGAGGCACAGAGCTGGTGTGCTTGCCTGTCAGGCCGCCATCACGTATCTCTGTCATCTCCAGCCTTGGATTCATTTACACACACATTCAAAAGTCCTAACCAAAGAGTTCTTCATGCCCATGACTCTGAGGCATTACATGTAGATACAGGGAGACCAGACCATTCTCCACCTGCCTCTTATGTTTCTGCACATCTTGCCGGGAGAGGCACTGACTGCTTTTTGTTCCAGATCATGTTTTCAAGGCTATCTGCATAGCAAAGCACCTTACAGCGCACAGAAATTGTCTCCCTGCAGAGCAGAGGGCGGGTCTACTTCCTGCCAGGATAATAAAGATAATGTTTTCCTTCCATGTGACACGGCAGGCGAATCACATTTTTCGATACCAAAAATTTTATGCAAATGAAATCTATTAGCCACAAGCAGTAATTCCTGGTAAAAGTTTCTTAAGGGTAAAGATAACCTTTTTTTTTTTTTTTTTTGAGATGGACTCTCACTCTGTCAACCCAGACTGGAGTGCAGTGGCACTATCTCAGCTCACTGCAACCTCCGCCTCTTGGGTTAAAGCAATTCTCCTGCCTCAGCCTCCTGAGTACCTGGGACCACAGGTATGCCCCACCATGCCGGACCAATTTTTGTATTTTTAGTAGAGATGGGGTTTCACCACATTGGCCAGGCTGGTCTCGAACTCCTGACCTCAGGCAATCTGCCTGCCTCGGCCTCCCAAAATTCTGGTATTAGAGGTGTGAGCCACTGCGCTCGGCTACCAATTATTTTTTTACATCACTCCAGTCATGTTGGTGTGGTGAGACACCTAGGTAAGGCTTAGTGTTTATCAAACACGTCTAAATCGGTGTGCTATGATTATGCAAGTTACAGACAGTGTTGTAGACACAGTCAGTATATCCACTGAATTCCTTGAACAGGTCGTCACAAGCACTATTTCGTGACTTTTTATGTTTCTAAGTTTTATGTCATTGCTTTTGCCCTGCTTTCTAATTTATATGTACAATCTTTATGGACAAAATGTGCTTTAACATCTTAGGGCAACAAAAGAATGAATGCATTTATAATATAAAACAATATTTCTTTTTTTTTTTTTTTTTTTGAGATAGAGTCTCACTCTGTCGCCAGGCTGGAGTGCAGTGGCGTGACCTCGGCTCACTGCAACCTCCGCCTCCCGGGTTCAAGCAATTCTCCTGCCTCAGCCTCCCAAGTAGCTGGGACTACAGGTGTGTGCCACCAGGCCCGGCAAATTTTTGTATTTTTAGTAGAGACGGGGTTTCACCATGTTGGTCAGGATGGTCTGGATCTCCTGACCTTGTGATCCGCCCACCTTGGCCTCCCAAAGTGCTGGGATTACAGGCGTGAGCCACTGTGACCAGCCTAAAACAATCTTTCCATCAATAAAAAGCTCAATTATTTTTCAAATACCCACTGCAACAATTAATCCAAAGCCTCACTGCTGAGCTCTGCTCAGTGATCCCAGCTCTGTGCGCAGCTGGGAAGCAGGGAAATCCTTCTAAGGCTATGGAATTAAATGGGAGCTGGAGTGAGTTTGGGAAGGACAAGAATTTTCCACACGAGCATGGTCGTTAGCCAGTGTGGTGAAGCGGCAAGGCCACGAGGCACAGAAAACGTGGTTTTTGTGTCAGAACTGTTTTGCACAGTTCGGGGGTGCTGCATATGGTTTCCTAGAACTAAGCAGTTACTTTCCTCATCTCTTTTGTGCATCTCTTCAGTTCGGGGATGGAGCGTGTAATTTGAGTAAAAAACAATATTGTTAGAAGTAAGTCGCAGACTAGAGACAGACCCCATTTGGGGTAGAAGCTTGCACAGAATATAATGGGGAAACTGAGACAGGCCTCATTAACAGAAGAGCTGACGCAAAAACCACGTTTTCTGTGCCTCACAGCCTTGCCACTTCACCCTACCGGGTAACGATCATGCTGGCGTGGAAAATTCTTGTCCTTCCCGAACTCACTCCAGCTCCCGTTTAATTCCATAGCATCAGGATTTCCCTGCTTCCCAGCTGCGCACAGAGCTGGAACCAGTGAGCAGAGCTCAGCAGTGAGGCTTTGGATTAATTGTTGCAGTGGGTATTTGAAAAGTAATTGATTTCCATACTCAGTTTGAACTCAATTGAAAAATCATTTACAGACTTCACTTTATGGGTGAGACGCAGAGCCAAGTACAGTGGGTTCCAGGCCACAACAGCTGAACGGAGGAGGCAGCGCGGCCCCTGCCCAATTGCGACCTATGTCAAATAATAAAAATAATAATAATAATAAGTATTATTCTCTGAATTATATTACTAACAAATTAAATGCCTTATTGAGTTGGCACACGATAGCAATAATACGTTTTGTCTCACTTCCCTGTAAAAATCGGTCCGTGTTTTTGTAAGATCCTTAAAAGCAATGCTAACCGGCACTCACATTTCAGTACTAGGCTGAGATTTCTACCAGTTTTCTTAAAACGGATCACTGAGTAGAACCCATGAGCTATTTGGGAAGACATCGCTGCAACCTCACAGTCCCCCTGCAAAGGCAGAGGCCTCAGGTGAGGCGGGGCGCGGGGTGACTGGAACCCGAGTTTTCAGCGAGGACTCGCTCTTCCTCTGCACTAAGTTCTATGAGCAGTGGCGGCAGGTGCGTCTCCGGAGATTCCCCTGCCATAGACCAGCCGTCCAGTGACCACAGCGGACGCTCTGGCCTCTCCCTGCTTCTCCCAAGCCCGTGGCTTCTCCCTGACTTGGCTTCCCCATGGGAATGCTCTGACCTCCGGCCTGCGGCCGTTTCTTCTTCTCCATCTTCAGTTGCTGGTGCTCCTGGGTGGACTCTTCGGAGGGCTCTTTGAAGGCCACCCAGGAGCACCTTTCTCTCGCCCTGCAGGCATCCCCAAGTCCCATCGCAGCACCCGCTTCCTCGGCTGGGAATCCTTCTCAGGAAAAGCTCGGTGTCTGTTTGTTTGTTTTTCCAGCTTCAGTCCACTCCCGAGGCGTTGGGTCCCCTCCCCTCTGGAGACGGCGCCCGCGCGGCTGCCCAGGCTGCAGGGCCTGGGGACACTCGGGGACCCTCCTGCCCTGAGGACCCTGGGCCAGGAGGGCGCCCCTTTTACCCCCAGGGCGACCGGTGCTGTGCTGCCACCTAGGGGCCGCTCTACGCACTGCAGGTCAGCCGGGCCCGCAGTCCCCAGGTGCTAACAATCTGGTTTCTGCTGTTCTTTTGTTGTTCAATTTTTTATTTTAATTTTTGTGGATACATAGTAGAAGCATATATTTATGGGGTACATGAGATGCTTTTATCCAGGCATGCAATGTGTTCTAATCACATGAAAAATGGGGAACCCGTCCCCTCAAGTATCCATCCTTTGTGTTACAAACAATCCAGTTACACTCTTTTTAGTTATTTAAAAATGTACACTTGAATTATTCTTGACTATAGCCACCCTGCTGTGCCAGCAAACACTACATCTTATTCAACGCTAACAATCTGGGCTGTCAAAAGGAGAAGGGTTGCTGTAGCGGAGGGGCTTAGAGGTGAGCATTTGTTTGTCTCACCCTTCCCCCTGCAGAGCGGTGCCTGTTCTTACAGCCATTTGTAAATGCTGGCCTTGAGCCACACCAAGCATCCAGGTAGAGCTGGGAGCTTCACCCATAGGCTGGGAGCACCGTGAGGGGGACCTGCAGTCCAGGACGGCCACGGTGGTGCAGGGAGGCCCCGCACTGCGGGAGGAGCTGGTCATGACCCAGGGCCAGCACCAGAGTGGCTGCCCAGGGCGCCAGGCACCCATAGGACTGGGAAAGCCAGGAGAGGCCAGAGAGGGGAAGGGAATTGGCAACTTCTAAAAGAAATGCGAGAAAGAGCCTGGGAAGTACCAGAAGGAAGAAAGTCGTCCCTGGGGCTTGAGGCATAGAGAGAACTATGTCTCGAGTAAACCAAAGGTGTTTCCATGGTACCTGGAATTTTTTTTTAAGTCAGGGATGATGGGACTCACAGACACAGAAAGATTGTCATGAAGAAAGAAGTTTATCCTTGCAGATCCCTGGACAGAGGAGTCACGCCTGGCCACACAGAGACGCACAGCCAACCAGGTGGGCAAGGGAGCGAGGGGAGCGTGGGCCAGAGAAGGCTCAGATCAGCTAACCTGAATCATTGAATCATTTTAGCAGGCTCAGGGGCGAGGGGCTGTCCCTTCCTGTCTGGTCCCTCGCCTGGCGTGATTTGGGCAGGTGCATGGTGGCCCGGAGTGTGAGGGCCACAGAGAAGGTGGTTGGAGCATGGACTCCAGGTGGTTGGTTTGATTTGGAAAGCACAGCCCTGGGTTCTAAGAACCAGCTCATTCTGGCAAGGGCAGTACCTCCAGGGTCAGCAAGACCCCGGATGTCCAAGCACCAGAATTCAGAAAATAAAAGAATTCATTAATACAAAAGACAACATGCAGCCATTGCTCAGAAGCACTGCCTGGGGCCCAGGCTGCCGGCCTCTTGTTGCCCAGGTCTCTGTGCCCAGTGTTCAGCAGCAGACACTTGTGGAATTGGCTTTTGAGAAGCAAGGGGCTGGGCTTTGAAGAATGAATGCCAAAGGTTGAATCCCAAGGCAAGACATACTGCCGCTGGACAGGAGGAGATGCCTGCATCTGCTCAGAAGTTCACACCTAAGGAGGGTTTCAAGCGTTCCAAGATAACAAAAAGTGCTCCCCAAAATAAGACTTACCATAAATAACAGATGAACAAAATAATCAGTCAAAAAGTCTGTCCCATGTCCAACAGTAGTCCAGATGCTGGGGTAGGGGATCCAAAAGAAGGGGGAGGATGTCACTGACTGCCACCTCCATTCAGCTGCCCAGGTTAGAGGTAAGTTAACACAAACACAGAAACTTAAGAGTAACAGAGACTGAATCCGGAATATTTGTATCTCTTTCTCCACATGGCAACTCAAGCCATTTTATACAATAATATTTATGTATAGATCCAAACCTTCATGGCAGCATGCACATGCTGGACTCTGGAAACAGTTTTATAAGGAGTCAGAATTCCCAGCCGTTGTCCAAGGTCCAAGATTCCTGCATTTTCCTCATTCTAGTGTTTCAGAGAGTGGACAAAAAGAGCATCATTTACTTAAACTTCCCATTTTATTTGGCATTGGATTATTTCCTGTTTTCATGATTACAAAAACTTCTGCACTCATTATGTCCATATGTATATTTTGTACTCAAATATGTACACAAACATATAAGTATTATATAGGTACTACAGGTATTATGTATTCTAACAGTATTTATAATCATGAATGTGTGTATATATTAGAGATATTAGCTTATGGGAATGAGCAACTATAAGAACATTTTCCTGAAATGAAATTGTTCTCTCCAGCAGCAGTTATTCTGAATGCTTCTTCCTTGCAGAGTCCTCTCCTCCACTGGGTACTCATGGGTCCCTCCTCCCTCCAGAGTCCTCTCCTCCACTGGGTACTCACGGGTCCCTCCTCCCTCCAGAGTCCTCTCCTCCACTGGGTACTCACGGGTCCCTCCTCCCTCCAGAGTCCTCTCCTCCACTGGGTACTCACGGGTCCACCCTCCCTCCAGAGTCCTCTCCAGCACTGGGTACTCACAAGTCCACCCTCCCTCCAGAGTCCTCCCCAGCAGTAGATACTCATGAGTCTTCCCTCCATCCAGAGTCCTCTCCAGCGCTGAGTACTCATGAGTCCACTTTTCCTGCAGAGTCATAGGTACCTCCAGCTGTAGGTACTCAGGAGTCCATCCTCCCTCCAGAGGCTTTGCCAGCACGGGTTATGCAGGAGTCTCTGCTTCCTACATTTTCCTAAATCACCACCTGGCTCTGTCCTAGCTGTCAGGACACATGCGGGCCTCTGAGAGGATCCTGTCACATTGATTATTTCCTGTTTTATAAAAGTACTAGACTTATTAATTACTATTTCTAGAAGTATGTGCCTGTTATTTTTATAATGTTAAGTGTTCAATCTGCGGGTGTGCAGTGCTTGGCATATAATATCTGCTATGCTCTCTGTGCTGCTGGGCACTGGTGCAAGTGGTTGCCATTTGTTAACTCTTTTCTTCCCCCCACAAATCCACGTGATGGGTTCTTTCGTCTTGTTTTACAAATGAGAGAGAGACAGCGGAAGCACAGAGTAATCACGTAGCTTGCCCAATGCCTGCCATTGGCATTGGGCCACCTGCTCCCAAGCCCATATGCTTCACCACTGACCTGCGCTTTATAAATTCCTGGTTAGACACATTGCAACCTTCAGTTAATGGGGAGGTTTTGATTCACGGAAATGTGTGGAGATGTTCTTAAGTTAATTGGCTTATAAAAGTTATTTAACAGAAAGATAAAGCTGTTTGCACCCCTACAGAAAATAGTTCTAGAATTTGTTATCTTATTAAATGGATGTAACTCCATTTTTTGTTGATGAGCTGAGGATCTTAGCTTTTTTACGTATTGAGTTACTTCAGGAAAGTTACTTTACTTCTTTTTGCCTAATTTTCCTCTTCTCTAAAACAGAAAAAAGAAAGAAAGAAAAAACAAAACAAAACAAAACGCTGAGGCGGGAGAATCACTTGAACCCATTGAACCCAGGAGGTGGAAACTGCAGTGAGCCGAGATCGCGCCACTGCACTCCAGCCTGGGCAACAGAGCTAGACTCCATCTAAAAATAAAAAATAAATAAAATAAAAGAACCTACTCCATGACTTTTTTTGTGAAAATTAAATGAGTAAGTACCTTTAAAATTTAGCAAAATGCCTGAAAGACAGCATGGCATGTAGTAAGTGCTCATTAAGCATTAGTGTGTTTAATGGACTTTAGATTCCAATGTACAGTATCACAGTCATGATAATTAGCTGTACAGCTTACACAGGACCTGTGATATCCATGTGAAGCACCATCATTTTTTCCATTCAACTGAGAAGGAAATTGGCTAAGCGGAGTTAATAGTCTGGCTAATATCACAAACCTATTATTATCCAAAGGGAATAGAAACCAAGTATAGGCTTTCTCCCCCCCCTAGTTTCATGGCCTAAGAGATTAGACATGCAGAAAGTTTTACCTGTGACTTTTTCATGGACATGTTTAGGTGTTCACTAGAGAGATGAAAATCAGTCTCTTTTTGTATGTTTATTTGGTTGGTTTCCTTTTTTTTTTTTTTTTTTTGGATTGGCATTCCCCTCTTACTGATTGTTTAGGGTCTAGCTGACCCCTATGGATTTCCATAACCAGCCCTCAGGCCTGAGAGACAGCGTTCCCACTGTCAGCAGCGAGCCCAGCGCAGGATCTGGACATGGAGTCTGGTGTTTCTCCAGCCGGGCAGCCCAAGCATAGCCTCTCCCTGGAGCAGGAAGGAGAAGCTCCTTCTGTACCTTTACCAGGAGCACAGCCACACTGTTCTGAAAGCAAACTCATGCTGGACGCCTGCAGGTTCCAGAAGGTACGGTCTCCCAGTCTTCCTGCCCTTCTGGGATCTAGCCTCATTGCTCAGACCTCTGCAAGTTTGTCCTGCGAGGCTCCCAGGCCTTTGTGGAGCAGTGCACATGGCCGAGCTCTGCATTCCCCTTTCTTGTTCCTCTTCTTCAATATCTTCCTTCCTAGGCCTTTTCCAGATTTCCTGTCTCTGCCCCCACCATTTCTCCTTTCCAAGCTACAGAGATGGATCCCCATCCTCTTCTGCATTGTGAATGTCCCGACCCTGCCCCAGCTGCCACTGCCAGGGAGGCATTTTCTGCGGCAGGTGGAGGCTTGGTGTGCATGAGGGACTCAAAGGCACCTGGCCAAGGCCTGGGAGAAAGGAGAGTGTGGGCCAGAAAGGAAGCAGGGTTGGGTGGGCGGGGGACCTTCCTTTCCACAATGCTGCTCTTATCTCATACAATATCTAAAATAAAGCCCATCTCTTCTCAAGAATTCCCTTTTGAGTGTGTAGAAGACATGAGTGGTTAATCTTCTCTTTAAAGGTGACCACATTGACCCAATGCTCTGCCTTTGTTATGCTGAGGACACTCCCACCCAGTGACCATGACAGAAGTCACAGCACAAGACATCCTCATGACTCAACCAAGGGACCAAGGTGCTTCCCTGTGTTTCCCAAACAGCATAAAACCTCAGTGAGGCCCCTTCCTCAATAACAGCTTGAGTCCCCAGACTTCTAGAACACTACTGTACTAACAAGAATATTTCTTATTATCAACAGGACTAACTTATTTTAGCTCTCCATAATCTGATTTAAAATATACTTTTTCCCGTTTTTTCTGAGGAATGAATCGATTCTATTTTACTGTCTTTCCTCTGACTTCTGAAAGGCTAGGAGCCAAAATAGAATGTTCAATATCATATTTCCAGGTCTGCAACTGCACGCTCATTGCAGTGAACTCCCTGAAGAGGAATAACACTGTTCAATTCCAAAACACATTGTATTTTTATATTTCTCATCTACTAATGAAGAAATGACAAGTGCATTTAGCATCATGAGCTCCAACATGATGAGATGAACTGGAATGCCCAGAGTGGTCAGCACCTTACCTCTGTCCATGGGGACGCCAAGCTCTTCTGCTCTGGAAAACACACAACGTTTGGCAATGAGCATAATGTATTTGGCATAAAGAGGTGCTGCTTTGTAAAACATTTTAATTTGCCAGGAATGAGTCAAAGATTTCATTTAGTCACTTGTCACGAATTCAACACAGACTCGTGATAAAATGCTGAGCCGCCTTTCTCTCATTATTCAGAGGCCTCTGCTGTGTGAGTCTTCTGGGGCAGTCACGACTGGTGTCTCATCCCCAGGCTGCTTATGTGGTTCACGCCCCCTCCAGCCTCTTCTTAGTGAATGTTTTGGGAATCCCAGGTGGATGGCTCAATTAGAGGGCTGGAGAGGAAAATCCCCAAGGGAGAAATAAATAGCCTTAATGAATGAAATCAAGGTTCCCTTGATACAATCCATAGGCCTGGATAGTCCCTCGATGAGTTAAACAATTATGTAGTAACTGTGTTATCAAGATCCTGAACAATGCTTGGATTATTACCTCCACCGGCTCACACATGTCCAGAAATGATGGTGATGTCATCCTTAAATTGTGTTAGTATAAAGGAAGTAGCAATAGTATCACAGTGGTCTAGAACTCCGCAACAAATCTTTGCTTCTTATAAAAGAGTAAAAACTGTGCAGTTGGTAATTGGTCTGTCTGTTGGGCAGGGTGGGCTGTGGGATTTTATATTAATTATTTGTGTATTAGTTAGGTGTAGGTTGCAAGTGATGTGAGGCCAACTCACACAGCTTTTTGTCAAAGGTTCAGAGAATCCCTGGGCCATTGTACACCCAGACCCTGGGAGGGGCAGAGGCATGAGTGGGCACCCCAGGGAGTCTGGGGCTTGGCTTCGTATTTTACAGAATGTGTCTGCCCAGAGTGCCTACCGACCGATAGAGTGACCTGGCTTTCTTTTTCCCCCATATCCAAACATCCCAGAGAAACTCATCCTTGGAAGTCAAGCCTGGATGGATGGAACAGGCCAGGGAGGGATTGAAGGGCAGGGGAGCAGGGAATGACAGCTGACTTAGGTGGGCCCACTCACTCATTCCTGGGCCAGGCCACAGCGGCCAGGTGGGGTTGGATCAGGCAAAAACTGGGCAGGTTCTGTAGCACTTCCTAGAACAGAAATTCTGGAGAAAAAATTACCAAGATGCAAAACAGAAAAAAAGTTTCGGGCAACGTCTTATGGATCCTGCAGTTTACAAAGCTGTCTCTGATACTTTTCCATCGGATTGCCACGCTAGGAAATGCAGGATTTACACTGTCCTCCTCTTAGAAACGAAGAGATGAAGACTTCGTTAAAAATCTAGCTCTTTGGATTCACATTTCAGAAAATTTTACTTTGTTAAATAGGGCAAGAAGTGAAATCATGATTTGTAATGTAAAAAATGCAGAGGAGGAGGGAGTGTTTCTAATGTGGCTGAGCCCACTAGAGTAAGGGTTACGAGAGTTTGCAGGGCAAGGACCTCATGCTATGAACACATAATTGGTCTTTCGGAGAATAGCAGCTTCCCTGAGACTCAGCCTAATATTCTTGATGAGGCCAGGCGGGTGTAAACTAAGCCACATCATCTTGCATAGCATGGTACACGTTTTATGTAAGAAGTCAAGCACCTTTTTTACCATATAACAATGTGAAGCACACTGTCATGGCTAAATAAAGAAAATGCACCCAACAATGGAAGGGCAGCACCATCTGTGACACTTTTTTTTTTCTTTTTTGAGACTGAGTCTCACTCTGTTGCCCAGGCTGGAGTGCAGTGGCGCGATCTCGGCTCACTGCAAGGTCCACTTCCCGGGTTCATGCCATTCTCCTGCCTCAGCCTCCCGAGTAGCTGGGACTACAAGCGCCTGCCACCGCGCCCGGTTAATTTTTTTGTATTTTTAGTAGAGACAGGGTTTCACCGTGTTAGCCAGGATGGTCTCGATCTCCTGACCTCGTGATCCACCCACCTCGGCCTCCCAAAGTGCTGAGATTACAGATGTGAGCCACCGCGCCCCGCCTGTGAAGCTAATTTTTTTACAAAGTGGAAGGTGGACTGAGGTGCCAGCTGGCATCAGCAGAAACTGAAATACAGTCCACTTTAGACGCATCACCTGAGAGTACGGGTGCAGGTCTCCTGTGTGCTGCCAGGAAGCAGCATCCACAGGGGCAGCACTTTTCCAGTGCATGTCCAACGCTGGAAGGAAAGGATCCATCTTCACCACTCCTTCCTGGCTGTAGGAACATGCGAAGGTGAATTCTAACCCTATCATGCCAGAACTGCAGCAAGGACCACAGAGACTGCGAATGTCCAAGTCTACAACAGAAGCTCAAATTGCAAGCTGGGTGAAGGAAGCCCTCTCTCAATGACCCCATGCTAAGGATTCACACATGTTTTTGTGGTTGTTCTAGAAACAGAGGACTAGAAAGGAATTCAAAGATTCTAAAACAATACATACACTAAATTATCTCAAGTCAGGTCATTAATATCTATTGTTGGGTATGATTTTAAGCTCCTTGGAGGCAAACACTGTCATCTTTTTCTTTCTGTATCATGCTTAGCATGCAAACAGCTGGAAGAGGTTGATAGATGCCCTTGGGGTCTGAAACGTCTTTGCAAGCATCCTGTAGCTGACTAGCAGGCTCGGATGAGTGCTTAAGTGAGAGACTAGGTTCTTCATCAGATGGATGATGAACCCTTCTGGGGCATTTTCTCTGAGGAAGCATGGTGCAGCTCCAAACCTAGGTAGGAGAGATCACAAGATCAGCACTCAGGCATCATCAGAAGTGTTTAGAAGAGAAGGAGTACATTAGTCCACTAGGGCTGCCATAACATTTCATGAGCCCAAAGGCTTAAACAACAGGTGTTTATTTCTCACAGCTCTGGAGTCTGGGAATCCAAGATGAATTTCTCGGCAGGTTTGCTTTCCCCAAGGCCTCTCTTCTCGGCTTGCAGGTGGCTGCCTTCTTCTGTGTCCTTTCTTCTATACCTGTACATCCCTGGTGTCTCTCTTTCTTTTTATGAGAACACCAGTCTTATTGGATTAGGACCCCACTGTTATGAGCTCATTAACATCAGTTACTTTTTAAAAGCCATATTCAAAATCCAGTTGCATTGGAGGTTAGAGCTTCAACCATATGAAGATGAATTTCAAGGGGGACATCATTCAGTTCAACCTGAACCTGGCCATGCTGGCACCCTGGTCTCAGACTTCTAGCCTCCAAAATTAGAAGAAATAAATTTCTGTTGCTTCAGCCATAGTCTATGTTAGACTAAGACACATAGTCCTAGTGTTTCCTCTTCTAGGGCTCATTTTTCCTGAGTGTGCAAAACAAGAAAACAAACTCTTTGTAGCTAGAATTACTTTGTTATTACCAATTTATGTATTAAGAAATGTCACCCACAACACCTCCAGAGATGTTAAATAAATCAATGGTGACTTTCTTGACAGGGATGAGATCACCACCAGCTTCCAGTTCAAGAATTTCTGAAAGATCTTTGGCACCCAGAGCTAATGAGATGAAATGATCCCGGAACTCTTGCTGATCTCAGAAACTTGCTGCTGTTTTGCTTCATCTGGGATAAAGTTGAAACAGCTTTTAGACATAAAGCTCTTCTTTCAAATAGCTAGGTGGTGTCATGCAAATCAAAAACATTAGCCGAGGGTGAAAGGCTTCTAAATAATGCAGAGGCTGAAATCGACGGTTGTATGTATTTATAATTTTTTAAATCTCTAATTAGAATGCATCTGACTTTGTATTCTGTGTTTAAGAACTATTAAAGATTCTTTTGAAATTTGAAAGCTTATTATTAAGATGACAAAGTTCCCCTTTGTTTTTGTAATCCTTTTCTTACAACCATTCCGGTGAGAATGTTAGACAATTTAACCACAGTAATTCATTCATAAAATTCTTAAACTCAGTGCAAAATGCATCACTTTCTAAAATGTTGTAAAACTAACACAGTTTTACTTGAAGTTGACAAGTATGAAAAAAAGATCAACATTTTTGCATGGATCCTTTAGTCAAAAAAGTTTGGAAAAAACTAACTCTAAAGTCTCTACCTCTCACCCCCCACCCCCCTTTATTTCAAGTTCAGTTTCTAGAGCCGGTTAATATAGGAATATCCCTTGCACACCTTCAGGGGAACAGAGAATCCGATATTTTCCAAACTTTCTCTGGGCCAAAGTTTAGGACATTAATTATAATCAAAGGCTGCAGGTGATTATTCCTGGCTCCAGACTTCAATATCAATGACATAAGTGTGGGACGCTGGTCTATATGTCAAAATTTACCTAGAAGGAAAGATTTAAAATGGTACCCCCAGAGGGAAATAGAAAGAGGTGGAGAAAAGAAAAACAAGATTCTTTAGGTTTCATTAAAAATAATAAACATATTGGGAATAAGCCAAGGTAAACACTTTGGTTTAGGGGGAAAAAAATCAACACTGTGTTCTATGTCTGAATCATGGAGCGAGAACATCCCAACACCATGGCAGTAATGGCCACTGGGCGTAGTTAGGAAGGAAAATTAGACAACTTGAAAATTCAGTGATTCAGGCCAGGCGCTATGGCTCACGCCTGTAATCTCAGCACTTTGGGAGGCCAAGGGGGGTGGACCACCTGAGGTCAGGAATTCCAGACCAGCCTGGCCAACTGGCCAACATGGTGAAACCCCGTCTCTACTAAAAATACAAAAATTAGCCTGGCATGGTGGCATGCACCTGTAATCTCAGCTACTCAGGAGGCTGAGGCAGGAGAATCGCTTGAACCTGGGAGGCAGAGGTTGCAGTGAGCCGAGATTATACCACTGCACTCCGGCCTGAGGAAAAAGAGTGAGACTTTGTCTCAAAAAACAAAAAAGGAAACTGGACGATTCACAAGGAACCGAGCCAAGAAAGAATGCTAATTGGCACACTGGGGTAACTGACTGTAGTAACGTTGGTACCTATTAAAAGAACTTCCAGTTATCCTATTTTATGTACCAATAGTATAATTCCAAGTGAATTTTTATACTTAAAAGTTCAGAAAACAAGGAAGGAAAACTCAATGCAGTATTCATGAGAATTTCTGGAAAACTATTCTATTTTCTTGCATTCCACTTGGTATTGTTATTGAATACGCACATGTATAAATATTTTTAGTATTTACTTAAGAGGCTTTATAATTTTATTTTATTAGAATAAAATAATAGCTTGATTCCACATTATTTTGTGCATACATCTCATTACAACTAATGGAATCATAAAACAAATACATTTCTTTTTTTTTTTTTTTTCGGACAGGGTCTCACTTTGTTGCCCGGGCTAGAGTACAGTGCTGTGATCTCGGCTGCTCACTGCAGCCTCGACTCCCCGAGCAGGTGATCCTCCTACCTCAGCCTCCCAAGTAGCTAGAACTACAGGCATGTGCCTCTGTGCCTGGCTAATTTTATTTTTTTGTATTTTTTTGTAGAGACTGGGTTTCACCATGTTGCCCAGTCTGGTCTTGAACTCCTGGGCTCAAGCAATCTACCTGGCTCAGCCTCCCAAAGTGCTGGGCTTACAGGTGAGAGCCACTCTGCCCGGCCACAGATACATTTCTAACACTCTGCTTTGCCCTCTTGATTGCAACACAATAATTAAAAAGGCATTCTTGTGAGTGTTGTTTTCCTATTTCAGCTAAGTCATAGGCACCATCTATATGCTGTGTACCAACAACCCGCACAGACCAACACCCTTCCCAATGTGCAGCTGCCAAAGACAGATGAAACACAGAAACAAGAAATTCTTCTAAACCTTTTGTTTAGTTGCTGTTGTTTTTGTGTGTTGGATTTAAATTTTTCTCAATAGATGTATATTTTGTTAAAGGCAGGCAATACAATAATTCTTGTTCGTGCCGCCTGGATGGAGTTAATGAAGTTAGCCATGCATCATTGCCTCTTAATAGGATACTCGATCATCTCTGTCCCATTCTTCAGTGATACATTTTGAACCCTCCACACTGTCTATGTGTGCAAATGGGAATGTGTCCAGGTATATAATTGTGAAAACAAAGATCCATTTTGTTCTGCATCAGAAATAAATTCACACAACACACACACACCTACTACTCAATTTCAGATGTCAATTTTACTGACAATCACGTTGTTAAAATGCCTTTGTTGATCTAAACTTAAAGAACAGAATGTACAAAATGGGTCAAAAAAGTGTGGCCAGTCTAAAACTGAAAAGACAAGTCAGGTAAAAAAGCAAATGGAAGCAGTAATCAGAATTTAAAATGTTTTAGATATGGATTTTTTTTCTTTTGAAGGCTAATGAACTTTTATTCTTTTCCAGGGAAAACAGAGAGAGAGAGAGAGAGAGAGAGATGGCCTGGCTTATATGCTAACATGAAAATGTATATTACCAAGGGCGGGGAAGCTTTCCTAGAGCCATCTGCTGCCCCTTCAGATGGAGGCACTTGCTTTTAGTGTTTAAAACTGATCCCAAGAGTCATCTGCAATATTTCGCTACTTTAAGCATAAATCACTGATAACACTAATAGCCCTGATGGATCCATTTTATTCGATTAATCAAGTTGCTTGATGTAGTTCCAATTGCTCAGATTCACCAGGGACATTCGATTGCATGATGTACAATTTTTCACGCTGATTCTTCTAATTACCAAAGTTTAATGCAGTTGCTGGTCAAAAATCACAAATATATTTGATTTAACAAATGCTCCTTTCACCATGAACAAAGCCCTTGAGGTATGCTTTTAGAGGTGGGGATGATTTTCTTCCTAGGCATGACCTAATCTGATAAAGTGCAGCCAGATGATTCCAAGGGAAAATTCAGATGCAGAAAAATACTTCAAAAATTTTGCAGTACTTTTAAAAATTCTTCCTGGCTACCCAATCATGCAGTGTCATGGCAAGTTGCCATATGCGATTTAACATAAATTAGTGGTGGAGATAATGGAATTAATATAGCTAGCTATAGTTTGCAAGGGTGCAAGTTATATTTACTGAAAATCTAGGACATCTGATGTCAGAATTTGCTCTAGGGGAGCCCTTGAAACACAGATTTAATCTAGCTATGTAGAACACACATTATGGAGATGGGTCCTTTGGAAGTCAGTTGGAAGGAGGTACACAAGAAAAGCTTTAAAGTAGCTCCTTTAGGTGAAGAACATGAAAAGAGAACACACTGGTAGTTAAAGGAGGAGAGTCAGCTGTGTCCATCAGATATATGGGTGGCCATGAGTGGCAGAATAACCACGTGGAACCTGTATTAGTCAGGGCTCCCTAGAGGGACAGAACTAATAGGATAGATGTATATATAAAAGAGAGTTTATTAAGGAGTATTGACTCACACGATCACCAGGTGAAGTCCCACAATAGTCTGTCTGCAAGCTGAGGATCAAGGAAGCCAGTCCAAGTCCCAAAACCTCACAAGTAAGGAGGCTGACAGTGCAGCCTTCAGTCTGTGGCCAAAGGCCTGGGAGTCCCTGGCAAATCACTGGTGTAAGTCCAAGAAACCAAAAGCTGAAGAACATGGAGTCTGATGTTTGAGGGCAGGAAGCATCCAGCACAGGAGGAGGATGAAGGCTGGAAGACTCAGCCAGTCTAATCTTTCCACGTTCCTCTGCCTGCTTTTTCCTAGTCATGCTGGCAGCTGATCAGATGGTGCCCACCCAGATTGAGGGTGGGTCTGCCTCTCCCAGTCCACTAACTCAAATGTTAATCTTCTTTGGCAACACCCTCACAGACACACCCAGGAACAATCCTTTGCATCCTTCAATCCAATCAAGTTGACACTCAGTATTAACCATCACAGAATGTGAGTTCCCAAGGGAAACAGAAAGTTCTCTTCCTTGGGGGCAAACAAGAGATGGTTGTTATACTTTCCCAGAGTACAGAGGGGCATATTCTCTAAGGAGAAGAACTCTGCCATGGAAGTGACGGTTAAAGGAAGTCTGTATGAACTCCAGTGCCCTGAGAAACATGGGCATCTGGACACAGAAGCGAGTAAACCCCGAGTCCTCTTATGTCAGCTGAGAAAAGAAGAAAACTTCACAGCTGACACGTGTTTTTGAGTGTTGCTATGTATTATCATTGTTTCCATGAAGCTTGCATAGTTAATAGTGGGGTATACTTGGACTCCATCATTTTCTGTTAATCAGATTGTCTCCTGTAATTTTATGGGGACATTATTGACCTTATATAGCTGGAAAGAGAATGCCACTTAGTTCAAATAATCTATCAAAGCAGAAGTTGCACCAGACAAGATTAAACAGTCAAGGAAGAATTTATTCAACACTATTGCAATAAGGAGAGGGATCATAACTCAGTCAGAACTCATCAGGCATAGAAAAACAATTTTTAAAGAAAACGCTCAAAGGAAAGGGAGGTCAGCCGGGAACTTGAGTAAGGAAGAAGGCTGTCTGAAGTTAGCCAAGCTGAGGGCAATGTTAAGGCCATCTTGGGCAAGCACACAAAATTTGATAAACTAGTTAAAATTTCATGAAGGAAAGTGCTATATTTAAAAAGGTTATACAGAGAAAACAAAAGCACAATCACAAGATAAGAGAATAGGATTCAAGACCCTACATAAGGGCACTTCTCGGAAGAGTCTGACACAGCTGCGTGTGTTCACCACAAACTACAGAAGAGTGCCTGGGCTTAGCAAGCTGCATCAAAGCTTATTGCTGACCTTGCTTCATCCATTTCCCAGTCTATCAAAATTAGCAAGTGGAACTCTTCAGTGAATTTCAAGAGCTAGGCTTCAAATGCAGTGAGGGACTATCAGCTGGATAGGGTAAGATTTCAGGTATGGCACATAGCAAAGAGATCCACCTGTCACAGTAGAAGCCCCTGACTTGTAGTGACACACATGCACAGGGTGTTGAGTCAGCATTGTGAGCTGTACAGTGAGGGTATCTTCAAAGGTGGCAACCGTGGCTTACTAAGCAGCTGCAAGGACATTGGCCCACTACCTGAGGCAGAATGGGCTGCGTAAAGAAGGGCACAGTGAGGCAGAATGCAAGTGCTGCTCTGGGAGTGTGGTGACCCCCACACACAGCCTTTTCTCTCACAAAGGAAACGTAGTGGACAGCAGTGCCCTGTCCACAAAGGGTCCATAATGTCATGTAAAAGACTGTGTTCAATCAGTGTCCAGCCTGAAGATACATTGGCAGACATGCCTAGTAGCTAATTATGTACATAAATTTAGAGATTGGAAGACTGAGTACAGGCAAAGAACAATAAGTAAAGCAGAATTGAGGGAGATGAAACTAGATGTGTCAGATTGAGCAACACATGTTAAATTGTCCCAGGAGAGGGTGAGATATGAGAAGAGCATTTAGGAAAGGGACTGAAACACCAACATTTGAGACATAAGGTGGGTAAGAGAAATTGGGAATAGAATTGAGAAGATAGTAGAGAAGTAGCTAAAACCTAGAGAGAAACACACACACGCACACACACACACACCAGAAATTAGAGCGGAAAGATGTTTTACAGTCAGCAGTGTTCAATATATAATGATGTCAGCAAACATAGAAGAGGTTGGCTGTTCCATCTTTGCTGGCTGGCTCACTGTACTCACTGTGGACTTTGTTGGGTGGTGTCTCGGTAGAGGGTAGGGTAGAAAACAAACTGTCAGCTACAGGTGAATTGAACCAAAGTTGGGGAATCACGGACAACTAATATAGCCCTGTATTTCTGTAAAAGCAACCATGAAAAGAGGCAGAACTCTCAAATCATATCTGAAAAATAGCTATCACCCAAGAGACGGTTTGGGGTGTTTTCATAAGTTAGTTATTCTGAATAGAGATGTGTGTTTCCATTGGGAAGAAAGCAATGGAGAAGAGCCATTTGAAGAAATGAGAAAGAAGCAAATTCATGATCAGGAAGGGCAGGGCTCCGCGGGACAGCGAGAGTAAGTGGGGGGAAGGCAGTGGGGAAAGTTCGAAGGACAGTCAGGCACAGGAAGGTCCAGTACCCCAAAAGCTTCCTGCCTGGGCACCCCTGCATTCTCCATGGAATAAGATGGGTCACTTCTGAAGGTCAGCAGGGGCTAACGGACTTGCAACTCTTGGGAAGAGTTGCTGGACTGATGGGAGAGGGCAGTGATAAAGGATATACGATGAAGAAGCCAGTTTTGAGGATGTAACAGACTAAATCCAGAATCACACACTGGCCCAAGGGCGTGACTGTATGTGATTTCTCAGCAACGCTCATCCACCCTGGTGTTGGTGTGTGGAGAAGCAAAATACCCAAAACTGTTAAAATAGCCAAAACAGCAGGCATGTGGGAAGCACTGCAAGTCAGGCAGCTGAAGCTGCACCACCAGGGGCCTGTGGAACTGTTGAATCCTGAGGTCAAAGCTAGAGCATGAGAGACGGACAGGGCTGAATGAAAAAATGGGATATTTGCATCCACAGAAGAACAGTCAGCTCTTGTTCCCCACTCCTCTGGTGGAGAGCCTTCCTCTACATGCCCCAGTCCCACAAGAATGTTTCTCGTCTCCTCTCACCTCTTCTTCCTCACTGGCTCTTTCCCAAGGAGAAAGACAAAGCGATCTAACTTGAGTTTGGGGTGAAAGTCACCATGATGAAGCTGGATATGGACTCCTTTGCTTTTCTGGGATCTCTCTCAGATCGTCCCGTCCTCAAGGAAGCCTTTTTCCTCTCTGCCTCATTCTCCAAGTTGTCAGCTGGGTAGAGCGGGGCTTTTCCTGGCACCCACGAGCACTTCATAGGTCCAGTCACAGAGGCAGAGAGTGTGAACGTGGCCACAGGCAGCCTCCAGTCACTCCAAGCTCACCCTGCAGCCTCCAAGCCTGGAATAATATCATAAGTGAGGTGAAACAATATCGAAGCCAGTGACCTGTCAAATGGGGAGGGGAACCAAAGGGAAGCATCATCTCACATTTCCTACCATCTGACTGGTGACGAGCAAGTGATTCCAGGATCAAACTCTCATTGGCACCTTCCCCTCCAGGCCCGTAGGTCTGTGAAATGGAAGGAAGAAGGGAGAAACAGCTTCCTTTCTATTCTTGATTACAACAGGCTTCCCGTTTCCTCCTGCAGAGATGCTTCTATTGAGTCCAGTATTCGTATTGAAGCTGAATTCTTCCCACACACTTGACAACTCACTCAGGCAAGCAAAGACACAGGCAGTGACTCTGGGTGTAAATACCAGCCTGCAGCGATCAAGGGAATGAGACCACAGGGAGCTTCTCCAGGGAGCTGGGATCACAGACTCTGGCTCAGGCACTGAGATGAGGCTTATTCCCTGGGAATTGGAGCATTTCCATGCTCCTACAAAACCACTTCTAAAGGAGGGAGTATAAATGCCATCAGTATGGGCAATGTTCCTCATTAAGCTCCTGTGCCATGTTGTTTTTTTAGTAACGGACAGGAGCAGACTCGGGAGAAAATTAGATCTAATGGAATCTTCTGGATTAACAATCTGCCCACATAACCGCTGGACTCCTTGACTTGCCTCTGTCCACCCTCCTTCCCTGCTCCAGCCACCCTTGGAGGCTCCTGCCTCCTTGAGCACACTAGACTCTGTCTTTCCTCAGGCTTTGCTCATCCTTACTCCTGCTTATTGCACAGAGGCTCACTCTTGCCTTCCAGGGCTCAGAGAGGCCCCCTTGACCACTCCTATTCAGGTCCTGCCATTCTCATCTATTACAAACTATCCTGGCTTTTCTTTGTAGTGTTTGCCACAATTGCAATGACTTAACTTCTGCTTTTTGGAAGAGCAGGGAGCTGATTTATCTGCCCTGGGTCTCAGAAGACAGAACTCCTGGTGTTGAACAGACTGTGTTATTTTCTGGAGGCTCTGGAGAAGAATCAGTTTCTAAGCTGACTTAGGTTGTTGGTGGATTTCAGTTCTGGTAAAGGAAAACAATCATGACACCGTTAAAGAGGATAAAGCAGACAATATCCAAGGGAAGCCATGGAGATGGGTATAGGGACCACTGCAACAGGGTCTTGCAGTACAAGAGAGCGATTGGAGCCAACTTCAGCAAGGACAAGTAGGGGTTTATGACGAAGGAGCAGGGAGGGCTCAGTAAATGGAAAATTACTAAGAGAAGCTGGATGCTTCTGTTATGCTTCCAGCCTAAGGGGGTCTTGGCTAAGCTGACTTGGTAGGATTATTGCTGAAGGCAATGTGGTAAGATAGATAGGGAGCGTGGTCAGATACCAAGCGTTGGGGGTGTCCTTGAAGGATTCTTATTCAAACTGCATTCTACAAGGACAGAGAAAGAAGCCCAAGTTTGGACCTATTCAACAAGGACTCATGAGGTTGAGTAAAGTTTTGGTCAAAGGAGAGAGTCTTTGTCAGTTCCATGTTGCAGGCACCCTTCCCTTGTTAGCTGCCAGAGGAGATTGTTCTTGCCTTCCAGGGGCAGCCCACATTCATGCTCATGGCACCTGTTACATAAGAGCTAGCATGGGTCCATCACAAACATATGCTGGAATCTCTCCAACGGCTACTTCTGCCACATTTCTCTTCTGCCTCCAAGCCAGAGAAAGTTCTCTGCATTTTAGGACTTGTGTGGTAAGCTTAGGCACGCTGGAAAATTTAGGATAATCTTTCTATTTTAAAGGATGTAATCCTAATTACATCTGCAAAGACCTTTCTCAACGGTACCTAGACGAATGTTTGACTAAATAACCAGGAGTGAGAATCTTGCAGGGAAATCTTTAGAATTCCTGCCACACCCAGAATGCTGTCCTCCCTAAAGAATATATTAACACAACAACTCTAAATGACTATGCACCTAACCTGAAGTGCAAAAATATTTGAGGCAAAAACTGATGGTATGGGTAGGAGAAATCAACAAATAAATGATCATGGTTTGAGATGCCAACCATCTGTTAGAAATTGAGAGCTCTAGCAGGCTTAGGGAGACAGTTGGCCTGAATATAATAGACAGTTATAGACTACTTCAGACAACAATGGCAGAAAACATTCTTCTTCTTTTTTTCCTTTTTTTTTTTTTTGAGATAGAGTCTCACTGTCACCCAGGCTGGAATGCAATGGCACAATCTCAGCTCACGACAACCTCTGCCTCCCGTGTTCAAGCAATTCTCATGCCTCAGCCCCCTGAGTAGCTGGGACTACAGGCATGTGCCACCATGCCTGGCTACTTTTTTGTATTTTTAGTAGAAATGGGGGTTCACCATATTGGCCAGGCTGGTCTCAAACTTCTGACCTCAGGTGATCCACCCACCTTGGCCTCCCAAAATGTTGGGATTACAGGCGTGAGCAACCACACCTGGCCCAAAAATATTCTTCTTAAGCTCACATATAATATTCACCAAGATAGAGCACATTTTGAGTCCTAAAATGTGTCTTGACAATTTAAAAAGTAGAAATCATACAAAGTATGTTCTCAGGCAACAATGGGGTTAAACCATAAATTGATGACAGAAAGATAGCTAGGAAATTCTCTAATATTTTGAAATTTAAAAACATTCCTGTAATAGCATATGGGTCAAAATGAAGTCTCAAGGTAAATTAAAAATTATTTTGAACCAAATTAAAATGACAGTAGAACTTAACCATAATTGTAGATATAGCAAAATTACTGCTAAGGAGGCAATTTATAGCATCAAATGTACGTGTTAGTGAAGCAAAAAGACATAAAATGAAATTGACAATATAAACCTCCATCATAGGAAAAGACATAAGAGTCAGTCCAAAGCAAGCAAAAGACATAAGTAATAGAAATTAGAAAAAAATGAATACAAATGAACTAGGAAACAATAGAGAAAAATCAATGAGACCAAATTTGATTCTTTAAAAATATCAATAAATTCATAAACTATAGACAGACTAACAAAGAATTAAAGAGAGAAGACACAAATTGCCAATGTCAGTAATGAAAGAGACATCATTACTACTGATCTTACAGACATTAAAAGGGCAATTAAAAGTTACTGTGACAAATTCACTGCCCACAAATTTGATAACTGAGTTAAACAGACCAGCGAATTGAAAGACAAAAATATCAAACCTCACACAAAGAGAAGCAGATGTTAGGCTGCACCTAAAGAAAGCACCCAAATGTTTTATAGGCAAATTCTACCAAATATTTAAGGAAAAAATAGAACTACTTTTCTACAATTTCTTCTAGAAAATGGAAGCTGATGGAATACTTTCTAACATCATTCTCTGAGGCCAAGATAATCCTAATAACAAACCAAATAAATGTTACAGGAAAGAACTACAGACAATGTCTTTCCTGAACATAGGCATAAAAATTCTCAACAAATACTAGCAAATCAAATCCAACATTGTATTAAAAAATCATACTCACAGCACAGTGGGATTAGTTATGCAAGGCTAATTTAACATTAAAATACTAATCAATTTAATCAGCCACAGCAACAAACAAAAAACGTGTTCTAACCATATTAGTTGTAAAGATAGGTGATTGGACAAAAGACAACACTCATTCATGACAAATACTCTCCATAAAGCAGGAATAAAGTGGAGCTTGCCTAATTTGATAAAGAATTTCTACAGACAACCTATAGCTAACATCATACTTTATGAGAAACTGGATGCTGTTGCCATAAGATTGTGAATAAGGCAAAGATGCGATCTCCCATTCCCCCTCTACAACTCACTGGAAGTCCTGGCTAATGCATCAAAACAAGAAGAGAAAATAAGATATAGAAACTGGAAAGAAAAAAGTAAATCTGCCATTACTTTCAGATTATGTGATTTTTTTCTACATGGAAAATCTCAAAGAATTGATGAAGAAAACCTTTTGGAACTAGTAAGTGAACAAATAACAAGGTTTCAGGATAAACAGCTAATATATAAAACTCAATTGCTCATTTCCAAAAAACAATTGGAATTAAAATTTTTTAGAAATAGTAACATTTTCCATAACACCAAAAAATTTTAAAAAGTATAAGTTTTAAAATATATATATAGGATCTTTAGGTGGAATACAAAATCTCTGATGAGAGAAATCAAAGATTTCAAGAAATGTGAAGATATTCTATGTTCATAAGTTGGAGACTTAATATTATCAAATTGTTAATTCTTCTCAACTTGTTCTACAGTTTTGGCATAATTCCAACCAGAATCCCAGGAAGGCAATTTTTAGACAATGACAAATATATTCTCAAGTTTGCATGGACAGGCAAAAGACCTAGAATAGTTAACACAATACCGAAAAAGAAGAAGAAAGTTGGAAGGCTCACATGACCTGATATCAACTCTTACTATAAAACTAGTCAATGAGATAGTGTAGCAATGGTGAAAATAGACACATAGATCAAGGGAACAGAATAAAGAAGCAAGAAATAGGCTTATATAAATATGGTAAACTGATTTATGTAAAATAAACACAATACCATGAAAAAGAGTAGTCTTTTCAAGAAAAGGCACTGGGATATTTGCAGATATATATTTTTAAAAAATGAGCCTAGACAAAGGTCTCTCATTTTTCCCCAGAATTAACTAAAATGCATTTTTGCCCTAAATGTATATCAAAATTCTAACACTTGTAGACAAATCATAGGAGAAATTTTACATTACTTTTGGTTTGGTGATGAGCTTTCAGATAAAATGCTAAAAGCATAATCCATGAAAGATAAACATTAAAGTGGAGTGTATTCAAATGAAAAATGTGTACTCTGTGAAAGATAATGATAAGATAATGAAAATTAAAGCCACAGAGTGGAAAAAAAATATTCACAAATCACAGAATTTTGAGACTCAATGATAAGACAAATAACCCAATTAAAAATGTGCAAATGACCTGAACAGACACCTCACCAAAAACATACGCATATGGCAAATAAGCAAAGGAAAAGATGTTCAACATCATTTGTCATTAGGGAATTAGATACTATTCACAACTATTAGAATGGCCAAAACAAAACAAAACTGTCAGTTCTAATTGCTGCTGAGGATGCACAGAAGAGGAATTCTCCTTTCCTATTATGGGGAAAGCTAATGGCACAGCCACTCTGGAAAACAGTAGAGCAATTTCTTATAAAGCTAAATATAGTCTTAACCTGCAAACCAGCAATCTTACTCTTAGGTATTGACCCAGCTGACTTTAAAATTTGTGCACACAAAAACTTACACATGAATGTAGTAGCTTTATTCAAAATCACTCAAAACTAGAAGCAGCCAAGCTGTCCTTCCATAGATAAATGGGTAACAAACTAGTACATCCATACAATGGAATGTATTCATCAATAAAAGAAAGAAAAGACAAAGATGAATCTTGCCAACTGAACAAGAAACATACTGTATGAATCTAATTACATGACATTCTAGAAAAAGCAAAATTACAGAAAGAGTGACGAGATCAGTGGTTGCCAGGTGCTTGAAGGAACAAGAGAAAAGTTGAATAAATTATGCACAGGGTATATTTTAGGGTGTGGAACTATTGTGTATGATGCAATAATAGTGGATAAAAGATATTATTCCTTTGTCAAAACCCATAGAAATTTACAGCACAAACAGTGAAGCTCAATGCTTACAAATTATTTTTTAAAATTTTAGGAAGTCAAAAAAATTCTTGAATGGAATGCATGATGTGTTAAAGCAATTTAACTGTATTATGAATGTATGAAACAATCTCCCTGAAACAGATAAGGAAAAAATTTCTATCCTAAGCATCTTTGGATATTAGCAGAGTTTGTAAGAAAAAGACACAATAAATTGGACATAGCTCCATACTGTGTAGTTGATAAAATTATTTTACATGAGGCCACAGGTTGACAAAACTGTTATTGCCATACACGAATAACTGGAATTGAAAAATTAGGTAAGTGGATGGCAGGGGTTGGCAGTCAGGTTTCTCATGATTGGAGTGGAAAATTGCAGATGAGCAAGGGGAGGATATGGGAATTATTCACGAGGTAATGGGGTAGAGTTGAAGATACCAGTACAAACATGCAGTATAAATAGAAGCAGATGGTTATGTATAAAAATACCTACAAATATTTGATGTTTCATGTGGATGATAAAATGCACTACAGTTTTTGCTATGTCAACTGAGAGGGCCAAGAAGCAACGATACCTCAAATCTTGGTTTCTAAGTTAAGTCTCTATAAGGGAAATTTTGGAGAAAGGGCTGATTCTATGACTGGAACTAGAGATATGCAAGATGTGCTTAGAGTATCCTATACAGCCAGAAGAAAAAAAAAAGAATTTCTCAAAAACAAGCAATCAAATGAGAAAATAAACAAAAACCACAATGATAAGATATGTCAAAGAGGTATAGAAACCAACCAAAAGGACTCCCTATGCCCTAAGCTGGAAGAATCTAAGCAACAAATGTAGTACTATCAGATTCTAATCCAGAGTATAAAGTAAGTATAAGTGAGTCCATACTGATGACAGACGAATAAGTAAATGGGGGCAGAGTGGAGAAGTCTTCCATGCAGAGGAATTCCAAATAATCTATGCATATGCTCCACCTCCAAGATATGACACCTCACTCCGTAAGTGTGGGCTTTATGTAGTGACTTCCTTCCAGACAGTGCAGTAACAAGAAAGGGGGAAAAGAGTAACTTCACAGTGGAGAAACCTAAGAAACATTTCCTCAGCCAGGAGATCAAGGTCAACACCAGCAGTGACAAGTCATGTTAGTATGGCCCCTGCATGAGATATAATGAAAATAGAACTTTATCTCCATGGCCTTTCTTCCCAAGTTCCATAACCTCAATCTAATTGTGAAAAAAAAAAAATCAGATACATTTCACTTGTAAAGGAAATTCAACCAAATACCTGACTAAAACTTCTCAAAACTAGTCAGGTTATTGAGAACAAGATATGTCTGAGAAACTGTCACAGCCAAGAGGCAACTAAAGAGACAAGACTGTTAGATGTAATGTATTCAGGATGGAATCCTGGAATATAAAAAGGAAATTAAGCAAACAACAAAGGCATTCTTGATAAGGTATGCACTGTACTTAATAATGATGTATCAGTAGTGGTTCATTAATTTTAATGTAAGATGTTAATAATAGAGAACACTGGTTTGGGAACTCTGTGTACTACCTTCACAATTTTTCTGTAAATCTAAAACATGCATTATTTTTAAATGAAGAGGAAGTCTCCGAAGAATGGATGCTTACCCTAAAGAAACAGAGGTGGCATGGAAGAGATAAGCAAGACAAAAACAATTCTACTTTAGATATTTAATCCCCTGAGTAGAAAAAGGCTCATGGGGCTGGGCACGGTGGCTCATACCTGTAATCCCAGCCCTTTGGGAGGCAGAGGTGGGGGGGTCACATGAGGTCAGGAGTTCGAGACCAGCCTGGCCAACATGGTGAAAGCCCATCTCTACTAACAACGCAAAAATTAGCTGGGTGTGGTAGTGGGCGCCCAGCTACTCGGTAGTGTAATCCCAGCTACTCGGGAGGCTGAGGCAGGAGAATTGCTTGAACCCAGGAGGCGAAGGTTGCAGTGAGCAGAGATTGCACCACTGCACTCCAGCCTGGGCAACAGAGTGAGACTCGGTCTCAAAAATAAAACAAACAAACAAACAACTTTATCACTTTGTGTTAGCTGGGCTAGAACAGTCATTAATGCACCTCTAATTTTTCTTCTTCTTAAAGGTTTCTACATAATCCGATTATCACCATCATGAGGGCCATCATGAGAGTCATCTTTGCTATGAGGGTGATTATGGCCCTCCTATAATGCTTATGTGGGTCAGGCACTAGTCTCAGGATTTACCCAATTAATTCCAGGTATCCCTTCAAACACCCTAAGAGGTATATTCCATGATGAAATTGAGACACAGAAAGACTAAGTTATTTTCCATAGAGTACAATCAGGTAGTGATGGAACCAGGCTTCAACTGTCCAGTTCTAGAAGGCAAGCATATATCCACCATGCAATTCTGCTTTTGATGGGCAGCCTGACCCAAAAATAACATATTCTGACCTTTAGGGAAGCAAAGGATCTGCCACTTGTTGAATATATTATGGACCTGTCTGGGAAAGGTGCATTTCATTTTTGTGCTATAGCAATGAACAAACAATAATTTTTTGAACTGCATCAATTACTAGAACACAAGAGGGCTTTTGTTATACATGGACCACTTCTAAACGTCATCTCATCTACCTAGCACTAAAGCATCAGGCATGGAAATGGTAGAGAATCGTGCTGGGCCTGCTCCTTACAATGACTCCCATCACCCGAAAAACATATGTTTGGCAGCTGAGGGAATGCATTAGTTCAAAGGAAATGGTAAAAGGCTAAGGAAAAGAAGGCAAAAGCGTGTTCTCCAATTATTTACTTGTAACACATGTTAAATGATTGTAATATGTTTGTTTGCATGTTTCGTTACTAGGAACTTTTACCTTATCTCCAAAGAACAGAAGACAGCCAAGTCACAACATGTCTTGACTTTTTCTAAGTAAGTCATTTACAAGCAGTGGGTGTAATGCTGACTCTGACTCTATTAGCAGCAAATCCTGGCTACTTAATACTGGGAAATAGCTTCCAGACACTTAATAACTAGCAGACTGGTTCTACTTAAAATGACTTTGTGAGCAATACTTGTTAACTCTGCTTGTCAGGGCTCTTCAGAATGGGCAGGCCATCCTCCTAGACTGGCAATTAGTCACTCTAGAGAAGGTTTGTCTCATCACTCCAATCCCAAAAAGATGTTCACCAATTTTGAATGAACCGATGTTCTACACTGACCCAAGGAACTACTGAAAAACGATCTTATGCTCTTACGAGAGTTAGGACAGTACAAGAGACAGAATTTGAATTTTGAAGTGAGGATGTAAAGTGTGACTCTGGCACTTGCTAATTGAGTGACTAATTATTTCTTTTCCATGCATTTCAGTTGTCTTATCAAAAAATTTTATAAGATAACCCATACTCTACAGGATGATGTGGGAGTTAAAGTAAACATGTGTTGGAATATTCAGCCATGATAATAACGTACTCAGTAGAGCAGAATCCAGTTGTATTTATTCATGTATTGTTCTCTGCACCGTATCTCCACAATAATGAGATGGAATTGGATCTAGATGAATCTCAATAGTAGGATTTCACAGTAGTCCTTAGAACCAGCATTTGAGGAAGTAAGACTTGTTGCCATGTGACGGAGAAACCTAACCATTCATTAGCCATCTGGAAACCGTTTTCTCTTATTCTAAGTAGATGCACAACTCCCTTCTTTTGGCTGAAATGTGAAAGAAAGTAAGCAGTTAGGTTGGAGTGGCTACCTAAAGTAGGAATGAGACTTGTTGGAAGAGTCACAAAAAGTTGGCAAGATAATCAAAAGCCAGAACAAACAATGTCCTAAGTGAAATGAAAGATCATCTGGATATATACAGAATCATGACCACTGCTGATATCTACTGAACTCTTGGTAGCTTGTTCCTAGTTTGACTTCTTGCATGTAATCCTCACAACTACTCTATGGTAGGCAATCACAATTTTTATCTGTCAGATGAGAAAAATGGAGCACCACAAGATGCAACCATGTGTCCAAGTTTGTATATCCAGTGAGGACCACAGCTCAGTTCTGCCCAGAGAAGGATCCTGGGTCCCAAACCATGATGCTCCCCTGCCCCTCACATCTGGCTAGACTCTGAGCATCCTGAGGACAACGCATATGGCAGATTCAGATTTGCTTCGCTGTAGCTCAGCCACCCAGACTGCCAAATCATAAATATTTCTTAGATGAATCCTGTCTAGGTTGTAACTGTTTGACCCAGGAAATGTCATGATGAAATGGGTGCTTGGGGAGCATTAGTCTGATAGAATGCAGGTTGGTTGGACCAGAACTGTGGGAGTGGAGAGGAGAACTAGAAGGATGTCTTAGGAAACTATTACAGTGCACTGATGTGAGGATAGCTGAGGCAGCCTGCGAGCTCAACTCTCCTTTTCCATTGCATATAACACAACTTGAGGAAGTCATAGGAACAACTATATATTGCACTAGTTTTCACAATCGTTGTCCACTTTCCATACCTTACCTTTTTCTCTGTGGAGACAGAGACTTCTGCCTCACCAGCAAGGTTCCTCAGTGGTAGAAATTTATTCCAGGAGCCATCCAAAATGTCACAGGAAGGTGCCTTTAGTGACTAAAGAAGACCATATCCATATTAAATATCCTACAACTTCAGTGTACATCTGCGTAAGTTACCAAGTTTAGGTTCATTCTTACATAATTAAGGTTTCACTGTGGCTCTCCAAATACGATTACTAGCATTGTTTTCCAGAATCAACAAAAGGATGTGACTATAGTGGTTCTTTCCACTTGAGGCCTTAAAAAATGCATGTCCATTCATTTGTTCAGCATCTATTTCTCATATACCTACTACATACCCAGCATTCTCCTTGATTCTAGAAGCAAAACGAGGTCCTTGCTCTTTAGAAACCTACAAGTTAGAGGGATAAATAAACAAGCAAGGAATAATCTATCCATATCTCTCCTTGTTATAAGTCTCCCAAGTGTTTGTCATTTTACTTAGGAAGAAATCTAAGCTCATCAGCATGGCATAGAAGGTCCACCAAGATCGCACGCCTGCGTCCCTCTGCAGCCCCCTATTCTATCTCCTCCTCTGGAATTCAATTCTCAAGTCATGCTGAAAGGCACATGTTTCCCCAAATGTTTCATATCTCTTCTGAAATGTTCTGTGTTTTTGTCACTCCCAGGACTTGGAGCAGATTCCTCCTCCTTCATTGTTCACCAGCTGCTCATCTTCTGACACTCAGCCTAAATGGCCAACCCTTCTCCAGGAAGACTCTGTAAAGGCCCCGGCACCCATTCCGTGTGACTGCTTCCCCTTTCTCTGCCATAACATTTGTGACAGTGTTTTATAATCACCTCATTTGAGAATGAGGATTTTATTGTTTATTTCTGTGAACTCCCAATGACTTGAACATAATGGTATCTCCTCAATATATTTCTACTGAAGGAAAGAAGGAGGGGAAGGATGAAGAGAGGGAGGGAAGAATGGGGGGAGAGATAGAGAAAGGGAGTAGGTCAGGCCTTTGTCATTAGTTTATACTATGATTAAATCCTCCTCTTCCCTGTGGGGCAATTCTGTCCTTATTCCAGGGACAACCAAACAGGAGGTAATGAGCACCTGACCTCAGTTTATTGTAGTAGCAGCAGAGAGAGACAATCTGGAAGAAATCAGAATGGGAGAATCAACAATAGTTGGTGACAGGTTCAACAATTACATAAAAGGAAACAGTATTTTCCTTGTCTTGTGAATAGAAAAGACAGACAAAAAAGTGGAAGCCATATCTTTTTGTGTCTATTAGTGAGAGTTGGGTGCCTGGATTTTCTCATTTAAATCAAAGTATTCAGAAAAACATAAAACATGCATTAATTTAGAGGTACACAGGGAAGCTTTAACATAAATACGTAAGAATAATCACTGTGTTAAATTAAGTTACAAATGTATCGACCATCCAAAAGCTTTCCTGCCAAGATTCAACCAAGAGTATATTTAATAGAAATCACATCTTGTCTGATGTGGTAAACTCCTTGCCTGTGATTCACTCCTCTTGATGAACAACTCTTGAAGCCAATCTTCAGATCAGGGATAAACTCCAGCTCAAAGTCTGAATTTTCTCTGGAAGTGTATTCAAGGTCTTGAGCAATCCATCTTGTTGTTATCAGATTAGCAATGAAACAAAAGGAAACAAATATGCAAGAAAAATATTAAGGATCTGTTCTATGAGAGTCAAGTCAGGGTTCACGAAGCCACTACGATCACACTCTAGAGCAAGCTTGTCCAACGTGCAGCCCGTGGGCCATACGCGGTCCCGAACAACTTTGAATGCTGCTCAACACAAATTTGTTAACCTTCTTTCAACATTATGAGATTTGGAGGGGGATTTTTTTTCAACTCATCAGCTATCATTAGTGTTAGTGTATTTTATATGTGGCTCAAGACAATTATTCTTCTTCCAATGTGGCCCAGGAAAGCCAAAAGATTGGACACCCCTACCTAGAGATATAAGATAAGAGACCTGGGAAATATGAAAGCATTGGTGGATGGGAGACTTCCTGGAGACTTACTTGAGGAAAAGCTATTGGCTGATCAAGAAGCTGCAATTCACAAAGAAACTGCAACATGCATTTGTTTTCATGCAGCTGGACACGATGGGAATGACTGCTTAAGTAACTGAGACATTTCACAAAGGGGACAGTTTCACCCTAAGGGAAATCTTTTAGATTGTGTTATTGCCAATACTAAGACATTCCAAATAGAATAATTCTAGGATCCCAGAGGATTCCAATTTTGTTTGAGGATTCCTGTTAAAATTCCAGCCCCAGGACACTCCTGAGGCCTTCCTGGGTTAAGATAATGGATGTCTATTCCAAGAGTCTCCTCTTTATCGGGGGATGATTCTTACTAACTTCTGCCACTCTGTAATATCCCCATCCCATTATTAAGTTGGCATATATTTCCTCAGCTTATACTGATTTGCAACTGGGCCTATAACCCTCAGAACGCTTGGGAGTCTCCGAGCCCCCAATTCTCTTACTGTTTTGTCTGGCTTTGTTCTGTTTGCTTCCACTATTTGTAATAACTTGTATTATTAGAGCGCTTTTGAGTTTACAATGCTTTCAAATACATTATCTCATCTGGCCTAAGGATTTGGCACTGTTGCTAGGCATAAGCAACCATCTGGGGATCTCTGATTTACAAGTCTATCATTAACTCATCAACAAACAGTCACCGAGCAGCTACTGTAGGTCAACCACTACACTGGGTTTGGTGTGACCTGTGGAAAGTTGGAGAAGAAAAAACAAAAACAAAAATGGTATTATGATAATATTAGCTTCAACAAATTTTAAATTAAAGAACCAAAACAAACAGCTATGAACACTCAAGTTTCAAAAAATACTAGTGTTGTCTGAAATTTCACCCCATCTTCTGTCATTTCTCTACACAGAAACTACATAGCTTTCTCATAATATCTACTCATTTGGCGGCAGTCAAATGTAAATCAGGCTGGGCACATGGGCTTATGCCTGTAATTCCAGCACTTTGGGAGGTCAAGGTGGGTGGATCACTTGAGGTCAGGAGGTCAAGATCAGCCTTGCCACCATGGTGAAACCCTATCTCTACTAAAAATAAAAAAATAAAAAAATAGTCAGGCGTGGTGGTGTGCACCTGTAGTCCCAGCTACTCAGGAGGCTGAGGCAGGAGAATCTCTTGAACCCAGGAAGCGGAAGCTGCAGCGAGCCAAGATTACACCACTGCACTCCAGCCTGGCAGACAGAGCAAGACTCTGTCTCCAAAAAAAAGAAAAAGTAAATCAATCTTTTTTTTTTAATATATATACTTTTATTATACTTTTAGTTCTAGGGTACATGTGCAGTTTAAATGAAATCTAGATCTCCTAAATTGTACTCACTAAGAAAAGGAATCCATAGATCATTTGACCATAATACTCACTTTAATAACAGTTCTTCAGGAAAAATGATAAATATGAAATGTATGGATTGAGTATAACTTGGGCTCACCAGCTTCAGAAATGTAAAAATGTCGACATGTGCCTTAGAATTAAATGCAGACCACATACACCTAATCTTCCAGTTCCTCAGGAAGGATGCCCTACATGGCTTCAAAGAACACTTTGAGATACTAAAAATTAACATTATTAAGAGTCATTTAGAAATGTTAAATTATAAATCGTCAAAATTCTAAATATTTCTATTAGAAACAACATTCGTTGTTTAATTAGGAGTTTTAAGCTGGATATTCTGTGAAATTTTTAGTTTGGGGCACCCATATAGCCCAGAACAGCAGTAATTTTTCATTCTGAACACAAGGTTATTGACAAGTCTTCAGACAAGGTTGACTTCAAAATCATATAAGATCTTTTAGCCAATTAATTTTCACTATAAAATTCATGAGGAGCTTGTCCAACACTAGTATTTATACCAATAGTTACAAGTCAAAAAGAAATAACTTCTCTAGCATTTTCTTCCAGAAGCCAACTAAAATGCAGGACTCCACCTTTAGACTATTTCAACCTCTATTATATTAAACTACTTGACTAAGAGTATTTAACCCACAGTTTTCATAAATTGCCAACAAATAAAAAGAAAACAACAAAAACAAACGTCAAGGAACAATGTCAGGTGATATTAGAAAATATCCCAGGAAGTAGCAACTAAAATAGAGTCTGGTAGTTAATTTTCAGCTGCTCAGAGTATATTGGTTACTTATAAGAACTAATTTGTAACCACTATTGAAGTGTGCTTTTTATGCTAATGAGGGAAATTATGTTTTTGCTGTGAACTTGGATCACTTGCATGGGAAAATACACTTACTTCCATCTCAAATTAATGGCAGTTTCTCATTCATCCTGGGTTCCTCATCAAAGTGGGTTTCCTGAATTGGAGATAATGCCTCTAGTAGAGTTCATTCTTGTGGATGCTCTACTTAGTAGAGTTGTAAATCCAGGCAGGTATTTTAACTCTGAGAACATTTCAAATGGGCTTCCTACTGGTACCTACACCCATACCTATCCCTATCCTATATGTAATTGTATACCTACACCTATTCTTATATCTACACCTATACCTATATCTCTACCTATACTACACCTGTATCTATAACTATATTTATATTTACACCTACACTTATCCCAAATACACCTGTATCTACACGTATACCTACACTTATAATGATATCTACACATACTCCTACACCTATACCTATACCTATACCCACACCTATACCTCCAACGACACTTTTGTCTATACCTATACCTACACCTATACCTATACCTATACCCACACCTATACCTCCAACGACACTTTTGTCTATACCTATACCTACACCTATACATATACCTCCAACTATGTTTATGTCTATATCTATACCTACACCTATACATCTACCTCCAACTATCCTATGTCTATACCTATACTTACACCTATATATATACCTCTATCTATACCTACACTATACGTAAACCCATTTCTATACCTATACCTGCACCAATATGTATACATACGCCTACACCTGTACATATGCCTATGCGTGTGTCTCTGCCTAAGCCTATCTATACCTATGTGTACTCCTACACCTTTCCCTATGTCTATACTTACATCAACACCTATACCTACACCTATGCTATACCTATATGGATCCTGTACCTACTCCTAGACCTATACTTATACCTACATCTAGACCTATACCTACACCTACCATGACACTTCTACCTATTCCTGTACCTATATCTATACCAACACTGACACTTATATGTATACCTACTATGTCTGTACCTCCAAGTATACATATATTTATACCTACACGTGTACTTAAATGTACACCAATATCTATACCTACACTTATCCTACTTATTTTTATACTTTTACCTATACCTACACCTATGCTTATACGTATACCTACACCTATACTTATACCAATCCTATACCTACTTTTGTACCTATACCTACACCTACACCTATATCTACACATGCACCTATACCTAAACCTGTACCTACAGGCATGCCCATGCCTGTGTCTCTGCCTAAGCTTGTGTATGCCTATGTGTACTCCCACATCTGTACCTATACTTACACCTACACCAATACCTGTATCTATAGGCGTGCCTGTGCCTGTGTTTATGCCTAAGCCTGTCTACGCCTCTGCCTACTCCTGCACCTATACCTATAACTGTATTTCTCTCAAAGGGTTGTTTTGAGGATTGAAAGGCGATTTCAGGTATATGATATCTAATACCTCGTAGTCATTGCCTGAATGTTGGCCCCAAAATGATTTCCTTGATAGACTTAAAATTGATGGATTTCAATCTCTGGTAAGTGGTCATTGCTGGACTTTGTGAAGAATGGGCCATCCAAATGAAGTCTGCAGTGGCTGCCAGTGGCCACAAAACATCCAAGTTCTTGAAAACATCCATTTAAATCAGCTTTGATTTACTTAAGTGAATAATGTGAATCTGCAATAGAATATTCTTGTTTACTTTTTTACTTGGCATTGAGTGGCCTGGCCTCACCCTTATCAGGAACAGGCACCATTCCCCCTCCCAGCCCATGGGTCAGCTTTAGTGGCCAGAGTGAAAAGCAACAAATTGCTATGAAAAAGTCATATAGCCAGAGGCCTGGAGTTCAAAAGGGGCATTTCAACCATGGGCAGCTGGAGAACCCCAACAAGATTGCAAGCAGGGTCAGAGTCCCAGCACCTGGGCACAGGAAGGAGTTGAAGAGAGGTTCCTAGATGTGGAAGAAGTCACAGTCACTGAGAGCAGGCCCATGGATGTGTCCCTTGGGTGGACAGTGAATATGCTGCAGAAATTACAGCAGTCAAACCTTCCCAGGAGCTTGCATATCCACAGAGACTTTTCCAACAACTACTGCATGCTGAGCCTGGGGTGGGATTCTGAAGATACAAAGATAAGTAGAAAATCGTCCAGCCTCTGAACACTTCACCTCCTGCATGGAGAAATATAGAATGTCCCTGTAATATCAGCTGTAGGAGAAGGCCAGAGAAATCTTCTTCCTTAACACCCAGAGATATTGCTTCATCTCAGGGTTGGGGAGATAAATTCATAGAAGAAGTGACATTTGAATCAGAGCCTGAGATGAGGAAGACTTTCTACAGAGGCAGGTGAACAACACTCCTGGAGAGGCACAGCAGAGGCAAAGGTGTGAGGGGCAGGGCTGCAGGCACAGGACACTGACCACTGATGGAGAAGACGGGAAGGTTAGCTTAAAAGTAACAACAGCCGGGCGTGGTGGCTCACGCCTGTAATCCCTGCACTTTGGGAGGCCAAGGCGGGTGGATCACCTGAGGTCAGGAGTACAAGACCAGCCTAGCCCACATGGTGAAACCTTGTCTCTGCTAAAAATACAAAAAATTAGCCTGGCATGGTGGTGGGCATCTGTAATTCCAGCTACTAGGGAGGCTGAGGCAGGAAAATCACTTGAACCTTGGAGGCGGAGGTTGCAGTGAGTCGAGATTGTGCCATTGTACTCCAGCCTGGGCAAGAAGAGCGAAACTCCATCTAAAAAAAAAAAAAAAGTAGCAAGGCAACCTGAGGCATCTAGGGTTTAGACTACCCTAAATCTAACCCCTCCCAGTATTGACACACATTAGTAAATGTGCATCATTTCTAATGAATTTCACTTTTATGTGTTCTGAGGTTTACTGAAATGAAGTTACTTTCACAGCTGCATTGTGCAGAGAACCTCAGAATTGCTTATTTAATTGCTCACGATTGCCCATTTAAAATAAAGCAAAGGTATAGTCAAAAATTCTCAGAAATAAAGAAAAAAGCTGCATATAACAAAACATATAAGATTAACAAAGTGCAAGAGGATGTTTGAGAACTTCTCCTGCTCTGTGCTATAAGGAGATTCTCCTGAGTCTGTCTAATAATGCATCAACAATAAGAGTTACTTCCTTTACAAAATATCTTATTTCTGTGCTCAGGTCCCCAGGAACTCCAGTTGTTTCCCCATTGTGTACCCTTTGCATAAATGGATCTATTAAAATGTGCTCAATTCTGCTGCTTTCTATTGTTTTACGCATTTGCTCAAATGAGGTTTGAATGAAGAGCACATTTTCTGATCTTTATTAAGGATGTTTCCATCTTCTTACATTTCCTTGGCTTAGGCCCATTCCACACCACTATGTTTGGTTTAGGATTTAGTTATGCTCCCTCAGTACCAATAAATCCGTGCAAAAGATATGCATCTAATTGGACTCTTCTTTGGGATGTTTCCTTGACATTTTAAGAGAGTACAGCTTTCATCCCCAATAGTGAACAAGCTCTCAAAAGCACTGAAGCACATTTCCCTTTGCAGAACAGCAAAGGCCCAATTTTCCTTCCGCCTTCAGCTCTACAGGCAGAATAAAGAGTGTGAAGAGCCAAGGGGTGGAAATATGATCTGTGGCACTCCTCACACAAGCACTCACACCCCTCACCACAGCTTTGGATATCTCACCCTGTGCCCTCAACCCTGGTGTCTGAGAGCCACTATTTTCCTCTTGTCCTTCTGAAAATGAGGTGCTCACTGTTGTTTTCTTTGAATGCTTCTCTGTGAGGTTTAAAG
The DNA here is from genome assembly GCF_000001405.40 of Homo sapiens. Lineage (NCBI taxonomy): Eukaryota > Metazoa > Chordata > Mammalia > Primates > Hominidae > Homo > Homo sapiens. Next base: position 4,976,884 of record NC_000005.10, read on the forward strand.
ATCAGTTGCACCAGGATGTGTGGACTGTCATCCACACCACTGAAACTAGAAACGCAAACAAGAAATGCACATCTTAGGAGTAACATACAAAGTGATAAGTAGATTAATGAATGGATGTATGGATGACTGAATGATTCAGCCAAGTGACTGCAAAGACTTGGGCCCAGGCCACACTTTGAAATTCTAAGCAGATGAGAACACCAACAAATCATTCAGCTATTTGTTCTGGCTAATCATTTCCCCTGCTGAAAAAGGGTAAACACAGACTGAGAATTCTGATGTGGTTTGCAAGTTTATTCCTCAGAGGTAAAATGTGGGATGATGACTATTTTATTATCTCTAATTACTACATTATACCATGTTTAATAAAACAGAGTGTTATCACTTCATGCTTTTCAAAATGTTTCACAACTGTTATCTCAAGCTATTAAAAAAAAAGAGAGGAGAATAAGTTCTGTGACTTCTTCAATTAATCTTCAATTTTTCATGTGTTATATTTTCCTTTATTGTATATTTCTGTTTTATCCCAAAAAGTCGGTGTTCCTTTCTTGTGGAAGCAATTAAAAAAATCACCAATTACAATATAAAGTTCCTTTGTTAATTGTCCATAGACATTTTCATCAGGTTTTCAGAACTCATGCTATCCTAATTCAGAAGCTGGACACGGGACAAGCATTACTTCAGCATCCAGAGCACTGCCATAGGAAACAAATAGAAGCAAAGGGGAAAAGCCATAGTGAAACCAAAGTCTCCTCATTAAAACATGACAGAGAGCTCGTTATACCCAACCAGCTTTTACTGCAGTGGCAGCAACAAATGTGAATGGAAAACACCCCAGACAAGAAGCTGTGTTGCTGGATGGTCTCTGGAAAGAGTTAGGCATTGATTAAAGAACCCACAGGAGCAGGCTAGGAACTAGTCTCAGACATCTTTCCTCTCCTCCAAGTCAGACCCTCTTCTGAGCAGAAGTGTGTGTGTGTGTTTGTGTGTGTGTGTGTGTGTGCTGGTAAGAACCTTGAGCACTCGGCCACCTTCCAACCATGGGAGGAGGAAAACTTAAGTTGAAAGGATCTGGAAGATCATCTGGTGAAATCCTCTCCCATCTTGTGCATGAGTCACACTACAGTGTCCGACACAGGGCACTTCAGCCTTGGCTTGAATCTACCTCATGATGAGTGGCTCATCACCTGAAGGGGTGGTTTGTAGGTGCACAATTCTTATAGCAAAGTCGTGACCTGATTCTATTGAAGTGCACCTACTTGTCCCCATCATATACTTGTTCAAGTCCTATCCATGGAGGTCACCTGTATCCAGGGCTCCTCCTAGGGGGCCTCCAGTCCATCCTCACGTCCTCCACTGGGTGCTTTCTCTGTGGGCATGCAGAAGACAGAAGTCACCGTGCTCAAGATGTGAGCAGCCAGCCCTGCTCAGCACTGACAGACACTGTCCCATACCCTACTAACCCACTAACGCTTCCATAAATGCACTCTCAGGTTTCTTGAGCTTTAGTCTAGAAAAAGTATGTGATACAGTTTGGGTATTTGTCCCCAGCCAAATCTCAGGTTGAACTGTAATCCTCAAGCTGGAGGTGGGGCCTGGTGGGAGGTGATTGGATCTTGAGAGTGGATCCCTCAAGGCTTGGTGCTGTCTTCATGAGAGTGAGTGAGTTCTTGTGAGATCCAGTTATTCAAAAGTTTTCTGGCACCGCCCCCTGCCAATCTGTCTCCTGTTCCTGTTTTTGCCATGTGACATGCTGCTTCACTTTTGCCTTCCACCACGATTCTAAGCTTTCTGAGGCATCCCTAGAAGCTGAGCAGATGCCAGCATGGGGCTTCCTGTAAAGCAAATTGTGCAAAACTGTGAGCCAATTAAACCCTTTTTCTTTATAAATTACCCAGTTTCAGGTATTTCTTTATAGCAAGGCAGGAATGGCCTAATACAGTATGGAACTCTGATTGCTGGCAATTGTGTGAACAACTATGCATAAATACCTAGAAACTCCTAACTTTACATGACCCACTTAAATTGAATCCTGTGTATTTGGTTGCAGTTCTCTTCTTTTTTTCATTCATTCTGAAGGTCAGTTCTGTCATCTTCTATATCAGCTATCCCTTTGAGTTTGTGTCATGTGCAAATCTTTTTAATTTTTAATTGTAACTTTTATTTTAAATTCAAGGGTACATGTGCAGGTTTGTTATATATGTAAACAGCATGTCGCAGGGGTTTGGTGTACAGATTATTTTAACACTCGGGTTATAAGTATAATACTCAAAAGGTATTTTTCCTTATCCTCTCCATCCTCTTAACCTCCAGTAGGCCTGGTGTCTGTTGTTCCCCACTTTCTGTCCATTTGTTCTCCTTGTTTAGCTCCCACTTATAAGTGAGAATATGAAGTATTTGCTTTTCTCTTCCTGCATTAGTTTGCTTGGGATAATGGTCTCTACCTTCATCCACGTTTTTGCAAAGACATGACCTCATACTTTTTTATGGCTCTGTAGTTTCCATAGTGTATAAGTACCACATTTTGTTTATACCATCTGTTGTTGATGGGCATTTAGGTTGAGTCCATGTCTTTGCTATTGTAAATAATGCTGCAATGAACACATGCATGCATGTGTCTTTATGGTAGAGTAATTTATATTCTTTTGGACATATACCAAATAATGCAATTGCTGGGTCAGATGGTAACTCTGTTTCAAGTTCTTTGAGGAATCACGACACAGACTTCCACCATGGCTAAACTAATTTAGTTTCACCAGCAATGTACATGTGTTCTCTTTTCTCCACAATCTCATCAGCGTGTCTTATTTTTTGACTTTTTATAATAGTCATTCTGACTGGTGTGAGATGGCATTTCATTGTAGTTTTGATTTGCATTTCTCTAATAACGAGTAATGCTGAGCATTTTTTCATATGCTTGTTGGATGCATGCATATCTTCTTTTGAAAATTATCTGTTCATGTCCTTTGCCCACCTTTTAATGGGGTTGTTTGTTTGTTTCTTGTAAATTTGTTTAAGTTCCTTATAGATTCTGGATATCAGACCTTACTCAGATGCAAAGTTTGCAAACATTCTCTCCCATTCTGTAGGTTTTCTGTTTACTCTATTGATAGTTTCTGTTGCTGTGCAGAAGCTCTTTAGTTTAATTAGGTCTGATTTGTCAAATTTTGTTTTCATTGCAATTGCTTTTGGAGTCTTCATCATAAAAGTTTTGCCAGGTCCTATGTCCAGAATGGTATTTCTCCTAGGTTATCTTCCAGGGTTTTTATAGTTTTAGGTTTTACACTTAACTCTTTAATCCATCTTAAGTTGATTTTTGCATGTGGTGGAAGGAAGGGGTCCAGTATCAATCTTCTGCGTATGGCCGCATGTGCAGATCTTATAGGCATGTTTTTTATGCCTTCATCCAAACCACTGAATGGAAGTTAACACATGATAAAGAACAAGACCTAACAGCATGCCATTAAGGGTTTCCTCTTGATTGACCCCAATTAATTAGTAACAGTCTTTGAACAGATTGTTAAGGCAGCTCAGATCTGTTGAACTGTGGCTCCATCTAGTACACAGGAATATCAAAAGGACAGCTACCTGCCCGGTGAAGTGGGAAGCCGGAAGTTCACCAGGCTGTTTGATACACCAATCGAGAATGCTCCTTAAATCCAAGGATCCTTCTTCATTAATCTTTATGTAACTAGCACCCAGCAAAGGAAGTTGACTAAATACAAAGTGAAAACATGTTGCTTGTTGTCAAACTAACTGGGCTGGACCTGGAGATCACTGCTCCTTTTCAATTGCTCATCTGCCTGTTAATAATTCCTTCTGAATTGTTGTCAGTGATCAATGTTGAACTGACTGGCCCAGCATTTCTGGAATTCATCCTTTTGCCAATTTTGAAATTGGAAAAATATTAGCCTTTTCCACTCATCTGACCCCTCTCTCACAATTCAACATTTTCTCATGGAAAAATAACTCCTCTTTCCTATCTGCAAATACTCGAAGGCCCTATGTTGTGACTTTGGTGGGCCTGAAGCGTTGAAGCTTCCTGGAACATCTGATCTCTTTCTTGCTGTCCCCACCCTGGAGCAGAGCAGAGCACTCTTACTGACACGTCTCTGCTGTCAGCCTGAATGTTGTCTTCTGGTTGAAGATGATGGGAACACAATGGTCATCTAGAGGTGCTGCCCTCACTCCGTCCTCTCTGAGTATAATAAATTTTCCCAAGTGTAGGCCTGTCTTTTTCTTTCTGTACTTGCTTTGCATGTATCAAGTAGTTCCATCTGATGGCTGATAATAAAGTGGTGGATTTCTCAGAAATTGAAAAGTGGAAAGAAGCTTAGGGTGTTGCCTTCCTCACTTTAATTTTCTGGAGAACAAAAGTAAAGTAATAAGTACTAAAGCATTCAGTGGTATGGTCTGTCAGTAATTTGTAAAAAAATAATAGAAACTGAAACACACAGATGATGAGTACATAAATCACATGTTCAAAATTTGAACTTATAAAAGAATCTAGCAGAAATTAAATGCAAAATTTGTGAGTGTTAAATGTTCTGTTTGTTATCATGGATTTTGTTAACTATAGAAAATAACCAACTGATTTAAATATTAATTACAATGATCATTATTAATTGAACTATAAGTAATAGTTATTTGAAAGTTTTGCTAAATGCTATAAAAGAAAAATGTCAAAATACACAAGAAAAACAATATGTGCATGTTATTTCTGTCTGTGGACATGCATCTCTCAGAGGGACCAAAGCTGGAATCATTCTCTGTGCCAGCTATTTTTCCAAGATCCTGACTTATTTCGAATATCTTTTGATAATTGGTTCCTATTCTTCTGGCAAGCCACCTGTAAGCTAAGGCAGAAGCTAAGAAGGAGTAAAATGGGTGGAGTTGATATGTTTTTAGCATTACTTCACAATACTGTAATGCAAGCTCTTAGCTCCTGAGTCTGCGCATATTTTCGCAGGGTGTGTGGTTGATTTATTAAGGCTATTCAGGTCAAGCAATATGAGTTTTCATTTCATTTAAAATTTAAAAAGATATTTCTTCAGAGAAATATTGAATTTGGGATATTTATCTATGATTTAAAACAATAATATAAGTCAATTTAAAGTCAGCAATTCTAGTGTAAGACTTATTTGGTTAAGAGAAGTATTGGTGCCTGTAAGTGAATACTCATTTTGCCTCTATTATATCACCGTAATTTAATTGAACCCAAATAAAGCTAAACCCAAGGCATGTATTTTATTTTGCCTCAAAATTTGAAATTTAATTATATAAAAAAGAATTGGCCTTTTTTTTTAATGCCTTGGTGCTCCTCTATACCTATGCTATGTGTTAAGGTTGGGCTATGAGGAAATTCTGTTGGAGAGAATCAGCATGGTACCGTGCCGTGGCAGCTGCTGGATGGTAGTGTGGACAGTCCTCACCAGGCCTTGCTGCTGATGCTATCCAAATCCAGTGTGTGTGTCTGTGTGCAGGGGGCAGGCGGGGGGGTGGTGGTCTAGGTCACTGCTCTTCCATGTGTAATCCCAGACCAGTGACATCAGCATCACCTGGAAACTGGAAGACACCCCGGGATTCCTGAGTCAGAAACTCTAGCAACAGAACGCAGCAATCTTGTCTGAAGAATCCCTCCAGGTCGTTCTACCTATGCTAAAGTTCAGAAACCACTGATCTAGGTCACACTCCCTAGAGACTGAACAATTTTGCTGGAAGCTGCTTAATTCAAGATCAACACAGGACACATGCCTGTGAAGCACTGGAAGAAAAATAGAAATGGTGGAATCTGGTTTTTATATATGCCAAAGATAGAACCAAGTCCAACAGCTTCAAGACTCCTTCAAGGCCAGAAAATAACATCTTACAAATCACAGTTCTGGGTAGGAAAGAACTAAGCACAGCACTGGAGAGGTGATGATGTCCTTCAGCAGTTTATGGTCTTTGGGGATCCTCTAGTACAAACAGCTTCAGGTGTTTTTCAAGGTTATCTGTGTTATTAAGAGTCTGTTAAATAAGCTAAGTGTTTTATTTTACGTATTCCTATTGGTGAATCAAGACTTTTTTTGAGGTTATCTAAATTATCATCAAAGTCTGCTAATCTTCAAACAGAGTATTTTATTTATCCCTCATTTTCAAGTCATTGATTAACAACTAGCTATAACTAACATTGCTTCCAAATGCTTGAAATTAGTGAGTCCACAGAAGGGCAGTGTAACCAGAAAGAGGACTCCAGTCAGGCGCACGTTGGCTCAAGAACAGTGAGACAATGCGTCAGGAAACCAGAAATGCAGCCCTTGTTGTGTGCTCACCTCTCCCATGCCTGTATTCAGACTCACGCAGAAGTTTCCTACGGTCATTTTGCATGTCCACAGACAAAAAGGACAAGTAAAGGCAGACATGTCTATTTAAACATTTAGCAGTTTTAACAGTCATTTAAAACATATACCAAGTCACACATGGCCACTTTAGCTGATGGCTGCTCTATGTGCCGGAGAGTTTATCCATACAGGCTTCAAGACACAATCTCCCTTCTACCATCAAGAGTTTATTAGTGATACTTTGTAATATAACACTAAAGACTACTCAAAGAGACTCATGCACTCCCTTCCACGTGCCTGAGAGTTTGAGAAATAGACGTGCCGTGAGTGAATGAAAAGTCAATGCTGGAAAGACTCAGAACATGCACAGGCCACCTTCACGATTTTGTCCAAAATAACCATCCTGGTTCAAAGCAGATGGTGACTGACAAACAGTTTTTACTAGAGGATCCCCCGAGACCATAAACTGCTGAAAGACATCGTCACCCCTCAGTGCTGTGCTTAGTTCTTTCCTACCCAGAACTACAATTTGTAAGATGTTATTTTCTGGCCTTGAAGGAATATTGAAGCTTTTGGACTTGGTCCTATCTTTGGTTTATAAAAAACCAGATTCCAGGATTTCTATTTTTCTTACAGTGTTTCACATGCATATGTTCTGCGTTGACCTTGAATTAAGCCGCTTCCAGTTGCACTTAAGTTGCTTGCCAGTTCACGATCTGTATTTCAGCTTCTTTCAGAAAAGGTTACTGAGAGCCAAGAAGAAAGTGGTATTAACATTAATGCTGTGGTTCCAGCATCAACAACAGCAAAATCCCTCATGTTCCCCCAGCAGCCCCAGCAGGGGGATCTCCTGCAAATGCTCCCACAGTGCCCTGTACTGCTTGTCCACCACATTTGTGATACTGTCGTTGAGTACCTGTGTTTCAACCCGCCTTTTCCACCAGAATGCAAGTTTCAGAAAGGCAAACAGCACATATTTTATATTCTGCACTCTATTTTTCACATCCAGTAGCACATCAAGCCTAGCATATTGTAGGTACTAAATACATTTTTGTATAATTACTAAACAAATACATAATAATGTATACATATACATATATACATTATATATTGATATTACAGCACACATCACATGGTAGTTTTTCACATGCATTTTCTTGCCTGGGTTTCTTGCTGAGCTGAATAGAATTCATTCTTCAACCTACATCTAGTGCAATGTCTGTTATCCAGGGGATAGCAAATAGTTTTATTATTAAGGGATAAATCTTGAGATCTAGGAGTGAGTAAATATGGCATGAATTCTCATTCTCACTGCTGATGAAGAACTGTTAAATTAACCATTCTATGTTCCAGTGTTCTCATCCATTATACTGACATAATCATATTTATTTTTATTTCCCTAAGACATTCTAAGGCTATAGGGAAAAAATCATGGGAGAACACAGTGAGCCTTGAGAACAAAGGCGTTATGTGATTCTGTAAAAACAATAAAGCTATTATTTCTGGTCTACTTTTTTCCTTTTGAAATATCTACCCTATTCTAGTCACTTAGGCAGAATCTGAATAAAATACTCTTCCCATTTTACTGATTATATTCTCTAAGTAGCATTTTCCTTCTTAGCACATGACTAAAAACTATGCAATGAAAGACAGAGATCTGCCGTATAGACCTATCCTGTTTCAATTTCTTCTACAGATGTTTCAATACTACTTAGAGTCTCCCAAACCCAGAGGACTAATCCTAAGTCACCCATGATTCCTTTTGCAGCCAAAACGAGAATCAGTCTCCCTAGAAGCCCACAAAAGAGGTGGCCGAGGGGCCATGAGAAATGCAGCATGAGATGGTTAATTTTATATGACAACTTGGCTGGGCAATGAGATTAAACATTACTGTGGGTAGGTCTGTGAGGGTGTTTCTGGATGAAGTTAATATTTGAATTGCTGCAGTGAACAGAGCAGACTGCGCTCCCCAGCATGGGTGGGCCTCATCCAGTCCATGGAGGGACTGAATGGAACAAAAGGGCTAAGAAAGAATTTACTGTTTTCCTGCCTGAATGTCTTTGAGCTGGGACATTGGTCCTTTCCTGCCTTTGGACTCAGACCTGGACTGAAACTTACACCATGAGCTATTCTGGGTCTGCAGTTTGCTGGATACAGATCTTGTTACTTCTCAACATCTTTAATTAAATGACACAATTCTTTATATTAATTTCTCTCTCTCTCTCTCACACACACACACACACACACACACGCACGCACTCTAATGCTTCTGTTCCTCTGGGGAGCCCTGATTAATACGTGGTGTGTGCAGAACCTCAACATCACTAAAACCCTCATGGTGACCACAGCTTCCTACCCTGGTGTCCAACTCCAGCATCAGGGATTTTCCTACAGTAGGTACAAATTAATAAGAATTAAAAGGCCTTTTGTAACCCATAACCTGATTGCCGGGCCACATATTCATGACTGAAAACATCCACCCTGTTAAGTGTCTTCTCACAAAGGTGATGAAGATCAGGATGGCAGAGAAACTGTAATCATAGAGGTAGAAACAGAGGACATATCTGAAAAAAAAATGCACGCATTAAACAATGTGGGATGAGTCTGAGGAGGGTTGAAGTGGAGAAGTGTAAACCCATATAAGCCATTTAGAAAAGCAATGCTAGGCACCGCCTTCTTGCCACTGCCTTAACCACATTCAGGCACCTCTTCTTTCAGAAGCATTGCTGGAGTGTGATCAGCTCTCCAGTCCACAGCCTCTTCTGGGTTGGAATGTTGAGAACAGATACCAGGTCTAAAGCCAAGCTTGGAATAGGAATTAGACAAATTCAAAGAACTAAGAATGTCAATATGATCTTTTCACGACACTTTGGAATAGAAAGTAAGTCATGTACAGACTTATTGTGCTCTGCAGTGGTGGCATCATGGGGAAGCTGCTCCCTTCCCCTTGGGAGGATCTGGGCCATCCTCTACCTCCAGTCTATGGCACTGCTGAGCCTTGAGGCATCCATTTGAAATTTCTGTGTTTCATGGGTATTCTCCCACCTAGTGCATGATACTTATAAATGGAGAGGTACAGAGAGTTGTGTAGCCCAATTGTAAGCATAGGAATATTGGTGTAAAACAGAAGATATAAAGAAATAAAGCCTCTTTCTGTCTCCAGTAATTGCGATTTAACTACTTTCTTTTTTTGAGACAGGGTCTTGCTCTGTCACCCAGGCTGGAGTGCAATAGCGCAATTGTAGCCTCAACCTCCTGAGCTCAAGTGTTCCTCCTACCTCAGCCTCCTGAGTAGCTGGGACTACAGGTGCATGCCACCATGCTTGGCTATTTTTTTTTTTTTTTTGTAGAGACAGGGTCTTGCTGTGTTGACCAGGTTGCTCTTGAACTCATAGCCTCAAGCAATCCTCCTGCCTCAGCCTCCCAAAGTGATGGAATTACAAGTATGAACCACTGCACCTCACCTAACTATTAATACTTCCTTGATAGAAAGAAGTTGAAAAGATAGCTCTTGCTAAAAGAATGAGAGAAAGGGTCTATAGCTGTAAAATCTAACTCTAACAGCAAACTTCATTAGATGAAACCAGGCTTCTCATGAGTCTGAGAATGATAGTAGCTGAAAGTGAGCCCAGAACTGTGATTCTATATTGAATGTGGCAGCTCAGATCATGGTGTGCCAAAAGATTCTTGGCGTCAGAGGTGTTCAGGGTGGGTTCCATACAAGCACCATAAAATAATAATAATAATAATAATAAAAAATCAGTGATTTTAAACCTGACAGTGGTACTTGGCTTGGGATCAGAATAATCCTGATGTGTGTCCCAACTATGTGAAGAGAACCTCAGGGCATAGCTGGACAAAGTACACAGGTCAAGAGAAAGCTGAGCTGCTCTGCAGTCCAGAGCATGGGGAGTCTGGGAGGAAGTCTGGTGATGAAGAGGGGCAGGAAAACAGAGACGTGGCCAACTAGAGGAGGCTCCTCAGAGGCTGCTGGGATGAGGAGTGACAAAAGACCTGCAGCAGTGGCAAGCTAAGTGAGAAGGGATAAATGTCCCATGGAAGTCACTTGGTATGGTAATGGCAAAAGATCTCTGAATGCAACAAGGTTTAGTGCTCATTCTTAAGAAGTTTTGTGTATTGTCCTAGATATTGAACATTGCTGCTGCTCCCAAAACATTCCTACTAACAAACATCTTACGTATGGACTGTTTGAGGTATTGAGATAAAAGAGAATGACTTCTGTTTTGAGGACTGTGTGAGGAGTAGAGAAGAGACCAGGTGCCTTGAGAAATACAGAAGGGAGATGAGAAGGAAGGAGGCCTGAGTTTCTCAAACCCTGCACATTCCCCAGAAATGACTATTTTCAGGACTGACCGTTGGCTAGTTCTTGGGAAGCAAATGCTGAGTTTTGGAATGTTCTGCCTGGGAAGAGTGTTTTTGTACGGCTGAGGCCTTACGCCACATGGCACCGGTTGAACAGCTTGTTAATGCTAGCAATGTGATTTATGTTGAATGCCTAATTCTGCTCTGGAGAACTGGAATCTGAGTATCTGAGTTCAGCCATATAAATGCTTCAGGTCTGCAGGACTGGCTCCCAACAAGAACCCTGGACACAAAGGCTCAGGTGAGCTTCCTAGACACCAATACTCAGGTGAGCTGTATGGAAACTAACGCTCAGGTGAGCTTCCTGGACTCCAAGGCCCAGGTGGGCTTTCCTGGACTCCAAGGTGCAGGTGAGCTTCCTGGGCTCCAAGGCCAGGTGATGTTCCTGGACACTTAGGCTCAGGTAAGCTTCTGTGGTTGGCAACACTTCGCATATGCTGTTGCACAATGTTAGGAGAATTAAGCATGTGCATGAGACTCCACTGTAAGAGGATGCCTGGAAACTCTATTCCTTTGCTGAAATAATTCCTATTCCTTTGCTGTAATAAACTGTAACTGTAAGTATAATAGCTTTTCTGAATCTTGTAGGTCTTTCCAATATATCATAGAAGCTGAGGATGGTCTTGTGACCCCCTAACACAGAGAGGGAGAAGTCAACAGGTGCAGGATAACAGCTTAAGGAAAAGAAAACAGGGAAAGGCCGATTCCTGCAAATCCTATGGGGTAACTGTAAAGAGAAATGATTTCCACTGTCTGGAAGTTTAAGTCTTTATTTTCCAAAATAAAAATGGAGAATCTTATACAAAAGATAATAGGAGCAGAAATAATTTTATGTGTTCTTTCCTCCTTTTCTGGTCTAGATTTGTCTTCATTTATCAACTTTAAGTGTTATCTTACCATGTTATGTTGAATCAATTTTTGTTAGCTGTGTTACATTATTTTTGTAAAAAGGTTGGGGGTGCAATCATTAGTCAATTTTTCAAAATAATATCTTGCCAATGGCCCTTTTGACCCAAATCAGGTAAATATGACCTAAGAATATGTAACTCAATTTTGTCATATATGCCCACCACCACAGCATGCTTCCAAGAATCCCAAAAATCCCACTGTCATAGAAAGACAGCAACTTCAGCTCTCTCTGGTATCTTATTTTTCTTTCCAGCTTAAAAGTGAATTGGGTTTACTACCCACACGAGTGGATTTACCCACTTCTTAGTCCCTGATGATTGCATATGCCATAGTCACACTTGAACTGTTCTGCTCAGTCTCTTCATATCTAAATAAGGGCAGACATGTGGATTCTGGAGTGGGCTGCACTGCTTGACCCACTGCAGATTGAAGGAACTTCTCCGTGGATCCATGGCCTCTCTTTGACTGACAGACAAATAGAGAACAAATGTACAACCAGCAGTTCTTAAGAGGTTTTTTTCCAATTATAGCATATTTTAATATGTCTGTGCTTTATGAATCATTCCTTTGAAGTCATCCTAGTGTTTTGTTTTGTTGGGTGTTTTTTAATAAATTGATGACTATAAGCTAGTATTTATATTATTTAACAAATCTATTTTGTGTCTATTTGCTTTTTTGTTGAGCACACTGTTTAGTCTGAGAATCCACAAGCACAAACTGTTACATCAGGATAAAAGCTCCTTACAACCTGGCCTGGTGTTGGGAAGTGCCTCATAATGCTTGACTCATTAATGCAGTCTATAAATGATTGTCGAGAGTTTTACAGATGGTGCATATTTTTACCAGCCTCCCCTTTCTAGGTACACTAACTAATGTGAACTTATTATTTTCTGCCAGCTAAGCACACAGCCTTGGTTGGTTCCAGGTGAGAAAGTAGTTGGTGATTCAGTGGGGCCTCACTGTAGATCAAAGGCAGATTCTCCACTGGGAAAATATGTGTTGTTTGCAAAAGCTCCAGAAAAATCAAGACAATTCTCACAGAAACAGAGCATTGTTTACAAATACATTCCAGAAATATGTGAGCTAGGTCGGACTTTTTAAAAATATTTTTTTCAGTAGAATACTTTTAAAACTTCAGTGGGCCTCTCAGACATCTATCCTGCTTTGCCAAGCCAAATATGAGGCTTTCCGTGCAATCCTGCTGCCCTGCAGGGGCTTTTCCATGCACCCCTGCAGTAAAATTTAAATTTGTTCTCTTTTTGCTCTCTCCTTTAATTGCAAGAATAAAATTACTCAAGAATAAGTTATGCAAGTTGGTGACAGCTACTTCTGTCAGGGACTATGCCCTACATTCTCTTACAGTAGATACTTATTGAACTTGGTTGATTTAGCAATGACCACATGGCTGAAAGAGACGCTAAGTGTCATTCAGCCCACATTTCTGAACTTATAACTAAAGAAACCAGAACAAAAGTTGACTGAGTCTTTTGCACAAGAGTATGCTGTTTGTGAGGATGAGGGATGAGGTTCAAATTAAAACTAGGTGTGTCAGGCTGCCTAGCTGTTCACTGATCCTGCCATTTTCTTCCTGAGCACACAGTGACATGGCGTTTTATGGGTCCCTGGAAGTGAGATGTGACCTGTAAGGCACATGGATGTGCCTTGGTCAGGAATAGGCCGAGGCGAACATCCAGGCCAGAGTGACTCAGTGAGTTTAGGGTGCAGGCACATACTCCACTTGTTATATAACCTGTTTGTGTAACTCCATACTTGGATCTGAGCCACTATTGTCTGAAAAAGGTATAACTGCCCTGCTGACACTGTACGGGGTTGGCTTGCACTTGTGGGTCTTGAAAAGAAGAGGGTCTGGTTTGAGGCGCATCTGGTTCACTCCAGTACCTGCCCCATGCTGGTGGTAAATGTTGCTAAGATGAGTAGAAAAGAGAATTCCAAAGTGGGTATAGCATTTATAAAAATTGACTCCCTCTCATTGGACAGATGACTCTCTCTGTACAGCGCCCAGAAAGAGAGTAGTGCTACTGAACCCGTAAGGGAGATCCAGTTGCCTTGAAGACAGGCAGTGGGGAGCCAGGAACTGGCTTGGGCCCAGAGAGAAAAAGAGTTAAGCTGCTGACCCTGAAGGCAAGAAAGACCCAGCTGTGCCACTGTGTGTGGGAGCAGCTGGAGCAAGCAACCAAGACAGATCAGACAGTGAGAGAAAGCTGCTGTTAAGAGAGCTGCTGCTAAAAGAGCCGGTGAATAAAACCATATTCACCTGCTTACAGCCCCCCGAGTGTTCTCTCAGCTATCTGCCCATCCACCCACTCCCCTTCATACCTCAGGTGGGGCTAAACCTGACCCTGAGCATGACATTTGGCATAGTTGTGGACCTAACATACCACATAATTGACTGAGCTCAAGCCAGTGGATGTGAACATAGGTAATACACAATTCTTCGTGTTCTTCAAAGACTCACCCACGAGACCTCTCCAGCCAAGATTTCATGTTCTTCCTTTATCTGCTGACTTACTGCAGACAAGCAAACCACCTTGGAAGTCACAAGCTATTACAAGATGAGAGGAGCAAATATCTCCAGTCACTGAGTAGGGAAAAGCTACCCACACACCAGGAACATATTTTGGATTTTACATGAGAGAACAAGTAATAAACATCTATGCAAAAATAAGCTACCACCTATGAATTCAAAAGACAACAACTACAATAAACAGAGTATAATAAATGAGCTGCACTGAAAAAGCAAAACACAAATAAGCCAGTATTGGCTTTAGATGTTACTGTGTAGTTATAAGAAGGTTTTAGTGTTGCTGTAGTTGTTACTTGAAGGGTGGTATTGGGATTTATTGCTTTCATACCTCATGGGTGACTTAAAACAGCCAACTGGCTGTCATACACAAATGCAGACTTTTTTTTAATTTAAAAATCCATGTTTCCAACAGTTGTGCAAAGTGGATCTGATATAGTTGGAAGCAAAAGAGTTTTAGCATAGCCAGCTTCCAACTAGCGTCTGTGTTGAATACACACAGTGGTGATTCCTGCGAAAGCAGAAGGGGCTCAGAAGGAGTTTGTAGATGCAGGTATGTTTGGGGCAACAGAGATACCTTCAATCTCCCTTGGTTTTCAACACTTTTGCATAAAATTGTTTCTGTTTTCTGAATGCCCAAGCCTACTTCTTTTGATAAAAATAGTTTTGTTTTTATTATTATTACATAAAATAAGTAAGCAAATAATCTCAAAATAAAGTATGTTGTGTTTCCAATAGTAACAATTTAGCCTGCCATATATAGTTATTTCTAAGGTTCTCAAGACATTTGAGAATTGCATGCACTTAATAATAAAATAACATCTAAACTGTAAGCATTCTGAGATACACCCCTGGCCCTTTTACTTGCTTTTTGTTGGAAGGCAGTTATTGCAAGACTAATTTTCTTAATCTGTCCAATGAGAGGGAGTCAATTTTTACAAATGCTATACCCACTGGGAATTCTCTTTCTACTTATCTTAGCAACATCTACCACCAGCTGAAGCATGTGCAAGTGGCAGGAACTGGAGTGAACCAGATGCTGCCTGAACCCAGACCCTCTTCTTTCAAGACCCACATCAAGAGGCCATTTCTCATGGTCCCTACAAGTAGACACTGCCAGTGACCTAGTGACACTCAGCACTTCCAGGCCCATGCAGGGAGCCTTCCACATGATTGAATCTTTCCCTATCCCCTCCCAGGATTGAATGCAGAATTCTCTGAGCAACCGAAAAAGGGCACAGTCCTTGCTGGAGGGGGCTGGGAACCTGAGTGAGCACATGGAAGGCGCGCCAATGAAAACACCTGGTATTGGACTAGAGTGTGAAGGAGAAATAAGCTTCTGTTGTGTTAGGCCAGTGACAGTTGGGGGTTTATGTGTTAAATGACCTTATGTTACCTTTGTGCAAACGGACATCTCTTTTAAGTTTTTCAAACTAAAATATATTTGAGGCGTTCAAGGGTAAAACTTCAGTTCCCTCTCCTTAACCTGAAACTTACGCATTGCTCACTTCATGAGCCTACACTGACAATGGCTGATGACTGCTTTATAGAAGCTTAGGCTATGGGTTCAAAGTCAGGGCTTCTTAGCCTTGACACTATTAATATTTTAGGCCAAATAATCCTTTGTTGTGTGTGTGTGTATGTGTGTGTGTGTTTGTGGGGGGAGCTACCCGTTCAGTGTAGGATGTTTACCAATGTCCCTGCCCTCTGCCCATTAGATGCCAGTAACGTCTCCCCAGCTGTGACAACCAAACATATCTCATTGTCAAATAGCTCTTTAGGGGCAAAATTGCCTCCACTTTGAGAATTATTAAAGATCATCAAAGCTGGACAATAGTTAAAGAGGCAAAAACCAGATTGTATTTAGGAGTTGCTGCAATAAGAGACCTCAGTATAGTACTGAGGTACTGAGCTCAAGTGGAGATTTAGAGTCAAGGACCAGAGTGGGGATCAGTGGATAGAAAAATCACTAAGGGGAAACATCAGGGACAGAAGGGATTCTGGTTAAACCAAATTCCCAGGATTCCTGTGGAAGGCAGGCCAGGATGATCTGACATCACCTGTTAGTGGTGAGCATGGGTTTGATCAAATATTGAGGGAGAACAGTCTGGCCAAATTTACTTAACAAAATTCTTACTAAATCTAGGGAATGCAAGTGCATGAAGGACAGACACAGAAGCCCAAGGTTGAAGTCTAGTTGAGAAGCAGACTTAGGCAAGCCTGACAAAAATTTGGCCAAGGATAAGGTCTTTGTTGAATCAATTACCTGACTCAGAAGAACAGCAAGTTAACAGAAACACATAACTATTTAGTCACTTTACAAAACATTAGAATCACACAACCTTAAAGACTGATGGGAACTTAGAAATTCTCTAACACCAGCTGCCATACAGCCCAGACATTTCTACATTCGGTCTTTGCTGGCATCCAGAGTTACGGAGTGCTAGGGAGCTAACACTCATTTACCTGTGGATGGCAGGACTTTCTAGAAACAAACCAAGTCACAAGGGCACATTAAATTCTAAAAGAGAAGTGAGGGACATCTTGTGTATGCCACAGATGGCATTGGTTAAAGTTGTTGCTTATGTTAGCTTTGACTAAATGCCCATAAACCACTTTCTTAATTTCTAATGCATTGGTGTTGCTGTTTTTACTAAGGCATCATGAGATTATAATCAACATGTAATTTAACAGTAAATCAGTTATCTGGGTGACAGATAAATTGGATGTTAAGTAGATACTTCATTTCCTACAGTGTATTGTGCTGTACTTAATATTTTATACAGAGAATACAGTTTAATTTTAATTTCAAAGTTTATTCATTTTTGACTGAATGCCCACATTACACTTTCTCATATTCCTGCTCTTTATACTCTAGGGTAAAATAATAGCTTTTATCTCATCTACTCCAAACATACCTCTTCCCACACACTATTGAACATATGTACCTGATGAAAGACATGTGGTTACTTCAAATATTGAAAAACACACATAATTTATTTTCAGTGCATTCTTTTTTGATATTTTTAACCTGCCAATACTTCAAGAAAAACAGAAATATCAAAATACTTAAATTTCCCTTTGCATTGTATGCACATGCACAGTTTGTATGTATACACACCACACACACACACACACACACACACACACACACACACACACACACAGTGTATTTGCATATATATGCATAGTCAGCAGTTAGCATCCAAGTAGGATTATGCTAGAAATCTTTAAGCTCACAATCTGCATTAGACAGCACATCAAAGGCTGGACTTTGGCTCTCAGCAGATTTTGATAGTCTACAAAAGAGTAGGGGCCATTGCTGTAGGGGCAGGTGTTGATTTGTGAAAGGAGATTTGATCTAAGAAATGCCTTACTCAATTTCCCTAGGAAACCTAAGGAGGTGTTTGCAACCATATCTTGCCTTAAAACGGTCTTAACACATGAACCTGTACGGTTTACAGTATAATTTATACGAAGTGTAAGTCTTGAAATGCTTGAATGGTGGATAGACCCATTGACCATGTTAATCCAGGAGCTTCTTGTACCATATGGCACCTCTATAATCAAGCATGTTCTTAGCAATGTTAGGTCACTAAAAAGATTCAGTTTATGGATGACCCCGAATTTGGGTTGATATTTGCAGCTATCACTGAAACAATAAGAAGTGTGAAAATGGACTAAGACAAGATACATCCATGTAACCAACAGCCAATCAAGATACAGATGTTGGAAATATTTTCAAACTATTTTTAGAAATGTTTTCAGTATTTACTTTGTGCCGCTTACAACTTATTATGGAGTCAAAGAACCAAACTAGTTTGCTTTATCTTCAGAGAAAAAGTGAATTTTGTTTGAAATTATGCTTTCAAGATACATATGGACAGAATTCAAACTTGAAGAACTTGGTTTTTGTTGCATTAATTTTGTTTTCTTTGTGGAGTCAGCAGACCTCTCTGCATGTACCCTTTGCTTAGCAGCTTTATTAGAATATAATTCATGCACCACAAAGCTCACCATTTCAAAGAGTACGATTCAGTGGTGATGAGTATATTCACAGAGTTGCGCAACCATCACCGTATCTAATTCCAGAATGCTTTCATCATCTCACAGAGAAACTCCATTCTCACTAACAATCATTCCCCATTCCTCGCTTTCTCTAGCCCCTGGGAACCAGTAATGTACAATACTTTCTGCCTCTGAGGATTTGCCTAAGTAGGCTATTTCAAATAAATGGAACCACATAATATGTGATCTTTTGTGTCTGGCCTCTTTCACTTAGCATAATGTTTTCAAGGTTCAGCTACATTATATCATGTATCAGCACTTCATTTTTTAATGGCCAATTATTATTCCATTATACAGACATCCCACATAGTGCTCATGCATTCATCACATGGTAGAAATTTTTACAGTTTCCACTTTCTAGCTATTATGAGTAATGCTGCAAAGAACATTCATGTTCAAGTTTTTGTATGAATACATATTTTCAATTGTCTTAAGCAGGTAAGTAGAAGTGGTATTTCTGTAGTACAGGGTAATGACATAATTAACTTTCTGAAGCATTGTCATACCATTTACCTGCTTCACTACTTCACCATCTTACATCCATACCAGCAATGCTTGAGAGTTCAAATATCCCGTATTTTCCAACACTTCCTTGTGTTCATCTTCTGATTGTCATCATATCACTGTGGGTTTCATTTGCATTTCCTAGTGTCTAATGATGTCGAGCACAGTTTTAAAAGCTTATTCACTCTTTTATATTTTTTTGCTGAAGTATCTATTCAGATCCTTTGAATGATTTTAAATTGGCTATTTTTAGTATCAAATTGTAAAAACATAAATGCAAAATAAAATTTTTATTAGAAATGTGATTTGCAGATATTTTCTCCCTTGCTGTGGCGTATCTTCTCACTTTCTTGATGATTTCCACTGAGGCACAAACATTTTAAATTTTGGTGAAGTTTAAGTTATCTATTTTTTATTTTGTTGCTTGGGATTTGGAGCATATTCAGAAAATCATTGCCTAAGCCAAAATCACAAAGATTTATGCCTATGCGTTCTTCTAGCAGTTTTATACTTCTAGCTTGTACTTTAGCTCTGTTATCCATTTGAGTTTTTTTATATGATACAAGATGATGGGAGTCCAAATTCATTCTTTCTCATGTGAATATGTAGTTTTCTAAGCATCATTTGCTGAAAAGTTTATTCCTTTCACTGAATAGTCTTAGGACCCTCATGGAAAATTAATTGACCATAAATGTTTGAGTTTATTTCTGTACTTTTAATTATATTAAAATTTAATCGACTTAAAATTTAATTTTTTCTCTCAGTCTCAAAATTGTAGAAATTAAAATAGAATATATATAAATACATATATATATATATATATATATGTATTTATATCTGGAGGACTTTATCACCTTATGCCAGTACCACACATTCCTGAATACTATAAACTGTACTAAGTTTTGCAATCAAAACGTGTGAATTTTCCATCTTTGTTCTTTTCAAGATTGTTTTGGCTATTCCGGGTCCCTTAAATTTCTCTAAGAATCTTAAGATCAGCTTATTAATTTCCACTCATAACTATCTGGAATTTTGATGGAGGCATGTTAAATTCATAGATGAATTTAGGAAGTGTTGTCATTTTTTAAAAATATTTTTTAAATTTTTTGTTTTTAATTGACAATAATTGTACTTATTTATGAGGTTTAATGTAATGTTTTGATACCTTTATACATTGTGGAATGATTAAATCAAGCCAATTAACAGTTCTATCACCACACATACTTATCATTTTTTGTGGTGAAAACATTTGAAGTCTATCTCTTGGTAATTTTGAAATACACAGTACATTGTTATTGCCTATAGTCACTATGTTGTGTGATAGATTTCAAAAACTTGAAATATATTTCCTGTCTAATCAAAACTTTGTACACTTTGACCAACATGTCACCATTCTCCCCCCATAACCCCCACCACCAATTTCTGGTACCACCATTGTACTATTTGCATGAGTTTCACTTTTTAAAATTCCACATATAAGTGAGATTACATAGTATTTGTCTTCCTGTGCCTACCTTATTTCTCTTAGCATGATGTCCTCCAAGTGTTATTATAAATGACAGCATTTTCTTCTTTTTGAAGGTTGAATAGTATTCAGCATATATGTACCACATTTTCTTTACTCTTTTATCCATGAATGAACACTGAGTTTGCTCTGTGTCTTGGCCATTGTGAGTAGTGGTGCAATGAACATCTGAGGGGAGAAATCTCTTCAACATACTAATTTTAATTCATGTGAATATATACTCACAAGTGGGATTGCTGGGTCATATGATAGTTCTATTTTTATTTTATCCAGGAACCTCCATATAGTTTCCCATAATGACTAAAACAATTTACACTCTCACTAACAGTGTATAAGTATTTCCTTTTTTCCACAATATTGCCAACACTTACATCTTTTTGACAGTAGCCATTGGAACAGGTGTGAGGTGGTATCTCCTTGTGCTTTTAATTTGCACTTCCCTAATGATTAATGATGTTGAGCGGTTTTTTTTTTTCATATAACTCTTGGCTACTTGTATGTCATCTTTTGAGAAATATCTTTTCAGGCCCTTTTAATTAGCTTCTTTGTTTTTTATTCTTATTGGGTTGTTTGAGCATCATATATTTTGGGTATTGACCCTTTATTGGGTGTATGAATTTCAAATGTTTTCTTCCAATCTACAGTCTCTTCACTCTGTTTATTGTTTCCTTGTCTGTGCAGAAGTTTTTAGTTGTCTCTCAATTCAGGAACGTATGATATCGCTCCATACAGAAACATGCTCCATACAGAGCATGTAGTTCTGTCATTGTTATTCACCCATTCTGCTAATCTCTGCCTTTTAATATTCTTTATCTGATAAGTTTGTTCAAATATTTTGTTTAATTTCTGATTTTGTATTATTTATATATATTTTAGGTAGAAGTATATATCAGATACATATATTGCAAAATTTCCTTTAAAACTGGTTTGCCTCTACTTTCCACATTTTCTTAGTGAGATCTTTTATGAGCAGAATATTGTAATGGGGATCAATTTTAATGAATTCATTAAATTTAATTTACATTTGGTATTTTTCATCCTCTCCAAAAAAACCTTTGCCTAACCTGAAATTGGAAATCATTTATGTTTAGTATCTGTATTAGTCCATTTTCAGGTTGCTAATAAAGACATACGCAAAACTGGGCAATTTACACAAGAAAGAGGTTTAATGGACTTAAAGTTCCACGTGGCTGGGGAGGCCTCACAATCATAGTGGAAGGTGAAAGGCACATCTCACATGGCGGCAGATAAGAGAAGAGTGACAACCAAATGAAAGGGGTCTCCGCTTATAAAACCATCAGATCTCATGAGACTTATTGACTACCATGAGAACAATATGGGGGAACCACCACCATGATTAAATTATCTCACACTGGGTCAATCCCATGACATGAGAATTATGGGAGCTACAATTCGAGATGTGGGTGGGGACACAGCCAAGCCATATCATTCTGCCCCTGGCCTCTCCCAAATCTCATGTTCTCACCATTTCAACACCTATCATGACTTCCCAGCAGTCTCCCAAAGTCTTAACTCATTCCAGCATTAACTTAAAAATCCACAGTCCAAAGTCTTATTTGTGACAAGGCAAGTCCTTTCCACTTATGAGCCTGTAAAATCAAAAGCAAGTTAGTTACTTCCTAGATAAAATGGGGGTACAGGCATTGGGTGAATACAGCCATTCCAGTGGGAGAAACTGGCCAAATCAAAGGGGCTACAAGCCCCATGCAAGTCCCAAATCCAGCAGGACAGCCAAATCTTAAAGTTCCAAAATAATTTCCCTTGACTCTATGCCTCACATCTGGGTCACACTGATGCAAGAGGTGGGTTCCCATGGTCTTGGGCAGCTCTGCTCCTGTGGCTTTGCAGGATACAGCCTCTGTCCCACTGCTATCATGGACAGGCATTGAGTGTCTGCAGCTTTTTCAGGCACATGGTAGAAGCTGTTAGGGGATCTACCATTCTGGGGTCTGGAGGACAGTGGGCCTCTTCTCATAGCTCCACTAGGCAGCACCCCAGTGGGGACTCTGTGTGGGGGTACCCACCCCACATTTCCCTCCTGCACTGCCCTAGCAGATGTTCTCCACGAGTGTCCTGCCCCTGCAGCAAACTTATGCCTGGACACCCAGGCATTTCCATACATCCTCTGAAATGTAGGTGGAGATTCCCAAACCTCAGTTCTTGACTTCTGTGCACCCACAGTCTCAACACCATGTGGAAGCCACCAAGGCTCAGGGCTTTGCCCCCTCTGAAGTCATGACCTGAGCTGTACCTTGGCCCCTTTTAGTCACAGCTGGACTTCACATAGCAGAGGTACCCTAGGCCCAGCCCAGGAAACCATTTTTTCCCCCTAGGCCTCTGGACCTGTAATGGGAGGGCCTGGTGCAAGTGTCTCTGACCTACCCTGGAGACATTTTCCCCATTGTCTTGGTGATTAACATTTGGCTCCTCATTATTTATGCAAATTTCTATAGCTGGCTTGAATTTCTCTTCAGAAAATGGGATTTTCTTTTCTTTTCTAAATAATTTTTATGAATTGTATGTATTTATTTTCTTTCTTCTAAAAAAAACGGGATACATGTGTAGAAAGTGCAGGTTTGTTACATAGGTATATGTGTGCTATAGTGGTTTGCTGAACCTATTGACCCATTCTCTAAGTTCCCTCCCCTCACCCCCAGCCCCCAACAGGCCCTGGTGTGTGCTGTTTCCCTCTCTGTGTCCATGTGTTCTCAGCATTCAACTCCCACTTATGAGTGAGAACATGCGCTGTTTGGTTTTCTGTTCCTTCGTTAGTTTGCTGAGGATGATGGCTTCCAGCTTCGTTGATGTCCCTGCAAAATACATGATCTTATTCCTTTTTATGGCTGCATGGTATTCCATGGTATATATGTACCACATAGAAAATGGGATTTTCTTTTCTATCACATTGTCAGGCTGCAAATTTTCTGAACTTTTATGCTCAGTTTTTCCTTTTAAAACTGAATGCCTTTAACAGCATCCACATCACATCTTGAATGCTTTGCTGCTTACAAATTTTTTCCACCAGATACCCTAAATCATCTCTCTGAAGTTCAAAGTTTCACAGATCTCTAGGGCAGGGGCAAAATGCAACCAGTCCCCACTAAAACATAACAAGAGTCACCTTTGTTCCTGTTCCCAATAAGTTCCTCATCTTCATCTGAGACCACCTCAGTCTGGATTTCATTGTCCATATCATCAGCATTTTGGTCAAAGCCATTCAACAAGTCTCTAAGGGTTTCCAAACTTTCCCACATTTTCCTGCCTTCTTCTGAGCCCTCCAAGCTGTTCCAACCTCTGCCTGTGACCTAGTTCCAAAGTCACTTCCATATTTTCAGTTATCTTTTCAGCAGTACCCCACTATACTGGTACCAATTTATTGTATTAGTTCATTTTCATGCTGCTAATAAAGACATACTCAAGGCTGGGCAATTTACAAAAGAAAGAGGTTTAATGGACTCACAGTTCTACATGGCTGGGGAGGCCTCACAATCATGGTTGAAGGTGAAAGGTGCATTTCACATGGCATCAGAGAAGAGTGTGAACCAAGTGAGAAGTGTTTCCCCTTATAAAACCATCAGATCTCGTGAGACTTATTCACTACAATGAGGACAGTATAGGGGAAACTGCCCACATGATTTAATTATCTCCCATTGTTTCCTCCCAGAGCATGAAGGAATTATGGGAGCTACAATTCGAGATGAGATTTGGGTGTCTCATTAGACATTTCTCCTAATGCTATCCCTCCCCTAGCCACCCACCCCCTGACAGGCCCCAGTGTGTGATGTTTCCACGTGTCCTCGTTGTTCAACTCCCACTTATGAGTGAGAACATGTGCTGTTTGGTTTTCTGTTCCTATGTTAGTTTGCTGAGAATGATGTTTTCCAGCTTCATCCATGTCCCTGCAAAGCACATGAGCTCATCCTTTTTTATGGCTGCATATATTCTATAGTGCGTATTTGCCACATTTTCTTTATCCAGTCTATCACTGATAGGCACTTGGGTTGGTTCCAAGTCTTTACTATTGTGAAGAGTGCTGCAATAAACATACATGTGCATGTGTCTTTATAGTAGAATGATTTATCATCCTTTGGGTATATACATAGTAATGGGATTGCTGGGTCAAATGGTATTTCTGGTTCTAGATCCTTGAGGAATCGCCACACTGTCTTCCACAATGGTTGAACTAATTTACACTCCCACCAACAGTGTAAAATCGTTCTTATTTCTCCACATCCTCTCCAGCATCTGTTGTTTCCTGACTTTTTACTGATCATCATTCTAACTGGCTTGAGATGGTATCTCATTGTGGTTTTGATTTGCATATCCCTAATGACCAGTGATGATGAGCTTTTTTTCATATTTTTTTTACTGCAAAAATGTCTTCTTTTGAGAAGTGTCTGTTCATATCCTTTGCTCACTTTTTGATGGGGTTGGTTTTTTTTTTCTTGTAAATTTGTTTAAGTTCTTTGTAGATTCTGGATATTAGCCCTTTGTCAGATGGATAGATTGCAAAACTTTTCTCCCATTCTGTAGGTTGCCTGTTTGCTCTGATGATAGTTTCTTTTGCTGTGCAGAAGCTCTTTAGTTTAATTAGATCCCATTTATCAATTTTGGCTTTTGTTGACATTGCTTTTGGTGTTTTAACATCTACAATCATCTGATCTTTGAAAAACTTGACAAAGACAAGCAATGGGGAAAGGATTCCCTATTTAACAAATGGTGTTGGGAAAACTGGCTAGCCATATGCAGAAAACTGAAACTGGACCCTTTTCTTACATCTTAGACAAAAATTAACTCAAGATGGATTAAAGCCTTAAATGTAAGAGCTAAAACCATAAAAATCCTAGAAGAAAACCTAGGCAATACCATTCAGGACAAAAGCATGGGCAAATTTTATAGTATATTTTAAAAAATCAAACACCATGATGAAGTAGGACTTATCCCTGTGATATATAGGTAGTTCAATGTGTGCATATTAAACAGTGCAATACACTAGATTAACAGAATGAAGGATAAAAAGTCCCATAATCATGTGATCTCAAATCATTTTGACAAAATTCAACACTCTTTTATAGTAAAAAAAAATTCCAACAAATTAGGAATAGAAGAAACTTTCTTCAATGCAATAAAGGGAAAATAGGAAAAGCAAGAAGCTAACATCATCATCCTCAGTGATTAGAAACTGAAAGCTTTTTTCTCTGCAATCCTGGAATAAGGAAAGGATGCCACCTCTTACCACTTCTATTCAACATATTTCTGTAAAGTATTACCAGAGCAATTATCCAAGAGAAAGAAAATGCATTCAACTCTGAAAGGAAGAAGTAAAATTATCTCTCTTTTCAGATGTCATAATTTTATATGTAGAAAACCATAATGTGTACACATACACACACACAACTGTTAGAACTAATAAACAAATTCAGTAAGGTTGCATAATACATAATTGACAAGCAAAAACCTATTGTATTTCTGTGCACTAACAATAAAATATCCTAATAGCAAATTAAGAAAACAATCACATTTGCAATAGCATCCAAAAGAATAAAAGACTTGGAAATAAACTTAACCAGAAATGTTGTCTTAGTCTGTTTTGTGCTGCTGTAACAGAATACCACAGACCGGGTAATTTATGACAAAGAGAAATTTATTGGCTTACAGCTCTGAAAACTGGGAATCCCAAGATTAAGGTACCAGCATCTCATGAGGGTCTTCTGCTCTGCCATCCAAGGCAAAAGGCATCAGATATTAGAAGGGCAGAGAGTAAAGGGGGACCAAGTTGGGGCTGAATTCACCCTTTTATAATAACATCAATTTTGCCCATGAGGGCAGAGCCCTTATAGCCAAATCACTTTTTAATGTTTTCACTATTTAATACTGATACAATGCCAATTAAGTTTTAATTGAGTTTTTAATGAGTTTTATGACCAAGATTCAAATCATAGCAAATGTGAAAGATTTGTGCATTGGAAACTAAAATAATGATGAAAGAAATAAAGCCAGCATAAATAAATGGAAAGATATCACATATTCACAGATTGGAAGAATTAATATTGTTTAAAAGCCCATACTAGCCAAGGTAATCTACAGACTTATTGTAATTTCTGTCAAAATCTCAATGGCACATTTTAATAGAAATAGAAATTAAAAAGTTTAAAATTTATATAAAACCACAAAAGATTCAAATACCCAAAATGATTTTGAGCAAGAAAAGTCAACACATTTTCAAATTTCAAAGCAACAGTAATCAAAACACTATGGTAGTGGCATGAAAAAAGAAATGTAGGCCAATGGAACAGAATAGGGAGCCCAGGAATAAATAACACATTCATAGTCAACTGATCTTCGACAAGGATGTTAAGAACACACAATGGAAAAAAATGGTTTCTTTAATAAATGTTGCTGTAAAACCTGGATGTCCACATGCAAAAGAATGAAATTGTACCCTTATCTTACACCATACATAAAAATTAACTCCAAATGAATTAAAGACTTAAATGTAAGAACTGAAAACGTATAACTCTTAGAAAACATGGGGAAAATCTTCTGGACATTAGCCTTGCCAATAATTTATTGGATATGACAAGAAAAGCACAGGAAACACAAGCAAAAATAGAAAAGTAGAATTCTACCAAATAAAAATTCTTCTGTATATTAAAGGAAACAACCAAATATAAAATTAGCCTACAGAAAAAGAAAAATTATTTGCTAATCATGAGTCTGATAAGGGGTTAACTTCCAAAATACGTAACGAATTTCTAAGACTCAACAGCAATCAATCAATAAATAACCATATTTAAAATATGGAAAAGAAACTGAATAGGCACTTCCCCAAAGAAGACATGCAAATGAACAGCAGGTATATGAAAAGGTGCTCAACATTACCAATCATCAGAGAAATACAAATTGAAACCACAATGAGCTATCACCTCACAGCCATGAAAATGGCTATTATCAAAACAAAAGAAAAACACAAGTATTAGGAAGGATGTGGAAAAAAAAGCCTGGTAGACTGTTGGTAAAATGTAAATTGGTGCAGCCACTATGAAGAAGAATAGGGAGATTCTCCAAAAATTTAAAGAGAGCTAACATATGAGGCAGCAATCTCTCTTCTCTGTATATATGCAAAAGTATTGAAATCGGTCTGTTGAAGACAGATCTGCATTTCCATGTTCATTGCAGCATTGTTTATTCACAATTTCCAACATATAGAAACAACCATAATGTCCATTGATGATGAATGGATAAAAGAAATGTGTCATATACATACAATGGAATATTGTTTAATGTTAAGAAGAAAGAAATCCTGCCACTTGTGTCAACATGGATGAACCTGGAAGACCTTATGCTAAGGGAAATAAACCAGTCACAGAAGGACACATACCACATGATACCACTTTATATGATTTGGGTGTGTCCCCACCCAAATTTCATCTTGAATTGTAGTTTTCATAATTCTCATGTGTGATGGGAAGGACCAGCGGGAAGTAATTGAATCATGGAAGCAGTTTTCCCCATGCTATTCTCATGATAGTGAGTAAGTTCTCAGGAGATCTGAAGATTTTATAAAGGGCTTCCTCCTTCACTTGGCTCTCATTCTTCTCCTTCCTGCCATCAAATGAAGAATGAGGTGTTTTCTTCCCCTTCCATCATAATTGTCAGTTTTCTGAGGCTTTTCCCACCTGCATAACTATGAGTCAATTAAACCTCTTTCCTTTGTAAATCACCCAGTCTCAGGCAGTTCTGTATATCAGCCTGATAATGAATTAATATAGTATAGTAAGTTGGTACCAGGCAGTAGGATGCTACTGTAAAGATACCCAAAAATGTGGAAGTAACTTTGGAATTGGGTAATAGGCAGAGGTTAGAATAGTTTATAGGGCTCAGAAGAAGACAGAAAGATGTGGGAAAGTTTGGAACTTCCTAGAGACTTGTTGAATGGCTTTGACCAAAATGCTGACAGTGATATTAAGTCCAGGCTGAGGTGGTCTCAGAGGGAGATGAGGAACTTTTTGGGAAATGGAATAAGGGTGACTCTTGCTATGTTTTAGCAAGGAGACTGGTTGCATTTTGCCCCTGCCCTAGAGATCTGTGGAACTTTGAACTTGAGACAGATGATTTAGGGTATCTGGCAAAGGAAATTTCCAAGCAGTAAAGCATTCAAGAGATGACTTGGGTGCTGTTAAGGGGATCAGTTTTCTCTATTCAAACAGATATGGTTTGGAATTGGAACATATGTTTAAAAGAGAAGCACAGCATAAAAGTTCAAAAAATTTGCAGCCCGACAATGCTATAGAAAAGAAAAACCCATTTTCTGAGAAGAAATTCAAGCCAGCTGAAGAAATTTGCATGAGTAATGAGGAGCCAAAGTGAATCACCAAGACAAGGAGGAAAATGTCTCCAGGGCATGTCAGAGGTGTTCGTGGCAACCTCTTCTATCACAGGCTCAAAGGTCTAGGAGGAAAAAGATAGTTTCATGGGCTAGGCCCTGGACATTGCTGCTTTGTGCGGTCTCAGGACTTGGTGCCCTGCACCCCAGCCATGGCTCAAAGGGGCCTACATAGAGCTCAAGTCATTGCTTCAGAGGGTGCAAGCCCCAAGCCTTGGTGGCTTAAATATGATGTTGGGACTCTGGATGTGCAGAAGTCAAGAACTGAGGTTTGGGAACCTCCACTAAGATTTCAGATGATATATGAAAATGCCTGGATGTCCAGGCAGAAATTTGCTGCAGGGGCAGAACCCTCATGGAAAACCTCTGCTAGGGCAGTGCAGAAGTTAAACGTGGGGTTGGAGCCTGCACACAGACACACAGAGTCCCCACTGGGGCACTGCCTACTAGAGCTGTGAGAAGAGGATCACTGTCCTCCAGCCCCCAGAATGGTAGATCCACTGACAGCTTGCAATATGTGCCTGAAAAAGCTACAGACACTCAATGCCAGCTTGTGAAAGAAGCTGACAGGGGGGATGTACCCTGCATAGCTGCAGGAGCAGAGTTGCACAAAGTCATGGGAAACCACCTCTTGCATCAGCATGTCTTCACTTTTATTTCAAGCCTCATCTTCCTGAAACTTCTCTGGCAATTCTTTCCAAAACTGAATTTCTCCATCAAAGACGTGGAGTCAAAAGAAATCATTTGGGAACTTTAAGGTTTAATGACTGCCCTATTGGATTTTGGACTTGTATGGGGCCTATGGCCCCTTTGTTTTGGGCAATTTCTCCCATTTGGAGAGGGGGTATTTACCCAATGCCTGTACTTTCATTGTATCTAGGAAGTAACTAACTTGCGTTTGATTTTACAGGCTCATAGTTGGAAGGGATTTGCCTTGTCACAGATGAGACTTTGGACTTGGACTTTTGGGTTAATGCTGAAATCAGCTAAGACTCTGGGGGGACTGCTGGAAATGCATGACTGTGCTCTAAAATGTGAGGATATGAGATCTGAGAGGGGCCTGGAATAGAATGGTATGGTTTGGTGGTGTCCCCACTCAAATCTCATCTTGAATTGTAGTTCCCATAATCCCCATGTGTGATAGCGGGGACCCTGTGGGAGATAATTGAATCATGAGGGCAGTTTCCTCCATGCTATTCTCACGATAGTGAGTACGTTCTCAGGAGACCTGATGGTTTTAAATAATGGGCTTCCCCTTTTACTCAGCTCTCATTCTTCTCTTTCTTGCCATCATGTGAAGAAAGATGTGCTTGTTTCCCCTTCCACCATGATTGTAAGTTTCCTGAGGCCTCCCCAGCCTGTGGAACTGTGAGTCAATTAAACTTTTTTTCTTTGTAGATTACTCAGTCTTGGGCAGTTCTTTACAGCAGCGTGTGAATGGACTAACACACCAGTTACATAAAGAATTGAAAATAGTCAAACTCCTAGAAGCAGAGAGTGGAATGGTGATTACCAGGGGCTTAGGGAAGCAGGAAACCAGGAGGTACACAGCTTCTGCTATGCAAGACGAGTAAGTCCTAAAGAGCTATTATACAGCATAGTGCCTAAAGTTAACAATACTGTATTATATACTTAAAATTTTCCTTTGGTTGCAGATATCATGTTAAGTAATCTTATCCAAAAATAATTATTAGAAACAAATAGAGAATGGGAAATCTTCTGAAGGTGATGGATAGATTTATGACATAGATCTTGCTGAGTTTCTTGGGTGTAGACTTATCTCCAGACTCATGAAGTTATGTACATTATATTTCTACAGTCATTTGTATGTTAGTCATACATCAATGAAGTGGTTTAAAAAGACTTTCATTTCTCCAAGAAAATGCCTTGGCACCTTTTTCAAAAATTATGTGATCTTCATATATGGACCTATTTTAGGGTTGACTTTTTTCTTTCCTTTCAGCACTTTCAGCATATTTACTATGTTGTTTTATTGTTTTCTATCCATCATTGCTTCTTATGTGAATCAGGTGTCATTTATATTATTACTCTCTTACTCTTTATTTAATAGGTCTTTTCCTCTGTCTGCTTGTTTTTCATTGTTTAATTATTTTATTTTATGTTTTTATTTTTGTGGGTACATAATTGGTGTATATATTCATAGGGTACATGAGGTAATAACTAAGACTTCCATCTGCTTTTAAGATTTATTTTTATATTTCACTCTCAGCAGTTTGACTATGATGTGTGTAGCTCTCTTTTTTAAAATTTATTCTTCAAGGCATTTTCCTTCATGTGAATCTATAAGGGGACGTTTTTGAAACGATTTTGGAGTTTTATCATCATTTCTCAACTAATGTTTTCTACTCCATTCTCTATCTCCTTGATTTTGGAATTCACATTCAATCTATGTTTGTCTGCTTGACATTGTCCCATGAGTCAGTGAGGCTCTAGTCAGTTTTTTTCTCTTGGTTCTTCAGCATGGATAGCTTTTATTGACCTCTTTTTAAATTTATCAGTTCTTTCTACTGCCGTATCTAATTCACTGTTAAGCCCATTCATTTTATTTTTCAATTCGAATGCTGTAATTTTTAGTTCTAGAATTGCCATTTAATTATTTGTCATAGTTTTTATGTCTCTGGAGATCTTTTCCGTCAGTTTATACATTATAATCTTTTCCTTAAAGTTCTTGAATATATTTAATATGCTGTTTCAAATTTTTTGTCACAATTTTTGCTTATCTTTGAATCTGTTTCTCTTAAATGCTTTTTCCTCCCTTTTAATGGGTCATGTTTTCCTGCTTCTTTGCACATACAGTAAATGATAAAACTTTGCATGTTTGTTCCATCCAAATTTCATGTTAAAATATCATCCCTGATGTTGGAGGTGGGGCCTTGTGGCAGGTGTTTGGGTCATGGGGCAAATCCCTCATGAATGGTTTGGCATGCTGTCCTTGCGATAGTGAGTGAGTTCTTGTGAGATATGGTTGTTTAAAAGTGTATAGCACCTCCCCCTTCACTCTCTTGCTCCCACTCTTACTATGTGACAGGCCAACTTCCCCTTTGCCTTCTGCTATGATTGCAAACTTCTTGAGGCTCTCACCAGAAGCAGATGCTGAAGCCAAGCTTGTACAGCCTGCAGAACCATGAGCCAATTAAACCTCTTTTCTCTATAAATTACTCAGTCTCAGGTATTTCATAGCAATGCAAAAAAATGGCCTAACACAGTAAATTTTATTATTTGTTGAATGTTATGAATGGTATCGTGTCTTAGTTTGTCTTCTTTTTAAAGATGTTAAATATTTTTATGAGAGATAGCCAAATTACTTGACAGGTAGATCCTGTCAAGCTGTTTTCTTTTGTTACAATGTATCTATTTTACTTTTCAATTAAATCCTAGGATGTTGACTTTATAGTAAAATGTGAGTCTTCTGTATGAGACGTATCATTTACTGGGATCTTAAGTGAATGCTCAAGGTGTGTAGTGAGGTTTCTCCACCGTTGTTATGTCAGAACACCAACATCCATGAGTCCTACAGGACCTCTTGTATCTCTGTTCAGCTGCCAACTCTGTAGCAAGTCCTCTCTGCAAGGCCTCAAGGAGTCCTTTGTGGATGCATGTCCAGCCCTGTACAAGGATTCAAAGTGAGTCCCATTGCCACTTCTGCAGCCACTCCTCTGTACATCTGCTTCACTTCCTGATTGCCAGCCACTTCAGCAGGTTAAAACTCCAATCTCTGACCTTTTAATTCAACAACTGTGCTACTCTGTTTGGGTTTCACCTCCTTGTGTCTCGGCAGACAGGATGGCAGTGCTATCTTCAGGCTCTATGTTTAGATTTTCCTCGCAACTTGTATCTTGGTTTTCTGTTGCTTAATGTCCAAAAACAGTTGACTCATCAATTCTGTCCAGTTTTATGCTTGTTCTCCACTGGAAGGAGAGTCTTGCGACTCACTGTCATAACCAGAAACCAAAGTATCATCTCCTCTTATTTGGATTACTGCAACATCCTTCTACCTATCTTCCTGCTTCCACTCTTGCCTACTCCCCCATCATCACAGTCTAGTCTCAGCCTATCAGTCAGAGTCATCCTCGCTAAACAGTTAGAGCATGCTCCTCTATTACTAAAAACTATCCATGGCTTTCTGGGGGAAAAAAAATGCTTTCAATGACCTGTCTGCTCTTCCCTCAGTCCTGACCATGACTGGGTCTCTAACCGTGAATTGTCATCATTTCCATTTGTGCTACACCGGTATCCTCCCTCTTGTAGATGTCCCAGCCATGCATTAGAGCTGTGCACCCACTGCTCTTGGTCCACAGCCTGCTTCCAGTCACCTGATTGCTCTCTGCCTCATTGTCTTCGCTTTTATTTCAAGCCTCATCTTCCTGAAACTTTTCTGGCAACTCTTTCCAAAATTGAATTTCTCCATCAAACTACATGAACTTTTCTCTCTACT